>NC_000022.11:27459564-28709564 GCF_000001405.40 Homo sapiens | reverse complement strand
CATTCACACACATGCCTAGCTGTCATTTAGCTGGGAAGAGTTTTACCCCAAAATGTTACTGAGTGAACAATACCGTATAAAGATTTCATGATTAAATAAACAAATGATATTTCTTCTGAGTTAGTTCTTGACCAAAACATATAGCAATTATTCTATCTCATAGACACAACTGGTTATATTAGAGAAGACAGTGTTAATTTTAGTAAATTTGGTTTAGTTATACCTGAAGTTTTACCACTTTTGAATACCTTTTATTTGGAGTAATCCAAATAAATCCAAGGGTATCCATTAAGTATGACAACATCCTGTCCTTATATCTGATTAAATGGTGTCTGTGGCCTAGTTCTTATCTTTTTGTGCAATGATGACTATGTCTCAATGAAAAATGTGTCTCACTTTTAAAAAGTGAGAAGAAAAATTAGAGGGTGGGCTTAATCTTATCTTGCTTTTTTTTGTTTTTTTCCCGTTTCTTCCTTAATTCATAAGTGCCCATGAAGGCATAAGCTCATTAGGCAATGGCATTAAACTCAAGGCAAGATCTCTCTCCTGTCCAGCTAATGATGATCTTATTCTGGCATTTTTTTTGTTTGTTTTTTTTTTTTTTTTTTTTTTGAGACGGAGGCTCGCTCTGTCACCCAGGCTGGAGTACAGTGGCGCAATCTCGGCTCACTGCAAGCTCCACCTCCCGGGTTCACGCCATTCTCCTGTCTCAGCCTCCCGAGTAGCTGGGCACACCACCACGCCCGGCTAATTTTTTGTATTTTTAGTAGAGAGGGGGTTTCACCATGTTAGCCAGGATGGTCTCTATCTCCTGACCTCGTGATCCCCCCACCTCAGCCTCCCAAAGTGCTGGGATTACAGGCGTGAGCCACCGCGCCTGGCCTTATTCTGGCTTTTAACCTCGAAACAGCAAAAAGGTTTCTTCTCTCTTTTTCTACCTCTCCAAATCCCTCAAAAAAGTCAGTAGAAACTGAGGAGCAATTACTGTTGTTGACACAATACTTCAGCAGGTTCCTTTAGAACTCTGTGAGTGGACCTGAAAACCTATGAGAACCTGAGTGGCTGACCTTCCTGCTTGGCTTTCTTCTGTTTCTTTTGCAAATTATTCGTCCTCTCTGAATTTGCCAGGTCCTTTTTCCAAGAGATTTGGAGTCTCTCTTTAACACACACACACACACACACACACACACACACACACACATATTTTTAGAGACAGTCTGTCTCTGTTACCCAGGCTTCAGTGTAGTGGCACAATCATAGCTCACTGCAGCCTCAAACTCCTGGGACCAAGCGATACTCCTGCCTCAGCCTCCTGAGTAGCTGGGACTATAGGCATGTGCCACACCATACCCTGCTGGGAGAGAGGAGCCCTCCAATTTTCTGGGGTGGGGTTGCATCAGACCTACCCTTAAGATAAACACAAATGCGGTGGGCGCGGTGGCTCACGCCTGTAATCCCAGCACTTTGGGAAGCCGGGGCGGGTGGATCATGAGGTCAGGAGATCAAGACCATCCTGGCTAACACGGTGAAATCCCGTCTCTACTAAAAATACAAAAAAAAATTAGCCGGGCGTGGTGGCGGGTGCGTGTAGTCCCAGCTACTGGAGAGGCTGAGGCAGGAGAATGGCGTGAACCCGGGAGGCGGAGCTTGCAGTGAGCCGAGATTGTGCCACTGCACTCCAGCCTGGGCAACAGAGCGAGACTCCGTCTCACAAAAAAAAAAAAAAAAAAAAAAGATAAACACAAATGCTCAGGGAATTTTCTCTGATGTCAGATGATCTTCAAACATAACATTTGTACAAATCCGGTGTCCAGTGCAATAGAGAAGAATTCAAAACCCTAAAAAAGATTTCTAGACATATTTATTTGCATTTTACAAGGGCACAAGAAACTCTTGGGAATTAAACATGGGCCCATGAGTGCATTTTGATGCTTGGGGACAATAAGTAGAGTCTAGTGGCCAAGAGAGCCTGACCTTTGGAGTCAGAGATTGATGTGATTACTTTTCGAACACTTGTCATGCCAGTTGTCTTGTGGACCCCGGCAGTGGTAAGCACAGATATTGCTGTCCTTCCCTTCCCTCACTTTAGTGTGACTTTAGTGTGGAGGCAGAACTGGGTTCCTGTCTCAGTACTATCAAAGCAGCTGAGAAGTCGTTTGAGAAGTTCATTTTATTTATTGGAGCCCCCGTTTCCTCAGCTGTACAATGAAGACAATAAGAATACTTATGTCACAAGGTCAGTGTGAGAATTTAATGAGACGTACTCCTAAAGCTTTCAGTGCAGACAACACACTTGGAGAGTGACAGAGATCGTTAATTCCCTGAACTGCTTTCCCAGTATGACCTAAGTGGAAGGTGTGGGTTAGTAGCTTCTGATTCCTGGTAGAGAGACCCTTTTAGCTGTGACAGCCCCAGGCAGTGACCCTGGAGGTAGCGGACACTAGAGGAAGTAATTCACACTGGTTCTGACTATCGGACACCTCTTCATGCTCTGTTAGCTCCAGACCCCACCCATTTTCAGATAGGTACTGGCACTGCCCATTATGAAGCCAACCAGAACCAAGCAGTTCCCTTTTTCCTTCTCTCCGTTCCTTTTCTATATGTGTCTTTTCTTTTTGTTCTCCTTTATTTGTTTATTTATTTATGTATGAGATGGAGTCTCCGTCTGTTGCCCAGGCTGGAGTGCAGTGGCATGATCTCGGCTTACTGCAACCTCCGCCTCCAGGGTTCAAGTGATTCTGCCTCAGCCTCCTGACTAGCTGGGATTACAGGCGCCCACCACCAGGCTCAGCTAATTTTTGTATTTTTAGTAGAGATGGGGTTTTGCCATGTTGGCCAGGCTGGTCTCGAACTCCTGACCTCAGGTGATCTGCCTGCCTTGGCCTCCCAAAGTGCTGGGATTACAGACGTGAGCCACTGCTCCTGGCTTTATTCTCCTTTAAAAGGTACTTTTTACAGCCGTGCATGGTGGCTCATGCCTATAATCCCAGCACTTTGGGAAGCTGAGGTGGGAGGATTGCTTGAGCCCAGAAGGTTGAGACTGCAGTGAGCCATGATCACCCCATTGCACTTCAGCCTGGGCAGCAGAGTGAGACCCTGTCTCAAAAACAAAAGCAAAACAAAACAAAAAACACACAAAAAACCTGACCACATGACTCGAGCTACCTGTTTATGTTTTCCCCATCCTACCCAGAGGTAATGCCATTACCTTGAATGCTGTGTGTACTGTCCCTTTGTGTGTGTGTGTGTGTGTGTGTGTGTGTGTGAGCTGGAGTGTTGCTCTGTTGCCAGGCTAGAGCACACTGGTGTGATCTCGGCTTAGTGCAACCTCTCCCTCCCGGGTTCAGGTGGTTCTCCTGCCTCAGCCTCCTGAGCAGCTGGGACTACAGGTTCGTGCTACCACACTCAGCTAATTCAGATAATTTTTGTATTTTTAGTAGAGACAGGGTTTCACCATGTTGGCCAGGGTGGTCTTGATCTCTTGACCTGGTGATCTGCCCGCTTCAGCCTCCCAAAGGGCTGGGATTACAGGCGTGAGCCACTGTGCCTGGCCTGTCCCTTGCTTTAGTTTAGTTTAGTTTAGTTTAGTTTAGTTTTTAGTTTAGTTTAGTTTAGTTTTTTGAGACGGAGTTTCACTCTTGTTGCCCAGGCTAGAGTGCCATGGCGCGATTTAGGCTCACTGCAAACTCTGCCTCCCGGGTTCAAGCGATTCCCAGGTACAAGCGATTCTCCTGTCTCAGCCTCCCAAGTAGCTCGGATTACAGGCATGCACCACCACGCCCAGCTAATTTTTTTGTATTTAGTAGAGACAGGGTTTCACCATGTTAGTCAGGCTGGTCACGAACTCCTGACCTCAGGTGATCCACTTGCCTTGGCCTCCTAAAGTGCTGGGATTACAGGCATGTGCCACTGCGCCCGGCCCCTTGCTTTTTTAAAGCCACATATATGTGTATCCCTAAATAATATAGTTTTACTGCTTGTTTCTGAATCTTATAAAAATGATACAGATTGAGTGTCCCTTATCCAAAACGCCTGGGACCAGAGGTTTTTGGGTCTTGAATCTTTTTGGATTTTGGAACATTTGCATTGTACTTCCTGGTTGAATATTCCAGATCCAAAAATCTGAAATCCAAAATGCTCCAATGAGTATTTCCTTTGAGTGTTGTGTCAGCTCTCAAAAAGATTTTGGGCCGGGTGCAGTGGCTCACACCTGTAATCCCAACACTTTGGGAGGCTGAGGCGGGTGGATCACGAGGTCAGGAGTTCAAGACTGGCCCAGCCAAGATGGTGAAACCAAGTCTCTACTAAAAATACAAAAATTAGCCGGGTGCAGTGGCAGGCACTCATAATCCCAACTACTCGGGAGGCTGAGGCAGGAGAATGGCGTGAACCCGGGAGGCAGAGCTTGCAGTGAGCCGAGATCTCGCCACCGCACTCCAGCCTGGGTGACAGCGCAAGACTCCGTCTCAAAAAAAAAAAAAAAAAAGATTTGGATTTTGGGAGTATTCAGATTTTGTATTTTTGTATGTGGGATGCTCAACTTGTATCATACTCTTTGAAGTCTTTTCTGACTTGGCTTTTTCATTCAGCATTATGCTTCCAAGACCCATCTATGGTGGGAAAACTGGGCATTCATTCATTGCTATATAACAATTCATTGTGGGAAGGTTCCATTGGATGATCTTAATCAGAGTGATGAGTGATGAATATGATGAAATACACATTATGGGAAGATCAATCTGGCAAGTTTTACCACTCTTTTGAATCTAAAACCAAAAAATCTGATGACTCTTTTCTTTTTAATTCTGATATAACTACAGTCCTCCAATGTGCTGGGGTGTATGTCCCTGATGAATACTCACCAAATCTTTTATTTACCCACTGAGCTTAACTGTCTTCTGACTTCTGTATCGTAAAAACAATAGGTGTGCCCACCGGGCGTGGTGGCTCACTGCTGTAATCCCAACACTTTGGGAGGCTGAGGTGGGTGGATCACTTGAGGCCAGGAGTTCAAGACGAACCTGGCCAACATGGTGAAACCCTCTCTCTACTAAAAATACAAAAATTAGCTGGGTGTGGTGGTGCACGCCTGTAGTCCCAGCTACTCAGGAGGCTGAGGCAGGAGAATAGCTTGAACCCGGGAGGCGGAGGTTGCAGTGAGCTGAGATCATGCCACTGCACTTAAGCCTGAGCGACAAAGTGAGACTCTGTCTCAAAAAAAGAAAATGAGACTGTCTCAAAATAAAAAAAAAAGAAAGAAAAATTAAAAAAAAAATAGGTGTGCTAAGTATGAAGTCATGATATTGTATAGGCATTTTAAAATGTGCAGTATTCTCTTCCTTACCCTCAGTGTTCTCCATGCACCCTGCATTGATCAGTGGTCATGAACTATCAGCCATAGGTGTGTGTGTGTGTGTGTGTGTGTGTGTGTGTGTGTGTGTGTCTGTCTGTCTCTCTCTCTGCCCCCGACCCAAGTGTGTTTTAGAGTTCTTATAAAATTAGAATTTTCCTCTTCCTTTGAAAAATGGTAGGATCTTGTTCCATGGGGTCCAATTGCCTGGAGGTTCCAGTTGCCCAGAGCTTAAATAACCCTTGTTTGGCAGCATGGCTGGGCTCCTACTTGACAGCTTTTATTCATGCTACTTGTCAGTCTCCCTCAGGGTTCCTTAGGCTGTCCTTGAGTACCTCTGCTCTGGGGTAGTGAGGAAGAAGACTGGGAAGAGACCTAGCCTTCATTCCCAGGTAGCATCCTTGCATATGAAATATGAACTAGTCTCTCACCATCATGGTGGGGTGGAAAATTTCTTGCATGTTCTCACTGAGGAGTTGGCTAGATTCTGTCTGCCTTCTCCCCTGATTGAACTTCCAAGCCTCTGAGGCAGGGGGCCAGATGCCTGTTCTTGGCCTCCCTGTCCCTCTGGGCAGATGTTCTAAGCTCTTGTGGTTTTCCTCTTGGGAGTTTCTCACTACTTTCCCTTTTTTCTCCCCCTCTTCTTAGCCTTGCATCATCAAGATTAAAAACTTTTTTGATGCAGAAGATTATTATATTGTTTTGGAATTGTAAGTAGTAAACTTTTTAAAAATTTCTGTTTCCATTCAAATGCTTTATAAAGCCACCAAAGAATCTAATGTAGGCTTGCCTTTCTCATCCTGGGGGGCCTCAACGTATGTATGTAGTAGTGGGGCCCACAAAGTCTGTGTATAGGGGGTTAATATCAACCCAAAAAACCCTCCAATGTTTCCAAAAATAGGTGGTATGGGATTCCAGGTCCTGGATCTATGATCAGGACTTGAACTCCACTCTGCAGTTGACTAGCTGACCACCCATGGGTCAGTTTAACTCACTTTTCTGAGTCTCATCTTCATAGTGTTAAATGGGGATTATAATGAACCCCCACATGCAGAGTCCTTGTATGAATTAAATGCTATGAGGGATGGAAATCCCCCAGCAGAGCACCTGGCACATGTGTGTACTCACCATGGGGCAATATTGTTATAATTGGCTCACCATAACTGTGGGTTTTTACATCCGTGTATTCAACCAACCTCAGATCGAAAATACTTAGAAAAATAAAATGGATGGTTGTATCTGTACCAAACATGAACAAACATTTTTCTTGTTATTATTTTCTAAACAGTACTGTAGAACCACTATTTACATAACATTTACATTGTATTAGGTTTTGTAAGTATTTTAGAGATTATTTAAAGTATCCAGGGCCAGGTGCAGTGGCTTACGCCTGTAATCCCAGCACTTTGGGAGGCCGAGGTGGGTGGATCACCTGAGGTCAGGAGTTCGAGACCAGCCTGGCCAACATGATGAAACCCCATCTCTACTAAAAATACAAAAATTAGCCGAGTGTGGTGGCGCACACCTGTTACTTCAGCTACTCAGGAGGCTGAAGCAGGAGAATAGCTTGAACCCGGGAGGCAGAGGTTGCAGTGAGCTGAGATTGTGCCACTGTACTCCAGCCTGGGCCACAGAGTGAGACTCCATATCAAAAAATTAAAAAAAAAAAAAAAAAAAGGCCGGGCGCAGTGGCTCACATCTGTAATCCCAGCACTTAGGGAGGCCAAGGCGGGCGGATCACAAGGTCAGGAGATCGAGGCCATCCTGGCTAACACGGTGAAACCCTGTCTCTACTAAAAATACAAAAAATTAGCTGGGTGTGGTGGTGGGCTCCTGTAGTCCCAGCTACTCGGGAGGCTGAGGCAGGAGAATGGCGTGAACCCAGGAGGCGGAGCTTGCAATGAGCTGAGATCGCGCCACTGCATTCCAGCCTGGGTGACAGAGCGAGACTCCGTTTCAAAAAAAATTAAAAAAAAAAAAATAGAGAAAGAAAGTATACAGGATACAGCCTGGGCAATATGGTGAAACCCCATCTGTACAAAACACACACACACACACACACACACACACACACACACAGACACACACACACAAAATTAGCCGGGCATAGTGGCACGTGCCTGGAATCCCTGTGATTTAGGAGGCTGAGGTGGGAGGATCACCTGAGCTTGGGAAGTCAAGGCTGTAATGAGCTGAGATTGTGCCACTGCACTCCAGCCTGGACAATGGGAGTGAGACTCTGCCTCAAAAAAAAAAAAAATAGTATATGGGATGATATACATAGATTATATGCAAATCTTACGCCATTTTATATAAAGGGCTTGAGCATAATGGATTTTGGTCTCTGAGAGAGCTCCTGGAACCAATTCCCCATGGATACTGAGGGACAGCTCTACTCTGAAATATCTACCTGGGTAGGACTTTCTATGCGGGTCCTTTCAATCCAGGACCAGGTTGCATGGTGGCACCTGAGTATCTTTCAGTGTCTTGGTAGTTTATTTCAGTGGCGATAATGTCTTGTGTTATTTGGTGTAATCAGAATAACTTCCTGTCTCATTTCTGGAAGATGCCTGTCTTGATATCTGCTCCTGCATAAATATTAAGTGTTTCTGGGAGCAGCTATTGTGGCAGGCACAGAATGCTTTGCTCCTGGTTGGCAAATCGTATCTATGCAGGGTGATCATTAAGACTGTATAGACAACAGGCTGGGTGTGGTGGCTCACACCTGTAATCCCAGGACTTTGAGAGGCTGAGGTGGGCGGATCCCTTGAGGCCAGGAGTTCAAGACCAGCCTGGCCAACATGGCAAAACCCCGTCTCTACTAAAAATACAAAAATTAGCCAGGCATGGTGGCATGTGCTTGTAGTCCCAGCTCCTTGGGTGGCTGAGGCGTGGAGAATCGCTTGAACCTGGGAGGCGGAGGTTGTAGTGAGCCGTGATGGACAGAGCAAGACTGTCTCAAAAAACATAAGAAAAAAGAAAAAAGACTATGGTAAAAACACCCCTGATCACCCCTGATCACAGCACTGGGAGAGCCTGGAGCCCCTTGTGGATCTGCTGCTATCAAATAGGAGATTGTTACCTGACTGAATCCAGTTAACACAGTTAATAAAAGTGATAATACAGAGCCGGGCACGGTGGCTCACGCCTGTAATCCCAGCACTTTGAGAGGCCGAGGGGAGCAGATCACCTGAGGTCAGGAGTTCGAGACCAGCCTGACCAACATGGAGAAACCGCATCTCTACTAAAAATACAAAATTAGCCGGGCATGATGGTGAATGCCTGTAATCCCAGCTACTTGGGAGGCTGAGGCAGGAGAATCGCTTGAACCTGGGAGGTGGAGGTTGCGGTGAGCCAAGATTGCGCCATTGCATTCCAGCCTGGGCAATAAGAGCGAAACTCTGTCTCAAAATAAATAAATAAATAAAGGAATAACCTTGCCAAGCACCTGTGCCAGGAGCTTTTCCTACATCAGCCATCTCTTAATTTTTATAACAACCATCAAGGTAGATGGTATCATCCCCATTTTTTAAGTGGTAGAAACAAGCTGAGAGAGGTTAAATAGCTTTCCCAAAGTCCAAAAGCTGGGAAATGGTAGAGTTAGGGTTCAGATCCTGGTTGTCTGTTTGTAAAATTCTGTTTGCTCTTCTACATCAGTCTCAGAATCATCTGTGGTGTGTGATAAAAATGCAAACTCCTGACTGGGTGCGGTGGCTTATGCCTGTAATCCCAGCACTTTTGGGAGGGCAAAGTGGGCAGATCACTTGAGGCCAGGAATTTGAGACCAACCTGGCCAACATGGCAAAACCTTGTCTCTACTAAAAAAAATACAACAATTAGCCGGGCATGGTGGTGCATACCTGTAATCCCAGCTACTTGGGAGGCTAAGGCATGAGAATCACTTGAACCTGGGAAGCGGAGGTTGCAGTGAGCCAAGATCGCACCACTGCACTCCAACCTGGGTGACAGAGCGAGGCTCTGTCTCAAAAAAAAAAAAAAAAAAGCAACTCCTGGGCCCCACTTCCAAGCTACTGAATTGGATTTTTTAAAGTTCCCCAGGTGCCTCCAATGCCCAATCCTTTCATCTCATTCCTTAGTTTCCAACTGGGACATCTGATTGTGAATAAACCTTATTAGTTTTAAAAATGAGAGTCAAAAGTGAATAAAAATGTCAACTGTTTGCTTGTCTTAATGAATTTGTTTTGTTGTTTTATTGTCTTCTGTCCAAGTGCGTTTTCCCCCAGGAATGAACCCCTTGCCTTGCCTTTGTGTTTCAGGATGGAAGGGGGAGAGCTGTTTGACAAAGTGGTGGGGAATAAACGCCTGAAAGAAGCTACCTGCAAGCTCTATTTTTACCAGATGCTCTTGGCTGTGCAGGTAAAAGAAGCCCTCAATTCTTTTGACAGCTGCCTTTCTTTTAGTTGAATTACTCCCTGAATTAGGCAGAAATCGAGGGACCGTGGATTAAAACTCAGAAGAGAATCTGTGTGTTTGCTGTTCTCTTCTTGGCAAAAATGTCCTACTCCTTTCACTGAGATGAAAAAGCTCTCACTGGCGAGGCGCGGTGGTTCATGCCCATAATCCCAGCATTTTGGGAGGCCAAGCGGGCGGATCACGAGGTCAAGAGATCAAAACCATCCTGACCAACATAGTGAAACCCCATCTCTACTAAAAATACAAAAATTAGCTGGGTGTAGTGTTGCGTGCCTGTAGTCCCAGCTACTCGGGAGGCTGAGGCAGGAGAATCACTTGAACTGGGAGGTGGAGGTTGCAGTGTGCTGAGATCATGCCACTGTGCTCCAGCCTGGGGACAGAGTGAGACTCCATCTCAAAAAAAAAAAAAAAAAAAAAAGAAAAAGCTCTCACTGTGTAGCTTAAGAGAAAGTAAGAAAGGGAATTAAAGAAATAAATAGACCAGGCATAGTGGCTCACGCCTGTAGTCCCAGCACTTTGAGAGGCCAAGGCAGGAGGATCACTTGAGCCCAAGAGTTTAAGACCAGCCTGGGCAATATAATGGGACCCCCATCTCTACAAAAAATAAAAATAGCCAGGCATGGTGGCGGGCACCTGTGGTCTTAGCCACTCTGGAGGCTGAGTTGGGAGGACGGCTTGAGCCTGGGAGGTTGAGGCTACAGTGAGCCACAGTCATGCCACTGCGCTCCAGTCTAGGCAACAGAATGATGCTCTGTCTTTAAAAAAAGAGATAACATGGCCCTATGTCGCCTATCTTTAGCTTGGAGGTATTTCTGGAGGGGTCTTGATCATTAGTTCTTTAGTTCTGCTTGATCCTTGTAGAAGTCTCTCTTAACTCAGAGTGGGAGCTGGGCAGGTTTGAGGGCAGAGCTGCAAGTTGTGATGATTGTGACAGATGGGTTGGTCCCCCATGGCTCAGAACTAGGTGTTTCCCTTCAGGTGCAGCATCCTGTTCGCTGCAGTGGGCGGGCCGGCAGGGAATGCACATAGCCATCTCTATTCAGTAGGTGTTAGATGAAAGAATAGCTGGTGGCACTTGCTTTGAGGAACATCACCATTTCCCAGACCAAATGTGGTTGTGGCCATTCCCTTCCAGTCTCTTCTTGAAAACCCACTCCTTGCAGGAAATGCAGTGATTGGGAGCAATCCTTGTACAGAGTGAGGATCGAGAGAAATTTTTTTATGATTGATCTACCTAGGTTTGCCCTCCCTGGAGGTTTCACCAGATCCATTTCCCAGTAAAGATTTTGCAAAAAATTTTTGTTCTAACCCAGAGGGACATCCAGAGAAGATTGAAGCCCATAAACACAAGCCTTTTAAATTTATTTTTATTTGTTTATTTTTTTTGAGATGATGTCTCACTGTGTCGCCCAGGCTGGAGTCCAATGGCACGATCTCGGCTCACTACAACCTCCACCTCGGGTTCAAGTGATTCTCCTGCCTCAGCCTACCCAGTAGCTGGGATTACAGGTGCCTGCCACCATGTCCAGCTAATTTTTTTTTTTTTTTTTTTAGTAAAGATAGGGTTTCACCATGTTGGCCAGGCTGTTCTGAAACTCCTGACCTCAAACTATCCGCCTGCCTTGAGCTCCCAAAGTGCTAGGATTACAGGCATGAGCCACCGTGCCCGCCCACAAGCCTTTTTAAAAAAAAAATTTAATTTTAATTTTAATTTTTGTGGGCACATAGTAGGTGTACATGTTTATGGGGTACAACGCAAGCCCTTTTTAATGGTAGCTGTCACCTACTCAGTGTATTGCTCCCTTATTGGTTTATTCCATTTATTTATATTGAGTAACCAAGAATATTAACATGAATTGAGTACAGTTTGTGGATATGTGAAAATTTTGTTTCCTAAAAAAATATGGCCAGGCAGGGTGGCTGATGCCTGTAATCCCAGCACTTTGGGAGGCTGAGGTGGGAAGGTCACTTTAGCCCAAGAGTTCCAGACCAGCTTGGGCAACATTGTGAGATCCCGTCTCTACAAAAAAATAAAGAAGTTAGCTGGTTGAAGTGGCATGCTTTGTGCCTATGGTCCTAGCTACTCATGAGGCTGAGGTGGGAGGATCACTTGAGCTGAGGAGGTTGAGGCTGTAGTGAGCTAAGATGGTGCCACTGCACTTCAGCCTGGGGGACAGAGTGAGACCTTGTTTCAAGAAAAAAAAAAAAGAGAAAAGAAAAGAAAAGAAATATGGCATAGTATGTTGGTGTTTGTTCATTTTTATATGCTATTTCAGACAATAGTTTTTTCAAAGACAAAGTCTTTGCATTGAGGAATAGGTTAACTCACATAAACAGATATATATTTGTATCACATAAATAGATATTTACAAATATATATTTGTATAGGTTCCCTTTAAAAATATTCTCAGGACTGCAATAACCAAATATATCATTTTGGTGGAATTTTTGTGTTTATTTGGTATGTTCTCAAAACATTTTCTGTTACCCATTTGAATTTTTATTGAAATTGACACCTTACATTTCTGCTGTGTGAAGAGTTGTTTATTATCTTAAAGTGAAATGAAAGGTTAATTGTTCTAAGTTGCTTTTTTCATTTCCCTGCTTTTTAAAGATCTTCTCAAACAAATTTGTAAACTTTACCCCAACAGTTTTCTATGATTTTGGAGAATATGGTTGTGTGTATCACGGCTTACGGTTTCACCCAGCTGTGAGATGTGTGTGTTGGTAACTTTGATTCTACTTAAGTATCTACTGCATGAATCTGAGGGTCATGCCTGCCTTTCTGTGTAGTACCTTCATGAAAACGGTATTATACACCGTGACTTAAAGCCAGAGAATGTTTTACTGTCATCTCAAGAAGAGGACTGTCTTATAAAGGTAAGAAATTGGCATTCTGTATGTGGCTATTCCTGTAGATTCTTGTTCAGAAACTTTTAATTCCTCAAATAAAAAGTGGGAGCGTAAAAAGGATGAGAATCTGACCCTTTCACTGTTACCAATTATTTTAGAGATCAGGTGATACTGCTCTTATCCAGATTCGAATGAGCATTTATTGAGCTCTGTTGTGTACAAGTGACCTTTGTGCTTAGAGAGAGAGGAGGGGTCTAAATGGACGAGTGGGCTGGGTATGGTGGCTCACACCTGTAATCCCAGCACTTTGGGAGGCCGAGGTGGGCAGATCACCTGAGGTCAGGAGTTTGAGACCAACCTGGCCAACATGGCAAAAAATACAAAAATTTAGCTGGGCATGGTGGTGGGTGTCTGTAATCCCAGCTACTTGGGAGGCTGAGACACGAGAATCACTTGAACCTGGGAGGCAGAAGTTGCAGTGAGCTGAGATCGCACCACTGCACTCCAGCCTGTGCAAAAGGGCCAGACATCATCTCAGAATAGGTGAATGAATGAATGAGTAATCACATGCGCTGCCTTTCCCTGTTTCTCAAGTCTGGCATCACTTTAGAATCTCTTGTTAGGATTTATGACACCCAGGCTTTACCTCAGAAGCTGAGAGTGGCACTCAGGTATAAGCATGTGTTTCCAAGCTCCCCAGGTATTCCATAGCGCAGCCAAGTTTGAGACACTGGGGTCTAAGAACCATGTAGAACTAATTAGAATCCTGAAGTGTCTGTGATAAAGATAATAAGCTTTTTGTAAGATTACAGAGGACATAGGTTAAGTTGGAAAGCCTGAGTGTTGAGATTCCTAGGCTCAGGAATTTTAATTTAAGCAAAATTAAATGTCCTAACTTGCAAAGACATGAATCTGTAAATTCCAGATTAATGGCAGGTGTGAATTGTACAATAGAAACTGATCTAGCCTACGTGTCTTCTTGGACTGGCAGACTATGTTAATCTTTTTATTTTATGGCAAGTTCAACATTATTCCCTTTTGTACTGAATTTTAGATTACTGATTTTGGGCACTCCAAGATTTTGGGAGAGACCTCTCTCATGAGAACCTTATGTGGAACCCCCACCTACTTGGCGCCTGAAGTTCTTGTTTCTGTTGGGACTGCTGGGTATAACCGTGCTGTGGACTGCTGGAGTTTAGGAGTTATTCTTTTTATCTGGTAAGAAATATTTTCATTGCTGCACAGACTGGTAGGAGGTGATTAGATGAAGTCACAAATGTGTCTTGCTCTGTTGTCCAGGCTGGCATGCAGTGGCTTGATCTTGGCTAACTGTAGCCTCTGCCTCCTGGGTCAAGTGATCCTCCCACCTCAGCCTCCCGAGTAGCTGGGACTACAGATGCACACCACCATGCCCAGCTAATTTTTCTATTTTTTGTAGTGATGGGGTTTTGCCATGTTGCCCAGGCTGGTCTCGAACTCCTGGGCTCAAGTGATCCTCCTGCCTCGGCCTCCCAAAGTGCTGGGATTACAAGCCTAAGGCATTGTGCCCAGCCTAGCTCACTTTTTGACCATTGATTTAAAGAAAAATCTGACTTTTCATTATGCTGAAAAAGAAATCTTTATATCTGAATGCCACTGAGAATGCCACTTGATTTCTTTTCCTTTCTCTCTCTACCAATATTAAGCCTTAGTGGGTATCCACCTTTCTCTGAGCATAGGACTCAAGTGTCACTGAAGGATCAGATCACCAGTGGAAAATACAACTTCATTCCTGAAGTCTGGGCAGAAGTCTCAGAGAAAGGTATGAATATGAAAGGGTTAAGAATTTGTGGTATGCTAAAATGTGTATGTGCTGTGGTGGGAGTTTCTTCCCAAATTCCATGGTGTTTTCTCCTGTCAATTCTGTTCTTATTTTCTATTGTTAGTTTCACACCATTTGAGAGGCACTGGAAATTATTAAGAGCATGCACTCAGGTCCTGGGTCTGCTACTACTTAGCTGTGTGGCCTTAGGCAAGTTATTTAACCTCCATCTCCAATTTCTTTCTGTGTAAAGGGACCCTCAATAAACCCTACCTTAAAAGGTTTTTGTGAGGGTTAAGTATCATGTACACAAGTGCCTGGTACCTATTTTAGTGAGCAAAATAAATGCACTTGTAACTTTTTAGTTACAAGGTTTCCTTTGAGTAAGCAAGCATGTAAAAACTAGATGTCATTAGTTACCTTGTATTTTATAATTTATCCTGGCAACTTTAGTTCCCTGAAGAGAAAGTAGAAAATTAAATGTCAAATAACATAACATAGGTGATTGTGTTAAATGTCAGAATATTTAAGGAATAATAATGTTGTAATATACAGGCCAGCGTGCATTTGTTGCTTGCTGGAGTAGCCAAGTTTTATTTCTGACAAGTCTGCAGTTCCAGGGAGCCTCTCCCTCGCTGAGTAACTGTCACCTATCCATCTGTAGATGTCAGAGAGAGTTTGCTGTGCATCCCAAGTATCTTAGAATTGGGTAGAAGTTTAGCTTTAATTAGTCCGACCTTGAGTCTAGCAACAAGAGAGGGAACAGGCAGTGAAGAGGTCGTGACTGACGTCCCAGCAGCAGGAGACAGGGAGTGTCATTATCATTCCTGGTCTTCTCACAGTACTCTGAATACAGAGAGTGAGGAAGATTAGGGGGCCCTGTCTGCTGACTCCGTGATGATCTCAGACCCTCTCTGCTCTTTCTGAATGGTGGCCTGTTAATTCTGGCATACTCTTACTGATAATATATTTATCCTTTTCACTGTGATTTGCCCAATTGTTGCTTTAGCTCTGGACCTTGTCAAGAAGTTGTTGGTAGTGGATCCAAAGGCACGTTTTACGACAGAAGAAGCCTTAAGACACCCGTGGCTTCAGGTGGGTGTGGGACAGTGCCTGCTAGCATAAAATACATGGGAAGCCCTGCTGCCTGAGAGACATGAGACAGAGGACAGAAACATGTTTACTTTGTTGAGTGTTTAATCTAATTGTTTTAGATGTATGGGGGGTATCTTGGAGGATGGGTTACAACCTGTTTTATTTTTTTTTTTGAGACAGGTTCTTGTTCTGTCACCCTGGCTGGAGTGCAGTGGCACGATCTCAGCTCACTGCAACCTCTGGCCCCCGGGTTCAAGTGATTCTCCTGCCTCAGCCTCCCAAGTAGCTGGGATTACAGGTGCATGCTGCCATGCCCAGCTACTTTTTGTATTTTTTGTAGAGATGGGGTTTCGCCGTGCTGGCCAGGCTACAACCTTTTTGATATTACTCATGGCTGTTGGATGTACACGCTCACTTTATGTCCTGTTCTGGTTCCACTTGGCTGCCCCGAGTCTCCTGTTTGGCCTGTGTTCTTTTGAGTGCTTGTTCTGGCTCTACCCCCAGCCATGTCCACTGCTCTTCATAGGTGGGGTGCATTCCAGCCATCTTCAACCTTAAATCAGGGAAGTGGGGGAGGGGGAGGAGGACAGCCTCCCTGGGGAGAATCCAGCTATTTCTCAAGCCCAAGTGACTGGGTATAAAGGGTCCCACTGCTTGTTCATTCAGGTGAGTAAATGTGTCCTTAATGAAGGCTGTCACCTGCACTTTTCATCTGTATTACCGCTGTGCTCCTGCTAGGGGTTGGGGCTGCCATTTTTAAATGCTGACCTCATCTGGAACTGCCAAGAGTTGGAAGTATGTTGTGGCTTTGCTGGGTTAATCTTTAGTTTTAGAATTAGCCACGGCATTGGGCAGGTTTTTCTGATAGATGTCTGGTCTTCTGTAATGAGCAGTTCCATTCAGCACAGACATGCCCCTTTCTATGAATTTTTTTTTGGTTTGTGTATTAGTCTGTTCTCACACTGCTATAAAGAACTGCCCAAGACTGGGTAATTTACAAAGAAAAGAGGTTTAACTGACTCACAGCTGCACATGGCTGGGGAGGCCTCAGGAAACTTATAATCATGGTGGAAGGGGAAGAAGGCATGTCTTAATGGCAGCAGGTGAGAGAGCTTGTGAAGGAAGTGAAGGGCGAAGATCCTCTTATGAAACTGTCAGATCTGGTGAGAACTCACTCACTATCACGAGAATAGCCTGGGGGAAACTGCCCCCATGAGCCAATCACCTCTCAACAGGTCCCTTTCTCAACACCTGGGGATTACAATTTGAGATGAGATTTGGGTAGGGACACAAAGCCAAACTGTATCAATCCGTTTTCTGTGGAGATGGGGGACAGAACTGGTAGCTTGAGCTAGAGGCTGTTACTTGAGCTAAATGCTGTTTCTCTGGGGATTACTGGTCCAGGAACTCCTTGGGCAGTCCAGCCTCCGACCCGTACTTCTGGGACTCTGGGAAGACTGTCCCTGTTCTCTGTTCCAATCCTCTACACCTAACAGTTTTGCTCAGGCCAGCTCAGGTTGAGAACAACAAAAACTTAAAACAAACAAACAAACAAACAAAAAAAGACATATATGTGTTTGGATGTTGCCCTGGAAACTACAGTCTCCCCAGAAGAAATCTGTCAGATGATTTAGCATTTAATAGACCACACAGATTTGAAACAGTGGGACCCTGGAGGAAAGGGGTTTGGAAACAAAGGGTGCCTTTGCATGTGGGGATTTTAATTTTGATGAAAAAGAGAAACATGTCTTTTGGCTCTTTTCATGTGTCCTAATAGGGAAACTCTTGGGTCTAAATGTAGAGGTACAGGAGCTGTGTTCATCTCTAACAAAAAATAGAGCTGGCCAGTTGAGCCTGGGAACAGGGTTTGCATCTGCCTGAAATTTATGAGCAAGCATAGCCTATCTTTCTTGTACTTTTTTGTGTCAAAGAAAACTTATTAACAACCAAGGAGAAGGTGAAGTTCAACTCTGTTGCAGGATCTCCCTGGAATACTCTTTTAGCCACCTTTTGTTTTTGCAGTGAAAGGAGGAATGAGCATTGAATGAAGACAAGGATGAAGACTGACCATCTAAAACATCTGTTAGTGATAGTTTGGGTTTTATTTTGGGAAAATTCAGTGTTTTTGAAAAAACCAAATGGTTTTGTGGGTCTGTCGCTGAACTGAGTGTTGGGAATGTGGATTCTGGTCTCTGTTTTGTCATTAACAGAGTGCCCAGTTTTGGGAGCATCCCTTACATCTACTCTCTGCCTCATATTTACTGCCTGAAATAGAGGATTTCTTCTGTTTACTTTCAAGGGATATTACAATTTAATTTTTATTTTATTTACTGTTGGAGACAAGGTCTTCTTCTGTTGCCTAAACTGGAGTGCACTGGTGCAATTATAGCTCACTGCAGCCTTGATCTCCTGGCCTTAAGGGATCCTCCCGCCTCAGCCTCACAAAGTGCTTGGATAATAGGCACGAGCCACTGTTCCTGGCTAATTTAATATTTTGGAATAATTGTAGACATCATGAAGAAAATCAATGTTTATTTATTTATTTCCTTTTTTGAGATGGAGTCTTGCTTTTGTCTACCAGGCTGGAGTGCAATGGTGTGATCTCAGCTCACTGCAACCTCTACCTCTGGGTTCAAGTGATTCTCCTGCATCAGCCTCCCAAGTGGCTGGGATTACAGGTGCCTGCCACCATCCCAGCTCATTTTTGTATTTTTAGTAGAGATGGGGTTTCACCATGTTGGTCAGACTGGTCTCGAACTCCTGACCTCAGGTTATCTACCCACCTTGGCCTCCCAAAGTGCTGGGATTCCAGGCATGAGCCACTGTGCCTGACCTGATTACTTGTTTTAAATACAGGCCTGATTAGGCTTGTGACCACTCTGTTTGGCTTCACTGAAGGGCTGCCAAGAGATGGACTTTTGAGAGTGACACTGCAAGATAATTGAGATCCTAAGTAAGGCCGTGAGAGGGTGCGGAGTAGAATCCAGATGAGCTTGCTGCTGTCAAATGGCAATGGGGAGCTACACTGAGAAACTCAAAACAGAGTGACCTCAAGTGATCTGCCCTGCCTTGGCCTCCCAAAGTGCTGGGATTACAGGCGTGAGCCACTGTGCCTGGTCCTTCTTTCCTTCTTTCTTTCTTCCTCCTTCCTTCCCCCTCCCCTCTCCTCCATTCCTTTCCCCTCCCTTCTTTCGTCCCCCCTCCCCTTTTTCCTTCCTTGCTTCTTTCCTTTCTTCCTTCCTCAGGGTCTTGCTCTCTCACCTAGGCTGGAGTGCAGTGGCATGATCACTGCACCATGACTTTCAGGCTCAAGTGATCCTCCTGCCCCAGCCTCCCAAGTAGCTGAGACTACAGGTGCATGCCACCATGTCTGGCTAATTTAAATTTTTTTTTTTTTTTTTTTGGAGACAGTGTTGTACTCTTTTGCCCAGGCTGGAGTGCAGTGGTGTGATCCTGGCTTACTGCAACCTCCGCCTCTTGAGTTCAAGCGATTCTCCTGCCTCAGCCTCCTGAGTAGCTGGGATTACAGGCGTGCACTACCATGCCCTGCTTATTTTGTATTTTTAGTAGAGAAGGGGTTTCACCATGTTAGCCAGGCTGATCTCAAACTTCCGACCTCAGGCGATTCGCCTGCCTTGGCCTCCCAAAGTGCTGGGATTACAGGCGTGAGCCTCCGTGCCTGGCCTAATTTTTAATTTTTTTTGTAGTGACGAAGTCCCACTATGTTGCCCAGGCTGGTCTCAAATTCCTGGCCTCAAGCAATTCTCCCACCTTGGCCTCCCAAAGTGCTGGGATTATAGGCATGAGCCACCATGCCCAACCTAGTGTTGTAAAATTTCCATATCCATCAAATTGCCAAATGGTGGAGGACTTTACTGTATCCTCTCCCTTTCCCCACTGTGGTATGCTTGGCTCAGTGGGAGGAGGGGCTGGAGTTGGGTGGGAAAGTACATGAGGCACTGGAATCAGATAACTCTGGGTCTGTATTCTGCACATGCCACCTGTGAGTGGCTGAGCTGGGCTTCTGGCCAGCACTCAAAGGCCACATTCCTAGTTATGGATGTTCCTTTCACCTTGCTGAAGATGGGGAGAGCTGCACCAGACCACCTCTCAGGGTTTCCTAATGCAAATCCTCGAACCCTGCAGAAGTGAGCATCCAGAGAGGTGGGAGCTACTCGCATACACACTGTCTGTGCCCTCCTCATCTCCTGCTCCTGCAGCATGAAACCCCTCACCTCCCGCTCCTGCAGCAGAAACAAAATACTTGGTTCTGTTTATTGTCTCCCTTTCTCATTAGACCTGAGCTCTGGGATACTGTGGGCTTAAGTACTTCTGAAAATTTGTATGGCATCTGCTGGGTGAATTTTCCTAGGGTGCTGGGCTGGTTGTTAGGACAGTCTGGGTGACTGGCCTCATTCATGGCAGGGGCAGCAGGTGGAGAGTGGTCCGGGAAGGATTTGAGGAGCTGCACGGAGTCAGGCCCAGCCTCTGGCCTCCTGATTGCCACCTTTCTCAGGATCTTGGATACTAATTAAGAAACTCTTGACTGCTGGAGGCTGTGATTGACCCACTGAGAGCTTTTAGGCATGTGGATGTGAGTCAGCCAGGATTGATGGAGCATTGACTGCTAATTAGACTCCTCTGGGAAGGTAGAGGCGGGCAACACATAATGCCTTCGCTGTGGGAGCTTCATCAAGGGGATGATTCTTGGACGGACATTTTTCCTCCCTCTTTCCACAGGGGCATGCTAGCCCTGTCATTCTAGGAGTTTATTATCCTTCAGACACAGCTACTTATGTTTTTAATTCCCTCACAGGATGAAGACATGAAGAGAAAGTTTCAAGATCTTCTGTCTGAGGAAAATGAATCCACAGCTCTACCCCAGGTTCTAGCCCAGGTATTCGTATTCCTGATGATCACTAAATGTAGTCTGGGCTTAAGGAGCTGATAAGCAAAGATGATGAAATTCAAGATTTTCCTGAGTAGCAATTGCTTAACATTGTTTCAGTTATAATGTAGTAGAAACTCTGTTTTAACTTGATTCGCTCCAGCACCCTTAGATTTAAAAATGCAGGATATGTTTAATATCTAACACATAATAGACCGATAAGCACAGCTAGGGATTGTCATCCAAAAGGTCACCTGCAAGGCAATTTCGAAAGACTCTATTAGAGGCTCAAATATAAATTTGTTGAACAAATTAAAATTTGGGTCAGTAGTTGATTCCTTGATTACAATTTTATTCTTTAAAGTTCTTTGTGAGTATAAGTTAATTCCAGTCCTGCTTTTTTGTTGTTGTTGTTGTTGTTGAATGGTAGCTGTCCTTTTTCCCACTGTTTCCTCCCCCCAATTTTTTTTTTCTTGAGACAGAGTCTTGGTTTGTCACTCAGGCCGGAGTGCAGTGGTGCAATCTCAGCTCACTGCAACCTCTGCCTCCTGGGTTCAAGCAGTTCTCCTGCCTCAGTCTCCCGAGTATCTGGGATTACAGGTGTCCGCCACTGTGCCCAGCTAATTTTTGAATTTTTAGGTGAGATGGGGTTTTGCCATGTTGGTCAGGCTTGTCTCGAACTTTTGACCTGAAGCGACCTGCCCACCTCGGCTTTCCAAAGTGCTGGGATTACAGCTGTGAGTCACCGCACCCAGCCTTCCTCCCAATTTTATATATGGGAAAACAACTAAGGCACAAAGGTTGTCTTCCCGCAAAAGACCAAGACTTGGGGCTTCAACTGAGAGGTATTATAGTCCTTTTAAACTTGATATTTAGAAGAGGACGATCAAGAGGAAGTTGGTTATGCTACTTGCTTTCAGTATACATCGTTCAGAGGTCAGAAGCCATAAGGGAGAGAAATATCTATTAGATAAGCATGTCTGAGTTGGGGGCTGTGGTGAGGACTCAGTTGTCAATGATGACAACCAGTAATTTTTGGTTCTAGAATTTCACATCAAATGCCCCCACTTTACTGGAAGCATATTGAGGAACTTTGATAATCTTAAAGAAGCCAGTGATTTTCTTTTGAACATTTCTCCATTTTCCTTTATTTTCAGCCTTCTACTAGTCGAAAGCGGCCCCGTGAAGGGGAAGCCGAGGGTGCCGAGACCACAAAGCGCCCAGCTGTGTGTGCTGCTGTGTTGTGAACTCCGTGGTTTGAACACGAAAGAAATGTACCTTCTTTCACTCTGTCATCTTTCTTTTCTTTGAGTCTGTTTTTTTATAGTTTGTATTTTAATTATGGGAATAATTGCTTTTTCACAGTCACTGATGTACAATTAAAAACCTGATGGAACCTGGGCTTTGTGCTTCTGCTTGATAATCGGTTCTTTAGTTGAATGGCTTTATTATTTATTTATTTGAGATGGAGTCTCACTCTGTTGCCCAGCCTGAATGAAGTGCAGTGGTGCAGGCTTGGCTCACTGCAACCTCTGCTTCCCAGGTTCAAGCGATTCTTGTGCCTCAGCCTCCTGAGTAGCTGGGATTACAGGTATGCACCACCATGCCTGTTAATTTTTATATATTTTGTAGAGACAGGGTTTTGCCATGTTGGCCAGCCTGGTCTTGAACTTCTGACCTCAGGTGATCTGTCTGCCTCAGTCTCTTAAAGTGCTGGGATTACACGCATGAGCCACTGAGCCTAGCCTGAATGGCTTTTTTATATTTAAAGTTGTGTGCCTTTCATCTGGAGCTACACCTTGGCTATCACTAGGCAGGTTTCCCAGGATGTCACCCTGGTCTCAGCCTGTGAGAGCTGAATACAAATTCTAAGGGCCCCTTGGAAAGTTCCAGGGAAGGGAGCATAGCGAGGTTGGGGGTGGAGTTTGTAGAGACTGGCTGGCTGGCTGCAGACATCTTCATGAGAACAGCAGGTACCTTGGTGCATGATAACAGGCCAGGTTATATTCTCATCCTCGCCCTCATAAAGATACAGGTCTACCGTCTCTGAAACCTTTGGGCTAGATAAGTTGTGAAATTTAATTATCCAATTTTAGGAAGGTGGTAAGGCATATCTACTATGTGTATGTGTAGCACCCCAGTGGAGTCCTACACATGTGGAGTCCTACCCCAGTGGAGACCAAACATGTTAATATTTCCACAGCAAATATTCACAGTAAGAGGGATAGAGAAAGATTATAGGTAGTTGCATATTGGTTCATATCAGTCTTTTCTTCCAAATGAGCTACAATGACTTGTTTTTGAGAGCTGTTTGGGTTTTGGAAGTGGAGATAAGGCATGTGGTTATGTCTTGTTGACCCAATAATGACCAGGGAGGCCCTGTGCAAAGACTTACCCTTGGCTGCTCTTGTCATCACAGTGATTCTATGAGTGAGGTCCTCTAGCCACTGTCATGTCACAGGTGAGGAAACCAAAGTTAGAAGAGGAAGGTAACTTTTCCGATGTTGCACAGCTGGTAAATGGCAGAGCTGGGACCCAACCCAGGTCTTTTTGACTCTAAAACTAATGTTCCTTATTGTCCACTAAATCTGCTTTTATAACTTTGCTTGGTTGATGCTAGGACACTTTGTAGCTCGCTGGCCATGCCATGAATTGAGTGCCATGGTTCAAAGGCCACTGGCGATTCTGTCAGGGCAGGGTCAAGGGCACACAGCCATTTCCTTAGGAAATGGGGGTGGTGGTTGGAAATTTCTATTAAAGGGTATATAAGCATTTTGAGACTTGGCTGGCCTGGTGTAGGGGGTTTGATGGGAATTTAGGTAGTTTGCATGTTTAAAGGAATGAGGCTGAGATTGCCAATTAGATGGGTTTTAGCTCATTTGAATATTTAATGTGGAGGCTGTGGTTTCCTGGGACATTTTTCCCACTGTGGAGAGTTAGCCAGCTTTTCTCTGTTTCTTTTTTTTTTTTTTCTTTTTTCTTTTTTTTATTAAATTGAGATGAAGTCTCATGCTTGTCGCCCAGGCTGGAGTGCAATGGTGTGATCTCGGCTCACTGTAACCTCCGCCTCCTGGGTTCAAGTGATTCTCCTGCCTCAGCCTCCCGAGTAGCTGGGATTACAGGCACCTGCCACCATGCCCAGCTAATTTTTGTATTTTTAGTAGAGATGGGGTTTCACCATGTTGGTCAGGCTGGTCTTGAACCCCTGACCTCAGGCAATCCACCCGCCTCCCTCCCAAAATGCTGGGATTAGAGGCATGAGCTACTGTGCCTGGCTGCCTTTCTCTGTTTCTAGAGCATTTTGTATTAACTCCCTCTCATGATATCTTCCATGGTAGGCTGAATAATGGCCCCTCCAAAGTGTCCTCATCTTAATTCCCAGAATCTTTGACTATGTTCCTTTCCATGACAAAAGGGACTTTGCAGATGTGATTAAGCATCTTGAGATGGGAGCTTATCCGATGTTGCCTGTGGGCCCAGTGTCCCATCACAGTGCTTTTTTTTTTTTTTTTTTGAGACGGAGTTTTTTGCTCTTGGTGCCCAGGCTGGAGTGCAATGGCGCAATCTCGGCTCACTGCAACTCCACCTCCCAAGGTTCAAGCGATTCTCCTGCTTAAGCCTCCCGAGTAGCTGGATTACAGGTGCTCGCCACCATGCCCAGCTAATTTTTGTTTTTTCAGTAGAGATGGGGTTTCACCATGTTGGTCAGGCTAGTCTCGAACTCCTGACCTTGTGATCTGCCCGCCTTGGCCTCCCAAAGTGCTGGGATTACAGGCATGAGCCATCACATCCAGCCCACAGTGCTCTTTTAAGAGGGACTCAGCAGTCAGGGAAGATGGCACTGTGATGATGACTGAGTGTCTTAGTCTTTTTTGTATTGCTACACGATATCTGAGACTAGGTAATTTATAAAGAACAGGTTTATTTCTTACAGTTCTGGAGGCTGGGAAGGTCAAGATCAAGGGGCCTGCTTCTGGTGAGGGTCTTCTTGCTGTGTCATCCCATGATGGAAGGCATCACATCAAGAGAGAAAGGGGGCTGAACTCAATCCTTTTATTAGGAACCCACCCCCATGATAATTAACCCTCTGCTGAGATAACATCATTACTCTATTAATGAGGGCAGATCTTTCATGACCTAATCACCTCTTAAAGGTCCCACCTCTCAACACTGTTGCATTAGAGATTAAATTTCCAGCACATGAACTTTGGGGGACACATTCAAACCACAGCACTGTGCAGAGACTGGAGTGGTGTGCTTTAAAAATGGAGGAAAGGGCCACAATCCAGGGAATATAGGTAACCACTAAAAGCAGAAAAAGGCAAGAAAATGGGTTTTCCCTTCAGAACCTCCTGAAGGAATCAGTCCTTTACAACTTGACTTTAGCCAAGTGAAACTGATTTGAGGCTTCTGACCTATAGAACAATAAGATATTAAGTCTGTGTTGTTGTAAGCCAATCAGTTTGTGGTAATTTGTTACAGCGGCCATAGGAAACTAATTGACTCACCAATGGGAGAAATCGGCTGCTGATTTAAAGCTACCCAGCAACTACTTCCTCTCCTAACCTCACTCTTAATTTTCTCTTGGAGGAATTCTTTTCCCTATCCCATTAAGTTATGGGAGATGGGGCCAGGCATGGTGGCTTAGCAATCCCAGCACTTTGGGAGGCTGAGGCGGGTGGATCACTTGAGGTCAGGAGTTTGAGACTAGCCTGGCCAACATAGTGAAACCCCATTTCTACTAAAAATACAAAAATTAGCCAGGCGTGGTGGTGGGCACCTGTAATCCCAGCTACTCCAGAGGCTGTGGCACGAGAATTACTTGAACCCAGGATGCAGAGGTTGCAGTGAGCTGAGATCACACCACTGCACTCCAGCCTGGGTGACAGAGTGAGAATCCATCTCAAAAAAAAAAAAAAAAAAGTTATGGGAGAGGATGGTAAAGCTAAGCATCTTTTGCACCTACCCCCCACCCCCACCACTGCAGAAGCTGAAGGGGTTCCTAGAGGCTTCTTCTGCTGTGGAGCTGTTCCCACTGGCCCCCCAGCTAGAGGTGGGTGTAGGACTTTGAAACATGAACAAATGGAGCTGGGATGGCAATGGCGAGAACAATATTGTGCTAATCCGAACTCTGCACTTCCTAACTTTGGCTCTGGGTAAATTACCTCAAATTGCTGAGCCTTTGTTTCCATATTTATAAAATGGGTGCAGTAAGAGTACCAACCTCTTCTACGCTGTTTGGAGGAGGCAGGTCCATAAAGTACCTGGCATGTGGTAAGGGATTCATGAATGTTGGCTTCTATCATTAAGGGTGGGGGAGCCACATAAGTAGCCAGAGGGAGTCATAGAAAGTTCTTAAGCCAGAGAAGTAAGATAATCTTTTCAGCTTTTTGTGCAGCATAAAAGGTGGTTAATTTGCTTGCCTTTGACCAAGCAAATTTGGGACGTGCCAGGCCTGGGGTGAATGGTGGGAACCCAGGTAGAGGGATATTTCTCATTGGCTGAATTAACTGTGACTCCGTTTTGCAGAGCAGCCAGGTTGCTTCATGGTGGACCTGCTGCATGCCTACATGATGGTGCCGTGGATAGCTCTTGTTTGTGCCAGCCCTGTACCTGATACCTCTTGTGGTAATTGCATCCCTATTTTTCAGAAGGAAGCATCCCTCTTCCCACTTTCTGGTTTTCCCCATGTCCTTCTGGAGGGGATGACCCCAACCGCTTCCTGAAGGGGCTTCATGAAAGCCAGGTCTGACCAGGCTGGATGTAGTGATTGGCTGAGGCAGGAGCATGTGGCCCAAATGGGTCCAGTGAAAGTCAGTCCTGGGACTTTGGCTGGAACTATTGGGGAACAGCCTCTGCTTTCTTGGGGAGATGTGACTTAGGAGCTGCTCAGGCCACTATGTGGAAAGAACTGCGTGAGAATGAAGTAATCAAAGGGAAGCAAGCACTGAGAGATTAGAGAGACTTATCTTGTATAAGTGCCTGTATCCAGCTATGCCTGAAGTGAGGTGCCACCCCAGGCCTTTTCAGTCATGCTATCAGTTTTGTTCCTTTTTTCTGTTTTACTCTTGGTGGAGTTATTTTTTTTTTTCTTTGTTACTTGAATAAGAAAAATACCAGACTAGAAGGCTGGGCGCGGTGGCTCACGCCTGTAATCCTAGTACTTTGGGAGGCCAAGGCAGGTGGATCACGAGGTCAGGAGTTTGAGATCAGCCTGACCAACATGGTGAAACCCCGTCTCTACCAAAAATACAAAAAAATTAGCTGGGTGTGGTGGTGCATGCCTTTAATCCCAGCTACTCAGGAGACTGAGGCAGGAGAATCGCTTGCACCTGGGAGGCAGAGGTTGCAGTGAGCCGAGATCGCGCCACTGCACTCCAGCCTGGGTGACAGAGCAAGACTCCATCTCAAAAACAAAAACAAAAAAAAAAAACCAAAAAAAAACAGACTAGTAAATGCAACCATTTACAAATACCAAGAGACTCTCGAAGATTCTTTTTGTTAGTAGGGAAAACATTTTCCATTTTTCTGCCAACTTTAGGGTTTTCAGAGAAGTTTGGGGGAGAGAAAGGAAAGCAAAGATGTGGGAAGAAAGAGTCCTTGCAGCCCCAAGTTGGGCAAACTCCTCCCAGCTACTTATACTACAGGGTTTGGGAGCAGAGTCCATTTCATTAAACTTTTAGGAGTCTTGGATGGATAGGGTGGGAATTACACCAGTGAAACTCAGCTTTGTGTGTGTCAGGCATTGGGCCCTGGGATATGCAGTCATGTATTGTATAATGACATTTTAGTCAATGAAAAACCGCATGTAAATCGGTGGTACCATAAGATGATTATGGAGCTGAAAAATTCCTATTGCTTAGTGACGTAGCCATTGTAATGTTAGGGTAACGCATTTCTGTGTTTCTGGTGATGCTGGTGTAAACAAATCTGTGCTGCCAGTTCTATAAAAGCATAGCATGTACAATTACATACAATATAAGATACTTGATAATGAACAACATGTTACTGTTTTTTTTTTTTTTAAGACAGAGTCTTGCTCTGTCACACAGGCTGGAGTGCAGTGGCGCGATCTTGGCTCACTGCAACTTCTGCCTCCCAGGTTGAAGCGATTCTTCTGCCCCAGTCTCCTGAGTTGCGGGGAATACAGGCACCCACCCCCACACCCAGCTAATCTTCATATTTTTAGCAGAGATGGAGTTTCACCACACTGCCCAGGCTGGTCTCAAACTCCTGACCTCAAATGATCTGCCCGCCTCAGCCTCCTAAAGTGCTGGGATTACCCGCATGAGACACTGTGCCCAGCCCTGGTGTAGTGTTTTTCGTAATTTTAGAATGTATATCTTCTACTTACATTAAAAAATAGTAAACTATAAAACAGCCTCAGGCAGGTCCTTCAGGAAGTATTTTGGAAGAAGAAGGCATTGTTATCACAGGAGATGACAGCTCCATGCGTGTTATTGCCCGGGCTGGAGTGCAATGGCACGATCTTGGCTCACTGCAACCTCCGCCTCCTGGGTTCAAGCGATTCTCCTGCCTCAGTCTCCTGAGTAGCTGGGATTACAGGTGCACATCACCATGCCTGGCTAAGTTTTGTATTTTTAGTAGAGATGAGGGTTTCACCGCCTTGGCCAGGATGGTCTCGAACTCCTGACCTCAAATGATCTGCCTGCCTCAGCCTCCCAAAGTGCTGGGATTACAGGTGTGAGACACCACGACTGGCAAAATTTTTAAAGATAAATTTCAGTAAGCTAAGGTTAATTTATTGAAAAGCTTTAAAATATTTTGGTGTAGCTTAAGCATATGGTGTTTATAAAGTCTGCAGTAGTGTACAGTAAGGTCCTATGCCTTCACACTCAGTGACTCATCCACAGCATCTTCCAGTCCTGCAAGCTCCTTTCATGGTAAGTGCCCTATACAAGAGTACCATTTTAAAATCTCTTATACTCTATTCTTACTGTACCTTCTCTATGTTCAGGTACACAAGTACTTACATTGTGTTATAATTGCCTATAGTATATTCAGTAAAGTATCAGGCTGTAGAGGTGTGTAGCCTAGGAGCAATAGGCTACGCCATACAGCCTAGGTGTGTAGTAGGCTATACAAGGCTATACAAGGTTTGTGTAAATGCACTTTGCTGTTTGCACAATGACGCAATCACCTAAGGAGGCATTTCTCAGAACCATCCCGTGATTAAGAGAGGCATGATCGTACAGTCATCATCTCCCTGAAAGCTCAGTCAACCCTGTGCAGTGCTACTGCCACACTCCCCTTTTGCACATGTAGAAATCAAGGATCTTTGGCTCCTCTGAGTGACTTGTTCAAGGTTTCTCAGTTTTCAAGAGATGGAGGCGGGACTTGAATTGAGATTTCCCTTTCTTGAGAACCTGTGGTCCTTAACCATTAAAACCACTTAAGAGGTCTTCTCTCTTGATCACTACCTACTAAGTGCTAGGCGCGGTGCTGAGGCTTTCTCTTATTATTATATTGAGTCCTTATATTTAGGAGAAACAGGCCGTGCGCGGTGGCTCACACCTGTAATCTCAGCACTTTGGGAGGCCGAGGCGGGAGGATCACGAGGTCAGGAGATAAAGACCATCCTGGCTAACATGGTGAAACCCCATCTCTACTAAAAATACAAAAATTAGCCGGGCGTGGTGGCCGGCGCCTGTAGTCCCAGCTACTGGGGAGGCTGAGGCAGGAGAATGGCATGAACCCGGGAGGCGGAGCTCGCAGTGAGCTGAGATCGCGCCACAGCACTCCAGCCTGCGTGACAGACCAAGACTCCGTCTCAAAAAAGAAAAAAAAAAAAGATTTAGGAGAAACAAGTCCCGAAGCCCTGACCCTAACACGCAAGGGTTAGTGGAGATGTGGGACTTGAACTCAGCTTCTCCGTTGAGTCTGGCTGTCTCCGGGACGCAGGCACGTGCTTGCACACCTCCACGATGGCGATCCCGCCCCCTTAGTAGCGTCCTTAACTCGACACTTCTTGCGGGGAAGTTCCTCTTGGCCCAGACCGTCGTCCCAGGCCCCGCGTCGTGGGGGAAGCGAAAGCGGCAGTGTGGGGAAATGGCCGAGGGGTCGGGTCCGGGGTGGTCTGCAGAGAGGCAGGCGGCGGTGCGGAGCCGGGAACCGCGCGCTCACCCGCCGAGTCCGACGGGCCCGGCGGGGGTGGGCGAGACACTGGGAACAGCGGCCAGCTCCAGAGGGCGCGAGGCGGGGCGCGCGGGGAGGGGGCGCGGCGAACGCGCGCGTGCGCGGTGCATGTGTGGGCCCGCGGGGGCGCGCGCGCGGTTTGGGGGCAGTGAGGGGCGCCGCGGCGGCGCGCAGCACGGCGGGAACATGGCGCGCGGAACCGGCGCGCGCGCCTAGCTGGCGGGACCGTTAGCTCGAGGCGGACGCGGCCCGGGCCCCGTGGGGATGGAGCAGTCGCCGCCGCCGGCGCCCGAGCCGACCCAAGGGCCGACCCCCGCAAGGAGCCGAAGGCGGCGGGAGCCAGAGTCGCCGCCGGCGTCGGCGCCGGTGAGTGCGTGAGGGGCTCGGGCCGGGAGACTTTCTTTGTGAAACTCCGGCGGTGGGAGCCGGGCCGGGCCTCAGCGGCAGAGGAGCGCCTGCGAGGCGGAAGGCGTCTCGCAGTCCGGGTTCGATCCCAGCCGCGAGCCGTGAGGCGGCGGGACCTGGTCCGCCGCCTGCCTGGCTCAGTTTCCGCGAGAGTGTGTGTGGATGTGTGTGGGTGTGTGAGGGTGTGTATGGGTGTTGGCCTGCGCACACCGGGGTGGGGGGTGTCGGTATACAGTCAGCGCCTAATGCGCCCAGCGCCTCCCCTTTTCCCCCAGCCCCCGTGGGGCGGAATCTGGGGACTGGAGTCCACCGGAGCGGTAAGCGGCACCCGCGGTGAGACAGGTGTCGGCGCAGCCCGGGATGCTCAGGTGCTACCTTTCCGGGGTGGGGTTTGTGAGGAGTGAGCTCTTCGTCCCCGGAGGCGAGCAAGTCTGTCGGTGGCTCATCAAAGAGCGTTGTTTTGAAAAGCGTTCCACCCACCTCAGCTTCGTGCTGTGTTTGGGCCACTAGTCAGGGGGAAGGATGCTGAGCGACATGGACTTTAGAGGTGGGGCTCCCGCTGGACGGGATGTCTCTGGGCTCTCGAGCTTACCCCCACCCTTGCCTCCCAAACCCGTTAGAGCGTAGGAATCATTGGGAGCACCTGATCAAAATGCCACGGACTGTGGCTCACCACAGCAGGGAAGCCGATTTTGAACTTAAACAAGCTCCGAAGTTGTGATCAGGCGAGCTTGGCAAGCACTGTTTTAGAGAGTAGGCTTCCTGCAAGCAGGAGCCGGTTTTGTGTATACCTCACCATGGCATCTTGGTACCTGGCATGGTGCCTGACACACTGTAGATGATCAGAAAATATCTGTAGAAAGTCTAAATTATTAGGGAGAGTGCAGCATAGGAGTTCTTGAGACATTTTCAGGAGCTTCTTGAGATTAATATCTCAGATTTATTTTACAGTATATGATTTTTCTCAGCTCCCAACTTTGTGATTGTGTTCAATGCCATGTTTTCAGTATGTTTTAGGCAAAAGCAGGGTACATGTTGCTTAGTATACACTATCCACTAGGCCGGGTGCGGTGGCTCACTCCTGTAATCTCAGCACTTTGGGAGGCAGATTGCTTGAGCCCAGGGGCTTGAGGCTGTAGTGAGCCAAGGAGTTAGAGACCAGTGTGGGAAACATAGCGAGACTCGTTCGTCTCCGCAAAAATTAGCTGGGTGTGGTAGAGTGCACTTGCAGTCTCAGCTACTCTGGAGGCTGAGGTGGGAGGATCGCTTGAGCTCAGGAAGTACAAGTTGCAGTGAGCCAAGGTTGTGCCACTGCATTCCAGCCTGGATAACACAATGAAACCCAGTCTCTTAAATAAGTAAATAAATACATAAATGATTATGTATACTCCAGCTAGGTTAAAATTAATTCTGAATCAAAATTCTAAATTAAAATATGCATGTTTCTTTCTCTTCATCATTTGGGAACACTAGGCTTTTAGGATTTCATTCCATTGGGGCAGGTAAATATCTACATTTATGACAAAGCAAATATGAATTACTGTTAATTCAAGAAAGGTGGGAATTTGCTTAAACCTGAGTATTTGTAGTCTTTGTGATTTTTTAAATTTTTAATTTAAATTTTCTTCTTTTTCTTTTTTTTTTTGAGACGGAGCCTCACTCTGTCTTCCAGGCTGGAGTGCAGTAGCACAATCTCAGGTCACTGCAACCTCCACCTCCCGAATTCAAGCGATTCCCCTGCCTCAGCCTCTGGTGTAGCTGGCATTACAAGTATGTGCCACCATGCCCAGCTAATTTATGTATTTTTAGTAGAGAGGAGGTTTCACTGTGTTGCCCAGGCTGGTCCCAAACTCCTTGACCTCAAGTGATCTGCCCACCTTGGCCTCCCAAAGTGCTGAGATTACAGGTGTGAGCCACGGCACCTGGCCTTATTTTTATTTTTTTGAGACAGAGTCTCAGTCTGTTGCCCAGGTTGGAGTGCTGTGGCATGATCTCCGCTCACTGCAACCTCCACCTCCCAGATTCCAGCGATTCTAATGCCTCAGCCTCTTGAGTAGCTGGGGTTACTAGACCCGGCTAATTTTTGTTGTATTATTTTAGTAGAGACTGGGTTTCCCTATGTTGGCCAGGCTGCTCTGGAACTCCTGGCCTCTGGTGATCCACCTGCCTCGTCTTCCCAAAGTGCTGGAATTACAGGCGTGAGCCACTGCCCCCAGCCAATCTTTGTGATATTTTGAAATTGAGGTTTATATTTTGTTCAGAGTCAAAGCTAAAATAGAATTGTTTGAAAATTAATATTTCAGGAACTATTTTTTAATTAAATTGAATTTTATTTTATTGGTTTCATTTCAGTAGGGTTTTAACTTAATATATATGTGTGTATATATATATATATATATATATATATTTTTTTTTTTTTTTTTTCCTGAGATGGAGTCTTGCTCTGTCACCCAGGCTGGAGTGCAATGGCATGATCTTGGCCTCACTGCAGCCTCCACCCTCCTGGCTCAAGCAATTCTCCTGCCTTAGCCTCCCAAGTAGCTGGGAATACAGGTGCCCACCGCCATGCCCGGCTAATTTTTGTATTTTTAGTAGAGATGGGGTTTCACCATGTTGTCCAGGCTGGTTTTGAACTCCCGATCTCAAATGATCCACCCTCCTCGGGCTCCCAAGTGCTGGGATTACAGGCGTGAGCCACTGCGCCTGGCCTAAAAAATATTTTTAAAGACAGGATCTAGCTGTGTTGCCTCAGCTAGTCTTGAACTCCCAGTCTTGACCTCAAGTGATCCTTCTGCCTCAGCCTTCTGAGTAGCTGGAAGCACAACTGTGAGCCACCACACCTGGCTTTTTTTTTTTTTTATTTCTAATAAAAAAATAGAGTTTCTTGTTTCACTGGACAAAATATGCATATATAGGAAGGAAAGACTTTTGGACTTGAGATTGCGCTGAAGAAGAAAAATGGAAAAATTAGGCATTTTAGTCTCTCAGTGTGTTATTTTTGTAGCTTATACAGATATGTCTTTTTAAAGTGTCTTTAAAAAGCTTTATTGAGATAAAGATAAATGAGATAAATTCACCTACCATGAAATCCCCTTGAGTGCAGAATTTTGTGGTTTATAATATGTTCACAGAATCACACAAACAAGACAGGTATCTAGATACTTTCAGACCATTTTCATCAGTCCACAAGAAATCCCATACCCATTAGCAGTCATCCTTATTGCCTTTTCCCCTAGTCCCTGGCAATAACTAGCCTACTTTCTGTCTCTGAGTTTAGCTCTTCTGGAGGTTTCACAGAATGAAATCTTACTACATATGGTCTTTTGTGATTGACTTATTTCACGTGGCACAGTGTTTTCAAGGTTTATCCATGCTGTAGCGTATATCAGCACTTCATTCTTTTTTAATGCTGAGTAATCTTTTGAATGGATATACCATATTTTATCAGTTCCTCTGTTGATAGGCACGTGAGTTTTTTTTTCCAATTTTCGGCTATTATGAATAATGCTGCTATGAACATTTGTGTACAAATTTTAGTGTGGATGTATATTTTCATTTCCCTTGGGTATATACCTAAGGAATAGACTATCTGGGTCATATGATAATTGTTTAAGACTACAGGCACGTGCCACCACACCTGGCAAATATTTAAAAATTTTTTGTAGATAAGGGGTCTCGCTATGTTGCCCAGGCTGATCTTGAACTCCTGGCCTCAAGAGATCCTCTCACCTCAGCCTCCCAGAAAGTGTTGGGATTACAGATGTGAGCCACTGCAGCTATAAAAGAGGCTCATGCCTCTTTTTACATTGTGTGTGTGTGTGTGTGTGTGTGTGTGTGTGTGTGTGTGACAGGGTTTCACTCTGTCGCCCAGGCTGGAGTACAGTGGTAGGATCACAGCTCACTGCAGCCTGGACCTCCCTGGGCTCAGTTGATCCTCCCACCTGAGCCTCCTGAGCAGGTAGGACTACAGGCACGGTTAATTTTTGTATTTTCTGTAGAGATGGAGTTTTGCCGTGTTGCCCAGGCTGGTCTGGAACTCCTGGGCTCAAGTGGTCCACCAGCCTCTGCCTCCCAAAGTGCTAGGATTACTGGTGTGAGCCACCACACCCGGTTTACTCTTTTGATAATGTCCTCTGATGCCAAAAAAGTTTTTAATTTTGAGGAAGTCTAGCTTATCTGTTTTTTCTTTGTTGCTCATGATTTTGGTTTCATGTCTAAGAAGCCATTGCCAAATCTAAGGTCATGAAGATTTAGCCCTATGATTTACCCCTATGTTTTCTTCTAAGAGTTGTATGCTTTTAGCCCTTATATTTAGGTTGTTGATCCATTTTGTTTTAATTTTTGTGTGTGGTGTGAGGTGTGTGTGGTATGTGGTCCAAATTTATTATTTTGTATATAGATACAAAAAGTTATCCCAGCACTATATATTGAAAAGAGTGTCCTTTCCTTTATTGATGGTCTTCACATCTTTTTTGAGAATCACTTGAACATATATAAGGTTTTATTTCTGGACTCTTAAGTTCTGTTCTCTTGATGTGTATTTCTTTCTGTCTTTATGCCAGTACTACACTGTTTCATTACTGTAGCTTGGTAATAGGTTTTGAAATTAAGTGTAAGTCCTTTAACTGTGTTCTTTTTCAAGACTGGCTATTTTGGGTCCCTTATATTTCCAAATGGATTTTAGGATCAGCTTATCAATTTCTGTAAAAAAGACAGCTGGGATTTTTACAATGATCATGTTTTACCTTTTTTTTTTTTTTTTTTTGGAGACAGAGTCTCGCCATCGCCCAGGCTGGAGTGCAGTGGTGTGATCTTGGCTCACTGTAACCTCTGCCTCCTGGGTTCAAGTGATCCTCCTGCCTCAGCCTCCCAAGTAGTTGGGATTACAGATGTGCACCACTATGCCCAGCTAATTTTGTATTTTTAGTAGAGACATGGTTTCACCGTGTTGGCCAGGCTGGTCTTGAACTCCTGACCTCAAGTGATCCACCCGCCTCAACCTCCCAAAGTGCTGGAATTACAGGCTTGAGCCACTGCTCCAGCCAACAGGTCTTAACTCTTACGCATCTTATGGTTCTCATATGTATAATTGCATAGTAATATCCATTCCAAAGAATTGTTAAATAAAAGAGGATGTAGGTATATATTTAGAACAATGCCTTGCCTGTGGTAGGGATTTGATATTTGTTTTTTATCTTCTTCTGCTAATTAATTCCAGTTAAAAGTGAGCCACAAAACAAAAAACAGACAAACCCAATCAAAAACCAAGAAAAACAAAAACTCCAAAACCACAGACCAAAAAAAAAAAAAAAAAAAACCACAAAGAAAAAACCACAAACAGAAACCCCAAGCCTCTTCCTGTCCCCATCACCTTTCTACGACCCAAGAAATCCCTGTGAGCGCTTGAGGAACCACTAAAGAAGACAAGTCTCTCATACCACATAGTTGTATTGCAAATGCATGTGAAATCAAGGTTGCTATATAGAATATTTGACAGTGAATTTTAAATATTAAAAATAATAAAAGTATAATTGAAAGCTCTTTATTTTTACTCTATGATTCTTGTTTTGTGTGCTGTTTTTTCACTACTTTTTTTCCTGAAAGCAGAAACAATATTTTTTCATTAAATTTCATGGTTACAATCTTTCTTCCTTTAAATTATTGCTATTTTAAAAACTGTTAGCGGGAAGCCTGATGTTTGAACTTAAACTTGGTAGAACATTTATTTTGGTGTCTCTTCAGCAGCTGGGTGCATTGTTATTTTCTAAGAAGAGAAACTAGAGACATAGTATGATACAAATATGATGCTTGGAACATCTCATGTTTCTTGTATATTCACACTGTATTATCTATAGTCTTCCAAAAACAAACACTAACCAGTTTTCTATAGGCATGTTTTAGCAAAATATAAGTATCAATGCTAATTTGATATTCATTTTATGATGATTGACATTAGAGGACAATAATCTTAGTAATTTTCATCTTTACCAAAGTGATACTCTTTATGCAATTCTGTGAGTGCAAAGAATGTTGATATCAAATTTGTCCTAACATTTTCTGAACTACGTCCATAGTATGTTGAAACAATATCATGGTGATTTTTGACTTCCATTATGGCATAGAAATGCCAAGTACGTACCAGGTAAGGGGGGGAAGCTACATACAATAATAATGCATTCTCTTATTTAACATTCGCAGTTAACTTTTTTTTTTGAGACGGAGTCTCTGTCGCCCAGGCTGGAGTGCAGTGGCGCGATCTCTGCTCACTGCAAGCTCCGCCTTCTGGGTTCACGCCATTCTCCTGCCTCAGTTTCCCAAGTAGCTGGGACTACAGGCGCCTGCCACCAAGTCTAGCTAAATTTTTGTATTTTTAGTAGAGACGGGGTTTCACCATGTTAGCCAGGATGGTCTCGATCTCCTGACCTCGTGATCCGCCCGCCTCAGCCTCCCAAAGTGCTGGGATTACAGGTGTGAGCCACCGCTCCCGGCCCAACTTCTTTTTTTAACTCCTGCAAAACCACAACACAAAGTCAGGTTTGTTGTGCTTAGACCATTTGCTATTTCTTAGCAATCCTACTCTTTATCCACAAAACCACATCCTCATTACAATCAATTATTTATCAAGTGGGATCTCAAAAAATCACATTCCAGATTACTATATGTTAGTTTTACGCTATTAATCTTGTAAAATAAGGTATGTTCTTCACGTCCTTGCCTAGGGGCAGTATAGCTATGATGAAAAAGGGTTTTTTCTGTAGTGGTCACAGTGAGGCCAATTACAGCCATACTACAACACCTACTTGCCCTCTTTTTCTGTTCTACTCTCCAGTTACTATTATTACCTCTTCAGTTCTCCAAATATGACTTTTGGTGTCTAGCAAAATAATTCCTGGTATTTAGTCAAAGAGTGGAAGGACATTATTGTTGCTTTCTCTTTCTCAACAGCAAGAAAATATTATTGATTTTTAGTAATAAATATTTTAGGCCAGGTGTGGTGGGTCATGCCTGTAATCCCAGCATTTTAGGAGGCCGAGACGGGTGGATCATGAGGTTAGGAGATTGAGACCAGCCTGACCAACAGGGTGAAACCATGTCTCTAATAAAAATACAAAAAATTGGCCGGGCGCGGTGGCTCATGCCTGTAATCCCAGCACTTTGGGAGGCCGAGGTGGGTGGATCACGAGGTCAGGAGTTCAAGACCAGCCTGGCCAATATGATGAAACCCTGTCTCTACTAAAAATACAAAAAGTAGCTGTGCATGGTGGCAGGCGCCTGTAATCCCAGCTACTCCAGAGGCTGAGGCAGAGAACTGCTTGAACCCGGGAGGCGGAGCTTGCAGTGAGCCGAGATGGCCTCCAGCCTGGGCGAGAGAGTAAGACTCCGTCTCAAAACAAAACAACCCAAAAAATTAGCCTATAGTCCCATCTACTTGGGAGGCTGAGGAAGGAGAATCACTTGAACTCAGGAGGCGGATGTTGCAGTGAGCTGAGATCACACCACTGCACTCCAGCCTGGGTGACAGAGCGAGACTCTGTCTCAAAAAAAAAAAGTGTTTTAGTTTTAAATGGTTTATTTCTATTTTAATTTTCTGATAAAAGCCTTATTTTGTCCAGGTGCAGTGGCTCATACCTGTAATCCCAGCACTTTGGGAGGCCGAGGTGGGCAGATGACTTGGGGTCAGGAGTTCGAGACCAGCCTGGGCATCATGGTGAAACCCTGTCTCTACTAAAAACACAAAAATTAGCCGGGCATGGTGGCAGGCGCCTGTAATCCCAGTTACTTGGGTGGCTGAGGCAGGAGAATCATGTGAACCTGGGAGGTGGAGGTTGCAATGAGCTGAGATTGGGCCACTGCATTCCAGCCTGGGCGACAAAGCAAGACTCTGTCTCAAAAAAAAAATGAAAACAAAATCCACATAATGGAAGAAATTTTTTTTTTTTTTTTTTTTGAGATGGAGTCTTGTTCTGTCGCCCAGGCTGGAGTGCAGTGGTGCGATCTCGGCTCATTGCAAGCTCTGCCTACCGGGTTCACGCCATTCTCCTGCCTCAGTGTCCTGAGTAGCTGGGACTACAGGCTCCCGCCACCACGCCTGGCTAATTTTTTGTATTTTTAGTAGAGATGGGGTTTCACTGTGTTAGATAGGATGGTCTCGATCTCCTGACCTCGTGATCCACCTGCCTTGGTCTCCCAAAGTGCTGGGATTACAGGCGTGAGCCACCGCGCCCGGCCAAGGAAGAAAATATTTGCAAATATATATTTGTTAAAGGACTTATTATTCAGAATATATTAATAACTTACTATGCAATGATAAAAGGACAACCGAATTTAAAAATAAACAGGCCGGTTGAGGTGGTTCATGCCTGTAATCCTAGCACTTTGGGAGGCCAAGGTGGGAGGATCACTTGAGCCCAGGAGTTTGAGATCAGCCTGGGCAACATAGTAACACCTCTTCTCTACAAAAAAAATAGAAAAAAATGTTAGCCCGTGATCACTTGAGCCTGGGAAATCGCAGCTGCAGTGAGCAGTGATTACACTGCTGCACTCCAGCCTGGGTGACAGAGTGAAACCAAAAAAGTAGACATTTCCTAAAGATATACAAATGGCCAATAACATGAAAAGGTATGCAACATCGTTAGTCATCAGTCATGCAATCAAAACCACAATGAGATCCACTTTACATCAACTGGGGTGGCTAAAGTTAAAAAGATAGACAATAACAAGTACTGGTGAGGATGTGGAGAAATTGGAGCTCTCATACATTGCTGGAATGTAAAGTGGTGCAGCTGTCTTAGAAAATGCTTTGGCATCTCCTCAAAATGTTAAACATAGACTTGCCATATGGCCCAGTAATTCCACTCATATATATATATATATATATGCCCTAAAGACATCAAAACAATTGTTCACACAAAAACTTGTGTGAACATGAATGTTCATTGCTATATTATTTATAAAAGCCAAAAAGTGAAAACAGCCACAAGTACAACTAACTGTTGACTGGATAAACAAAATATTTTTTTCCAGTGGAGTATTATTTCCAGTGGAGTATTATTCTGCCATAAAAGGAAGAAGTACTGAGGCATGATACAACATGGATGAACCTTGAAAACATTCTAAGCGGAAGAAACCAGTCACAAGAGATCACATATTGTAATGATTCTATTTATGTGAAATAGTTAAGCATAGACAAATGCATAGAGAGGGAAAGAAGATTAGTGTTTGTCACGAACGTTGGGTGGGGAGGAGGAGGGAATGACTGCTGATGGGTATGGGGTGATGAGACTATTCTAAAATTAGATTGTGGTAATGGTTGCAAAACTCTGAATAAATCACCAAAAGACACTGAACTGGATTCTTTAAATGGGTAAGTTTTACGATATGTGAAATGTATTTCATTAGAGGTGTAGAAAAATGTCAGAAAATAAAAGTCTAACCCTTAAAAAACATCATTAAAGATATTAAAGTCTTTATTTGCCCCCCCCCCATTTTTATTTTCAGTAATACAGGGTAAAATGAGTAGGATTACTTGATCTGGCCATCTATGGCCATTTTATGGAATGACAAACTAAGTTCAATACTGATAGAGTTGTATTCTGTGTATACATATAATAGAGTATATACTGTGTGTATAAAAAATTCAAGCATATGGAAAAACTTATTTAATCCAGTAATAAACCTTTATATTTTCTCATCAGTTTAATAATAACATTTTTTGCCAGTAATTGGGTATATTTTGGGAAATAGTAGAATAAAGATTTGTAGACTCTCTTACATCTCCTAAAAGAAAATTCACTAAGCATGTATGTGGAAAACATCTTAAAATAAAGATAGATAAGAACGTTTTTGTGAATTAAAAAAGTAATGTGAACATGTTAAGGTATTTGAACTTACATTTAAATTGGATTATAAGTAACTTAACATTTTTAATGCAAGCATATTAACCTTCTTGTGCTTATGAGATTATTTTGCCAAATTGTAGGACAGAGGAAACTGCTGACTCCACAAAGATCTTCCCTTTGACCAGTTCTCTACTAGGAGCTTAGTTTCCTGATTTTTAGTACAATTTGATATTGAGGAACATATATTTAATAAGGCCGGGTACTTAGGTATAATAATTGGGTAAATTGTACCTTTTATTTTGGCCCTAACTGGTCACACTTCTGGGAATATTCTTCCCCTATCAGGAATTTCCATGTTACCAATATAATTTTGGGATTCAGTCACCTTTATTAGACATGTGGCCCCATGTGAAGTTTCTTTTTCTTTCTTTTTTTTTTTTTATTATACTCTAAGTTTTAGGGTACATGTGCACATTGTGCAGGTTAGTTACATATGTATACATGTGCCATGCTGGTGCGCTGCACCCACTAATGTGTCATCTAGCATTAGGTATATCTCCCAATGCTATCCCTCCCCCCTCCTCCTACCCCACCACAGTCCCCAGAGTGTGATATTCCCCTTCCTGTGTCCATGTGATCTCATTGTTCAATTCCCACCTATGAGTGAGAATATGCGGTGTTTGGTTTTTTGTTCTTGCGATAGTTTACTGAGAATGATGGTTTCCAATTTCATCCATGTCCCTACAAAGGATATGAACTCATCATTTTTTATGGCTGCATAGTATTCCATGGTGTATATGTGCCACATTTTCTTAATCCAGTCTATCATTGTTGGACATTTGGGTTGGTTCCAAGTCTTTGCTATTGTGAATAGTGCCGCAATAAACATACGTGTGCATGTGTCTTTATAGCAGCATGATTTATACTCATTTGGGTATATACCCAGTAATGGGATGGCTGGGTCAAATGGTATTTCTAGTTCTAGATCCCTGAGGAATCGCCACACTGACTTCCACAATGGTTGAACTAGTTTACAGTCCCACCAACAGTGTAAAAGTGTTCCTATTTCTCCGCATCCTCTCCAGCACCTGTTGTTTCCTGACTTTTTAATGATTGCCATTCTAACTGGTGTGAGATGATATCTCATAGTGGTTTTGATTTGCATTTCTCTGATGGCCAGTGATGATGAGCATTTCTTCATGTGTTTTTTGGCTGCATAAATGTCTTCTTTTGAGAAGTGTCTGTTCATGTCCTTCGCCCACTTTTTGATGGGGTTGTTTGTTTTTTTCTTGTAAATTTGTTTGAGTTCATTGTAGATTCTGGATATTAGCCCTTTGTCAGATGAGTAGGTTGCGAAAATTTTCTCCCATGTTGTAGGTTGCCTGTTCACTCTGATGGTAGTTTCTTTTGCTGTGCAGAAGCTCTTTAGTTTAATTAGATCCCATTTGTCAATTTTGTCTTTTGTTGCCATTGCTTTTGGTGTTTTGGACATGAAGTCCTTGCCCACGCCTATGTCCTGAATGGTAATGCCTAGGTTTTCTTCTAGGGTTTTTATGGTTTTAGGTTTAACGTTTAAATCTTTAATCCATCTTGAATTGATTTTTGTATAAGGTGTAAGGAAGGGATCCAGTTTCAGCTTTCTACATATGGCTAGCCAGTTTTCCCAGCACCATTTATTAAATAGGGAATCCTTTCCCCATTGCTTGTTTTTCTCAGGTTTGTCAAAGATCAGATAGTTGTAGATATGCGGCATTATTTCTGAGGGCTCTGTTCTGTTCCATTGATCTATATCTCTGTTTTGGTACCAGTACCATGCTGTTTTGGTTACTGTAGCCTTGTAGTATAGTTTGAAGTCAGGTAGTGTGATGCCTCCAGCTTTGTTCTTTTGGCTTAGGATTGACTTGGCAATGCGGGCTCTTTTTTGGTTCCATATGAACTTTAAAGTAGTTTTTTCCAATTCTGTGAAGAAAGTCATTGGTAGCTTGATGGGGATGGCATTGAATCTGTAAATTACCTTGGGCAGTATGGCCATTTTCACGATATTGATTCTTCCTACCCATGAGCATGGAATGTTCTTCCATTTGTTTGTGTCCTCTTTTATTTCCTTGAGCAGTGGTTTGTAGTTCTCCTTGAAGAGGTCCTTCACATCCCTTGTAAGTTGGATTCCTAGGTATTTTATTCTCTTTGAAGCAATTGTGAATGGGAGTTCACCCATGATTTGGCTCTCTGTTTGTCTGTTGTTGGTGTATAAGAATGCTTGTGATTTTTGTACATTGATTTTGTATCCTGAGACTTTGCTGAAGTTGCTTATCAGCTTAAGGAGATTTTGGGCTGAGACGATGGGGTTTTCTAGATAAACAATCATGTCGTCTGCAAACAGGGACAATTTGACTTCCTCTTTTCCTAATTGAATACCCTTTATTTCCTTCTCCTGCCTGATTGCCCTGGCCAGAACTTCCAACACTATGTTGAATAGGAGTGGTGAGATAGGGCATCCCTGTCTTGTGCCAGTTTTCAAAGGGAATGCTTCCAGTTTTTGCCCATTCAGTATGATATTGGCTGTGGGTTTGTCATAGATAGCTCTTATTATTTTGAAATACGTCCCATCAATACCTAATTTATTGAGAGTTTTTAGCATGAAGGGTTGTTGAATTTTGTCAAAGGCTTTTTCTGCATCTATTGAGATAATCATGTGGTTTTTGTCTTTGGCTCTGTTTATATGCTGGATTACATTTATTGATTTGTGTATATTGAACCAGCCTTGCATCCCAGGGATGAAGCCCACTTGATCATGGTGGATAAGCTTTTTGATGTGCTGCTGGATTCGGTTTGCCAGTATTTTATTGAGGATTTTTGCGTCAATGTTCATCAAGGATATTGGTCTAAAATTCTCTTTTTTGGTTGTGTCTCTGCCCGGCTTTGGTATCAGAATGATGCTGGCCTCATAAAATGAGTTAGGGAGGATTCCCTCTTTTTCTATTGATTGGAATAGTTTCAGAAGGAATGGTACCAGTTCCTCCTTGTACCTCTGGTAGAATTCGGCAGTGAATCCATCTGGTCCTGGACTCTTTTTGGTTGGTAAACTATTGATTATTGCCACAATTTCAGAGCCTGTTATTGGTCTATTCAGAGATTCAACTTCTTCCTGGTTTAGTCTTGGGAGAGTGTATGTGTTGAGGAATGTATCCATTTCTTCTAGATTTTCTAGTTTATTTGCGTAGAGGTGTTTGTAGTATTCTCTGATGGTAGTTTGTATTTCTGTGGGATCGGTGGTGATATCCCCTTTATCATTTTTTATTGTGTCTATTTGATTCTTCTCTCTTTTTTTCTTTATTAGTCTTGCTAGCGGTCTATCAATTTTGTTGATCCTTTCAAAAAACCAGCTCCTGGATTCATTGATTTTTTGAAGGGTTTTTTGTGTCTCTATTTCCTTCAGTTCTGCTCTGATTTTAGTTATTTCTTGCCTTCTGCTAGCTTTTGAATGTGTTTGCTCTTGCTTTTCTAGTTCTTTTAATTGTGATGTTAGGGTGTCAATTTTGGATCTTTCCTGCTTTCTCTTGTAGGCATTTAGTGCTATAAATTTCCCTCTACACACTGCTTTGAATGCGTCCCAGAGATTCTGGTATGTGGTGTCTTTGTTCTCGTTGGTTTCAAAGAACATCTTTATTTCTGCCTTCATTTCGTTATGTACCCAGTAGTCATTCAGGAGCAGGTTGTTCAGTTTCCATGTAGTTGAGCGGCTTTGAGTGAGATTCTTAATCCTGAGTTCTAGTTTGATTGCACTGTGGTCTGAGAGATAGTTTGTTATAATTTCTGTTCTTTTACATTTGCTGAGGAGAGCTTTACTTCCAACTATGTGGTCAATTTTGGAATAGGTGTGGTGTGGTGCTGAAAAAAATGTATATTTTGTTGATTTGGGGTGGAGAGTTCTGTAGATGTCTATTAGGTCTGCTTGGTGCAGAGCTGAGTTCAATTCCTGGGTATCCTTGTTGACTTTCTGTCTCGTTGATCTGTCTAATGTTGACAGTGGGGTGTTAAAGTCTCCCATTATTAATGTGTGGGAGTCTAAGTCTCTTTGTAGGTCACTGAGGACTTGCTTTATGAATCTGGGTGCTCCTGTATTGGGTGCATAAATATTTAGGATAGTTAGCTCCTCTTGTTGAATTGATCCCTTTACCATTATGTAATGGCCTTCTTTGTCTCTTTTGATCTTTGCTGGTTTAAAGTCTGTTTTATCAGAGACTAGGATTGCAACCCCTGCCTTTTTTTGTTTTCCATTGGCTTGGTAGATCTTCCTCCATCCTTTTATTTTGAGCCTATGTGTGTCTCTGCACGTGAGATGGGTTTCCTGAATACAGCACACTGATGGGTCTTGACTCTTTATCCAACTTGCCAGTCTGTGTCTTTTAATTGCAGAATTTAGTCCATTTATATTTAAAGTTAATATTGTTATGTGTGAATTTGATCCTGTCATTGTGATGTTAGCTGGTGATTTTGCTCATTAGTTGATGCAGTTTCTTCCTAGTCTCGATGGTCTTTACATTTTGGCATGATTTTGCAGCGGCTGGTACCGGTTGTTCCTTTCCATGTTTAGCGCTTCCTTCAGGAGCTCTTTTAGGGCAGGCCTGGTGGTGACAAAATCTCTCAGCATTTGCTTGTCTATAAAGTATTTTATTTCTCCTTCACTTATGAAGCTTAGTTTGGCTGGATATGAAATTCTGGGTTGAAAATTCTTTTCTTTAAGAATGTTGAATATTGGCCCCCACTCTCTTCTGGCTTGTAGGGTTTCTGCCGAGAGATCCGCTGTTAGTCTGATGGGCTTTCCTTTGAGGGTAACCCGACCTTTCTCTCTGGCTGCCCTTAACATTTTTTCCTTCATTTCAACTTTGGTGAATCTGACAATTATGTGTCTTGGAGTTGCTCTTCTCGAGGAGTATCTTTGTGGTGTTCTCTGTACTTCCTGAATCTGAACGTTGGCCTGCCTTGCTAGATTGGGGAAGTTCTCCTGGATAATATCCTGCAGAGTGTTTTCCAACTTGGTTCCATTCTCCACATCACTTTCAGGTACACCAATCAGACGTAGATTTGGTCTTTTCACATAGTCCCATATTTCTTGGAGGCTTTGCTCATTTCTTTTTATTCTTTTTTCTCTAAACTTCCCTTCTCGCTTCATTTCATTCATTTCATCTTCCATTGCTGATACCCTTTCTTCCAGTTGATCGCATCGGCTCCTGAGGCTTCTGCATTCTTCACGTAGTTCTCGAGCCTTGGTTTTCAGCTCCATCAGCTCCTTTAAGCACTTCTCTGTATTGGTTATTCTAGTTATACATTCTTCTAAATTTTTTTCAAAGTTTTCAATTTCTTTGCCTTTGGTTTGAATGTCCTCCCGTAGCTCAGAGTAATTTGATCGTCTGAAGCCTTCTTCTCTCAGCTCGTCAAAATCATTCTCCATCCAGCTTTGTTCTGTTGCTGGTGAGGAACTGCGTTCCTTTGGAGGAGGAGAGGCGCTCTGCGTTTTAGAGTTTCCAGTTTTTCTGTTCTGTTTTTTCCCCATCTTTGTGGTTTTATCTACTTTTGGTCTTTGATGATGGTGATGTACAGATGGGTTTTCGGTGTAGATGTCCTTTCTGGTTGTTAGTTTTCCTTCTAACAGACAGGACCCTCAGCTGCAGGTCTGTTGGAATACCCTGCCGTGTGAGGTGTCAGTGTGCCCCTGCTGGGGGGTGCCTCCCAGTTAGGCTGCTCGGGGGTCAGGGGTCAGGGACCCACTTGAGGAGGCAGTCTGCCCGTTCTCAGATCTCCAGCTGCGTGCTGGGAGAACCACTGCTCTCTTCAAAGCTGTCAGACAGGGACACTTAAGTCTGCAGAGGTTACTGCTGTCTTTTTGTTTGTCTGTGCCCTGCCCCCAGAGGTGGAGCCTACAGAGGCAGGCAGGCCTCCTTGAGCTGTGGTGGGCTCCACCCAGTTGGAGCTTCCCGGCTGCTTTGTTTACCTAAGCAAGCCTGGGCAATGGCGGGCGCCCCTCCCCCAGCCTGGCTGCCGCCTTGCAGTTTGATCTCAGACTGCTGTGCTAGCAATCAGCGAGATTCCGTGGGCGTAGGACCCTCTGAGCCAGGTGTGGGATATAGTCTCGTGGTGCGCCGTTTCTTAAGCCGGTCTGAAAAGCGCAATATTCGGGTGGGAGTGACCCGATTTTCCAGGTGCGTCCGTCACCCCTTTCTTTGACTCGGAAAGGGAACTCCCTGACCCCTTGCGCTTCCCAGGTGAGGCAATGCCTCGCCCTGCTTCGGCTCGCGCACGGTGCGCACACACACTGGCCTGCGCCCACTGTCTGGCACTCCCTAGTGAGATGAACCCGGTACCTCAGATGGAAATGCAGAAATCACCCGTCTTCTGTGTCGCTCACGCTGGGAGCTGTAGACCGGAGCTGTTCCTATTCGGCCATCTTGGCTCCTCCCTCTCTTTTTCTTTCTTTCTTTCTTTTTTTTTTTTTTTTGAGACGGAGTTTCGCTCTGTCTCCCAGGCTGGAGTGCAGCGGCACTATCTCGGCTCACTGCAATCTCTGCCTCCTGGGTTCACGCCATTCTCCTATCTCAGCCTTCCGAGTAGCTGGGACTACAGGCGTTCGCCACCACGCCTGGCTAATTTATTGTATTTTTAGTACAGACGGGGTTTCACTGTGTTAGCCAGGATGGTCTCGATCTCCTGACCTCGAGATCAGCCTGCCTCAGCCTCCCAAAGTACTGGGATTACAGGTGTGAGCCACCGCGCCCGGTGGAAGTTTCTTATCACTAGAAAAAGTGTATTGCATTTCCTGATACTGCACAGTTGCTTCTGTTCTGTGTGTAATATTTTTGTTTTGAGTTGTCTTGGATCCCTGTCATTTTTGGCTTGTGTAGCAACAGGAGTTTTGAATATTGCTCCACTGTCACATAATGCTTTTGTTGAATCCATTGCTTCCTAATATTCACAAAGATTTATGAAAACCATTTAATAATAATTGTTCAAGAAATTGGCCACAAATTCCAAATATATTTTATGAAAAATAAAATTTTCATTAGGCTTATTTGGAAGAACCATATAAATTATAGAGTATTTGTGTGGAAGCACTCTTCCTTCTGTAAGTATAGGTGTTTGAGATTATTATAGCTAGACTAGCATTTATATTGTGTGTACTCTGTGTCAGTACTGTTTAAATACTTTACATATATTAACTAATTTAATTCTCACAACTTTATGAAGTAGGCACTATTATCCCCATCTTACATATGAGACAAGTGTAGTACAGAGAGGTTAAGTAACTTTATCAATACCATCCAGCTAGGAAACTGAATTGCCTTGGATTCTAATTTAGCAGCCTGGCTCTGGAATCTGTTCTTAACCATTTGCCTTAGACTGTCTTTGATTTGTATGATCACTAAGCAAATAGTGATCAATTATAACTACCTTTTGCTACTAAACGCTAGACTTGTTGCCAGAAAATAACATAATTTCCCTGTGGATATTGTTAAAACCTAGTTTTTATTGTGAGGTTTAAGGTTATGTTGGCACACCATTCTGGAATTTGTCTCTATAATACTGATCAAGCAGTATTTGACATTAAGTTTATTATCAAATTTTATTATCTATTAATTTAATGAAAAGATGAAATTAATTACAATGTGAGCAGTGTAATTTCTTTATGTATTGAAAGTTACAAAACTGAGCCAGGCATGGTTGTTCCTTTCTGTATTTCAGCTATTTGGGAGGCTGAAGTAGGAGGATTGCTTGAGGTCAGGAGTTCAAGACCAGCCTGGGTGACATAGTGTGAGACCCAGTCTCTAAAATATATTTTTTAGGCCAGGTGCAGTGGCTCATGCCTGTAATCCCAGAACTTTGGGAGGCCGAGGCAGGTGGATCACCTGAGGTCAGGAGTTCGAGACCAGCTTTGCCAACATGGTGAGACCCCATCTCCACTAAAAATACAAAAATTAGCTGGGTGTGGTGATGCCCTTGTAATCCCAGCTACTTGGGAAGCTGAGGTAGGATAATTGCTTGAACCTGGGAGGCAGAGGTTGCAGTGAGCTGAGATCGTGCCACTGCACTCCAGCCTGGGTGACAGAGTGAGACTCTGTCTCAAAAAAAAAAACAAAACTATCTGTCTATCAATCAGTCAAATTAGCCGGGTATGGTGGCATGTACCTGTAGTCCCAGCTACTCAGGAGGCTGAGGCAGGAAGACCCCTTGAACCCAGTAGTTCCAAGCTACAGTGAGCTATGTTGGCACCACTGCACTGTAGCCTGGGCCACAGAATGAAACCCAGTCTCTAAAAATAAATGAATAAATGAATGTTATAAAGCTGTTATTAAACTAATACTTAATGTAGTACCTGATATAAATGTTTCTTGGATGATGGAAATTAAATAATGAAGAAGGGATTATATGAAATGAGGCTATATAACAACAATTGTTTTTTTTCTGAGATGGAGTTTCGTACTTGTTGCCCAGGCTGGAGTACAATGGCACGATCTCGACTCACCGCAACCTCCACCTCCTGGGTTCAAGGGATTCTCCTGCCTTAGCTTCCCAAGTAGCTGGGATTACAGGCATGTGCCACCACACACGGCTAATTTTGTATTTTTAGTAGAGACGGGGTTTCTCCATGTTGGTCAGGCTGGTCTCGAACTCCCGACCTCAGGTGATCCGCTCACCTCGGCCTCCCAAAGTGCTGGGATTACAGGTGTAAGCCACTGCGGCTGGCCTTAAAAGCAGTAGTTTTTAAGATAGCAAAAGAATGATTCTAATTTCCTATGCAACTTTGAAATAAAGGGAATTATATATTTAAAATTTTTTTTTTCCTTTTCTCAGATCATGAGGTCAGGAGTTCGAGACCATTCTGGCCAATATGGTGAAACCCATCTCTACTAAAAATACAAAAATTGGCCAGCCGCGGTGGCTCATGCCTGTAATCCCAGCACTTTGGGAAGCCAACGTGGGTGGATCACCTGAGGTCAGGAGTTCGAGACCAGCCTGGCTAACATTGTGAAACCCCGTCTCTACTGAAAACACAAAAATTAGCCGGGTGTGGTGGCACATGCCTGTAGTATCAGCTACTCGGGAGGTTGAGACAGAAGAATCTCTTGAAACCAGGAGGTGGAGGTTGCAGTGAGCCGAATAGCGCCACTGTACTCCAGTCTGAGTGACAGAGTGAGACTCCATCTCAAAAAACCAAACCAAACCAAACCAAATCAAAACAAAACAAAAACAAAAAATTAGCCGGGTGTGGTGGTGTGTGCCTGCAGTCCCAGCTACTTGGGAGGCTGAGGCAGAAGAATCACTTGAACCTGGGAGGCAGAGGTTGCAGTGAGCTGAGATGGTGCCACTGCATTCCAGTCTGGGCAACAGAGCGAGACTCCGTCTCTAAAAGAAAAAAAATTTCCTTTTCTTACTGTGCTGATGAAAGAAATGATAAAGAAAATCACTACTTGTATATTCCTTGGTTATTGATGAGGAAGAATCAATTTTCATAGTACAAATAAAAGTTAAAGAGAAAATGTGTTAGTACTATAAGTTGTGTTTTGATTCAGAATTTTAGTTTTAGACCAGGTTTGTGAAATAAAGATATAATTTCCTGAAAATATTTTTTTGCTGTTAAAAAAAATGCATTTCAGGCTGTGTGTGGTGGCTCACACATGTAATCCTAGTACTTTGGGAGGCCAAGATGAGAGGATCGCCTGAGCCCAGGAGTTCAAGGTCAGCCTGGGCAACATGATGAAACCCCATCTCCAAAATACAAAAATTAGTTGGGCGTGGTGGTGTGTGTCTGTAGTCCCAGCTACTTGGGAGGCTGAGGTGGGAGGATCAGTTCGGCCCAGGAGGTTGAGGTTGCAGTGAGCCATGATCATGCCACTGCACTCCAGCCTGGGTGACAGAGCGAGACCTTGTCTCAAGAAAAAAAAAAATGCATTTCAGATTTTATTTTTAAATTAAAATAAAAGATTTAGAGACAGTGTCTGGCCCTGTCACCCAGGCTGGAGTTCATTGGTGCTCTTATAGCTCACCCCAGCCTCGGACTCCTAGGCTCAAGGGATTCTCTTGCCTCAGCCTCCTAAGTAGTTGGGATTGCAGGCATGAGCCACCACACCAGGCATATTCTTTATTTGAGCAGGAATTTCTAGTGAAGCTAGAAATGTAGTTATTAATAAATAGTAATTTTGACCTGTAATCCTGGCACTTTGGGAGGCTGAGGCAGGTGGATCACTTGAGTTCAGGAGTTTGAGACTAGCCTGGCCAACTGGTAAAACCCCATCTCCACTAAAAACACAAAAATTAGCTGGACGTGGTGGCATGAACCTGTAGGCCCAGCTACTTGGGAGGCAGAGGCATGAGAATCACTTGAACCTGGGAGGCGGAGGTTGCAATGAGCCAAGATCGTGCCACTGCACTTCATCCTGGGCAACACAGCAAGACTCTGTCTCAAAAAAAAATTAATTTGAGTCCGTTTCTTACCCTTGTAAGAGTTGAAACAGTTGAATGTTTAGAGACATTTTTATACTGTGATGGAGTTATTTTTTGTTTGTTCTTGTTTTTAGCAACAAACATTTATTTCTCACAGTTCTGGAGGTTAGGAAGTTCAACGTCAAGGTGCCAGTCAGTTTGCTTCTGGTGAGGGCCCACTGTCTGCTTTGCAGATAGACACCTTCCTGCTGTTTTCTTACATGATAGGGAGATCATCTCTTTTTTTCTTCAATTGTTTTTTTCTTTTTTTGAGACAGAATCTCACTCTGTCACCCAGGCTAGAGTGCAGTGGCATGATCTTGGCTCACTGTGACCTCCACCTCCCAGGCTCAAGCAATTCTCCTGCCTCAGTCTCCTGACTAGCTGAGATTACAGATGTGCGTCACCATGTCCGGCTAATTTTTGTATTTTTAGTAGAGACGAGGTTTTACCATGTTGGCCAGGCTGATCTGGAAATCCTGACCTCAGGTGATCCACCTGCCTTGGCCTCCCAAAGTGCTGGCATTACAGGCATGAGCCACTGCGCCTGGCACTCAATTTTTAAATTGTAAAATGTATGTCAAATTACCATCTTAATCATTTTTATGTGTACAGTTAAGTGGAATTAAATACATTCATGATGTTGTGCAACTATCACCATTATCCATCTCTATAACTCTTCATCTTGTAAAAGTGAAACTCTATCCACTAAACAATAAAATCCCTATTCCCTCTCTCCAGCCTCTGGCAGCCACCATTCTATTTTCCATCTCGATGATTTTGACTATGCTGCCATGTTTCAAATCATGTCTGTTTGTGAACCCAAAGCAATTTAGAGAAAAATTTTTAATGAAGATTTTTTACTCCTTGCAAGATGGGTTGTAAACATGTTAGCAGCTATAATGAAATATGATTACTCTTCTGCTTTAGAGTACATATTTCTAATTGAAGTTGGAAGAGTTAGAATTATTTCATATATTTACTGGTCAGAACTTTTTCACATGTGCTTGGTTTCCCACAATTGTCATTACATTTTGATTAATTTTAGAGGGAGTTGTGAAAGAGAACTCATTAATTTGGCTCAAAAAATTTTTTGAAAATTTTTCTTGTGTAATATTTTATTACTTTTTGTACATAATAACTTCAGATGCATAAGTATTTTAACATTGGCCTTTTGTAATTCTGAATCCTTAATCATGACACTAGAAATGCATATTATTATGTTTAACAATATTGTAAGAAAGTAAAAAATTCTTTACTAAATTTCCATTTATGCAAAGTTTTAATGTAAGGCAAGTATCTAATATTAAGGAACATGGACCATTTTTAATTTTGTATTTTCAACCCCAGCATATTTTTGAGCTTCAATCAATAATTTTTTTTTTTAGATGGAGTGTTGCTCTGTTGCCCGCCCAGGTTCGAGTGCAGTGGTGTGATTTCAGCTCACTGCAACCTCTGCCTCCCAGGTTCAAGCGATTCTCACGTCTCAGCCTCCCAAGTAGCTGGGACAATAGGTGTGCGCCATCTCACCTAGTTTATTTTTGTATTTTTAGTAGAGATGGGGTTTCACCATGTTGGCCAGGTTTGTCTTGAACTCCTGACCTCAAGTGATTTGCCCACCTTGGCCTCCCAAAGCATTGGGATTATAGGCGTGAGCCACCACGCCCAGCCCAGAAATAATAATTTAGAAAATAAATTGTACACATCTGTGAATTGATTTACTTCTGATTTCTGAGTGGGACAGTAGTGAAGGTAGTAGTTTTATTTTGCAGTGTGGAAGATTATTTTGTTGCCTTTATTCTGCCCACTTTATTCTGTATTGCTTAGGGTACCAGAAATGTGTTGTCAGGTTGGATGTTCTCAGTAGAGAGTAAGAATACCTCCATCTGTGAGAGTTTGCTTTTCTGTAAAGCTACAAATCCAGATATGAAATTTAAAAACCATGTAAACTGTGTTCAACAAGAGTTACATTTCAAAGGCTACTTTAGATTTAGAGAAGGTTGTGTATTGTGGCATTGAGGCGTATGTAGTGGTCAAAATCATGGACTCTGGAGTCTGACTCCCTAGGTTTAATCTAAGCCCCTCCACAACTGTGTGACTTTGGGCAAAAGTCAAACAGTTTAACTTTTAACTTTTCTGCACCTTATTGTCCCACGTATAAAGTGGGAATACTAGCTTGTCTACTTCGCAGGTTTGTTGTGAGCATTAAAAGAATTCAATACCTGTATACTATTTTTTCTTTTTTTGTGTGTGTGTAGCATAATAAAGTATCAGGCAATACGTAAGCACTATTTAAACAGTTCTGGGCATGAAGTAAGGTTAAATAAATGTTAGATACTGTTTTTTTTTGTATTTTTTTAAATTATACTTTAAGTTCTAGGGTACATGTGCACAACGTGCAGATTTGTTATATACATGTGCCATGTTGGTGTGCTGCAGCCATTAACTCGTCATTTACATTAGGTATATCTCCTAATGCTATCCTTCCCCCCTCTCTCCACGCCACGACAGGCCGGTGGGAATTGAACAATGAGATATTGTTTTTGTTATTATTACACTTCAGAGTAGCACGAGATGATTAACTGTTGGATACAGATTGGAGTCACTGATTTTCATCCCTTGCACAAAATTGTAGATTATTAAACAGATAGTTTGTGTGTCCTTGGAACAGAATGTATTTTGCCAGTTAAATTATTGCTGCATATCCATCCATCTTGTTTATTCTTAGCTGCAAAGATATCTTATGTATTCTGCTTTGTGATCCTGGGACTGAGATTCTGCAAGCAACATTTCAGCTTTGCCAGCTGCTCCCTGTTGCGAGTGGTGGGTGGTAAAGATCTAGAAGAGGCAGAGGGATTTGCTCGTATCCTCGTCATGGCCTTCCTCTCTGCTGTTCCTGTGAGTGCTGCCTTAATGACATTTCTTTATCTCTGCAGCAGCAGTACCTTCCTGTAGCAGTTACTGGATCCAGTTAGCAGTTTTCCCAACATTTGAGGACCAGTTTTATCAAGCTTCCTTTAGAGTCCACTAGAGTCCCAGGCTCCTTGGGCCTCTCCTGGGAAATTAGAAAAACCAGCACAGCTGAGTAGTGCCCTCTCAGAAGTCTGAGTTTAAGTTCCCTGGGTCCCTCCTCTGAGCGTTTGTTAACTCAGCCTTAGGGGTGGTAGCTGCTTCCTGCAGTTGCTATCTGTGTTATCTTTGCGTCCTTTCAGCTTTTTACTTAAAAATTTCAAACTCAGTTAACAAATTCTTGTATTACATTTTATCTGTTCAAATAACTGATGTAGTTTCTGTCTTCTAACTGAATCCTGACGAGATAGAGGTGATAAGGAGTAGGTGTCAACCTGGGTTCACTTAAGAACTTGTCATTACCTATTTTGAGGGTGGGGGAAGTTTTTTTTTTTTTTTCTTTTTTTTGAGACGGAGTCTTGCTCTGTCGCCCAGGCTGGAGTGCAGTGGCACAATCTCGGCTCACTGCAAGCTCCGCCTCCCGGGTTCACGCCATTCTCCTGCCTCAGCCTCCTGAGTAGCGGGGACTACAGGCGCCCGCCACGGCGCCTGGCTAAGTTTTTGTATTTTTAGTAGAGACGGGGTTGCACCGTGGTCACGATCTCCTGACCTCGTGATCCGCCCGCCTGGGCCTCCCAAAGTGCTGGGAGGCGTGAGCCACCACGCCCGGCCTAGGGTGAGGGGAATTCTAAGATGAAATAGTGTATCTTGTTTTTTTGAAATAATTTGATAAAGTAACATCTTAGGGACAACGTGAATTTTATAGACACTGATAATAAAGTTATTGAATTAGACTACCATAAAGTTCATAGAAATTTGCAGGAAGTCTGTACCAAGACACAGGACTATTTTTAAAAATCTTGTCTTATTTAATAGTACAGTTTCCTATATGAAGGCATAAAAGGCATGTTTATTGGGTTTGTAGTTTTCACAAATATGAAATGGATAGATAATACATGGAAAGATTTAGGATTCTAAGATATGTTGATATACTAGAATGATATGAAATCATCAAGATAGTCTGTAATCTATAGGGTAGGGACCATGTTTATTTTCTTTTATTATGTTCAGTGTTCAGTAAATGCCTGGCACAGAGCACATGTGCTCAATAGTTGAAGACATTGATAAATCAAGGCAACATTCATCAGTTATAAGTGATGTCCTGCATTTAGGTTCAAATACATATGAATAAACCTTATCAGTAATTTATAGGAAAAGATATTGAGGTTATCTGTAAGTATAATATGAACTAACCATATTTAATCTCTAAAAAGCTAAAGAATATAGTCCTAGTATTCATTAATGAATATAGAGTTATGCTCTAAAAAGCTGTTCTGCTCTATTTTGAATTTGAGTCCAGTTTGAGGAATCATATTTTTAGAGGAACATATTAAGTAGAGAGCATCCTAAAAAGTGACTAGGTCATATGATGAACATTTGAGGGAAGTTAGGGCATTTAGCTTAGAAAGGAAACATTAAGGAAACATTTCCCACTTCCCACCTAAGGAGTTGCTAGTCCACTGAAGATGGTTGAAGTGACGAATTTGTGATAACATCCTAAAGGATGTAAGATGACACTTCACAGTGAGGGAAGGGAAAGAAAGGAGTGGGCATTTAATAATTTATTTTAAGGCCAGGCATGGTGGCTCACGCCTGTAATCCCAGCACTTTGGGAGGCCGAGGCGGGTGGATTACCTGAGATCAGGAGTTTGAGACCATCCTGGCCAACATGGTGAAACCCCGTCTCTACTAAAAATACAAAAATTAGCTGGGCATGGTGGCGGGCACCTGTAATCCCGGATACTTGGGAGGCTGAGGCAGGAGAATCGCTTGAACCCAGGAGGCAGAGGTTGCAGTGAGCTGAGATTGCGCCACTGCACTCCAGCCTGGTGACAGAGCGAGACTCCGCCTCAAAAAAATATATATATTTATTTTAAGCCCTTTGTCACCTCTGAGCAGTTCCTCACCAGGCCCTTAGCAGAATCTCAGTTCTGAGAAGGCATAAGCTGCCTTGGGTGTACATAGTCCTTAATTAAGGACTTATTAGATTGCTGCCTTTTAGCCCTCACAAGTAACTGAGGGCACTTGGGCTTTTAAATGGAGAAATGGTGGGAGAGCTACAGCTTATCAAAGACAAATGAACAGGTACTCTGACTAGCTTATCTAGCCAATCCCTTTATAATGTCCTCATCTATCCTTCTCTCTTCTCTCTCATTTTTTCTCCCAAGTGAAAAAAGGAATGTTGTAAGAACGGAAGTTCAGCACACAATAGTCCTAAACCATAGATGTTACAGAGGCATACAAGACATTTGAGAGTGCACAATATCTGAAGACAGAAGACTTAAGTGTCTTCTTACGTCATTTTCGGACATGTAAGAGAGGAAATAATTTCTTCTACTCTCTTATGTTTACAGTCTGGGGCCGTGCAAATTAAACTGACACAACATTAACAGGAGAAAAGGGTTTGTGGTATGTATAAGGGAGCTAACAAAAGGAGTAGCTGGCTTATTAGATCGGTAGAGTTAAAGGCTTATATACCTAGTATGGGAAGGGAAGTGGGGAGAAACAGCTTCTATGGGAGGAATAAATAGGTTTCTTTCAGAAAAACAAATGGGTTTCTAGAAGAACAAATGAGAGATAAGAAAGTTTGTGATAATGTTAGTCTGTACAGGTATGAGCGGTCTCTCCATCTTCTCCAGGGCCATATAACTCCTGGAAGAGAGGATTTATGGTAGGGTTGGTTTTTTTTTTTTTTAAGACAAGGTCTCACCCCCATCACCCAGGCTGGAGTGCAGTGGCACCATCTCAGCTCACTGCAGTCTTGACTTCCCAGGCTCAGGTGATTCTCCCACCTCAGCTTCGTGAGTAGCTGGGACTACGGACTCACACCACATTCCTGGCAATTTTTTGTATTTTTAGTAGAGATGGGGTTTCGCCATGTTACCCAGGCTGGTCTGGAACTCCTGGGCTCAAGTGATCCACCTGCCTTGGCCTCCCAAAGTGCTGGGATTACAGGCATGAGCCACCATGCTCAGCATATGGTATGTTTATTTTTATTCTTCCTCCTGGGAGTAGACCTGCTCCAAAGAGGGAATTTATGGCAGGCTTATTTCCCAGAAGTCACTGCTTTTAGTCAGGGAAGCTCTGAGAAATCTTCCTCTATCTGTGGAATTTCAAATGTCTTCAGCTTAAAATAATTTTCATACCAACTTTGGGGTTCCTAGTGAGTCCACACAAGCACAAAACTCAGATCAATGGGAGTTTTAGGGAGGCAGATTTAGGTAAATGAAAGGAAAACCTTTCAGAACAGGAAATGATATAAAGTGGCATTTTCTGGTGAGGGCTTGGAGTATAGGTATTCTGTGGTATATACTGAGTGCATATTTATACAATAGGGATCAGTTGGGCAAATGGTAAAGATGCTGTCAGTTTCCTTTTGTAATATTGAGATGCTTAACCTGGTGTCTCATCTGATTGAAGGACCATCCTGCTGGCTTACAGAACAGGTTCAGGGAGTACCTGCAGGCAAAACTAGATTTTTTTGAAGAAATATTTGTTGTTTCAGCCTGGAACAAATTATATTCTCAAAGCTTTGCAATAAAAACAGCTAAGAAGATTTTGGTCTGAAAAATTTCTAGACTGGTGTTACCAGACATCTGTATTACCTGTGGAACAAAATCTCAAAATGTTTCCATAGACATTTAGTTCTGAGCAATATAACTTCCCTTTGAATTTGTCAGATTGTATTATCATTGATGTTCCTTTAAATAACTAAATAGACTAAGATTATTGAGATTTTTGAAGATGTCTGGCAAAAACAGTACAGTAGTTGCTGTCAAGCCATTATTTCTGACAGCAATTAGAATTAGATTGCAGAATTGATTAACCAGCATAAGCTTTTATTCTCTGTAGCAAGGCAACTTGAACCAGATCACTGCTTCCTAGGTTTTGGGGACTCCAAACAGAGCCCATGGTTCAGTTCACATGTACACCAAGCATTATCTGTAGACTGGGTAAATAAAATAACTTTTTCACATATATGCTTCTGTTTTTTAAAATATGTATAGATACAGTATTGATGCATGGAATATAATGTATTTAAAGGCAATGCTAAATTCAGGCCAGGCACAGTGGCTCATGCCTGTAATCCCAGCACTTTGGGAGGCCAATGTGGGCGGATCACCTGAGGTCAGGAGTTCGAGACCAGCCTGGCCAATGTGGTGAAACCCTGTCTCTACTAAAAATACAAAAATTAGCCAGGTGTGGTGGAGAGCACCTGTAATCCCAGCTACTTGGGAGGCTGAGGCAGGAGAGTTGCTTGAACCTGGGAGGTGGAGGTTGCAGAGAGCCAAGACCCAGCCGTTGCACTCCAGTCTGGGCAACAAGAGTGAAACTCCATTTCAAAACAAACAAACAAACAAACAAAAACTGCATTCAGAGTAGCCTTTGCTATTTCTTTGTATTTTCTCAGTTAGCTGTCTTAAAATGTATAATTAAGGGATCAGAAAAACTTTTTTATGTTTAAGAGAGGTCAGGAGGGTGGCGAGGGCCAAGCACAGTGGCTTGTGCCTGTAATCCCAGCACTTTGGGAGGCTGAGGTGGGAGAATCGCTTGAGCCAAGGAGTTTGAGACCAGCCTGGACAACAAAGTGACTATATCTACAAAAAAATAAAAAATTAGCCAGGTGTGGTGGCATACACCTGTGGTCCCAGTTACATGGGAGGCTGAGGCAGGAGGATTGCCTGAACCTGGGAGGTTGAGACTGCAATGAGCCATGCTTGTGCCACTGTACTCCAGCCTAGGCGAAAGAGTACCTGTGGTTCCAGCTACTTGGGAGACTGAGGTGGGAAGATCACCTGATCCTGGGAGGTTGAGGTCACAGTGAGCTCAGATCACGCCACTGCACTCCAGCTTGGGCAACACAGCAAGACCCTGTCTCAAAAAAAAGGAGTGACAGAGTGACTGGGTGCAGTGGCTCACGCCTGTAATCCCAGCACTTTGGGAGGCCAAGGTGGGAGACTCACTTGAGGACAGGAGTTCGACACCAGCCTGTGCAACATAGTGAGACTCTGTTTCTAATTAAAAACAAAAGAGATCAAGAGACTTGAAAGTACATATTGGCAACTGTTGAGCTAGATCAGAGGTTGGCATACTTTCTATAAAGGGCTAGATGATGCTTTGTGGGCTATATGGTCTATGTTGCAGCTACTGAGTCCCACCACTGTAGCACAAAACAGCCATAGATAACAGGTAACTGAATGGATATGGCTGTGTTCCAGTAAAACTGTATTTCCAAAAACAGGCAGCAGGCTAGATTTGACTCACACCTAACATTTGCTGACTCCTGTTCTAGATCTTGTAAAAGTTGTTTCAGATTCTAAGACCTAAGTTTTAAAAAATGGGAATGAGAGGAGAGGTTAGACTACTACCTTGTTTTATACCTCACAGAACAGTCAGGAGATCATAGATCATCCCTGACAACCTTGACTCTTATATTGATGTAAAATAAAGGTCTTGTAAGAGTGCTGGTGACTGTGAAGTTTAGAATCCTATGCTTGTATAGTTAGACCTAGGTTTCTCTCTCCCTTGGATGATGCTGAAAATAGTTATATTTGCATTAATTATGCATTCCTAGGTTCATGCTGTGTTTTGTGTTTGTGTTCATTTCTAGCACCACTTCCTTCTAATTATCTCATGGCAGGTTTCTTTTGATCATATTTATTTTATAAAAAATAGCTTATCCCTGATTCTAGCATATTGCACTTTGAGGCTGTCAGAAAAAATTGTGAAAGACTCGAAAAGATTACTGGGTATCTTCAGTGGAAAACTGGGTGGTCTGGAATGCAGTTTATCCTTCTGTTTTATCCAATTCTAAGAGATTTGCACCTTTCATTGTCTTTGAGCTATTTTCTATTTTTGTACATCGTAGATAATTGATAGCAGTATAAGTGATTCTTGTCCATAGGCACGCAAATTATTCTTTCCAAATGGAAGGGTGATCAATTTTCCTTTTCTTCTCCCCTGCAAAGGCCAGTTGTGCATCTAGTATTTAGAAATTCATTTCAGCATTCCTGATTGCCTTTTCATGTGTGGTACTTGGAATTCTCCTCTGAACTAGTTGTAATATCTTACTGGATCACTCATTAATTAATGAGTTAAAGTCTTTGATGTGTGTTCATTTTATGCTTGTATGACAGTCATGATTATACCTTCACAAAAATTGATATTTTAATAGGAACAGGGTCCTTTAGTGGTTTTGATTTCACTGGTTCCCCTCTCACAAAGCCTATCAAAAAAAGAAGGTGTGACAGTACCAATAAGTTCAGAGATCAGTAATTGCCTCAGGGATTTTTATTATTTATCATAAGAGCTGAAAAACAATGCTTTTAAAATTTAATGGCATATAACATAAATTATTCATGCTTATGTGTTAAGCATTCAAATTGCATGTATTTGTAACTTGGTTGAATTTGAAATTTTAATAATTAATTTTGACCTTGTATATTTGAATCTGTCATTATAACTGAACAAGCCAAATGATTTTCTCCATTAGCCTTAAAAGAAGTTGGCTATTTACCATATAAAATGGTAGTGACTTACTTGTAACCATCTCAAGAGAACACTGTAGAGATACAAAGGCTAGAATATCACAATTATGTTTTGGTAAATCTCCAGATTAGAGTTTATATTGAATAGTTTGTAGTTAAGATTCTATTATTCATGGGCATGAAACCATGGAAATTAACAAGTCAATGCAGTTTGCAGGTGATATGACCTAGCCTTTCTTAAAACAAACAAAACCTCAGCAGGTTATAAAAACTATAAACTGGGAACTGGATCATTTTATATTTTTAATTTATTTAAAAAATTTTATTTATATATATTTTATTTCAATAGCTTTTGGGGTACAAGTCATTTTTGATTACATGGATGAATTGTGTAGTGGGTGAAGTCTGAGATTTTAGTGCAGTCATCACCAGAGTGGTGTACATTGTACCCAATATCCAATATGTAGTTTTTTATCCCTTAGCCCTGTCCCACCTCCTACCTCCTGAGTCTCCAATGTCTTTTATACCACTCTATATGTCTTTGTGTACCCATAGCTTAGCTCCCATTTATAAGTGAGAACATGTGGGATTACGTTTTCCATTCCCTAACTCTGGAATGGAATCATCTTCACTTAGAATAATGGCCTGCAGCTTCATCCAAGTTGCTGCAGCAGACATTATTTCATTCTTTTTTATGGTTGAGTAGTATTCCATGGTGTATACATACCACATTTTCCTTTCTTTCTTTTCTTTCCTTTCTTTCTCTCTCTCTCTCTCTCCTTTTCTTTTCTTTCTTTTTTTTGAGACAAGGTTTCGCTCTGTTTCCCAGACTGGAGTGCAATGGCGTGATCTCGGCTCACTGCAACCTCTGCCTCATAGGCTCCAGCAATTCTCCTGTCTCAGCCTCCCAACTAGCCAGGACTACAGGCACAGGCCACCACGCCCAGCTAATTTTTGTATTTTTAGTAGAGACAGGGTTTCACCCTGTTGCCCAGGCTGGTCTCGAATTCTGGAGCTCAGGTGATCCACCCACCTTGGCCTTCCAAAGTGCTGGAATTACAGGCATGAGCCACTGTGCCTGGCCCACATTTTCTTTTTTCCCTCATCAGTGGGCATTTAGGTTGGTTCCATATCTTTGCAATTGTGAATTGTGGGGCAATAAACATATGCATGCATGTGTCTTTTTGATATAATGACTTCTTTTCCTTTGGGTGGATACCCAGTAGTGGGATTGTTGGATTAAATGATAGATCTACTTTTAGTTCTTTGAGAAATTGCCATACTGTTTTACACAGATGTTGTACTAATTTGCATTCCCACCAGCAGTGTATAAGCATTTCTTTTCACCATATCCATGTCAACATCTATTGTTTTTTGGTTTTTTAATAATGGCCATTCTGGCTGGGATACAGTGGTGTCTCATTGTGGTTTTAATGTGCATTTCCCTGATGATTACTGATGTCGAGCATTTTTTTTTTTTTTTTTTTTTGACAGAGTCTCGTTTGGTCGCCCAGGCTGGAGTGCAGTAGCACGATCTTGGCTCGCTGCAAGCTCCGCCTCCTGGGTTCACGACATTCTCCTGCCTCAGCCTCCCAAGTAGCTGGGACTACAGGCGCCCACTACCATGCCCGTCTAATTTTTTGTATTTTTGGGAGAGACGGGGTTTCACCGTGTTAGCCAGGATGGTCTTGGTCTCCTGACCTCATGATCCGCCCGCCTCGGCCTCCCAAAGTGCTGGGATTACAGGCGTGAGCCACCATGCCCAGCGATGTTGATCATTTTTAAATATATTTGTTGGCCATTTGTATATCTTCTTTTGAGAAATGTCTATTGCCCACTTTTTTAATTTTTATTTTATTTTATTTTATTTTTGAGAGGGAGTCTCACTCTGTCGCCCAGGCTGGAGTGCAGTGGCTCGATCTTGGCTCACTGCAAGCTTCGCCTCCCAGGTTCACACCATTCTCTTGCCTCAGCCTCCCGAGTAGCTGGGACTACAGGCGCCTGCCACCACACCCGGCTAATTTTTTGTATTTTTAGTAGAGACGGGGTTTCACCGTGTTGGCCAGGATGGTCTCGATCTCCTGACCTCATGATCTGCCCACCTTGGCCTCCCAAAGTGCTGAGATTACAGGCGTGAGCCACCACGCCTGGCCCATTTGCCCGCTTTTTGATGGGATTGTGTTTTTCTTGATGATTTGTTTGAGTTCCTTGTGGATTCTTGACATTAGATGCATAGTTTGCAAATACCTTCTTCCTCTCTGTGGGCTGTCTGTTCACTCTGATGATTATTCCTTTTGCTGTGCAGAGGCTCACTAGTTTAAGTCCTATTTATTTATTTTTGTCTTTGTTGCTTTTGCTTCTGGGGTCTTAGTCATAAATTCTTTGCCTAGGCCAATGTCCAGAAGAGTTTTTCCTAGATTTTCTTCTAGAATTTCTATGATTTCAGGTCCTAGATTTAAGTCCTTAATCCATCCCAAGTTGATTTCTGTATATGGTGAAAGACAGGGAATCCAGCTTCACTCCTCTACATGTGGCTATTCAGTCTTCCCAGCACCATATACCAAATAGGGTGTCCTCTTCCCCAGTTTTTGTTTTTGTATGCTTTATCAAAGATCAGTTGGTTGTAAGTATTTGGCTTTATTTCTGGGTTCTATATTGTGTTCCATTAGTCTATGTGTCTACTTTTATACCAGTACCATGCCATTCCAGTTAGTACAGTCTTATAGTACAATTTGAAGTCCAACAATGTAATGCCTCCAGATAAGTCATTTTTGCTTAGGATTGCTTTGGCTATTTGGGTTCTCTTTTGATTTGATTTCTTTCTTTCCATTCTTTCCTTTCTTTCTTTCGACAGAGTTTCGTTCTGTCGCCCAGGCTGGACTGCAGTGGTGTGATCTTGGCTTACTGCAGCCTCCACCTCCTGTTTCAAGTGATTCTCATGCCTCAGCCTCTCAAGTAGCTGGGATTACAGGCATACACCACCATGCCAGGCTAATTTTTGTATTTTTAGTAGAGATGGCATTTTGCCATGCTGGCCAGGCTGATCTTGAACTCCTGGCCTGAAGTGATCCCCCCATCTCAGCCTCCCAGAGTGCTGGGATTACAGGTGTGAGCCACCACACCTGGCCCTCTGTCGATTTCATAAGAATATTAGGGTTGCTATCTCTAATTCTGTGAAAAATGACATTGGTATCCTGATAGAAATTGCACTGAATCTGCAGATTGCCCTGGGCAGTATGGTCATTTTCACAATATTGATTTTTCTACTCCATGAGCATGGGATAGATTTCTATTTGTTTGTGTCATCTGTGATTTCTTTCAGCAGTGTTTTGTAGTTCTCCTTATAGAGATCTTTCACCTCCCAGGTCAAGTATATTCCCATGTATTTTATCTTCTCTGCAGCCACTGTAAAAAGGACTGAGTTTCTGATTTGATTCCCAGCTTGATTGTTGCCAGTGCATAGCAGTGCCACTGATCTGTGTACATCGATTTTGCAACCTGAAACCCTATCAAATCTAGGAGTCCTTTGGAGGAGTTTTCATGGTCCTCCAGGTATGCTATCATATCATCGGCAGAGACAGCTTGACCTCCTCCCTTCCTACTTGGATGCCCTTCACTTTTTTCTCTGGCCTGAGTGTTCTGGCTAGGATCCTCAGTACTGTATTGAATAGAACTGGTGAAAATGGGCATCATTATCTCGTTGCAGTTCCGAGGGGGAATGCCTTCAACTTTTCCCCGTTCAGTATGTTGTTGACTGTAAGTTTATCATACATGCTTTTATTATTTTGAGGTATGTTTCTTCATGCCTGCAATCCTAGCTACGTGGGACGCTGAGGCACGAGAATCACTTGAACCAGGAGGTGGAGGTTGCAGTGAGCCGAGATCACATTCCCTTAATCACAAAAGGATGCCGCATTTTATTAAGTGTTCTTTCTGTGTCTTTTGAAATGATCATATGGTTTTTGTTTTTAATTTTGTTTATGTCATGAGTCACATTTATTGGCTTACACATGTTGAACCATCCCAGCATCCCTAGGATGAAACCCGCTTGATCATGGCGAATTATCTTTTTTTTTTTTTTTTTGAGATGTAGTCTCGCTCTGTTGCCCAGACTGGAGTGCAGTGGCTTGATCTTGGCTCCCTGCACCCCTGGACTCCTGGGTACAAGCAATTCTCCTGCCTCAGCCTCCTCAGAAGCTGGGACTACAGGCGCATGCCACCACGCCCGGCTAAATTTTGTATTTTTAGTAGAGATGGGGTTTCACCATGTTGGCCAGGATGGTCTTGATCTCCTGACCTTGTGATCCCCCCACCTTGGCCTCCCAAAGTGCTGGGATTACAGGCATGAGCTACCGCGCCGGCCTGAATTATCTTTTTGATGTACTGTTGGATTTGGTTTGCTAGTATTTTGTTGAGGATTTTTGCATCTGTGTTCGTCAGGGATATTGGTTTGTAGTTTTCTTTTTTGGTTATGCCCTTGAACTGGAGCATTATTATTATTACAATTTTTTTTTGAGACGGAGTTTCACCCTTGTTGCCCAGCACGAACTGGAGCATTTTTTTTTTTTGAGACGGAGTCTCACTCTGTCGCCCAGGCGAGTGCAGTGGCGCAATCTCAGCTCACTGCAAGCTCTGCCTCCTGGGTTCACACCATTCTCCTGCCTCAGCCTCCTGAGTAGCTGGGACTACAGGTGCCTGCCACCACGCCCGGCTAATTTTTTGTATTTTTAGTAGAGATGGGGTTTCACTGTGTTAGCCAGGATGGTCTTGATCTCCTGACCTCATGATCTGCGCACCTCAGCCTCCCAAAGTGTTGGGATTACAGGGGTGAGCCACCGCGCCCCACTGAACTGGAGCATTTAAAAAATTTTAATTTAGTTTAATTTTTGAGACAGGTTCTCACTTTGTTGCCCAGGCTGGAGTGCAGTGGTGCGATCTCGGCTTACTGCATCCTTGACCTCCTGGGCTCAGGCAATCCTCCCACCTCAGCCTCCCAAGTAGCTGGGACTACAGGCATGTGTAAAAGCTTGGCTAATTTTTGTATTTTTAGTAGAGATGGGGTTTCACCTTGTTGCCCAGGCTGGTCTTGAACTCCTGAGCTCAAGTGATTTGCCCGTCTTGGCCTCCTGAAGTGCTGGGGATTATAGGCGTGAGCCACTGCGCCCAGCCTGGAACATTTTTAAATGGGCAAAAGTAACTTTGGATATAGTTCTAGCATGGGTCATTCAGGTTGCAAGAAAGACAGGCCTCAGTAGTCATTTAGCATTTCCCAAACTGTAGGAACAGAGTTCTGTATTTTTTTTTTTTTTTTTGAGATGGAGTCTTGCTCTGTCGCCCAGGCTGGGGTGCAGTGGTGCGATTTTGGCTCACTGCAACCTCCGCCTCCTGGGTTCATGCCATTCTCCTGCCTCAGCCTCCTCAGTAGCTGGGACTACAGGTGCCTGCCACCACGCCCGGCTAATTTTTTGTATTTTTAGTAGAGTCAGTGTTTCACCGTGTTAGCCAGGATGGTCTCGATCTCCTGACCTCGTGATCCGCCTGCCTCGGCCTCCCAAAGTGCTGGGATTACAGGCGTGAGCCACCGCGCCCAGCCAAGTTCTGTATTATCATAGTAGATATTCAAATAATTCTGAAAAGTATAAAATGGTTAAGAGCATGGACTCCAGAGCCAGCCTGCACAAGGGTTTGAATCACCTCTACTGCATACTACCCTGTTACACTTTCACACCCTCACCTTTTGATAGTAAAGTTATTTAACCTTTTTGTGCCTTGTTTCTTCCCCTACTAGAGATAATAATAGTACCTATCTTATAGAGTTTTGTGAAGAGTAAATCAGCTAACATATGTAAAGTACTTAGAACTGTGCCAGGGGCATATTAAGTGCTCAATAATTATAATAATTCTTATCCTTATTTGGATGCAGTGTATAGTCTATGTAATTCTTGGAGACTCACAATATACGTTAACATATTAAAGTCTCTAAGGAAAACCTACAGTAACAAAATCTGTTTTCTTAGTAATTATTTGAAAGAACTGGCAACTATTGACCTAGAATCAGCTAAAAGAAGTTTCAAATCTTAAGACATAATTTTTTCAAAGATGTGGGTGAGGAATTTCTCCCAAATAATTTACATTAATTTTCCCCAAATTGTTTGACCATGGAATACCTTTTCAAGGATGCCTACTAAGATAATTTTAAGGAAACGTTTGAGAAGTATTCACTTAATTGACCCAAGGACTGGGAATTTATTGAAGGATCAATGGCAATTGTGCTTCAGGGTTTGGCCATTCTGAGAGTTGCTAACCTCTTGTTGTGTGTCTAGTTCTTTCTTACACTCTTATATTAGCTTCTCTATGTATCTTTATGACAGCCTACAAAAGCTCTAAACCAGCTCTGTCCAATAGTACTTTCTGTGATGATAGAAATGTTCTTTATCTATGCCAGACGCAGTGGCACGTGCCTGTAGTCCCAGCTGCTTGGGAGGCTGAGGCAGGAGGGTTGCTTGAACCTAGGAGTTGTAGGTTATAGTACGCTATGATGGTGTCCACATTAAGTTCAGCGTCAATATGGTGACCTCCTGGGAGCGGGGACCACCAGATTGCCTAAGGAGGGTGAACCAGCCCAGGTCAGAAAGAAAACAGGTCAAAACTCCTCTGCTGATCAATAGTGGGATCACACCTGTGAATGGTGAATAGCCACTGCACTCCAGCCTGGGCTGAGACCCTGTCTCTTTAGGAAAAAAAAATAAGAATAAAAAATGTTCTCTATCTGCACTCTCCAATCTGGTAGCCACTAGCTACCATGTGGCTATTGAGCACTTGCACTGTGGCTAATACATCTGAGGAACTGAATCTTTAATTTTATTTAAGTAAAATAAAAAATTAAACGACCACATATTGCTAATGGCTCCTGTATTGGGCAGTGCAGATCTAAACACACTGGGCCCCAGTTACCTCTCTGACCTTTTACTTTGTACCCTCACCTCTTTCACACTGACCTCTTTGCTGTTTCTGAAACATGCCTGGTCCTTATTGCCTTAATTTTGTTTTCTCTAGAGACCTAATTCCATATGTATCTGCATGGCCAACTTCTTCACTTTCTTTTGATTAGCCATCTTTCTTTGATCTGGAGGATCCCAGTTGGGATCACTGGTTTGAATAGTTGCAGCCTGGTTAGGAGGATTCACCTCTTAAGCACAGGGCTTTGCCAGGTAAAATAAACTGCTTGGGCCTTTCACAGGCGAAGCTAGTGTTTTTTTTTTGTTGTTTTTTTTTTTAAACGGCAAACAGCTTATACTGTTATTATCTATTCACAGGGTTTATCTCTAGTGTCTAGGAGAGTACCTGGCATACAGATAATCTTACTGTATTCTGGCCAAGAAATCTTTGCCTAACCTAAGTTCACAAAACTTTTCCTATTTTCTTTTAGGAGTTTAACTTTTACATTACCCACTTGTTTTAATGTTCCCTTTCCTCCCCCTACTTTTTTTTTTTTTTATTAATCAAATTTAAAAATGATTTTATTTTTCTAAATTAACTTGTTTTTTACTCCTGTTATTTCCTTAGTGATTACAACATGCATTCTTGACTCAATATGGTCTAATAAAAGTAATAGTTTTACTACTTAACAGATTCTGCTAGAAACTTAAAACCTTGATATGGTGTGTCATGTATAGATGAGCAACATCTAAGCCATCAGGAGCTTGTTAAATGCAGAATCTCAAGCCCTGTTCCAAACCTATTGAATCAGAATGGGTAATTTATACGTACACTAAGGTTTGGGAAATACTTTCTTAGAGAACTTTAGCTCCATTTATTATCTCCTGCATTTTGTGTTATAAATTTTTAAACTTATTATTTTGTATAGCTGATGTTCATTTATATTTACTCATATATTTACTCTTTCCAGTATTATTCATTCCCTCCTGCATTCCTCTGCTTCTGTCTGGGATAGTTTTCTTTCAGTATTTTCTTTAATATTTCTTTTAGTGTAGGCCTGCTATTTATTAATTCCCTCAGTTTTCATTTCTTTAATTGAGATGCAATTCACACCATAAAAGTCACCATTTTAAAGTATACAATTCAGTGGTTTTTAGTATTTTCACAAGGTTGTTCAACCATACCACTATCTAATTCTAGAACATTTTCCTCGCTCTCAAAAGAAATCTGGTGCCATTAAGAGTCAATCCTCATTTTCCTCTCCTTCCATCCTCTGACAACCACCAATCTGCTTTCCATATCAATGGATTTGTCTACTATGGAGATTTAATAAATTGAATCATACAGTATATGGCCTTTTGTGACTTGCTTCTTGCACTTAACATAATATTTTTAAGGTTCATCCATGTTGTAATGTGTGTTTTATTCATTTCTTTATTTTTTTTTTTTGAGACGGAGTCTTGCTCTGTCGCCAGGCTGGAGTGTAGTGGTGCGATCTCGGCTCACTGCAACTTCCACTTCCTGGGTTCAAGTGATTCCCCTGCCTCAGCCTTCTGAGTAGCTGGGACTACAGGCACGCGCCACCACGCCCGGCTAATTGTTTGCATTTTAGTAGAAATGGGGTCTCACCATGTTGGCCAGGATGGTCTCGATCTCCTGACCTCGTGATCCACCTACCTCGGCCTCCCATAGTGCTGGGATTACAGATGTGAGCCACTGTGCCTGGCCTATTCATTACTTTTTTATGGTTGAGTAGTATTCCATTGTATGGTTTTCCCACATTTTGTTTATTCACTAATTAATGGATATTTTGGTTGTTTCCACTTTTTGGCTATTATAAATCTGCTATGAAAATTTGTGCACTAGTTTTTCCATGGACAGGTTTTCAGTTCATTTGGGTAGATACCTAAGAGTAGAATTGCTGGATCATATAGTAACTCTATGTTTATCTTTTCTAGGACCTGCCGTACTATTTCCACAGTGGTTGTACCATTTTATATTCCCATGAGTAATGTATGAATATTCCTATTTCATTCTCAGTTTTGAAGAGTATTTTCTCTGAGTATTTTATGTTAGGTGCTATTTCAGCTTCCGTCATTTCTGTTGAGTATGCAGCTTGTAGCTCCTTTCAAGGTAATGTGTCTTATTTCCCTCTGTCTGCTTTAACATTTTCTCTGTTTATTATTATTATTATTATTATTATTTTAACAGTTTGACTATGACAGACGTAGGTGTGATTTTCTTTGTGGTATCTTGGAGTTGAATGAAAGTCTGAAAGCTATGGGTTCAATATTTTATGAGTTGATGTCTCTTATCAGTTTTAGAAAATTCTTGGTCATTGGTATTCAAATATTGTTTCTAACTCCCTTCTCTCCCTTCTTAAATTCTAATTATATGTGTATCAGACCTCTTGGGTATATTACTTAGGTCTCTTATTGCTCATCTTTCCCCCCCCCCCCTTTACTTTTTTTCTCCTCTATAGTTGATTTTGGGGATTTTTTCTTTTTTTTTTGAGATGGGGTCTCACTCTGTTGCCCAGGCTGGAGTGCAGTGGTGTGATCACGGTTCACCACAGCCTAAACCTCCTTAGGCTCAAGTGATCCTCCCACCTCAGTTTTTGTATTTTTAGTAGAGGTGGGGTTTTGCCATGTTCCCCAGGCTGGTCCTGAATTCCTGGGCTCAAGCAATCTACCCACATCGGCCTCCAAAATTGCTGGGATTACAGACTTGAGCCACTGCACCTGGCCATCATTTTGAGGATTTTTCTGTTTCTTATCTTCCAGTTTATTAATCTTGTTGTTAGCTGTATCAAGTCTTGCTAAATCCATTCACACAGTTCTTAATTTCGTGTATTATATATTTTAGTCTTGTACATTGAATTCTTTGTTACATGGTCATTTCTCTGGTGAAATTTTCTCTTATCATCTATTTTGTTTGCTTTGAAAATACATGTATTAGTCCGTTTTCATGCTGCTGATGAAGACATACCCGAAACTGGGCAATTTACAAAAGAAAGAGGTTTAATTGGACTCACAGTTTCACCTGGCTGTGGAGTCCTCACAATCATGGTGGAAAGCAAGGAGGAAGTCACATCTTACATGGATGACAGCAGGCAAAGAGAGAGCTTGTGCAGAAAAACTCCCATTTTTAAAACCGTCAGATCTTGTGAGACTTACTATCACAACAACAGCATGGGAAAGACTGGCTCCCATGATTCAGTTACCTTCCATGGAATCCCTCCCACAACACATGGGAATTCAAGATGAGACTTGGGTGGGGACACAGCCAAACCATATCAGTACACAACTAACATATGCCTTTGCTCATCCATATGGCATCTTTGTGTGAATTTGAAAAAGATCCTACTCTCTAGGCGTAAGAATAGCTTGGTGAATGGAGAGGGGGTAAGGAAAAAGTTACACTCATAAATTGTTGGTAGAAGTGTAAACTGATACAATTTCTTCTGCCTTTTGATTTTTTTCTATCTATATCAGCGTATAAAATCTTTCTTATTCTTTTGGCTGGATTTATAATAATTACATGGATCTAATAAAATTTATGCCTTGCAAAGCCCTGTGCTTATCCATTTTCCTGTTGTCTAACATTTAAATTATTTCTAACATCATGCTAATACAAATGATGCTATTATGACTATCCTTGTATTAATATATGTTATTTTGTTTACACATGTAAGTGCATCTATAAGATAAATTACCAGAAGTGGAGAAAATTTCTAGAATTGAAAGGTTATGCAACTTTTACATTTTTGTAGATGTTCCCAAATTGTTCTGTAAGGAATTGTATCAGGCAAGGCTTGGTGGCTCAGGCCTGTAATCCCAACTCTTAGGTAGTGAGAGGTGGGAGGATAGCTTGAGCCTAGGAGTTTGAGACCTGCTTGGGCAATATAGCGAGACCTCCCCTTCTACCAATAATGTATGAATGTATGGGTATAACTTTTTCCTTACCCCCTTAACCAACAAAATGTATTGCTAATTTTTTATTTCTGATAGTAGGGGAGGTAAAAAAATATTGTCTTTAAGTTTTAATTTTCTTTTAAAATAACTGAGGTCAGACATTTAAAAAAATGTGTTTAAAAGCCACATGGAGTTCCTTTTTTTGTGATTTGTCTGTGTATGTCCTTTGTCCATTTTTTCCATTGAATTGTTTGTGCATTTTATTACTGATTTGTAGGAGCTTTATCCATACTAAGAAAACTAGCCATTTATCATGTGTTGCATTTTTTTAACCGATTTGTTACTAATCTTTTTGGTCTTAATCCATATTTTCCATGCAGACATTAAAATTTTTTATGTTGTCATATTTATCTGTCTTTTCTATTCTGTTTTGTGGCTTATGTGTTGTACTTAGGACTCAGTTCTACATAATAAAAGATTCTTTCCTTTTAATATTTTATAATTTTATTTCAAAATATTTAATTATTTGAATTACCTGTGATTTTTTATATAGAGGGGATAAGTTTTTTTATATATCATTTGAATAATCAAAATTTATAATAGAATTTATATTCTGTTGCTGTTGGATGGCATGTTCTGTACATGTCTGTTGGGTCCATTTGGTCTAAAGTATAGTTCAAGTCTGATGTATTCTGTATTGGTTTCTGTCTGGATGATCTGTCCATTGTTGAAAGTTGCATATTGAAGTTCCCACTATCACAGTATTGCTGTCTATTTCTCCCTTCAGATTTGTTAATATTTGCTTCATATATTTAGGTGCTGTGATTTTGGGTGTATATGTATTTATAATTAAACCCTCTTAATGAATTCACCTTTTTATAATTAAACAATTATTTTGTCTGTTGTGAATAGATTTTGACTTAAAGTCTATTTTGTCTAAGTATAGTTATTCCTGCTCTCTTTTGGTTTCCATTTTGCGTGGAATATCTTTTCTGTCCCTTCACTTTCAGTCTGTGTGTATCCTTAAAGCTGAAGTGAGTCTTTTGTAAGCAGCATATAGTTTTTGTAAGCAGCATCTCTTTGGGTCCTGTTTTTTTTTTTTAATTTAAAAATTTTATTGTGTCCTGAATTTTTATCCATTCAATCATTCTGTTTTTTGATTGGAGAACTTACTCCATTTACACTTAAAGTAATTATTGATAGGTAAGGACTTACTATTGCCATTTTGTCAATTGTTTTCTGACTGTTGTGTAAACCTTTCGTTCCTTTTTTGTCTTCCTTGCTGATTTGATGATTTTCTATAGTATGCTTTGGTTCCTTTATCTTTTGTGTATCTGCTATAGGTATTTGCTTTGTGGTTACCTTGATGCTCACATAAAACATAGTTATAGCAGTCTATTTTAAGCTGATACACAATGGGGAAAGGATAGTTTCCAACATATATGGTCCTGGGAAAACTGGCTATCACATGCCATAAAGTGTAATTGGATCCTTAACCTACACCACACATAAAAATAAACTCAAAATAGATTAAATACTTAAACGTGGCTGGGCGCGGTGGCTCACGCCTATAATCCCAGCACTTTGGGAGGCTGAGGCAGGCGGATCACCTGGGGTCGGGAGATCGAGACCCTCGTGGCTAACACGGTGAAACCCTGTCTCTACTAAAAATACAAAAAAAATTAGCCTGGCATGGTGGCGGGTGCCTGTGGTCCCAGCTACTTGGGAGGCTGAGGCAGGAGAATGGTGTGAACCCGGGAGGCAGAGCTTGCAGTGATTGGAGATTGCTCCACTGCACTCCAGCCTGGGCGACAGAGCAAGACTCCGTCTCAAAAAAAAAAAAAAAAAAAAAACTGAAGACCTGAAACTCTAAAACTCCTAGAAGAAAACATGGGGGAAAAAGTTCTTAATATTGGTCTTGGCAATGATTTTTTGGATGTGACACCAAAAAACTAGGCAAAAAAAGCTGATGGGACTACATCAAACTAAAAATTTTTCCACAAAAAAGGAAACAGTCAACAAAGATGAAAAAGTAACCTATGGGGTGGGATAAAATATTTGCAAATCATATACCTGATAAGGGTTAATATCCAAAATATATAAGGAACTCATACAACTCTATAGCAAATAAATAAATAATCTGATTTTTAAAATGAGCGAAATACCTGAATATAATTTGTACAAAGAAGACCTACAAACTGCTAAGAGGGGTGTGAAAAGCTGCTCAACATCACTACCATAGGATCCAGCAATCCCACTTCTGGATATGTCTCCGAAGGAAATAAAATTACTATCTTGAAGTAATCTTGAAGTATATCTGCACTTCCATGTATACAGCATTATTCACAATGACCAAGATATAGAAACAACCTAAGTGTCCATTGCTGGATGAATGAATAAAAAAAATGCACATGTGCAAAATACAATATTATTCAACCTTAAGGAAATCCAGCCTGTAATCCCAGCACTTTGGGAGGCCGAGTCAGGCGGATCACCTGAGGTCAGGAGATCGAGACCATCCTGGCTAACACGGTGAAACCCCGTCTCTACTAAAAATACAAAAAATTAGCCGGACATGGTGGTGGGCACCTGTAGTCCCAGCTACTTGGGAGGCTGAGGCAGGAGAATAGCATGAACCCAGGAAGCAGAGCTTGCAGTGAGCCAAGATCGTGCCACTGCCCTCCAGCCTGGGCAACAGAGCTCAAAAAAAAAAAAAAAAAAAAAAAAAAATCCTGACATTTGCAACAATATGGATGAACCTAGAGATGTCATGCTAAAGGAAATGAGCCAGACACAGAAAGACAAATACTGTATGATCTAACTTATATGTAGGATCTAAAAATGTTGAATTCATAAAAACAGAGAGTAGAAGGGTGGTTATCAGGGGACAAGGGTGTGAGAAATGGGGTGACATTGGTTAAGGGGTACAAATCTTCAGCTATAAGATAAATAAGTTCTGGAGACCTAGTATACAGCATGGTGACTGTAGTTAATATATTATATACTTGAAATTTGCTAAGAGAGTAGATCTTAAGTATTTTCACCATGTACACACAAAAGATAGCTCTGTGAGGTGATGGATATGTTAATTAGCTTGATTGTGGTAGTCATTTCACAATGCATACATATATCAAAACATCACATTATATATATTCTATATATACGACTTTATTGGTCAGTTTATACCTCAATAAAGCTAGAAAAATTTATAACAGGACTGGAATTTTACTATGTATGTAGTAATTATATGTGGCTGCATATATTGAGCCCATTTGGCTCACATGTTACTGACACTCCCTCTACCCTTTTAAGATGAATTTGTCAGAGGATCAGAGGAAAATATCAGCAATGTTAATATATGTTGACATCCCTATGCTATATGTATATGAAATTCAGTCAAAATATTTTTCTCTATTTTGGAACTCATGAGGGAATAAATAATGGTTAATCTAAGTAAATGAGTAATTAAACATTTTATTTTTCATTATCTCCTTAAGGAGTACTATTCTGTTTTGTTTTGCTTTGTTTTGTTTTTTTGAGACGGAGTCTTGCTCTGTTGCCCAGGCTGGAGTGCAGTGGTGCAATCTCAGCTCACTGCAACCTCCACCTCCCGGGTTCATGCCATTCTCCTGCCTCAGCCTCCCGACTAGCTGGGACTACAGGTGCCCGCCACCATGCCTGGCTAATTTTTTGTATTTTTAGTAGAGATGGGGTTTCACCGTGTTAGCCAGGATGGTCTCGATCTCCTGACCTCGTGATCCGCCCGCCTCAGCCTCCCAAAGTGTTGGGATTACAGGCGTGAGCCACCGTGCCCATCCCTTACGGAGTACTATTCTAACTCATTAAATTAGTTCCTGAATTTAATATGGCTGGTTATTTTAAGTACAACATATATATAATCTGAGAAATACATGCAAAGGTCTTTTTTCTCTGTCAAGTTTATCAATTGCAGATAAGATAGAAAAGGACTTGGGGCCGGGTGTGGCAGCTCATGCCTGTAATCCCAGCACTTTGGGAGGCCAGGGTGGGTGGATCACTTGAGGTCAGGAGTTCGAGACCAGCCTGGCCAACATGGCAAAACCGTATCTCTACTAAAAATACAAAAATTGGCTGGGTGTGGTGGTGCACACCTGTAATCCCAGCTACTCAGGAGGCCGAGGCAGGAGAAGCGCTAGAACCTGGAGGCGAAGGTTGCAGTGAGCCAAGATCACTCCGCTGCCCTCCAGCCAGGGCAACAGAGTGAGACTCCATCTCAAAAAAAAAAAGAAAAAAAAGAAAAGGACTTGGGAAGTTATGTTTATTCTTTTTAGCCATACATAGAAATTTCCGTTTCTTTTTTTTTTTTTTTTTTTGAGATGGAGTCTCGCTTAGTCGCCAGGCTGGAGTGCAGTGGGGCGATCTTTCGCTGCAACCTCCGATTCCCAGGTTCAAGCAATTCTCCTGCCTCAGCCTCCTGAGTAGCTGAGACTACAGGCTCGTGCCACCACGGCCAGCTAATTTTAGTATTTTTAATAGAGACGGGGTTTTATCATGTTGGCCAGAATGGTCTCAATCTCTTGACCTCGTGATCTGCCTGCCTCGGCCTCCCAGTGTGCTGGGATTACAGGCGTGAGCCACCACTCCCGGCCAGAAATTTCTGTTTCTTAGCTTTCTAACAACCACACAGTATCCAGCTGAGTAGACACAGATATATTTTGACAAATTAGAAGCTTCTGTGGAGCACTTACTACAGCGCATTTTTCTTTTAAATTTGTGAACATTTGATGGTGTTTTGTGAACATTTGGTTAACTACTACTAATTCTAAATACTAGAGTTCTCCTCTAGTATTTAGAATCTTTCTGCACTAGTACTGACTCATCCATGGTATTTTCTTTGCTCTTAGAGGCCTTAGTAATGGTTTACATCAGTGTTTCGAGCAATTTCTGGACTTGCCAGATCCTTCACTATAAAGGTGATTTGATCTTATAATGTATGGTATTTCCCCCTCTCAGATTCACAGTGTGCAAAATAAGATCTGTGAGAGATATTTCACTAAAGAAGAGATTTATTTAACGTTGTTCATCCTTGTCTCCTGAGGACCTAAGTTTTCCTTAGAATATATTTTGGGAAATGTTACTTTATATTACTGTACATGGAGGTAATAGAATGAAGATGATTTCTCTTCTTAATTTGATTCTTATCTGTGTTGGCATTGAACCAAAATTATTACTCTGCCATTATTTTCTTTCTGAGACAGGGTCTTGCTTGTTGTCCAGGCTGAAGTGCAAGTGGCATGATCACAGCTCACTGCAGCCCTGACCCCCTAGGCTCAAGCGGTCCTCCCTCTTCAGTCTCCCAAGTAGCTGGGAATACAGGTGCGTGTCACCCACTCAGCTATTTTTTGTCTTTTTTGTAGAGACAGGGTCTTGCTTTGTTGCCCAGGCTGGTCTTGAACTCCCGGGCTCAAACAGTCCACCCACCTTTGCCTCCCAAAGTGTGGGATTACAGGCATGAGCTATTGTACCTGGCTTACTCTGCAATTCTTTTTGAAAAAAAAATTTTTTTTCTTTTTCTTTTTCTTTTTCTTTTTTTTTTTTGAGACAGAGTCTTGTTCTTGTTGCCCAGACTGGAGTGCAATGGTGCAATTTTGGCTCACTGCAACCTCTGCCTCCTGGATTCAAGCAATTCTCCTACCTCAGCCTCCTGAGTAGCTGGGATTATAGGCACCCGCCACCATGCCTGGCTAATTTTTGTATATTTAGTAGAGATGAGGTTTCATCATGTTGGCCAGCCTGATCTCAAATTCCTGACCTCAGGTGATCCGCCCACCTCGGCCTCCCAAAGTGCTGGGATTACAGGTGTGAGCCACGGTGCCCTACCTTGCAAATTTTTTAAATAATTTTTTTTTTTTCTAAAATAGAGACAGGGTCTTGCTATGTTGCCAGGCTGGTCTCAAACTCCTGGGCTCAAGCAGTCTACCCATCTTAGTCTCCCAGTATGCTGGGATTACAGGGATGAACCACTGAGCCCAGCCTACTCTGCAATTCTTTATGAGAAGTAGGGAATACTGTAATAGTAGGATTCTTCTTCTTCTCCTTTTTTTTTTTTTAATAACTTACAGGCTACTTATGAATCTAACAGTTTATCTTACTTTAAAAGTCTTTACTTGCTATTTTTATGTCATGCCCCTGAATTTTCAGATACAGAATTTGTTTCTATAACTTATGGTATTATTGACCTTAAGCAGAACCATGATGATCATATTTTCCAAAATGAAATCAGTCTTACATATTGTAATAATTAAAAACAAGGACTGAAAATTCTGGTTGTTTGGTAAATGTTACATAGTCCATTTACTTTCAAGCAATATGTTTCATGATCATAATTTTTTAAAAAACCTTTAAGTGCATTATTGGTTGGCCACTTCCAGTATGTGAAAGTTGAATATTGGTGCATGCCTGTAATCCCAGCTACTCGGGAGGCTGAGGCAGGAGAATTGCTTGAACCTGGGAGGCAGAGGTTGCAGAGGTTGCAATGAGTCGAGATCATGCCATTGCACTCCAGCCTGGGCAACAAGAGTGAAACTTCTCCTCAAAAAAAAAAAAAAAAAAAAAAAAAAAAAAAGTTGAATATAACTTGGACACTGATATTTGAAACTTACAGAATCCTTTAATGTTTTGAATTGTCCTGGAAATCAGGATATAATATCCGTGTGAACAGAGGAAGAACAGTCGCTCATATGTGTGATTAGATCTGCCTTTCTTCCTTTCTTTGGGGAATTTTTTCTTTTTTTAATAAAAATACTTCTTTGAGGAGTCTATTTCTTTGTATATGTTGGCCTATTGCATCAAATCAGATGCATCCTCTTCTGAATGGAGGTACTGGACTTGATCTTAAAGGAAGACATAGGGAAAAAAATACTTTTTGTTTTAATTTCACTTAGGGCAAGCTTGCTTAGAAGTATAAAATGGCTGTCCTTGATACTACTGTGTTAAATTTCTTCCCTTTGTACTCTACAGTTCGTAATTTTTATGTTTTAAAAATGAGTAACAGGCTGGGTGCTGTGGTTCACATCTGTAGTCCCAGCAGTTTGGGAAGCCAAGGCGGGAGTATTGCTTGGACCCAGGAGTTTGAGACCAGCCTCGGCAACATGAGGAGACTTCGTCTCTACAAAATAATAAAAAAATCAGCCAGGCGGGGTGGTGCATGCCTGAGGTTCCAGCAACTTGGGAGGCTGAGGTGGGAAGACTGCTTGAGTCCAGAAGGTTTGAGGCTGCAGTGAGCTCTGATCACACCACTGCACTCCAGCCTGGGTGACAGAGCAAGACCCTGTCTCAAAAAAACCCACAAAAACAAACAAACAAAAACACTTGACACGTTTGCTTCCTTTGATTTTAAGGTCACTGCACTGCTGCTATAAAATTATAGAAAACTTAGTAATTTTGAAAAATCAACATCAAAAACAGATTTTAAATTGCCAGAATATAGTTACAGCTGAATAGTTTTTGCTAGTCTTCAAAAACTGGTGTTTGTCTTTGAAATTTCATGGTAGTAGCCAAATTATAGTCACCAAATTTGCCAGTCCAAAAAGATTCATTGGTACATGAAAACATTTTTTAAACCTTATTTTTTATTTTAAAACTTGCATAAGTTTAAGAAAATTAAAATGCTCCACAACCTTTCTAGAGGTAATTTAGTATGATTAATATTTTGATTTTGTTCTCTCATTACTTATTTATTTATTTTTAGAGATGGAGTCTCACTGTGTTGTCCAGACTGGAGTGCAATGGCTATTCACAGGTGCAGTTGTAGCACACTATAGTATTAAATTCCTGGGCTAAAGTGATCCTCCTGCTTCAGCATCTTGAGTAGCTGGGACTACAGGTGCATGCCACTGTTCCTGGCTTTTCAGCATTATTTTAAGTGCAATTGTCTTAACATAGTTGAGATTATAGTGTCCATATATGTTTGTATTTTATTTTTTCCATAGTATATAACTTTAAATTGCCAAGGAAAAACCTGAGTACTCTTTTGCATTTATTCATTCAACAAATACAAATACAAATATACATGTATGTAACTATTAAACATACATATACACATATGCATGCAAGGCCCTTTGTTGGCTGCTTTGAGAGAAGATTATTGTCTTCCAGGGCACAAAAGTTAAATATAATGTAGAGCAGATCATGAAGAATGTTTGTGTTTATTGAGGTTCAGATGATGTCTTAGTCTGTTTTGTGTGGCTATAAAGGAATATTTGGCCAGGTGCAGCAACTGATGCCTGTAATCCCAGCATTTTGGGAGGCTGAAGTGGAAAGATCTCTTGAGGCTAGTAGTTCAAAATCAACCTGGGCAACATAGTGAAATCCTGTCTCTACAAAAACAACAACAACAAAAACACCAAAAAAAATTAGCTGCATGCCGTGGCATGTGCCTCTGCTTCCAACTACTCAAAAGGCTGAGGCAAGAAGATTGCTTGTGCCTGGAGCTTGAGGCTGCAGTGAACCTCAACAGTGCAGTGACTTGTGCCACTACACTGTAGCCTGGGTTACAGAGTGAGACCTCATCTGAAAAAAAATAAGAGTAAAAAATAAATACCTGAGGCTGAGTAATCTATAAATAAAAAAGGGTTATTTGGCTTATGATTTTGATGATTGGAAAGTTCAGGATTAGGCATCTGTATCTGGTGAGGGCATTAAGCTGCTTCCACTCATGGCAGAAGGCAAAGGGGAGCTGGCTTGTGCATGCAGAGATCACAAAGTGAGAGGAAGCAAGAGAGAGAGAGGGGCTAGTGGCAGGTCTCTTAACAACCGGCTCTCACTGGAAATAATAGAGTAAGAATTCCCTCACCCCCAGGGGAGGGCATTAATCTGTTCATGAGGGATTTACTCCTATGACCTAAACACCTCCCATTAGGCCCCACCTCCAATACTGGGGATCACATTTTAATGTGCAACTGGAGGGGACAGACATCCAAATCTTAGCAGATGGGGAACCCATCTGGATTATCTGAACTTTTTCTGATAAAGTTTCTTTGTTTGTAGATTCCTCTCTTTGGTGCTGACACTATTGGCCAGAGAAGTCCTGATGGACCGGTACTGAGCAAAGCTGAATTTGTTGAGAAAGTTCGTCAGAGTAATCAGGCCTGTCATGATGGAGATTTCCACACAGCTATTGTTCTGTATAATGAAGCCCTGGCTGTTGACCCTCAGAACTGCATCTTATACAGCAATAGATCTGCAGCCTACATGAAAATCCAGCAGTATGACAAGGCACTGGATGATGCAATCAAAGCTCGACTTCTCAATCCCAAGTGGCCAAAGGTAGAAATTTTTACCTATGAAGATTTATTTTCATAGAATCTTTTGTCCTGGCTTCTTACTTTAATGTAATATTTTGTTGATTTAGTGTACTTACTAATATTTTAATAATCTGTACTTCAGCAAAATATAAAATGACTTCCTTGAGCTGGTACACTAGCGAAAAGCTTCCTTTGTTTTTTTGTAGCATGCTTTCCATGTGCAAGTTTAATTCTTTTCCTGTATGTGTGAGATTTAAATTTTTTTTTATCTGTGCCGCTTGATAAGTAAGATACATTCTAGTTCTTTATATAGGTTTTGGAACATCTCTTTTTGAATGAATATTTTAGATGAAGTATGATGATGTTTCTTTCCTTCAATTTAAAATAATTAATTTCATTCTCTGTCAATGACTGTTTATTTTCAGAATGGTATTTAATCAGGGAAATTTCTGTTTTTTCTAATAAAGCATTGTAATTATCTGTATTCCCTTGAATAGTCCCCTTAAGTTACTATCTTTGTTTTTTATTATATATACTTTATTTTCAGTGTGCATACTCCTAACCTAACCCCTAGTTTCTTTTAGAAACAATTCCTTTCTTTTCCTTTCCTTTCTTTTCTTTTCCTTTCCTTTCCTTTTCTTTTTTCCTTTTTCCTTTTTTCTTTCTGAGACAAGGTCTTACTCTGTCACCAAGGCTGGAGTGCAGTGGTGCAATCTTGACTCACTGCAACCTCTGCCTCCTGAGTAGCTGGGACTACAGGTATGTGCCATCATGCCCGGCTAATTTTTGTATTTTTTATAGAAAGAGGGTTTCACCATGTTGCCCAGGCTGGTCTCGAACTCCTGAGCTCAAGCAATCTGCCTGCCTCGGTCTCCCGAAGTGCTGGGATAAAAGTGTGAGCCACCTTGCCCAGCAGAAACAATTTCTTAAGATGCTCCTGAAGCATAGAGGGTGGGGGATAGGAGAGGGGCGAAATGGGAGAATGTAGATCCAAGGATATAAAGTTGCAGATATATAGGATGAATAATTCTAGAGATCTAATGCACCACATGAGGACTATAGTTAATAATATTGTATTAGGGATAATTGCTAAGAGTAGATTTTAGGTTCTCTTATGACACAAACACACACAAAAAGGGTTACTATGTGAGATGATGAATATATTAATTCGACTACAATAATTACTTCACTTCATATAAGTAAGCAAAAATATCATGTTGTATACCTTAAATACATACAATAAAAAGAGATGTGATTGAAGTATTTGAGATATTTTCTATAGAACCACAAAACCATTTCATCCCATTAACAAAGGTTAATGGATATTTCCTAGAGATTTAAAATAGTTTCCTAATGTCTTATTAATAATATGCTGAAGGGCTGGGCATGGTGGCTCATGCCTATAATCTGAGCACTTTGGGAGGCTGAGGTGGGAGGATCCCTTGAGCCCCCAGGTTTGAGGCCAGACTAGGCAACATAGTCTCTACAAAAAATACAAAAATTAGCCAGGTATGGTGGCACTCACCTATATCCCCAGCTACTTGGGAGGCTGAGGTGAGAGGATTGCTTGAGCCCAGGAGGTAGAGGCTGCAGTGAGTCATGATTGCATCACTGCACTCTGGCCTGGGCAACAGGATGAGACCCTGTCTCAAATAATAATAATAAAAGTCATAGTACTTTATCCTTTGACTCTGATAGGTCTTCTTGGCCTCATTTAATGGAATTTCTAGTATTGCTGCTGCCTTGTGAATGGTTTACTATTGTGTAATTCCCTAAAGGATTACTTTTGTAACCATAATCATTCTAAATGAAACAAAAATTGTTGAGAAAAATTGTATATGGGCTGGGCACGGTGGCTTCACGCCTGTAATCCCAGCACTTTGGGAGGCTGAGGTAGGCGGATCACCTGAGGTCAGGAGTTTGAGACCAGCCTGGCCAACGTGGTGAAACCCCGTCTCTACTAAAAACACAAAAATTAGCTGGGCGTGGTGGCAGGCACCTGTAATCCCAGCTACTCGGGAGGTTGAGGCAGGAGAATTGCTTGAACCCAAGAGGCAGAGGTTGCAGTGAGCTGAGATCGCACCACTGCACTCCAGCCTGGGCAACAAGAGTGAAGAGTCTCAAAAAAAAAAAAAAAAGAAAAAGAAAAATTGTATGTGATACCATTTGCGAACTAGAGTGCTATTTTCAAAGCATAAACCTAGGTTCACATTCCTGTTCCTCCATTAATGACAATATGGTTTTGAGTAATCTCTTAACCTCTCTGAAGTTAAGATAAATGGGAATAATAATAATACCTATCTTGGAAGATTGTTGCTTAAGGATTGGAGATAATTTTTAACTTGTACATAGTAGATGTTTGGTAAGTAATAGCTATGATTGTGACATTTTTACTGAAGGTTTGAATTAGTAGATTATTCTAGCAAGGTTTTGCATATATATCTGCCTCTGTCTCTCTCTCTCTTTAAACCTGTAATTGATGCAGTGAGCCTTATAAATATGGAGAGCTTAATTTTCAAATTAAGTATCAATTCTTGTCCTTTTTTGATCCACTTGTGTTTTTCCTATATTTGTGAACGCCTTTAAACTTTTATCTTTTTCATTTTTCTTTATCATTTCTACTTCTCCTGGCACTTCTTGTGACTTCTACACCCCAAAAATGGCTTTTAAAAAGTGTACTTTTATTATTATAGACAAAAAATAATCACCCTTTTAGGATAATTTATATTATTGGTTTCTGATTTTTTCTCTTCACAGTAAGTGAAGTTATTGTATAGTCCATTTTACATTAATATTTTAGTTCTATATTTGGCTTTAAGCAAACCTAATTTAGGAACATTTAAAGTATATAAAATATAGAGTTCAAAATTGAAATCACAAAAGGTTCTTTTGAGGTAGTATGATAATAAAATTAATTTATAAAGAAATGTTCAGTACTGCAAAAGAATGTTTCCTTTTATAAAATCTTGATTTTATACTTATTTTTCTAGGCATATACTCATTAGGTAAAAGAAGATTCACTTACATTTTCTTGTTATAAATGTATATCTGGTGAAATTTTGTCAATTCCTTTTTCTTTTAATTTTTGCTTTTCTACTCTGGCTTTTTATTATAATGCTTTGCTTTTCTAAAGTCTTTATCTGAAATATTTTTGTCTAGTCTGATGTGTGAAAAGCTACCTTCCAATTTCTGTCTCTCTCCATAAGTATTAATTTTTTATGTAAGGATCTAAAGGCTCCAGAGACTAGATGGAGAATTTTTTATACATGTCTGTTTTATCTAAATGAGAAAATGATTTTGATGTGATATGGGCTGTAAAAGAGGTATGAACAAAGCACTATGGGAACCCACAAAAGCAATGAGTTCAGTCTGCAGGTACCTTATCTCCAGCTGCATGCTAGATGTTTTTTCTTTGATTTATCTTTATGTTTCTTCTTTTTATGTCCTATTTAAGAAACCTTTGTCTTCGCCAAGGTTACAAAGATTTTCTTCTAGAATTTTTATGTTTTTTGCCTTTAGGCCTATGATTTATTTTGAGTTAATTTTTAGTATTGTGTGAGATAAGAGTCAAAGTTAATTTTTTTCCAGATAATGATAACCATAATCCAGCAACATTTGTTTTAAAGATTATCCTTTCCACATTGAATTATCCTGGCACCTTTGTCACAAACCATTTGACCATATAAGTATGGAGTTATTACTAGATTCTCTATTTCACTGATTTCTGTGTATATATCTCAATGCCTTAACCATAATGCCTTAATTACTATAGATGTATGGTAAGTCTGATTATTAGGTATTGTAAGTCTTCCAACCTTGTTCTTTCTTTTTTCTAAGTTGTTTTGGCTATTCTATATTTTTGCATTTTTATATAAGTTGTAGAATCAGCTTATCAATTTCTTCAAAAAACCTTTCTGGAAATTAATGGGCTTACACTGAATTAGACCAGTTTGGAGAGAAATGCCATCTTAATGTTATTGAGTCTTTGAATCCATGAACATGGTGTATTCCTCCATTTACTTAGGCCTTCTTTTATTACCTTTGCAACTTTTTGTAGTTTTCAGTGTTCAGATCTTGCATGTCTTTTGTTAAATTTGTTTCTAAGTATTTTGGCTTTTGATACTATTATAAATGGAATAACTTTATCTTCTAACTTTCTATTGAGAATCTATAGAAATACAATGTATTTTCTGTACTTTGTGTCATGTGACCCTGTTAAATTTGCTTTTAATTTCTAGTAGGATTTTTGCAGATTCCTTGGGATTTTCTATGCACATGGTAATGTCTGCAGGTAATCACAATTCTGCTTCTTCCTTTCTTTTGTGTATGCCTTTTCTTTCTTTTTCTTTTTCTTCACTTTTTGCTCTATTGCGCTGGTTAGCATATCCGGTACAATGTTGACTAGAAGTCATGGGAGTGAACTTCCTTTACTCATTCCTGATCTTTGTGGGAAAGCATTGAGCTTCACATTGTTGAGCATGATGTCCTTAATCAGGTGGAGGATATTCCCTTTAATTTCTATTATGAGTGGGTGTCAAATTTTGTCTATTTTTTCTTCATCTATTGAAATTATAATTTTTTTAGCTAGCTGTTAATATGGTAAATTAAATTGATTTATTTGGGGATATTAAATCAACTAAATCAACTTTGGTTTTAATGGGGGTAAATTCCAGGTAGTCATTATGTATTATTCTTTTTGTTTATTGTTGGAAATGCTTTGCTAAAATTTCGTGAAGAATTTTTGCATCTATGTTTAAGAGAGATACTGATCTGTAGCCTTTTTTTTTCTCATGATGTATTTGTTTCGTTTTGGTATCGAAGTGATTCTGTCCTTATGTAATGAGTTGTAAAGTATTCTGTCTGTATTTTCTGAAAGAGTTTGTGTAGGATTGGCATTATTTCTTCCTTAAGTATTGGATAGAATTCACCAGTCAAGCCATATTTATCTTTATCTGTACTTTTCTTTGTTGGAAGGTTTTAATTATGAATTCAATTTCTTTGATTGATGTAGGGCTATTCAAATTTTCTAATTCTTTTTAGATCAGTTTTGGTAATTGTTTCTTTCAAGTACCTTTTCATTTAATCTAGGTTGTCAACTTTATTGGGATAAAGTTGTTAATATTCCTTTATTATCCTTTTTAATATCTGAAGAATCCATAGTGATGTTCGTTTTATCATTCTTGATTTTTTTTTTTTGAGACAGAGTCTTGCTCTGTTGCCCAGTCTGGAGTGCAGTGGTGTGATGTCAGCTCACTGCAAGCTCTGCCTCCCGGGTTCACGCCATTCTCCTGCCTCAGCCTCCTGAGTAGCTGGGGCTACAGGCACCTGCCACCACGCCTGGCTAATTTTTTGTATTTTTAGTAGAGACAGGGTTTCACCGTGTTAGCCAGCATGCATTCTTGATATTGTTAATCTGCCCTTTTCTGGTCAGTCTACCTAGAGATTTATCAATTCTATTCATCTTTCTAGACAATGAGTTATTAGTCTCATTGATTTTCTATATTGTAGTGCATTTTATCTTTCACTGATGTCTGCTGTTTATTATTTCCTTTTTTCTACTTTTTTTTGCATTTACTTTGCTCTTTGTTTTCATTTCTTAAGAAGAGAACATAGGCCATTGACTTTAGATCTTTCTTTTTTTTTAAAATATGAGCATTTATAGCTGAATATTTCTCTTTAAGCACTGTTTTTGCTGCATCTTACAAATTTTGACATGTATTTTAATTATTATTCAGTTCCATATTTTCCAATTTTCCTTGTAAACACATTATTGATCCATGGATTATTTAGAAGTTTGTTGTTTAATTTCCAAATATTTGTGTTTTCTTAGTTATCTTATTGTTGATTTCTAATTTACTTTCACTGTAGTCAAATAACATACTCTTTATAATATTAATGCTTTTAAATTTTCTGAGGTTTGTTTTATGGCCTTGCATGTGGTTTATCCTGGGAAATATACCATGAACACTTGGAAAGAACATGTATTCTGTATTTTTGAGGTGTAGTTCCATAGATATCAATGAAGTCCAGATGCTTAATCTTGTTGCTCATATCTTCTGTGTCTTTGCTGACTTTTTTTGTCTTGTTATTCTATTTGTCTTCATTGCTGGAATGAAGAAGTTAAAATCTTGAACTAAGATTTTGGAATTGGCTATTTATCCCTTTAATATTGTCAAGTTTTGCTTCATATATATTGAAGCTCTATTATTAACATATACACATAACATTATTATATCTTCTTGATAAATTGATCCTTTTACCGTTATGCAATGTATCTCTTTATCTGTGATAGTAAATTTTGTATTATAAACTATTTTGTCTGACCTGGGTGTGGTGGTGCATGCCTGTAGTCCCAGCTCCTTGGAAGGCTGAGGCAGGAGGATTCTTTGAGCTGAGGAGTCTAGCCTGGGCAACATAGTGAGATCATGTCTCTTAAAAAATATCTATTTTGGGCCGGGCATGGTGGCTCACACCTGTAATCCCAGCACTTTGGGAGGCCGAGGTGGGTGGATCACCTGAGGTTAGGAGTTCGAGACCAGCCTGGCCAACATGGCAAAACCCCATCTCTACTAAAAAATACAAAAATTAGCTCGGTGTGGTGGCAGGCGCCTGTAATCTCAGCTACTAGGGAGGCTGAGGCAGGAGAATCGCTTGAACCCGGGAGGCAGAAGTTGCAGTGAGCCGAGATTGTGCCATTGCACTCCAGCCTGGGAGACAGAGCAAGACTCTGTCTCAAAAAAAAAAAATCTATTTTGTCTGATATTAATATAGACATTCCAGCCTTCTACTTACTCTTTGCATTATATATTTTCTTCTGTTTATATATTTTCAACTTGTCTGTGCCTTTACATTTAACATTCATCTCTTTTGGACAACATATAGTTGTGTCTTGCTTTTTAAATCAAGCTTGTCAATTTCTGCCAAAATTGGACTTTTTTCTTCATTTATTTTTAATGCAATTATTGCTTTTAACTTTGCGTCTACCATTGTATTATTCCTTTTTAATTTGTCCTTTCTGTTTTTGTCCCTCTGATATTCTTTTCATGCTATTTATTGGTTTATTTGAATACTTTCTAGAGTTGATTTTTTTTTTCTTTTGAGAAAGTTTTCAATTGTTGATATTTGACAGGTAATTATCTTGGTTAGACTAGAACTGCAAACTCTGTTTCTTAAGTGGAAGCTCTGGTCTCAGTTCAAATATTTTGTGTTTTGTTGAACTGCTTTGAAATTTGTTCCGTACATGTGTGACTCAGTGGTTAGCCAAAGATGTGAGTAGACAGAATTTGGGTCTTTCTTTTCTGATTCTTTTCTTTCTGGAATCCCCTTCCCCCTTGGCCAAAGGCTGTGGTTTTCTGACCTTCAGTGTTCTAGTTCCTCAGGCCAGAAAAACTATTTTTCTACCAGTATTTCTGTACCCTTGCTTACCATTCTTACAGTACCTGACCCTTGCACCTTGAAAATGGGGACTCACTTTACAGCTTTCTTCCTCCAAAATCTGCCTGCTTCTCTTCACTCGTTAGTACTTTCAGGTAGCTTTTTAAAATATTATGTCTAGACTTTACAGTTGTTTTCTGGGTTGGGGTGAGTCCAGCAGGATCTCCCCTAGCCAGTCTCTACTGGAAGTAAAAGTGATATATTTTCAGTGATTTAATGATTCTCTTGATGTTTTGAGTTCTCCCACTAGGTTCATTTCTTCCAGTTAGCTAGTCTCATACATTTAAGATATTTATCTTATTTCATTTTCATTCTCTGCATCAAATTGGTAAATAATTCCTTCATACTCTTTTTCTTTTCTTTTCTTTCTTTCTTTCTTTTTTTTTTTTTTTTTTTTAAGAGACAGTCTTGCTCTGTCACCCAGGCTGGAGTGCAGCAGTGCCATCATGGCTCACTACAGTTTTGAACTCCTGGGCTCAGGTGATCCCCCTGCCTCAGCCTCCTGAGTAGCTGGGACTACAGGCATGTGCCATCATACCTAGCTATTTTTTTTAAACTTTTTATTTTTTTTATTATTATTATTTTTTTTTAGTGGTAGGGTCTTGCTGTGTTGCCCAGGCTGGTCTCAAACTCCTGGACTCAGATGATTCTTCTGCCTTGGCCTCCTGAAGTGCTGGGATTATAGTCATGAGCCATGAGGCCCAGCCTTTTTTCTTAAATGTATTTCATATATATCTTACACAGTTTGTTTCTATTAGCACCAACCTAACAGAGCCAGTATTATAGTTCAGGTTCTTATAGTTTCATTCTTACTTTGTTGTGATAACCTTTTATTGTAACATTGTTCTTGTTCAAAATCTTTTGTTGCTCAGTGTTGTCAGTTGGATTGATAGTCAAGATTCTGCTCCAGTGGTCACATTTCTTCCTTTAGGAGGAGTCTTCAAAAAGTTTGTGGAAAATTGGAATTAAAAAATAAACACAAAAGGTACAAACTTTATTTCTCAACATAAGCTCAATAATGTTGAAGACACTTTTGTAAGCAGTGATACCAGCCATTTAGTCTATCCTTGTAGAACTGAGCATTCTGGAATGTAACCATGTCGAAACAGTCTTTTTTACATTATCAACTAAAGAAAAATGGGTTCTCTTTAAATATGTTTTTAAGATTAAGAAACAAAAAGCAGCCAGAAGGAGCCAAATCAGGACTTTAAGGTAAATGCCTAATTTCCAACTGAAACTCTTGAGAAATTTCCCTCTTTTGAGGAGAGGAATGAGCAGGAACATTGTCATGGTGGAGGACTCTGTGAAGCTTTCCCAGGCATTTTTCTGCGACATCTTTGGCTAACTTTCTCAAAACACTCTCATGATAAGCAGATGTTATTGTTCTTTGGCCCGGTAGAAAGTCAGCAGGCACAACGCCCTGAGCACCCTTAAGAACTGTTGCCATGACCTTTGCTCTTCACTGGTCTGCTTTTGCTTTGACTGGACCACTTCTACATTTTGGTAGCCATTGCTTTGGTTGTGCTTTGTCTTCAGGATCACACTGGTAAAGCCATGTTTCATCTCTGGTTACAATTCTTCAAAGAACTGTGTTAGGATCTCTATCCCACTTGTTTAAAATTTCCATTGAAAGCTCTGCTTTTGTCTGTAGCTGATCTGGTACAACAGTTTTGGCACTGCCGAGTGCAAAGTTTGCTCAACTTTAATTTTTCAGTCAGAATTATGTAAGCTGAACCAGTTGAGCTGTCTATGATGTTGGCTATTGTTTCTTTCTTTCTTTTTTTTTTTTTGAGACAGAGATTTGCTCTGTTGCTCAGGCTGGCGTGTGGTGGCAGAGACTCAGCTCACTGCCACCTCTGCCTCTCTGGTTCAAACAGTTCTCCTGCCCCAGCCTCCTGAGTAGCTGGGATTACAGGTGTGCACCACCATACCCAGCTAATTTTTATATTTTTAGTAGAGACAGGGTTTCACCATGTTGGTCAGGCTGGTCTCGAACTCCTGACCTCGTGATCCACCTGCCTCGACCTCCCAGAGTGCTGGGATTACAGGCGTGAGCCACTGTGCCCGGCCGATGTTGGCTATTGTTTCTCCTGCTAGTTGTTGATCCTCTTCAATTAGAGCAGGAATAAGATGGTTTTTTTCATTGTAAATTGATGCAGATGATCTGCTGCTGTGGACTTTATCTTCAATGTGGTCTTGTCTCTTCTTAAAATAAGTTATCTATTTGTAAACTGTTGATTTCTTTGCGCATGGTCCCCATAATTTCTTTGTAAAGCATCTATTATTTTACCATTTTTCCACCCTGGCTTTACTATAAATTCGATGTTTGTTTTGCTTTGCTTTGATTTTAGCAGAATTTATGTTGCTCTGATAGGGACTGTTTCTAAACTTATGTTTTATTCTTCGTAGTGCCTCAAACTAGACCCTGTTCAGACATGTTACAACAAGTTAGTTTGAGTTCATTTTGATGCAGAAATTTTTTGAAATCTATGCATAATTTTTGCATAATACACATTTTCCATGAGCTTTTTGAAGACACTTTGTATTTCTTACTATTCTGCTGACAAACATGCTCTCCTTTTCCTTTTTTCTTCCTCCTCATTTATGTCAATTGATGTACAGTGGTAACTGAAATTTGAATTGTGTTGTTAGGGGACTGGTGTTATTTAATTGTGATAACTGAAATTCATGTATATTGGCATAATACGCATGTGAAGTGAAGTCTGCTAGTACTTTGGAATTCAATCTAGGTTTGTTCCTCCTTATTAGCTGAAGTCTTTGACAGGTTGCTATACCTCCCTAAGCTTCCATTTTTCCATTTGTATCTGGGTTAACATTACATATCTTGAAGTGTTGTAGTGAGGATTAAATAAAATGTTAGGCACGTAGCACAGAGTTTTTTATATACAAGTTATTTAATACATCATGGTTATTAATGTGATGATCATCATGATGGTAATAATCACTCTGTATTTATATATACATGCTTTTTAGTAAAACTATCCAGTTCTTTTTTGAGCATTTTTCTTTCCTTTATAATAATCTCAGTAATCTTCTGAATCCTTAAAATTCCTATTGATTAGCTTTATAAGTTTTTTAATGTGTTGATTCCAAAATGGATAAAGCATTCTGTTCAGGTATTTCTGTTGCAGAGGGAAAAGGAAGAATTATTTTTCACCACATATATAGAATATATATGCTTGTGAATAGTTTATCAGATCCTATTAATATAGGATCCTATAAGTGTAGCTCACTGTTTAATATGTGTGATATATTTTCTTTATTTCAATTCAAAAACATCGATTGGGCATTTACTATAAGCAAGCACTGTTTATTTTGCTGCTGTCTTCTCTGGTAATGGTATTTAGTTGATTTTTTTTCTTGTTAATTTGGCATTTTGAGCTTTTTCATTGTTTCGATATCCTACCTCTTTGCTATGTTTTTTTTTTTTTTTTTTGGAGACAGAGTCTTGCTCTGTCACCCAGGCTGGAATGCAGTGGCACGATCTCAGCTCACTGCAACCTGTGCTTCCCAGGTTCAAACGATTCTCCTGCCTCAGCCTCCCCAGTAGCTGGGATTACAGGCATGCGCTACCACGCCCGGCTAATTTTTATATTTTTAGTAAAGACAGGGTTTCACTATGTTGGCCAGGCTGGTTTCAAGCTCCTAACCTCAGGTGATCCACCTGCCTCAGCCTCCCAAAGTGCTTGGATTACAGGCGTGAGCCACTGCACCCGGCCTGGTTTTTTCATTTAGATGTATTTTTGGTTTGCACTTGTGTCCACTAACTTTTGCTCTATAAAAAATCACTCCAAAACTTAGTGGCTTAAAATAACAACCATTGATTGATTGATTGATTGATTGAGATGGAGTTTTTGCTCTTGTTGCCCAGGCTGGAGTGCAGTGGTGCAATCTTGGCTCACTGCAACCTCTGTCTTCTGGGTTCAAGCAATTCTCCTGCCTCAGCTTCCCAAGTATCTAGGATTACAGGCACCCACCACCACGCCTGGCTAATTTTTTTGTATTTTTAGTAGAAATGGAGTTTCATCATGTTGGCCAGGCTGGTCTCGAACTTCTGACCTCAGATGATCCACCTGCCTCGGCCCCCCAAAGTGCTGGGATTGCAGGCGTGAGCCACCATGCCCGGCCAACAACAGCCATTTATTTTGTAGGTCAGCTGAGTGACTCTTCTGGACTGGGCCGACTCAACTGATCTCTGCTGGTCTTTCTCATGTGTTTCAGGTAAACTAGAAGTTTGGCTGGTGATTAGAATATCTAGGACAGTCTCATATTTCTGGCAGTTGGTGTGCTTTTGGCCAGGAGAACAATGGCAACTGGGCCATGTGTCTGTCATCATCCAGCAGATTTTGCTGGGGTTCTTTGCATGGCAGTTGTCAAATTCCAAGAACCGTAAGAGAATGCAAACACAATTGTATAGCTCTATTAAAGTCTGTTTGTACTGCATTTGTTATTCTCCCATTGGCCAAAGCAATTCATATGGCCAAGCCCAAAGCAGAAGAGGAAGAATTTGTGACTGTTCTTATAATTCACCTCAGTATTCTTTGTCAGTTCATATGCATATTAAGGTACATATTCATGTACCTTCATTCGTAGACCATATCATATGCCCCCTTTATTTCTTTTCTTGAGATAGGGTCTCACTCTGTCAGCCAGGCTGGAGTGCAGTGGTCACTGCAGCCTGAAACTCCCAGGCTCAAAGGATTCTCCACAGTAGCTGGGACTACAGTGTGTGCTAATTGTTAGCACACAGGACCACACCTGGCTAACTTAATTTTTTTTTTTTTTTCAAAAAAAGTTCTCCCTGTGTTACCCATGGTCTTGAACACTGGGGCTCAAGTGATCCTCCTGCCTTGGCCTCCCAAAGTGCTGGGATTACAGGCGTGAGCCACCAAGACCTGTCTCATATCCCTTTTTAATTATATCTACTTTAATTTACCTTTTTATCCTTTATCTTTCTGTTTTGGAATTTTCTTGAATCCCCTCTTTTCAGATAAGTCAGTTGCAAAGTAGTTATTATTACTTTAGTGTGAATAATGAGTTACAGAAATGGTTATGTTCTTCAAGGATATCTTCAAGGGTCAGTGGAAAAGAACCCAAAGGAATGGTGAATTTTCATATGGTATAACACTACATAAAGGAGGATTTCATAGTGGGACTCTCCTATTAATTTTAAAGTACATGATAAAATACCTCCTCTTTCTGCATGGATTTAAAGCTTTTCTTGTATTCTTGTTCACTGATTACACCTGATGACAGAATTTTTTTTTTTTTTGAGACAGGGTCTTGCTCTGTCACCCATGCTGGAGTGCAGTGGCATGATCACAGCCCACTGCAGCCTCTACATCCCAGGCTTAAGTGATCCTTCTGCCTCAGACTCCCAAGTAGTTGGGACTGCAGGCGCATGCCACTACGACTAATTTTTGTATTTTTGTAGAGACGGGGTTTCACTGTGTTGCCCAAGCTGGTCTCAAACTCTTGAGCTTAAGCAGTCCACTTGCCTTGGCCTCCCAAAGTGCTTGGATTACAGGCATGAACCACTGTGTCTGTCTGTGATGACAGAATTCTATCATCAGGTATAATACCTGAATACAGAATATTATACTTTATCTGTCAAGTATTATATCTGATGACAGTGTCACACTAAGAAAAAATGTTTAAACATATCTTGACCTCATGTTTCCCTTTGGTTTACCTAGTATTATAATAGTAATAAAATATAATAGCTCTTATTGAATGCTTATTATGACAAGCTAGTTCAAATCCTTCTATTTGCAATACCAATTTTATACTCACAATAATCTTGTGAGGTAGATATCATTTTTATCACTACTTTATAAAAGAGAACATTTATACTTAGTGGGAGATTGTATACTTGTCTAGGACATCTAGTTAGTAACTGGAAGATTTGGACTTAAACCCAGGTTGATGTGATTCTGAAGACTTTGTCGTTAATTACTATACCATACTACTTCCCTGGACAAAGGAGTCCATTGTTTAAGAACTCAAGAATCCAGAATTCTCTTTCAAGTTCTAACACCGATATGTCCAAATGATGTTGCAGAGACTATTCAATTTTAGTTTCCTATAATATAAACCAGAGTCTGAGATTGCAATTTACTGATTTTTTTCTCTAATTCAAGTCTGCTTTTGAGTCCCTCTAGTGAATTTTTTAAAATTACACTTTAAGCTCTGGGGTACATGTGCAGAATGTGCAGGTTTGTTACATAGGTATACACATCCCATGGTGGTTTGCTGCACCCAATCAACTTGTCATCAAGATAAGGTATTTCTCCTAATGCTATCCTTCCCCTAGCCCCCCACCCCCCTACAGGCCCCGATGTGTGATGTTTCCCTCCCTGTGACCATGTGTTCCATTGTTGAACACCCACTTATGAGTGCAAACATGTGGTCTTTGGTTTTCTGTCCTTGTGTTAGTTTGCTGAGAATGATGGTTTCCAGCTTCATCCATGTCCCTGCAAAGGACACGAACTCATCCTTTTTTATGGCTGTGTAGTATTCCATGGTGTATATGTGCCACGTTTTATCCAGTCTATCATTGATGGGCATTTGGGTTGCTTCCAAGTCTTTGCTATTGTGAATAGTGCTGCAATAAACATACGTGTGCATGTGTCTTTATAGCAGCATGATTTATAATCCTTTGGGTATATACCCAGTAATGGGATGGCTGGGTCAAACGGTATTTCTAGTTCTAGATACTTGAGAAATTGCCACACTGTCTTCCAAAATGGTTGAACTAGTTTACAGCCCACCAACAGTGTAAAAGTGTTCCTATTTCTCCACATCCTCTCCAGCATCTGTTGTTTCCTGACTTTTTAATGATCACCATTCTAACTTGTGTGAGATGGTATCTCATTGTGGTTTTGATTTGCATTTCTCTGATGGCCAGTGATGATGAGCATTTTTTCATGTAACTGTTGGCTGCATAAATGTCTTCTTTTGAGAAGCGTCTGTTCATATCCTTTGTCCACTTTTTGATGGGGTTTTTTGTTTTTTTTCTTGTAAATTTGTTTAAGTTCTTTGCAGATTCTGGATATTATTAGCCCTTTGTCAGATGGATAGATTGCAAAAATTTTCTCCCATTCTGTAGGTTTCCTGTTCACTCTGATGATAGTTTCTTTTTGCTGTGCAGAAGCTCTTTAGTTTAATTAGATCCTATTTGTCAATTTTGGCTTTTGTTGCCGTTGCTTTTGGTGTTTAAATCATGAAGTCTTTGCCGAAGCCTATGTCTTAAATGCTGTTGCCTAGGTTTTCTTCTAGGGTTTTTATGGTTTTAGGTCTTAGGTTTAAGTCTTTAATCCATCTTGAGTTAATTTTTGTATAAGGTGTAAGGAAGGGGTCCAGTTTCGGTTTTTTGCATATGGCTAGCCAGTTTTCCCAGCACCATTTATTAAATAGGGAATCCTTCCCCCATTGCTTGTTGCTGTCAGGTTTGTCAAAGATCAGATGGCTGTAGATGTGTGGCATTATTTCTGAGGCCTCTGTTCTGTTCTGTTGATCTATATATCTGTTTTGGTACCAGTACCATGCTGTTTTGGTTACTGTAGCCTTGTAGTATAGTTTGAAGTCAGGTAGTGTGATGCCGCCAGGTTTGTTCTTTTTGCTTAGGATTGTCTTGGCTATGTGGGCTCTTTTTGGTTCCATATGAAATTTAAAGTAGTTTTTTCTAATTCTGTGAAGAAAGTTAATGGTAGCTTGATGGGGATAGCATTGAATCTATAAATTACTTTGGGCAGTAGGGCCATTTTCACAATATTGATTCTTCCTATCCATGAGCATGGAATGTTTTTCCATTTATTTGTGTCTTCTGTTATTTCCTTGAGCAGTGTTTTGTAGTTCTCCTTGAAGAGGTCCTTCACATCCCTTATAAGTTGTATTCCTAGATATTTCATTCTCTTTGCAGCAGTCGTGAGTGGGAGTTCACACATGATTTGGCTCTCTGTTTGTCTGTTATTGGTGTATAGGAATGCTTGTGATTTTTGCACATTGATTTTGTATCCTGAGACTTTGCTGAAGTTGCTTATCAGCTTAAGGAGATTATGGGCTAAGATGATGGGGTTTTCTAAATATACAATCATGTCATCTGGAAACAGAGACAATTTGACTTCCTCTTTTCCTATTTGAATGCTCTTTATTTCTTTCTCTTGCCTGATTTCTCTGGCCAGAACTTCCAATACTGTGTTGAATAGGAGTGGTGAGAAAGGGCATCCTTGTCTTGTGCCGGTTTTCAAAGGGAATGCTTCCAGTTTTTGCCCATTCAGTATGACATTGGCTGTGGGTTATCATAAATAGTTCTTATTATTTTGAGATATGTTCCATCAATACCTAGTTTATTGAGAGTTTTTATCATGAAGGAGTGTTGAATTTTGTTGAAGGCCTTTCCTGCATCTATTGAGATAATCATGTGGTTTTTGTCTTTGATTCTGTTTATATGATGGATTTATTTATTTGCGTATGTTGAACCAGCCTTGCATCCCAGGGATGAAGCCCACTTGATCATGGTGGATAAGCTTTGTGATGTGCTGCTGGATTTGGTTTGCCAGTATTTTATTGAGGATTTTTGCATCGATGCTCATCAGGGATATTGGTCTAAAATTCTCTTTTTTTGTTGTGTCTCTGCCCATTTTTGGTATCAGGATGATGCTGGCTTCATTAAATGAGGTAGGGAGGATTCCCTCTTTTTCTATTGTTTGGAATAGTTTCAGAAGGAATGGTACCAGCTCCTCTTTGTAACTGTAGTAGAATTTGGCTGTGAATCCATCTGGTCCTGGACTTTTTTTGGTTGGTAGGCTATTAATTACTGCCTTAATTTCAGAACTTGTTATTGGTCTATTCAGGGATTCAACTTCTTCTTGGTTTAGTCTTGGGAGGGTGTATGTGTCCAGGAATTTATCCATTTCTTCTAGATTTTTTAGTTTATTTGCATAGAGGTGTGGGATCAGTGATGATATCCCCTTTATCAATTTTTATTGTGTTTTTTTGATTCTTCTCTCTTTTCTTCTTCATTAGTCTGGCTAGCGGTCTATCTATTTTTGTTGATCTTATCAAAAAACCAGCTTCTGGATTCATTGATTTTTTGAAGGGTTTTTCATGTCTCTATCTCCTTCAGTTCTGCTCTGATCTTAGTTATTTCTTGTCTTCTGCTAGTTTTTGAATTTGTTTGCTCTTGCTTCTCTAGTTCTTTTAATTGTGACGTTAGAGTGTCAATTTTAGATATTTTTTGCTTTTTCTCATGGGCATTTAGTGCTATAAATTTCTCTCTAAACACTACTTTAAATGCGTATCAGAGATTCTGGCACATTGTGTCTTTGTTCTCATTGGTTTCAAAGAACATCTTTATTTCTTCCTTAATTTCGTTATTTACCCAGTAGTATTCAGGATCAGGTTGTTCAGTTTCCATGTAGTTGTGTGGTTTTGAGTGACTTTCTTAATCCTGAGTTCTAATTTGATTGCACTATGGGCCGAGAGACTGTTTGTTATGATTTCCATTCTTCTGCATTTGCTGAGGAGTGTTTTACTTCCAACTATGTGGTCAATTTTGGAATAAGTGTGATGTGTGATGTGGTGCTGAGAAGAATGTATATTCTGTTGATTTTGGGTGGAGAGTTCTGTAGATGTCTATTAGGTCTGCTTGGTCCAGAGCTGAGTTCAAGTCCTGAATATGCTTGTTAATTTTCTGTCTCATTGATCTGTCTAATATTGACCGTGGGGTATTAAAGTCTCTCACTTTTATTGTGTGGGAGTCTAAGTCTCTTTGTAGGTCTCTAAGGACTTGCTTTATGAATCTGGGTGCTCCTGTATTGGGTACATATATATTTAGGATAGTTAGCTCTCTTGTTGCAGTGATCCCTTTACCATTTCGTAATGGCCTTCTTTGTCTCTCTTGATCTTTGTTGGTTTAAACTCTGTTTTATCAGAGACTAGGATTGCAACCCCTGCTTTTTTTTGCTCTCCATTTGCTTGGTAAATATTCCTCCATTCCTTTATTTTGAGCCTATGTGCGTCTTTGCATGTGAGATGGGTCTCCTGAATACAGCACACCAATGGGTCTTGACTCTTTATCCCATTTGTCAATCTGTGTCTTTTAAATGGGGCATTTAGCCCATTTACATTTAAGGTTAATCTTGTGTGAATTTGATCCTGTCATTATGATGCTATCTGGTTATTTTGCCCGTTAGTTGATGCAGTGCTTCCTTCAGGAGCTCTTGTAAGGCAGGCCTGCTGGTGACAAAATCTCTTGCATTTGCTTGTCTAAAATGATGAGTTCATGTCCTTTGTAGGGACATGGATGAAATTGGAAACCATCATTCTCAGTAAACTATCGCAAGAACAAAAAACCAAACACCGCATATTCTCACTCATAGGTGGGAATTGAACAATGAGATCACATGGACACAGGAAGGGGAATATCACACTCTGGGGACTGTGGTGGGGTAGGGGGAGCGGGGAGGGATAGCATTGGGAGATATACCTAATGCTAGATGACATGTTAGTGGGTGCAGCGCACCAGCATGGCACATGTATACATATGTAACTAACCTGCACAATGTGCACATGTACCCTAAAACTTAGAGTATAATAAAAAAAAAAAAAAATTAAAAAAAAGGCTTTTATTTCTCCTTCACCTATGAAGCTTAGTTTGGCTGGATATGAAATTATGGGTTGAAAATTCTTTTCTTTAAGAATGTTGAATATTGGCCCCCACTCTGTTCTGGCTTGTAGGGTTTCTGCAGAGAGATCTGCCGTTAGTCTGATGGGCTTCCCATTGTGGGTAACCTGACCTTTCTCTCTGGCTGCCCTTAACATTTTTTCCTTCATTTCAACCTTGGTAAATCTGACGATTATGTGTCTTGGGGTTGCTCTTCTCGAGCAGTGTCTTAGTGGTGTTCTCTGTATTTCCTGAATTTGAATGTTGGTCTGGGTTGGGGAAGTTCTCTTGGATAATATCCTGAAGAGTGTTTTCCAACTTGGTTCCATTTTCCTCATCACTTTCAGGTACAACAATCAAACATAGATTTGGTCTTTTCACATAGTCCCATATTTCTTGGAGGCTTTGTTCGTTCCTTTTCCTTCTTTTTTCTCTAATCTTGTCTTCTCACTTTATTTCATTAAGTTGATCTTCCATCTCTGATATTTTTTCTTCCGCTTGATCGATTCAGCTATTGATACTTGTGTATGCTTCATGAAGTTCTCATGCTGTGTTTTTCTGCTTCATCAGGTCATTTATGTTCTTCTCTAAGCTGGTTATTCTAGTTGGCAATTTGTCTGACCTTTTTTCAAGGTTCTTAGCTTCCTTGCATTGGGTTTGAAAATGATCCTTTGGCTTGAAGGAGTTTGTTATTACCCACCTTCTGAAGCCTACTTCTGTCAATTTGTCAAACTCATTCTCTGTCCAGTTTTGTTCCCTTGCTGGTGAGGAGTTGTGATCCTTTGGAGGAGAAGAGGCGTTCTGGTTTTTGGAATTTTCAGCCTTTTTGTGCTGGTTTCTCCCCATCTTCATGGATTTATCTACCTTTGGTCTTTGATGGTGTCTCCAAGTGGACGTCCTTTTTTGTTGATGTTGATGCTATTCCTCTCTGTTTGTTTTCCTTCTAACAGTCAGGCCCCTCTGCTGCAGGTCTGTTGGAGTTTGCTGGAGGTCCACTTTAGACCCTGTTTGCCTGAGTATCACCAGCAGAAGCTGCAGAACGGCAAAGATTGCTGCCTGTTCCTTCCTCTGGAAGCTTCTTTCCAGAGGGGCACCCGCCAGATGCCAGCTAGAGCTTTCCTGTATGAGGTGTCTGTTGGCCTCTACTGGGAGGTATCTCCCAGTCAGGACACATGGGAGTCAGGGACGGACTTGAGGAGGCAGTCTGACCTGTAGCCGAGCTTGAATGCTGTGCTGGGAGATCTGCTGCTCTCTTGAGAGCTGTCAGGCAGGGACGTTTAAGTCTGCTGAAGCTGCACCCATGGCCACACCTTCCCCCACATGCTTTGTCCCAGGAAGATGGGGGTTTTATCTATAAGCCCTTGACTGGGGCTGCTGCCTTTTTTTCAGAGATGCCCCGCCCAGAGAGGAGGAATCTAGAGAGGCAGTCTGGCCACAGTGGCCTTGCTGAGCTGTGGTGGGCTATACCGAGTTTGAACTTCCTGGTGGCTTTGTTTACACTGTGAGGGTAAAACTGCCTTCTCAAGCCTCAGCAAAGGTGGACACCTGTCTCCCCACCAAGCTTGAGTGTCCCAGGTCGACCTCAGACTGCTGTGCTGGCAGTGAGAATTTCAAGTCAGTAGATTTTAACTTGCTGGGCTCCGTGTGGGTGGAACCCACCAAGCCAGACCACTTGGCTGCCTGGCTTCAGCCTCCTTTCCAGGGGGAGTGAATGGTTCTGTCTCACTGGCATTCCAGGCGCCACTGGGATATGGAAAAAAAAAAACAAACAAACTCCTGCAGCTAGCTCGGTGTCTGTCCAAATGGCCACCCAGTTTTGTGCTCGAAACCCAGGGCCCTGGTGGCATAGGCATCGGAAGGAATCTCCCAGTCTGTGGGTTGCAAAGACCATGAGGAAAGTGCAGTATCTGGGCCGGAGTCCACTGTTCACAGCCCCTCATGGCTTCTCTTGGCTAGGGCAGGGAATTCCCCGACCCCTTGTGCTTCCCGGGTAAGGCGACGCCTCACCCTGCTTCAGCTTGCCCTCTGTGGGCTGCACCCACTGTCCAACGAGTCCTAATGAGATGAACCAGGTACCTCAGTTGGAAATGCAGAAATCACCTGCCTTCTGCATCGATCTTGCTAAGAGCTGCAGACCGTAGCTGTTCCTATTTGGCCATCTTGCCAGCAATCCCTGTGAATTTTTTATTATGTATTTTTTAATTCTGGAATTATTTGGTTTTTCAAAAAACATACTTTCTTTTTATTGATATTCTCCATTTGGTAAGATATTGCTCACGTTTTCCCTTAATTCTTTAGACATAGTTTCCATTGACAATGTTTTTAATGGCTAATTTAGTATCTTCGTCTAGTAAGTCCAGTATCTTGATTTTCTTATCATGAACAGTTTCTATTACTGCTTTTTTTCCCCCAGTGTATGGGCAGTACTTTCCTGTTTCTATTTGTGTTTCATCTTTTTTTTGGTTGAAAACTGGACATTTTAGGTAATATAATGTGGCAACTTTGGAAATCAGCTCTCCCCCTCTCCCAGAGTTTGTTGTTGTTGTTATTGGCTTTTGTGTGTTAGTGACTTTCCTAAACTAACTCTTTAAAATCTCTATTCTTTGTCATGTGTATCTACTGAAGTCTGCTCAGGTAGCGTAGTCCTCAGCTTGATAGAGATTCCTTAAATGCCTTGAACTACTAAGTTTCTCAGCCTTTGCCAAACAGTTCCCTGTGTGTGTTTGGGCACACCTTCAGCACTCTGGTAGATTACAACTCTTAGCCTTCACTTCCCATTTATGTAGAACCTCAAGGACAGCCAGATGAGAGATTAGGAGCTTCTTAGGTCCTTCTTGGGAATGCACACAGTACTGCACATTTTTAGATTCCGAGGGATATTTTGGAGTTTTAAAAGCTCCCTAGGGACATCTCATTATCCAGATTTTTCTTTTAAAGTTTTTAATTAAACTCTTGTTTACCTGATATGTATTGCTGCATCAGGCAGTTGTGATGTTAAGCAGTTGCCACTGATTTTATTTGACAGATGCCCTGTGAAGAGGGTTGTTCACACAGCTACCTCTGAGTTAGGCCGAATACAGTCTTGTGAATGGAACTTCTCTAGGAAGCTGCCAGACAGGTCAAATAGTGGTAATTTTCTGGGGGTGGGGTATTTTGAAGAGGTCCAAACAATTTTGACCCCTCTGTTTACTCCTAAGCTTTTGGTTTTCATACCCATTTTGGTGAGAAGGCTGCTGGTTTTCAAGTCGATCACATAGGTGAGGAAAAAGGGATAGAAATAGTGCAAGTTAAAAACCCCACAAAGCTTGCTGCTTTTACTGAGACTCAGCTGTTTCTTTTGAAGAAACACTTCTTGTGTTGGTACAGTTTGTTGGTTAATTTCCAAAATCTTGAAAAAGTTGATTTTGACAAGTTCTGTTAGTGTTCTCATTGCTTTTGTGGAAGAGCAGATTTTTGGAAGGCTTTACTCTGCCATTTTGGAAGTGTTTTTCCACAGTTTAATTTATGGGAAAGTATAAACAACCACTGTGAGGGAAATGGAAAGTAGGAGAGTGAAAGCAGAAGCAGGGAGGCTAATGATGAAGCTAACTTGGACTAGAGTAGTGGTGGTAGAAATAGAGAGAACCTGAGGGATTTGGGATATGCTTTGTAAAGACTTAGTGAACTTGATGAGTGAAAGGCAGATCCTCATAACAATCATCTGCTATAGGTGGTACTATCTGTATTTTAAAGGTAAAGTAAGATTCAGGGAGATTTAAGTAGTTCGCCCAGAGTTACAGAGTGAGGAAAAAAATCAGAATTAGAACCTCTACTTACCTATTCCAAAAGTCTTAACATCTGTGCATGCTGTTTTGTGACATTAAAAAAATCAGTTATGAGTCAAACACTGTATTCAGAATAAATATTTACAATAAAATTGTCTTATGTAATTATTTGCATAATTTTAGTCTTGTTTTTAAGGAGATGAAAATTCAGTTTTTCAGCTTTGTATAGATGGAATGATAATCAGGAGAGGGAATTTTTTCATATGTAAAAAAGTGATGCTTTCTTTAAATTTAAGCAAAAGTTTATATTCTAACTATGGGAGAGAAAAAATACATTTACTTCTACACTTCCAAGTTCTCAAGTACGGCCCCTATGACAAATGAGATTAGCAAGATAAAAACATATAAGTGTATTTAACCCAAGTTTTACATGACATGAGAGCCTTCATAAGGAAATGAAAACCCAAATAAATAGTTAAGCTTGAGCATTTTTATGCTAGGTTTGATAAGGAGTGGAAAGTTGTGAAAAAATGTGACAGGACGATGCAGGTATGAGCTAGAGGTAATAAACTGGGGAGAAACTTATCAAGGCCTGTTTGGGCTCTTCTCAGTATCCCTCTGTCTTCACAGAGAAGGATATTCCTTTCCATCAGGTTTAAGGAGGGTCTTATGAGCTGCTTCAGAGGAAGGTCAGAGAGTTCTTCCAGCACTTACCATTTCTCAAATTACTTCAGCTTAAAATACTTGATATGCCTAGGTGCGACATTTTGGAGTAGCTACCTGTCACCACCATGAACTAAATCCATCAAAGGCAATGGGCACTTCTTTTCATGTTATGGATTTCATTACCAGAACAATTGTTATTACCTGTTTATCTTTGGCAATAAATGGTTTGTTGTTATTATATAGTCCATTATTTTATATGTGTTAAAGACATGATTTTATGACAGGCTTATAATTTGTATGCGTTTGAATCTATGCTCAGGTCTTTTTGGTCAGTCTGTACATTGCATGTATATACATACACACACATATAAATTTTTAAAATTACAAAAGTAACTCAAAGTTACTTTTGGAAAAATTTCAAACAATAAAAATTATATTTCCCTCATGTCTGTTGCTCACCCCATTCCCCATTCCAGTCCCTAGAGTTAACTATTTTTATTCAGTTTGAATATTTTTTGAGACCTTTTACAATATATCTGTAACTTTATACACATAAACACATGTACTCACAGACATACCCCTACATACTTTTTAAAGAAAAGAGATACTTAGAACAATTAAAAAATTGACAATTGGCTGGGTGTGGTGGCTCATGCCTGTAATCCCAGCACTTTGGGAGGCTGAGGCAGGTGGATCGCGAGGTCAGGGGTTCGAGACCAGCCCAGCCAACATGGTGAAACCCCATCTCTACTAAAGATAAAAAAGAAAAGAAAAAGCCATGCATGATGGCGTGCATGTGTAATACCAGCTACTCGGGAGGCTGAGGCAGGAGAATCGCTTGAACCCAGGAGGTGGAGGTTGCAGTGAGCCGAGATCGTGCCATTGCACTCCAGCCTGGGCAACAGGGAGAGATATCGTCTCAAAAAACAAAAAAAAAAAGTATTCACAATTATATATATTATGGAGTACAATGTGATGTTTTGATCTATGTATACATTATAGAAGGATTCAGTCAAGATAATTAACACATACATTGCCTTACCAAATTTGTATTTCTTTTTTGGTGAGAACATTAACAATCTATTTTAGCATTTTGAATTACACATTTTTATTAACTGTGGACACCATGCAGTTTAATAGACCACTGACATTTATTCCTCTAATCTAACTGAAACTTTATATCCTTGGATCAACATCTTCCTAAAAAGGGATACTTTTTAAATGTTAGATTTGCAATGTGCTTATTTTTCTCTGGCAATTTACACATAATTTACTTTTAACAGCTTCATAGTATTTCATATTATGAATATACCAATTTAACGTTTTTTAGTTTTTACTTAAAAAGAAGATAAAAATCTATAATATGAGATTAGCCCTTGTTTGGTGGTTCTAGCAGGGGAAGTGCAGTTACTTCTATACCTTTCATCAAAGGACTGTCCTTCTGTGTTGGGGAAAATCATCCCCTTTTACTGAGTGTGCTGTTATAAGAGATGAGATAAAAAAGTGATTGAAAGGTTTCTGTCTCTTCTTGGGTACATGTTAGAGGGCACAAAGAAGTGTTTGTTTCTTTGTTATTCAAGAAAAAACTACAAACAAAAGTATGTTTTCTAGCTGCCACCGTTTGATTGGTAACTTTTCTATTAGGTATTGAAATGACTCTCTTAAGGCCACTGGTCATTGTTTACTTATTTGTACATTAAGTTTTTATTTTACTATTGTTGATCTAAGAGGAGAATTTCTTATCTAAGAGTTTTTGCCAAAAGGGATTTTTCTCATAAATGTTAGCCTAAAGTAATGTTACAGTCCATAGCATCTCCTTGGAAACCAGGCTTTTGTGGGATAGAAACAACTACTTTAAGATGGATGCTGTGTCCTTAGGAAGTGATTCAGGAAGCCTGGCAAGAAGAGAAATCATGCTGTGAAGGAAATTCAGAAAATAGGAGCTCAATTATTTATGTTCTCAGGTTTGTCCTAATTTGTTTTAAGAATGTTTCTTTCTAATGACTAAGTTATAAACATATGTTAAGTAATAAATTTCATTTCCAACTCTTAGATGGTATGTTTATCACTAAGGAGTGTGGATGCATTTTTTAAAATGAAGTGAGAGTTTTGTTGTCATATATACTTGACAGTGACATTGATTAAAATGTAGATAGGCGCTTTGTGGGTGATATATAAAATGTATCAGGACACAACTTTTAAAGGTTTCTACTAGTCTTGTCTCCTGTAATAAAGATTTGGCAGCATTTTCTTTTTGTTTTCTTTCTTTCTTTTTTTTGAGCTGGAGTCTTGCTCTGTTGCCCAGGCTGGAGTGCAAGTGGCACGATCTCAGCTCACTGCAACCTCTGCCTCCCGGGTTCAAGCAGTTCTCCTGCCTCAGCTTCCTGAGTAGCTGGGATTACAGGCTCCCACCACCATGCTCGGCTAATTTCTGTATTTTTAGTAGAGACAGGGTTTCAGAATGTTGGCCAGGCTGGTCTCGAACTCCTGACCTCAGATGATCTGCTTGCTTTGGCCTCCCAAAGTGCTGGGATTACAGGCGTGAGCCACTGTGCCCGGCCAGCATTTTCTATCTTAATGAAACGAGAAAATTATCCCAGGAGTTTCCAGAGTCTTTTTATAGAAATATTTTTTAATATTCTCAAAAAAGCATTTCAGATAAAAAGTTATGAAAGCTACTCCAGAAATAGTGGTAAAGACATATATATATATATATATATATATAATTTTTTTTTTTTTCTGTTTAAGACTGAGTCTTGCTCTGTCAGCCAGGCTAGAGTGCAGTGATACCATCTCTGCTCACCGTAACATCTGCCTCTCGGGTTCAAGAGATTCTCCTGCCTCAGCCTCCTGAGTAGCTGGGATTACAGGTGCAAACCAACACACTCAGCTAATTTTTGTATTTTTAGTAGAGATGGGGTTTCGCCACGTTGGCCAGGCTGGTCTTGATCTCGTGAACTCAGGTGATCTGTCTGCCTCGGCCTCCCAAAATGCTGGGATTACAGATGTGTGCCACCACACCCGGCCAAGAAACAGTTTTTTCAAAAACGTTTTTAAAGTGATAAGATAGATGACCAATACACTTAAATAAAATTAGTCTCTTTTGGAAATTGAAGTATTGCTAATACTAAAATGGAAACATTCTTCTTATATTTTGTTATAGCAACACTTGAAGTCATTGAATAAATTTAGTCACAGGTTAAATTTCGTGATTTTTTTTTCTTACAGAGATTTACTAATATTTCAGAAGTATTATACTGTTTTCAGTTTTCAAGAGGACTGTTATAAGGATTGTTTTTACATAATCATATTGAAAAAGCTACCTGTGGGCTGGGCATGGTGGCTCACACTTGTAATCTCAGTGTTTTGGAAAGCCGAGGCAGGAGAATCGCTTGAGGACAGAAATTTGAGACAAGCCTAGGCAACAAAGCCAGACCCCATCTCTACAAAAAATAATTTAAAAAAGAAATTAGCTGGTATGGTGGCATGTAGCTGTAGTCCCAGCTACTTGGGAGGCTGAGGCAAGAGGATCATTTGAGCCTCTGAGTCCGAAGTTGCAGTGAGCCATGATTGTGCCATTGCACTCTGGCTTGGGCTACAGAGTGAAGCCCTGTCTCAAAAAACAAAACAAAAAACAAAAAAAAAAAGAAAGAAAATTGACCTGTATATAACTTTCTAGAATGTTTATGTTATTACCTTAATTTCAATTCTCTGGAAGGAGTGCCTTTTAATTTAATTTAGTGGAAATATTATTTCTTCTTTTTTCTCCCATTTCTTTCCAAATGATGAAATATTATTTGTTGTTCATTGAAGTCCAGCAAGGCTTCTAAGAACTAAAGTTAGGGGCCAGGCACGGTGGCTCATGCCTGTAATCCCAGCACTTTGGGAAGCCGAGGTGGGTGGGTCACGAGGTCAAGAGATTGAGATCATCCTGGCCAACGTGGTGAAACCCCGTCTCTACTAAAAATACAAAAATTAGCTTGGAGTGGTGGTGCACGCCTGTAATCCCAGCTACTTCAGGAGGCTGAGGCAGGAGAATCGCTGGAACCCGGGAGGCAGAGGTTGCAGTGAGTCGAGATCGTACCACTGCACTCCAGCCTGGGCGACAGAGCAAGATTCTGTCTCAAAAAAATAAAAAGAACTAAAGTTAGAAACGCTCTGTGTATTTATTAGTTTAGTTAATTTTTGCAATGTATTCTATTGCTAAAGCATGTCATTTATTTTTTACCTTCTTATTTTGAAATAATTTCTTGTGTTGAACAGTTTAGATATTTCTTTTAAAATATACTATACTTCATTGTCAAAGCATTTAACATTTTATTGGTATATTTTAAAATTTTTACTTTTGAAATGTTAAATTTAGAGAAAATTTGCAAGATTAGTACAAAGGACTTTTGTGTATCTTTTATCTAGATCCCCCAGTTGTTAACATTTTATCATGTTTGTCCTATAATTCTTTTCTATTATTATTACTGTTATTTTCTGAATTATTTGAGAGTAAGTTGCAGACATGATGTGCAATCACCCCCTAAATCCTTCAGTATGTATTGGTAACATTGATATAAAACCACAGTACCACCATTAAAATTAGAACATTATCATTGATACAGTACTGCTTTCTAAACCACAGACCCCCTTGAAATTTGAATGATTGCTCCAGTCACTTCCTTTATAGACACCCTTTCCCTTCTGGTCCAGGATCAATTACGTGGCAAGAAGTATATTAGGAGTCTCTAGTTTAGATAGTTAAGCTGCAGTATCAGATCTGTACCAGGTGCCCACATTACAGGCAACTTATTTGGGTGACTGGATTTTGACCACTCTTGGGTTCCTGATTGTTATTTTCTTGTTTGGTGCCTTGACCTTTGACCACTGTAATGATATATTCCATGTGCTTTCCTTTGGACTGTCAGCCTTTGCCCATAGTACCTAACCTGCAGTTCATTGCTGCTAGTCTGGACTGCTTGCCTGACTCTCTTGATCCTAGCATCCAGTCCATCCCTTGCTTTGTTTCCCTAGGTTGATAATATGTAAGGGATAACTAATATTTTTGTGCTTGTGTCTACCAGAGATCCTTGTGCCAGGTGTCTCTTTGTATAGGAATAAGGCAGAATATATCAGAATAGGAGTTGGCATTAGAATAATTTCACATATAACAGTCAGCATTAGTGCTATATAAAACTGGAGAGAGCTACATACCCAGAACTGTGTGTGTGTGTGTGTGTGTGTGTGTGTGTGTGTGTGTCTAGGGTTTACTCTGCTGTGAATCTTGGGTTAGCTAGGCAGAATGTGCTTCTAAATTATTTGGATTATGCTTCTGCCTAGAGGCTCTATAATCTTAGTATAGTCATCTCTCAGTATCTTGGGAGATTGGTTCCAGGACCTCCTATGGTTACCAAAACCTGTGGATGCTTAAGTTCCTTATATAAAATAAGGTAGTATTTGCATATAAGCTACTTCTGTCTTCCCACAAACTTTAAATCATCTCTAGACTACTTATAATATTTAATACAATGTAAATGCCATGTAAATAGTTGTTATACTGTATCACTTAGGGAATAATGACAAAAAAAGAAGTCTATATGTTCAGTACAACTGCAATTTTTTTTCAAAAAGGTTTTTAGTCCACAGCTGGTTGAATCCACAGATGCAGAACCCATGGATATGGAGGGCTACTGTATGTAATCTTCTCAGGTGGTCTTGTTATTTCATGAAGGAGTGAACTAATGAAATCATGGGCTACCATTTGTAATCAGTTGGCAACTCTTGGAATGGAATATTATTAATAGAATATTCACTGTTCAAGAATTAAACAGCTGATATAGATTTGCATAAATTTCTAAAAATTATAGATCTATTTCCTACAAGTTTATTGTGATCATTAGTTTTATAATAAACACGTTTATTATAATTCAATGGGTAAGCTCTAGTGATATTTGAAAATAAATATTTTAAGAGTTGGTTAATTTCCTAATAGGTCTTCCAAGGAGAAGTTAATGTAAAAATGGTATAAACTGAGTAAGAATCATAATTTTTCTTGATGATAAAATACTAATTTAGGTTTAAAGTCAATTTAGACACGGAATTTTAGATATTACAGAAGCAGTGATCTGATTTCTAGAAAGCATATTGAGAAAAGGACATATTTTTAGTACAATTGGCCTTAAGTACATGCAGGAAGAATCTTTTATAAATCCTTGTGACCATGCTTTAAGAGCTGCAAATTGTTGAGTAAAATGCAATTTGCCTTTGGTTTTATGAAGAATTTTGCAGACTTGTGCGCCCTCTTGTGTTTAATTTATAGTTAAGATTATTCTACATTATGTGGCTTTTGGTAGTCTTGTGTAGGTTGATGGGTTGGTTGTTATATGTGTATTCTCTGAAGATATTATAAATTTTTCAGTATAATGATAAATATTCAATACATATTATCCAATCTCATTATTTTAAGAGTCTTACAGCATCTTTGTAGAACTGCACAATTGGAAAGAATGTTAAGTGTTCAGCTGGTTCTGTTTTTACACTTACTTTTGCATGCTCTATATCAATTTTTGTTGTATTTAATGCATGCATTCATTGAGATATATGTCCTCGAACATATTTTTAGTTTTATTTTTTGAAGCAAGGTCTTGCTTTGTTGCCCGGGCTAGAGTGCAGTGGCGTGATTACAGCTAACTGCAGCCTCAACCTCCTGGGCTCAAGCAACCCCCCGACCTTAGCCTCTTAGGTAGCGGGGACTACAGGCGTGTGCCACCATGCCCAGCTGTTTTTTTTTTGTTTTCAATCTTTTTGTAGATATAGGGTCTCGCTCTGTTGCCTAGTCTGGTCTTGAACTCCTGGATTCAAGCATCCCTCTTGCCTCAGACTCCCAAAATGGCTGGGATTACGATGTGAGCCACCGTGCCTCTCCCATAAATTATTTTTTAAAGACTAAGCAACAAGATTTAATTATGCAGTTATTTTATTTGAAGGTTCTATGGCAGTTGTAAGCTATGTTGGCTGATCAAACTGTTAAGTGCCTAGCACATTGTAAACCTTCAATAAATATTTGTTGAAAGGAAGAATGGAAGAATTACAGCTGATGACCCATATTTTTTTGTGGACTGAAAGAAATGAAATTAGTTGGATGGTTGCCAAATTGCTGTATTCCGAGGGACAAATTTGTTACCCAATAACAACCGGAGTTTGTTACTCTGGTTTCAGAGAACCTGGGGAACAAATGACTTTTAACCTTTTGGTCAGTATTTTATTGAAAATAGGACCTTTATACCTCATCATACTCATAACTGCTTTAAAGTCTCAATCTAGAGCCTTCTTCTAATTGACATGGTACTAGGGCTACCCTTATTTGGACCCCTCATGGACTAAGTTACTTTTTTTAGAAAAATTATTTTTAGTAGAGATGGGGGTCTCGCTATTTTGCCCAGGCTGGTCGTGAGCTCCTGGCCTCAAGGGATCCTCCCACCTCGGCCTTCCAAAGTGCTGGGATTACAGGCATGAGCCACCACGCCCAGCTTGCTCATAGACTGAATTACTTGGATTTTGTGGATCCCATCATAATCAGATCAGCTTTGCTGAAGGTTCATGAGCCATTGTGCCAAGCTGATTGTGGACATTCAGCAAATGGTGTCATAGCAAAGCATTTCTTTCAGATGGGGGAGGGATTAAAAAGTTTATTCTAAAAACTAGTTACCAAAGGTTCAGAATTTGATAATGCCTTACCTGCTCACTGATAATAATAAAACCGTCCTTCCTACATTTGATTTGTATAGGCAAAATATAGGCTAAATTATACAATTTAGAAGTAGGGATAAAGAACTTGCCATTTATGGCTATTCTTTTTCTTTAATCCTTACTAGTCAAAAGGATTTTATATGGCCTTCTTGATTATATTCTCAAATTTAATACAATCTACTTCTAAGGAGTGAGATGTAGTATTCTTCATGTAAATCCCAGAGTTTTATACTATATAGCGCACAGAGAAGTAGTTTTATTCTTGATTTTGATGTGTGTTTGTCTTGTAAGAATCTTGCCTGTGCTTGTGCTCTTGTAATTTTCTTTGAACAAGCATTTCACTCACAGTTTTGTAATCTACCACATCACTAATTCTCTAAAGATTTGCTGCTCTGTATCATGAATAACTATACTTATAGTCTTGAATCCTTAATGCGATGGGAATAAAGTGTACTCCCTTGTCATTCTTGTTATATGTAGTGTGTAGATTTATATTTTCATCTTCTTTTAACTTTGACCTCAACATTAGCAGATTTAAGAGAGTTTGTTTCCTATACCCCAAATGGATAGAGGAAATTTTACTAACTCTTTATATCCAGGATAATCTATAAATCATTTGACATAAATTGTTGCCATATATGTCATCACCGTTTACTAAATGTGTAACTATTTGTTGGTTAGAAGTAATGCATTTTAAAAATTTATCTTCAGGTGATCTTCAGGTAACTTACCTCCATACAGTAGTGCTTATCACTTTTTTTTTTTTTTTTTTTTTTTTTGGAGACGTAGTCTCGCTCTGTTGCCCAGGCTGGAGTGCAGTGGCGCGATCTCAGCTCACTGCAAGCTCTGCCTCCTGGGTTCACGCCATTCTCCTGCCTCAGCCTCCCAAGTAGCTGGGACTACAGGTGCCCACCACCACACCTGGCTAATTTTTGTATTTTTAGTAGAGATGGGGTTTCACCATGTTAGCCAGGATGGTCTCGAACTCCTGACCTGGTGATCCACCCACCTCGGCCTCCCAAAGTGCTGGGATTACAGGCATGAGCCACTGTGCCCGGCCTGCTTGTTACTTTTAAGTTGCATTTATATTTGTTATTGCAGTTTTTCCATGGTTTAAACCCTGTGAGGTCAGCATGGTGAATATTTTTATCCCTGTTTTACGGAAAACGATTCAAGAAAACTGAGATCTGGAGGGCTTGTGACTTGCCTAAATGAATTTGTGTATGTGGAAGTTCCTTGTAAAATATAAAGGGTAAAAATGGGCCAGGCACAGTGGCTCATGCCTGTAATTCCAGCACTTTGGGAGGCTGAGGCTGGAGGATTGCTTGAGCTCAGGAGGTGTGGTGGCATGTGCCTATTGTCCCAGCTACTTGGAAGGCTGAGGTAGGAGGATTGCTTGAGCTTGGGAGCTCAATGCTGCAGTGAGGTATGATTGCGCCATTGCACTCCAGCCTGGGTGACAGAGCAAAACCCTCTCCCTCCCCACCTCCCCGCAAAAGGTAAGAGGATTTTAGTAATCTTTTTTAGGCTATTCTCAAATTTAAGTTTTTAAAAATAGTATTCATTCTCCTTATGTACTTTTTCCGTATAAATAGATCATATATTGGCTAGTTGCCATACTGCTAGTTGCCACTAACCGTGCTTCTCTATAATAATTGGTGATATTCATGGTGGACTGGAAATAGTGCAGTGCATATTACAGTGTATTTCTAAGTCACTTCTGTATTCCTGTCTATATTAGAGGCAATTCTTAGCCCTTTCCAATATACACATTTTGGTTTAGGAAATTGTGTTTAAACAAAAACAAACTAAACCAGCAATTCAGATGCTTACGTGCATAGTTTCTTTTGAAGGGGCCTGGGTGTTGTTACAATGTAATATTATGATTTAAAAAACAGAGAGTTATATAGAAAGTAGAATGGTGGTTGCCAGAGACTGGGAAAAGTGGGGAAATGGATAGTTGTTCAGTGAGTGTAGAGTTTCAGTTTTTCAGGATGAAAATGTTCTGGAAATCTGTTGCAAAACAATGTTAATATACTTAACACCACTAAACTGAATCTTTAAAAATGACTAAGATAGTAAATTTTGGTGTTATGTGTTTTTTTATGACAACTAAAAAACACATTAAAGACAAAAAATGCACAAACTAATACAACAAATGTTCAAGCCACCTAGAATGAGCAAATGATAATATTTTCTCTGGAGTGATTATTTGTGAGATTAAATTTAACTGAATCTTGATGGTATGACTCGGTATTACCCTTGAGGCTTCTGTGGTACCTATATCCTCCCAGGTGAAATATGAACCTGACCTTAATTTCTAGGCTGTTGCTGTATTTTGTTCAGTTAATATGGTGAGAAGTGTTCTTGCTTCTAAATATATGTTACTTTTTCATTCTGGTTTCTTTGGTAAGAGGAAGAGATTTATTATATTTAATGACACTTCCATACTTTCACTTGGGAGCCTCCTCTCCAGATGTCTGTCTGGCACTCATCATGAGCTATTTGGAGATATCTTAGGCTATGCAAAATTAATAAGTGATTAGCATAAGATCCTGGTACAGTCATCTATAATGTACAGTAGTTTATGCAGGAGCTCTTCAATTTCTTCCAATAATGACTGTCAAAATCTCATTATTCTAACTTCTATTAAAATGTTAGTAGACACTGCTGCTTTATCTTTTAGTCTGAACATTTAATTATAAAATAACTTTTCACTAAAAAGTAATTTATTAAACAGAAAAGCTTCCTAACCAATAGAATAGTAATTTTAATTTCTAAGTATTAATTTTCCTTTTAGTGCCATCTACTAGGCAAATACAGCAATTCAAATAAGCAATAAGTATTATGGAGCCTTAAATAACTTCCCATCTCACTTAGAATAAAATTCTTTTTCTTTTAGAATAAAATTCTTATCATGGCCCAAGAAAACCCTGATCTGGTCTCTGCCCACCTCTGTGATAATCATCTTTTACCACTCACTGCTTTGCCCACTACACTCTAACCAGTCTTTTTTTCCCCCCATTCCTTTAATATTTGCATTTCTTCCCCACTTTGGTTCTTTTGTACTTGACACCTGGAATTGTCTTTTTTCCATGTGATTATGACTGGTTGTTTTCTTACAATTCAGAGATCAACTTGAATATAACTGCCTAATCTAATATAACCACCTAGCCATCTTTAGTCACATCATTCTATTTCAATTTCCTCTTAAGCTCTTTTTACTATCAGATTGTTTTTGTTTTTTGGTCATCTGCCTTTCCTTTGTAGAATGCAGGCTCCATGAGAGTCGGGAGCTTGGCTTTCTGATTCACCACCATATCCCCTGTGTGTAGAACAGTGACTTACATGTTATTATTATTTTTTGAGACAGAGTCTCGCTCTGTTGCTAGGCTGGAGTGCAGTGGCGCCATCTCGGCTCACTGCAAGCTCCGCCTCCCGGGTTCAAGCGATTCTCCTGCCTCAGCCTCCCGAGTAGCTGGGACTAGAGGCGCGTGCCACCATGCCCAGATAATTTTTGTATTTTTAGTAGAGATGGGGTTTCACCATGTTGGCCAGGATGGTCTGGATCTCTTGACCTCATGAGCCGCCTGCCTCGGCCTCCCAAAGTGCTATGATTACAGGCGTGAGTCACTGCGCCTGGTCACATATTATTACTTATTAAAGATATGTAATCGTTTGTTCAACAAATGACTGAATGATTCATTGTTGTGTCTTGCTGTGTGCTGGACACTGTGCAAAATCTTGTGGAGGCACTGTTTAGTCAGGGAGACTGACAATCCAATAACTATAATATAAAAGTGTTAGGTTTTATAATAAAGGAATATAGAAAATGCTACGGGGTCACAAATAAGAAAGAATTCATTTCTCCTAGAAGTAGGTCAAGGGGTATTAGAGATGAGTTAATGTATTAGTGCTTCATATTTTACATTAAACCATTCTCCTGAGGCACTTTGCTGATTAGTTACTGACCAATTCTTGACTTTCTAATACTTTACTTAACCTTGCCATTTACTTTTCTACAAAAAGATGGTGGTAATATTGCCCTCAAGAATGTTGTAAAGATTAATCATTTAATATTGGCTAAGTGGTTTGAAAATGCAAAATGGTGTATAAGCCCTGATGTCCTCAATCATATTAACAACCACTTTCTATAATTAAGTTTTATTGTGTACTTAGTTCCCGATTAGTCAGCTAGAAATAAATATGCTTTTTTTAAAAAAAGATTATTTATGAAAGGCCTACTTGTTATTAAAAGGCCTACAACATGGACTTTTTGCATTGTATTGTTAGAAGAAAAGAATGTCCGTACTGTCTATTCACTCTGATATTATTTTCTCAGAAGAGTAGTAATGTACTATAACCCCCAGGAGGCAGTAGTATACCAAGAAGATTGTGTGCTTAGGCATGTTAAACAGCACTGCAAGTCTGTTAGTGATTAGTGGCAATTTAACATGCAGAGACTTTCCTTCTTATTTATCGGATGGTGAAGATTTCAAGAGATATTTTGACTTTCCTTTTCCTATAGAATTCTATTATCTTGTATTCAAGAGTTTTCCTTCCTCAAAGAGAGGATCCTATCTATTTCAGTACTTGGAGTGCAATGATATCTAGGGATTGTTATACACATAGGAGCACCTCGCTTTATACTATATTATACTATTACTGTCCTGTACTACAGGTTTTTCCTGAAAGTTATAGAGAGGTTAAAATTTTTATAAATTGAATGTTACTTTAAAATGAATTATGACAATGAGTCTCAACCTTTTTTTCTGCCCCAGGGTACCAAAGGATAAAGTAAACTTAAAATCCTAACAGTGGCTTGCTGCTTCAGTGATTCTCAATTTATGGCAGTTTTTCCCCAGACCTCAGAAGGTTTCATGTTACATTATCTAATTAAAGAGTACTACTTTGGAGAGTTAGGGTTAGGCATCTTGACAGAATTAGGGTTAGTGGCCATAAAAATAATATTACTTGCTATTAATAAATAATATAAATAATATAATTAATTACTTCTTATATTAATAAATATAATTATATTAATAAACGATTATTTATTTAATTATAGGTCTCAGGGAATGAGAGACAAGATTAGCTTATTATTTAGTTTAAAAATAATGCTGGAGGCTAAATCTCTAAAATTCAGTTTGTCTTCAAAGTTCTAAGTTCAACATCAGTGTCTCTCATCACAGCTTCTAGTACTTTATCTGTGCCTTAATTATAGTCCTGGGAACTTTTTGTTTTCGTCTTTGTATCTTTCATGAGTAGTTGTTTAACATACCAGTGAATTAATAAAACAATTTCTTCCAAACTCAAGAAGCCTTGACCATAGCTCTATAGCTGATTTTTTCCTTAAGAGTGCAAAATACCTCATTCCTGAAAAGTCATTCTTCCCCTCCCTACTCCACCACTACCTATTGCACAGGGATTTAAGATGTCGTAGAACTAGTAAATGGCCATGGATAGAAAAATCCTCTGGGTCTGTGTGGCCCTTAAAGGAATAAAACAAAAATTATATGAATATGTTCTTTTAAATAATTACTTCCTTTTTGAATAGTTGATACATACTTATACAATAAAATTTAAGAAGGTACAAAAAGAGTGTACAGTAAAAACTGTTTTCCTTCTATTCTTCTAGCCATTCAGTTTTCCTCTCCAAAGGCAATTGCCATTACTAGATTATTTTGTACCCTCCCGGGTATTTGATGAACATATAAACCAATCAGTCAATCTAAACTCTTCATCTATCGATTGATTGATCGATCCACCTACTTACCTACCTACCTACCTACCTACCTACCTACCTACCTACCTACCTAGCTACCTACCTATCTACCTATCTACCTACCTGTCTGTCTATCTGGTTGCTAAGAGTCTGCAACTGACAGCAAAAAGAGGCATTTAAAATATTTTGGGAATAAGTTTTAGTCTGGGAATTAGGGCTTGCATGAATATTGGAAGAGCTAGGGGAGTGAATGTCATATAAGTCATTTTGGACAATTAGAGAAGCTACAACTGAAACACGAACCTCTGAAGACTTTCAGTTTTCTCAAAAGCTGAAGACCACCGAACACGAACACTGAAGACTTTCAGTGTTCTCAAAAGCTCACTGGAAAACTGCTGCAATTATGAAGCATCTCTGGGAAAGCTTCTGCCATATATTTAGGGCTATATTTAGGTGATTCTCAAGGACTTACCCAAAAGCTACTATGAAATTAATGTTTGCTTCCCTGCCTCCAGCCACCTTCAGAGAATAATGGCTTCTGCTCTTTCCAAATCTTATTTGGTTCCTTTCATTAGCAAAATCTAACCCAAATCTAAACAACAAAAGGGATTCTGGGAAATATAGAGGAGACCTTAGAAGAGTGGATGGTTGTGCTAAGTTGCCCAGATGATGGTCAATAATATTTTTGACCTGGAAAAATTGCTGTGTCCTAAATGTGACTGTGATTCTTACTTGTGCTCTAAGAAAAGGGTAGGTTTTTGATAAAGGGTAATTGGTAATAGAAAACAAAAAAGATAGAATAAAGGAGAATCAAGAGAGTCAGTGTCCTAAAAGCCAATGAAGGAAAGTGTCCACAAGAATGAAGCAGTTAATTGTAACAATACTGTCATGAATACAGAAGGGAGGAGGAAAAAAATCTGGGTTTGAAATGGAAGGATCGTCATTCATGAGTTTCAAGAGTTGTTTTTATGAACTAGCCAGAGCAGAGATATCTTGTGACGTAACCAATCATATAAATGAAGAGAAGTTTATCAAATCAACTTAGGCCCACTTTACCTTTATTTTTTTTTTAAATTACAGATTTAATTTAAGCTTGTGTTGATCAGGCTGGTCTCGAACTACTGGCCTCAAGTGATCCTCCCATCTAGGCCTCCCAAAGTGCTAGGATTATAGGTATTAGCCACTGTGCCTGGCCTAATTTTAAATTTTTTAGAAACAAAGTCTCATTCTGTCACCCAGGCTTGAGATGCTGTGGTATGATCATAGCTCACTGTAGCCTCACACTTTTGGGTTCAAGCTATCCTCCCTCCTCAGCCTCCCAAGTAGATGGGACCACAGGTGCTCACCACCACACCTAGCAAATCCCACTCATTAGACAGCAGGCCCCCTAGACCCTGTCTCTCCAGGTCCCCCACTCATAGCTTCTCTTCATAACCTAGTTCATGTCCTACCACACCCAACTTTGTGCAGGCCTTGCCCTTCCATGCCCAACTTGCTCTTGCCTCTGCTCCACCTAGGTAGTCTACCCACCCTACCCTTCCACTTGGTGGCCCCTTGGACGGCCGCATGACAGTCTCTTTCATTCAGGCCCACCCTCCCCCCAGCTCCGCCCTCTACCATCTTTTATTCATATTTTCAAATACTTTTCAGCTATGTTGTTTACATTATTAAATATAAATATCAAAGTGGAATGTAATACTCCCACAATTCTTAGAGCAAAATAGTGTATCCCTAGAAATTACTTCCTAGCTCATATATGTAAATTGTCTTCACCTGAATTAAAAAAAATCTTTGAGTCATATTGTTTGTAGTCCATTTTCACTCCCAGACACTATAAAAAAAGGTATAGAAACCAATGTGAATTCATGGTTTTGAGGTTTTACTACATCTATATAAGGTGAAACCATTGGAGGGAACTGGGTGAAGGGTACATGGGTCCTTTGTACTATTTTTATAACTTCTTGTGAATCTATAATTATTTCAAAAAATTTTTAAAAAGCACGTGGACCTGGAATTGAGTCTCAGAATCTCTATTTACCAGCTGAGTCACTTAGGAAAGTCATTTAACTTCTGTTAGCTTCAGTTACCATATTTACAAAATGAGGTTAGTAACACATCTCTCACAGGCTTGGTATGAGAATCAAACAAGATTCTTTATAAAAACAGTTTGTAGACAGCAGAGCGCTATGTAAATTTTATTTAAAATTGTATACTTCTTATAATTAAGGACACTTTTCAGCCTGGGGAACATAGCAATACCCTGTCTCTACAAATATATATATAAAAAAAATAGTCAGGTGAGGTGGTGTGTACCTGCAGTTTAGCTACTTGGGAGGCTGAGGTAGGAGGATCACTTGAGCCTGGAAAGTTAAGGGTGCAGTGAGCCATGGTCACTCCACTGTACTCTAGCCTAGGTGACAGAGTGAGATCCTGTCTCCAAATAAAAAATAATTCCCCCCAACAAAATGTCACAATTCCTATATATATATATATATATATATATATATATATATATATATATATGTGTGTGTGTGTGTGTGTGTGTGTGTGTGTGTTTGAGGCAGAGTTTCTCTCTTGTCGCCCAGGCTGAAGTGCAGTGGTGCAATCTTGGCTCACTGCAACCTCTGTCTCCCGGGTTGCGATTCTCCTGCCTCAGTCTCCTGAGTAGCTGGGACTACAGGTGCCCACCACCACGCCTGGCTAAATTTTGTATTTTTGGTAGAGACGGGGGTTCACCATGTTGGCCAGGCTGGTCTCAAATTCCTGACCTCAAGTGATCCACCCACCTCGGCCTCCCAAAGTGCTGGGATTATAGGCTCGAGCCACTGTCTGTAATTGTTTTATAAAAGTTCATCGATCATACTAATTTGTGATATAAGTGAATATCTTGGATCACTGCTGTAAAGATTAGGACTTCTTACAGATTTGTTCTAAATTTTTCCTGGAGAATATTACATTTGTTTGTTTTGTTTTGTAGAGATGGGTGTCTTGCTATGTTGCCCAGGCTGGTCTCGAGCTCCTGGCCTCAAGCAGTCCTCCGGCCTTGGCTTCCCAAAGTGATGGCATTACAGTCATGAGCTACTGTACCTAGCCAGAGAGTATTACTGAAGCCTCCTGTAAGATTTAGAAATTGGAGGCTGGGCGTGGTGGCTCACGCCTGTAATCCCAGCACTTTAGGAGGCCAAGGTGGGCGGATCACAAGGTCAGGAGATTGAGACCATCCTGGCTAACATGGTGAAACCCCGTCTCTACTAAAAATACAAAAAAAATTATCTGGGTGTGGTGGTGGGCGCCTGTAGTCCCAGCTACTCAGGAGGCTGAGGCAGGAGAATGGCATGAACCTGGGAAGTGGAGCTTGCAGTGAGCCGAGATTGCGCCGCTGCACTCCAGCCTGGGCGACAGAGAGAGACTCCGTCTCAAAAAAAAAAAAAAAAATTTAGAAATTGGAAGAAGCCCATGAGATCAAATCAAATAGGAAGTTATAGTTTCAGGTTTTCTGTGTTTTTTTTTTTTTTTTTTTTTTTTTTTTGATGGAGTCTTGTTCTGTTGCCCAGGCTGGAGTGCAGTGGCATGATCTGGGCTCACTGTAACCTCTGCCTCCCGGGTTCGAGCAGTTCTCTGCCTCAGCCTCCCGAGTAGCTGGGATTACAGGCACCCACCACCATGCCCAGTTAATTTTTGTATTTTTAGTAGAGACGGGGTTTCACCATCTTGGCCAGGCTGGTCTTGAACTCCTGACCTCGTGATCTACCCGCCTTGGCCTCCCAAAGTGCTAGGATTACAGGCGTGAGCCACCATGCCCGACCGTTTTCTGTTATTTTTATAATTCAACTAGAGGTAACTGCAGGGTTACCAAAAACCTCATTAGACTCCATAACCGTAGATTTACATATAACAATCTTGAGTGATAAAATAAAAACTTAGACAAAATAAATTCAACAGAGTTTGCAAAGAATGACTCACAACCAGGCAACCCTCAAAACCAGAACAGGTTCAGAGAGCTCCCATCCACAATGTGGGCAGTCAATATAGACAGGAAAAGGCTGAAGAAAGCAGAAATAAGGAACAAAAAGCAGATGGGTCCTTTTAAAGTTAATTTCCTTGTAAGGCTTAAAGCAGAGGGGACTTTCTTATCATGGTGGCTAATGCTGGCTTGTTTGGGAATTTGGCCATTCTTTCTCTCCTGATTTCTTGAACAGTCAGATAAACAGCTTAGTTGTAGTTCAGTTTGGCGATGTGGAACTTAAACATGAGTGACTCCATTTCTGTTTGGCCTATTAGGGTCTAGTACAGGAGCTCAGCTCAAATCAAGGGGCTCCTCTAAATTTTATTTAACATGGGAGAATAGTCACTAAGATTGTACAACAGGATTATTTGGATAAACTAGAGGTTGGAAGATAGGGGACTGGTAGTTCTATCTTTAGAATTTAGGAATGCTTGAGGTAAGAATTGGAGGGTCTCATTTCAGAGTACTTCAATGCTACTTTCTTTTCCTTGTGTGAGATCAGAAAGAGAAATGAGGGCTAAGAAGGCTTAAGCATACAATATACAGAAATTAAGTATGATACTCAGTGAAAGGTGGTAATTTTTCCTCTAGGATCTGATCTTGCTGGCCTGGAGTTCTATGTGTTAAAAATTAACGGCAAGAACAGTGTTAGATGAGATAATGTAGCAGAAGGGGTGTTTCCTGTTGAGGCTTAGATTGAAATGTTATAACAAAATTGGCTGTCAGGGTCAGGTGTCCTGTGGATAACCAGCAAAGTAGTACTCGAGATTCTGATGGTTTGGTTTGACTGAATATTGACTGTCTGTGGACATGGAGGCTAGACAGACTCATTTGCAGAGCAAAGGAAAATCCCTTCCAAAGCCAGAAGTTGGCTATGAATTGGTATTGTATGCCATTGAACCTGAAATCTTTTTAAAGAAAGAAGTTGCTACTTTCATGTTAGCCCACACTTGGCTCTAGTGATTTGATATAAATTTTAGCTGCATTTTTTCTGTGAGATGCATAGCAAGTGGTGTCTGCTTCCAGTAATCAAGTGCTCCTCTCCCATTTCTCTGTGGAGACACCTGCCTTTCTTTAAATTTGAGGATAGTTGATTCTCCTGCAACCTCAGCCCTCTGATGGTTTCTAGAAAATTGTATTTGTTCAGATTATTTACATTTTTCTTGTTGTAAGGGTGGGAGTAACCCTACTTCCAGTATTCCACATCCGAAGTGTTGTGGTGTTTTAAAATTTTAAGCTTTGTTCCTATCAAAGCCAAGCTTAAATGACATTTAAAGGTAAATTATAGTTCCTGATGACGGAAAGTATGTTTAATTACTGAAGTTTACAGCTTTATATATATTTTTAAAATTATATTTTACTGTTAATAACAGCATGTTTTGTTTTTTGTTTGTTTGTTTGTTTGTTTTTTTTTTTGAGACGGAGTCTCCCTCTGTCACCCAGGCTGGAGTGCAGTGGTGCGATCTCAGCTCACTTCCAGCTCTGCCTCCCGGGTTCACGCCATTCTCCTGCCTCAGCCTCCCGAGTAGCTGGGACTACAGGCGCCTGCCACCACGCCTGGCTAATTTTTTTCTACTTTTATTAGAGACGGGGTTTCACCATGTTAGCCAGGATGGTCTCGATCTCCTGACCTCGTGACCCACCCGCCTTGGTCTCCCAAAGTGCTAGGATTACAGGCTTGAGCCACTGCACCTGGCCATAATAACAGCATGTTTTTATAAGTGCATTTTCTTTTAATTTTCAGGAAAATCACCAACACTTTAGAGGTTAAAAAGCTATTTGACTTTGAATGTATTAATTAGGAGGATTGAGGCCAGGCATGGTGGCTGACACCTGTAATCTCAGCACTTTGGGAGGCTAAGGTGGGGGGATCACTTGAGGTCAGGAGTTTGAGACCAGCCTGGCCAACATGGTGAAACCCGATCTCTATTAAAAATAGAAAAATTAGCCAGGCGTGGTGGTGTACGACTATAGTCTCAGCTTGCAGTGAGCTGAGATTGTGTACTCCAGCCTGGGTGACAGAGCAAGATTCTGTCTCAATAAATAAAATAAATAAATAAAAATTAGGAGGATTCTTTTAGAGTTCAGAATTCAAGATGATTGATCTGAAAGGCCTGTATAAAAATTTAAATTGTGGTACAAATGCATGGTCTTAGCATTATTAATTATAAAATTATTATTATTACTATTTTTTGAGACAGACTCTCACACCCAGGTTGGAGTGCAGTGGCACGATTTCCGCTCACTGCAACCTCTACCTCCTCAGTTTAAGTGATGTTCAAACAATTCTCATGCCTCAGCCTCCTGAGTGGATGAGATTACAGATGTGTGCCACCATGCCCAGCTAATTTTTTTGTATTTTTAGTAGAGATGGGGTTTTACCATGTTGCCTAGGATGGTCTCGAACTCCCGGCTTCAAATGATCCACCTGCCTCGGCCTTCCAAAGTTCTAGGCCTATAGGCGCCCGCCACCATACCCGGCTAATTTTTGTATTTTTAGTAGAGACAGGGTTTCACCATGTTGGCCAGGCTGGTCTTGAACTCCTGGCCTCAAGTGATCTGCCCGCCTTGGCCTCCCAAAGTGCTGAGATTACACACGTGAGCTACCACCCTGCCAGTTATAAAATTATTAATCACATTTAGTTTTCTCTGATTTGTAATAAGTCCAATGAAAGGTACACTTCATATATTTGTATTATTTATACAAAATAGCTGAAAATTGTATAGATATCCAAAGAATTTTGATCTCATATAAAAAATATTGGTTGAAGCACTTTCTATATATGCTTTAAATGTGTCAGGTACTCAGCATTATTAGCTAAACATCAAGATCCAAGGCCTAGTGATAAACAGGCAATAATTTTTCAGGTATGAGGTTCATTCCTGTCTTGTTTCCCATAGTGACTATGCCAAAAGATCAGTCTTTAAACTTTCCTTTTCCTTTTCATCCTCTTACACAGGGTCTTGCTTTCTGCTTTACAGAGAAAAGAAAGATCATCAGGTTTTAATTTCATCTGTTTCCTGTCATCCCCTTATACTATAAATATGTATACATTTGTATTCACTTGATGTCTATCTTTCCATAGATAGAAATCTATGGAGTCTTGCCCCATCGGTTGTTCTCTCACTCTATCTTTAATCTTTCTATAGATTCTTTTTAAAAATCTATATATTATTGATTTTATTACTTTTATTTGTAAAACTGTGTCCAATACAGATGTAACTAAAACACAGTTAAAATTGATCTTTCTTACTACTTTCTTTCTTTTTTTTTTTTTTGAGACGGAGTCTCGCTCAGTTGCCCAGGCTGGAATGTAGTGGTGCAATCTTGGCTCCCTGCAAGCTCTGCCTCCCAGGTTCACGCTATTCTCCTGCCTCAGCCTCCCGAGTAGCTGGGACTACAGGCGCCCACCACCACGCCCAGCTAATTTTTTGTATTTTTGTAGAGAGGGGGTTTCACCATGTTAGCCAGGATGGTCTCAATCTCCTGACCTCGTGATTTGACCGCCTCAGCCTCCCAAAGTGCTGGGATTACAGGCATGAGCCACCGCACCCGGCTTCTTCTTCTTTTTTTTTTTTTAATTGTACCTTAAGTTCAGGGATACATGTGCAGAACTTGCAGGTTTGTTACATAGGTATACATGGGGCATGGTGGTTTGCTGAACCCATCAATCCATCATCTACATTAGGTATTTCTCCTAATGCTATCCTTCCCCTTGCCCATCTTTCTACAGATTCTTTATTGTTTTAATCCTGAGTTTCTCTCTTCAGTTCTTTATTGACCTTTAAGACAATGAATTTTGGCATGAAAAAGACCCTAGTTTGAAATCCCAGCTCCACCACGGTGTCCTTGGACAAATCAACTAGCCCCTCTGAGGCTTAATTTCTATAAAATGTAGATAAGGCTTACTACAGGTTTGTTTTGAGGATCATGTAAAGCAGGGGTCCCCAACCCCTGGGCCACGGACTGATACTGGTCCGTGTCCTGTTAGGAACTAGGCCACACAGCAGGAGGTGAGCGGTGGGCGAAGCTTCATCTGCATTTACAGCCGCTCTCTATCGCTTGCATTACTGCCTGAGCTCTGCCTCCTGTCAGATCAGCAGTGGCATTAGATTCGCATAGGAGCCTTAACCCTATCGTGAACTGCGCATGCACGGAATCCAGGTTGGTGCTCCCTATGATAATTTAATCCCTGATGATCTGTCACTGTCTCCCATCACCCCCAGATGGGACCGTCTAGCTGCAGGAAAACAAGTTCAGGGCTCCCACTGATTCTACATTATGGTGAGTTGTATAATTATTTAATTATATATTACAACTTCTTAATAATAGAAATAAAGTGCACAATAAATGTTCATGTTCTTGAATCATCCCGAAACCATCTCCCCAGCCCCAGGTCCATTGAAAAATTGTCTTTCACAAAACTAGTCTCTGGTGCCAAAAAGGTTGGGGACTACTGATAAAAAGTTAAATAGAGTAATTAATTTAAGGGCCTGGTCCTTATTTCAAATTCTCTCACAGGATAGTTTCCCCACTTCCTTTCTTTCTTTCTTCAGAGCCAGACTTCTTAAAAGAATAGTCTATATTTGTAGTCACTACTGGAAGTCTAGGTTTCTACCTCCACTATTCTATAACTTCTCAGTCCAAGTTTACCATTGATCTAATTGTCAGATCTGATGAGCACTTTTCAGAACTTCATCGTTTATTTTTCTTTCCAACCCTTAAAATCATTCTCTTGTAAAGCAGACAGAGAAAGCTTTCTAAATGTAAACAGGTTTCTAAAATATAAGTCCAACTTTTTAGTAACTCTCCATCACCTGCAAAATGAAGTAAATAATTTCTGGTAGGAATAAAAGGACTCAATCTAAATTTGTGTTGTCCGGTATGGTAGGTGCTAGATATATGTGGCTATTTAAATTTAAACTTGTTAATTACAATTAAATACAATATTAAAAAACAGTCTCTTAGTTACACTAGCTACACTTCCAACATTCAATAGCCACATGTGACTAATGGCTACTTTATTAGTCAGCTTAGATATAGAATCTTCCCATTATCACATGAAGTTCTATTGGACATGGCTGATATGGATCCAAGATATCAAAAAATGAGAGAGACAGGCTAGAATTACACCAGATTTAGCTAGGTTGGACAAAGGAAGTAAAGGTGGTGATGCTACAGAGATCCTGTTATTAACCTGCAGAGTCCAGGTTCCTGGGGAGAAGCCTGTCTTGAAATGAATATTTTGAATGAGCAGTAGGAGCAATGGTGGTATCAGGAGATATGAGAGCTACTTTTGTCATTATGTTGGAATAATGAGGAAGAAAAGGAATTATGTTGAAATAAAGAAATGGAATACTGCTGGAATTTTGTTTCTTGCATCAGGCTATTTCAGAAGAAAAAAACATGGTCTTCATTTGAGAAAAGAATGTGCCTGTAGTTCCAGCTACCTGAGAGGCTGAGGTAGGAGGATCGCTTGAGCCCAGGAGTTTCAGGCTGCAGTCAGCTGTCTATGATTGTGCCAAAAAAAAAAAAAAAAACAAAACAAAACAAAAACAAAACAAAAAAAAAACGGAGAAAGAGAGAAAATAATACATGATTGAGATAATTAGAATATATTTATAAGAATAACTAGTTTTTGGGGATTTTAACCTTGTGGTAAATAATACCTCAGACCTGGTATTGACCCATCTGCTTTTTTGGGTTTAAAAGAATTTTGCATGTATAAATGTTTTTGCTAAGTTGAAAGAGATATTTTTATTCTTATATTCTGTAAATAGTCATCTCCAGTCTTCAGATTTATTTTCTGCTCAGCTTATAGTCAAGAATTTTGTTAACTGTTTTACTCCTATCTGTGTAAGTTATTAATGCTGTGATTTTTTTAAAGCTCCTGGATATTAATGTTTTAAGTTCCTGAACTTCTGCAAGATGGTCCATATTGAAAGAAGCAGCTGTAAAATACAGATGCTGACAAGCAGAAAAACAAAGAGATTTTCACAAGGAATTATGGGTATTTAATGTAACTCTTTAGTTCACAGTTCCATAAAACTGTGTTGTTTTCTTAGTACTACATTCTGTCTTAACCTTCTGTTGTATTGCACAGCTGATTTTAAGGAAGAATGAATTGTTAGTCATTTGCTTTTTATCCGGCATTTTAACTTTCAGTCCTCAGCAGGAATTCTACTGTCCCAGTGCAATTTATTTTATTTAAAGCAATATTGTACACATTTATAACTTTTACTTAATTCTTGAAGAAAAAATTTCAGTTTCTATTTATCCTGCTTATGAAAATGAAAATGAATCACAAATTATAAGTGACATCAATCTTTTTTATGATGTCCTCATTTTTTTAAAAAATGATTTTATAAAATGAGAAAAATACTGAAATGCTGTAGAGGAAGAAAGGGAGAAGAGGTGGTTGCATTGCGGGGGTGGGTAGAGAGGCAGGCATTGAGATCGCTAGGCAACAGGCTGTGAGAAATGCAGCATTTCTCATTTGTGTCGTCATGTAACTATGGAAGAACCACCATCTAGCCTAACCTGGTATTTCTTTTTAATCAAGTCCAGCTGTTGATCATGTGAACACACTCTTTCCTCTGGGTATTAAGGGTGTGTTTCTTCCTTTCCTATGGTATCTTAAATGGCTACTGACATATCACCTGGAATGTACCCATGTGCTGTAGGAACCCCCATTATACTGATCATTTCTCATTATGAATCACAAGTAAAATGTTTACCCCAAGTTGCATATAAAAACTTTAAAACAAAGAATGTGACTTGACCACATAAGTATTTTTTTTTGTTTTTAATGAATAGAGTTCTTGTTTTTAATTTGATGAGCAGGGAACTTTCCAACTCTAACCCTTCTTTACAGTCTGTCTTTAATTTGCAAAAAAGATGCATTCCAATTTTTCAGACATAAAACTGTTTAATGGATTTTTTTGAGATTCGTTAGTTTTCTAGTCATGTTAGGTTACCCTGAAATTTAGCATATATCATTTCATGGATTTCAATCTCCTTTTCTCATTTTAATGTTTATATTTACTATTTTGATATTAAAAAATAATTAGGTGGTGTCTTTAGTCCTCCTTAAGTAATACACAGTTGCAGCTGTTAGACTGTTTTTATACAGTACTGTTACCAGCCATGTCTTCCTTGAAAGAAATATGAATTTTCAACATCTTGGATTATTTAGTTCATTTTACTTATCCTCTGTGAGACATAATCTATGTGTAATTTTAAAGTTGTTCTGTTTAAGCTCTACTATGTCTTCTTGGTGGCACTAAGAAATAAATATTTTTGCTTCTGCGTTTTGGGATCTTCTTCTCCCTATCACCCCTTAATGCTGTAGCAATATTTAAGGCATTCTAAGTTCCAGCACTAGACAGAGCTTGGTCAGTTAATCATCCCAATATATTCTGGTAAGATAAATTTGAAAACATGTATAGTAATCGTCTATTATTATCTAAGAAAAATGTTTGATAATTATAGGTATGAATTTTTGCTTTATAGGTCATAAAATTATTATAGTAATGTTGCTTTTTTTCAAAAAAGGAAACCACTTAATAATATTTTGAGATAAAACATTGTGCTTGCCAAAGTGTTCCAAATAATACACTGTTTCAAAAGTCTATAAAGTCCTTAACTTTAAGGCCTTGTATTAGATATTTGATATACCACATATATCCATGTATCGTTTACAAGCTTACAGATATATGATTTATTTGTAAGATTATGCCAAGTAACATAGATACATATGAAAAAAGCCATATTACAAAAGGAAGAAATGTTCTTTTGTTTGTTCGTTTGTAGAGATGGGGTCTCACCAGCCTAGGCTGGTCTTGAACTCCTGGGCTCAAGCAATCTTCCCATCTTGGCCTCCCAAAGAGGGAAGAAATATTCTTGCAATGATATCTGTAGATAAAAATTGTTGAATTCTATTTATTAGTGGAATCATGCTCCTAACTTGATTGAAATTTCAAATTGTATGTATGTGTTTGACATTTACTCATGATAATTACCTCCCTTAAATACTTCCATTACTTTAGACTTTTCTTCACTGAATTAAAATGTATTATTTATCCTTTGGAATCTCCTAATATTAGTTCATTACTACATCCCTATTTTGTGACATTATAGGGTGTATTATCTCAAAGGATGTCGTGTTAGTCTATTCTCACACTGCTATAAAATACCTAACGCTGGGTAATTTATAAAGAAAAGAGGTTGGTTCTTCCGGCTTTACGGGTACTGTGGCTGGGGAGGCCTCAGGAAACTTAGAATCATAGCAGAAGGTGAAGGGGAAGCAGACACATCTTAAATGGCTGGAACAGGAGGAAGAGAGAGTGAAGGGGAAGTGCTACACATTTTTAAACCAGATCTCGTGAGTACTCACTCACTATCACAAGAACAACAAGGGGGAAATCTGCCCCCTTGATCCAGTTACCTCGCATGAGGACCGTCCTCTTAACATTTGGGGATTAGAATTCAACATGAGATTTGCGTGGAGACACAAATCCAAACCATATTGGATGTATAAAATTATTAAAATTAATTTTACTTTATTTTTTATAAATATATTTTTCTTAAGGAAGAGAGGCTTTGCAAAGTCAAATAATAATAGAATGAGAGTATTTGATTTAAATAAATATTGATTTTCATTTAGTCTCAAAGGATATAGTTTGAAACTTCTGAGATTTTAACTTTCTGAGACAGCCTTTGCTGTACTTTCAGAATGAGATAGATAGCTGAAATCTGAAGAGTCAGTGGTTTTCTCCCAAAAATCAGATTTTATGAATTACTTTAGGAATTAATACCAGATTTGTCAAACAAAAGCAAATAGATTCAGATAAAAATAATTATAATTCTACATTCAGTAGGAAGAATATTTAATTCTAGATTTTGCATAGTGTTTAGTATCTTACTGGTATTTGGTAAATATTTTTATAATTTCTCTAGTAAATGCTTACTTTAAATATAGCTATGTTTGAAATTTGTGTAAAAAAAACAAAAATTAGTTGGCCAGATGTGGTGGCTCATGCCTGTAATCCCTGCACTTTGGGAGGCCAAGGCAGGTGGATCACCTGAGGTCAGGAGTTTGAGACCAGCCTGGGCAACATAGTGAGACCCTGCCTCTATTTTAATTAAAGTTTAAAAAAATACAACTAAAAATTAGTTCTAAGCAGACAGATAAATTCATGGGACTCATGAAAAAGTAAATTAAAAATACCATAAAGGGCATCTTTGTAGGGAGGTAAGGGAGATAGTAAAAGATGGTATGGTACCTTAATAAGATTTGAAGAATCATATTATAAGACACAACCCTATAATGAGAAAATTAGGAAGGTGCAGTTATCCACTCAGCCTGTTTAATCACCTGTTATTTGACAGAGAAGGAATAATAAGTCAATAACTACCTTCAGGTTGGGTAGAGTGCCCCTTCTTTATGTTTACTTATTTCCCTGTATGTGTCCTTATTGCTGACTTTATCAACACAATACATTGAAATAATCTGTTTATCTAGTTTTATATATATGTGTGTATGTGTGTGTGTATGTGTGTGTGTGTGTATAATTTTTTTTTGTTTTGAGACAGGGTCGCACTTTGTCACTCAGGCTGGAGTGCAGTGGCGCGATCTTGGCTCACCGCAACTTCTGTCTCCGGGGTTCAAGTGGTTCTTCCATCTCAGCTTCCTGAGTAGCTGGGACTACAGGTGTGTGCCACCATGCCTGGCTAATTTTTGTATTTTTTGGTAGAGATGGGCTTTCACTATGTTGGCCAGGCTGGTCTTGAACTCCTGACCTCAAGTGATCTGCTCCCCCTTGGCCTCCCAAAGTGCTGGGATTATAGGCGTGAGCCACTGTGCTCAGCCCTTCGGTTTTTTTTGGGTGTGTATATATGTGTATTTATACACACACACACACACACACATTTGTATATGTGACTATATAATTTTTTCGTGTATATATATATATACACACACATGCATTTGTATATGTGACTATATATTGATAAATGAATATATAGTTATATATAACTATACATATAACTATATATAACTATACATATAACTATATATAATTAGTAATATGTAGCTATGTATATAGTTATACGTATATATACACTATATATAGCTATACATATGTATGTATAGTTATATATGTATATAGCTATGTATACTATATATGTAGTCATATGTATAGTTATGTATATAGCTATACATATGTATGAATAGCTATATACATACATGCACATATATAGCTATATACGTATATGGTTATATACGTATATAGCTATACTTACATATAGCTATACATATCTATGTGTAGCTACATGTGTATGTATGTATGTGTATATATAATGTATGTATATATAACTATACATACGTGTAGCTGTATGTATGTATAGCTATATACATATATGGCTATATGTATGTATGTATAGCTATATACATATATATAGCTATATGTATGTATGTATAGCTATATACACGTAACTAAACATATAACTACATATATAGCTATATAGTATATATACATATATGTACTTGCATATATATGTTTGCCCAGGAATTGCAGCCCTTGTGGCCTATACTGCCTTTCAAGTTTAGGATCCCAGAGCCCTTTAGCCCATAGTAGTGAGGCTTGCTGGAACTCTGGTTCCAATAGCTGGGATAGACAATTTGCCTCTGACTAGGGCTGGTCTAAATGTTTCTTCCATGGACACTGGCTGAGTTCTGCCCCGTGTTGCTTTCCAATGTAACAGGGTAGCACTGAGTTTCAATGTAAAGTTCCACAATAACTGCACTCTCCCTTCCCCCAAAACACATTTTCTCTCCATGCTACGTGGGCACTGCCAGGGGATAAGGGAAGGGTGGTGTAGGCAATTCAGGACTGTCTTTCCTATCCTCTTCAGTACCTTTTTCCTTAATATGATGTTAAAACCAGATACTGGACTGCCCATCTGATTTTTGGTTCTTATAAAGGTGATTTTTTGTTTGAATAGTTGTTCAGTTTGGTGTTCCTGTAGTGGTGGGGGTTGGAGGGGTGGATCACTGGAGGTTTCTATTCAGCCATCTTGCTCCCTCCTTTAGTTCTTGTTTCTTTTTAATTTTAATTAAATAATTTGTTCAGTTCAACAACTACTGAGAACATATTGTATGCCAGTGGTGTAAACTACTCATATTTTCAGTAGAAAGACTAAAAGATAAACCTATCAAAAATAATAGCTACAACTTTTCAAGACATAGTATAATAAGATATAAACAACAAAAGTTAAAAATTGAGGAACTGAAGTGTAGAGTTTTCAATAGTTTTCTCTTTGCTTATTTATTTGTATGTTCATGCAATCAGTGTCATCAGTTTAAAATAATGGGTTATAAGATATTATTTGCAAGCCTTATGGTAACCTCAAATAAAAAAATATACAGTAGATCACAATAAATAAAAAGCAGGAAGTTAAAAAGTATCACCTGAGGAAATCACCGTCACTTAAAGGAAAATAGGAAGGAAGGAAAGAAGGAAGAGAAGACCACAAAACAACCAGAAAACACATAAAATAGCAGGAGTAAGTCCTTAGTTATCAATAATAACATTGAACACAAATTGACTAAGCACTCCAATCAAAAGTCATAGGGTGGATGAATGGATAAAAAACAAGACACCATCATCTGTTACCTACAAGAAACACACTTCACCTATAAAGACACACATAACTGAAAATAAAGGGATGGAAAAAGATACTCCATGCAAATGGAAACCAAAAAAGAGCAGGAATAGCTATATTTATATCAGACAAAGTAGATTTCAAGACAAAAACTATAAAAAGAGACAAAGGAGGTCATTATTTAATAATAAAGAGGTCAGTTCAGCAAGAGGATATAGCAGTTGTAAATATATATATACCCAACACTGGGGCATGCAGATATATAAAGAAAATATTATAACTGAAGAGAGAGAGAGATCCCAATACAGTAATGGCTAGAGACTTCATCACCTCACTTTCAGCATTGGACAGATCATCCAGACAGAAAATCCACAAATAAACATTGGACTTCATCTACACTGTAGACCAAATGGACCTAATAGGTATTTACAGAACATTTCACCCAGTGTCTACAGAATACACATTTTTCTCAGCACATGGATCGTTCTCAGGGATAGACTGTATGTTAGGCTACAAAACAAGTCTTACAACATTCAAAAAAATTGAAATAATCTCAAGTATCTTCTCTGAGCACAATGGAATAAAACTGGAAATCAATAGTGAGGAATTTTGGAAACTGTAGAAATACATGGAAATTAAATACTGTGTTCCTGAATGACCAGTGGGTCAATAAAAAATTAAGAAAGAAATTAAAAAATTTCTCAAAACAAATGTGAAAATGGAAACACAGCATACCATTGTCTCTGGGATACAGCAAAAGCAGTAATAAGAGGAAACTTTATGGCAATAAGTGTCTACATCAAAAATTTAGAAAAACTTCAAATAAACAATCTAACAATGCATCTTTAACAACTAGAAAAGCAAGAGCAAACCAAACCAGAATTAGTAGAAGAAAAGAAATAATAAAGATCAGAGCAGAAATAAATGAAAGTGAAGTGAAAGAAATAATACAAAAGATCAACAAAATGAAAAGTTTTTTTTAAAGATAAAATCGACAAACCTTTAGCCAGACTAGGAAAAAAAGAGAGAAGACCCAAATAATAAAATCAGAGATGAAAAAGGAGACATTACATCTGATACTGCAGAAATTCAAAGGATTAGAGGCTACTATGAGCAACAGTATGCCAATACATTGGAAAACCTAAAAGAAATGTATAAATTCCTAGACACATATAGCCTACCAAGATTGAGCCATGAAGAAATTGAAAACCTGAACAGACCAATAACAAGGAACAAGATTGAAGCTGTAATAAAAAGTCTCCCTGCAAAGGAAACCCCAGGATCTGATGGCTTAACTGCTGAATTTTACCAAGCATTTAAAGAAGAACTAATACCAATCCTGATCAAACTATTTTGAAAAATAGAGGAGGAAGGAGTACTTCCAAACTCATTCTATGAGGCTAATATTACCACTACGAAAACTAGATAAAGGTTCATAAAACAAACAAACAAACCCTACAGAGTCACACCCCTGATGAACACTGATGCAAAAATCCTCACCCAAATACTTGCAAACCGAATGCAACAACACATTAAAAAGATCATTATGATGAAGTGAAATTTATCCCAGTGTTGCAAGAATGGTTTAACATATGCAAATGAATCAATGTGATATATCAACAGAACAAAGGCCGAAACCCATATGATTATTTCAACTTGCTGAAAAAGCATTTGATAAAACTCAACATCCCTTCATAATAAAAATACTAAAAAAAAAAACTGGGCATAGAAGGAATATAACACAATAAAAGCCATGTACAACAGAGCTACAGCTAGTATTACACGGAATGGGGAAAAATCGAAAGACTTTCATCTTAGATCTAGAACAGGAAAAGATGCCCACTTTCACCACTGTTATTCATCATAGTACTGGAAGTCCTAGCTATCAGACAAGAGAAAGAAATAAAAAGCATCCAAATTGGAAAGGAATAAGTCAAATTATCTGTTTTTACAGATGATGTGATTTTATATTTGGATAAACCTAAAGACACCACCAAAAACTATTAGAACTGATAAATTCAGTAAAGTTGCAGGATACAAAATAAACATACAAAAATCAGTAACATTTCAATATGCCAACAGCAAACAGTCTGAAAAAGCAATAAAAAAAGTAATCTCATTTGCAATAGCTACATATAATATACCTAGGAATAAACTTAACCAAAGAAGTGAAAGATCTCTACAATGAAAAGTGTAAAACACTGGTGAAAGAAACTGAAGAGGGCACAAAAAATTGGAATGATATTCCATGTACATGGATTGGAAGAATCAATATTGTTAAAACATCCATACTACCTAAAGCAGTCTACATATTCAGTGCAATCTCTTTCGAAATAACAATCACATTCTTCACAGAAATAGAAAAAATACTCCTAAAATTTATATGGAACCACAAAAGACCCAGAATAGCCAAAGCTGCCCTAAGCAAAAAGAACAAAACTGGAGGACTTCAAATTATACTACAGAGCCATAGTAACCAAAATAGCATGGTACTGGCCTAAAAACAAACACATAGACCAATGGAACAGAATAGGGAGCGTAGAAACAAATCCGTACATCTGCAGTGAACTCATTTTTGACAAAGGTGCCAAGAACATACATTGGGGAAAAAGATACTCTTCAATAAATGGAGCTCAGAAAACTGGATATCCATATGGAGAAGGATGAAACTAGACCCTTATCTCTTGCCACAAAAACCAAATCAAAATGGATTGAAGACTTAAATCTAAGACCTCAAACTATGAAACTACTAAAAGAAAACATTGGGAGAAACTCTCTAGGACATTGGAGTGGGCAAATATTTCTTCAGTAATACTCCATAAGCCCAGACAATCAAAGTAAAAATGGACAAATGGGATCACATCAAGTTAAAAGCTTCTGCACAGCAAAGGAAACAATCTAGAAAGTGAAGAGACAGCCCACAGAGTGGGAGAAGATATTTGCAAACTATCCATCTGACAAGGGATTAACAATCAGAATATATAAGGAGCTCAAACAACTCTATGGGAAAAAAATCTAGTAATCTGAATTAAAAATGGGCAAACAATCTGAATAGATATTTCTGAAAAGAAGACATACAAATGGCAAAAAGGCATATGAGAAGCTGTTCAACATCATTGTTTATCAGAAAAATGCAAATCAAAATTACAATGAGCTATCATTTCACCCCAGTAAAAATGGCTTTTATCCAAAAGACAATCAATAACAAATGCTGTTGAGTATATGGAGAAAAGGGAACTCGCATACACCGTTTGTGGGAATGTAAATTAGTAAAACTGCTTTGGACAACAGTTTGGAACTTCCTCAAAAAGCTAAAAATAGAATTGCCATATGATATAGCAATGCCATTGCTAGGTATACACCCAGAAGAAAGGAAATCAGTATATCAAAAACATAGCTGCACTCCGGTATTTATTGCAGCACCATTTACAGTAGCCAAGATTTGGAAGCAACCTAAATGTTCATCAACAGATGAATGGATAAAGAAAATGTGGAACACACACACACTCACACACAACACACACACACACACACACACAAACAGTGGAGTACTATTCGGCCACAAAAAAGAATGAGATCCTGGCTGGGCATAGTGGCTCATGCCTGTAATCCCAGCACCCTGGGAGGCTGAAGCAGGTGGATCACTTGAGCCAAGGAGATTGAGATCAGCCTGGGCAACATAGTGAAATCCTGTCTCAAAAAAATACAAAAGTTAGCTGGGTATGGTGGTGCACGTCTGTGGTCTTAGCTACTTGGGAGGCTGACATGGGAGGATCACCTGAGCCTGGGGAGGTTGAGGCTGCAGTAAGCTATGATTGTGCCACTGTACTCCAGCCTGGGTGACAGAGTGGGACTCTGTTAAAAAAGAGATCTTGTCATTTGCAACAACGTGAATAGGACTGGAGCTTATGTTAAGTGAAATAAGCCAGACAAAGACACACTTTGCATCTTCTCACTTATTTATGGGAGCTAAAAACATTAAAACAATTGAACTCACAGAGATAGAGTAGAATGATGGTTACCAGAGGCTGAGAAAGGTAGTGGGGGTGGGGGGAAGTGGGAATGGTTAAAGGGTACACAAATATAATTAAATAAAATGAGTAAGATCTAGTATTTGATAGCACGACAGGTGACTACAGTCAACAATAATTTACTGTACATTTAAAAGTAACTAAAAGAATATAATTAGATTGTTTGTAACACAAAGAAAGGATACATGCTTGAGGTGATGTAGATACCCCATTTACCCTGCTGTGATTATTACGCATTATATGCCTATATCAAAATATCTCATGTATCTGTAAATATATATACCTACTATGTACCCATAAAAATTGAAAAAAATTACTGTTCACAAGTCTCACATTAATTTCAATGCATTTTTCTGTTCTTTATTGCTTCTCTTATTTATTTATTATTATTATTATTTTTTATTTTTTTGAGACAGAATCTCGCTCTGTCGCCAGGCTGGAGTGCAGTGGCGCGATCACGGCTCACTGCAACCTCTGCCTCCCAAGTTCAAGTGATTCTCCTGCCTCAGCCTCCCCGAGTAGCTGGGACTACACGCATGCCACCACACTGGGCTAATTTTTGTATTTTTAGTAGAGATGGGGTTTCATCATGTTGGCCAGGATGGTCTTGATCTTCTGACCCTGTGATCCGCCCACCTCAGCCTCCCAAAGTGCTGGGATTACAGGCATGAGCCCCCACGCCTGGCCTGTTTCTGTTTTTTATAAGATTAATTTCCCTGTACTTGTTTTTTTTTTTTTTTGAGACATGGTCTCACTCTGTCACCCAGGCTGGAGTGCAGTGATGCAATCACTGCTCACTGCAACCTTGACCTCCCAGGCTCAAGTGATCCTCCCACCTCAGCCTCCCAAGTAGCTGGGCTAATTTTTTAACTTTTTGTAGACATAGGGTCTCCCTGTGTTGCTCAGGCTGGTCTGAGACTCATGGCCTCAAGCAATCCTCCCACTTTGGCCTCCTAAATTATTGGGATTACAGGTGTAAGCCACTGCACCTGGCCTCCCTTTACTTTTTGTGAAGCATTACATAACTGTACATAAAACTTATAGGCATAGCTTTAAACGTTAATCACCAAGTGGACAGTTTTGTAACCAATCCCAAAACGAAATAGAATATTGCCAATTCCTTAGATGCTCTGTTCTTCCCCACACATCTCACTCCCCTAATAAGTTAAATAGTTCTTATGTTTGTAATAAAACATTCTCTTATTTTTCTTTATAGTTTTGCCATCTAGCTATATGTAGATTCCCTAAAAAATGTATTAATATTACCTGCTTCTGCCTGTTTTCAAAATTTTTTAATAAATTGAATGATCCTCTAAGTGTTCTTCTGAGACTTCCATCTTTAGGTCAGGGCCATGTTTAATATTCATCTACTTTGATGATATAGTCATAATTTGTTCATTTTCAATCCTTTATAGAATTCAACTGACATAGATATACTATAATTTATGTAATTTCAACATTTATATTGTTTACATAGTTTTTCCTATTACGAACAATGCTGTCATGAATATTCTCAGTGTTGCTATGAGCAATTCTTTTTTTAGACAGTGTCGCTCTGTTGGTGCAATCTCAGCTCACTGCAACTTCTGCCTCCTGGGTTCAAGGGATTCTCGTGCCTCAGCCTCCCCAGTAACTGGGACTTTGTCGTGCACCACCATGCCTGGCTATTTTTTTTTTTTTTTGTATTTTCAGTAGAGATGGGGTTTCATCATGTTGGCTAGGCAGTTCTCCAACTCCTGGCCTCAAGTGATCTGCCTTCCTCAACCTCCCAAAGTGTTGGGATTACAGGCATGAGCTACCGCTCTGGGCTGAGCAATTCTTTATACAATGAGTTTCTCTTGAAGTTAAGTTGCTGGGTGGCAGAGTATACATTATCGGTTTTTTTTTTGTTTGTTTTTTTTTTTTTTTTTTTGAAATGGAGTCTCGCTCTTGTTGCCCAGGCTGGAGTGCAATGGCGTGATCTCAGCTCACTGCAACCCTCTGCCTCCCGGGTTCAAGCTATTTTCCTGCCTCAGCCTCCCAAGTAGCTGGGACTACAGGCATGTTCCACCACACCCGGCTAATTTTGTATTTTCAGTGGAGATGGGGTTTCACCATGTTTGTCAGGCTGGCCTCGAACTCCTGACCTCAGGTGATTCACCTGCCCTTGGCCTCCCAAAGTGTTGGGATTACAGGCATGAACCACCGTGCCCAGCCTGAGTATACATTATGTTAACCGTTACTACATAATATGAAATTATGTTTCAAAGATTTGTTTCAGATTATCCTGCTGCCCTTCAGGATAAATTAGAGAGTTCTTATTGCTGTACATTCTTGTCAGCACTTGGTTATCACAATTTAAATTATTTGCCAATCAGATGAGTTGCAGTGCATTTTTAACTACTTAAACCTCTAATATTTATGGTGGGGTCTTGATTTGAGAGCAAAGTAAATTCTTAATTTTTAAACATATTCTTAATAATTTGTCTTTTCTGAATTATAAATTCTGAATTGGTGGTATCTGAATTGTTAATGGAAATACAATAGAGAGTTTGTGTAATTTCATGTGTAATTATTTAGATTGTTTCTCTCTGTGAGAATAGATATACACAGCTTCAGTTATGATGTAGAAAATTTAGTCGGGTAGAAGTGGTGCCGAAGATTTACTCAGCAAAGATTTACTTTGCTTAATTTGGCAACTGTTCAAAATTCCACATAGCCTCATATACTTGGCACTGAGGAATAGGCATAAATGTATTTTTATGAGCATTGACCTATTCAGGACATATGCTTTCCTCAGATGTTAAACATACTATCATTTTGTGTGTTGTACTTTAATTAAAGGACAAATTAAAGAGTAGTCTAAAATCTTACAGTCAGGAAAAAAAAATGCCAGCTTTAAAATTTCCTTATTTGTTTCTTAAATTTACTTTTCATTTTTATCAAAGTTAAGCAAATACAAAGGCTCAAGGAATTCCCACACTCCTCTGTAGTGCCTTGTATCTCCTTGACCTCCCATTAACCATCTAGCTTTCTTGATCTTTCGAGGCAACAAGGCTCAACTTTTTTAGCATTTTGTTTGGAACTTACCTTCCATATGCTTTTACTGTTACTTTTTGATTTTATTGTAAAATATACATAACATAAAATATGTCATTTTAACCATTAAAAGTTTTTTTCTTTCCAACTTTTATTTTAGGATTGGGGGTACATGTTACATGGGTAAATTACATGTCACATTGCTTTGGTTTACAGATTATTTCATCACCTAGGTAATAAACATAGCACCCAATAGGTAGTTTTCTGATCCTCACTCTCCTCCCACCCTCAAACCTCAAGCAGGCCCCAGTGTCTGTTGTTCCCTTCTTTGTGTTCATGTGTATTCAGTGTTTAGCTCCCACTTATACATGAGAACACGTGGTATTTGGTTTTCTGTTCCTGCTTAGAATGATGGCCTCCAGCTCCATCCATGTTGCTGCAGAGGGCATGATTTCATTCTTTTTTTAAGGCTGCATAGTATACCATGGTGTATGGAATTTATATTTTCTTTATCTTGTCCACCATTGATGGGCATCTAGGTTGATTCCATATCTTTGCTATTGTGAACAGTGCTGCAGTGAACATACATGTGCATGTGTCTTTATGTTAGAATTTTGAATTCCTTTAGTTATATACCCAGTCATGGGATTGCTGTGTTGAATAGTAGTTCTATTTTAAGTTATTTGAGAAATCTCCAAACTGCTTTGCATAGTGCCTGAACTATTAATAATTTACATACCCATTAACTATGTTAATCATTCCCTTTTCTCTGCAGCCTCGTCAACGTCTGTTATGTTTTGACTTTTTAATAATAGCCATTCTGACTGGTGTGAGATGGTATCTCACTGTGGTTTTGATTTGCATTTCTCTAATGATCAGTGATGTTGAGCATTTTTTAATATGCTTGTTGGTCACGTATATGTCTTCTTTCGAAAAGTGTCTGTTCATGTCCTCTGCCCATTTTTAAATGAGGTTGGTTGTTGCTTGTTGATTTAAGTTCCTTATAGATCTTAGACATTAGGCCATTGTTAGATGCATAGTTTGCAAACATTTTCTCCCATTCTGTAGGTTGTGTGTTTACTCTATTGATAGTTTCTTTTACTGTGCAGAAGCTCCTTAGTTTAATTAGGTCCCACTTGCCAATTTTTTGCTTTTGTTGCAATTGCTTTTGGAGTCTTCATCATGAAATCTTTGCTAGGGCTGATGTCCAGAATGGTATTTCCTAGGTTTTTTTTTCTATGGGTTTTATAGTTTTAGGTTTTACATTTAAGTCTTTAATCCATCTTGAGTTGATTTTTGTATTTGGTGTAAGGAAGGGTTCCACTTTCAATCTTCTGCATATGACTAGCCAGTTACTGTAGCACCATTTATTGAATAGGGAGTCCTTTTCCCATTACTTGTTATTGTCATCTTTGTCTAAGATCAGATGGTTGTAGGTGTGTGGCTTTATTTCTGGATTCTCTAACCTGCTCCATTGTATATGTGTCTGTTTTTGTACCAGTATCATGTTGTTTGATATCATGTTGTTTTGGTTACTGTAGCCTTGTCGTATTGTTTGAAGCTGGGTAATGTCATTTGCCTGGCTCTGTTCTTTTTACTTGGGATTGTTTTGGCTATTCAGGCTCTTTTTTGGCTCCATGTGAATTTTATTTATTTATTTATTTATTTATTTATTTATTTATTTATTTATTTGAGACAGAACAGAGTCTCACTCTTGTTGCCCAGGCTGGAGTGCAGTGGCACAATCTCAGCTCACTGCAACCTCTGCCTCCTGGTTCAAGTGATTCTCCTGCCTCAGCCTCCCGGGTAGCAGGGATTACAGGTGTGCGCCACCATGCCTGTCTAATTTTTGTATTTTTAGTAGAGATGGGGTTTCACCATATTGGCAAGGCTGGTGTCGAACTCCTGACCTCAGGTGATCTGCTTGCCTTGGCCTCCCAAAGTGCTGGGATTACAGGCGTAAGTCACCGTGCCTGGCCCATGTGAATTTTAGAATAGGTGTTTTCTAATTCTGTGAAAAAGGTATTGATAGTTTGATAGGAATAGCATTAAATCTGTAAATTGCTTTGGGCAGTATGACCATTTTAACAGTATCGACTCTTATTCATGAGCATGGAATGTTTTTCCATTTATTTGTATCATCTCTAATTTTGTTCAGCATGTTTTGTCATTCTCATTGTAGAGCTCTTTTGCCTCCCTGGTTAGCTGTATTCCTTGGTATTTTATCCCATTTTGTGAATGGGATTGCATTCTTGATTTGGCTCTTAGCTAGGACATTATTAGTGTATAGAAATGCTGCTGATTTTTGAACATTGATTTTGTATCCTGAAACTTTGCTGAAGTTAGTTATCAGATCTAGGAGCCTTTAGACAGAGACTACAGGGTTTTGTGGGTATAGCATCATATCATCTGTGAAGAGAGATAGTTTGACTTCTCTTCCTATTTGTATGTCTTTTATTTCTTTCTCTTGTCTGATTGCTCTGGCTAGGACTTCCTTTTAACCATTTTAAAGTTTATGGGGCATTAACCATATTCACATTATTGTGCAACAATCACCACCTTTGCTGTTACTTCTTAAAGTGTTATCCAATGTCTTCCTGCAATGAAAGATGAGGATTTAACTCTTTTCCCCTTTTCTGGCACATATGCACACTTTCTGTACTTTCATTCTCCCAATGTAATTATATCATAATTCTTGTTAGAATTGTTTATATTAGTATTACTCTGAAAATGCAGTTCACAGCTGAATCATTTGGTATACCATGATAACTTTTCCTTTCTTGTAAAACCTTGTTTTCCCCTGAATTAATAATCATTCTTCCCCCTTTTTTGTTTTCTATGTATTTATCACAAATTCATTTTTAAATTGTTCCCCAATTATCTAAACTTCCCTCTCATTACATTTGAAACACGTTGAGTATTTTGTAAATGTCTTCTTGATGACACCTTTTCTGATTGGGTTTAATTAGGATTGAGCGCTCGTTCCCCTTATGCAGTTTTTCATCTTAAAATCTCCCTTCCTCATCAGTCTGAAAATTCCCTTTGCCTATGTTTTGCGTTGAATTCTGGTTTTTGATTCCATATCTTCTTCATTCTTTATTTATTCCCTTGTTTTGGTGGTATACTTTCTCAAGCAGCTTCCCGAGAAAGGGTGAATGGGAATGCCACAAGTCTGAAAAATACCTTTTTCTTCTGCCTAATTCTTGATAGTTTGACTTGTTATAGAATGCTAGGTTAGAAATAATTTTCCTTCAAATTTTGCTTGGTTTCTGCCTTGGTTGCCTTTTTTTCAATTGCAAGCTGTTCTGAATCCTAATCATTAATAGGTAAAAACATATATATATATATATATATATATATATATGTATGTATGTATATGCGTGTGGTGTGTGTGTGTATGTATATGTGTGTATATATGTGAGTGTGTATATATATATTTTTTTCTTTTTTTTTTTGAGACAGGGTCTTGCTGTGTCACTCAGGCTAGAGTGCAGTGGCACAATCATGACTCACTGCAACCTTGACCCCCTGAGCTCAATTGATCCTCTCACATCAGCCTCCTGAGTAGCTGGGATTGTAGGCATGTGTTACCATGCCTGGCTACTTTTTTTTTTTTTTTTTTTTTTCCGAGATGGAGTCTTGCTCTTGTCGCCCAAGCCAGAGTGCAATGGCACAATCTTGGCTCGCTGCAATCTCTGCCTTCCGGGTTCAAGCTATTCTCTTGCCTCAGCCTCCCAAGTAGCTGGGATTACAGGCGTCCGCCACCATGCCCGGCTAATTTTTGTATTTTTAGTAGAGATGGCATTTCGCCATGTTGACCAGGCTGGTCTCGAACTCCTGACCTCATGATCCGCCAGCCTTGGCCTCCCAAAGTGCTGGAGTTACAGGCGTGAGCCACTGCACCCAGCCTATATTTTTACCTTTTTAGAGATGGTGTCTCCCATGTTTCCGAGGCTGGTCTCGAACTCCTGGGCTCAAGCAGTCCTGCCACCTCAGCTTCCTAAAGTGCTGGTATTATAGGTGTGAGCCACTGCACCTGGCCAATATTTTCTGTTTTATCTTCCAGTCCTTTTATTGAGTTTATTTTTGCTTTCTTATTTCTGATTTTCAAGAACTTTTTTTCTCTTTGTTCTTTTTTTTATTTTTAAAATTACTCTCTTTGTTTTATTGATGCAGTGTCTTATCTGAGGATATTAATGATAGTATTTTAAAATCTTGATTGATGTTTAAAGGGAATGAAAGAGAAATCAATGAACTTATTGTTCATGTAGCACAGTTGAAAATTTCTCTTCGAGCATTCAAAGTTCAAAGAAAATATAGCTTCCTTATTTTTTGTAGTGGCTCTAATCTTTCACAAGCCTGTTACTCAGTTACAGTAGTGGTAGGCAAGGAGAGGCTTAAGGTATTAGCTTAAATTTGCCAGTTAACGTCTTTCTCATTAGGGAATTCAGCTTCTTTCAGGTATATGCTCAGTCTTTCGGGTATCCTCCCTTTCCTTTTCCCTCCACTGTGCCTCAGTATGCTGTTTTAACTGCTACAGGGTCGTCCCTATGTGATTTTGTGATGATGATAGAGTGTGTCTTGGAATTGTGGCCAGTCATTAAGGAGTATGTGCTCTACAAAGCTTCTCTAGTCTTGTCCTGAACTGTTTTGACTGCCTAAATGGAACTGGTTTCTCTGTCCCTTAGGAGCTTATAGAACTAATGGATTCTCTCTATATATGGAGGCCATACAAAAGCAGGGGTATTGACCCAAGCCCATTTGTTTCCTCTGCTAAGGCTGTTATTCCTCCCCCCAAACCATATTGTCCCAGGACCATCCTACATGATGGTCTAGATGCAGTGTTTCACATGTGGAGCTAGGCAAAACTCTCTCCTACTTTTGATTTTTCCCTTGTTTACCTACTAGGGATAAATGGAGTAAGCTTTCCACTTTCCCCCTGTGTTTGGAAGGTCCTTTATTTCATAGCCCTTTCTTTTCCAAAGTAGTGTTTGTCCCAGCCCCCTAACTGGAGACATAATGGCAGATGTGGTATAAGGAAAAATATTTTCCATTAAGGGAAAATCTAAAAATATTATTCTAGTTATATTAATTAATCATTTCATTATATAGCAGGAAAAATTTTGTCATCTCTTTTAAAAATGATTTCAGCCCTTCTAATTTTTTCCATCTTTAATAGTAAATATACTTTTCCAAACTTGAATCAGCCATTCTCAGTTATGATTTGTGAAATGTAATCTGAAAACAAAATTTGAAATTAGTAAGCAGTTAGTAAAGAACTCTTTTTATAGTCTTATGACATTTCCAGAGCTTGGCTGGGAAGTGCAGATTTCATTATAGCTGTTTTTCATTTGGGAACTCTTGGATTTGATCTCGTTCTTTGAAAGATGGATTATGTGAATATGTGTGTGCAGAATATATCAAAATGTGTAATCAAGGAATCCCTTTTGATAGTGTTCTAGCACTTCAGGACTAAACACTCTAAGTACTATATGTTACTTTTTCTTTAATATCCTTTTCAGGAATCATAAAGTAGCCTCTTTGGTACATTTTGGTGCAGTTTAATTTCATGTGGAAACTTGGGTAGATTAAAATTTTTCTTAATTTTTTTTTCTGGGGACATAGGGAGCATAGCCATGTCTTACCTAGGTATATTGTTTCTATTGTCTTCCCAGCTTATGAGAGTAATACTTGGTTTCTGCTGTAGATTATTAAGTTGTTAACCTAGAGAACTGTACTGTATGTGAATGAGCCTCATCGAATATAGTAGGGATCTTCACTTTTGGCAGGCAGTCATATTCCTCTTTGAGAATCTGATGATGGCTATTGGTCAACTTCCCTTCCTGTGCCTCCCTCCTCCCACCCCCAAATAGTACATAAACACATTTGTTTTTACTTTCATTTTTTTGCATTGGAATTATATAATTTATATATAAATTACATATAAATTTATTTATATAATAAATTATAAATTTATATATAAAATATATATAAAATATATAAAAAATTATAAATTATATATAAATTGAGACCAGTGGTTCTCAAGATTGATAGCAGAGGTGGGGCCAGGTAAGATGATTGGGGGTTGTGTAACGTGGGGAGAGGAGAGGGATCAGAATGATCTGGGGTTCCTTGAAGTATTCTAATATATCTTGTTAGATAGGTATACCTAGATATTTGATAATCATTGTTACAGTGAGCCACTATTCTCAATGCACTGTATAGTATTGTTGAGATGTTCAGAGTGGGGTGGAAAACCACGGAATACTGCTATCACAGACAAAAATATAACAACTATCTATAATATGTTAGTGTCATTATAATGTAAAAATTAGTAAATTAATGGTTACTTTCTTTAAAAATTGAAATAAAACCAAATTGGACAAATAAAACAAAAGTCTGAATTTAGTGGTGGAAAAGTCACTAAAATTAAAAAGTATTTTCTGAAGTTTGATGTGGTATCTTGTAAGATCTTGTAAGATCTTTGACATCTGATTTCAACCTTAAGTTTAAAATATTATTTATTAAAAAATTTTACACTTAAATAATTGAAGTAAAATTGACATTACTCAAAATTAATCATTTTAAAGTAAACAATTCATGGGATTTAGTGTATTCACAATATTATACAGCAGCCAACTTTAGTTCCAAAACATTTTCATCGCCCCAAAAGGAAGTCCCATATGCATTAAGCATTTGCTCCCCATTTCCTCTTCCATCAGCCCCTGGCAACCACCAATCTACATTCTGTAGATTTACCTATTCTGGGTATTTAATATAAACAGAGTCATGTAATATGTGATTATTTGTATCTGGTTTCTTGCACTTAGTGTAATGTTTTGGAGGTTCATGTACATTATAGTGTACTACATTCCTTTTTATTGCTGAATAATATTTCTTTGTGTGTGTATATTACAATTCATTTATCCATTCATTCGTTAATGGACAGTTGGGCTGTTTTCACCTTTTGGCTATTGTGAATAATAATGCTGTCACGAACATGTATGTACATGTATTTGTTTGAGTTTCACTTCTTTTGGGTATATACCTAGGCATGGAATTGCTGACTTATATAGTAATTCTATGTTTGACTCTTTGGGAAACTGTCAGACTTTTTTCTACAGCAGTTGCATCATTTTACATCCCACCAGCAATCTACAAGGGTTCCAATTTCTCCATAACCAACACTTTTTATTTTCCATTTTTAAAATTATAGTCAGTCTAGTAGGTGTAAGGTGGTACCTTATTGTGGTTTTGATTTGCATTGATTGATGCAAATCAACTAATGATGTTGAACATCATTTCATGTGCTTGTTGCTGTTTATCTTCTTTGGATTAATCTTTGGTTTTGATGATAAGAATTATTAAGCAGTTCTTACAATTGACTCACACAGGTATATGGTTGCAAAGCAAATCACTGCAGTTCTTATTTGCTTTGCCAAGAATTACTTACCTTATATGAAGGAATCCAAGAAATTTAGAAGACTTTTGATTTAAATTTATTTTATATTAATTTCTCTTTCCTCAAGTCAATCAGGTTATCTTTAGCAAGTTCATAGCATCATTGACATTTTCTGTGGCAGTAAGAAAGGGATGACAAATATACATTTTCAATGTAAGGTCATTGAGCAAAAAACTTTAAAAAAATGTTAGTTTAAAATATTTCTATAGATTCTATTTTTTGTATATTTTTTCTATCTTATTCTTCTTCTTATTATTTTGAGGCAGAGTCTGGCCCTGTCACCCAGGTTGGAGTGTAGTGGCTCCATCTCAGGTCACTGCAACCTCTGCCTCCTGAGCTCAAGCGACCCTCCTGCCTCACCCTCCTAAGTAGCTGGGACTACAGGTACACGCCACCACACCTGGCAAATATTTGTATTTTTTGTAGAGACAGGGTTTTGCTATGTTGCCCAGGCTGGTCTCAAACTCCTGAACTCAAGTGATCCGTCTGCCTCAGCCTCCCAAAATGCTGGGATTACAGGCATGAGCCACTGTGCTGGCCCATTTCTGTCTATCTTAAAACACTTCAAAACCCTTCCTCTGATGAAGTAATTGACTTTCATGTCAGAAGGCAAGACTTCTTTTGTGCTTTTGGCAATTTTTGATGGTAAGATTTGTGAGCTGGTTGTTTAGCTATTGTTTGTCAGCTCCAAACCTGCCCTTCTATTCTCTTTATGTTACTAGTGTGGGACTGGACAAACTACATTTCTTTTTTTTTCAGCTACTCCCTTCTACCAGTACAAGGTGCTTAGATAATGGAAGTCAAAAAATAGGAGAAGGTACATGCTCATTCTTGTTTACTTATTGTGTGTTAGTTTCACTTCTACGGTGGTTCTTCACCCTGGCAGTGGCAATTGGTTTGAGACTCTGTATTTTACTGTCCTTGGACCCAACCTTACCTTGTCCTCTCAGAAATACCAGCACCAGCTAGTCTTCATGACAGTGTCTCTAAAACTCACCTTTACACATCAGAAACAGAAAAATAACTTTTGTTTTGCTCAAACACCTATACTTTTATACATCTATAATGGAGAAATTGAAAGCATCTATAATGGAGAAATTGAAAGCATTGCTATGGCTAGTCCTCTAGGAAGCCATTTTTCGTTAGCCTGAAAGAGAGTGGTTATATTTTTTATTCTCTTCTCCATGTACTACATAATTTTGTTTTCCATGCAATTTTTTTCCTCATTACTTATATTCAAAGTACTTAATTACTATGCTTTAGTATTTTAAAGGTGATCTAAGTGTCTAATTCACCTTTTTGTGTGAGTGTGAATTTTCATGATTCACTTGGGAATTCCATAAGTATTTGAGTATGCCATATGTGTCAAATACTGTGTTAGATAGTAGAGATATAATGGTATACAAATCAGACATAGTCACTGCCTTCAAGGAATATGTATTTTGTCAGGGCCAACATACTGAGTAATTACAAAATTAATACTTTATGATAGAGAAAAGACAAACTACTATAAGAAAATATGGCAAGGAGATTAATCATAGTAAACCTAGTTGAATGATTTAAAAAAAAGCCTTTCTGAAGTACTATTTAAGACGAGAGTTGAAAGCATAAGTAAGGGTTAGCTAAGTATGAGGAGGAAAGGATATGGAAGAATGTTCCAGGCTTAGCATTGAGAGTGTGAAAACAGTGGTTCCAGTTGAGGCAGGAACCATATCACAATGGGTTTTATAATTCATGTTAAATAGGTTGGAATTTACCTAAGAGGCGATGGGGAACTGTTGAGGTGTTTTTCACAGGGGAATGACATTATATCTATTAAATACCTACTGCATGTCAAGTGCTGTTCTAGACACTGGGGATCTAGAAGTGATCATGACAGAGTCCCTGCCTTCTGCAATTTTCCTTCTATGCAGGAAACAGACAAATAAATATAAAGTATATTTTCAGTAACCTTAAGTGCTATAGAAGAAACAAAGTCATGTAAGGAGTTATAAAATGAAGGAGATGGCCGGGCGTGGTGTCTCACGCCTGTAATCCCAGCACTTTGGGAGGCCGAGGTGGGTGGATCACAAGGTCAGGAGATCAAGACCATCCTGGCCAACACGGTGAAACCCCGTCTCTACTAAAAATACAAAAAAAAATTGGCCGGGCGTGGCGGTGGGTGCCTGTAGTCCCAGCTACTCTGGAGGCTGAGGCAGGAGAATGGCATGAACCCGGGAGGCGGAGCTTGCAGTGAGCCTAGATTGCGCCACTGCACTCCAGCCTGGGTGACTGAGCGAGACTCCGTCTCAAAAAAAAAAAAAAAAAAAGAAAATGAAGGAGAGAGGCCAGGCATGGTGGCTCATGCCTGTAATCCCAGCACATTGGGAGGCCGAGGTGGGCAGATCACTTGAGGTCAGGAGCTCGAGACCAGCCTGGCCAACATGGTGAAACCCTATCTCTACTAAAATTACAAAAATTAGCTGGGCATGGTGGCGGGTGCCTGTTGTCCCAGCTACTTGGGAGGCTGAGGCAGGAGAATCACTTGAACCCAGGAGGAGGAGGTTGGAGTGAGCCGAGACATGCCACTGCACTCCAGCCTGGGTGACAGAGGGAGACTCTGTCTCAAACAAACAAACAAACAAAAAAAAGAAAATGAAGGAGAGGTAGCAATTTTAGGTAGAAATGTCAGGGAAGTTCACCCTGAGGAGGTCATCTGAGAAGGCCTCTTTGATTAGGTAACATTTGAGCAGAGACCTGAATGAAGTAAGGAAGTGAGTCATATGAAGATCTGGGGAAAGCATGTCCCAGGAAGAGAAAACAGACAGTTCCTTGGGTGGGAATGATTATGTATGGGAAAAACTGCAGAAAGTTTGTGAGTGTGAAGAGAGATAAGAGATGAGGTCAGAGAGGTAGGAGGGCCCAAGTCATAAGTTACAGGACCTTGTAAGCCATGATAAGATGTTGGATTTTATTTTAAATATGATTAGAAGCCATTGGAAAGTTTTGAGCAGGGAACCAAAGTGACTTATGTTTTGGAAAGGTCATTCTGGTGGCTGGCAGAGAATAAGTAAAAAGTGGTAAGGCTAGAAGCAGGAAGGTCAATTAGAGCGCTGTTGCTGCAATCCAGGAAAGAAATGATAACTTAGACTAGGGTGATAACTGTTGAGGTGGTAAAAACAGCTGGATTTAGGATATGTTTTCCAGATAGCATCAAGTAGGATTTGGAGGGATTTGAATTTGGGTTGTGAAAGAAAGCGAGGAATCAAGGATGACTCAGAGGTCCTTAACCTGTGCTGCTGGGTGAATGCTGATGCCAGTTCTGAGACAGGAAGGAATGAAGGAGAAATTCTTTTTTTGGAGGGGAGTAATACAAAGCCAAGAGTTCTGTTTTAGATATTAAATTTGAGATTCCTCTTAGACATCCAATTGGAGAAGACAAATAGGTATTTGGGCCCATGGGAGAGATCAGGGCTCAAGCTATAAATCTGAGATTTGCCAGCACATAGGTGGTAGTTAAAGCCATAATAAAACTTGATGAGATACTTAGAGAGTGTTTGTATAGAAGAGAGAAGACTGAGGACTGAGTCTTGTGGCACTTCAACATTCAGAATTTAGGAAAAGATGGGAATATCAGCAAAGGAGCCTGAGGAGGAGCAGCGAATGTGGTAAGAGAAAAAACTGGAGAACGTGATATCCTAGAAGCTAAGTGAAGGAGAGAATGACCCGTTGTGTCAAATACTAAGATTATGTCCTGAAGAAAGACCACTTTGGTTATAGGATGGATGATGGACTACAGAGAGGCAAGACTGTAGGTGGGGAAATAGATGCTGTTGCTCTACTTAGGGGAGAAATGATAAATATTGTCTTAGGCCGGGGTGGTGGCAGTTGGGATGGAGTGTGGTAGATAAATTCAGCAGGCAGAATTAGTAGACTTGGTAATTGGGTATGGGCTGAATGTTATAGGTCTTAAGTTTAACTTCGTAAATGATTGAACTTTAAAAACTATAGTACTCGAATGAGTAAATAAAAAACTGAAGTTACTGTGGCTGGAGTACTTTCGGATTCTTTGGAGACTGAGATTTTTAGTATTATTTGAACTGATCTTGGTTGTACAAGTTTGGCTAAGTGAAACTAATGACATTTTAACTGACATTTTGGATTAGGGCATATCAATTGATCTTTGTAGAAAAACTGTTTCTAAGCATATGGATAAGATAAAGATATCTAGGGGCATGCATGATTAATGAAATCATGTGAACCATTTTCAAGCAGTCATTTTTGAGCAGGCCCTCTACATATCAACTCTTTTTGGGTCATCATTCACTTGGAAATAAATAAACCGAAATTCTCTCTTTTTTTTTTTTGAGATGGAGTCTTGCTTTTGTTGCCCAGGCTGGAGTGCAGTGGCGTGATCTCGGCTCACTGCAATCCCCGCCTCCCGGGTTCAAGCTATTCTCCTGCCTTAGCCTCCTGAGTAGCTGGGATTACAGGTGCCCGCCACCATACCCAGCTAATTTTTGTACTTTTAGTAGAGACAGGGTTTTGCCATGTTGGCCAGGCTGGTCTGTTTTGATCTCCTGACCTCAGGTGATTCGCCTGTCTTGGCCTCCCAAAGTGCTGGGATTACAGGCATGAGCCACTGTGCCCGGCCAGAAATGGAAATTCTTTAGGATAATCTATTATGAAGTATTTACAATATATCTTTTTTTCTTTTTTATTTTTTTGAGATGGAGTTTCACTCTTGTTGCCCAGGCTGGAGTGCAGTGGTGCGATCTCAGCTCACTGCAACCTCCGCCTCCGGGGTTCAAGCGATTCTCCTGCCTCAGCATCCCAAGTAGCTGGGATTACAGGCATGCGCCACCATGCCCGGCTAATATTTTGTATTTTTAGTAGAGACAGGGTTGCACCATGTTGGTCAGGCTGGTCTTGAACTCCTGACCTCAGGTGATCCACCTGCCTCTGCCTCCCAAAGTACTGGGATTACAGGCGTGAGCCACTGCGCCTGGCCAATATTTTTGACATGCTGAATCCTCACTTTATCCACATCAGTGAGGTACTACTTGACAAAAATACCCCAACATTTTTGGTTTCTTGGTGACAGTTTACATCTTACCATGTAAATGAACTCTGAATAACAAATTACTTATGATAAATGTTAAATTAGTCCATGATAGTTCCTCTGGAATTATTTATCAAGTAAAAGATGAGCATAGATAAGGAAAGGATTTGGGTATTTCACCTTCGGAAGAATAACAGACAAGTTAGGTTATAGGAACCTTTCACAACAAACCACTGACGAATGCATTGCTGGACTTGTAGAAATTAAGTGAAATTATACAATGTTTATCAAAAGTAAAAAAATCAAAATAAAAACGATGACAAAATTACAGCTAAAAATTATGAACTAAGACTGGAACAGTAAAAAATGATCATGAAAGGTAGCCTTGGAGGTAAATGTTTATATCAGCATGGCAGTGGGAAGCCTTAGGTAGGTAACAAGATAAGAAAGCTGAATATGAAATTCTAGCCTTAAGCCAGGGACACTTGAAGGGAACCAGAGAAGATTGATAGAGCCCATAGTTCCTGGAAGAAGCAAATATAAATTCTCTCTCTGAAGGAAAACCTTCTTCATTTACCACCTAGGATTCTCTGTTTAAGATCAACTAGATTTGAAGTCACAATCCAAGATGACCAAATACAGAAGGAGACAAATCATTATTAAGGAGTTGGCTGAAAAATACAACAGACCCCAAGAACTTAAGATATTGAAGGGATCAGGTATAGAATATTAAATAACTATGCATAAAATATTTAAAGATACAAGAGAGGAACTCACAAAAATGAGCGAGCAGCAAGAGAGTATCAAATATGACCAAGAAGATTTGAAAATGTACCAAATAGAATGTCTGTACATGAAAAATGTAGTTGTTGGAATAAAAACCTCCAGATTGGTTAAATAGCAGCTTAAACCTAGCTTCAGAGAGAATTAGTGAACTAGAAGATGGTTTGAAGAAATCACAAAGAATGTAGCACAGAGGCAGAGAAATGGAATATATGACAGAGAGGTTAGGAGAAATGGAATATGAAGGTTTAATGTAAGTCTCTAGTCAGAATCCCAGAAAGCAAGACAAGAAAATGCAGGAGAGACAATATTGGAAGAGATAATGGCTGAAAATTTTCTAAAATTATTGAAAGACTTGAATTTATAGATATAGAAAAGCTCAACTTTGACAAAGCAGAATAATTAAACCCACACCTGAAGATACTGTAGGTGAAACTGTGTCTGGTAACCAGCCTCCAAGATGATCCCGAATGATTCTTTCTTTCACACCCTTATATTGTCCTCACTCACACTTAATGGGGCTGAATTTCATAACTAATAGGGTATTGTGCAAATGAAGGGGTGTGACGTTGGAGGTTAAGTCATGAAAGGCATTGTGGCTTCCACCTTGCCCATTCTTGGATCACTCACTCTGGATGAAGCCAATCACCATGTTGTGAGGTCACTCAGGCAACCCATGGAAAAGCCCTACTGGAGAAGAATTGAGCCCTCCTGCCAATAACCAGCATCAGCTTATGAGGCATGAGTGAGCTACCTTGGAAGTGTATCCTTCTGCCCTGGCCAGCCCTTCAGATGATTATAGCTCTAGCTAGCATCTCAGCTGCAGCCTCATAAAATACCTTCAGCCAGAATCAGCCAGCTAAGCTGCTTCTGAGTTCTTGAGCCACAGAAACTGTGGAATAATAGGTGTTTATTGTTTTAAGCCGCTGTGTTTTGGGGATAACTTCTCATGCAGCATTACATACCTAATATACTAAAGAACATCAAAGACAATGAGAAAAATCTTAAAAGTAACCAGAAAGAAAAGATGGATTACTTAGAGAGTAACAACACTTGGACTGATGTTAGATTTCTCAGTAGCAAACGTGGAAGCTATAGTATCTGCATGCATAGTGTGGAGGAAAGTATCAGTTGGCCTAGTGTTATATATTTAGAAAAATGATCTTTTAAGAATGAAAGAGAAATAGGGCTTTTTTTTTGAGACAGGGTCTTGCTGTGTTGCCCAGGCTGGGGTGCAGTGGTGCGATCTTGGCTCACTGCAACCTCTGCCTCCCGAGTTCAAGTGATTCTCCTGCCTCAGCCCCCCTGAGTAGCTGGGACTACAGAGATGTGCCACCATGCCCAGCTAATTTTGTATTTTTAGTAGAGACGGGGTTTTACTATGTTGGCCAGGCTGGTCTTGAACTCCTGACCTCATGTGATCCACCCTCCTTGGCCTCCCAAAGTGCTGGGATTACAGGCATGAGCCACTGTGCCCAGCTGAAAAATAGGGCATTTTTTTTTTTTAATAAACCAAAACTGAGTTTTCCATGAACCCTTCACTAAAGGGTATATTTTATGGCGAAGGAAAATGATCTCAGAAAAGTCTGATATATGATGATGAGCAACAAAATTAGTAAACATGTGGATAAATGTAAATAAGAATTATCTGTATAAAAGAGTAGCATCTAATTTGTGGGATTAAAAAAGACATAACTAAAATATTGCATTTAAAAATTTATTTCAATAGGTTTTTGGGGAACAGTTGGTGTTTGGTTACATTAATAAGTACTTTAGTGGCGATTTCTGAGATTTTTGGTGCACCCATCGCCCGAGCAGCATGCCCAAAGTGTAGTCTTTTATCCCTCAGCACCCCCCACCCTTTCCCTGTAATCCCCAAAGTCCAATGTATCATTCTTATGCCTTTGTGTCCTCATAGCTTAGCTCCCACATATGAGTGAGAACATACAATGTTTGGTTTTCCATTCCTGAGTTACTTCACCTAGAATAATAGTCTCCAATTCCATTCAGGTTGCTGCAAATGCCATTATTTCATTCCTTTTTATGGCTGAGTAGTATTCCATGGTATAAAATATACCACATTTTCTTTATCTGCTCATTGATTGATGGGCATTTGGGCTGGTTCCGTATTTTTGCAATTAGAAATTGTGCTGCTATAAACATAGGTGTGCAAGTATCTTTTTGCATAATGACTTCTTTTCCTCTGGGTAGATACCTAGTAATGGGATTGCTGGATCAAACGGTAGATCTACTTTTAGTTGTTTAATGAGTCTCCACACTGTTTTCCCTAGTGATTGTACTGGTTTACATTCCCACCAACAGTGTAAAAGTGGTCCCTTTTCACTACATCCATGCCAACATCTATTATTTTTTCATTATGGCTATTCTTGCAGGAGTGAGGTGGTATTACATTGTGGTTTTGATTTGCATTTCCCTGATAATTAGTGATGTTGAGCATTTTTCCATATGCTTGTTGGCCATTTGTATATCTTCTTTTGAGAATTGTCTATTTATGTCTTCAGCTCACTTTTTGATGGGATTGTTTTTTTCTTGCTGATTTGTTTGAGTTCTGCATAGATTCTGAATATTAGTCCTTTGTTGGATATATAGATTGCGAAGACTTTTTCTCACTCCGTGGATTGTCTGTTAACTTTGCTGATTATTTCTTTCTTTTTTTTTCCTTTTAAAAGACGGAGTCTCACTCTGTTACCCAGGCTGGAGTAGAGTGGTACAATCTCGGCTCACAGCAACCTCCGCCTCCCAGGTTCAAGTGATTCTCCTGCCTCAGCCTCCCTAGTAGCTGGGATGACAGGTGTGTGCCACCACACCCGGTTAATTTTTGTATTTTTAGTAGAGATGGGGTTTCACCATGTTGGCCAGGCTGGTCTCGAACTCCTGACCTCAAGTGATCTGCTTGCCTCAGCCTCCCAAAGTGCTGGGATTACAGGTGTGAGTGTCTGTGCCAGACCTCTGCTGATTATTTCTTCTGCTGTGCAGAAGCTTTTAAGTTTAATTAAGTCCCATCAATGTATCTTATTTTGTTGATGCATTTGTGTTTGGGTTCTTGGTCATGAAGTGTTTGCCTAAGCCAGTGTCTAGAAGGGTTTTTCCAATGTTGTCTTCTAGAATCTTTATGGTTTCAGATCTTAGATTTAAGTCTTTGATTCATCTTTTTTTTTTTTTTTTAATTGATCATTCTTGGGTGTTTCTTGCAGAGGGGGATTTGGCAGGGTCATAGGACAATAGTGGAGGGAAGGTCAGCAGATAAACAAGTGAACAAAGGTCTCTGGTTTTCCTAGGCAGAGGACCCTGCGGCCTTCCGCAGTGTTTGTGTCCCTGGGTACTTGAGATTAGGGAGTGGTGATGACTCTTAACCAGCATGCTGCCTTCAAGCATCTGTTTAACAAAGCACATCTTGCCCCGCCCTTAATCCATTTAACCCTGAGTGGACACAGCACATGTTTCAGAGAGCACAGGGTTGGGGGTAAGGTCACAGATCAACAGGATCCCAAGGCAGAAGAATTTTTCTTAGTACAGAACAAAATGAAAAGTCTCCCATGTCTACTTCTTTCTACACAGACACGGCAACCATCCGATTTCTCAATCTTTTCCCCACCTTTCCCCCCTTTCTATTCCACAAAACTGCCACTGTCATCATGGCCCGTTCTCAATGAGCCGCTGGGCACACCTCCCAGACGGGGTGGTGGCCAGGCAGAGGGGCTCCTCACTTCCCAGCAGGGGCAGCCGGGCAGAGGTGCCCCTCACCTCCCGGACGGGGTGGCTGGCCGGGCGGGGGGCTGACCCCCTCACCTCCCTCCCGGACGGGGCAGTTGGCCTGGCGGGGGCTGACCCCCCACCTCCCTCCCGGACGGGGCGGCTGGCCTGGCGCGGGGGCTGACCCCCACCTCCCTCCCGGATGGGGTGGCTGCCGGGCGGAGACGCTCCTCACTTCCCAGACGGGGTGGCTGCCGGGCGGAGGGGCTCCTCACTTCTCAGACGGGGTGGCTGCCAGGCAGAGGGTCTCCTCACTTCTCAGACGGGGCGGCCGGGCAGAGACGCTCCTCGCCTCCCAGACGGGGTTGCGGCCGGGCAGAGGCGCTCCTCACATCCCAGACAGGGCGGCGGGGCAGAGGCGCTCCCCACATCTCAGACGATGGGCGGCCGGGCAGAGACGCTCCTCACTTCCTAGATGGGATGTCGGCTGGGAAGAGGGGCTCCTCACTTCCTAGATGGGATGGCGCTGGGCAGAGACGCTCCTCACTTTCCAGACTGGGCAGCCAGGCAGAGGGGCTCCTCACATCCCAGACGATGGGCGGCCAGGCAGAGACGCTCCTCACTTCCCAGACGGGGTGGCGGCCGGGCAGAGGCTGCAATCTTGGCACTTTGGGAGGCCAAGGCAGGCGGCTGGGAGGTAGAGGTTGCAGCGAGCGGAGATCACGCCACTGCACTCCAGCCTGGGCACCATTGAGCACTGAGTGAACGAGACTCCGTCTGCAATCCCGGCACCTCGGGAGGCCGAGGCTGGCGGATCACTCGCGGTTAGGAGCTGGAGACCAGCCCGGCCAACACAGCGAAACCCCGTCTCCACCAAAAAAATACGAAAACCAGTCAGGCATGGTGGCGCGCGCCTGCAATCACAGGCACTCGACAGGCTGAGGCAGGGGAATCAGGCAGGGAGGTTGCAGTGAGCTGAGATGGCGGCAGTACAGTCCAGCTTTGGCTCGGCATCAGAGGGAGACCGTGGAAAGAGAGGGAGAGGGAGACCGTGGGGAGAGGGGGAGGGGGAGGGGGAGGCGGAGAGGGAGAGGGAGAGGCTTTGATCCATCTTGAATTGATTTTTGTATAAGGTGAGAGATGAGGATCCAGTTTCATTCTTCTACCTGTGGCTTGACAGTTGTCCCAGCACCTTTTGTTGAATAGGTCGTCCTTTCCCCACTTTATGTTTTTGTTTACTTTGCCAAAGAACAGTTAGCTGTAAGTATTTGGGTTTATTTTTGGATTCTCCATTCTGTTTCATTGGTCTATGTGCCTATTTTTATACCAGTACCAGGCTGTTTTGGTGACTATGGCCTTATAGTATACTTTGAAGTCAGTAATGTGATACTTCTAGATTTGTTCTTTTTGCTTAGTCTTACGTGGCTATGCGGGCTCTTTTTTGGTTCCATATGAATTTTGGGATTTTTTTTCTCGTTCCGTGAAGATTTATGGTGATATTTTGATGGGAATTGCATTGAATTTGTAGATTGCTCTTGGCAAGATGGTCATTTTTGCAATATTGATTCTACTCATCCATGAGCATGGGTTGTGTTTCCATTTGTTTGTGTCATCTGTGATTTCTTTCAGCAGTATTTTGTAGTTTTCCTTGTAGAGGTCTTTCGCCTCCTTGGTTAGGTATATTCCTAAGTATTTTATTATTTTTTTTGTGGTTATCGTGAAGGGGGTTGAGTTTTTGATTTGATTCTCAGCTTAGTTGCTATTGGTGTATAGCAGAGCTACTGATTTGTGTGTATTAATTTTGTATCCTAAAACTTTGCTGAATTCATTTACCAGTTTTAGGAGCTTTTTGGATGAATCTTGAGGGTTCTCTAGGTATATGATCATATCATCAGCAAACAGTGACAGTTTGACTTCCTCCTTACTGATTTGGATGTGCTTTATTTTTTTCTCTTGTCTGATTGCTCTCGCTAGGACTTCCGGTACTATGTTGAATAGAAGTGGTGAAAGAGGACATCCTTGTCTTGTTCCAGTTCACAGGGGGAATGCTTTCAAGTTTTCTTTGTTAAGTGTAATGTTGGCTGTGGGTTTGTCGAAGATGGCTTTTATTACATTAAAGTATGTCCCTTCTATGCTGATTTTGCTGAGGGTTTTAGTCATAAAGAGATGCTGGATTTTATCAGATGCTTTTTCTGCATCTATTGAGATGATCATGTGATTTTTGCTTTCAACTCTGTTTATGTGGTATAACACATTTATTGACTTACATATGTTAAACCATCCTCATCCCTGGTATGAAACCACTTGGTCATGGTGGATTATCTTTTTGATATGCTGTTGGATTTGGTTTGCTAGTATTTTGTTGAGGATTTTTGCATCTATTTTCATCAGGGATATTGGTCTGTAGTTTTCTTTTTTTTGCTGTGTCCTTCCCCAGTTTTGTTATTAGGGTTATACTGACTTCATAGAATGATTTAGGAAGGATTCCCTCTTTCTCTATCTTTTGGAATAGTGTCAATAAGATTGGTAGCAATTCATCTTTGAGTGTCTAATAGAATTTAGCTGTGAATCTGCCTGGTGCTGGACTTTTTTTTGTTTACAATTTTAAAATTACCATTTCAATCTTGCTGCTGTTATTGGTCTGTCCCGAGATTCTATATCTTCCCGGTTTAATCTAGGAGGGTTGTATATTTCCAGGAATTTATCAATCTCCTGGAGTAGTAAAGTCCCTCACTATTATTGTGTTGCTGTCTATCTCATTTCTTAGGTCTAGTAGTAATTGTTTTATAAATTTGGGGGCTCCAGTGTTAGGTGCATATATATTTAGAATTGTGATATTTTCCTGTTAAACTAGTCCTTTTATCATTATATAATGTCCGTCTTTGTCTTTTTTAACTGCTATTGCTTTAAAGTTTGGTTTGTCTGATATAAGAATAGTTGTTCCTGCTTGCTTTTGGTGTCCATTTGCATGGAATATCTTTTTCCACCCCCTTTGCCTTAAGTTTATATGAGTCCTTGGAAATCACTTAAAACAACTCCATTCAAATTTTTTTCTAGTTTTTAATTTTTATTTTTTAATTCTGGAACAGTAGATAAAATTCTGTCAAGACTAATCAAATGTTTTGCTGCAGTGCTAGTCTATTAAACCTTCGCATTTATGTCATTATACTGTAAAATAGAATTTATGGTACTTTTTAATGTTTCATTTTTCTCTTTTTATAGTTTTTTGTAGAGCAAAGTAACATTGGAGATAATTTTTTATATTAGCTTTGCTACTGATACAAATGATAGACGCACACTCCTGATAGAAGTAGGGCATGAATACTTGATTAGTCTTTAACAGTGATGGTTACAGGGATAGTATATCGCAGTTACAGTTAATCCCTGACCACTGAGTTGTTTAAGTAGGCATTTAGGATTCTTGTGATTGATGAAATAAACTAAAATAGTCTTGTCTTTAAGGAGATGTAGCTTGAATGAGGATAATGAAACCATAGTAATGTAGATAAACCTTACTGACATTTTGTGCTTTCAAAGGGAAATGGGATCTTAAACTGCTTTGGCTAAAATTTCAAAATGAATTGTAGCCACAATTCTGAAATTATGGGTCTCTGTCCCTAAAAAATTCTTTTAAAGAATTTAACATCTACTTCTGCAAAATGTCAATAATACCATTTACCTCTTTTTTTCAGGGACGTAGTGAGGAGTACCTCTTTGAAAATGGCAAATGTTATCTGTTAGACTGTTGCATCTCATCACTGGAAGATATTTTTTCACTAAACAGTCATAGAGAAAATGGTTATCATTGATCTTAAAATGGATTGATCACAATCCTCACTGGACTAAAATTGTTGGGAATTAAAGTACAGATCTTATTTGATTGTGAGCAGAAGAAACTTAAAAGCTTTGACTTTTCAATTTAGAAGTTTGGAGATTTAAGGTATGATATAATAATTTACAACTGTATTTTGTGAAATCGGTGATCTCCAATCTTTAGATTGAAGAAAAACATTGAAGACCATGAATTTTACAGTGACTTATCTCTTCCAGTTAGCAAATCAAGCACATTTTTTGTTTTGCAAATGTCTTAACTGTAAAAAGTATATAACCACATAGCTCTTCTTTTGAAAAGGGATCTAACCTACAGAATATAGTTGTTATGTATTTTAAAATTTAAAGATGTTTTTGTTCAATTAATTGGCAAACAGTTGATTAATCATTATGTATTAACTTTAGGCATTGTAATGAGTACCAAAGAATTAAGATAGACTTAAAAAGGAGAGAATCCAAATCCTTTGAGAACTGTTTGTTTTTATAGTTTACAGTCCTGATGTTTAACACAGGGCCTGGCAGCAGTAGACATTTACTAAAGGTTAGTTGAATGAGTAAATGAATAAGAAGGACCTGATAGTTGCCCTCAAGAAACTTAGAGCCCTTAAATGTAATAAGATGAATATACAGAAAACCAGACTGATCAATAGACAATAATAGTGTGCTCAATAATTAGAATTTAGAGGTCAGGCATGGTGGCTCACACCTGTAATCCCAGCACTTCGGGAGGCTTAGGTGGGTAGATCACCTGAGGTCAGAAGTTTGAGACCAGCCTGGCCAACATGGTGAAACCCCATCTCTCCTAACAATAAAAAAAATTAGCTGGGTGTGATGGTGGGTGCCTGTAATCCCAGCTACTCGGGAGGCTGGGGCAGGATAATTTCTTGAACCCAGGAGGCAGAGGCTGCAGTGAGCTGAGATCGTGCCACTGCACTCCAGCCTGGGTGACAGAGCGAGACTCCATCTCAGAAAAAAAAAGGAAAAAAGAAAAAAAAGTAGAATTTAGAGGTGTTAGAATTTGGAGGAAACATTAAAATAGTTTTCAAACATGGTATTTGGACTACTATTAACAAAACTTACTGTAGTGGTAAAGTCAGGTGAAGTCCTCTTAAAGAATGTGGGACTTGAACAAGCCCTAAAGGATTGGTAGGATTTGGATGTGAATAAAAGAGGCATCATAGGTAGGGGAACATCATGACTGTCATGGGGGTAAGGAAACATGTTTATGAGCCGATGAGAAAAATGGCCTTCTTGTAAAACTTTAAACTATAATAATGCTGGATTGATAGGTGGTGTTTAGGCAGACAATTCAAATTTCCAAATGGCAGTTTTACCATTCACCACCAAACTGATCTGCTGAATGCTTCCAGCCATATCCATCTGCCAGGAGCCTGCCTGGCACACTGCCTCTCGGCTATTTGCTCAGATGGTTTGACAGATGCATAGGTAGTAAGAAATGGTGCTGTTAATGTCAGTAAAGCTGCCCTTTGTGAAAGCTAGTTAACCAGTGTGACTTTGAGCTTTATAACTGATGATTTGTGGTGATGTTAGATTAAAAAAAATGTAGCTTTAAATGGTGTGGGAGATGCTGGGCTTGCCTTATTGTTCAGAGATTGCCATGTTGGTTTGATACTGGGCTGGAAGGTCTCTCCGCTTACCCTACCTCATACTTCCTCAACACCCTGAGATACCAGAATGAATTGATTATTTCTTTGCTCATGGTTAAAACATATATTTTTAGAGAAGGGTTCATGCTCAGCCTGCTATAAATGCATATTTGCTTTCGGGCCTTGTTCTAAGATGATATGGGGCTAGGCCGTATCCCTCAGGGTGAACACAAATTGTACTCCCCTCACTCTGTAAGTCACTGTCAAAAACATGGAGTGCTTAGATATGGGAAGAAAATTAAATGTCACTTGATAGAGCTTTTGTCTTTTATTAGATGATATTTAGATAATAATAAAAAACTAGTGCATTTGAATTATGTGACATAAGAGAGTTCCAAAAGAGAGCAGCAGTATTGGGTGGTTAGAAATATAGATTAATGACCCACAATTTTCGTATCTAGTATTCTTGATGGAGTGATTGTAGTGCTAAGAAACTATGAGTAAATATGTCTTTACTTAAAATTATTTAATCTTTAGCGAGTATTTAACTGTTGGCTCTGGTTTTGCATTGTTTACTTTTTTTTTTTTTAACTAGGGGGAGTTAAATGATACATGTCTGTAGAGTTATTTTATGCTACTTTTCTTTAACATGCCTCAGCATTAAAATGTCCTTAAGAATATTGCATCATATCATTAAGAGTCTGACTATGGAAGGAATGCGACCGTATTACAGTGAGTAAATTTTTCATGACTACAGCCCATGGATGTTAAATAAAAAATGACAGCTTCTTGGATTTGATTGCAGTATAAAATTGTGACTCAGAATACTAGATTCATTGACTGGGGGTAGAAAGAGGACACTTTAGGACACTTTGTATGAGAAGCAGAAAATGTTTTGCATACTTTATAAGGGAGAGACAAAAATCTTGAGTGTAGTTTTACATCGTTTATTAATGGTAGAACCACTTTGTTGAAATGAATTAAGTGTAGAGTCTTGTACCACTTCACCTTCATTCATTCAGCTGAAGTATAGGAGGATGATTCGTGCTTAAATGAATCTTTGCCTGCATTTGTGCAGGGAAAAACTTTGGCAGTCCCAATCACTGGACTGCACACAGCCATGGAATATTGTAGCATTACTGCCATGTTCCATGTGTATGTGTGCATAAGACACACACACACACACACACTCACACACACACATACACACATGCAGAGAGATCTTAAAAATCACTTTATTGAAGTATAATTGACATGCAAATATTATAAAACATCCATTTAAAATATATAGTTCAATGCTCAATGAACCTAACAAATGAACCCGTGCAATCAGATTTATATATTTATATTTTGACTGTGCAGTCAAGATATAGAGCACTTCCATGACCCCAGAAAGTTCCCTTTGCCCTTTTCTAGTCACTCCATCCCTGTGTCCCTACCTGAGGCAAACACTGACCTGCTTTCTGTCACTATAGATCATATTTGTCCTTTCTAGAGTCTCATATGTTTGGAGTCGCACAGCATGGAATCTTTTGTGTTTGGCTTCTTTTGCTCATTGTGATGTTTTTGAGTTTCATCCATATTGCTCTTATATAAGTAATTTACTCCTTTTTATTGTTGAGTGGTATTCTGTTGTGGTATTCTAGATATATTACAATTTATTTATCTATTTACTTGTTGATGGACCTTTGAGTTAGTTTTATTTTTTAGTATTATGAATAACACTGCTATGAACATTCGAGTGCAAGTCTCTGTGTAAATGAGTTTTTATTTCTCTTGGGTAAAGACCTAGATGTAGAATTACTGGGTCACATGGTAACTCCAAGGAAACTACAGTATTGTTTGCCATAGTGTTTGTACCACTTTACATGCTCACCAACAATATAGAGTTTCAGTTACTTGATATCTTCTCCAACACATGGTGTTGACAGTCTTCAATTTTGTTTGTTTGTTGTTTTTTTGAGAGGAATTTTGCTCTGTCACCCAGGCTGGAGTGCATTGGTGCCCTCTCGGCTCACTGCAACCCCCGCCTCCCGGGTTCAAGCGATTCTCCTGTCTTAGCCTCCCAAGTAGCTGGGACTACAGGTGTGCACCACCACACCTGGCTAATTTTTGTATTTTTAATAGAGACGGGGTCTCACCATGTTGGGCCAGGCCCAAGTGCTGGGATTATAGGCATGAGCCACCACACCTGGTACCTTTGTCAAAAATCAGTTGACCATATATTTGAGGCCTATTTCTGGATTTTCTCTTCTGTTCTATTGATTTATTACATACCTATCCTTATGCAAATACCACAGTGTCTTGATTACTGTAGCTTTATAGTAAGTCTTAGAATCAGGTAGCATAAGTCTTCTAGCTTTGTTCTTTTCTTTCATAGTTGCTCTGGCTAGCCTAGGTTCTTTACATTTCCATGTAAATTATAGAATCAGCTTACTGATTTCTACAAAAAATCTTGTTGGAATTTTGATTGAAATTGCATTGAATTCTATTGATTAATTTGTGTAGAATTGACATCTTAACAATATCGAGTCTTCCCCTTTGTGAACATAGTATACTTCTCTAATTAAATATCTTATTTAGTTTCTTTCAGCAATATTCTGTAATTTTTCTTATATAGTCTTGCATGTATTACGTTAGATTTATTGTTAAACATTTCATGTTTTTGGATAACATTGTGAATGATATATATATTTTTAAATTTAAATATCCAATTGTCTATTGCTAGTATTAGAAATACAATTGATTTTTGTATATTGAACCTATATCCTGTGACTTTGCTAAATTCACCTGTTATTTATATTAGTTTTTTTATTTTTTGTTTTTAGAGACACAGTCTTCCTTTGTCACCTGGGCTAGAGAAGAGTGGCACAATCATAGCTCACTGTAGCCCCAAACTCCTAGGCTCAAGTGATCCTCCTGCCTCAGCCTCACAGGTAGCTGGGACTGTAGGTGCATGCCACTATGCCTGGCTATTTTTTATTTTTTTAATTTTTTTTGTAGAGACAGGGTCTCACTATGTTGCCCAGGCTAGTCTTGAACTCCTGACTTTAAGTGCTCCTCCTGTCATGGCCTCCCAAATTGCTAGGATTATAGGTGTAAACCACCTCATCCAGCCACTTCTATTAGTTTTTAAAATTTGTTTGTAGATGTCTTGGGATTTCTCTAGCCTTGTTGCATTGGCTAGAATCTGTAGTATGGTGAAGTGATGATAATTTATATACTTGCCTTGTTCCTGACCTTCAGGAGAAAATTCACTATTACTAATAAGTGTGATGTTACTGGAAAGGGGTCCCCATCCAGACCCCAAGAGAGGGTTCTTCGATTTTGCACAAGAAAGAATTTGAGATGAATCCATAGAGTAAAGCGAAAGCAAATTTATTAAGAAAGTAAAGGAATAAAAGGATGGCTACTCCATAGGCAGAGCACCCTCATGGGCTGCTCGATTGAGTATACTTATAGTTGTTTCTTGATTATATGCTCTACAAGGGGTGGATTATTCATGAGACTTCTGGGAAAGAGGTGGGCAATTCCTGAAACTAAGGGTTCCTCCCCTTTTTAGACCATATAGGGTAACTTCCAGATGTTGCCATGGCATTTATAAACTGTTATGGCACTGGTAGGAGTGTCTTTTAGTAGCTAATGCATGATAATTAGCATGTAATGAGCAGTGAGGATGACCAGAGGTCACTTTTGGGGCCATCTTGGTTTTGGTGGGTTGTGGCTGGCTTCTTTATCACATCCTGTTTTATCAGCAAGGTCTTTGTGATCCGTGTCTTGTGCTGACCTCCTATCTCATCCTGTGACTAAGAATGTCTTACCTCCTGGGAATGCAGCCCAGCCGGTCATAGCCTTATTTTATCCATCCCCTAATCAAGATGGAGTTGCTCTGGGTCAAATGCCTCTGACAATGTTAGCTGTTAAGTTTTCTTATAGAAGCCTTATATCATGTTGAGAAAGTTTCATTCTAGTCTTAGTTTGATGAGACTTGTTAAAAAGTATATTATGAATGGATCTTGAATACTATCAAATGCTTTCTTTTATATCTGTTTAATTGATTACATGGTTTTATTTATTATTCTGATTGTTGTTCATTGATTCATTTTCAAATGTTAAGCCAACTGTGGGAAATATTCTAGGAATGCAAGGTGTTTTTGTTTGTTTGTTTGTTTTTGTTTTTGTTTTTTTGAGACGGAGTCTCACTGTGTTGCCCAGGCTGGAGTGCAGTGGTGTGATCTCAACTCACTGCAACCTCCTCCCAGGTTCAAGTGATTCTCCTGCCTCAGCCTCCCGAGCAGCTGGGATTACAGGTGCCCGCCACCACGCCTGGCTAATTTTTGTATTTTTAATAGAGATGGGGTTTCACCAGGTTGGCCAGGCTGGTCTCAAACTCCTGACCTCAGGTGATCCACCCACCTTGGCCTCTCAAAGTGCTGGGATTACAGGCGTGAGCCACCACACCCAGCCACAAGGTTTGTTTAACATTCGAGAATCAATCCCAGTTGGTCATGGTGTATTATTATTTTTTTAGATATTGTTGGATTTGATTTGCAACAATTTTATTTAGAATTTTTTCATCTGTGTTCATTAAAGATACTGGTTTGTAGTTTTCTTATGTCTTTGTCTGCTTTCATTGTCAGTATAATGCTACATTATCAAAGGAGTTTGAAAATGTCTCCTCTTAGTACCTTTTCTAAAAATGTCTGTGTAGGATTGTTATTTTTTCCTTAAATATTTGATAGAATTGTCCAGTGAAGCTGTCTGGGCCTGGAGTTTTCTTCATAGGAAAATTGATTATGAATTCAATTGTTTTAATAGATACAAAGTTCTTCAGATTTTCTCTTCTCCCTCCCTCCCTCCTTCTCTCTCTCTCTTCTTTTCTTTCTCTCTTTTTATTCTTCTTCCTCCTCTTCCTCCCTCTCCTCCCCCCTCCTGTTGTTGTTCATCTCCTCCTCCTCCTCTTCCTCCTCTTCCTCCTCCTCCCTCTTCTTCATCTTCATCTTCATCTTCATCTTCTTTTCTTCTTCCTATTCTTTCTCTTCTCCTTTCTTCTCCTTCTTTCTTTTTTGAGACAGAGTCTTACTCTGTTGTCCAGCCTGGAGTACAGTGGCATAATTATGGCTCACTGCAGCTTTGACCTCCTGTGCTCAATTGATCCTGCTTCAGTCTCCCAAGTATTTGGAACTATAAGGTGAACACCACCATACCTGGCTATTTTTGTTACTTTTTATTTTGTAGAGATGGGGTCTTGCTGTGTTGCCCAGGCTGGTCTCAGACTCGTGGACTCAAGCAGTCCTCACAACTTGGCCTCCCAAAGTGCTGGGATTACAGGAGTGAGCCACTGCAACTGGCCTCTATTTGTCCTTGAATTAGTTTTTTAAAAAATATTTTTGGCTAGGGTAATGTGCAAAACATTTCTCAACATTGCTTTAAGTTGCATTTCTTGATTACTAGCATGAATGAATATTGTTGAATTCGTTTTGATTTTGTTTAAATTTTATTGATATTTGTTCTTATTTTTATTATGTTTTCTTTCTACTTACTTTGTTTTTCTATCATTGATTTTGGACTTGACTTTTTTTCCTATAAGCATCTGAAGCTATGCATTTCCCTCCAAGAACTGCTTTAACTGCATTCTGTAAATGTTGATATATTGTGTTTTCATTTTCAACTACTTCAAAATCTTTTCTGTTATCTCTTACGTGTTTATTCCTTGACTCTTAGATTACTAAAGTGTGTTTTAATTCAGATACTTCAGGATTAACCTGAAAGCTCTTTATTATTGATGTGTAATGTAATATTTTAATAAATTATTTATTTTTAATTATGTTAAAATATACATAACATAGAATTGAACATTTTAACCATTTTAAAGTTTACAGTTCAGTGGCATTAAGTCCATTCACATTGTTAGGTAACAATTATCATGATTATCCTGGTTTAGGTTCATAGAGCTTTTTGGATATATGGATTTACAGGTTTATCAAATTTAGAATTTTTCTGCCATTACTTATTCAGATTTTTGTTGTTCCTCCCTCCTTCCTCACCTTCTGTGGCTCCGATTATATATATGTAGACTGCTTGATATTGTTCCATTGGCCGCTGATGCTCTATTTTTATTCAGTCTTTGTGCTTTGGTTTCTATAGATTCTATTGCTGCATCTTCAGATTTAGTGATCTTCTGCATATCTATTCTGTGGTTAATTTATCTAGTGAGTTTTATTTTTATTTTTTATTAAAAAAATTTTTTTATGGCTGGTGTATGGTGGCTTATGCTTGTAATCCTAGCACTTTGGGATTTTTATTTTTATTTTTTAGAGATGGGATCTTGTTCTGTTACCCAGGCTGGAGTGCAGTGGCATGATTATAGCTCACTGCAGCCTCTAACTCCAGGGCTCAAGTGATCCTCTTGCTTTAGCCTCTCAAGTAGTTAGGACCACAGGTGTGCACCACTGTGCCCAGCTGATTTTTGAAAGACCTTTTTTTTTAAGACATGGGGGTCTTGCTATATTGCTCAGGCTGGTCTCAAACTCAAGAGATCATCTTGCTTTGACCTCCCAAAGTGTTGGGATTACAGGCGTGAGCCAATGTCCCTGGCCCATCTAGTAAATTTCATATTTCAGATATTGTATTTTTCATCTCTAGAAGTTCCTTTTCATTCTTTCTTATGTCTTCTTTCTTCTATATATATATATATTTAAAAACACTTGAACATAGTTACAATAACTTTTAATTTTCTTGTCTGCTAATTTTATCATCTCAGTCATTTTGGCAATCTTTATTAATTTTTCTTCAGGTCATGTTTTACATTCTACTTTTTCACATTTTTGGAATAAAAAATTTAAATTGTGGACATTGTTGATGTTTTCCTGTTGTGCATTTGGTTTTTATTGTTTTCTTTTAGAAAGTGTTTGGCTTTGTTCTGGCAGGCAATTATTTGCATACTTGTTGAACTCTTTTCCTGAGTAGCTGCTTCTTTTGGAGGCTTTGCCCTGCCACCTTGAACTGCTTTAGTCTTCCTAACTCTGACCTCTGACCCTCCAACCCAGCAAGACCTCTGTGCTTTGTTTTGGATTTCTCTTCATGCATTATGGCCCAGCAGGTCCTAAAAGGCAGAAGCCAGGGCAATCATGGGGCTAAATTCATTTGTATCCCTTCTCTCAGGCATCACACGTTTGTGCTGCCTATTGTTCAGTTTCTAAAAACAGTTGTTTTATATACGTTGTTCATTTTTCTATTGTTTTGGCAGAGCATAGATGTGGTATCTGTTGCTCCATCATGGCCAAAAGTGGAAGCCACCACTGGTTTTCATGTAGTTCATAACACTTTGGAGGGTGTGGTAAATAACAAGTATATCAAGTATAATTTTTAATACAGATCTGTTTTGAGTAAAAGTCTGTAAGATAGTTTGATCTTTTCTTGTTGCCTTTCAGCTAGTCTCCCTTATTTTATGGTAATGGAATCAGGAGTGAGATGATTCCATTTGATATAAAGAGTGAAGACTGGATCTGGAAAGATTCAATTTTACCTGTCCATTGACTTATGTGTAGTTTTAGACATATTCAAACTATTCAGATATCAATTTTTTCCCCTGTAGAATGAAGGAAGCATATTAGACTGACCTAAGATCTGAAGTCTTACTCTGGTGAAAATACTGTGATTCTATATTATAATCTATAAATGATACTGAAGGTTGAATGCTAAGCTCTGAAGCTAGTTAAACATTGTTTAAAATGAAAAATATGGGTTTTGGCTCTGGTAAAATTTGCTCCTAATTTGATCAACTTAAATAATAAATCAAGGATGAAAACAGTATTAAAGTATTAGATTTTATAGTACAAAGGGCATTTATTCATAAATATTGTATACTCTAACAGTGTTTTATGCAAATAGATGGTAAAATGCTGTTATGTTATCTGTGAGTTTGCATAGGACCTCATTTAGAAACAACTTCCTGCAGGGAGAAGCACACTGAATATATAGATTTTAAATTCTTAATCCCCATTAAAAATTCTCACCCAAGGAGTTCTTGTGAGACCAGGTCATTTAAAAATATGTGACATCTGCCTCCAGACCCAACTCTCTCTCTCTTGCTTCTGCTTTCACCATGTGATGTGCCTGTTCCCACTTTGCCTTCTACCACGATTGTAAAGCTTCCTGGGCCAGGCGCAGTGGCTCACACCTGTAATCCCAGCACTTTGGGAGGCCGAAATGGGCGGATCATGAGGTCAGGAGATAGAGACCATCCTGGCTAATACGATGAAACCCCGTCTCTACTAAGAAAACACAAAAAAATTAGCTGGGCGTGGTGGCGGGTGCCTTTAGTCCCAGCTACTCGGAGGCTGAGGCAGGAGAATGGCGTGAACCCAGGAGGCGGAACTTGCAGTGAGCCGAGATCGTGCCACTGCACTCCAGCCTGGGCGACAGAGTGAGACCCTGTCTCAGAAAAAAAAAAAAAAAAAAAAAAAGCTTCCTGAGGCCTCCCCAGAAGTAGATGCTGGTGCCATGCTTCCTATACAGGCTGCAGAGCCACAAGCCAGTCACGCTTCTTTTATTATAAATTACCTAGTCTCGGGTGTTTCTTTATAACAACACAAGAACGGCCTCACACAGCCCTCTTGTCCTGATGCAAGGTCTGACACTGTCGACCACCTTCTTCTTGATACTCTATCCCTGGGCCTTTGTGGCTTGTTCTTTTCTGATTCTTCTCCCCATTTGACTGTCCTTTCCATCTCCTCTTTCTCTGTCTATTTCTTTCCTTTTTTTTTTTGAGACAGTGTCTCACTCTGTTGCCCAGGCTGATGTGCAGTGGCTCAATCACGGTTCACTGCAGCCTCAGCCTCCCAGGCTCAAGCAATCCTCACGCCTCAGCCTCCCAAGTAGCTGGGGGTACAGGTGCATGCCACAACGCCTGGCTAAGTTTTGTATATTTTTATAGAGATGGGTTTTCACCATGTTGCTCAGGCTGGTCTGGAACCCCTGGGCTCCAGCGATCCACCCACCTTGGCCTCCCAAAGTGTTGGGATTACAAGTTTGAGCCACTGCTCCTGGCCTCTCCACCCATGTAGGTGTTCCTCAAGAATCTATTCCTGACACTTTATCTCCTAGCAACCTCTACATTTCAGCACCTGTAAGCTCATCCAGTTCAAATCTACCCCCCAGCCTGTCAGCCCCCGCCTTCCTCTCCTTGCCGAGCTCCAGTCCTCAATTCCTAACTTCCTGCCAGACATTTCCACTAGGACAATCTGATGTTGCATCAAATTTAGTATGTTCACAATCAAATTTACCACCTTCTGCAGAACTTGACCTCAGGCAGGACTGAAGTCTGGGCCTGTCAACAGGCAGTCTATCTGGCAAGTTGACCTTCCTTTCACATAGTCTCACAGTAGACAGTCCATAATATATTGGGGTGAATCTACCTCAGTTATTTGCACCCACTGAGCAGACAAGCAGGTAGTCAAAAAAAAGTTCACACAAGTTCTTTAAAATATTCACTTTTTGATTATGTAAAGCATGCACATAGTTCCAAATAAAAAAGGTACTTGGCTGGGCACAGTGGCTCATGCTTGTAATCCCAGCACTTTGGGAGGCCGAGGCAGGTGGATCATTTGAGGTCAGGAGTTCGAGACCAGCCTGACCAAAATGGTGAAACCCTGTCTCTACTAAAAATACAAAAAAATTAGCTGGACGTGGTGGCGCACGCCTGTAATCCCAGCTACTCAAGAGGCTGAGGCAAGAGAATTGCTTGAACTTGGGAGGCCGAGGTTGCAGTGAGCTGAGATTGTGCCACTGCACTTCAGCCTAGGCGACAGAGAGAGACTCTGTCTCAAAAAAAAAAAAAAAAAAAAAGAGAAAGGTGCTAAAGGGAATTCAGTGAAATATGTTTATCTTCTTATCACCACACCCAACTTTCAGCAATCTGGTTTTTCTTCAGAATTCCTTCTCAAAGGCAACACGCATTACCAGTTTCTTATTTATACTATCACAGATAGTCTATCCATATAAAGATATACCTATAGGCCAGGCACAGTGGTTCATGCCTGTAATCCCAGCACTTTGGGAGGCCGAGATGGTAGGACCACTTGAGTCAAGGAGTTCGAGACCAGCCTGGGCAACATAGCAAGACCCTAGGTCTCTACAAAATATAAAAAAAATTAGCCAGGCTTGGTGGCATGTGTTTGTAATCCCAGCTATTCAGGAAGCTGAGGCTGGAGGATCACTTGAGCCTGGGAGGTTGAGGCTTCAGTGAGCTGTGATCATGCCACTGTACTCTAGCCTGGCAACAGAGCGAGGCACTCTCTCTTAAAATAATCTAAAAGAGATATACCTATAAATATTAAAATTAGATATGTATGCAATGACACACATACTGAATAGCATATTGTATACATTATTCTGTCCTATGTCCTTCTTTCCTTCTATATCTTTTTTTTTCTTTTAAGAGATGGTGTCTTGCTATATTACCCAGTTTGGTCTCAAACTCCTGAGCTCAAGGGATCCTTCCACCTCAGCCTCCCATAGCTGGGCAACAAAGTGTACACTGCGCACAGCTTCTTTGTCTTAATTTCTTTCTATGTGTATTTATAGAGAACTACCCTAGTTTATTAGCTGTCTGATAGCGAACATATAGATGTATTGTAGTTTAACAGTTCTTTGTTAATAGAGTGTTAACCAGCTTTTGCTGTTAAATTTAATGATATAACGAATATATTTCCTTGTAAAATTTAAATTTACTTTAGATTTTTATGCTATTTTTGTAAACATGTACAAAATTTCAATTTTTATACATTTTGATCTATCAATCTTTTACGCTTCTTGGTCTTTCCTTCATTCTTTGACAGCCTCTCCCTACTCCAAGATTTAAAAATGTTTACTTTTGTATTTAAAGTTTTGATCAATCTGGAATTTTTTTTGTTATGAGAGGATCTATCTTCACTTTTTTCTAAGATGGCTACCCATTCATCTTTTCCCTACTGAGAAACAATATCGTATTCTAAATTCTCATATGTCTTTGTGTCATATTTGGGCTTCCTCTTCTTTTTCATTGATTTGCCTATTCTTGTTTTTATTTTATTTTATTTTATTTTATTTTATTTTATTTTATTTTATTTTTGAGACGGAGTCTGGCTCTGTCGCCCAGGCTGGAGTGCAGTGGCGCAATCTCGACTCACTGCAAGCTCTGCCTTCCAGGTTCACGCCATTCTCCTGCCTCGGCCTCCCGAGTAGCTGGGACTACAGGCACCCGCCACCACGCCCGGCTAATTTTTTATATTTTTAATAGAGACGGGGTTTCACCATGTTAGCCAGGATGGTCTCGATCTCCTGACCTCGTGATCCGCCTGCCTCGGCCTCCCGAAGTGCTGGGATTACAGGCGTGAGCCACCGCGCCCGGCCAATTTGTCTATTCTTACATCATAACCGTACTTATAATTATGCTACATTATATAATACATATTATAATGTTAATATATTAAATTATACATAATATAGTTACAATATGTAACTATAAATTGATATCTGAGTTGGGCTAGTACTCTACCATTTCTCTTTTCTAGTATCTTCCCAGTGTTACATGTTTTTTGTTGTTAACTTTGAAATCCAATTGCCTAATTAAAAAATTCTATTGGTGTTTTGTTGGGATTGCATTACATTTGTAAAACAATAAGTCATAGATCAGAGAATTGACACCTTCATGGCATTCAGTCTTTCCGTCCAAGAAAGGACAGACTATTACATTTATTCAGTGCTTCTCAGTAGTGTTTTTTTATTTTTATTTTTTTTTGAGACGGAGTCTCGCTCTGTCGCCCAGGCTGGAGTGCAGTGGCGCAATCTCGGCTCACTGCAAGCTCCGCCTCCCGGGTTCACGCCATTCTCCTGCCTCAGCCTCGCGAGTAGCCGGGACTACAGGCGCCTGCCACCACGTCTGGCTAATTTTTTGTATTTTTAGTAGAGACGGGGTTTCACCGTGTTAGCCAGGATGGTCTCGATCTCCTGACCTCGTGATCCGCCCGCCTCGGCCTCCCAAAGTGCTGGGATTACAGGCGTGAGCCACCGCGCCCGGCCGCCTCTAAGTAGTTTAAAAAGATTTTATCATATAGATCTTGTACTTTTTTTGCCAACTTTATTCTTAGATTATTAATCTTTTTTTGTTGTTACTATAAAGGGGATAATTTATTATTTTTATGTTTTTTTTTTTTTTTTTTTTTTGAGACGGTGTCTCGCTCTGTCGCCCAGGCTGGAGTGCAGTGGCGTGATCTCGGCTCACTGCAAGCTCCGCCTCCCGGGTTCCCGCCATTCTCCTGCCTCAGCCTCTCCTAGTAGCTGGGACTACAGGGGCCCGCCACCAAGCCAAGCTAATTTTTTGTATTTCTAGTAGAGACGGGGTTTCACCGTGGTCTTGATTTCCTGACCTCGTGATCTGCCCGCCTCGGCCTCCCAAAGTGCTGGGATTACAAGGGTGAGCCACCGTGCCTGGCCTAGGTCTTTTTTTTAATTTATAAAGAAAAGAGATTTAATCAGCTTGCCCTTCTGCAGGCTGTATAGGCTTCTGCTCCTGGGGAGACCTCAGGAAACTTACAATCATGGTTGAAGGCAAAGGGGAAGCAGGCACAGTCTTCACATGGCCAGGAGGAGAGAGAGGGAGTGAAGTGGGAGGTGCTACACACTTTCAAACAACCAGATCTTGTGAGAAGTCCATCACAAGATTGGCAAGGGGGAAGTCCATCCCCGTGGTTCAGTCACCTCCCACCAGGCCCCTCCTCCAACACTGGGGATACAATTTGACATGAGATTTTGGTAGGGACACAGAGCCAAACCATATGACCCATTAACAATAGAATAGATACATTGTGGTATATATGTATAATGGAACACAATTTAGCAATGAAGAAAACTTTATCTATCTATAAAAACATTAATGAATCTCAAAGGTATAAAATTTAGCAACAAAAAGTATACTATGTAATCTCATTTAAATAAAATTCAAAAACAGGCAACATTAATTTATAGTACTAAGAATCTGTGCTGTGGTTACCTTTGGAGGAAGTAACAACAGGGACAGGAGCACAAAGTAGGCCTCTGTGGTGTTGTCAATGTTCAATATCTTGCTTTGTGTCAAAATCAAGCTGTAAAATTAATATTTATGCCCTTACAAGTCCATAAATTAGATTTAAATTAAATAAGTGAAACAAAAGCTATATGGTTGCCTAAATCAACCAACTGTAAAGTCATGAGTCATAATAATTCCCAAATTCCTTTTTTTTAAATATACTTGGCAACAGATTTTATTAAGGGACAGTAACCATTGTATTCCTAGAGCCGTCATCTTTCTTTTTTTTATTATTATTATACTTGAAGTTCTAGGGTGTACACATGTGTACAATGTGCAGGTTTGTTACATATGTATACATGTGCCATGTTGGTGTGCTGCACCCATTAACTCATTTACATTAGGTATATCTCCTCATACTACCCCTGCCCCCTCCCCCAACCCCACAACACGTCCCGGTGTGTGATGTTCCTCATCCTGTGTCCAAGTGTTCTCATTGTTCAATTCCCACCTATTAGTGAGAACATGTGGTGTTTGGTTTTCTTTCCTTGCGATAGTTTGCTCAGAATGATGGTTTCCAGCTTCATCCATGTCCCTACAAAGGACATGAACTCATCTTTTTTATGGCTGCCTAGCATTCCATGCTGTATATGTGCCACATTTTCTTAATCAAGTCTATCATTGATGGACATTTGGGTTGGTTCCAAGTCTTTGCTATTGTGAATAGTGCCACAGTAAACATACGTGTGCATGTGTCATTATAGCAGCATGATTTATAATCCTTTGGGTATATACTCAGTAATGGGATGGCTGGTTCAAATCGTATTTCTAGTTCTAAATCCTTGAGGAATCGCCACACTGTCTTCCACAATGGTTGAACTAGTTTACAGTCCCACCAACAGTGTAAAAGTGTTCCTATTTCTCCACATCCTGTCCAGCACCTGTTGTTTCCTGACTTTTTAATGATCGCCATTCTAACTGGTGTGAGATGGTATCTCATTGTGGTTTTTATTTGCATTTCTCTGATGGCCAGTGATGATAAGCATTTTTTCATGTGTCTTTTGGCTGCATAAATGTCTTCTTTTGAGAAGTGTCTGTTCATATCCTTCACCCACTTTTTGATGGGGTTGTTTGATGTTTTTCTTGTAAATTTGTTTTAAGTTCTTTGTAGATTCTGGATATTAGCCCTGTGTCAGATGGATAGATTGCAAAAATTTTCTCCCATTCTGTAGGTTGCCTGTTTACTCTGATGGTACTTTCTTTTGCTGTGCAGAAGCTCTTTACTTTAGTTAGATCCCATTTGTCAATTTTGGCTTTTGTTGCCATTGCTTTTGGTGTTTTAGTCATGAAGTCCTTGCCCATACCTATGTCCTGAATGGTATTGCCTAGGTTTTCTTCTAGGGTTTTTATGGTTTTAGGTCTAACATTTAAGTCTTTAATCCATCTTGAATTAATTTTTGTACAAGGGGTAAGGAGGGGATCCAGTTTCAGCTTTCTACATATGGCTAGTCCGTTTTCCCAGCACCATTTATTAAATAGGGAATCCTTTCCCCATTTCTTGTTTTTGTCAGGTTTGTCAAAGATCAGATGGTTGTAGATGTGTGGTATTATTTCAGAGGGCTCTGTTTTGTTCCATTGATCTATATCTCTGTTTTGGTACCAGCACCATGCTGTTTTGGTTACTGTAGCCTTGTAGTATAGTTTGAAGTCAGGTAGCTTGATGCCTCCAGCTTTATTCTTTTGGCTTAGGATTGTCTTGGCAATGCAGGCTCTGTTTTGGTTCCATATGAGCTTTAAAGAAGTTTTTTTCCAATTCTGTGAAGAAAGTCATTGGTAGCTTGATGGGGATGGCATTGAATCTATAAATTACCTTGAGCAGTATGGCTATTTTCATGATATTGATTCTTCGTATCCATGAGCATGGAATGTTCTTCCATTTGTTTGTGTCCTCTTTTATTTCATTGAGTGGTCATTTGTAGTTCTCCTTGAAGAGGCCCTTCACATCCCTTGTAAGCTGGATTCCTAGGTATTTTATTCTCTTTGAAGCAATTGTGAATGGGAGTTCGCTCATGATTTGGCTCTCTGTTTGTCTGTTATTGGTGTATAGGAATGCTTGTGATTTTTGCACATTGATTTTTTTATCCTGAGACTTTGCTGAAGCTGCTTATCGGCTTAAGGAGATTTTGGGCTGAGATGATGGGGTTTTCTAGATATACAACCATGTCATCTACAAACAGGGACAATTTGACTTCTTCTTTTCCTAATCGAATACCCTTTATTTCTTTCTCCTGCCTGATTGCCCTGGCCAGAACTTCCAACACTATGTCGAATAGGAGTTGTGAGAGAGGGCATCCCTGTCTTGTGCCAGTTTTCAAAAGGAATGCTTCCAGTTTTTGCCCATTCAGTATGACATTGGCTGTGGGTTGTCATAAATAGCTCTTATGATTTTGAGATACGTCCCATCAATACCTAGTTTATTGAGAGTTTTTAGCATGAAGCACTCTTGAATTTTGTCAAAGACCTTTACTGCATCTATTGAGATAATCATGTGGCTTTTGTCTTTGATTCTGTTTATATGCTGGATTACATTTATTGATTTGTGTATGTTGAACCAGCCTTGCATCCCAGGGATGAAGCCAACTTGATTGTGATGGATAAGCCTTTTGATATGCTGCTGGATTTGGTTTGCCAATATTTTATTGAGGATTTTTGCATCGATGTTCATCACGGATAATGGTCTAAAATTCTCTTTTTTTGTTGTGTCTCTGCCAGGCTTTGGTATCAGGGTGATGCTGGCCTCATAAAATGAGTTAGGGAGGATTGCCTCTTTTTCTTTTGATTGGAATAGTTTCAGAAGGAATGGTACCAGCTCCTCTTTGTACCACTGGTAGAATTCGGCTGTGAATCTGTCTGGTCCTGGACTTTTTTTGGTTGGTAAGCTATTAATTATTGCCTCAATTTCAGAGCATGTTATTGGTGTATTCAGGGATTCACCTTCTTCCTGGTTTAGTCTTGGGAGGGTGTATGTGTCCAGGAATTTATCTATTTCTTCTAGACTTTTTAGTTTATTTGCATAGAGGTGTTTATAATATTCTCTGATGGTAGTTTGTATTTCCGTGGGATCGGTGGTGGTATCCCCTTTATCATTTTTTATTGTGTCTATTTGATTCTTCTCTCTTTTCTTCTCTATTAGTCTTGCTAGTGGTCTATCAATTTTGTTGATCTTTTCAGAAAACCACCTCCTCCATTTGATTTTTTGAAGGGTTTTTTGTGTCTCTGTCTCCTTCAGTTCTGCTCTGATCTTAGTTATTTCTTGCCTTCTGCTAGCTTTTGCACGTGTTTGCTCTTGCTTCTCAAGTTCTTTTAATTGTGATGTTAGGGTGTCAATTTTAGATCTTTCCTGCTTTCTCTTGTGGGCATTTAGTGCTATAAATTTCCCTCTACACACTGCTTTAAATGTGTCCCAGAGATTCTGGCATGTTGTGTCTTTGTTCTCATTGGTTTCAAAGAACATCTTTACTTCTGCCTTCATTTCGTTATGTACCCAGTAGTCATTCAGGAGCAGGTTGTTCAGTTTCCATGTAGTTGAGTGGTTTCGAGTGAGTTTCTTAATCCTGAGTTCTAGTTTGATTGCACTGTGGTCTGAGAGACAATTTGTTATAATTTCTGTTCTTTTACATTTGCTGGGGAGTGCTTTACTTCCAACTATGTGGTCAATTTTGGAATAAGTGTGATGTGGTGCTGAGAAGAATGTATATTCTGTTGATTTGGGGTGGAGAGTTCTGTAGATGTCTATTAGATCCGCTTGGTGCTGAGCTGAGTTCAATTCCTGGATGTCCTTTTTAACTTTCTGTCTCATTGATCTGTTTAATGTTGACAGTGGGGTGTTAAAATCTCCCATTATTATTGTGTGGGAGTCTAAGTCTCTTTGTAGGTCTCTAAGGACTTGCTTTATGAATTTGGGTACTCCTGTATTGAGTGCATATATATTTAGGATAGTTAGCTCTTCTTGTTGAATTGATCCCTTTACCATTATGTAATGGCCTTCTTTGTGTCTTTTGATCTTTGTTTATTTAAAGTCTGTTTTATCAGAGGCTAGGATTGCAACTCCTGCTTTTTGTTGTTTTCCATTTGCTTGGTAGATCTTCCTCCATTCCTTTATTTTGAGCCTATGTGTGTCTCTGCAGGTGAGCTGGGTCTCCTGAATATAGCACACTGATGGGTCTTGACTCTTCATCCAGTTTGCCAGTCTGTGTCTTTTAATTGGAGCATTTAGTCCATTTACATTTAAGGTTAATATTGTTATGTGTGAATTTGATCCTGTCATTATGATGTCAGCTGGTTATTTTGCTCATTAGTTGATGCAGTTTCTTCCTAGCATCAATGGTCTTTACAGTTTGGCATGTTTTTGCAGTGGCTGGTACCGGTTGTTCCTTTCCATGTTTAGTGCTTCCTCCAGGAGCTTTGTAAGGCAGGCCTGGTGGTGACAAAATCTCTCAGCATTTGCTTGTCTGTAAAGGATTTTATTTCTCCTTCACTTATGAAGCTTAGTTTGGCTGGGTATGAAATTCTTGGTTGAAAATTCTTTTCTTTAAGAATGTTGAATATTGGCCCCCACTCTCTTCTGGCTTGTAGAGTTTCTGCCGAGACATCTGCTGTTAGTCTGATGGGCTTCCCTTTGTGGGCAACCCGACCTTTCTCTCTGGCTGCCCTTAATATTTTTTCCTTCATTTCAACTTTGGTGAATCTGACAATTACGTGTCTTAGAGTTGCTCTTCTGGAGGAGTATCTTTGTGGCGTTCTCTGTATTTCCTGAATTTGAATGTTGGCCTGCCTTGCTAGGTTGGGGAAGTTCTCCTGGATAATATCCTGAGAGTGTTTTCCAACTTGGTTCCATTCTCCCCATGACTTTCAAGTACACCAATCAGACGTAGATTTGGTCTTTTCACATAGTCCCATATTTCTTGGAGGCTCTGTTCATTTCTTTTCACTCTTTTTTCTCTAAACTTGTCTTCTCGCTTCATTTCATTCATTTGATCTTCAATCACTGATACCCTTTCTTCCACTTGATCGAATCGGCTGCTGAAGCTTGTGCATGTGTCACGTAGTTCTCATGCCATGGTTTTCAGCTCCATCAGGTCATTTAACATCTTCTCTACGCTGTTTATTCTAGTTAGCCATTCATCCAATCTTTTTTCAAGGTTTTTAGCTTCTTTGCAGTGGTTTCGAACATCCTCCTTTAGCTCGGAGAAGTTTGTTACTACCGATCATCTGAAGCCTTCTTCTCTCAACCGTCGAAGTCATTCTCTGTTCAGCTTTGTTCCGTTGCTGGCGAGGAGCTTCGTTCCTTTGGAGGAGAAGAGGTGCTCTTATTTTTAGAATTTGAAGCTTTTCTGCTCTGGTTTTTCCCCATTTTTGTGGTTTTATCTACCTTTAGTCTTTGATGATGGTGATGTGCAGATGGGGTTTTGGTGTGGATGTCCTTTCTGTGTGTTAGTTTTCCTTCTAACAGTCAGGACCCTCAGCTGAAGGTCTGCTGGAGTTTGCTGGAGTCCACTCCAGACCCTGTTTGCCTGAGTGTCACCAGGAGAGGCTGCAGAACAGCAAATATTGCAGAATGGCAAATGTTGCTGCCTGATCCTTCCTCTGGAAGCTTCGTCTCGTAGGGGCACCTGGCTGTATGAGGTGTCAGTTGGCCCCTACTGGGAGGTGTCTCCCAGTTAGGCTACTCAGGGGTTAGGAACCCACTTGAGGCAGTCTGTCTGTTCTCAGATCTCAAACTCCATGCTGGGAGAACCACTACACTCTTCAAAGCTGTCAGACAGGGACGTTTAAGTCTGCAGAAGTTTCTGCTGCCTTTTGTTCAGCTATGCCCTGCCCTCAAAGGTGGAGTCTACAGAGGCAAGCAGGCCTCTTTGAGCTGTGGTGGACTCCACCCAGTTTGAGCTTCCAGGCCACTTTGTTTACCTACCCAAGCCTCAGCAATGGTGGGCGCCCGTCCCCCAGCCTCGCTGCTGCCTTGCAGTTCGATCTCAGACTGCTGTGCTAGCAGTGAGCGAGGCTCCGTGGGCGTGGGACCATCTGAGTCATGCATGGGATATAATCTGGTGTGCCATTTGCTAAGACCATTGGAAAAGCACAGTATTAGGGTGGGAGTGTCCCGATTTTCCAGGTACGGTCTGTCATGGCTTCCCTTGGCTAGGAAAGGGAATTCTCCAACCCCTTGCGCTTCCCGGGTGAGGCGATGCCCTGCCCTGCTTCGGCTCACACTCTGTGGGCTGCACCCACTGTCTGACAAGCCCCAGTGAGATGAACCTGGTACCTCAGTTGGAAATGCAGAAATCACCCATCTGTGTCACTCACACTGGGGGCTGTAGACTGGAGTTGTTCCTATTTGGTAATCTTGGAACCTCCCCATTCTTTTATGTCTTCTAAATAGTTGTTGTTTGTATGTCTGAAGTCCATTTGTTTTTCATATTAATTTTACTGCCTTTAAAAACAGTCTTCCAGTTAATTTCTTTGTGTTTTCCAGGAATTCAATCTTATTATTTGCAAATATAATTTTACTTCATCTGTCTCAGTTTTCATTCTTTTCTTTTCCTTTTTTTTTTTTTTTTTTTATGAGACAGGGTCTTGCTCTGTTGCCCAATCAGGAATGCAGTGGTGTGATCTCAGTTCACTGTAACCTCCGCTTCCTGGGTTCAAGCAGTTCTCGTGCCTTGGCCTCCCGAGTAGCTCGGACTACAAGTGCATGCCACCATTCCCGGGTAATTTTTTTTTTTTTTGTAGTTTTATTAGAGATGGGGTTTTATCATGTCCAGGCTGGTCCAGAGCTCCTAACCTCAAGTGGTTCACCCATCTTGGCCTCCCAAAGTTCTGGGATTATAGCCATGAGCCACTGTGCCTGGCCTACACTGGGTTTTTAAGCTGACTTCTTTGCAAAAGCTATTCAAGGGATTACTATATGCATCCTTAACGATCTACTGAGAAGTAATATGGAACCACTTCAAGTAAAAGATAAGAACTTTGCAACAGTATTGTTTCATTTACCACCCCTTATCCTTTGTGGTATTACTGTCATATATATTACATCATAATTATAAACTCCATAAGAGTGTTTTAATTTTTTGGCTTAAGCATTCATATGTCCTTTATGAAACTGAAGAAAAGATAATCATTTTAAAAATATTTACTCAAAAATGTCTCATTTCCTGTGCTTTTCATTCTACCCCATTGCTGTGGTTTGAATGTGCCCCCCAAATTTCATTTGTTGGAAATACAATCCTAAATTCATATGTTGTAATTAGGATTAGATAAGGTTATCAAGGTGGGGCCTCCCATGATGGGGCTGTTTGCTTTATGAGAAGAGGAAAAGAGACCTGAGCTTACATGCACACTTGTTCTGTCTTGCTGTATGATGCCTCCTGCTATGTCATGGTGGTGGCGGCTCATGCCTGTAAACCTTGGGAGGTCAAGGTGGGAGGATCACTTGAGGCTAGGAGTTCAAGACCAGCCTGGGCAACATGGTGAGACCCCATCTCTACAAAAAATAAATTTACCTGGATGTGGTGGCATGTGCCTGTAGTCCCAGCTACTCAAGAGGTTGAGGTGGGAGGATCACTTGATCCCAGGAGGTCAAGGCTGCAGTGAGCTGTGTTTGTGCCACTGCACTCCAGCCTGGGCAACATAGCAAAACCCTGTCTCAAAAAAATATTTAGTATATTATATAAGTGTATCTGTAACATTTAAGAGAACTCTCTAGGGCACCCTAAAGCTTAGGGAGAGTACCCAGGAAAGAGTGCCCCTTCCCCAATGTCTGAAACCTTGTTGGAGAAGATGTAGTTGTAGCCCATTTGATGGCAGAGAAGTTTCTGGTTTGCATAGGCCAGAACTGGTTTGCAGTAACTAGGCAAGCTTGAAGCAACTCTCTTGGGCACAGGCAAACTTCAACTCATGACTGACATGGGAGTGCAGAGGAAGAGGCGGCATTAATGCATGCAGGAAGCCTGGAGTATGTGGTGTTCATTTCGGTATGGCTGTGGCATCAGGAAGTTTGAAGGAGACAAACTTTTGGGAGAGGGAGTGAGTAGAGGGAGTTGGGGCACCAGTGTGGGCAGGAATCCTGAAATGTGCAGTATCTGTGTTGAGTGGGCCATAGGGAGGTGATCATCAGGCTGAGCTGCAGTTGTGAATTTGCTGATAGACTATATGTTCTCAGCACTTGGCTGGGGCAGAGTGCCACTGGTGTCCTCATATTTACACTACTGATTCCCTGTGCAACAGGTAGAAAACCTAGAATAGGCTGGGTGCAGTGGCTCATGCCTGTAATCTCAGCAGTTTCGGAGGCTGAGGCGGGTGGATCACCTGAGGTCAGGAGCTCAAGAACAGTCTGACCAACATGGTGAAACCCTATCTCTACTAAAAAATACAAAAATTAGCCAGGCATGGTGGCAAGTGCTTGTAATCCCAACTACTTGGGAGGCTGAGGCAGGAGAATCACTTGTACCTGGGAGGCGGAGGTTGCAGTGAGCCGAGGTGGTACCATTGCACTCCAACCTGGGCAACAGAGCAAGACTCCATCTCAAAAAAAAATTAAAATAAAAAAACAAACAAACAAAAAAACAGATTAGCTTCTTCCTCTCTCCTGTAGTGATCCTTCAGCATCCTCTATGAAGAAAGCTCAATATCATATTCATTGTATAGAGGATTTCAGAGCAGATATTGAAGGGTGGGTTTGGAACAGACCCTTCATGCTCTAACTCCTCAGGCCTGTAAGACTGTGGGCGTTCTACTTAGGTTCTAGCTGTCCTACACTGTATGGACTGGGTGTGTTCTCAAATAGCTGTATACATGCTATTCTTGCCCACTGCATTTCTCTTCTTTCAAGATTTGACACTTCTGTTTTCTGTCTGATTTTGGTTATTCTTTGCCTTCAAATAGTTATTTTTTAATACTTTGTTCAGAATTTGTAATGTTTATCCTTGGGAAGGTCTTTGTAAGCTACTGTACCATTATGGGAAGTGGAAACTGCATTTTATTATCGAAAAAAATTTAAAGCTGTGAAAGATGTTGTTAGAATAATTATATCTAAGAAATATTGAACATTTATACATCAAATGAGATAGTTTGTCTTATTTCAGCTTTAAGACTAGATACTTATTATTGTTAGTAGTTTTATAGATGAGAATATTGAAGTTTGAAGAGGTTCTTATTTTATTAAGACATACAGCAGAGCTAGTATTTGATTGCAAATGTTTCCCACTCCACAGCCCCGTCCCGTACTTACAGACATGGTACTAAGCACAACTTTGTTGATAGCATTACTATAATTGTTTTGACTTGTTCATTAGAATTCTAGAATTCTAGTTCTTTAAGTGCAGAAATGGTGTGCCATCTCATTTTTGTGATGAATTCATATGATACTTGGAAAATAGTAGATACTATAGTGTTTGTTTGTTAAAATGGATTTATTTCCATCTAAAAAGCCATACAAATTGTTTTAAGTCCTGTTACTTATGGAGTTACTAAATAACAGTGCTTTTAGGTTTTTAATAGGTCAGTTGATTCTTAAATACGAATTTTGTTAGTTTTCAGACTTTTTTCATGTTCCCATAGGGTTTAATTTTCAGAATACAAGAATGAATTTTATTATATTTGTGGCACCTGCACAGACTCCATTTTGTAGTACTTATGTCCTATTTTTAGGAAGCCTCATGGAGTATAGATAACCAGGCTATTTAAACAAACTTATTTATAAAAGAAAAAATGAAGTTCTCTTAAGTTTAAAAATTTTCACCTTTCCCTAGAGTGATCTTAATTTCAGTCATCTAGTTTAAAAAGACCTGATTGTTTCTGCCTGAAAGATTTGTACTAGGGAATAACTAATGAAAACAAAACTTAGGAGGCTGGATGAGGTGGCTCACACCTGTAATCCCAGCACTTTGAGAAGCGGAGGCAGAGGGATCCATTTGAGCTCAGGTGTTTGAGACTAGCCTGGGCGACATGGTGAAAACCTGTCTCCATAAAATAATATAAAAGTTAGCCAGATGTGGTAATGTGCACCTGTGGTCCTAGCTACTCGAGAGGCTGAGGTGGGAGGATTAGTTGAACCTGGGAGGTCGAGGTACATACAGTGAGCCATGATTGCACCGCTGCACTCCAGCCTCGGTGACAGAGTGAGACCCGTTTCACACACACAATAAAACCCCCAAACTTTGGATTAAAAGAAATTTTTAATAATGGCACATTTTAGTTATAGATCATTTTAAAGATATACTAAGTATGAAGAAAAATCACAATTCATATAACCCCAGCAGTAAGCCCAATGAACTTTTTTTCTATCAATAATAAGTCTTGAACACATTTTATGGTTATTGAAATTAACAAAATATGATTTTGAATAATTCATTATTGCATGAATCTTTGCCTGTGATTATTTCTTACCTAGAATTAGAATTACATGGTTAAAGAATAGTATGATTTTTGTGGTCAATGATATGTAATTCCAAATTGCCCTCCAAAAGTATATACATGAATTTATATTTTCATCACCAACATATGAGAGTGCCTGTTTTACTGTGCATTTGACAATGCTGGAATTTATAATTTTAAAAACTTCCTATTTTTATGAGGTAAATAATGGTTTCTTTGTCAATTTGTATTTCTTTGATTTGTTGTGAGGGTGACATTTTGCATATATTTGTTTGATACCATTAATTTTTTTAAATACTTTTTTTGTATTTTTGGTAGAGACAGGTTTTCACCATTTCGCCAAGGATTGTCTTGAACTCCTGAGCTCAAGTGATTCTCCCACCTTAGCCTCCCAAAGTGCTGGGATTACAGGCATGAGCCATTGTGCCTGTCTGGATACCGTTGAATATTTTTTTTTTTTTTTTTTTGAGCTGGCTTCTGGCTCTGTCGCCCAGGCTGGAGTGCAGTGGCGCGATCTCGGCTCACTGCAAGCTCCGCCTCCTGGGTTCACGCCATTCTCCTGTCTCAGCCTCCCGAGTAGCTGGGACTACAGGCGCCCGCCACCATGCCCGGCCAATTTGTTTTTGTATTTTTGGTAGAGACAGGGTTTCACCGTGTTAGCCGGGATGGTCTCGATCTCCTGACCTGGTGATCTGCCCGTCTTGGCCTCCCAAAGTGCTGGGATCGTTAATTTTTTGAGCGTAATTACCTACTTATGTTCACTCATCACCCTTCAAAAAATGACTTTTAAAAAATTCAAACAGACTATTAAAAATAGTTTTTAATAGAAGTAAATTTTGGTAAAATCGTGAGTTACTCAGAATTTGCCTTTTCACAGTCTTCCTCCTCCAGGGTTTCCTACTAAGTACTACTTTGCCTTCATGTAAGTTTTAAGGGGGCGGAAGAAAAAAGGGAGAAAGGAGGAAAAGGGATTGAAAGGAGGAAAAGGGATTGAAAGGAGGAAAAGGAAGAAAAATATGAGATTATTAATGTGAAGCTCTTAGTACTGTGCTTGGCATTTATTAAGCATTTTATAAAACGTATTATTATTGCCACTGCTATTATTATTAACATTAAAACATACCTGTTTTCTATGGGATTTCTTTAGGACCTGACTTTTAAAGATCTTAAGCTATTTAGATTCTGGAGTCAGGCTCTACTGTGTTCTTTGCTAACTGTGTGTGCATGAAAAAATAACTTAATCTTTCTGAGAGTCTGTGTCCTTGTTTATAAAATTGAAATGATGATGCATCTCTCTCACTGGGCTATTTTGAGGCTTGTTGAGACAATATATAAAAAGGGCCAAGCACATGGAACGCTCTCAGATACTGGTTTTTTCCTCGTCTCCACCTCCCTTGACATCCCTTTGAAAGCCTGAGAGAGCAGACTAGAGCTCTGACTAGTTAAGGCCTCAGTAGTGGATCCCCATGACTGCCCAGAGTGAGTATGGGAGATCTTGGTCCAGCCCTACCCCCATTTGTTTAATAACTTAATTTATCATATGGATGTATATAGATTTAGAATTGTGATATCCTTTTGCTGAGTTAACTTATAGAATTATTCTGAAATACTATTATCACTGTGACTATTATTACTATTCTTAATTATTTCTATTAAATTATTGCTCTGACTATGAATGTCTGCCTAGTAATGCTGCTTTTGTTAAAGTTTGATACTGATGTAGCTGTGCCAGCTTTCTTTTGGTTTGTGTTTACATGTTACATCTTTTGCTATTTTTTCACTTTTGATCTCTCTGTGTCTTTATATTTAAAGTATATCTCTTGCAAGTCACATATTGGGTTTTGTTTTACTTTTTTTCAATAACAGCTTTGTTCAGATATAATTCACATACCATAACGTCTACCCTTATAAAGTACATACTTCAGTGATTTTTTTATGTATTCATGGAGTTTTGCATGCATCACCACTATCTAATTCCAGAAGATTTTTATCATTCCAAAAAGAAACCCTTTACCCATTAACGATCACTCTCCATTCTCCCTCTCCCCTGCCTTTACCTTCCAGCCTCTGACAACCACTAATCTACTTTCTGTCTCTGTGGATTTGCCTATTCTGGACTTTTTACATAAATATAATCATACAATATCTGGGCTTTTGTACCTGGTTTTTTTTACTTAGATTGTTTTTCAGGTTTGTCCATATGGTAGTGTGTATTGGTACTTCATACCTTTTTTAGTATTTTATTCTTGCTGTGCTTCAGTTCATTATTGTCCATTGACCTGCTTTTTAGTTCATCACTAATCTGTTGTTAAACCCATCTATTGAGTTCAAATTTCAGTAGTTGTTTTTCAGTTCTATTATTTACAATTTTAATCCTCTACTGCAATTTTCAGTCTTTCTCTCAGTATTTTCTGTGTCTCAGTTTTTTTTTTTTTTTTGAGACGGAGTTTCGCACTTGTTGCCCAGGCTGGAGTGCAATGGCACGATCTTGGCTCACTGCAACCTCCACCTCCTGGGTCCAAGAGATTCTCCTGCCTCAGCCTCCTGAGTAGCTGGGATTACAGGTGCTTGCCACCACGCCCAGCTAATTTTTCGTATTTTTAGTAGAGACAGGGTTTCATCATGTTGGCCAGGCTGGTCTCAAACTCCTGACTCTGGTAATCCACCTATCTCGGCCTCCCAAAGTGTTGGGATTACAGGCGTGAGCCACCGCACCCAGCCTCTCCGTTTTCTTAAACGTATTAATCATGGTACTATGAAAGTTCTTATTTACTAACTCTACTTTTTTAGTTACCTGTGATTCTCTTGTTTGTTTTTTGCTCATAGTTGTCTGTCATATTATTCTCTTTCTTGGCATATCTTACAGAAATATAGACATTGTGTATAAAAGCTCTGGAGTTACAGACAGTGTTATCTTCTAGAGAAGTCCACTTTTTTCCTTCTACTAGGCAGAGTGTTGGGTGGATCATTTTAATCCAATCAGAGCCTTGAGCTAAGGACTAGCTTGTAGAGCTTTCCATAAAGAGCTCTGGGTGTTCACCAGGGCTCTAGCCCTAATGGGTTCTGAATTCCAATTCCCGTCTCCTCAGCATTCTGAGGCTGCTAAAAATGTCTTGCTTTTCAAAGATTTCCTGCTCAGCCTCCTATCCTGCACAATTTGACAGATATCTTGAGGGAAAAGCTGGCTGTATGTCAGGCTTTGTTCTTTACCTCTCTCTACTCTCTGGGATCTTGGCCCCTCAAGTTTCTAATTTTGTCTTACTATCCCCAAGAGACAACCAAAGCTCTGCTTGTTTTATGTTTTCCAGAAGCAATCTTACGGCTGGGGGAGAGCCTAGATGGATTCTCAGCCTCTTGACCTTTTCCCAGAATCAGCAATGCCCCAAGAGAAAGAGGAGCAGCAGAATATCTGCTCAGCTCTTTTGTTTTCTCCTCTCTGCAATCTTGGCTTTTCTAATCGTAGCTGCTTAATCAGCTCTTTCTAACACCTTTACACAGATAGGCTTTTTTTTTAATGTAAGAGATAGGGTCTCCCTCTGTCACCCAGACTGAAGTGCAGAGGCTTGGTCACGGCTCATCATAACCTCAAAGTCCTGGGCTTAAGTGATTCTCTCGCCTTGGCCTCCTAATAGCTGGGACTGCGGGTGTACACTACCATGCCCAGTTAATTTTTTTTAATTTTTTTTTTTTGGTAGAGATAGGATCTTGCTATGTTGTGCAGGTTGGTCCTGGATTCCTGGCCTCAAGCTATCCTCTCGCCTTGGCCTCCCAAATCCCTGGATTATAGGCATGAGCCACTGCCCCTTGCCTCAACATAGTTTTAACATATATATTATTTGGATTTTTGGAGGAATTTGTTTTGTTTTGTTTTGTTCGAGATAGAGTCTTGCCCTGTCACCCAGGCTGGAGTGCAGCGGCACATTTTGGCTCACTGCAACCTCCGCCTGCCAGGTTCAAGTGATTCTCCTGCCTCAGGCTCCCAAGTAGCTGGGACTACAGGCACGTGCCACTACGCCTGGCTAATTTTTGTATTTTTAGTAGAGACGGGGTTTTACCATGTTGGCCAGGCTGGTCTTGAAATCCTGACTTCAAGTGATCTGCCCGCCTCAGCCTCCCAAACTGCTGGGATTACAAGCGTGTGCTACCTTGCCAGGCCCTGTTTTGTTTTTTAGATAGGGTCTTACTCTATTGCCCAGGCTGGAATGCAGTGGTGTGATCATATCTCACTGCAGCCTTGAACTACTGGGCTTAAGCAATCCTCTCACTTTAGCCCCCTGAGTAGCAGGGACCACAGGCACATGCCACCATGCCTGGCTGATTTTTTGTTTATTTGTTCATTTACTTTTTGTAGAGACAAGGTCACTTGATGGTGCCCAGGCTGTGGAGGATAGTTTTGATAGGTGAGTTGGTCTGCCACAGATGATTCTATCCTACCTGAAATCAGTAGTTTGACCTAACTGGATGATCTTGCTGCTTTTGCCTTTGAGTGAGTTGAGTGTTGGTCAGAGGAACTCACTAGATTTTATAGCTTATTCATACATATGCAGTTGATCTCCAGTTATTCACTGTAAGAGGGGACAGTTTTGGAGATTCATAAGATGTGTACATGAGACATTAGTTTATGAAAGGCTTTTACAGACTTATAAAGCACTTCCCAGATGTTAGTTCATTAGGTCCTTTCAATTTTGTAAGGATAAGCATTATTATCTTCAATTAAGAGTTGAGTTAGGAAAGACTATTGCCTTCTGTCTTCTATTTGCTGCTTTTGGGTAAAGTTGGGACTCAAACCGAGATTGTATGAGACCACATCTAGTATTTTTTCCCATCTGCATCCATTTGGAACTATAGAAACTGGCTTTTGTGTAAATCAATTTGTCTTATTGCCTACTATGAAATATTAGAACTGTAAAATAGTGTATTATTTACAGATATACTCAAAGGACTCTCTCTCTTTCTCTTTACTTTGTCTTAAGTAGAATGTAAAGCTCACAAATTGTGTTGTGTTTTGCTTTAACTGTCAACACTTGAATGTGTTACATTTTACTTGTGTGTGTTATTCAGCCAAAGAGAAGGGGGCTTGCTGCCCAATGCACTAGAGACCAATGCTGTGACACCAAGTTTTGAGAAAAGAAAAGCTTTATATTGCAAGTTGACTAACAAGGAGGCAGGAGTCCAGCTCAAATGTGTTTCCTCATGCTGACTTTAAGGCAGTAATTTTATAAGAAAAGGTTGAGGGGTAGATGCTGAGATTAGCAGGTGATTGGTGAAAGGAAAGGGGAGGTCTGGTAAAGTCCTCAGGCATGCACAGTTACCTCTTCATGCCTCCTCATGGGTCCCATGTGCAAATTGGGGGAGAGTTAGTATGAAACATCTGGTAGAAATGAACACCGTGATGTCCGCAAGTTATTTCTGTGCAAACTCCAGTTGGCCATATTGGTTTCAACTGATTTCAGCCAGTTTTATCTTATAAGTAGAGAGAGTTTCGGCATTTCAGCAAGTTGTTTATTTTTTTATCTGCCATCCTGCAAACCATTTGTTAGTCATTGGTGTCTTTAACTCTTTAGGGGCATAGTTTCATGTCTTGTTTGTTTTTCTTCATCCTCCAGTTCAGTAAAATGACCAAAGCAAAATTGAAGTGCCAGAAGAGAAATAAGACCTTTGAATTATCCATAGATAGAAGAGGTATGTTCTTCTATTCCTAATGGACCCAGGTTACTGTGAGGGTTCCTGGATCTGATTGTTAAAAATTTTCAGTCATCTTCTTTGTTACCTTCCGCTTAGTATATTATCAATGGCTTGCTTCCTGCTACACTTCTCCCTGCTCTCTTTGACTATTTCTGATCTGCTATTGCTTAGAAAACTTCATAACCAAGGTTGTAAAAATTATCTTAAAAAATAAGAATACTGTCTTAGGATTTCAGAGGGTGGCTAGAAATTGAGGTCCAGAAAAATTAAGTGACTTGCCCAATGCACATGCACAGCCTGTCAACACAGTTGACAAGAAAAACAGAATCTTCTATGTACTATACTATAGTCTTTAATTTTTTTCATCATTTAAAATTTTTAGTCCCTGAATGATGGCCTAGGAGACTGTATTGAGTACAGCATATTAGTCATGAAGACCTTTTTACTACTTTCGTAATTGATAGATGAATTCTGTCTTTTTACTATCTTCCTAATTGATAGATGAATTCTGCCAAACATGTTACTTCCACATAAGTTTGTCTGTGTGCTTACACTTATTTAATCTTAGATACTAATTCTTTGTATGTGTTTATACTTATTTAGCCTTATATAGTAATTCTTTTTTTAAAAAATAGAGACAGGGTCTTACTCTGTCACGTAGGCTGTAGTGCAGTGGTGAATCATAGTTCGTTGTAACCTCACTGCTTGAGGGATCCTCCTGCTTCAGCTTCCTGAGTAGCTGAGACTACAGGTGTGTGCCACCATCCCTGGCTGATTTTTGTATTTTTCATAGAGATGAGGCCCTGCCATGTTGCCCAGGCTGTTCTTGAACTTCTGTCCTCAAGCAATCCTCGTGTCTGGGCCTCCCAAAGCGCTGGGATTACAGATGCGAGCCACCATGCCTGGCCTTTGTATACTCATTTTCAAAAATTTAAGTCTATCATCTGTGATTTGAGAATAGGTATTTGTTAATATAAACAAACCAGATAACATCTCAGTTCTCCAAACCCCATGCAGCTCAACACTAAAGCAGTCTTCATGAATCTGAAGTTTTTGTGCAGAGAAAGCCAATGATAGGAACATTTTAAGATTTCTGCTAAGAATTGCTGAGCATGATATATCTAGTATTTATAGTAGATATGCCATTGATGCTTAATAAACATTTGAAAAACCCTCTCTAAAAACTGCAGAAAAAAGATGCACACCTGTAATCCCAGCTACTTGGGTTAAGGTAGGAGAATTGTTTGAGTCTAGCTTGGGCAACATAGTGGGACCTTGAGTGTAAAAAAAAATACAATAAATAAAATAAAAATTTTAAAAATGTTAAAAAAATTAAAACTTCGGACAAGAGAAAAATTGCTTAATAATCACTTTGAATGTGTTTGCGTTTAATATATTATGAAGTATTGATGTAAAGAGTTGTAAATATTTTCACCCTACAGCCCTAATTAGAATAGTCAGAATGTTGCTTTAATAAGTACTTAGTAAACATATTCAAGAAATTTAAATGACTTTATGAAGTTTTTTCAGTTGGGATGAATTGTAGGACTCCATCGGGAACAGAAATTCTTGAAGTCTGAAGACTGAGACATTCTGTAGCTTAAAAGTTTTCTTACCACGAAAATAGCCTTGCCATTGGCTTGTATACTGAATTAATTGGAAGTTCGCTGGCCATAATTCTGTCTTCCTAGGATCTGCCTAGAGTTTTCTGTCTGCATTCCTTTTTTTGAGGGTGAAGGGGAGTACCTGACTATCTTTTGTAAAGATTTTTCTTTTCCTCTTTAGATTCCTAATAATGCTGGGTATGCCAAATCTTTAATGATGCTCTGTGTAGCCTATAGTTGGGCAAAAGCTGACTGGAAGATACTCTTCAGCAACTTGATTTTTTTAGTATTTAGGACTTACTAATTTTTATCTTTGGAAAGACAGTTTTATCTTTAGCTCTAACAATTTTATCTCTAGCTTTAACTTTGCAGGGACATGGATGAAGCTGGAAACCATCATTCTCAGCAAACTATCACAAGGACAGAAAACCAAACACCACATGTTCTCACCCATGCTCTAACTTGAGCTTTATACCTTTATTGTAAGTCTTTTTCAATTTGATCAGTCTGATATAGAGGAAAGCTGGTGGGCTTTAGATTTGGAAACACTTGGTTTGAAAACCTAGCTCTGCGATTTACTAACTGTGCAACCCTGGGTAAGAGAGTATTGTCTCTGAGTCTAAGTTCCTCAAGTATAACAGGAGTTATAATGAGTATTATTTACTCACTACAGAATAGTAAGTTGTAGTGAGTATCATTTATTTATTACATACTTTCGACTGGCAAGTGAAAATTTTATCTGTTTATGGTGTACAACATAATGTTTTCACGTATGTATATGAATACATTGTGAAGTAGCTAAATCAAGCTGATTAACATATCTGTTACTTCACATGCTTATTATTTTTTGTGATGATGAGTATTCTTGTTTTTTTTTTATTATACTTTAAGTTCTAGGGTACATGTGCACAACGTGCAGGTTTGATACGTAGGTATACATGTGCCATGTTGGTTTGCTGCACCCATCGACTAATCATTTACGTTAGATATTTCTCCTAATGCTATCCCTCCCCAAGCCCCCCACCCCCTGACAGGCCCCAGTGTGTGATGTTCCCCGCCCTGTGTCCAAATTATCTCATTGTTCAGTTCCTACCTATGAGTGAAAACGTGCGGTGTTTGGTTTTCTGTCCTTGTGATAGTTTGCTGAGAATGATGGTTTCCAGCTTCATCCATGTCCCTGCAAAGGACATGAACTCAATGATGAGTATTCTTAATAACACCTGAAAACCATTATATTATCCTAAAGCGTGGCACCTATTTTACAATTGAATTGATTTTTCAGAATTATTCTTGTGTTTTACATTTTTAGATAGATTTTGTTTTTGAAATACTTAATTCTTAAGAAGCATCACAATGTCTAGTAGATAATCTCATGCCTCAGAAAATTCATAGCATTACCATATTAGTTTACTATTTAAAAATGTTAAAATATGGATAATAAAATCATTTATTTTCCAAATCACATGAATTCACTCAGCTTTTTTTTTTTTTTGAGATGGAGTTTCGCTCTTGTCACCCAGGCTGGAGTGTAATGGCAGATCTCAGCTCACTGCAACCTCCGCCTCCTGGGTTCAAATGATTCTCCTGCCTCAGCCTCCTGAGAAGCTGGGATTACAGGTGCACACGACCACGCCCGGTTAATTTTTGTATTTTTTAGTAGAGACGGTGTTTCGCCATGTTGGCCAGGCTGGTCTTGAACTTCTGACCTCAGGTGATTTGCCCACCTCAGGCTCCAAAGTGCTGAGATTACAGGCATGAGCTACCGCACCCGGCTGAACTCACTGAAATTTTTTGAAAATTTTATACATTTATGGTATTTAACATAATGTTTTGTAAATGGCAATTATTACTATCCATTTTTATAAAAAGATGTATTAAGTTATATGATACCTGACTTATTTTGTAATTTGTAAAATTTCAGACCCCACTGCATATGCCATGTATAGTGGCTAGCTGGTATCCCACCCTCATGTGAGAAGGGCTAAATGAAGAGATGCTGAGCCCCTTCAAAGTGAGTGCTCTACTCTGTTGCATTGCCCAAAGATTAGATTTCTTGACATTTACCTTAAAACCCTGAACAGTTTGTGCTCGAGAGCTCTGCTATTTGCTAAACTACTTTAGCAAACAGCATGCTGTGAAGCAAGACCCCACCAGAGCCCTTTCTGCAATATCTTTTAATTTTGGTTTTCCTATATGCCCACGTGTGGTTTTATATTATAGACCAATGGAAAAAAAATAATTTGATGTGAGTAATGTTGCTTTTTCCTCCAATTTTTCACTGCTTTAAAAAATAATTGAGGAGAGCCTTTAATACCTCTTTGAAAATAATTATGAAGGTTTTTTACTATTTGGAAGATCATAGAATCCACCATATAGTAATTTTTAAATATTTTAAATTGGATGTTTAACTTTAAATTAGAAAAAACAACATTATTGAAAGCTTTTCTTTAATAGAAAAATTGCTTTGATTTTTATTTCATAATTGATTTAAAATATTAGTTACATGAATTATTATTTACAACTTGCATAGTAATTTTCATACATCTCCATAATAAAAATTCACTCTGTAATCTCTTCTATAAAAAGAAGTAAACAGCACCTGCCAGAGCACTGTAGCAACGAGAGCCATCAAGTGTGTATTCACTTCGTTATTCAAAACAGCAGTGAAAGAGTTAATAAAAGCTGAATACATTACAGGATTACAAAGATTTTTATTTATTAGGGGATAGGGAGGGTATGGTATATATGGGATGAAACATTAATAACCTCTCTATTCTGCAAGACTGACCTATTGCTTTGGAACTACTCTTTTAGCCCCACAGAGACTGTGAAACAGTGTTTTGGTGGTCTATAGGAAAGGTTCAACTTGGCAAATGTAGTGGTAAGTGATGTCACTGAATGCATACCATATGTATTGAGAGTCAGTGAATGCTATTCTCTCTGCTGCGCACAGGCATGTGTAAGTGTTGGAATGGAAAAATCATTTTTATGAAAATATAGAGAAGTAAAACAAGAATGTTCTGTCCTGAGCCTGATCAGATCACCAGTAGCTGCCAAGAGTGAACACTCCGTGTAAGGTTTTCTCTTCTTAATTCTCCAGCTTCCGGCCTTTTGTTGGCTCTCAAAAGTAGTCTATTCAGAAGGCCTTATTCAGCATGTTCTTTCTTGATATGATATGAACACCAAATGAAAGTTCCATTTTCTCCATTAAAGTAAAGCTGGGAGAATATTTTAGTGTGCATGGTTTGCAGCAGATGGAAATGATTAATTGATTTAGCTAACTTGCCAAATTGTTCTCTTTCCCAGTAGAGTTGGGTTTTATCAGAGAGACTCGTACTGCTAATCATTGTAACACTTACTAATATATCAGAAAGAATATAATTGTTGTGTTTTAATTATTCTCATTACTATTATTTAAGACATGCTCTAATGCTACACTAATAGATATGGCAAATAAATAAGGCAATTGATTCCTGTTAGAAATTTATGACATATAAGATAGAGTAGAAGAATACATGGAGATATAAAAAGGTGAAGTAGCCAGTTATTTTACTCTTAAATTTTTATTAGCAAATCAGTGTCCTTACTAAAAATCAAATGGTATTTTCTTAAGCTTGAATAGATGCTATCTTAAATCTTAATCTCTTTTGTATTTTGTACAAAGACTGCCTGTTATAACAGTATGATTTTAAGTAATTTTTTAAAAATAAAAGCAATATTTGCCCTTCATAATAGGACATTAGAAATACAAATATAAATAATAAACTATATTGTTATAGCAATTCTGTTAACATTTTGATATTTCATTTTAGATTTTTAATATACATATACACATATATACATATAAGAAACATATATGTCTGTATAGATATATGTATATTTTTATTTTTACAAAATTTGGAAATACTCTTTAACTTTTCTCAGCTATTTTTACTTAATAATGTAACTTGATGTTTTCCTGTCAGTAAAATGTTTTTAGAAATCTCCTTTTTAATGGGGAATGAATTTTTTAATTAAACAAACTTTTTAAAATTTAGAGACAGGTATCATTCTATTCCCCAGGCTGGAGTGCAGTGGTGCCATCATAGCTTATGCAGCCTCGAATTCTTGGGCTCAAGTGCTTCTCCTGCCTCAGCCTTCCAAGTGCTGGGATTACTGCTGGTGTGAGCCATTGAGCCTGGCCCTAAGGAAGGAGTTTTTGTTTTGTAAAGGAAATACTGCTTTTTGGATTAGAAAAAGTCAATATACCACTTCCATTTCAGCTCCTAAAATTTTAACCAAGGATGCAGTGGGTAGAAGTAAATAGTGAGGTGGCTGAAGCTATCACTATGACACATTAACTCTTACGTTGGCTCTTTTCATTCTGCATTTGGGCATGACTCGTATAGGTATAAAGCAAGAGCTAATATCTTCCAGACTGTTCATTAAAAATTCAAAGTATGGGCTGGTTAATAAGCACTACTTACAGTATGAGTATTAAAAAATTTCCAGACCAGGCATGGTGGCTCATGCTTCTGTAATCCAAGTGCTTTGGGAAGCTGAGGTGAGAGGATCGCCTGATCCAGGAGCTTTTGAGTTTACAGTGAGCTACGTTTACACCATTGTACTCCAGCCTGGGCAGTAGAGCAAGACTGTCTCAAAAAAAAAAAAAAAAAAAATCCAGGTTAAAATATTCAAAAGATAACTTTCTCTTTTTTTCTTCTTCCTTCAACTTTTATTTGAAGTTCAGGGGTACACGTGCAGGATGTGCAGGTGTTATATAGGTAAAAATGCGCCGTGGTTCTTTGCTGCACAGATCACCCCTTCACCTAGGTATTAAGCCCAGCATCTGTTAGCTTTTCTTCCTGATGCTGTCCCCCAGCCTTGACAGGCCCCAGTGTGTGTTGTTCCCCACCGTGTGTCCATGTATTCTCACCATTCAGCTCCCACTTACAAGTGAGATGTGCAGTGTTTGGTTTTCTGTTCCTGCATTAGTTTGCTGAGGATAATGCTTTCCAACTCCATCTGTGTCCCTGCAAAGGACATTATTTTATTCCTTTTTATGGCTGCATAGTATTCCATGGTGTACATGTACCACATTTTCTTTATCTAGTCTATCATTGGTGGGCATATAGGTTGATTCCTTGTCTTTGCTATTGCGAATAATGCTGCAGTGAACATATACATACATGTATCTTTATAATAGAATGGTTTATATTCCTTTGGGTATGTACCCAGTAATGAGATTGCTGAGTCAAATGGTATTTCTGCCTCTAGGTCTTTGAGGAATTGCCACACCGTCTTCCATAATGGTTGAACTAATTTACACTCTACCAACAGTGTAAAAGTGTTCCTTTTTCTCTGCTGTTTTTTGACTGTTTTATAATAGCCATTCTGACTGGTGTGATATGATATCTCGTTGTGGTTTTGATTTGCATATCTCTAATGATCTGTGATGTTGAGCTTTTTTTCATATGTTCGTTGGCCTCATGTATGTCTTCTTTTGAGAAGTGTCTGTCCATGTCCTTTGCTCACTTTTTAATGGGTTTGTTTGTTTTTTTTTTGTAATTTAAGTTCCTTGTAGACTCTGGATATTAGACCTTCGTCAGATGGATAGACTGCAAAAATTTTCTCCCATTCTGTAGGTTTTCCGTTCACTCCGATGATAGATTCTTTTGCTGTGAAGAAGCTCTTTAGTTTAATTAATTAATTAAACTTGGAATTGCTTTTGGTGTTTTTGTCATAAAATCTTTGCCCATGCCTATGTCTTGAATTATGGTATTGCATAGATTTTCTTCTAGGGGTTTTAGAGGTTTGGTGTTTTTTTTTTTTCTTTTTTCTGAGACGGAGTCTCACTATATCACCTAGGCTGGAGTGCAGTGGCATGATCTCAGCTCACTGCAACCTCCACCTCCTGAGTTCAAACAATTCTCCTGCTTCATCCTCCTGAGTAGCTAGGATTACAGGTGTGTGCTACCATGCCTGGCTAATTTTTGTATTTTTAGTAGAGACGGGGTTTCACCATGTTTGCCAGGCTGGTCTTGAACTCCTGACCTCGTGATCCACCTGCCTCAGCCTCCTATAGTGCTTGAGCCACTGTGCCCGGCCAGGATAGTTTTGGGTTTTACATTTAAGTGTTTAATCCATCTTGAGTTGATTTTTGTATATGGTGTAAGGAAGGGGTCCAGTTTTAATTTTCTGCATATGGCTAGCCATTTCTCCCAGCACCATTTATTAAATAGGGAATCCTTTCCTCATTGCTTGTTTTTGTCAGGTTTGTAAAAGATCAGATGGTTGTAGGTGTGCAGGCTTATTTCTGAGTTCTGTATTCTGTTCCATTGGTCTATGTGTCTGTTTTTGTACCAGTACCATGCTGTTTTAGTTACTGTAGCCTTGTAGTATAGTTTGAAGTTGGGTAGCATGATGCTTCCAGCTTTGTTCTTTTTGTTTAGGCTTGTCTTGGCTATTTGGGCTCCCTTTTGGTTCCATATGAATTTTAAAATAGTTTTTCCTAATTCTGTGAATAATGTCCGTGGTAGTTTGATAGGAATACCATTGAATCTATAAATTACTTTGGGCAGTATGGCCATTTTCATGAGTATTGATTATTCCTATCCATGAGCATGAAATGTTTTCCCATTTTTTTGTGTCCTCTCTGATTTCTTTGAGCAGTGATTTGTAGTTCTTTCTGAAGAGGTCCTTCGCCTCTCTTGTTAGCTGTATTCCTAGGTATTTTATTCTCTTTGTAGCAGTTGTGAATGGGGGTTCATTCATGATTGGTCTTTCTGCTTGCCTGTTATTGGTGTATAGGAATGCTAGTGATTTTTGCACATTGATTTTGTATTCTGAGACTTTGTGGAAGTTGTTTTTTAGCTTAGGAAGCTTTTGGGCTGAGACAGTGGGGTTTTCTAGATACAGGATCATGTCATCTGCAAACGAAGATAATTTGACTTCTTCTCTTCCTATTTGAATATGCTTTATTTCTTTCTCTTGCTCTATTGCCCTCGCGAGAACTTCCAATACTATGTTGGAGAGGGGGCATCCTTGTCTTCTGCTGGTTTTCAAGGGAATGCTTCCAGCCTTTGCCCATTCAGTATGATATTGGTTGTGGGTTTGTCATAGATGGCTATTACTATTTTGAGGTATGTTCCTTTAATACCTAGTTTATTGAGAGTTTTTAACATGAAGGGATGTTGAATTTTATCGAAGGCCTTTTCTGCATCTATTGAGATAATCATGTGGTTTTTGTCTTCAGTTCTGTTTATGTGATGAATCACATTTATTGATTTGTGTATGTTGAACCAACCTTGCATCCCAGGGATGAAGCCAACTTCATTGTGGTTGATAAGCTTTGTGATGTGCTGCTGGATTCGGTTTGCCAGTATTTTATTGAGGATTTTTGCATTGATGTTCATCAGGATATTGACTTGATGTTTTGTATCTCTGCCAGGTTTTGTTATTAGGATGATGCTGGCCTCATAGAATGAGTTGGGGAGGAGTCCCTCCTTTTTAATTTTTTGGAATAGTTTCAGTAGAAATAGCACCAGGTCTTCTTTGTACCTCTGGTGGAATTCAGCCTGTGGATCTGTCTGGTCATGGGCTTTTTTTGGTTGGTAGGCTATTTATTTCTGCCTCAATTTCAGAACTTGTTATTTGTCTATTCAGGGATCCAATTTCTTCCTGGTTCAGTTTTTGGAGAGTGCATGTGTCCAGGAATTTATCCATTTCTTCTAATAGATTTTCTAGTTTATGTGCATAGAAATGTTTGTAGCATTCTCTGATGGTTGTTTGTATTTCTGAGGGGTCAGTGGTGATATCCCCCTTATCATTTTTTTATTGTGTTTATTTGATTCTTCTCTCTTTTATTAATCTAGCTTTCGGTCATCTATTTTATTATTTAAAAAAAAACAGCTTGTGAATTCATTGATTGTTTTTTGAAGGGCTTTTCGTGTCTCCATCTCCTTTAGTTCCACTCTGATCTTAGTTATTTCTTGTCCTCTGCTAGCTCTGGGGTTTGTTTGCTCTTGGTTCTCTAGTTCTTTTAGTTGAGATGTTAGGTTATTGACTTGAGATCTTTCTAGCTTTTTGATTTGGGCATGTAATACTATACATTTCCCTCTTAACACCGCTTTAACTGCATCCCAGAGATTCTGGTACATTGTCTCTTTGTTCTCAGTAGTTTCAAAGAACTTCTTGATTTCTTTCTTAGTTTCATTATTTATCCAAGAGTCATTCAGGAGCAGGTTGTTCAATTTCTGTGTAGTTGTATGGTTATGAGTGAATTTCTTGAGTTCTGATTTGATTGCACTGTGGTCTGAGAGACTGTTATGATTTGAGTTCTTTTGCATTTGCTGAAGACTGTTTTAAATCCAATTATGTGATCAATTTTAGAGTAAGTGCAATATGGTGATGGGAAGAATGTATATTCTGTTGTTTCTGGGTAGAGAGTATTTTTTTTTTTTTTTTTGAAGGCAGAATCTCACTTTGTTGCCCAGGCTAGAGTGCAGTGGTGCAATCTCAGCTCACTGCAACCTCCGTCTCCTGTGTTTAAGCAATTCTCCTGCCTCAGCCTCCTTAGTAGCTGGGATTACAGGCACATGCCACTGTGCTCAGCTAATTTTTGTATTTTTAGTAGAGATGCGGTTTCGCTGTGTTGGCTAGGCTGGTCTCGAACTCCTGGCTTTAAGTGATCTGCCCACCTGGCCTCCCAAAATGCTGGGATTACAGGCATGAGCCACGGTGCCTGGCTTAGGTGGAGAGTTCTGTAGATCTCTATCAGGTCCACTTGATCCAGAACTGAGTTCAGGTCCTGAATATTTTTGTTAATTTTCCGTCTCGATGATCTAATATTGTCAGTGGGGTGTTAAAGTCTCCCACTATTTTTATGTGGGAGTCTAAAGTCTAAGTCTCTTTGTAAGTCTCTAAGAACTTGCTTTATGAATCTGGATACTCCTGTATTGGTGCATATGTATTTAGGATAGTTAGCTCTTCTTGTTGAATTGAACCCTTTACCATTATGTAATGCCCTTCTTAGTCTTTTTTTTGATCATTGTTGGTTTAAAGTGTGTTTTGTGGGCTGGGCATGGTGGCTCACGCCTGTAATCCCAGCACTTTGGGAGGCTGAGGTGGGTGGATCACCTAAGGTCAGGAGTTTGAGACCATCCTCGCCAACATGGTGAAACCCCGTCTCTACTAAAAATACAAAAAATTAGCCGGGCATCTTGGCAGGTGCCTGTAATCCCAGGTACTCAGGAGGCTGAGATAGGGGAAGCTCTTGAACCCGGGAGGCAGAGGTTGCAGTGAGCTGACATCCTGCCATTGCACTCCAGCCAGGGCAAGAAGAAACTCCATCTCAATAAAATAAAATAAAACTAAATAAATAAATAAAGTGTGTTTTGTCAGAAACCAGGATTGAGACCCTTTTTTTTTTCTGTTTTGCATTTGCTTGGTAAATTTTCCTCCATCTCTTTATTTTGAGACTATGTTTGTCTTTGCATGTGAGATGTGAAGACAGCATACTGATGGGTGTTGGCTCTTTATCTAGCTTTCCATCTGTGTCTTTTAATTGGTGCATTTAGGCCATTTACATTTAAGTTTAGTATTGTTATGTGTGAATTTCATCCTGGCATCATGATGCTAGCTGGTTATTTTGCAGACCTGTTTATGTGATTGCTTCATAGTGTCACTGGTCTATGTACTTCAGTGTGTTTTTGTAGTGGCTGGTAGTGGTTTTCCTTTCCATATTTAGTGCTTCCTTCAGGAGCTCTTGCAAGGCAGGCCTGGTGGTGACGAATTCCCTCAGCATTTGCTTGTCTGAAAAGAATCTTATTTCTCCTTCACTTATGAAGCTTAGTTTGGCCAGGTATGAAATTTTGGGTTGGAAATTCTTTTCTTTAAGAATGTTGAATACTGGCCCCCACTCTCTTCTGGCTTATAGGGTTTACACTAACAGGTCTGCTATTAGTCTGATAGGCTTCCCTTTGTAGGTGACCTGGCCTTTCTCTTTAGCTGCCCTTAACATTTTTTCTTTCATTTTGACCTGTGAGAATCTGATGATTATATGTCTTGGGGTTGGTCTTCTTGTGGAGTATTTTACTGGGTTTCTTGCATTTCCTGAATTTGAATGTTGGCCTGTCTTGCTAGGTTGGGGAAGTTCTCCTGGATGATATTTTGAAGTATGTTTTCCAACTTGGTTCCATTCTCCCTGTCTCTTTCAGGAACCCCAGTCAGTCATAGGTTCAGTCTCTTTACATAATATCATATTTCTTTGAGGTTTTGTTCCTTTTTATTCTTTTTTCTCTGTTCTTGTCTGCCTGTCTTATTTCCGAAAGATAGCTTCAAGCTCTGAGAGTCTTTCCTCGGCTTGGTCTATTCTGCTGTTGTTACTTGTGATGGCATTGTGAGGTTTTCATGTTTTGTTTTTCAGCTCACTCCATCAGGTTGGTTATGTTTCTCTCTAAACTGGCTATTCTGGCTATCAGCTCCTGTATTTTATCATGATTGTTAGCTTCTTTGCATTGGGTTACAACATGCTCCTTTAGCTCAGCAAAGGTTGTCATTACCCACCTTCTGAAGTCTACTTCTGTCATTTCAGCCATCTCAGCCTCACCCCAGTTCTGTGCCCTTGCTGGAGAGGTGTTGGGGTCATTTGAGGAGAAGAGGCACTCTGGCTTTTTGAGTTTTCAGTATTTTTGTGTTGATTCTTTCTCATCTTTGTGGGTTTATCTACTTTCAATTTTTGAGGTTGCTGACCTTTGAATGGATTTTTTGTGGGGTCTGTTTTGTTGATGTTGTTGTTTTCTGTTTGTTTTTCTTTTAACAGATAGACCACTCTTCTTTAGGGCTGCTGCAGTTTGCTGGGGGTCTGCTCCAGACCCTAGTTGCCTGGGCTTTTCCCATGCCTGGAGGTATCACCAGTGAAGGCTGTGAAACAGCAAAGATGGCAGCCTGCTCCTTCTTCTGAATGCTCTGTCCCAGGGGATTACTAATCTGTTGCTGGCCCGAACATGCCTGTAGGAGGTGACTGGAGACCCCTGTTGGGAGGTCTCACCTAGTCAGGAGGAATGGGATCAGAGAACTGCTTAAAGAAGCAGTCTGGCTACTTTTTGGTAGAGCAGGTGTGCTGCATTCGGGGGACCTTTCCTTGTCCAGAATGTTCGTGTTCTCCAAAGCTGGTAGACCGGAACAGCTGAGTCTACCGAACCACTGAGATGGCAGCCACCCCTCCCCCCGGGAGCTCTGTCCCAGGGAGAGATCAGAGTACTGTCTGTAGAACCCTTGCTGGAGTGACTGAAACCCCTGCAGGGAGGTCCTGCCTGTGAGGGGGAATGGGTCAGGGTCGCAATTAAAGAAGCAGTCTGGCCATGACCTGACAAGGCAGCTGTGCTGTGTTGTGGGGGATCCTTCCTCATCCAGACCGTCTGTGTTCTCCAAAGCTGGCAGGCTGGAACGGCCGAGTCTGCTGAACTGCAGAGATGGTGGCTGCTTCTCCCCACAGGAGCTCTGTCCCAGGGAGAGATCAGGACTCTGTCTTTAGAACCCTGGCTGGAGTGGCTGAAGCCACCGCAGGAAGGTCCCGCCCAGTGAGGAAGAATGGGTTGAGGTCCCCTTAAGGAAGCAGTCTGGCCACGATCTGGCAAGGCAGCTGGGCTGCACTGTGGGGGACCCTTCCTTGTTCGGACTGTTTGTATTCTCCAAAGCCAGCCGGCTGGAACAGCTGAATCTACTGAACCACGGAGACGGTGGCCACCCTTCTTCCCCGGGAACTCCGTTCCAACTCAGGCCGACTCCAGCCTGTTGCTGTTTGGCGGCTGGAATTCCAAGCCAGTGGGTCTTAACTGGCTTCCAGTGACGTGCCGTGGAAGTGGGGCCTGCAGAGTGACACTGCTTGGCTCCCTAAATTCAGCCCCAGTTCCTAGGGGTATGCATGGTTGGATCTTCTGCCTTGCGGGGGATTCTGGGGCTGAAGTAGGTAAAACTTCTGGGTTTCTCTGTGTGCCTGAGTGGCTGCTCTGCAGATACTTCACATAGCTCTGTGTATTGGACCCAAGGCCCTGGTATCCTGAGCTCCTGAGGCAATCTCCTGATCTGCGGGTTGCAAAGATTCATGGGAGAAGTGTGGTTCCCTCACTACTTCCCTTGGCTGGGGGTGGGGGTTCCTTTGGCTCTGTGCCATTCCTGGGTGGGCTGTCACCCCACTCTGCTTTCTGTGGTCCTCCTTGGATCAAGTTGTTGTTGCCTAGACAGTTCCACTGTGAGGACCTGGATATTTCAGCTGAAGGTGCTGAACTCACTCGCCACTTTCATTCCTTTCGGAGTGCCGCAGAGCGCAGCTGCTTCTAATCGGCCATCTTGCAAGAGAAGCTTCTAAAGTTTTAAACTTTTTTTTTTTTTTTTTTTTTTGAGACGGAGTCTCGCTCTGTTGCCCAGGCTGGAGTGCAGTGGCACGATCTCGGCTCACTGCAAGCTCCGCCTCCTGGATTCAAGCAGTTCTCCTGCCTCACCCTCCCGAGTAGCTGGGATTACAGGCATGTGCCACCATGCCTGGCTACTTTTTTTGTATTTTTAATAGAGACGGGGTTTCACCGTGTTAGCCAGGATGGTCTCAATATCCTGACCTTGTGATCCGCCCACCTCGGCCTCCCAAAGTGCTTGGGATTACAAGCGTGAGTCACGGCACCCGGCCTAAAGTTTTAAACTTTTAAAACTTTTTTCCAGTTAAGAAAAAATACTTATGAAAAATTTCAAATATATATAAAAAAAGAATTGTATAATGAACCTATATCAAAAATTGTTTAAATTATAGCTCATAGACAGTCTTATTTCACCGCTAAATCTCTGTACCCACTCCCACTGGATTTTTTTTTAAGCAAATTACTGACATTATATCAAGAAAGTGTTTTTTATTAAGAGCATATCTTCTTCAGAGCTGGGAATGGACAACCTCAAAAGTTGGCTGTTGGGTAATGTGAGTCGGGCATCAGAAAAATGTTATGTTGGCAAAAGACTGTGCAGTTTATTTAGCAAGCACTCACTAAATGCCTATTACGTTGAAATACTGCACTAGGTGCTGAGGGTACAGATTTAAAAGACATTGGCCATGGCTTCAAACAGCTGTCTTTCTAGGAGAGCTTACAGGTAAACACCACATCATTATAATACAATAGAGGAAGTGTGGAATTTTATATATATATAGGTGTGTGTGTACATATACACACATATGTATGTGTATGTATGTATATATGTGTATATGAGATGAATGTGTATATATATGGCTACACAAACAGACACACACACACACATAGCTATATAGGCTAGTATAGGAATACCTAGGAAAACTATATAACTCAAAATTACTTGTGATTAATAATTACCTGTTATATATCTCACTTTTACTTGTTTTTAAAAAATATGCTTATGAAGACAGTTACTAGAAGGATATACCTGAAAGAGGTTACTGAACAATTTGGTTTAGATTTATTACACAGATGAGAGAGAAAATAATTTTTTTCCTTTACCATATTCATGATCAGATTACTGTAGAACATAGGAAAAGAAATGTATGTTGTTTTATTGCCAGGTTTATATTAAAGATCAAAGTCTGTAAATGTAGCAAATATAACAAATTATTGATTTACATTAGTCTATTGACTCAAGCGTAATTGTGAGTGAATTGGAGAAGCTCATCTTTCACTATTGATCCATTCTTTAGCTGGTGTATTTGTTCATGAGCCCAACTCCATAGGAAATACTTTTTTCTGAAGCATGAATTACAGTAGACCTGACACGCTTTCTTGTGAGATGGACTATTATTATTAAACTGACAATCGTGAGATCAGTTCTTGGAATCTGTCACAGGCTGCTACTGACTGGAGCTAATGACTACTTATTAATTTTTGCCAGATACTTCCATTATTTATCAGCATCTTGATAATCTGTAATATGCGTTAAAGTTCTTAGCTAATACTATTAAGATTGGCTAAAGACAATATTAAATGTGAAATGTCCTTGCTGAGAATAATAATAGATTAATATTTTTATGTAACATTTTGAAGTTTAGAGTTCATCATAAATCCCAACAACTCAGTGAGGTAGCATTTTTATTATTCTCTTTTTATAGCTACAGAAACTGAAGCCTAATGACATTAAGTGAGTTTTTCAAATTTACTTAGTAAGTTGTAAAGCTAGTTTTCAAACTTGTTCATTTATTCAACAAATATTCATCTTTAGTTTGCTTGTGAAAGGCACTGGGGGTAAAGATACGAAAACCCATGGTACATATATCCTAAGAGGGAGCCAGATATTAAACTAATCAATCACATAATTATTTATTTAATTACAGTATGGTAAGTGGTCCAAAGGAGTACAGCTGGGGATGAGAGCATGTGACAGGAGGACATGCCCTAGTGTGGAGGTTCTCTGAGGAAATATTTCATCTGAGTTCTGAAGAAAGTAGAGGATGTAGGGAGTGTTCCAGGTGGAGGGAGCGGCGTATGCAGCTTGAGGGGAAAGGCATATTGTTAGGTTTAGAAACTGAAATCAGGCAGGTGTGTTTGGAGCACAAAGAATGAGTAGTAAAGATGTCTAGTGAGGTAGTCAGGGAATTTCATTCTTTTTTAGTAGAAAAAAATCAACAAATTGTTTAGTGCCTGCCTTCCATGAGGCATTATGTGATGCAGTATGAAAGAATATAAACATTCAACCTAAATTAGAAAAAATCTGTCAGGTAGTGTCCAAAAAAAGCCAAAGCTAGTTATGGACTCTTGTGGGTAGTGTGGCATTTGATGATGAATTTTTATTAATAAGATATATAGCCCAAACAAGGATATGCTTGTTTTTAATCCTTGGTTTAAGGATTTAAGGCCTTTCCTCTCACTTTTGTGAAAATTGGAGAATCTTTGCAGTATCCAGGATTTCTGCACTGACAGCCTTATTGTCAGAATCTTGAGGAAAGCTCTTTAGAAGGACTTCAGGATGCTGCCTCTACGTTTTCTTTCTTTCTTTTTTTTTTTGAGACGGAGCCTTGCTCTGCCACCCAGGCTGGAGTGCAGTGGCACGATCTCGGCTCACTGCAAGCTCTGCCTCCCGGATTCACACCATTCTCCTCCCTCAGCCTCCCGAGTAGCTGGGACTACAGACGCCCGCCACCATGCCTGGCTAATTTTTTGTATTTTTTTTTTTTTAGTAGAGACAGGGTTTCACCGTGTTAGCCAGGATGGTCTCGATCTCCTGACCTCATGATCCGGCCTCCTCGGCCTCCCAAAGTGCTGGGATTACAGGCATAAGCCACTGCGCCTGGCCCATTTTCTTTTATAATTTCTTCAGAAAGGATCCTGCACGATTCCTACTGTGTTGCTAGCCAGCCAATGATATCTAGTGATATTGAAATCAGTTCATGAACATTTTCCAAGCTTCAAGCCTCTCAGGTGCAGGGATAATGGGGATTATGCTATACGAGGCAGATATTGGTACTTCATTGTAGAAACAACTGTTATCTCTTAACAGGTATCAGGTAGATTTCCAAGGCTTTAGTTATAGACCATCACCAAAAATAGTAATTCTATTCTGTTTCATTTGAGCAATATGTATGAGAGTCATATATTAACCATGTAAGTCTTATAAAGATAGGATGGAAAAAACATATGCTTTTATGGATACTAGAGAATGCTTTTAGTACCAATCAGCTTTTCAGCTTAAAACATCAGAACACACTTTAAAACCTCAAACTTAATGGCATTTAAAAAAATTCTTCGCATCAAAAGAGAATAGGTATAAAAAACAAATAGGCAGGTCATGATTTTTAAAAAGTATATTTTCCAACATTGCATAATTATGTTTAAAAAGCAAAAAGAATGGCATAATGCAAAAAGACTCCTGTCCTATCCACTTGCATTATCATGAAAATGTGAATGTTTTAATTTTACTTGAAAAAGAACTACTTAGGTGTTTATTCATAATTTTAAAAATTGCATTGATATGTAATATTTTACATATTTATGGGGTACATAAGATATTTTGTTACATGCCTAGAATGTGTAATGAATAAGTTGGGGTATTTGGGATATCTATTACCTTGAGGATTTATCAGTTCTATGTGTTGGGAACATTTCAAGTTCTCTTTACTTAGATCTTCTTTAATTTTTCATTGGAATGACATTCCAGAACCTTTATGATCTGACCTCTGCTAAACTTTTAGCCCCAGTTCTTGCTACTTTTTACCTCTAAATTCTTTTTTCACTACATCAAACTCATCACAGTTCCCTTCACACGTCATACCATTTTCTACTTTTACACTCATTTGCTTTCCTTTGCCTGGAACACCTTATACATCACATCTTCATATAATTAATAACAGGCTCCAGAGTCAGGCAGCCTGGGTTTGAATTCATCTAAAGCTTTTAATATAGTGCCAGTCTCAGGATAGTGCTCAATAAATGTTTGTTTTTCTGATGATTATATTTACTGCATCCACTAGATTGTGAATTCTTTGAGAACAGTTACATTTTGCTCCTTTTTTTGTACACCTAGTACATAATGCTGTGCTTGGCATATAGTAGGTGCTCTACAGATGTTCATTTTATGAGTTTTTCTCAAGCTTTAGAAAGAGAAACTGAGGAATATTGTTCAAGATGTTCAAACTTCATGCCACTAAGAAATATCCTTCTGGACTCTGATGTTTTATCAAATTAGATGTCCTGTTTTGCAAGTTTGCAAGCAAATTAAGGGCAAATATAATAGAGAAGTCAACATTTTTTTTATTCTAACTGAACAATGCAGCATCTCAAGTGATTGATACATTTCTAGTTTATCTTCCTCTTGCCTCACTTTGTGAAATTACTGACCACATCTTTATTTTTTGTACAGCTTTATGAAACTCGGTTTGTCAGGAATCACGCAGAAGATTGTTACTGCTAATAAATAGAAATTGTTACTGCTAATGAAAATTATGGGATTGCTGTGATACGGAATTGTCCATTATAAATGTTAAGCTTTCTGCATATCGTAGTCTTTAATGTAATTAGCTATGTCCTAGCAAGATTGTATGTTATTCAAAAGATTAAACTAATCTGAATGTTAAGGATAAAGTAGACCTAGATTAGACTGGTTTTACTGTTACTATTTTGTAATAATTTTCTCGCTGTAATTATGGATCCTTGTATAAGAAAAATATTTTTGAAAGATTATTACATGTACTCAACATCACCTTTGAATTTTTCCCTTGCTGTTTTGTTAGCAAAGTGGATAAAGCCATATGAACATAAGGGTTAAAACAAGTGATCTTAATACATTAATGTATCTGATTAATACATGCTAAAAGGTAGGTGAACCTTGTAAACAGCGTTCTAGGTGAAAGAAGCTAGACACAAAAGACCACACATTGTATAACTTGATTTATATGAAGTGTTCACAACTGGCAAATTTGTAGAGATGGAAAGTAGATCAGTGGTTTTCAGGAGCTTGGGGTAGGAGGAAGTGGTGAATAACTGCTGATGGATGTGGAACTTTTAGGGGTGATAAATAAATTACATTGATTGTGGTGATAGATGTACAATTCTGTGAATATACTAAAATCTCTGAATTGTATAAAAGGGTGAATTTATGGTGTGTGAATTATATCTCAATAAAGTTATTCAAATTCTAGTGTTCTGTAGTACTGTAAGATGACTATAGTTAACAGTAATATATAATTTCAAATAGCTAGAAGTAGTATAGTGACTGTTCACAACATGAAGAAATGATAAATGTTTGAGATGATGAGTATGCTGATTACCCCAATCTGATCACTATACATTATATGTATTGCAATGTCACTGTGTACCCCATAAATATGTCCATTTTTATATGCCAATTTTAAAAACTCTACAAAAATATTAAAAAGATTAAAAATTATAGTGTTGGAGTTTACTCAATAAGCTAATTTAGACCTGCAGTCTATGCTATCTTAATTCATGTATGCTATCTTCATACTATATTTTAATTCACACGCTATTTCTTTCAAGACAGAAGCAGTGAATTTGTGCTTCATTTTATTTTGAGGCCCTAGTAATCTCTCTATATGATATACTTCAGTAAACATTCGTTTAATGAGGATGACCATTAGTTTACTGTATTGCTAAAATCTGCATTTTTTTTTCCAGAGGAAAAAAGGTATTTTCTTATTGTAATAGAAATAGTAATTGTAAGATGGGACTAAGAGACTGTCAACTTGTCTACCTGCCCTGAGAAAGGTAGCAAACTTTAGTCAATAAACTTGTTTAATGAAGGATGTGAAAATTACATAGTTTTCTGATAATTCTTACTTTTTCATAGTTAATTTTAAAGTAGCAAAGTTTACTTTTTCTTTTAGATATTTGAAACTGTTGAAACATTCTGAAATTTCTCGTTTATTTTCACATTTTTTCACAGTCACATCTTCCTGACCATTAATCTTGCAAGGGAGAGAGAAAACATGTATTGAATAAATATATTATTTTATTTTTCTAGAGATGGGATCTCTCTCTGTTGTCCAGGCTGAGTGTAGTGGTACAATCATGGCTCACTGCAGCTTCAACTTCCCAGGCTCAAACAATCCCCCAACCTCAGCCTCCCAAGTAGCTGGGACCACAGGCGTGTGCCTACACCTGGGTAATTAAAAAAAATTTTTTTTGCAGAGATGGGGTCTTACTGTGCTGCCCAGACCGGTTTCAAACTCCTGGGCTCAAGCAGTCCTGCCACCTCAGCCTCCCAAAGTGCTGGGATTACAGGCGTGAGCCACTGCACTCAGTAAATAAATTTATTTATGAATAAATTGTCAATATATTGGCCCAGTAAAGAGAGAAATTACACTTCTCTACATTTCTTACAGAAGTTTACAACTGGAACTGCCCATATGGTGAATCAATAAGAATGAACTCCTACTAAATGTATGCTTATTCTGGAATATTGTAGGGACTTTTCTGGGGGCTCTTTGGGCCCCAGAATTATGATTAGATGTTCTTAAAGTGCTCATGTTCCCTCAGATCAAAAAATGGTTTTGCACAAATAGGACTTTTACAATCTAATCATTTTATTATCATTTTATTGTGAAACCAAGGGAGCCCCTTTCGGTGAACATTGAGTATCATTTCAAGTGAAACCTGGATTTAGGTTCTATCAAAATACAGTAGAAATAAAGGATTAACATATGGGCTTTTCCTTGAAGATGCTCTCCTTGTCCCTATTAATGTCTTGTTTAGGGAGTACTCCAAAATAGTTTATCTCAACTTACATTTGAACACATTTTAGACTGTATTTGAGATTTCATAATTTAAATTTTTCTACTTTGTCACCTGTGTAAGGACAAAGAAAACAAACAAAGTGAACTGCATTTGCTGTATTCATAGCTGCTAACAGTCATGTTACCTCTATAGGGTTGAACCTTATCGTGGTTGATCTGTTCGTTGTTTTATTAAAGGAAGATAGGCTCCTCATGTGAGGAGAATTACCACCAATTTCTTGCTACCACCACCACTTCCCACCTTTTTTGCCTTTTTTTTTTTTTAACGGAAGGCTCAGGTCAATGTTCTATTTCCTTGACAACAGCCAGTTTAAGATGGAATACTAATCATTCTTCTGTGAAAACCGTGGCTACTCTGTCGTTGGAAATTTGTGTCTTTATAAGACTCTAGCCCTTACCCCAGTTACTCAGCCCCCACTCTTTTTCTCTTCTTTTGCTAATTGTTCCAGCTTCAACATTACCATTAAAAATTATAAATTTAGTTTATTAATTGAAAATTATGTGAATTTGGAGTCTAAAATAAAATATTCAACTTGACTTTTAAAAAGCAGCCATCCTCAGCCCTATTCCTCACTCCTCCCAGAAGCAAACATTTTTCAACTCTTGTAGCTTGTTCTATTTGAATTATAATGTTACTTATTTTTCAGTTTTAGCAGTTATCTATTGATTTTTAGTTACTGAAGTTTAAGATTTAACTCATACCTCTTGTATCTAACACCTACATATGTATTTCCGATCCCCTAGCCGCCCACTGTAGTTTTATTGTAATTTTGGTTAGATGAGTGCTTCTTATTTCTGGCTGTACATTAGAATCACTAGCAAACTTGAGTGAACAAATCTAGATACCTGAGACTCACCCTCACAAATTCAGCTTTATGTGTTTTGGGGAGGATCCTGGGTATCCGTGTTTTTAAAAAAGTTTTCAATTGCTTCTAATGTGCAGCCAGGTTTGAGAACCACTGAGTAAATAATAAATAAATCAGTATTTATTATGACTGTGTAAATGCTTTGCATAGCTGAGCTATGTAGTAAGTCATTACTTTTCCTTTCTTGCTCATATTTTCCCCCTAGTGTTAAGAAATAATTTATTTTGTATTTGTTTAGTTTTCTATATACCTTTTTATACGTTCAGTAAAAGTATGTTGAACTTCTACTCTGTGTTAGGGATATAGCTGTGCACAAGCAGATTAAAATTCTCCTTGTTCTCCCAGAGTCTAAGGGGGAAAGATGTACAGTAAACTAAAATACTTAATATATTAGATGTCGATAAGTTCTGTGGAGAATAATAAAGCAAGAAAGGAGACACAAGAATATTGGAAGTGGGGAGGGATTACAATTTCAAATAGGGTCATTAGGGAGGACTTTATCAAGAAGATGATATTTAAGTAAAGGCTTGAAGGCTATGAAAGAGAGATTCACGCAGATATCTGGGGGTAAAAGTGTTCTCAGTGGGATTCATAAGTGCAATGGCTTGAGGTGGGATCCTGCATCATGTTCTTGAGTAGACAGAGGCAGTGTGTCTGGAGCAAGTGAGGAGGAGGACCAAGGGTTAGACTGGGTAAGACCTTATGAGGCTATTGTCAAGATGTTGGCTTTCATTTGGAGCTAGATGAGAAGTCTTTATAATCTTCTAAGCGGAGGAGTGACTTTATCTGACTTAGGGTTTGAAAAGATTTCTCTGGCTTCTGCTTGGAGAATAGACTGGAGAAGGCAAGGGCAGAGTACGGAGCCTGTTGGTAGGCTAAGGCAGAACTTACACAAGATATGATGATGACCTGGACAAGGGTGGTAATTAGCAGTGGCATTGGTGAAAAGCAGTCAAGTTCTGGGAAATTTTTTCTTTAGCTACCATATTAACTAATTGGAAATATTTTAAAAGGTAGAACCAACAGGATTTTCTGATGGATTGGATGTGGTATGTGAGAGCAAAAGAAGGGTCAGTGGCGACTCCAAGGTTTTTGGCATGAATAATTGGAGGAATGGGCTTTTAGCTAACTAAAATGGCAAAGACTGCCAGGGGAGCAGATGTTTTTGAGAGAGATCTGGAGCTTGGTTTTGGACATGTTAAGTTTAAGATATTTATTAGACACCTAAGGGGAGAGGTCGGATATAGCAATCTGGAGTTCAGGGAGATGACAGTGCCAGAGATACGCATTTATAGATTCATATAAAGTGAATAAACACAAATGAATGGAGTATAAATGGTAAAGGGGCCCAAGGACTGAAACCTGGAATACTCACATGTGAAGAGATTGGGGAAATGAGGAGGATTCAGCAAAAGAAACTGAGAAAGACCAAGCAGTGATGTAGGAGGAAAACCAGGAAAGCTTGGTGTATCCTGGAAGCCAAGTGAAACTATGTTTTAAGGAGGAGGGAGCAATGAGCCTATAAGATGCTGCTAATGGATTCAGTTAATATGAGAACTGAGGATTGACTATTGGATTTAGCAGCATGGAGCTTATGAATTGATGGGAGCAGATTTGGTGGAGTGGCGGGGTGAAAGTCTGTTTGGTGTGCGTTTAAGAGATGATGGGAAGAGAAAATTGGAGATGAGGAGTATATTATGAATTAAGTCCTCCAAATCTACCCAGTTGTGTTAAACTTATATTAATATGTTCAAACACAGGAGGCACTTGAACAATTTTATCTTCTTGAAGAAATCTCTCTGGGCTGGAGCCTTCTGATCTGCTCCAATTTGAATGAATTATTTCCACAACTATTGTCCTGAGATCTTCATTTACCATCAAACAAGGAATACCTTTTATTCCCTTATATTTAATTCACTATTTTTTGTATCCCATAGTTTCTTTATTGTTTTTGAGTTACATATTCTTTAGCAGTTTTGTGAGAAATGAAGCATGGGAAGAAAAACTTTAAAACCTTGTATGTCTGAGAATGTCTTTATTTTACTCTAACAAGAGATGAATAGTTTGAATGATTGTAGTACTCGAGGTTGGGAATAATTTTCCCCTCTGAATTTTGGAGGAACAGATTCAGCCATTGTCCTGTTTTCTTTTTGCTGTTGAGAATTCTGATGCACTTTAAAATCTTGATCCTTTGTATGAAAACCTTCTTAGTTCTGGAAGCTTATAGAATCTTTTTTGTCTTCAGTGTTCTGAAATGTAACAGTATGCTCTAGGGAGGCTCTATTTTCATCATTTGTGCAGGTTACTTAATGGACAACTTCCCGTCTAAAAACTCATGTTGTTTAATTTAGAAAAATTTCTTTGAATGATTTCTTTAATGATTTCATTTTCACAGTTTTGTTTTCTGATTTCCTTGAACTATTTTTATTCAGATATTGAATCTCAGGAGATAATTTTCTCATATCTCTCTCATTTTCCACCTCTCTTGTTACTTAATCTGTTTCCTGCAACATTTCTTCAATTTTAATATTCAACCAGAATTCTTCTGGTTAGTTTTTTTTATTCCTTTTTATTTCTAAAATTTTTGCTCTTTGATTGTTCCTTTTTTCCTTAGTATCCCATTCTTGTTTCATCAATGCAATATTTTCTCATCCCTCTGAGGGTATTATAATTGTTTTGAATTTTTTTTTCTTCTTGAGTCAGTTTGTTCCTGTTTTCTTTCCTTTCCTCTTCCCTTCCCCCTTCCTTTCCTCCTCCTCTTTTTCTTTCCTCCTTCTATGTTAAGTCTATGTCTTTTATATTCAGATGCATGACTTTGTTAAAAGATAAACTGAAGTTTATTAGAATTTTAGAGTTTGAGCATGAGTTTGACAATTCATGAATTGTGCAGAGCCAGAATGCAATCAGTACAGGGCTTCACAAAAAGGGCACGAGGGGAAGGCTTTTATAGGATGAACAAGGAAGCAAGGCAAATAATTCATTCCAGTGGAAAGTCTCTAGTGAGGGGTTAGTTGGCAGTTTCTGATAGGTTAAACTTAAGTGGTGGAAAGTCTCTAGTGAGGGGTAGTTGGCAGTTTCTGATTAGTTAAGCTTAAGTAGGGGAAAGTTCCTAGGTAGAGATTAGTTGACAGTTTCTAATTGGCCTAGACTATGACCATTTACACTGAGTTGAGTTTTGGTTTGTGTAAGTAGGAACCCAGGATGCTGGAACCATCTTAGATTGATGGCCTCCCAGTTAATTATTGTAACAGCTCAAATGTCAGATGATCCTTGATTTTTGTCTAATATTTAAGAGTGGAGTACAGACTCAAGGCCAGTTTTGTTTTATCTGTGATTTTGAAACAATCCCAGACATCACTATTTAATTCATAAACATTTCAATATGTATCTCTAAAGGAAAAAGACATTTTTAAAGAACAAAGGCCATATGGCTGCACCATTATCACCCCTAGATATAATTAACAGTAATTTCTTAGTATTATCAGATAGTTTAATCAGTGTTCAGATTTCCCTGATAGTCTCATTAATGGTTCTCCATTCTCACCCCACAGTGTGTTTGTTTGACTCAGAATCTAAATTAAGATCCTTGTTTTGGTTGCCTTATCTTTTAAATTTTATAATATCTTTCTCTCTTTCCCTTCGCAAATTACTTGTTGAAGAGACAGGACCAATGATGTGGTGTTTCACTGTTTGGACTTCACTGACTGCATCCTTGTGGTGCCATTTAATGTGTTGTGGTGTCCTTTCTATTTCCTAGAAACTGATAGGGAAATTAGATGCCTTGTCAGAAGCATAATTGCAATATTTTGGGTGGGGAGCAGAGGGAGGACAACACTGTCTCAGAAGTATTGTTGTACTTCTATCATGAGACACTAATAACTTGTTTTTTCTTTTTGTGATGTTAGTTGCCGTGGATGACCATTGCCTAGATCCTAAAATTAATTTGGGTTTACAAAATGAAGATATTCTAATTATTTCATTCCATCTGCATTTATTAGATGGAAAACATCTACAAAACAATGTCACCAGCTGTTTGGTTACTTGTGATGTGATTCCTGTAGAAAGACAGAATGAATGTTTTTTTCCCTTATTTTCCTGTTTTCACAGTAATGAATTGGTTTCTTTACATCCTTCAAAGGGGAGCAGTGATTTTTAAAATTTAATTAAAAAAATTTTTTTTTTGAGACTCAGTCTCGCTCTGTCGCCCAGGCTGGAATGCAGTGGCGTTATCTCTGCTCACTGCAACCTCTGTCTCCCGGGTTCAAGCAATTCTCTTACCTCAGCCTACCGAGTAGCTGAGATTACAGGCACCCACCACCATGCCCAGCTAATTTTTGTATATTTAGTAGAGGCAGGGTCTCACCATGTTGGCCAAGCTGGCCTTGAACTCCTGACCTCAAATGATCCACCTGCCTTCGCCTCCAAAGTGTTGAGATTACAGGCGTGAGCCTCTGCACCCAGCCAAAACTTTTTTTTTTTTTTTTTTTTTTAGTATCGTGAACCCTTGGACTTAAATGGATTTGGTGTGTCAATCTGTTGTCCTTTTCAGTGCTCAATCTCTGGGCCATTAAGCCTCTTTAAGCTGACTTCTGAGTCATTTTGATGTGACTCCCCTGGTCTTTGGAAACTGTCTTACTTTTTGGAATGACAAGATGTTTTGGGAACATTTCGTGTATTTTCTGCTTCAGACCTGGAATCAACTATTCATTAGAGGAATTTTGTTCATTTTTGGAGAAAGGAAATTTAGAGACCACAGACTGTATGCTAAGGGCTAATTGATTCTTAAACAGACTTTAAACCAATCCTAGTTTTAGCCCTATCTCCTCATCATTTTTTAGAGGCACTTGCTATTGCTACTTCCCAAAACTTTAGGAGATTCTTAAATGTGAATTGGTTGTTTCATAGCTTTCTCCTTTTTGACTTAACTTTCTTGAATCTGCATGGTATCTTATCACTTGTTCATTGACTTTACAGCTTCAAAAATTGCCCCTTTTTCCCTTCCTGTTTTTGTTTGTTTGTTTGTTTTTTGGTCCTTGTGGGTTTATGACTTTAAATAAAATATCTCATTTTATTTTTAGAGTTTGTGCTAAATACTTATGTTTAATTTGTTAGCTTTAATTGTTATCTTTAACTAGAAGGCATCCATTCATTAACTAACTTCTTATGAGCAACAGTTTGGCTCTCTTGATTTCACTTTCTTCAGAGCATCTATTAAGCTATTTTCTTTCTCTTTTTTTTGTCTTTTAATTGGTTTATTTAGACAGCTAATTTTTTTTATTATACTTTAAGTTTTAGGGTACATGTGCACAACGTGCAGGTTTGTTACATATGTGTACATGTGCCATGTTGGTGTGCTGCACCCATTAACTCGTCATTTAGCATTAGGTATATCTCCTAATGCTATCCCTCCCCGCTCCCCCCCACCCCACAACAGTCTCTGGTGTGTGATGTTCCCCTTCCTGTGTCCATGTGTTCTCATTGTTCAATTCTCACCTATGAGTGAAAACATGCGGTGTTTGTTTTTTTGTCCTTGCGATAGTTTGCTGAGAATGATGGTTTCCAGCTTCATCCATGTCCCTACAAAGGACATGAACTCATCCTTTTTTATGGCTGCATAATATTCCGTGGTGTATATGTGCCACATTTTCTTAATCCAGTCTATCATTGATGGACATTTGGGTTGGTTCCAAGTCTTTGCTATTGTGAATAGTGCCACAATAAACATATGTGTGCATGTGTCTTTATAGTAGCATGATTTATAATCCTTTGAGTATATACCCAGTAATGAGATGGCTGGGTCAAATGGTATTTCTAGTTCTAGATCCCTGAGGAATCACCACACCGACTTCCACAATGGTTGAACTAGTTTACAGTCCCACCAACAGTGTAAAAGTGTTCCTGTTTCTCCACATCCTCTCCAGCACCTGTTGTTTCCTGACTTTTTAATGATCGCCATTCTAACTGATGTGAGATGGTATCTCATTGTGGTTTTGATTTGCATTTCTTTGATGGCCAGTGATGATGAGCATTTTTTCATGTGTTTTTTGGCTGCATAGATGTCTTCTTTTGAGAAGTGTCTGTTCATATCCTTCGCCCACTTGTTGATGGGGTTGTTTGTTTTTTTCTTGTAAGTTTGTTTGAGTTTATTGTAGATTCTGGATATTAGCCCTTTGTCAGATAAGTAGATTGCAAAAATTTTCTCCCATTCTGTAGGTTGCCTGTTCACTCTGATGGTGGTTTCTTTTGCTGTGCAGAAGCTCTTTAGTTTAATTAGATCCCATTTGTCAATTTTGGCTTTTGTTGCCATTGCTTTTGGTGTTTTAAACCAAGGCAGTGCTCTCTTTAAGAGAAACTCTCTAAAAGTATCTTTTGTCACCTAACTTCGGTAAGAAGAGGAAGAGAGGGAAAGAGATGGGATGGAGAGAAGCAGGTGGACAAGAAGGAATGACAAAGTTGAAGATTTCCTAGATTATTCCTAAGCTTAAAGGCTTGATAGTTTTATTTCCCCCCAAAAAACTTCTCAAATAAACAAACTTCTTGAATATCACAAAACTTCTTGAATAAACAGCTTAAACTACTGTATGATTGACTTAGGCTTTAGGCAAAGAGGCATTTCTAGTGATATCAGAGGAATTTTTTAAGTGCATAGTATATAATGGTAATTTTTATTTGACTTCTATCTATTGTGGAATATCAGCCATTTTTTCTCTGACTAGAGAAGTATTAAGTTAGTGGGGTAAATTGCTTAGAAGACAACCGCACCATTTACTCAATTAATAAGGGAGCCTAGGATCTGGAAACAATGCCTGAGGCTGTTGTCAGGCCTACACTTCTTTGAGACCATCTTGTGGTCCTCTATTAAAGTCTAGCAGTGGAATTATTATATAAACTTTCAACTGCATTCAGTTCAGCATTTATTTGTTTATCTTACTATTTGAATAGTCCAAATAACTGTGTGTGGTGGCCTTTAGTTCTATCCACCAGTATTTCTGGTTCTTTTCATTCTGGGCACGTCGTAGGCTTGTACTTCTCTACTCCCTTGAAGTTACGAGTAGTCATATGACTTGTTCTGATCAAAGGAATGTGAAAGAACGAGCACACAATTTGCCATGTTCTATTCCATTGCCTTGGTTGTTCCAGGTGATACAAACTCTTGAAGCCTGCATCCCTGAATGACGACTACAGAGCAGAGCAATGGGGGTGCAATGAGATCAAGAAAAAAAATGTTGTTACTTAAAGCCATGACATTTTGGGATTGTATCACTTTGGTGTAACCTAGTATGATGGTTAATACTGAGTGTCAACTTGATTGGATTGAAGGATGTGAAGTATTGATCTTGGGTGTGTCTGTGAGGGTGTTGCCAAAGGAGATTAACATTTGAGTCAGTGGGCTGGGAAAGGCAGACCCATCTTAATCTGGGTGGGCACCATCTAATCAGATGCCAGCACAGCTAGAATATAAAGCAGGCAGAAAAACGTGAAAAGACTAGACTGGCCTAGCCTTCCAGCCTACATCTTTCTCCCGTGCTGGATGCTTCCTGCCCTCGAACATCGGACTCCAAGTTCTTCAGTTTTGGGACTCAGACTGGCTCTCTGGCTCCTTAGCTTGCAGACAGCCTATTGTGGGACCTTGTGATCAAGTGAGTTAATACTTAATAAACTCCCCTTTATATACCTATCTATCCTATTAGTGCTGTCCCTCTAGAGAACCCTAATACACCCAGCCTGTTTTTTTATTTTTTAAATTAATATATGTGTTGTGTTTATTTATTTTGCCTTTTGGGAGATGAGATCTCACTGTATTGCCCAGGCTGCTCTTGAACTCCTGGGCTCAAACAGTCCTCCCACCCCAGCCTCCCATGTAGCTGGAACTACAGGCATGCACCACCATACCTAGCTAACCTAGCCTGTCTTGACTAATATAGAGTGAATATAAGTGTTACTACTTAGTTTCTAAGAAAAATATCCTACTGTTTTCTCTGATTCCTGTGCTAGCACCTGGGTAGTTAAGAACAAAAAGATATGGATGATTAATTTTGAAAAAATTTTTATGGCTATTTTAAAAGTCAAGCTTCAGTTTATAAAGGATGCAATTCTAAAATGCTTTCAGGGTGAGATTTTTGAGGAATATGTCTTCACATCTTTGATAGTTATGGTTGTATCATAGGAAACAGAAATAAAGCTTTTGAATTCTGACTTATGGAGGCAGAGTAATGTGTGTGTTTTTTTTTTTTAATTTTTAATTTGTTTTTTAGAGATAGGATCTTGCTCTGTCACCCAGGCTGGAGTGCAGTGGCACTATCTTAGCTAACAGAAGCCTCGAATTCCTGGGCTCAAGTGATCCTCTTGCCTCAGCCTCATGAGTAGCTGGGACTACAGGCATGCCCTACTGTGCCCAGCTAATTTTTAAATATTTTGTAAAGACAAGGTCTTGCTTTATTGCCCAGGCTGGTCTCAAGCTCCTGGCTTCAAGCATTCCTTTCCCCCCAGCCTCTGAAAGTGCTGGGATTACAGGCATGAGCTACTATGCCTGGCCAAGTAATGATTTTTTAATATTGATGGATGATATATTGCTCTCATGGGAAAAGCAATACACTTGGAATTTTAAATCTGTTGGGGTTTCGTTTTTTATTCTGTCTCTTGCTCATGGTGGCTTGTTTCCTTACATGGTTTAGTGATTTAAAAAATACCAAGTACATATTTAGTTGAACTTAATCTGTGAGAATCGTAATGGCCTAAATTGGAGATTATTTATTTCAGGGAGGATTTGCACTGATTTCTGTCAGAAGCCAGGGATCTATAGACCTGAGACTTCTTTTTTACACCCTTAGAGCTTTCCCTTACCTACAAGCCCATAAATATATTAAAATGCTTTTTAATAGCATGTCCTGGATCTAGTTGTATAATAGAGGAAAAGTCTTATTTTTTCTGCTTTAAGCAAAAGTCCTGGAAAAGAAATTTCTGAGAATATTGAGAAACGTCATATATATTTGCAATATTCATTCATAACATACCCATTGATAATAATGTGTGAAGTGTTACATTCATATAATGCAGGTTTACCAAGAGTTTCAGCATGTCTTACTGTAACTGCCTCAAGCTTAGCTACTCACTGCTTGAAGGCCAGAACATGAGAAGTGAGATGTGGTGAAAGGAAAGCAACTTTATTCAAATGCTAGCAGTCGGGGAATGGCCAGGCACATTCCCTTAAAAGTCCATTCCAGCTTTTTGGGCTGAGTGGAGGGTTTAATAAGGAAAATTTAGTGTGGGAAATATGCAGGAGTGGTGCTGAAGGGTGCAGGTCTACATTTATTGTTCAGAGACATGTAGACTATCTTGAGTAACCTCCTGTCTGGTGGTCCGGTTGGTATCATCTTGACTACTTCTTGGTAGTGGTGGACTAATTGTTCATAACTCCCCCTAAGCTGGAGGATTTGCAACTGGTTCTCTATGCCTGGATTGTTTCAAAATTAGCCCCTGGAATTTCTAAGCAAGCACATAATTAGATAAGCGAGCACTGTGCGCAGGAGCGTCTGGTGGAAAAGGAGGGGAACCAAGTTTTAAAGTATGTTTCAAGGCTAAAAGCAAGAAAGGAAAAAATATGTTGCAAAATGCATTTTGAATATAAGATACTCGGTTACATGGTCTCACTTAATCTCCATAGCAATAAAATATTCAATCCTTTATAAAAGGTAGGTATGTTTGCCATTAAATTTGTCATTTCCAAAAATGAGGACTTGGCTTTATAAGTCATAATCAGGGAGGATATTTTGATATTGGTACGTATTATTAGTATCTCATTTGTTGTATTTGACTTAAATATTTTCATGCAGCAACATAGAATATGCTTACAATGGATGAAAAAAGAATATGAAATTATATCTCTTATAATTATGTCAGTTATATATCCATATGGCAAGCATTAGAAATGGACACGGCAAGAATAAAAACAGTTTAGCGTTAGGGATTGTGGAGGTCTTATTCATTTTATCCTAATGTTATTCTCATGATTTTGTACAGCTAATGAAATATACACAAAATCTAGTCAACGAGCATTAACATCTCAGTTTTTATTACAAATTTATTAATTTTATAGTTTTTATTAAAATTTATATATGCATTTATACAGAGAAAGAAGTTTAAGATATATATGTTTATGTGTATATTTATATATTGAAATCTTAACCACTATTATCTCTGGGTGGCAAGATTTCCAGGGATTTTTAAAAATGTATTCTTTATGATATTTTTATAATATCCAGTTTTTAAAAACAAAGATAATTTATTAATCTTATTATTAAAAAATGATAAAGCTATATTCATTTTGGAAAAAAGTCCCATGTGCTATAAAAACTAGATTTTGATTTAAAAATTTATCTTTTAATAAGGCTGAGGGGGAAAAAGTGCTTATGTCCAAAGGAAAAAAAAATTCACCATCGATTTTTCCATAAGTCTTACCTCTGTGGTAAAAGTACATAAAAATTGGGGACGGCCTCCACTCACTTGCTCAACTAAATGTTAAGTGAGGATCATTTGGCATCAGAAGGTCTCGCACTGTACTCAGATTTTTGATCATTTAACAGTAAATCTCAAACATTTAAATATTTGCCTGACTTATGTAGTTTATTAGAGGAATTAGTATTTATTAAGGAAAGAGCCAGATGCTTTATATACATGGTATTTTATGTCATAATGATCTTTAATCTCACAATGACCCTGGTGCTGTTGTATCCTTCATTTTGTACCTACGTGAAAATGGAGTTGCAAGAGATTAAATGTGGGGCAGAGACATTTAACGAGGAAGTGGAAAAGTCAGAGTTTAAACCCAGCTCTGAGTAATTTGAAAGGCTTTGCTCTGTCCACTTTACAATTGGCCTTCCGTGAAGAGTAGACCCTTCTTGCTGTTTATCTTATTTGACTTTGCTCTGTATTTATACCATTTTCATTTGGCACTTGGTTATTTCAACCAAGGAAGGTATTGAAAAATATACATGAAAGTTGATTAGTTATAATTCTCTTAAGATTTTAAGGATATCACCCCCCCACTTTTGGCAGTCTGCAAATGGTTAAATTTGATGAAAAACTAATGAAGAATTACAGAGTTATTTGTTTGACTTTGCCACTTGGGACACTTGGCAAATGAGACAATTCATCTCAGTGTGCAGCTAGTCTCATTTCTTAAAGAAAATTAATGCAGTTTGTCTTCCTTCCATATCTCTGATTATAGTCCTTTTATTATACCTTCTCTTTTCTGCTTTACTTTTCTTCCCTGGAAATACCTGTTTTTCAAGCCTTCCTTGTTTCTTTCAACCTGATAAGTAAAAGCAATTTTCCTTAGTGTGAGTATGTATTTGTAATTTTAGTATACTTTAGACAAGACAAAATCATTTGTACAATATCCCACAGGAAGAAAATTCCTAGGAATTTCACAGGTACCAATGCCCTTTTTAAAATGATGTAATCAATTTTCCCTTATAATTGTCTTTATTACTCTTTGTCTTCTTTTTGGCAAGATGGGTTAGTACTGTGTATCTCTTACCAAGATTATCTTCTAGCACAATAGCTCCTTACTTAAATTTATCAACACCAAAATTTTGCTCTTAATACCTTTACATTTTTAAAAATAATAATACTTATGATTTTGGAGCCACATTTGAGTGATTTTTGAAGAACAGGAATTGTCTTCTATAATTTTAACAATTATAACCAGAAATGCAGTTTCTTTTCAGGAAATGGCTTGAGTAGTTTGTTACTCAATCTTTGTGAATATATTTTCCTCCATTTTCACAGTGTGGACTTCTCATTTTAAATGTAGAATGACTACATGCTCATTTTCTTTCCCTTTTGATATTCATCTGAAAAAGTAGGATTTTAGAAAATCTGGCTTTTAAATAACTTTTAACATTTTTTCCCCACCCCACAGACCCAGCAAGGAATCACTTTAAGAAGAGTCAGATTGTTATCAATCATCTCCCATATCAATGCTGTGTAAAATTTTTTTAATCATGCTGGTGAGGGCATGGAGAATTGGCATGAATATATTTAAAGCCAACTGAATGACAAACGATATGGAAAATACAGGATAGAAGTGAAGTGAAGTAGGAATTAGGCAAATACCTTATGTTAAGATAGCAGTTTATATATTTATACTAAGATTAAAGAAAGGCAACATAAAGTCACTGTTATAGATTACTCTGGTCTCTAGATTATTTTATAATATGTATAGAATGTTGACTTTCATGTAACTAAAAATGAAATGTAATGAAATGGCTTGATTCGGCTGTGATGTGAATTACTGATTTAACAGTGGAAGGATTTTATTTTTCCTGAGATTTTGTAGTCTCTTCTAATTTTCTCATCAAACTAGGTTTTAGAATTATTAGGATCATTTCATTCACTCACAACCTTTTAAAAAGTGTTGACTCTATGTAGATTATAGAAATATTCCATTATTTGCCCCTGTGATAGCTGATATCTGGCAGTTGAAGGGATGGTAACCTTTAAAATGAAATAACCCTGTCATAATATCATGGGAGAAAACTGACAAGATAGTAAAAATATACTGGACTTTGAGAACCATTCTAGGGAGAGCAGTTTATGGATACTTTCATTAGGGAGATTTACAGATGCTATGCTATTTGGTGTACTTTGTGTCAAGCTGAGGAGACAGATGAGGCATATCAATCATGTTTGAGGATTCTAGAAATAACCCAGAAGAGTCTTTAGATTTCAGAGAATAGTTACGAGGTTGATTGGCTATTCTTTCAGATTCTGCTTACTTATTCCTCTTTTAAGTCTGTGTAGTTTTGTCATTCTAGGTTCTTTTGGGGTTGGAGTTATGGAGGGTTTTCCTTGTTGGCTCTGTTTGTTATGAGTTTAGTGTCCATGGGAGAGATCTTTGGTAGAGGATCTGAGGAGCAGGGAATGAGACTAATTATAGAGGCGTACTTACGGTATGATGAGTACATAGGATGTTTTGTTGAGGTTGTCTACCCCAGAGGCTTCCAGGGAGGGATCAGAAGAGCTCTAAATATTAAAAATGACAAATATGGGGTTTGCCTGTTTGTACAAATAAATTTGACATTCTGAAGTGATGGAGTCATAAAGCTTTTAATAAAACTTTGGGGGCTGGGTGCGGTGGCTCATGCCTGTAATCCCAGTGCTTTGGGAGGCCAGGGTGGGAGGATGCCTTGAGTACAGGAGTTCGAGACCAGCCTGGGCAACATAGTGAGACCCCATCCGTATAAAAAATAATCTTAAAAATTAGCCTGGCATGGTAGCATGTGCCTGTAGTCCCAGCTACTGGGGAGGCTGAGGTGGCAAGATCACTTAAGCCTGAGAGATCACGGCTGCACCACGGCATTCAGCCTGGGTGGCAGAGAGCCAGGCCCTATCTAAAACAAAACAAAACAAAACAAAAACAAAATAAACAAACCCCCAAAATAAAAAAATAAAAAAAACTTTGGGGGTGATAGGAGATGACTGTAGCAGAGCCTTCAGAGAGCAAGACGAAAAGCTATTTTTATCAATCTTTACGGAGTCGAATTATAAATTATGAAAAAATGCAACCCTCTTACCTACTTAACAATTCTGTTTTAAAGCAGTATATACTCATATTACTTTTGTATGTAAAGCCAAACTTTGAGATCCAGAGGAAGTAACTGACTTGCCCAAGGTGGTAAAGCAGGAACTAGAACTGGGATTCTTAACCCTTAGTCTAGTGTATTTGCCACCCATGTGGGGTTTAATACTTTGAGCTATTTATGATTTGCTGGTTACGTTCTTTTGGGAAATTGAAGGTTTGAGATTTATAGAGTCCTGACATTCCACAAGATTTTATTTGATGATTACCTCTAACTGTAATCATATTAGAAAAGTAGGTGGGTTGCCACAGAGTATACTGGTGATCAAGAAAATTCATCAGATGGGTTTTATTTTATGTTGTACAAAATAAATAGCAAGGATCTTTATGTAAAGTTACCAGTCTGAATTAACATTCAGAAAAATGTCACAAAGGGAACATTATTCAAATCAGAAAGATGAAAGTGCTTTGGAAAATGTCATGAAAGAAATAATGTTTCATTAAAAAAAAGTTTCACTGACTGTTGAGTCAGTATCAGTATTTAATTATCTAATTTCATACTGTTCATGTTTCAGAGAGGCCTTTCCTGACCACCCTATATAAAATAGTGTCTTCTCATTGCTCCCTGTACCCTACTCTGCTTTTCTTTTCATAGTACTTACTGCCATCTGACATGACACTTACATGTCTGTATGCTTAAATATATAATATAATTAATGATTTACTTGTTTATTTTTTCTCATTAGAATGTAAACTTCATGAGAGCAGAGACTTTATCTAATACATGTCTGGTGCTCAGAAATGCTTGCTTGACTGTGGAAAACAGCTCGGCCATTCCTCAAAAAGTTAAACATAGAATTACCATATGACCTTACAATTTCACTCTTAGATATACAGAAGAATTGAACACTATTCAAACAAATATATAGCATAGTAACACTATTCACAACAGGTAATAGGTAGAAACAGCCCAAATATCCATCAATGGATGAATAAACAAATTGTGGTATATACCTATAATGAAAAATTTTCAGCCATAAAAAGGAATGAAGTTCTGATTCATGCTGTAACATGAATGAGCCTCAAAAACATCTTGCTAAGTGAAAGAAGCCAGACACAAAAGGTCACATATTGTATGATTTCATTGATATGAAATGTTCAGAATAGATAAATCCATAGAGACATAATGTGAATTGGTGGTTTCCAGGAACAAAGGGAGAGGGGAGAATAGGAAGAAGCTGCTTAATGAGTATGGGATTTTACTTTATGGATGGAAGTGTTTTGGAACTAGATAGAGGTGGTTGTTGCACAGCATTGCACAGTGTACTAACTGCCATTCAGTTGTTCACTTTAAAATGGCTGATGTTATGTTATATGAGTTTTACTTCAATAAATTATTTTTTAAAATGCTTGATTAAGGAGTGTGATCAGTTTGACTGCCCATTACTGGCCGGGCGCGGTGGCTCATGCCTGTAATCTTAGCACTTTGGGAAGCCAAGGCGGGTGGATCACGAGGTCAGGAGATCGAGACCATCCTGGCTAACACGGGGAAACCCTGTCTCTACTAAAAATACAAAAAATTACCTGGGCGTGTAGGGCGCCTGCAGTCCCAGCTACTCGGGAGGCTGAGGCAGGAGAATGGCGTGAACCCGGGAGGCGGAGCTTGCAGTGAGCCGAGATCGCGCCACTGCACTCCACACTGGGAGAGAGAGACTCCGTCTCAAAAAAAAAAAAAAAAAAAAAAAAAAGACTGCCCATTACTATCTCTACTAGCTAAGCAAAATGGAGGAGTGGGAACAAGCAATGATTAGACTAGAGTATCTGCTGCGCTAGTTGATTCATATGGGAGAAGAAAAATATTTGATTGACACGGAACACACTTAGAAATAGTTGCTAAAACCTGATGTAATATGAGGGACAGAGCAGAATAAGATAGCTGATGCATATGGAGTCTGTGTGCATGTGAAATTCACTTGTCAAGTTCAGAAATGCTAATCCTTTGGCTGCTTCCTTCCCATGGGGCTGACTGACTGTATGACAGAGCTCATTTTACCTACTTTTCCTTACTTTACCCTTATTGTGGATCCTACATCACAGCTGAAATCCTTCCAGCTTGGGGGTGGTGTGGAAGCATTGCAGCACAAAACCAACATTTAATTGGCTGGAAGTATTGCTGTTGAGTGACATGATCTTTCTTCCTAGAGGAATGAAGGAGGAGAACAATACCACGAAATTAATCCAAATCCTATCTCAACATTTGAATTTATTCATTTACCTCATCAAGCAGAAAAGCTTGTACTTCATAATAGAACAAATTTCTAATTCTCATCTATTTACCTAATCTCATTCTGTAACTTTGTTGGGCTTTACAATGATTGTCATATGAAGACTTTCTGCATTTTGTTAATCAGAATCTAGAAAAATTTAGACTATTGTAAATTATAACCAAGTATCCAGACTTGGTGTTTTCCATACTAAAGTATATCCTTTTATGTATGTTCTACAAAGAACACAGAGTCATTGTTTAAAAAAACACAACTTTTGAGTTTTACTCATATTCTCTTTTCAGTTTATATCCCCATATGATTAATTATTAGCAATGGTTTCCGTATTATAGGCATCTCTGAAAATGGGGAAATATCTAACAGTAAGCCCAGTGTTACTCTGAAATGTAGATTGTAACTGCTTTTCTGTGTAAATTAATAATGAACAACCAAAATTTCTGTGGTATGTCTTCTGTCATATAAATGACAGGAATAAAAGTTCAAAAAGAAACATTTCATTCTTTTAAAAGTATCTGTCTTGAAATAGCTTGATTTTATGTTGAGTTGACTTTAAATATGTAATGCAATATATCACAAAGAATAGAATAACAGAATAGCATAGTAGTTAAGGCATGGGGTTATGGAATTAGACTTGAACTTGCATCCCATCTCTGCTATTTGCTGGCTGTGTGACCTTCAGGGAGTCATTTAACCTTGATAATCATCAGTTTATTCATTTATAAAATGAGGATGATCAACCTATCTGGTATAATAAACCCCTTAAAAATAGGGCCTCACATACAGTCAGAGGTGATTATTCTTTGAAATTAATGATTTTGAAAATAGAAAATACACAAATTACCTTCTCTTTTATCAGCTGTGAACACTTTACACAGTAAAGTGTATTTTTTTTCTGTATTTTTTTCCTTCTTGGTTTGCTTTTCTTTCTACCCATTCTCACTGTTGTTTCATTTGATAGGAAACAGTCTTAGAAAGAATTAGCCTGCTAATGAAATGCCCTTTCCTCCTTGAGCTTCTGGAACCTCAGCTTTTGACTTGGTTCTTACATATGTATGCAAATGAAACACTGAAAAGCTGTAGAAGGGATGTAAATAAAACATTGATTTCAATCATCAGATTGTTAGTGCGCTAGAGAAATGTGCCAGACTGCTTTTGACAGAATTAGAACGAAAGGCTTTTTTTAAAAACAGCATGCCAAATACTAATTAATTTTCTGAACATTTCAGGATTCCTACTGAGTTTATTTTCCTGAGCCTTTCTGTAGAGTTTGTGACCTGAGATTAGCGCCAAGAAGTTGGTGATGAGGTCACAAGTGTAAAATTTTAGTTTTATGGCAAGATAGTTGGCATGGAACCTTAGGATCTATGTATAGCTTAGTTACATGAGAAACAAGTGTCTGAAAAACAAGAGAAAGAGAAATGTTGGATATGTTTGCAAAAATTTCCCCAACTCTCATTAAACAAATGCTTTTAGAATGAATGCTTGTAGGAGCACTCTTGTTTCTCTTATATAGCCATTGTGGGATTGCTGTGGTAATCATTGTGACTGACAGTTCACATCTGGAGACTTGTAAAATCTGCATGTTGATAACCCCCATTTGGCTTTGCCTCATCTTCTGTGATAGGAGCTTGCTGCTTGCCTTTTTCTCTCCCTCAGCAAGGAGATGCTCAGTCTGATGGGTAAAAATGGTATCTCTTTATAGTTTTATTTTTCATTTCTTATATTATTCAATAAATGTTTTAAAAATATGAATCAGTTTCATTTTAATGGAGGCTTGCAGGGGAAGGGAAGAATGAGCAGATATGACAAGGATTGGAATAAGTGTGGTGGAACAGAAAACAGGGAAAGGAGAGATAAATTGAGAATTCATGGTAGAATGGCAAAGATGAAGAGACTAGGGTGTGGAGTTAGGGGTAGGGGAGAATGGGAAGAGAGAACAAGGAAGATTATTTTGAGGTTAGTATCAGTGAATATATACTTATGCTCATGTAAGCTTTGAGATTCTGATTGTCACCTGTTATCTACTGCCCCGTGAAAATGTTTATTAATTAATTATGATTAATCAGCTCTAATAACTAGAGATTTCATTCCAAATAGAGGAATCAGAGCATCTACAAGAATGGAAATTCTGTTACATGCAACAGCAGTCACTAGTGTAAAATCATATTAAGGTTCAGATTTGTCATCCTCTGTGATTAGATGGATTTTTATAATCCCAAGGAAAAGACATACTTACTATTTTTGGTTTGAGAGTTAGTTGTGAGGATATATGTGCAGAGTACTGGAAGTCACCATAACGGGTTTGTAGTCATTTCTGATGCAAACATTGGAAAGATGGTAGTTGTTATAGATAAACCAACTTGTTTATAGTTAACAATCCAAAGTGGCCCCCTCCTTCCACCTGCTGTGTATGTATTTTCAAGAAAGAATTTGATTGGGTTAGCTTGCTACTCTGCATTGAGTACCTCTTTTAATTGTTGTTCTGTGAAGACATCTCAGAGGTGTTTTTTCCCCTTGTATTTAACCAATCTACATTGCTTTCACTTGTGCATTTGAAACTTGGTCCGGTCAGCTGTGGCTTGATTTTTTTTTTGTTCTTTGAACACGTACAATGAGCCAGATGTGTGCTAGATGCTGGGAAGTCAGAAGTGAGCAAGATAGGCCCCTGCTCAAATGGAGTTTATAAGTTGGCATTATTGTGGTGGTGAGACAGAACATAAACAAATGAACAAGGTGATTTTAGATAGTGCTAAGTCCTGAGAAGACAATAAATGAGGGTGATGTGGTAGAAGAGTGACTTGGGGAGAGAGTCTGTTTTAGATAAGGTGGTTAAAGTTCTGTCTGAGAAAGTAATATTTTAACTGAGACCTCAGTGAGCTAAGGCAGAGGGAGTAGTAGCACATGCAAAGGCCCTGAGGTTGGATGGATTGGATTTTTTTTGAAACTTTGTATTATGGAAATTTTCAAACATATATGCTCATCACCACCAGTTTTAACAATTAGCAACTCATAGCCTATCTTGTTTCATTGATGAACCTTCCCACCCCATCCCACCCACATACTATTTTGGCATCATGTTATTTTGTAGACATAGTATTTTATCTAAAAATATTTCAACATGCATGTCTAAAAGATAAGGACTATTTTATTTGATTTGATTTTGAGACAGAGTCTCACTCTGTTGCCCAGGCTAGAGTGCAGTGGTGCGATCTCGGCTCACTGCAACCTCCACTTCCCAGGTTCAAGTGATTCTCCTTCCTCAGCCTCCCGAGTAGCTGGTATTACAGGCACATGCCACCATGCCTGGCTAATTTTTGTATTTTTTAGTAGAGGTGGGGTTTCGCCGTGTTGGCCAGGCTGGTCTTGATCACCTGACCTCAGGTGATCCGCTTGCCTCGGCCTTCCAAAGTGCTGGGATTACAGGCTTGAGCCACCGCACCTGGACAGGACTTTTAAAAAATATGACTACCATTACTACAGCTAGAAAAGAATCAACAATGGTTCTTTAATATCACCAAATGTCTAGTGTATGTTTAAACTTCCACTTGTCTCATAAGTGCTTTATGTTGTCTGTTGTCGCAATTACACAGCTTAGCAAACATCCACAAAACTTGAGAGGTATACAAGAATAATCATGAAGTCTAGGGGTCAGCTGGGTGGTCCAGTTGCTGTAAGCAGAGCTTGGAGGGACTCACTAATGTGAGTCCTGCAGCTGGATTAGATGCTTTTTATTAATCTTGGTTTGTCTGTCTCCTGCATCTTGGGCTTCAATTGGACTGACTTGATTTTGTCCCACATGTCTTTTCCTTAAGCAGGCAGTGTTGGGCATGTTTTCATGGTGAAGCCAGAAGGGAAAGAACAAAGACCAGTTGTACGAGAGGGCAGGTGGGAAAGAATGAGTGATTTTCAAGCCTCTGCTTGCCTTACCTTTGCTGACATCCCATTGGTCAAAGTAAGTCAGAGTGGGAGGTGACTACAAAGATGCTGGAAAGCTGGGTGAATTCAGGAAGGCCACTCATTGGATCTGTTAATGCAATCTATCTACCACAAATGATGTAAATGATTTTCTTTTCCATCTTGTTTTGAATCAGAATCCAAATAAACTCCACACATTGTGATTAGTTGTTTTCTCTAGATTCCGCCCTCATGTCTTTTTTTCCTTGTATTTTATTTTTTTTAAAAGAGAATTTGACATTTCTAACAAACATTGAGAAGGCCAATGTGGCTGGAATGTGTTAATGAGGGATAGAGTGATAAGTGAAATTTGGAGGGTATAGGCTAATTCATTCAATGTCTTATGGATCATGGGAAGGAGTTTGGGTTTTATTCTAAGAGCAGTTGGGAAGTCATGCTGGGTTTGGAGCTCAGGAATGACATGGTCTGATTTCTGTTTTGTTTTGTTTTTGATAAATCTGAATTATGTTTACATGTAGTAAAATACACAGATGAGTTTTGAGAAATGTGTATACTCATGTAACCACTACTTCAGTAAGATGTTGAACATTTCATCACCTTATAAAGTGCCTTCATGTCCCTTTGTAGTCAGCTGCTCCTCCCCACTGATCTGATTTTGATGGGGAGTTGTACAGCTACAAATATAAATTAGTTATGCCTGTTCCAGAACTTTATATAGTGGAATTATATGAATATATTCTTTTGTTCCTGGCTCCTTTCATTCAACGTAATGTCTGTACAATTCACCATGTTATTTCTGCTACTAGCAATTCATTTATTTTTATTGCTGCATACTATGTAATTGTTTGACTTTACTACTATTCACCTGTTGATGGTCATTTGAATTGTTTCCATTTTTTTTACTATTATGAATAAAGTTGTTATGAACATTCATATACAAGTCTGTTTTTAAACATATATTCATTTTTCTTGAGCAAATACTTAAGAGTGTAATTGCAGGGTCATATGGCTTAGTGTATTTCAATTTTATAAGAACCTGTCAAACTCTATTTCAAAATTGTACTACCTCATTACTAGTCAAGGAAATGCAAATTAAGACCATAGTGAGATACTATATCCACCTAGTAGATTTATAGAAATGCCATTTAACAGTTTTGTGGGGGATGACTAGGAACCGTCATATCTTGCTAGTGGCAACATACATTGGAATAACTGATTTTAAGAATAGTTTGGCAATATTTTAAAAGTTGAACTTTTAACTTTATAAACCAGCAATTTGACTCCTAGATAGGAAAATTCTTATACAAGTGCACTAGGAGCTATGTTTTAGAATTTTGAAAGCAACACTTTGTAATAGGAACAAAACTGGAAAATACCCAGTTGTCCATTGACAAGATAAAGAATAAACAGTGCATATCACATATTACACAACGTTATACATAAGGGGAAAATGAATGAACTATAATTACATGCATCATTGATAAAGTTAATAAACAAGCAAAACTAAATAATATTTTATTCAGGCATAATGTGATAAAACTATGTCAAAAAAGGCAAGGAGATGATACATACAGCATTAAGAATAATATTTTCTCAGGCAGGAGGCAGGTAGATGGCATGGGGGAGGTAGAAACAAGTTATTGGTAATGTCCTGGTCTTGGATTGCTTTATAACTTAATATAACCTTCAATGTGTCTCTTGGTATGTCAAGTATTATATTTTAAAAGATTATACTGTTTAAAAAGCTACTCTGGCTTTTGTGTAGAACAATGGAGACAAAATGAGGCAAAAGAGGGACTAATTTCATTCAAAGCAGAAATTTTTGCAATTATTGTAGGAAAAAAACTAGTGTAAGCTTTTTCCTTGGAAAGGAACACTGTATTTTACGAGAGTGGATGGGCTTGGCAACCCATCCTGTACACTATGGTTTTTGGGTTAGTGATTTCCCATTCATACTTCAGCGTGTAGGTCCAAATTCCCATTAATGACTACTGTGGCATTTATAAACTTGGAAATAATTTACTTAAAGTACATTTATAGCATTTAATTTGTCATTTATTCAGTATCTGATTGGCATTGCCTTAATTACAAGATTTATGTTATTACTTGGAATATAAATAAGAATACATCTTTACTGATGGATTGATTAACTAAGCCTGACTCTTCACATACACAAGAGTCAACCAGGAAGAGCAGTAAAGTGCATCCTTGAGTAACATCGTTTGCTCCAATGTTGTTTGGTTACAAAGTTGATGAGGGAAAAAAATGGATTCCTGGCAGGGCCCACTGGGTAGAGTTTGCACGCTTTCCCCATGTCGGTGTGGGTTTTCTCCAGGTACTCAGATTTCCTTCCATTTCCAGAGATGTGTACATTAGTTTAATTGGTGTGTCAAAATGGTCCCAGTATGAGTGTGGGTGTGAGTGTGCCCTGCCATGGGAGGGCATCCTGTCCAGGGTGGTTTCCTGCCTTGTGACCTTAGCTGCTGGGATAGCCTCTGGCCACCCGCAGCCCTGAACTGGAATAAACAGCTAAATAATTATCTTACTTGTTTTTATTAATCTTTCTTTCTTTTCTTTTCTTTCTTTTTTTTTTTTTTTTTTTTTTTGAGATGGAGTCTCGCTCTGTCACCCAGGCTGGAGTGCAGTGGCACAATCTTGGCTCACTGCAAGCTCTGCCTCCTGGGTTCACGCCATTCTCCCACCTCAGCCTCCCGAGTAGCTAGGACTTTTGTTTTCTTAATGTTCTTTTTTAGTAAAGCCTGTTCCTTTTTCATTCAAACATGATTCTCTTATTATCCTTGAGGATATTAATGATTAGCTTTTTGAAATTCTCATATATGTGCATATTCTCTATTTTCCCCAAATTACTTTTTTTTGTTTGCTTTGGTGCCTGCCTTTTATATTAGATATTTTCCAGAAAACATCTGTCATTCTTACTTTTCTGCTTCTATTCAAGAGTGAGGTACAATAAAACTTAATGCAAGCTCTCTGAGCAAGGGCAGGGCCAATTGACTATGCTATTTATCACATGGTGATCTGGCTGCGCTATATACTTAGAGAATGCCTAATAGAATCCTTTTGAGTCTTTTGTTCTACCTTAGATGTAGTCAGTTTGCAGCACCAACTCTTCTACTTTTCTGCCTGAGGGTACATGTTTGGCTTGATGTCAGTGTTCTGAGGGCCAAACATGTAAGCCTTTAATTCATCTACATGTTTTTCATTATGGAACCCTCTAACCACACCTGGTATCTCCCAGCCCAGAGAACTTTGTTTTCCTCTCTTCAGGCTTTGCAATAAGAGGGAGGAGTCTTCTGGGAGTGTAACTGCTTCTTAAACAGACTTTGAACCTCTCTTCCAGTTTTTAGCCTTGTCTTCATCTCAGGTTCCAGAGGTACATGGTACTTCTACTTTCTGAGCCTTATAGGGATTCTGATATACATATAAATACATTGGTTTGCTTCTCAGCTTTCCTTACTGGCTTAAGTTTTGCTTCTGCCAAGTCAGTTCTTTGGTTCTGCTAAGTCAGTTACCACTTGTTCATCTGCTTTCTAGCTTTTAAAACTTTGCTGTCTTTGCCTCTTCTCCTGATCTTTTTTTCCTTGTGAGTTTATAACATTTTTAAAATGTCATTTTAGTGGGATTTTGGAAGAGAGAAGATCTAAATTCGTGTTTAATCTGTCATGTTTAACTGGTAGTAATTATTTTAGCAGGGTATTAATAGAATTGTATTAGTTTGCTAAGGCTCCTGTAACAAAGTACCACAAACTGGATAGCTTAAACAACAAAAAATTTTCTTTTATCATAGTTCTGGAAGATAGGAGACCAGGACATGGTGTCAGGAGGGTTGATTTCTTTTGAGGCTTCTCTCTTTGGCTTTTAGATGGTCTGCTTCTTTCACATTGTCTTTCCTCCAGGTATGTCTGTGCCCTAATCTCTTCTTCTTATAAAGACAACAATCATATTAGATTAGGGCTCACTCATATTGATGCAGGGCAGGTGAGCCCCCAAAGTGGGGCTTAGCCCAGGAGGGTTCTTGGCTTTGCCCAAGAAAGAATTCAAGGGCATGCAGTGGTGTTAGCAGCTTTTATTGAAAGTGGCAGTGTACAGCAGCAGCAGAGGTACCCCATAGGCAGTGTTTCCCAAGTAGCAGCTCAGTGGCAGTCCTGCAGTCATATTTAGACCCACTTTTAATTATATGCAAATCAAGGGGTGGGTTATTCAGAAATTTCTAGAAAATAGGTGGCAACTTCTAGGTAGTTGCCATGGAAAGGGGTGGTAACTTCCAGTTATTGCCATGGCAATAGTAAACTGGCCATTGGGCGTGTCTTATGGAGAGGTGTTTTTGCCTCTTCCCTGTTTTAGCTAGTCCTCAATCTGGTCCCGAATTCAAGCCCCACCTCCAGAGTTGAGTCCTACTTCCTATCTCAATATGACCTCATTTTACAAAATTAATTCTCTTTAAAGGCATTATATCCAAATACAGTTACATTCTGAGGTACTGAGGATTAGGACCTCAACATATTAATTCAGCCTATAATAAGAATATTTTTGACAGTTACTAAGTTAGTTGACTTTATTATTTTCAGCTTTCATACCTTTTTCATTTTTATTTCATTATAGTGTAAAGAAATCCTCGTGTTTATAAGAATAATTATGAGCCACCTTCTCTTTTTATTTTTTTGGATTATGCATTTTCCAAATACAATGAGATTAATAGTGTTTTAGCTGAGGCTCTTTTGCTTACCTTAGGAAGGAACAAGAAGCCTAAACTAGCTTAAATAGAGTGTTCCTATTGAGAAGTCTAAAGCCATTCTAATTCCAAATCCTTTCTTTCTCCATTCTGATATTAAATCTGATATTAAATCTTTTGTTAGAAGCTTGTAAGATTTTCAGTGTTCTGAAACTTCTTGTTACTATGGCTTGATGTGAGTGTGTGTTCATTCATGGTATTGGTCACTTGGTGGGCCTTTTCTATCTAGAAAACAGTGTCCTTTGGGAATTTTTTGGAATTATTTCTTTGATCATTTCCTCCCTGTTTTCTCTGTTCCCTTTTTTAGGAATGTTTGTTATGCAGATATAACTTGCCTGAACTGGTCTTCGAATTTAAAAGTAACCTGTTCTTATTTTACGGTTGCAGTTTCATTCTTTATATATTTGAGGATACACACACACACACACACACACACACACACACACACACACATACACATTTTCTTTTTGTCAAAAATTAATCTAGAAACATGAAGGTATACAAAACAAAATGTATAATTCAATAATCTATTAGTAAGCAAATGTCTATGAAACTATTAATACCACCCAGGACAAGTCATCAAGTGCAGTTCTTCTATCCTGTCCGTTTTGCCTCCTATCTCCCCAAGAATGATTTCTTCACCGCTTAAGGTTCATAACTCCCACTGCTAAAGAATGGTTACACAAGTCAGTCTTTACCATTATGCTTTATAAAGATAATAGCAACCATTTAACTAAAGAAATGTCAATGTATTTTTAAAAAGAAGAGTGATAGGGAAATCAAGAAGAAACTCATACAAGGCGGAGAATTGAAACGTGATAGATAGATATAATGTTTGATGTAAATTAATAGAATGATAGATACAAATAGATGCTCTTTTGTGTTTCTTAGTTTGATTAGTGTATGGTATCTTATTGAGGGGCTTTTATTAGCTATTCAGGAAAGGCAGAATCTTTGAAGAAAGGTTTGTGATATTGTATCATTCATTTATCAATCAATCATACATCATTTATTAAATGTTGAAGATTCAAAGATGCTTTGAGCACAGTCACTGCACTCCAGAGACTCAAAGATATTCTCTGGCTTTGAATAGACCTTTCTTTAAGAGATATATCCTAATAAAGGTCAGAACATGAAGCATTAAGTTTTTACCCTCGCAAAAGAGCTGTATCTGATACTGGCCTGGCAAAAGATTGGAATATTATGTTAATGTTCCTAGTGTTCTTTCTCTTGTTATACAGAAATCACACTCCACTGCTTCTAAGGTTCAGTGGATTAGAGGAAAATCTTAAACCTAGGAAGATTAATTCAAATCATATATTAACCTATTTGATCATTTCAGAGTATTATGGGATAATTTGTAATTAGTGACGAGCATTTGGAGTTCATGAGTAATCCTGTTTGAGTGATTGCTCCCTTGTTGTGCCCTTTCATGCTCCCTGTTGTTTCCAAGTGATAAATGATACTTTAGTTATTTATTGTTCAGGACACTCTGCATTTTCTTCACCAAATAATACAAGCTCTTCCTAGTTTATGTTAAACATGCATTTTTCCCTCCTAGGTCTTTTGTCACAGAGACTGTTCTAGGAAATTATATCTTTATTTCTGATGATTTTAGCTGTAACATTTCAACCTGGATTAGGTTTTTATTATACTGGGATTTTGCTTTTCTGCATCGCTAATCAAAGTTTTTAATGACATTTTGCCTTTTGATGTGAATTGAAGATTGAGGTACAAAGAGTTCCAGCACCTAATGACCTATTCCATAAAGGTACTACATGGAAGGATAATGGTTTTTTGGAAAAGAGTTGTTCTGCATACTGTTATGAAAACTAAAGACTGGTAGACTTTTAATAATTATTCACAAAAGTACAATTTTCCAAGCGTTGAAAGATGAAAGTATTGGTGAACCTGCTCATTTTTCATTGTTGAAAATGGACTGCTTTCCTCATTCTGTTAAGGTCTGGGATTCATGTTGGTAGAGTATAGTTTTTGTACTGAGCGTCTAAGATAGGTTTGATTTGTGAAGCATATTTTGGCTTCTCTGTTGATCCTCTAAATCTGTAGGCCTTCGGCTGAAATGTGGAGAAAATCTGTGCTTGTCATCTCCACATTTCGAGTCATCTCCACATTTCGAGTCTAACCTTCTCTTAGTACTCACTTCTCTTGTGTTGTTCTTCACCTGCTAAAACCTCCTTTTTCTATATTATTGCCTTACTGATTTTTGCCTTCTCAGACGGCTGTTTTACGTTCCAGTTTCTTGTAACTTCCTTCTTACAAACGTACTTTTCTTGGACTCCAATTCTTTAGGGCAAAATGTAAGTTTTTCTTACATTATTTTGTCAAAAAACGCATGCTGATTCAGTTTATGCAGTTATATTAGAGAATTCTATTATTGGATAAAAATAAAGTTACACTTTAAGACAGGGCATTCTACATACAATACCTAAAGCTACAAGGGTGACTCCTATGGTAGAAATTTGGGGCACTGTTTTAGACCTTGGAGGCAGATGCATTTTTTTTTGGAGACTGTGAGTTATGATTCTTTTCAAATTACATTGCATAGCTTCTTCTTGGGCTTGCTTATATCTTAGCTAAGACTCTGGTGGGCTTAAGCAAAATGTTGAATTTATTGTCATGAAACACTGGTATCTCATGGAACCCAATAGCAAGATGTTCAGGCTAAGCTGCATGAAAACGTGAAAGAATGAAATAGAAAGTAGTTAGGAACCCAGCCAGCCACCTCTTAGTCTCTGCGTTTAAGGCCACATTGTCTCTATATTAGTTTCCTGTTGCCACTGTAATAAATTACCACATAGTTAATGGCTTAAACAATTTAGATTTATTCTTCTAAAATTCTAGGCTGAGTGTGGTGGCTTATGCCTGTAATCCCAGTGCTTTGAGAGGTCGAGGCAGGAGGATCACTTGAGGCCCAGGAGTTTGAGACTAGCTTGGGCAACATAGCAAGACCCCATCTGTAAGAAAAAGAGGAAAAGAAAAAAATTAACTGGATGTGGTGGTACATGCCTATAGTCTCAGCTACTGTGGAAGTTGAGGCAAGAGGATCACTTGAGCTCAGGAGTTCAAGGTGCATAGTGAACTGTGATCACACCACTGCACTCCAGCCTGGGCAGCAGAGTGAGACCCTGTCTCCAAAAATAAATAAGTAAATAAAATAATAAATGAAATAAAAAATTAGAAATTAAAAGTTCTGGAAGCTCAAAAGTCTGAAATTAATTTCACTAGGCTCAGATCAAGGTATCTTGCCAGGGCTGTGTTCCCTCTGGAGGCTCTAGGAGAGAATGTGTTTCCTTGCCTTTTCCATTATATAGAGCTGTATTTCTTGCCTGCCTTTATTCATATTCTCTTTCTTCATCTTCAAAGCAGTATGGCATTTTGTTTTAGTTATCACATTGCCTTCTTCTTCTGTAGTAAAATCTCCCTCTGCCTCCCTCTTATAAGGTCACTTAAGATTATATTTAGGGCTTAGCTGGCTAATCCATAATATTCTCCCCATTTTTTTATTTTTTTGATCCTTAATTTGATCACATGTGCAAAGTACCTCTTGCCATATAAACTAGCATTACAGATTCCAGAGATTAGGACTTGGATATCTTCGGGGGCTGTTATTTAGTTTACCATAGTCTCTTACTGCTACTTTTCTTTCTGCAGTTCTTCGTGGTTCTCCCTTTTTCTGAAGACTAGCTTTCTCTGCTTTGGCATACAGGTGCCAAGCATATATTACCAACAATGATGGCCTTGGGTCCTGGGTTCACAAGAGAATACTTCGGACTAACAAGATGGTTGATTATCAGTTCCAGATTCCCACAAGAGGTAGTCTGAAGCTCTAATTTGGTCAAGTGTCCAACCCTGGTTAAGTTTCATAGGCCAGGGGGAAGGCTCATGCAGGACAAACATGGCCTCAGACTTCACAGTCGTTGAGGAGGTGCAGTTCCTAGAGAAGAAAGGATGAGTAATTAACGTTGCTAATTTAGCTATAATTAGAGGCAGAATAAATGCATGTTCTTGAAAATAATTGGAGTGTTTTGGTTGCACCAGGCAGGGTGAATCTAACAACTAGTATTAGACATTTAATGATTATCATCCCTTTGCTCTTAAAACCAAATGAGAGCCAGTCTTATAATTGTAACCCGCAAGATAGCATTATGGGCCAGGCGCGGTGGCTCATGCCTGTAATCGCAGCTCTTAGAGAGGCAGAGGTGGGTGGATCATGAGGTCAGGAGATCGAGACCATCCTGGCTAACAGGATGAAACCCCGTCTCTACTAAAAATACAAAAAAAAAAAAAAAAAAAATTAGCCGGGCGAGTTGGCGGGCACCTGTAGTCCCAGCTACTCTGGAGGCTGAGGCAGGAGAATGGCGTGAACCCGGGAGCTGCAGCTTGCAGTGGGCCAACAGCTTGCAGTGTGCCATTGCACTCCAGCCTGGGCGACAGAGTGAGACTCTGTCTCAAAAAAAAAAAGCATTATGAGAGATGAACTCTTTTAAGTATGAAAGAAATGAAGGATGAAAGAAAAGAAATGATAACCTGAGCTTAGATGGGGGAGAGGAGACATAGAGAATGAGATTCTTGTGTATCTTTACTGTTTGTTTCCCCTCAGATTGTTGATTTAAGTAGCTTTTGTCGTCACTGAAATAAATAGATTCTGTGGGTCTTGGGATTGCAAACCTGGGCCTCTTCTAGTTGCATTGTGAACTTGAAGATCCCCTCCTATAACTGCTCCCAGCATTTGTAGATCAGCTGCAGACGTGCTGCAGGGATCCATTCAGCTTTTTCTCAGAGAGGATTGTGTTCATTGCCCCCAAACCATGCTCACATTCTTTGAGGATGTTTTCTTTTTGAACTTATGATCATATTTTCATAGCATTCTTACTTTGTACCTTATTTCTCTGAAATAAAAAAATCTCTTATGGGCCAGGCACAGTGGCTCCTGCCTGTAATATCCTAGCACTTTGGGAGACTGAGGCAGGCAGATCGCTTGAGCCCAGGAGTTTGAGACCAGCCCGGGCAGCAAAGTGAGAACCCGTCTTTACGAAAGAAAAAAAAAAGAAAAAAATTAGCCGGGCGCAGTGGCATGCGCCTGTGGTCCCAGCTACACAGGAGGCTGAGACGGGAGGATCTCTTGAGCCCCGGAGGTAGAGGCTGCAGTGAGCCATGTTTGTACCACTGCACTTCAGCCTGTGCAACAGAGTAAGACTCTGTCTCAAGGAAAAAAAAATCTCTTCTCAGGTGTTGCAGATTTGTTTCACTTTTCTGATATAACAAAAATTCTAAGTTTGCTAATGCCTGAGGCATGTCTTAGTTTTATATTTGCTTGTCATGTACAATTCCTAATATTACAATTCCATAGTGAAGACTAATTGAGAATCTGTCAATTGCTAGCACTTGAGATAGAAGAAAATGACCATATTTAACAATATATTGTTAGTCTAGAAACAAATTGCTACTACAGCTGCCTCACTGAATAGGCTCACATGATGTGTCTGGTTGGAGGTAGATGCCAACAAATCAATAAATATAGAATTATTGTAATAATTAGAAATCAGTATATGTATTTTTTTGAGACAGGGTCTCATTTTGTCACCTAGGCTGGAGTGCAGTGGTGCAATCACAGCTCACAGCAACCCTGACCTCCTGGGCCCAAGTGATCCTCCCACCTCAGCCTCCTGAATAGCTGGGACCACAGATGTGCACCACCAACCCTGGCTAATTTTTATTGTTTTGTTTGTAGAGACAGGGTCTCACTATGTTGCCCAGGCTGGGCTCAAATTCCTGGGCTCAAGTGAGTCTCCTGCCTGGGTCTCCCAAAGTGTTGGGATTACAGATGTGAGCCACCATGCCTGGTAAGTTTTAAAATTTAACAAATGAAAGCATTCGTTTAGAATTTGATTACATTTTCAAGAATTCCAGTTATTAGTGTGGATTATTCTTTAGTAGATGGAACATGATTTATATTAACAAAGTATATGACTCCATTTTTGGATGGGGGTTCTAATTCTTCACAAATAGAATAGAATGCCCACTTAAAAAATTATCTTCTTAATGTGTTCTAAATTAAAGTGACAGTTGCCTCCTCATATCCTCCTAATGTATTACTTAGCAAGGTCACAACAGATACTGGCATAGGGGTGTGTGTGTGTGTGTGTGTGTGTGTGTGTGTGTGTATGTATGTATATAATGTGAGAATACTGATTATGGGAAGTGGAGAAAAATAAGGGGGCTTATGCTAGAAAAGTAGTGAAGGGTGAAGGGTGGGTATTGCCCAAGCCTGGGCACCCATAAAGTACATAAGACGCGGGTGTTGACCCACGAGTATATGTGAGTGCTAGTCTCTAAAACCATCTGGCTTAATGCATTTATATGAGCAAATTAGAGATGTAAATGTGGCCATGCAGGATTAATCACACACTGTGCTGCTCTTTGCTAGTCTTAGTGCCAAGTCACATTTCGCATTCTTGGTACTCTGTGTGATTTCTTTAGATTTATTACTTTGGTTTGGCATACCATATCTTATATAGTATTAATGCTAGGTAATAGAAATTTTTGCTGTCTGTACCTGCAATATAGAGGAAGGATCTCAAGGGGAAAGAGGAAACAGAGAGCATCAACTCAGCATTGTTTTATTCAACTGCTACCTAAAATTCTTAGTAAATTTACTGCTGCCTCTATGTTGAGAATTTCTTGGCATTCCCAGGATGATCCTGTATTTTCTGGCATTTCTCTAGTGGATGCTCTTCATGCGAAGTATTGGGAGACTTTTGTGAGAAAAATGTAAATTGACTTGCCTGAGGTAACAAGTTAAGTCCTGGGGCTCAGAAACAATAAAATGTGATAATCACTGTGGCAGAAATTGCTAGCTGTTCCCCCAATAATCACTTCCGTTTCTTCCTTAGCAATAAACTCTGTAGTTATTAACTAGACCTTTGGCCACACAGAATAAAGGCTACATTTTCCAACTTTACAGCTAGTATAGAGGAATAAAATGAAATTCTGGTCAGTGGGATATAAGCAGAAGTATCAAGTGCAATTTCTTGGACATATCTTTATAGGGAAGAATGTGCCTTTCTTCCTTTCTCTTTCCTCCTGGTTGGAATATGGATATGACAGCTGGTACTTAAGCAGCTATCTTGGACTGTAATTGAAAGTTATATGTCGAAGATGGGGCAGGAGAATAGGGGAACAGGTCTTTGATGATAGTTGAGATAGCATATCAACCTTTGATTCCTGATGTCTGGTCTTTGTTAATATCAGAGAAAATTAAACGTCTCCCTTATGTTAAGCCACTATTACTTTGAATTATTTAGGACCTAAATCTAACTATGATTAATATAATCAGGATAAGGCATAATTTTTTTTTTTTGAGACGGAGTTTCGCTCTTGTTGCCCACGCTGGAGTGCAGTGGCACCATCTAGGCTCACTGCAACTTCCACTCCCTAGGTTCAAGCGATTCTCCTGCTTCAGCCTCGTGAGTAGCTGGGATTACAGGCACACACCACCACGCCGGCCTAATTTTTGTATTTTTAGTAGAAACGGGGTTTCACCTTGTTGGTCAGGCTGGTTTCGAACTCCTAACCTTGTGATCCGCCTGCCTCGGCCTCCCAAAGTGCTAGGATTACAGGAGTGAGCCACGGTGCCCGGCCCAGGATAAGGCATAATTTTGTGCCTCCTATAAAGTTGGGAAATTGACTGTTTCTGGAATTCAGATTTTTTAAAAATTAAAATTGAACTTCTGGTTCTCTTCTCCTTATCTAGGTCTAACTTATTGTACTCTGGCTGTTTGCCTATATGCAGAATTTATCCTGATTGTGTTTTAGGAAGCTAGCTGAAGAAAATATTTTTCTACCAAATGAGACAAACCAGTTTGTAAACCTAAGTTAGTAACCAGAAAATGTAAATCTATGATGTTTTATAGTTCTGCTTGTTATATATGATCACTGGACACACAGAGGTACAGAAATCCAGTAAGAAAGTGAAGTTTTGGGGGAGTCTATAAAAATGGAAAGCATCTGGTGTGAAGTCTGTAAAAGACCACAATATCAGGTCATTTCAAGTTCTTTCGTGAGTTGAAATCTGGCTTAATATAAATGGCTTTCAAGGAGTATTGCTTCCTTCTGTTCTGGAAGAGGACATTAAAGCAGTGAAGAATGCTGCAGTTCAGTTAGATAGATGTAAAAATTCTGGGAGCATTAACAGTGGGGTAAGTATCATCTTTTCCAGTATTGAAAATGAAGTGATAACAGAGGGAAAAACTTAAGAGATAGTAGAAAAAGTAGAGATAAAATACAAGTCCTGATACTGAGCGAGAAAGAGGATATTTCATTTTAAGTTCTGTTCTAAAGAAGATTCAGCTCTTAAGATTTTTTTTCCTTCCAAAGTGAGGAAGTGAAGACAGATAGAATTTTATCACCACTTAATTTAGTCTTTTTCATAGATAGAAAAAACCTTTCCTAAAGAAAATTGAAAAATAAAAATCAAGAAATCATAAAAGATATGCAGGTAATCAGGAAAATGAAGCTACTGATACAGTAAATATGCATATGCTTCCTCACTAGTCTTATGGGGATATAAATACATGACTTAATTTTCCTACAAACACTTCCTTCAACCATGCTTTGCCAAGTCCCTGTTTCTGGGAAGATTCCAGATTCCATAACTGTCTGCATACTTTTGGTATTAAAAATTAATTCTGGTTAAATTTAAAACTCCAGTATCACATCCAGTTCAAAGTCCTTCTTTCCCTTTTCTCCAGAGACAGTGGCCCAGACTTCATTAGGAGGGAACTTTTTTGTAAACGTCTCCTCCCCATCTCTTCTGGGTCTCTAGCTCTTCCAATGTGTTAGTATGTGAAGGAAGATGATGGAAAGGGTTAAATGTCTCTTACCTTACTGGTGCTGTTGTAATTTACTCACTGTTGGTCGTTGCAGTTTTTAAGGGTTGACATTGGCAGGTATCCAAATGATAGTTCTCTCGTGAGATCATGTATATTAATTTTTTGGAGGACCCTTTAAGGTGGCTTCCCATTGCAATTTCTTTTATTTTAATTTTTATTTTTTTAAATATATATATAGTTTTAATTATACTTTAAGTTCTAGGGTACATGTGCACAACGTGCAGGTTTGTTACATATGTATACATGTGCCATGTTGGTGTGCTGCACCCATTAACTTGTCATTTACATTAGGTATATCTCCCAATGCTATCCCTCCCCCTCCCCCTACCCCACAACAGGCCCCGGTGTGTGATGTTCCCCTTCCTGTGTCCAAGTGTCCTCATTGTTCAATACCCACCTATGAGTGAGAACATGTGTTGTCTGGTTTTTTGTCCTTGCCATAGTTTGCTGAGAATGATGGTTTCCAGCTTCATCCATGTCCCTACAAAGGACATGACTCATCCTTTTTTATGGCTGCATAGTATTCCATGGTGTATATATGCCACATTTTCTTAATCCAGTCTATCATTGTTGGGCATTTGGATTGGTTCCAAGTCTTTGCTATTGTGAGTAGTGCTGCAATAAACACATGTGTGCATGTGCCATTATAGTAGCATGATTTATAATCCTTTGGGTATATACCCAGTAATGCAATGGCTGGGTCAAATGGTATTTCTAGCTCTAGATACCTGAGGAATCGCCACACTGTCTTCCACAGTGGTTGAACTAGTTTACAGTCCCACCAATGGAAAAAACTACTTTAAAATTCATATGGAACCAAAAAAGAGCCTGCATTGCCAAGTCAATCCTAAGCCAAAAGAACAAAGCTGGAGGCATCACGCTACCATTGCAATTTCTTAATGTGAGATAGTAAGTTCCAGCTCTGTTTCTTTCAACTTCTTTCAGCATCCGCATCAAGTGGCACAGCCAAAAGCCTCCTTCTGTGGAATCCCCTTGCCTTCTGGCAGTCATCTTGGGTAGGATACCAGGAAGATGTCCCAAGCCATCTGTGGTGCCTAAGTTTTGGAAATTTGCATATCTTTGCTGTATCAAATTATGGGCATTTAAGCTATTGTACTGTTGTCCCTCTTTCTGCCAGTTCTCTCAAGTTATAATGGCAGATCAAATATTCATTGCCTAATCTAGTATTTCTCAAAGCCTGGTCTCTAGACTGGAATATTAGTATCACCTGGAAATTTGTTAGACATGTAAAATTTTTGGGCCCAGTGGGACCTAATGATCTGTGTTCTAATAAGCCATCTAGGTGATTCTGTTGCATGCTAAAATTTGAGAACAGCTGGTCTCATAATTCAAATGGGGAATGAGATGCCAATCTTCTCTTACTACAGGTATTCTCAATTTTTATTACTAATTTTCTTGGAAGCCCCTAGTCCCACTTTGACTTGAGGTAAGGAAAGCCATAGAACTTCCTAAGTAACTTCTTGAAATTTCTTAGGTTGCAGTTGTTGTCATTATTATTATTGTATAGGTTGGAAAGGTGGGGATGGGGAAAGCAGCAACAGGATGAAAGTTATTTGCTCACATTATTCTGGGTAACAATCCCCAAATCTCAATGAACAAAGGTTTAGTTCTCACTCACATTACTTATTCACATTGACTGTAGGTCAATTGTAGGCCTGTTCCACAACTTCTTTCTTTTAGGACCTAGACTGGGCTCACCCTTATCTGAGAGATCCCAGCCTCATGACAGAGAGAAAAGAAGCATGATGGAACCACATTATGGCTCTTAAAATTCTGTTCAGATGTGGCATATAACACTTGTACTCACATTCTATTGGCTAAAGCTAGTCACATGGCCAAGCCTGACATCACTGGAGCAGGAAGTATACTCACCTCAAAGGGAGGTTAAATGGGCTAGATACAGAGAAGCAGTGAATATTTTGAACAAATAATATGAGCTATCACAGTCACATAATAAATTGTAGCTATTATTGTTAAAATATAGTTGCTACCTTAAAAAGATAATAGGAGAGGAAATTCTAACAAATACGAAACAATCAGAGAATAGCTAGTACCAGACTATATATACTAAAATTATGACATGGGTTTAGAGAAGAGAAGATTCTGAGACAAGCTGGTTGGTGAATGATGGGTGTAACTGGGACGGAAGGACCTGAGAAGGGAAGGAATTCCAGAATAGAGCAACAGACTAAGTTATGACCTGGGTGGGGGTTAGCATGACTGGTGGGAAAGACAGAGAAGAGAGCACAATGTATGGAGTAAGGTGGCCTTATTTTGAAGTCAAGGAGGACAGGATTGGTGAGAGAGGATAGGCCAGATCATGGAGGAACAAAAAACTTAGGAAGGCCTAGCACAGTGGCTCATGCCTGTAATCCCAGCACTTTGGGAGGCCAAGGTGGGCAGATTACTTGAGGTCAGGAGTTCGAGACGAGCCTGGCCAACATGGTGAAACTCTGCCTCTATTAAGAATTAGCTGGGCCTGGTGGTAGGTGTCCGTAATCCCAGCTACTTGGGAGGCTGAGGCAGGAGAATTGCCTGAACCCAGGAGGCAGATGCTACAGTGAGCCAAGATCACACCACTATACTCCAGCCTGGGCGGCAGAGTGAGACTTCGTCTCAAAAGAAAAAAAAAAAACTGAAGAAAGAATTGTGGGTTTGATATTGTATGTGGTAGGGTGTTACGTTGGTCAGTTTTTAAGGATAGTCTACAAGACCATACGGTCTAATGGAAAGAGAGAGCTAGACTGAGAGGTATAATGGCATTTCTGTCACTTATTAGGTATTTATCTTTGGGTAGGTCAATAGTTATTCATTCAACAAGTATTTAGTATTACTATGTACCATTGCACACACTGGGAATATAAAGATGAAACAATAGACATTCTGCCTTTAACAAAGTTTTAGAAAAATAGAAGGTAACTATATAGAAAATGAAATAATGACCATAAGCAAGAAGGCCACAATGAGGAACAAGCATGGGCATATGCCAGATATTTTTTCAGAGGCAGACCGTAGATAAACAGATCCTACTAGTGGGTCAATTAAGTTATTGTATTTTGTAGATTATACAGCTACTTAAAATCATAGGAGGCCAGGTATGGTGGCTTATGCCTGTAATCTCAGCATTTTGATAAGCCAAGGTCGGAGGAGAGTATGAGCCCAGGAGTTTGAGACCAGCCTGGGCAACATGGCGAAACCCGTCTCTACAAAAAAACTTACAAATTAGTCAGGTGTGGTGATGCACACCTGTGGTCCCAGCCACTCAGGAGGCTGAGGCAGGAGTATTGCTTGAGCCCAGGAAGTCAAGGCTGTAGGGAGCCCTGTTTGCACCACTGCACTGCAGCCTGGGTGACAAAGTGAGACCCCATCTCAATCTGCCTGCCTGCCTATCTATCTGTCTGTCTGTCTATCTATCTATCTATCTATCTATCTATCTATCTATCTATCTATCTATCTATCTATCTACCATTAATCATCTATCCATCTATTATATGTATGTACATACATACATACATACATATATATATATACATATTAGATAGCTCCTGAGATGTCCTAGATATTCTTTTGGGCAGAAAAGCAAGTTGCAGGTCTGTACATAAAGTATTATCTCATGTGAGTTGGAAAAAAATGTATATGCATAGAAAAGTTTAGGGAGTGTATGAAAAAGAGGAGTAGGACTGGTGGTGATGGGAAGAACGACTTTTAATTTTTATTTTATATCCTTCTATCTCCTTGCATTTTTACCACAATATATTTTAACTTTGTAATTACAAAACTAGTTAAACAAAAAAAGCATCCCACCACAATCAACCTTTACCCACGACTTTATCTCTGGACTCAAAACATCCTGATATTAAAATCTTCATGTTAAGATACTTTGAGTCTGACCTGGCTTCTTTTGCTTATTCAACTTTTGTTCTGATAATCCTAGTTGTATCTCCTAGATAAAACTAGATAGACAAATAGCTGTTCTGTCGACTCTGAGTTTCACTTCTATTATTTTTTTTCCCGAAAATTTTATATTGTGGTAAAATACACGTAAAATAAAATTTACCATCTTAACTATTTTTAAGTGTATACGTATTTGTTTTTATTTAGCACTTTCTCAGTGAATATGTTTCCCTGGCTCCCCATTCTCTCTCCGCAGGACAGCCAACATTTCCTAAAAGCACAACCTTGGAAATGATAGTTATAGCCAACCCTGGAGTGTTTGAGACCAGAGGACAGTCCAGAATAGGAGACAAGGCACATACCAAAGATCAGAGCCAGATATTAGGTCAGCTGTCAAGGTGTTCTTGAAGGCAAGAGCCAGGCATTGACTCCGATTTCTGGGTAGTCAGAGACAAGGAATAAAAAAAACTTGGGTAAGGACTCAGCCCAGAAGACTGAGGACAAAGGCAAGATAGCTGCATTGTTAATGTGGAGTGACAGTAGTAACAAGAAAGAAAGCAGACTGCTGATATATGCTTTCTGCGAAAATTAAGAACTGGTCTTGGGATGTGGGTGGCTTTGACCTGAAGGAGGGGGGTCGGTGGCACTTTGATTCTGTTTTGAAGGGTTGAAGACCAAGGCAGTTTCTGCCTGCTTCTATGCACCTTCCTCAGGCCTTCTTTTTCTTTCTTTAATTTTTTTTTTCTTTGAAACCGGGTCTCACTCTGTCACCCAGGCTGGAGTGCAGTCGTGCCATCTTGGCTCACAGTAACTTCTGCCTCTGGGGATCAAGTGATCCTCCCACTTCAGCATCCTGAGTATCTGGAACCACAGGTGTGCACCACCATGCCTGGGTAATTTTTTGTATTTTGTTGGGTAGAGACTGGGTTTCACCATGTTTCCCAGGCTGGTCTCGAACTCCTGAGCTCAAGCGATCCACCTGCCTCAGCCTCCCAAAGTGCTGGGATTACAGGCATGAGCCACTATGCCTGGCCCAGGCTTTCTTTTAGAAAAAAAGGAGATTAGGATCTTTGGAGTAGGAATGAAAAACTCTCAAACTCAAACACTTAATACTACCATTACCCCTCTGTCAACACACACACGTCCACACACCCACCCCTGCAGCTAGGAGACATTTTGGGCTCTGGATGTTATGTTCAATAATCTTTTATTGGGATGCATGATGCATTCATGATCTGATAAAACTAGAGCACATTGATATTGGTATTATTATTTTGGTAAATTTTTTTTTTTTTTTTGAGATGGAGTCTCGCTCTGTCACCCAGGCTGGAGTGCAGTGACATGATCTTGGCTCACTGAAAGCTCTGCCTCCCGGGTTCAAGCCATTCTCCTGTCTCAGCCTCCCGAGTAGCTGGGACTACAGGCGCCCGCCACCACGCCCGGCTAATTTTTTGTATTTTTAGTAGAGATGGGGTTTCACCGTGTTAGCCAGGATGGTCTCAATCTCCTGACCTCGTGATCCACCCACCTCGGCCTCCCAAAGTGCTGGGATTACAGGCGTGAGCCACCATGCCCAGCCTATTTTGGTAAATATTTTTATATTACCTTTCAGAAACCAATTTTAAAAAAGATTAGGCCTCATATTCAGGAACATATCTTAGATGTTTTTGTCTTTACCACATTCTGATTTGTTTAAGAACTTTAATTCAGGAGAGATTATCTAGGAAGTTGTTGAAAAGTAGGCTTAGATACATTTGGGATTTTTCAAATTGACCCATTTCAGAGTGGTTTGTAGATATAAATTTGAAATGAAGTACATACTACCTTCAAGGTAAAATATACTTTCTTAAGTTTTGAACTTCTGTTTGGATGAATTTATTACTTTATCTGTTTTATTTTATTTTTGTATCTGTAGAAATCCTCAGATGTTGCTCTCATATTCATTTAAATGTATTGTGTTATTATTTTGGATTGTACTCTAAGCTTTTTGAAGTCAAACTTTAAAACAGATTTTCATATCAAATTAAGGTAAAAACACAGCAAACATATTTTATACCTAGTAAATCCAAATAAGTTGACTGAGATTTTAGAAAAAATAAGAGTTCCATAAAATAAGCAGCATTTCACTTAGCGTTCTAAGTTAGAAAATAAAATGGAAAAAAGATACACATTTATAATATGCAAAAATTACTTAAAAATAATTAAATAAAGACCACGTATAATTTTAGATAATGAAAATGGCAAAACTTCATTTAGAGTTATAAAAGGGAATTGAATAAATGGACATATATTCTGCCCAAGACTATTTCTGGACAATACGATGTTAATTAGAATATCAAATCACATTTTTCTTGGAAGTTGACATGATTAATTTGAAATTTATGTGGCAGAATGAATAGATAAAAATATGAAAGATTATTTTGAAAAAATAAAGCTAATGATAGAGGGGATTAATCCTACCACACAATAAAGGATAATTTTAAAAACCAATAATTAAAACAGTATGGTACTATTTGATTTGATTATTATGTGAGACTTTAAATTTCATATACATAAAAATAACTATGATAAGCTAGAAATTGCTATATAAACAACATGGGTTTGGGATTTTCAGATACAGTCTAAAAGTTGTGACTGTTACTTGTCGATGAGCTATGACCGTGCTTCATAAAGCAGAGGTTTTCTTTTTAGGTTTCTTGTAGGTTGGAACGGATTTTAACACATAGGATTGTCATTGTATTTTAAGATTAGACTTTAAAAATTTTATCTTTGTAGTGGTGGTGCTAAAATCGTTGAGGATTATATGAAACAACCTTTGCACCTACTTTTTTGGCCTGGGTTGAGGATATTGAGAAAAGGGTTATGCACTGGTTGTTGATGTTTTTTAAACAGTTCATGGTCATAGCTGAGATATATTAGGTTAGTGTAATACATACTGTTATTAAGAAAAAGATTAGTTTCATCTTACTCGGCCTAATTAGCTTTGTTCCATTTCATTGGCTCAAATGTATCCAAACAAGACACTGCAAGGGCCGTGGTGTTCTGAATAGAGTGCTGTGAGATACTGACATATTTTATTTTGTCTTACAAATGAGCTACAGACAATGATAATTATAGAAATGTATTCTGTGGTCTTACTTATAATAAATTCATAGCATCAGTACATGCCCATAAATAAAATAAACCATTCAACTAAGACTGTTTTCTCAACTTTTTATGCCGACATTAGTTTGCTAGTTGTTTATTTTTGTTGTCTAGTATGGAAGACAAGTGGTAGCTCGTGACACATATTTTAAAAATTTATGGGCCGGGTGCGGTGGCACATGCCTGTAATCCCAGCACTTTGTGAGGCCGAGGTGGGCGGATCACGAGGTCAAGAGATTGAGACCATCCTGGCCAACATCGTGAAACCCCGTCTCTACTAAAAATACAAAAATTAGCTGGGCATGGTGGCATGCGCCTGTAATCCCAGCTACTCAGGAGGCTGAGGCAGGAGAATCGCTTGAATCCTGGGGGTGGAGGTTGCAGTGAGCCGAGATCATGCCACTGCACTCCAAACCGGAGTCAGAGTGAGACTTCGTCTCAAAGAAAAAAAAAATTATGAGAGAAAAAGTTTTAAGTAGACAGAATTATACATTAACCTTTTTTGGGGGAGGAATTGGGGAAAGCTGACCACATACACCCTTTTGAATGAAGAAGGATAATAATTAAGAATAATATTTGTATATTTTAGTTACAATTCACTTTTTTTGTATTTTTACAAAATTATGCAACCATCACCATTATCTAATTCTAGAACATCTGCATCTCCCCCCAAAAGAAGCCTCTTATCCATTAACAGTCACTCCTCATTGCCTCCATCCCCCAGTGACCACTAATCTACTTTCTGTATTTATGGATTTTCCTATTCTGGACATTTTACATAAATGGGATCGGATTATACATGGCCACATTTTTTTTTTAGTGGCGGAATATCAGAATCCAAATCTAGAAATACCAGCATTTTTTTTTTTTTTTTCTGAGACAGAGTCTCGCACTGTCGCCCAGGCTGGAGTGTAGTGGTGCAATCTCGGCTCACTGCAACCTCCACCTCCCAGGTTCGAGTGATTCTCCTGCCTCAGCCTCCTGAGTAGCTGGGATTACAGGTGCCCACCACCACACCCAGCTAATTTATTGTATTTTTAGTAGAGATGGGGTTTCACTCTGTTGGCCATGCTGGTCTCCAACTCCTGACCTTGTGATCCCCCCACCTCAGCCTCCCAAAGTGCTGGGATTACAGGCATGACCCACAATACTTGGTCCAGCATTCTTTACAAAGCAAATTTTAGCAAAAAGTTAGTTGTATCACTAGATTGAATTCCACATCTTAGAAAGTGGGTGAGATGTAAGTGTAGATATGATGGCAAATTCATCAACCCAATGAAGGGAACATTTCAAGGAAATGCTAATTTTTTTTTTTTTTTTTGGGAAAGAGTCTCACTTTGTCACCCAGGCTTGAGTGCAGTGGTGCAATCTTGTCTCACTGCAGCCTCTGCCTCCTGGGTTCAAGTGATTCTCCTGCCTCAGCCTTCCAAGTAGCTAGGATTACAGACATGCACAGGCCACGCCTGGCCAATTTTTGTATTTTTAGGGAGATGGAATTTCACTATGTTGGCCAGGCTGGTCTTGAACTCCTGACCTCAGGTGATCCACCCACCTCGGCATCCCAAAGTGCTGGGATTACAGACATGAGCCACCACACCTGGCCATGATGCTCTTTTGTTTAGAATCAGTAGTGTTGCAAGAGGGAGGACTGCTTAGGAGAAATGTTAATAAGAAAACCTTTTATTATATTAAATGAAGAAGGAAAATAATTAGAAATAATATCTGTACATTTTATTTAAATCTTTAACTCAATTTCAGTAGTGTTTTGGAAGTGTGATTTTTGCCATTTATGATATGTACCTAACCTCAGCTGCTAACATGGAAAGTTATCTCTTGCACTGTGTTCTATACCCAGAACACTGCCAGTGATTTTGTTAGATGTTATAGGTGGTATGAATATTGTTGTGGGGGTTGGATCTTCTGAATTACCTCCCATGAAATTCAGTTAATAGTTTTCTTATATGTGCACTCAGAACTTAAATGGAAAATTCTTTATACTCTTAATTTCTCTTGCTTAATGTGGTAATCAGAGTGTCCACTCTCTGACCCATTTATATACTTTTGAAATACGAAGAAAAAGCTTTCTCATGTTTTCATATGGGTGGCCAGATAGACAGCACTTTAAAAATTAGCATATGTATGTTTTGACTATCTCACTTAAGGCTGCCTGTCAGTTTGGCAGCTCTGAGCTTGTTATTTCTGTGTCTTCTCTTTTTTCATTTTCATGTTTTGACAAATAAGATTGTACTTTTGACAAGTGATTTGTACTTCATCTAAAAATTTCAAAGTGTGTTAAATTTATTTGTTAAACTATCTAAAGATCATTTTATCTACCCATCTTTGGATTATACAAGATTCTCATCAGTGTAAATGAAGACAGAAAGTGACACTATTGGAGTTCTTGCAATAAAAGACATTATTGGGCAATAATTATTTCCAGAATAATTACTGCTTACTTTTCAGAAACATATTTCTTTCAGTTAAGTATCTTCTGACTTACTCCTGGGTGTAAAACTGTCTTAAGGGGAATGACCTCTTTTTGTATTCCTTGGGAGAGTATATCTTTCAAGAATGAAGGTATTTACAGGCATCCCTTGACAAGTGAATAAATGCCATGCTGAACATTTTATTGCAAAAGGAAATTCTATATATTTAGTTTTATCATATAACCAACATTATATTTATTTGTTTAGTAAATATTTAATGAGTACCTAATATGCTAGGAAATGTTTTAAGGATTGGATAACAAATGCAGATAGCACTACTTAGAGCTTATAAGCTATTGGATGCACAGAGGTTAAATGAGAAATAATGTAATTTCAAATTGTAATAAGTGGCTTGAAGAAGACAAACTAAAGTAATAGGGTATGTAATCATTTGGAGTAGGGGGGCGGGTTAATTTTGGTCAGGGATAGCCTCTCTGGGAACTTGCTATTTGACAAGAAACTTGAATGTGGAAAAGGAAATACCTATCCCTCAGGAAGAATATTCCAGGTAGACATAACTGCAATTAACAAGGTCATAAAGGAAGCATAAGAAGGCAGGTATAGCTGCAGCACAGTTAAGGGAAGGTATGGTAAAAAATGAGGGTGAAAAGTAGAGGCTAGATCATGTATGACCTTGTAGGCCATGTTAAAGCCTTTGGATTTTATATTTTGTGCAAAGGGAAGCCTTAAGCGGGTCTTAAGCAGGGGGAAATGTACAACCCAATTTATAGAAAGATCATTCTGGCTACACTAAGAGACTGGGTCACAAGAGGCAGAGCGGAAGATACTGTAGTAGACCAGATGATGTTGATGGCATCTGTTGCTAAAGAGAAAGGGTAGAGATGATGATAAAGTGGCAAGATTTGGATTAGATTTTGTTGGGAGAGAGCTGAGGACTTGTTAGTGGACTGGATGTTGAGGCCAGGAAAGGAGAGGAATCAAAGGGGACTATAAAGTTTTTGGCCTGAGCTGCTGGATGAATAGAGATGCCATTAACTGATATAAAATAAAATTGAAGAAGGACCAGATTTGTTGGCTGTGTAAGTCTGAGATGTGTGTTAGACATCTTAGAGGAGATGTTGGGTAGGCAGTTACAAGTCTGGAGCTCAGTAGAGAAGTGGGTTTTTGAGGCATAAATATGGGAGTCATGAATTAAGAGATGGTAGTTAGCAGTTTGAGACTGGCTGAGGTCTTTGAGGAATAATTATAGACAGAATAGAGGGCAGAAGACCTGTGGATATGTTCATGCAAGAAAAATTTGTGTTTTAATATAAACAAAATCTAATGTGTCTTGCTAGCCAGTCAGAGTTCTGAGTTACAAGTAACAGAAAGCAACTGTGACTGTTTTTGTTGAAAGGAGACTTTATTGAAAAGATGTTGAGTGGCTCATAGAATCATTAAGGTGGCTGGCAAATCAGGTTTAGATAATGGGCAGAATCCAAGGGAAAACAGGTACCTGGATCTCATCCATAACTGTATACAGGAACTGTTGTACCCTGGCTACCAGAACTTGAGTCATCACTGTTGGAGCTGGATATAGGATACCCCATGAGATCCTCTCGCACTGGTGACCCTAGAAACTGGATGTTGCTGTGGCTACTTCCAGAGCAAGTTCTCTCTGCCACTATTCCTTGTGTCACTTGCTTTACATTCAATGTTCTGGTAAAGAACTGGGGCTAGGTATTGTGTCTTCATCCTAACTCAGATGGTAGGGGAAAGTAATTATCTGAACTTTTTGGTTGCTGTCATGAGATATTCTTTATATTCCACCATGACTCAGATAATCGAGAAGTTCCCCAAAACAGAGTATGGCAATTCCAATGCTAGGCATTTTAACAACTGTAAAAAGTACCTCCCTAACCGCCCCTGTCCCATTCCCCCACAAAATGACTATGGTTATTCTCTCATGCCATGTCCATATTTTAGCTCTGTGAATATAATACACTTGATTGCTTATGAATTCATAAGTGTAGAGTTAAGCAACAAGTTATTAGAGGGCCTCCAGATGCACTTCAAGAATATTTTATCCTTATTGACTTTCTTTTCCTATGATCTGTTTTCTCCTCGAGGATTAAGAAAAGACCCACTTTCCCTATGTCTCTTTCACCATAGCCAGAGAAATACAGCCTCTTTTTTTTTTTTTTTTTTTTTTTTTTTTTGAGATGGAATCTCGCTCTGTTGCCCAGGCTGGAGTGCAGTGGCACAATCTCGGCTCATTGAAACCTCTGCCTCCTGGGTTCAAGCGATTCTCCTGCCTCGGCCTCCTGGGTAGCTGGGACTACAGGTGCATGCCACCATGCCCAGCTAATTTTTTTGTATTTTTAGTAGAGATGGGGTTTCACCATGTTAGCCAGGATGGTCTGGATCTCCTGACCTTGTGATCCGCCCACCTTGGCCTCCCAAAGTGCTGGGATTACAGGCGTGAGCCATCGCGCCTGGCCAGCCTCTTTTGGTTAAAAACACACAAGTCAATAAGCCCCCACTTCAAGCATCTTTCTTTAATGAAATGTACATATTTAAAACACACACACACATACACACATACACACAGTCACTACCACTGAATAATCAGGGTTTCTTTGGGAAAGTTAATAACTTCAAAGCTGTATATTCTGGCCCAAATATGTGACCACTGAATCTATTCCAGATAAGTTTTAATTAAGTATGACATACTGAAATTTCCCCCAATTAATTATATAATAGCAAAATTACACATGCACTATAGCTGTGGCCACCTGGTAGAGAAAAGATTGTAGCCAAAGGTATTACAATCCATTAACCTGATTTATATAAGAAAATTTATAACATAGTCATAGCATTGTTATGATGAAGACTAACTGCCTGCCAAAGAGATAACAAGTAAGTATGGAAAATCCTCACTTAACATTGTTGATAGGTTCATGGAAACTGTGACTTTTAGTGAACTAATGTATAATGAAACAAATTTCTTTTTCTTGTTAACATTATAAAAATGATGTTGAATAAAAGATGTTATTTGAGGACCTGCTGTATGTTGTTCTCCTTAAAGTTGCAGTTCCAAAAACCTATCTATGACATTAAGTGAAGACTTACTGTATTTTCAGGCTAACACCTGTGTTCTTTCATAAGCATCACTGGAAAATGACTGAATGCTGGACATTTTCATTGAGTGCTGGATTTTGTTGTTTTCCTTCAAAGAGTGTTGCACTTTTTAAGGTTGATTTGTAAGCTTTGTTAGAGTGAGTTAAGAGTACACTTTAGTCTGGGCTAGTTTACCCCTTCTGCGAAGACATGACCTTTCTGAGGTCTCTACTGAATGTCCCAGGTATTCAATGATATCCCGTCACTCTGTCTGGTTGACACTTGGAAGTCTTGCAGTCCTGATGAGCTCTGGCAGTTGTTCAGCTTATGGCTCCCACTTTGCCTTGTGGAGTTTCACCATATTTTGGCAACTTAGTGTTCAGCCAAAACTTAAGAGGACTCCTGTGCTGATTTCTGGAGCTCCATGTCTGCGTAGCCCGCTCCAATTCTGTACTCTGAATGTTCTAGCTACTTTATCCTCCTTAAACACTGATCTCTGTTTTCTCAACTCAGCAAGATCCTCGTGCTCTGTTTGGGATCCCTTTCCTGCCCTGTAGTCTGGAAGGTGCCTCCAAGCAGAAAGCCAGAGTGATCATAGGGCTCATGTCATTCGTTTTGCTTATCTTAAGGTTCATAGTACTGTGCTGCCTATTGTCTGAAACATTTGGAAAGCAGTATTTTTCCTTTATTTTATCCAGTTTTTTAGTTATGTTAGGAAAGTAAGCCTAGTCCCAGTTGTTGTGTCGTAGACAGAAACAGAAGTCCCATTAGAAAAATGATTATACCACTGAAACACATGAGCATTATTTCTGGTACTTTGCAGCCCTTATAATTTGTAAAAAGTCTATGGTGTGATGATGAAAGAGGAAAAAAATTCAGAGTTAGCGTAGTAAAACTAGTAGAGTAACAATAACATATAGGATTATCATACGTATGGGATATATTGTGTGTGTGCTTGTGTGCGGATAATTACATATATAATTTAATCTCAAAAATCATAGGTAGGTGTTATTATTATGTCCATGTACAGAGTTAGAAATTGAGGTACAGGAAAATGAAGTAACAAAAGAGCACACAGCTAGTAAGTGGTGGATCTAGGGTTTGAACCAGGCATTATTGGCCAAATAAAAATTGCTGCCTCAGGAAACTGGTTAAGTCTCACATTCCATCTGAGCAGTGAAGTCGGTTGTGTTTAGAAGTATGGTATTGCTCAAGACTCAATTTTATGATCTCTCTTTTTCTCTCCTTTTAAAATTCTTCTTGCTCCAGACTTCATCACTGGAAGAATTTTTTTAACCTAAGGCTTTATATATATATGTCATCATCATCATGTCAATGACCCCCCATCTCTTTATAGCTCTATTTATCCATATCTATATCAATATCTACATCAATATATATCCTTAACTGTAATCATATCTCCACCTACTTAACTTCACATCCCTGTGCCTCTAAGTACCTTAGATCCTACAAGTCTTAAACAGAATTCAGTATCCAACATTTTTTTCTGTGATCTATACTTCAGTTAGTGGAGTGTCTCTTTTTCTAACGGATGGTGAAACATTTGGGGATCACCTTTAAATCCTTCTTGGTTCCTTTCATGAAACAGGCTCTTAGGACCTGTTTGACTTGTGAAATGTCTCTCAGAAAGGTCCTTTTTCTGTTTCTGCTGCCCTAATTCAAGGCCTCTTCATTCCTTATTGTTCTGTTGCAACAGAAACTTATTTGGCCTTCCTGTCTTTGTTGTTTTCCTATTCTTTCCATCCTCCACAATACTTGCAGAATTATCAGCATAAAACTCAAATAGATTTGTCAATACCTTAATTAAAATCTTGTTCTGGCTCATCATTGTATTCTAAGTCAGAAGTTAAAAGCAAGGCTTTGGATCTGACTGACTTGAATTTCCTTTCTTCTACTTTCTAGCCATGATACATTGGGAATTTGCTTAATTCTTTAGCCTTAGCTTCCTCTCCTATAACATGGGCATAATAATAGTTCCTCTACATAAGAGTGTTAGGAAGATGTTATTTGAATGAAATAAAAAATGTTAAAATATTTCAATGCTTGGTACATACTCAATAAATGATAGCTATTATTGTACTGTTAAGAGAATAGCATTCACAGCCTTCCACAGGTCATTACAGCTTGGCTTGCATTATAGATTTCAGATCTATTAGATGCTTGCTAATGTAGCTCATGCTTTTATACCTCCATGATTTGGCTCATGCTGTGTTCCCTACTTGTTGAGAGAATGCTGTGCCACCTCTCCTGTGAAACCATTCTCAGTTACTACAGTCAGACCTAATTACTCTTTAGGGCTTCCTTAGACTTAATGAGAGAATATGCCACTAATTATTCTCGTTCTTCTAGCACTTAGCTTTGGCTAAGAGTTGGGCTCTTAAGAGTCAGATAAATAGCAAGATCAGTCAGTGTTAGCTGCTATTGTTATTATTATTTTTATTAGTTGTGTACCTGTCTTCTCTTTTGACCTCCACCAGACTCCTGCCTCCTCAAGGGCAAAATCATCTGGTTCATTTTTGTTTTCTCACAGTGTCTACAGCACTCCCTTGTACATAATGAGTACTCAGTAAATGTGTTGTATTTAAAGGGTGGAACTTCAGCCTTTCTGGAGCTGCCTGATAGTGGAAGGAAGTGAGATGGGTAAGGTCAGAGGTGATCTGCTTTGAATGTTGTGGAGTGATCTGTAGCAGTTTTCTGCTAGGGGAATGGGAGCATGGTCCTGCATCACCTGGGCTGTGTGGCAGAATTCTTCCTGCAACAAGTTATTTTAATTTCTTTTCTAGCAAAGTGAGGCCTTGAGATTCTCGGATTACCCAACTGTGTGAAATGTCACTAATGAGGCAACATTTTTGTGGTGTCAAATACACTTCTACCTTTGTCCCTTTATTTTTCTAACACCTCCTTAGATACTTGAACACAATTTAGAGGTCTGTAGGAAAATTAACATATTTTTCAAATATGTTAATTTTTGAACAAATTTTGAATTGGTTCAAAATTTGAACAAATTTTTCAAATTTCTACGCCTAAAACACAATAAATATAAATAAGTATGAGGCTAGCCTTTTCAGGCATTTATCCTTTGATCAATGTCAGATACATCATTCCTTAGGAAATCTTGAAGAAATTTACAATGGAAAAAGATGTGTTTTCTTCATTTTCTCTTTCTTGCTTTTGTTCAGATTTGAATAGGCAAGTGGTTATTGAGTAAAATACTATTTTAATTGACTGTTCTTCAGTATTTGCATTTAGAGAAGTGATCTGCAAAGTGCTATGTTAAAAAATGAAGGAGACATAAAAATACCTACAGACCTGGGAAAATGTGTAATTACTATTTGATGCTGGATCTTTGAAACAATAATGTTAAATTTTAACATTCTGAACTATGCTGGCTTAGTAGCTCTATATAAATCATTCCTAATGAAAAAATATTGATACAATAGTAATTCTGTAAATATTTCAGGTGTAAATACAGGTTCAATTTGGAGTAAGCGAAAGAAAGAAGAAACAATAAGGTGATTTAAGATGGTGTGGGTATTTAAAGGCTTTAGGTAATAGTCCTCTGTCGAGTGGTACCTATTAAACGAAAGCCAGACAGCAGGGAAACAAGTGCTATACAGATCACAAATAAGCGACCCAAAGGAAATATACCTAAAAAATTGAAAACCAGTTTAAAGCCTTGTATCACTTTGAAGTTTTAGATTAATTATTTCTACAGAAACATAAATATATTTTCTCCCTTCTTGATACAGTTTACTGTTCTCAGATTCTGTATTCCCACCCCCAGTTTAAATAACTTTATTAAGTCCAGCAACATCTGAGCCTAAGACCGAGACTTCAGTCTACAGGCCATGTGTGGTATGCATATGGATTCACAGATGCGTTCAGAAAAACCACCCCAACAGATTAGGAAATACTGGGTCTCTTAATTTACGTATGAGAAACTGAAGCCTTGAGTGGTTTAAATCAGCAGTCACAAATTAGGACTTGCAGATGGAATTTAGCCCTATAGGCAGGTTTTGTTTGGCCTGTTAGGATGCTTTAGAATTTTTGAGCAAACAGTTAAAAGTTAGGAAATTTTTAGCTTCTCATGAAAATTTAGAGGATCTGATATTGCTGAATTGATATTTCTAAAGGACATCAATTGAGTTGCTTAGCAGTTGCCCCTTTTAACATGATTCATGTATCTTTAGGTTTACAATCCTCACAATTCCCTTTTTTTTTTAACCTGTCTCTGTTTCACTTATTTATGTTACTTGCCTTCCCTTTCTGAAAACTTTTGTTATATAGCAAGTCAGAAGTAAAGAAAGTAGAAATGTCTCTCTTAACTCTTAAAGCAATTGTAGGTTCCTAGCCCCATCACCCAGACAGTGGTTTATAAGAAAGAACCCTGGATTCTAGCTCTTCTGCTGCCATTGACTGGCTCTGTGGCATTGCACAGGTTACTTAGGTACTCTGAACTTCAGTTTTGTTTTCTGTCAAGTGGTCATAATAAGCATTTTAATCAGGCACAGAGTTTTCAGAAAAAACAGCTCTATAAAATCATAGTTAATATTTTGTTATATATTAGATTGCTTAAAAATGCAGTTTCAACTCTACCCTTTTCCTACTGTTTATAGCTTCAATGCTCTGCATCCTACAGGATAAAGTCCAAATTTCTTTGCCTTATCTGTTAGTCTGTTTTTGTATTGCTATACAGGACTGTTTATTGCTGTAAATTACCTGAGACTGGGTAATTTATAAAGAAAAGAGGTTTAATTGGCTTATGGTTCTGCAGGCTATACAGGAAGCATGGCACCAACATCTGCTTCTGATGAGGGCCTCAGGAAGTTTACAGTCATGGTCCAAGGCAAAAGGGGAGATGGTGCATCACATGGCAAGAGCGGGAACAAGATGGGGGGATGATGGTGGGGTGCTTCGCTGTTTTAAACAACCAGCTCTCAAGTGAACTCCGAGTGAGGACAGCACCAAACCATTCATGAGGGATCCAGCCCCATGATCCGAACCTCCCACCAGGCCCCACCTCTGACATTGGGGATTATATTTCAACATGAGATTTGGAGGGGATAAACATTCAAACTATATCGCCTTACAGTCAGCATTCCCAGCCATTTGGTTCCAACATACCTTGCCAAAGTATCTTTATATGGAATGGAATGGAATTTATTCACTATTCATTCTCCATCCTCCCACCCCCACACCCCATTCATTCTTTTGCCTTAAAAAATATTGAGTATTTGTTCCAGTATCTGTTCCAGGCACTGTTCTAGGCAGTAGGGATTACAAAGTTGAACAAGACAAAGTCCCTGCCTCTAACATTCCCATACTTGTATTTTAGATACCGGCTCGGTATTTTTATTTTGTATTTTGAACACATCTTAAGTATGTCTGCCTCCTTTGCTGACACTATTCTCTTCATTATCTTGTTTCTATTTCTTTTATTGTTTTATTCAACAAATATTGATTGATTGCCTGCTGTGTGTCAGACACTGTTCACTGGGTGTTGGTATTATAACAGTCAAGTCCCTGCTCCCTTGGAATTTATGTTCTTGTGGTGTGAATGAACATTTTAGAAATACATATGTGTGTGTGTGTGTGTGTGTGTGTGTATAGATATGTATGTCATCAGGGCTATGAAGGAAAATGTAACAGGGTAAGTAGGGTAGAAAGGAACAGTGTGAGAGTCATAGTGTATATTATCTTAGATGAGATTGTGAGAGACAGCCTTTCTATATGATATCTGAATAGACTCCTGAAGGGACTTAGGGAGGCAGCCAAGAGGGCATCTGGAGGAAGAGTAATCCAGGCAGAGAGCACAAGTGTATGGTTGGCATGTTCTGGGGACAGTGAGAGGGCAGTATGGCAGGTGCTGAGTAAGGGAATAGGAAAAGGGTAAAAGGTGAGCTCAGAAAGGTGGAGGGGTCCAGATCTTGAAGGGCATTACAGTCCATGGTAAGAACCTTGGCTTTTGGCTCCAGACTAAGCTGTGTCTCCTCTGAATTTTTACTTCAAGTTTCTTTGTGAAATCTTCCTTGACCATCCCAGTTTTTGATGATTTATCCTTGGTAATTCCTGGAGAACCTGAAATTATTGACCACCTAATTCATTTGTTGCTCAACTGACTAAACAGTGAGTGCCTGGTTGTCTTCTTACAGGTTTTTGGTTCTGTCCTAACTTCTTCGTAACTTTCTCCAGCATAAGGACTTAGTCTTATACCTTTCTATCCTATGTGATGCTTTGTATCTAGTTGATACTTAATGTATGTTTGTTTTGTGAGGCTCTGGCTTCAGATGTCAGCAGTAAGAATTTGTGATGTCTAAGAAAAAAGAGAGGACTTGGTGATAGATTACACATAAGGAATGATGTTTAGGTTTTAGTTTGTGATCCTGGAATAATAATGGTGTTGTAGATAGAGAAAGGAAAGTTGGGAAGAGAAGCCGATTTTGGAGTAGATTGATGAATTTGGTTTAAAATTTATTGAGCTTTCTGTGCTAGTAGCATATCCAAGTAAAGTTGTCCAGAATGATTTTGATATGTCAAATATATACAGAGTATTGGAGTTACTTGTGACTGCCGCCTGCAGTTATGTAATCTTCTCGAGCAGGGACAACATCTTACTCATATTTCTAGTACTTGGAACAGGGACTGGCAGTGAAATAATAGGTGCTTAAGTCAGTAGTACTTATTAAGTTTTTTGAGACGAGAAGTTCGCATGTAGCTATGATGCATGTCCTAGAAAAGGCATAAGCTCTAGTAGGGTCATTGTGGGTCTGAATTCTAGCCCCACTATGCTCTACCTGTGTGGTCTTGGTTGAGTAAATGAGCACTCTGAATCTCAGTGTCTGGAAAATGGAACTGTAAGACCTTCCTTGCAGGGCTGTGAGATAATGAATGTAGGCATAGGTTCTAGCATAGACTAGTGGCTCAATAAATAGTACCTGTTCATTCAGCTAAAATTGTTAATATTATTATTATAAAGATAATGCCCTCTATTGAATTTCAGATTCTCAGGCTTGGAAAAGAACTCAAAAGCAGTCCCTTTGAGTTAACTAATTGTTTTGGGTGTTTTAATGACTTACTTATACTGATATAGTTAGTGATCAATCTGCATATAATCTCCCACATTAGCTAATCCTGGGAATGCATACAGAAGTCTGAGGGTAATAAGTTAAACATTGTTGGAACATTGGTACATCAGTTACTATTATTATGCATATCAGTTGGTATTCTAGTAGTTTACCCATTATATTCCCAGCTATCAAAACAGCTTTATGGTGGTTTAGGAGTTGACAGACATGTTGGATGATAAATAGTAGAATTATATAATATTTTTATATTTGTAGATGTATCTCCTTAAATAGGATGGAATGATTTCACAGAAGATGAATGAAACTCAATCCCCATAGAAATATTTTTTATAGTAATGAAATTAGTGCTAAATTTAGAGAAGGAAATGGAATCTATTAAAGTTCATTGGGGGTAAAATTCTTGATTAAAATATTTTATTCTGCCAGATACTTCAAATCTTTTTTCTTCAAATCAGAAATTAAGATTTTGGCCTAGAGTACTTTCCTTTTCCTTTTTTTTCTCTAGATATAACTGCCTTACAAGTCTAAGTATGTCTTTTGAAATGATTTCCTGACCGCTTAGGTGTTTTTGGCTTTGATTCCTTAGGAGCCGTTGGGTGCCTCTGAAACTGCATGCTTTACTTTTTGTGTTGGAGCAGATGTCGTGGCACTAAGACCCAGAAACCGTTTGCTCTGTGTGGCTGAAGCTGGGCTGGCTGTGCTCGCACTGAAGGGAAGGAAGTCATTAGTGCAGACTGAGCTGTGGAGTTGGGTTCTTGCAGGATTTCCTTCCAGCCTTTCCCCACTAAGGTTCTTGGGAATTAAAAAAAAAAAAATCTAAACACACAAACCAAGTTTTCCTATTTACAGTGTTCAGGGAAGGTAGGCATTTCGAGAAGGGCAGATCCTTTTCCCAAGTTATCCAAGAAGGAAGCGAAAACAGCGTAAAGAAGCTCTGATTACAGATCTTTGGAATTTTCTTTGCTAAATTTTACAAACGAGAAATACACCCAGAATTGTGGGAATTGCTCCAGGCTGCGCGTGAGGGTTTGATTGCTTGTCTAATCTTTTTTGAGAAGAGGAGAATTCGCCAAAAGGGGTTTGGATGGTAGAAGCCCGGCTGGGATTCTGTAGCAGCCCGCGTTCTCAGTCTCTTCTCTGAGGGAGGGTCTCTGCAGCCAGCTTGGAGACCCCCTGCTACAGGCTCCTTTTGCAGGCGCCGGCCGGGAAAATGCCCCGCTCTGGCAGGAGTACGCCGGTGGCTGCTGGGACTTCCTAGCCTGGTGGGAAGTGTGTTCGTGGTTTGGGGATACTTTTCATTGAACTGAAGGCGAAAAGACTGGACTCTCCTGGGGCTTTTCCCTTCGCAGTGAATATGGGAAAGAATTAGGGGGTGGGAGGGAGGCAGCATGACTTGCAGTCGTCGCTGCCCTGCATCTGCCCCCAGCCCCCAGCCAACATCTTGATGTTCCACGTATCGGCTTTACAAATATGATGAAATGGCAGCCCCGGAAGAAGGTAAGTGTCCTGGAGAGGGGAATGGGGCCCCAAAGCCCAACCCGGGGAAGGGTAACACGGGGCGGTTACCTTCAGGTCTCTCCACCCCTTCCGTAGTTTGCTGGGCCAGCTGGTCCAAACAGCCCTGGTTCCTTTGGGACTTGCATCAGTCCCTTAGGGACGAGTTACCAAATCTGGTCTGCATCCACTGCCCTTTAAGTTTTTCCTTCATGATATGCCTGGAGCCCCAGGGGTGACAGCTCGGAAGCACCCGTTTGCTTTAGAAGTCCTGTGCAGACAGCGACACGATTAGCTTTGCAGGAGCCAGCCAAGACCTACTAGGTGTTGCCCCATGGCGGGGCGTGGGGCGGGAGTGGATTTGAGGCTGCACCCCTGACACAGGCCCCGCAGGTGGTGTTATAACACCTATTTCCCCAAGGGGTTAAAAGGCTCTGAGCCGCTGGCAGCCGTTTCCCCAGGGCCCCGCTGGGGGGCGAGCAGCCCCAGCACACCAGCCCAGCAGCTGGTTCCGGGGCGGCGGGCCGAGAGGCCTCCTGCCTGAGCGCCTGGGGCTGGCCATAGCCGGGCCTTCAGCCTGCGGGGCTCCTGAGGCCTCGTGGGCCCGTGCGATTGCCTGCGCTGGCCATTGTGCACGGGCGTGTGTCTGTGCGTGTCAGCGTGCACCAGCGTGTGTGAATCGATCATGGGGAAAAGGGGGAGGGGGCACTTTGCTTTTTGCGAGATTATTTCCTAATATGGCTCCTTTGTTGAGAACTCAAGAAAAAAAAAAATCCAGCGGTTCTATCAAAATAAATTGCTATTGGTCCCAGAAATAACGTTTCTAAATGTGGGACTGGTCCCTACCCTAGGACGTCGAGGGAGAAAGACAGCTTTCTTCAAGTTGTTGGCCGCTGTACATTTGGCTAGGGCTCCTTTTTGCCAACTTGTCTGACTGCCCCTAACTGTTAGGCGAACCCAGTTGTTCACTGCATAACAGGCCTTTTTTTTTTTTTTTTTTTAAACTTCAAATACCTCATTTGGCCGTGGTTTTTATTGACATTCTTCTGAAGGAAAACATAGCAAACTGAATGTGCTGTGGTCCTCTCCAGCCTTGACCTGTCTCTGTTAGCCGCTGCCTGGTTTTTACTTGAACTAGCTAAACTGACTCTTTTCTTTGTGGCACGATGTGTGATACTGTGTTTTATATCAGAACTGAAATAGAAATCATGTGTGAGGTGCATGAGAAGATATTGTGCATTTGTTTTATTGCTAGAGAATCTAACAAACCCTGCCTTAGCATAGCCTGGCGAATTGAAAGGTTTTCTTTGATATCTAATTGATGGCATTTTGTCCTCTGACCCTGTGTCTTTTCTACTTCATCCTGAAGTCAAGAATCTCTTATATATTATAATAGTTCTCATCACAGAGCTTCTTTCAGTGAGATTGATTCCATTCACTTTGGTTGAGAGAACTATATATTCCCCACCCCCACCTCCAACCCCAATACAGACAGAACGAGGAAAACTCATAGAAGAAACCATATAATTAAGCAATTTAAACAGATGCTGCGTATTCCTAAAGTCCCCCATTTCTTCTATATTTGTAATTGCATGTTTATGAGTAGTTTTAAGATGTCTGCAAACTCTACATTCATAAACGTCTGCTTTTTCTATTTTACCCAATATGCAGTAACTCATGTGGTTATGTCTGTGGAAACCCCTCTGGGTACTGGTATTGCTTGAACCACGGAAGTATTATTCTTGGCAGTCAGGTGGATTTCTGGACTCTGGAAGATTCTGTTTCAAGTGTTAGGATTCACTCTGCAGTATTTACTCACTCTGTGATGCTTAAATTGCTATACCAGAAGGTTGTATTTATTCACTGTATTCATAATCTCATATCATCATGTTGTAAAGATCCAGATACAATTCTTCAGAGTTCATAAAAGATTAAAAAATAAGCTGAGCCATCAAATACCATATGCTTATTTGGTGGTAGCTTGACAACAATTCTTGTTTCTTCTACATTGGAAATAGGAGCTCCCTTGGAAGAGATTAGATATCCAACTCTGGTAGGGCACCAGTAAGTCTTTACAAAGATTAGGTTTATTTTCTTACTCTTGCCAGAATACTCACATGATCAGATCATTGCCATGGTTTCTGGCTCAGTCTGCTAACACATTTGTAGTGATACAGTCACATGCCATGTGTTTTACCAAACGGTTTCATAAAAACCATTTACCCTACAGATGAAAAGTGATACTGCATTGATGTGATTTTAACAAAGCTAGGAAGATCATCCAAAGAGTGCTACCCCAAGCAGCATTTGTGGTAGCTTGCTATCATGGTGTCCTGTCAGTCACTACTAGTTTTGGCTTTTCTAAATCCTAGGCTCACTGTAAGAGAGTGATTATAGGTTCTAGATTTCTTTGTTTCTAATGGAGCATGCAGCTGGGGTATATGATTGAACGGGAGCTCTCTCCTCTCTTTTCTCTGCTTACTTGCTGGATTAATCTAAATACTAAAACAAGCTTTTTAAAGGTGTGAGTCTGCAATATTCAGTTAGGGTTTGCAACCTTTTCACAAAGAAACTGTCAGAACAAAATTAATCATGTTCTGCCCCCAGTGTCAATGAGGACCTTAGGTCCCAGTCTTCTAGAGTGCAATAGGTCTCCCACCAAGAGCCATGTAATTGCCCTAAAAAGCAAGATTCACAAGTATATACTTATATGTCCAAATTCATTCAATTGTATAAATTAAATGTGTACAGCTGGCTGGTCGTGATGGCTCACGCCTGTAATCCCAGCACTTTGGGAGGCCGAGGCGAGCGGATGACCTGAGGTCAGGAGTTCGAGACCGGCCTGGCCAGCATGGTGAAACCCCGTCTCTACTAAACATACAAAAAATTAGCCAGTCGTAGTGACGGTGCCTGTAATCCCAGCTACTCAGGAGGCTGAGACAGGAGAATCGCTTGAATCTGGGAGGTGGAGGTTGCGGTGAGCCGAGATCACGCCATTGCACTGCAGCCTGGGCAACAAGAACAAAACTCTGTCTTAAAAAAAAAAAGTGTACAGCTTTTTATATGTCAATCATACCACAGAAAAGTTTAAAATAAAAAAGCAAGATTCTGAGCAGTTAACCCAACCTTGTCATGGTAAGAATGGCATTTAATATCATACAAATAAACAGCTATAATTTTAAAAGCACTTGTTCTATGCTAGTCATCTTTAATTGCTCTATATGTGTTTATTTAATTCTTATCCAGTGAGGTGGTAGGTGTTATAATTTGTATTTTACATATAAGCAAACTGAGGTTTAGAGGGGTGAAGTGACTTACCCAGTCACATAGCATGGTAGGATCACAGCTAGGATTGGACCAGGCCTTATTTACTTCAAAATGTGTGTTATTTACCATTATACTTGGGAATTTTTCTGACCAGGGATTTTTATCCAAGAAAGATAAAGCTGAGATGATCCCAATAAATGAATGTTAGCCAGAGCTTTGCTCCGTCACTTCTAGATACTAGCACCAAGGTGCTCTTCTTCCCATTCCCCTTTCCTCTTGAGAAAAAAAACCATAGTGATTTTACCCACCTCTGAATTCTTGGAGCATTTAGAGTCTGTGCCTCTGTAAGTGGATTGTCTTTTATTGGTTGTAATCTTTTGGTCTCCTTGTGCATATATCTCTATTTGTGTATATATCTTGCCTCCTCATTACACTTAAAACTCCTTGAGTTCAGGAACCATATTTTACAACTCTTTTTTTGGTGCCAAGGATAATATAGTTGCTCAATATATACTTATTTGTTATGAAAGTAAATCAGAACTATTTTTAAAACCTATATTTTTAGGCTTTCTTATATTTCAGTTGATTCATAGATGCAGACTGTAGTGGATTGTTAAAGAAAACCAGAATATTTTGTCACTCATTTCTAATCTTTTGTAGACAATAGTAGGGAGGGAGAAATCACACTCTCGGCAAAATCTCAGTGAAAGTCATGGTTAAAACATAGTACCAGGCTCTGTCAACCAGGTACCCCATCCAGTGTCATGATTCTTTTATTCATATAACCTTATTGGCCTGGAAAAATATACTTTCCCGTTTTTACCTTTAGTCAAGAGACTACATCATGCATCACATCTTTATCTTATATTTGCAGAAATGATAGTAATTAAAATGCTCATCTCATAGGAACATGTTTGTTTATAATTCTGAAGCTATTTCTGCTCTTTAAAATCCAAGGATTAGTATCAGATAACACTGTGTAAATAAGACTGCAGTCAAAACCTTCAGGAAAGCTGCTGCTGATTGGATTTTTTCATTGCTCATCTAATGTTATTTTACTGTTCACACATAATAAAAGACCATTAATAGGAATATGTCGACATAAGCTACATTAATTATGTCATTTGAGAGTCATATGATATATTTATCTTGTTATACTTGTCACATTAATAAAATGTGAATCTGGCTCTCAAATGATTTCTCTGATGGAGTTCCATTTAAAAGCCTTGTTTGGAAGCTCATTTGTGAGGATTATGCCCTGTAGATTTGTGTCTTAGAATAGCTTATTACTTTTACAAAAGAATGTATTTCAAGTCCCTATGCTTTCTCTATGATGGAGTACTTTGTTTCTGTATTATAAGGCTAAGTCTTAAATTTTAATATGCCTATACTAAATTACTTAGTTACTTGCCAGAATGCTGTGCTAGTTGGTATTATTATATTATTCATTTTGGGCCACAATTTATTTAATAGTATAACATCAGACTTTAAAAATAAGTATTGTGGACAAAAGTAGTTATACAGAGAAGTCTTAGAAATTTCATGATAGTAGTCTTTCTTCAAATCCATTCTATACTCCATTCCCAGATCAGTGCAACCAAGAGACCCAGGTTTTGGTTCTGGCGGATCTCTTGACTCTTGGCCTTGGGGGAGTCACTTAATCTTTCACATTTGACTCCCCACTGTTATAGTTAGTGCCTCATTATTATCACTTGCTGGATTTATTGCAAATGTCATCCTAATGAATTTTCTTTTTCTGGCCTCTTTTTTCCCCCTCTAATCCTTCCAAGTAATTACTTAAAAAAACACATGTCTAGCCTAGGGAACATGGCAAAACCTCATCTCTACCAAAAAAACAAAAATTAGCCAGGTGCACTGGTGCACACCTATAGTCTCAGCTGTGTGGGAGGCTGAGGTGGGAGAATTGATTGAACCCAGTAGGTTGAGGCTGCAGTGAGCTGTGATAGTGCCGTTACACTCCAGCCTGAGTGACAGAGCAATACCCTGTATCAAACAAAGCAAAAAAACAAACTCCCAAACAAAAAAAATGCATATCTGTTCATATTACTCACCTTCTTAAAGCCCTACCCTGTTTCTTCCTTGTCTAGTAAATGTTCTCCAAAGTTGGATAAGCATAAACTGGGCTGGGGTGAGAGGGGATGGTTGCAGGAAAATGACTGCATATGGGAAAATCTGAGAACTTATGTTTTTATGTATTTTTATATTCTAAAAGAATAAGAGCTGGGTGCAGTGGCTCATGTCTGTAATCTCAGCACTTTGGGAGGCTGAGGCGCGTGGATCACTTGAGGCTAAGAGTTCGAGACCAGCCTGACCAACATATTGAAACCCCGTCTCTACTAAAAATACAAAAATTAGCCAGGAATAGTGGTGCATGCTTGTTAACCCAGCAACTCAGCTGGCTGAGGCACGAGAATCGCTTGAACCCAGGAGGCAGAGGTTGCAGTGAGCTGAGGTCATGCCACTGCACTCCAGCCTAGGTGACAGAGCGAGACTCTGTCTCAAAAAAAAAATTAAAAGAATAAGAAATAAAATAAGCTTTACTGATCTTCTGATATGATTTGTCACTTGAGCTTTCCTTTGCTGAAAGGTCAAAGGGATTCTTAGTGGTGCCCACTCACTGTTGAAGTCATTTGTTCACTTTCAGTGTGTTGTGGCGTATTGTAGTTTACATCATAAAATATCCACCTTAAACAATTAATTTTATTCAAAAGAAGAAGATGAAAAAGAAGACTGTAGTATAGGTTGTAGCATGATGGAGAGGATGGACTCTGAAGCTAGACTGCCTGGGCATGAGAATTCTAGTCCAGCCTCTCAGCAGCTGTGTAGCCAAGTTACTTAACTTCTCTGTACTTCAGAGATCTCAGCTATTTAATGTGAATGGCACCTAGCTCTTAGTGTGACTCTGTAGTTATAATGTAAAATGCTTACGAGAGTTCCTTGCATATAAAAAGTACTTAATATGTTTTTCCTCGTAGTATGATAATACTCCATAGTCTAGCTGGACATGGCTCACTAAGTTTCTTTCCCCTTTCTAGAGGGCCTTCTCCTCATGTTCTTCTTAACTTGCCTTCCTTTTGTTACTGGTTATACTTTAAGAACTAACTCAGCCTTCTCCTCCTTGGTGAATCCTTCTGTAAGCAGTTCTTCTATTGCCAGGCATAGATGGCCATACCCTCCTTTGACTATATTTTTATAGGCCACAGTTGTAGCCCTGTACTGAAGCTGTCAGTATGTCTGTCTCTATCAGTTTAAAGTTTTGAGGGCATAGGCACAGAAGAGGAGCTGAATGAATGAATGTATAAATGATGAATATATTTATGGGATGAGATGCACAGTGATCTTCAGTCAGTTGGCAAGATCTTCTGACCGGCCAGTTATTAGAAATGCTAAGCTTGCAAATTTATCTCTATCCATTTATCAACCTCTCAGAAATGCAATATTGAATATAAGTGAGGGTGACTTATTCATTAGTAACGAGGGTGACTCATTAAAGGGATAATCTTAACTATGCACCTATTAAAATTAAAGTCACAGTTATGAGGTGGTGGTTGTGTAATATTGTGCATGTACTAAACGCCACTGAATTTAATATTTTAAATGGTTAATTCTATGTTATGTGAACTTCCTTTCAATTAAAAACAGGGGGAGGAGATGGGAAAGTTACAGTTATTTGTGACACAGCTCACAACTGATCATGTGATATCAGTGCAGGAGTGCCATGGTTGTAAACCACCAGACTAAATCTTTACTCCTTTTAGTCCTAAATATTTTTGATTCTGTAAAATTGGTAGGGAATGGTCATCTATAGAAAACTACTTCCAGGAACATTTGAGAAGATGGGAATAGTTGATAGACTTGACAAGAAGTGAAGGAAGTCAGTGATGAAGAAATCTGAGTTGGCACCTTTACTATTCAGGAGCTAGCCAGTAAACATTGCCAGTGTAAGAGGCTACAGAGTTTAATTGGCCCAACTTCAAGAAAGGGCGCCAGCAGCCACCTTCATTTTGCTAGTCAGTCACAGTGATGACATGCTGTGGAAAACCTGAAATCCCGGCTGGCCCTGTCAGCTTTAGCTTCTACAGTGAATTCATTATATCATTAATAACAATGTATGTCTCAGCTTTAAGACTTTGCTTTTATTGATGTGCTAAAACCATGTCATTTTATTGAAAGCTGTAAGAATTATATCATTTAACTGACATTTTCAGGATTTATAGGAAACCTTTGTCCTGAACTTTCTTGTTAGTCCACCCTTTTTAGGTTCTTCTAGCTAAGAGGAGTTCTCACATTCTCACATGATTGAATTCTTTAACTGTATTCCCTTTTCAGCACATTTTGCCATTTAGAGTATTCTGTTAGGGTGTTCTGTCATTGTTATTTTGAGTATTCTGTCCTTTTTGCATGCATTTTAAGAAAAAACATAAAATTATGTTCTTTGACTTACACCTTCTGTATACTAAGCAGCATTTTTAGAGAAGTCTTGTGAAATAAGCTTGAAGGCAGTTGTCAAAGCTGCATATAAGCTTTTTTGCTGGTAGATATCTCTCAATTTGAACTATTAAAGAATGAAATTTATCTATCTTATATCTGGTTAGTAAGCCAATGGTCATTCATGAATGCACCCATATTTCCAGCACCATTTACTTTGTGAGAGGTAATATTTTAGATTTACATCATATTGGGGGCCTGAGACTTGTAGAAGCACAGATGTTGAGGCAAGCCCGAGTTACGGAGCAGCTGACATTTGGAATAGGGGCCTGGTAGAGTTGGGAGCCGGGAGGTCTTTGTGGGAACTGATTGTTTGGACACACACTCTTCCAAAAACTCAATGTATATAGGCTTGAACCTATAAAGATGGTAGAGGGGAGTAGGGAAGGATGAAATCCAGGAGTATTAGATATTTTGGGAGCTGTGTTTATGAAGTAGAGATTTTCAGGCATAAGTAAGACTGTTGTTTTTTTGAAGAGAAAATGTCACAGTGAGTGATGGTGGATACATGATCATTTTGGTAGGCGTTGAGTCTTTACTGCTTAATAATTAGTTTTTGTTTTTGTTTTTCCAACAGAGGGTGGAATGGAGAGTAGAGATGGGGTTTCACCTTGTTGGTTAGGCTGGTCTCGAACTCTTGACCTCAAATGATCCGCCTGTCTCAGCCTTCCAAAGTGCTGGGATTACAGGCATGAGCTACCACTGCCCCATACCTGCCCATTTTTTTAGGTGAAGTTTTCTAAAATATATTACATATTTTCTGCCTTCTTAAACAGAAGGTACTAAGCATGATTTAACTTTCTCCTGATTACTCAGTATTATTATCACAAGCATGAATTATTCTACTGCTCTAACACAGTAAACCTTTAGGAGCTTTTAAGGAATGTAGAATTATTTATTTCTATACTAAATGATCCCAGATTGATGTTTTATTTCTTTTAAAATAATTTTATGTCTTCTTTGTATGGTTTTTATTTTTCTTTCCATGTTGCTGAAGGTAATACTGTTGTCATGTAAATTCATCAACTATCTACTTATTAAACTAAGAAACCCCAAAAAGCTTGACATTTGTTCTCCCTTTATACTTTCTGGTTTTAGGCTATGTTTTAAATAGTTGAGGTAGTTAAATAAGTGACCTTTTGATAAATAAGATAATATTTATTGTGGTATTGATGACCAAGAATTAGATATATTTGAGGATGCAGTGTCAGAGACTGAAAACATTTTGAATGATTGGCTAAATGCCACTATAGTTTCCCCTTTTCTGATTTTTGCTTTGGTGTATCTGACTTGCCTTTTTTTTCCCCCAGTAACTTATTCAAACAAACACACACAATACAAAACCATGGTGGAAGGAACTAGTATTAGAGGTTTATGTGAAGGGTAGAATTACATATCCTGGAGAGCATATGCAATTGCTTTTAAGAAGAAATGACCAAGGAACCCATGTGATTAATACATAATTAATACATATTTAAATATTAACTAGTTCTATATTAATTAAAATGTTATTTTTAGTGACACAAATATTATTTATTTTAGAGAATCCTTCTTGTTTTAGCCTAGGCTTTTGCTAGATAGTATTTATAATACTTAGACTAAAACATTTGTAAAAGAAAAAGAACCTTAAGGAGCATTTGATTTTGCAGACTAGTAAGCAGAGTAGCAGAAAGGTAAACTGGTTCCCTTGGGATCACATAGCTATTCAGAAGCTGGCTCTTGACCTGGGTACTTTAAGGGGGAGGGCCGTATCCACTGGGCTTCTCTCCTTCTGCTTCTTTAGGAGTTTGCAATCTAGGGTTTGGTTTGTTTATAAGAAAAGTCTCCATCTCAAAAGAATAAAAAATAAATAAAAGACAAGACAGTTTTATAGACAGTATATTTTGAAGATACCGAGAAATTTATTTGCTTTCAGATACATTTTCTATAACTTATTTTTCTAAAATTCCTTTGTGCTGAGGCTTTAAAAATCATAGGAAAATGCAAATTTGATAGTAACATTTGTGTGCTCTTTGTTATCTTTGCTGGCCAGTCATCCAGCAAGATGTTGAGAAACAGGATCCATATAACCACTTGATGTAGCTGGTAGGGAGGATTCATGAAACATCAAGACCATAGTGACTGTGTGAACTGTTCTGACAGGCCCACTTTGGTGGGGACCCTGGGTAGTCAAGAAACAACATTAAGGGGTCTGTGTTTTGAGGGGACAGGAGAAGAAGATAGTTGAGAATGAAGATAGAGGATGTTGACCACAAACTTCACATACTTTATAATTTCAAGGGAGGATTAGCTTTAGGTTACTGTAGATGATGCAAAGGACCAAGAGAAGGGAAGAAAAATTAATGACTACTATCAATAAAGGTAGAATAACTTAGGTGAAAAGTAAGTAGTTTGTCAGTTTACACAAATACAAAATAGATCTCATTGATAAGTAAATCATAACTGCATATGCTTGTCATTGTTCTAATTATTTCTGATGCTAGCGTGGTTCTCAAGAAATTTTAATGAACTATATAAATGCTGTCCTATTCATAGTATTCATGAAACAAGCAATTTAGAAGAACTGGGCTATTATAGAACCAATATTTCCAGTAAATAACTGTAAATGTGGGCAAATTGTGCTAATTTGAGCAGAACTCGGTGACTTTATTTTTTAAGGTGAATCTATAATATATCTTTGCATTGTCTCATATGAATTAAGAATGAATGAGAATGTAAAATTCCTAAAGCTAATTTTTAAAGTATTAACAAATCAATACATTTTACTGCTATTTATTTTATATTTTTTTATTTTTATTTTTATTTTATTTATTTATTTATTTATTTTGAGACAGAGTCTCGCTCTGTCACCCAGGCTGGAGTGCAGTGGCGTGATCTCGGCTCACTGCAAGCTCCACCTCCCAGGTTCACGCCATTCTTCTGCCTCAGCCTCCCGAGTAGCTGGGACTACAGGCACCCGCCACCACGCCTGGCTAATTTTTTTGTATTTTTAGCAGAGACAGGGTTTCACTGTTTTAACCAGGATGGTCTCGATCTCCTGACTTCGTGATCCGCCCACCTCGGCCTCCCAAAGTGCTGGGATTACAGGCATGAGCCACTGCGCCTGGCCTATTTTATTTTATTTTATTTTATTTTAAGACAGAGTCTCACTCTGTTGCCTAAGCTGGAGTGCAGTGGCATGATCTTGGCTCACTACAACCTCCTCCTCCTGGGTTCAAGTGATTCTCCTGCCTCAGCCTCCCAAGTAGCTGGGATTACAGGTGCATGCCACCACGCCCGGCTCATTTTTGTATTTTTAGTAGAGACAAGGTCTCACCATGTTAGCCAGGCAGGTCTCGAACTCCTGGCCTCAAGTGATATGCCTGCCTTGGCCTCCCGAAGTGCTGGGATTACAGGCGTGCGGCACTGTGCTTGGCCTATATTACTGATATTTAAACATTGATTGAAACAAGATGAAAATATGGAGAAACTTAGTACATTTCTTTATCTTTTTGTTTAAAATGTAAGCATAAAAATTCTAACTGTAAGAGATATCAGTTAAAGGAGGGATCTTAAGTTAACAGATTATTGACTGTGTGTAATTACATGTACAAGTAGAGTTACTATTTATATTGACCAAATAAACTAGGTAAGATTAATAGGCACAGAGGTATAATCTTACCATGGATGAGCTTTAAACATTAATATGAAATTGTACAGTTTTTGTTAAATAAAACCAGATATTTGTTTAGAGTTTAAAATATATATTATTCCTTAATAGACTGTGTAGCTATTTTAGAGACTGTTTCAATGACATGCTTCTAAATTAGAATAATTTTAAAAATCAAATTTATCATAAGTGATCATATTATTAAACATTTACTATAGCTGCAGGAGATGCAAAGATGAATAAAGTGCATTTCTCAGGCTACGATCTAGTAGTGGGGATAAGGCAAGTCCCCAAATACCTGAAATATGAGGTGGCATATGTTAAGCATCACCAGAGAGGCACAAAGTTCTCTGGAGAGTGAATTAAAGGAGAGGTCACAGCTAGATTGGATGGGAGATGAAGAAGTATTTGGAATTGGGGGTAGGAATGAGTGGACCAAGAGAGTCTTCACGGTAGAGTAGTATTTTAACTTGACTTGAAGGGTAGGCTGATTTTTACCAGGCAGAGATGAGGGAGTACATTCTAGGCAACAAGAAGAGGAAAGGCAAGCTCTGGGCATGTTTTTTTTTTTTTTTTCTTTTACAATGGTAAGGAATCTCAGTTTGGCTGGAGAATAGACTTCAAATGCCAGCTGAAATCCAGACGGTGATTGGCCTCAAAGATGGTGAAATTAGGTTTTTACATGCTTATTCTCCTCTTAATGCCCAATGAGTAACTGGTTTTTCTCCCATTTTCTTATTAAAGGAAAATGAAAAACTGAGTAGGCTGCAAATGATGGGATTTTATTTGGCTCTGCAAGGATTTTTATAAATACTACAGCAGCTGTTTACATGTTTTCCATGATTGCCCCATGCATATCAGAATGATTCTGCTCATTGTTTCATGCATAAGCCCACATTTGACTAGTTTATCTTTGAATGTTTGCCATTCTCATTTTGTTTGCACTCCTTTGGGTAATATTAGTTACCTGATGAAGGGACTCTCCTGTATTTGGAATTCCAAGCTCTTCCAACTTCAGAATGCCATGTCTTTACTACATATATTATGTAGTACTGTTAAACAATCAGTTTGAGATCTGTAGCACAATTCACAGAGCAACAATCTCTCCTGTATTTCCAAATAAAGTCTTTGAAGGGAATGATATTTGCAGAATGTGCTATAGTGGTAAATTTAGAGAGTACAAGATAATTACTTGTAATTATGGCAATTTCTGTAAGGGAAATCATCTTAATTTGTTCCCACTAAGAAATAGAATTGCTCTACTCATAGCGTGTGAATCTTTTTAGGAGATTAATGCGGTGTGCCTTCATTACTTTGAATGGACATTACAGCTTTTCACTACATCTGAAATTACCCCTTAATTCATGCTTCTGTTTGAATTTCTGCTAAATGCAGTCTTCACTAAAAAAAAAAAAAAAAAAAAAAAATCATATTCCAGAGCCCTTGTTGGAGAGAACTTACACATCCATCCTAAGCAAATTGTAAAAGAATAATACATCCCACATTCTCTTGTGGGAGAATAAACCCACAAAGAAGTCATAGTCTGGATGGTGAAAAGAGTCTTTAACTCATACTTGGAGCATTCTCCTGTCATGCTATTCTCTGAAGACTTTAAAATTTAGATGGCCTTTAGGCTGATTGGTAATTGCTGTGGCTTAAAAGGAATGCTGTGTCTCTGGGCATTTTTGTGAAGACAGAATTCTGTCTACTTTTTAATTTTTAAGTATTCAATTATACCATCTGGGAAAGGTAAGCCATGTGTAGGTTAAGACAGAGAGAAATTGAAGTGGGAAGAATGGGTTTACAGTATAATACAATTAATTGGAAAGAATATTGAAAAAGAAATGATGGACATATGTCTAGATGGGAGACAAAGGTGCTAAGTATAGAAAATTAACTTAGGCTATGATTGTCTGCAAAAATAAATGATTTCAGATTTTCAGAGCTGCTGGGGTTTTAAAATTTCTGAGTTTTTTTTCAGTTAGCACCTATTTGTTCACATTTTATAGGAATTTCTTTGGCTACAGTAAATCGAGGCAAGTATGTTAGTGCTAGAATTTCTATATCCCTTGATGCCAGGTGCAGTGCTCTGCATTGTGAAGACACTTTTCTGTGTTTGAGGCCCTGGAGGGAGAAAGGTAGCTTTGGCCATCATTTTTCAGCGATCAGAAGCCATGCTTCAGTACAGCAGCTTTTAGGTAGGATCAGGCAGAGGTAGTGAGATACAAAAGCTGCAAGTGACTCGAGAGCTGTTCTTTGATTTGGAAGTGTGTAGCCCTGTTCTACTAAGATCTGAATTTGTAGTCAAACTTTGATTAATTGATTGAATAATTATTTCTATATGCGTTTACTGGGGGCTTACTATGTGCCAGGTGCTGGCTATTTATATCATAATGAGGAGGCAAATTGAGTAACACTAATGATGACTCCACTATTTCAAGATTTGGGATACTTCAGTTTACTCTTTTAAATGTTTACTGAATTTAATTTATTAACTATAAGCTTTTTAATAATTCATGAAATGGGCTGGGCGCGGTGGCTCATGCCTGTAATCCCAGCACTTTGGGAGGCCGAGGCGGGCAGATCACGAGGTCAGGAGATCGAGACCATCCTGGCTATCATGGTGGAACCCCGCCTCTACTAAAGATACAAAAAAAATTAGCCGGGCGTGGTGGCGGGTGCCTGTAGTCCCAGCTACTCGGGAGGCTGAGGCGGGAGAATGGCGTGATCCCGGGAGGCGGAGCTTGCAGTGAGCTGAGATTGTGCCACTGCACTCCAGCCTGGGCAACAGAACAAGACTCTGTCTCAAAAAATAAAATAAAATAAAATAAAATAAAATAAAATAAAATAAAATAATAATTCATGAAATGTTAGAACTTGGGGGATGCAGATTCAGATATAATATGATCCCTATTCTCAATGAGCTTACAGTCTAGACAAGAAGTCAGAATAGAAAATGAATTATTGCAATACAGTACAATAACAGTGGTACCACAGATAGGGTGCTATGGAAACATTGAAAAGCAGGAGAAAGGAGGAGGAAATGATAAGAGCTAAGCATTGAACTATGTGTAGAAGTTGTCTAGGTTAATAACCACTTTGTATTTTCATAGTACAGACTTATTTATCCCTTCATTTTTACTAGAGTGATTTCAAAAGTAAAGGGATTTGCCATTCCAAATTCGTATATTTTCATGGTATTATATTGTTGTCCATAGCTTGATTTTCTCTGAAATACTTCTGCAAGGTAGATGGGCATTTTCCTACATACTCACCTCCGATTAGTTTTCACAGTTAGATTGTTAATAAAATGAGTGCTACCTCTTTTTTTTTTTTTTGTCTTACGGTACGATGTTCTTTCTTTGCAATACTTTTAATATTTAAACCTTTTGAGTATTATACCTATATTAATTTGTTTTTTCTTCATTTTTTAAAATGAGGAAGGCAGTTCTTAAAGTATATTCCACATGATTTACTGAGGAAGAAAAAATTCCATGGTTAAAAAAGTTTAGAAGAGGTGTACATATTGTCTCCCTCTTGGAGAGTCATTTGGCACATTGTGAGGGTTCTGAGAAGTCCTACAATTAAAAAGGAAGGTAGGAGGGGAGGAGAAGAGAGACTTCTTTACCTTTATTCGACTTAATTTACCTGAATTTGACTTTAATTTACCTGAATTCGACTTCTTTTTTTTTTTGATAACATAAACATTTGTATTTGGGGAATTGCTTTCTTAACATACCTTTGTTTTTGGATTAGATATAATAATTTATACACATAATCAATATGGAAATATTCTTTTCCTCTTTTTTTGAGACGGAGTTTCATTCTTGTCGCCCAGGCTAGAGTGCGGTGGCGCGATCTCTGCTCACTGCAAGCTCCGCCTCCTCGGTTCAGCGATTCTCCTGCCTCAGTGCTTCCGAAGTAGCTGGGATTACAGGCGCCCGCCTCCAAACCCGGCTAATTTTTTGTATGTTTAGTAGAGACGGGGTTTCGCCATGTTAGGCAGGTTGGTGTCGAACTGACCTCAGGTGATCTGCCCTCCTCGGCCTCCCAAAGTGCTGGGATTACAGGCGTGAGCCACCGCGCTCGGCCTTTTTTCCTCTTACAGTTGAAATTAGTTGGAAAGAAAGAAAGGAGGCAAGAGAAGTAAATAAAATGAGAAGACTATAGGAATAGAAAGATGTTAAGAGAAAAATATTGATAGCAGCAGAAAGGTAAAAAGAAAATATATCTTGTAAAATTATAAAATGTTACTAAAATGTGACATAGTAAAATCCATTTATCAGGTTTCTGAATTTAATATTTCCCCAGAGACATGACAATATTGTTAAGTGGCAAAGTATTTTTCTCACATTTAATTTTTTACAGTGCTTAGAACATTACTGTTTTTCCTGAAAAATGTTATCTGTAGGTTTCACTTTATTATTAAAGGACTAACGTTTTTAACAATATAAAGTTAGATAAGAGAGCATAGTTCCCTTGGTGAATTTCACAATTGGGAAAGCATTTTTCCTTCCTGACTGTTGAAGGGCAGATAAGTTTGAGGTGGTATGAAAAGAATCTCTAAGTGAGATGCTGCCTGTGATAGTGTGAACTGTAGTAGAATATCTCTAGGTATTGAATGAAAGTATGGATTTTTGCTTGGTTACTTTTTTAATGGGGTACTGTTATTCTTTTGGACCTCTAATGGGGAAACAAAAGGCCATTTCTGAACTTGATTAGAGGGGAGGTCAAGGAAGGTCGTTGAGTCTCTCAGCCCTTGTCTTGCCAAGTAGCTTAGGTAAGAAGAGGAATACTGAGGGGGAAAGAGCAGGATCTAAGTCTTGTCAAAATAGACTAGTTAGCTCTTACATGGTGGATCACCGAGTGGTTCCCTTATTCCTAGTTCCTTAGGAACTAGGAAGTAAGAAACTTGGGAAGCTGTACAGATAGATCTCTTGGGGTTAGAATGTAACTATTTTAGGAATTTAGAATGGTCTAATCCAACTCCTGAGCAAACCAACTAAACTATATAAAGATAGATTCAGAAAATGGACTATGTAAGCCTGACTTTGTGTGTGTTTAAATATTGTTTAGTTTTGTTAACCTTGGCATTTTAAGTCTTTTTGAAAATGTTACCAGCTGTACTGAAGATAACCAAAGGAAGGTTTTGTTGTTGTTTTCCACCCCCACTAGGTTGGGCCATTCATTGAACAAATATTTACTAAGTGCCTTTTGAATTTTCTTTCTTTCTTTTTTTTTTTTTTTTTTTTGACGTGGAGTCTCACTCTGTCACCCAGGCTGGCGTGCAGTGTTGCGATCTCAGCTCACTGCAACTTCGGCCTCCTGGATTCAAGTGATTCTCCTGCCTCAGCCTCCTGAGTAGCTGGGACTACAGGGCACACACCACCAAGCCTGACTAATTTTTGTATTTTTAGTAGAGATGGGATTTCACCATGTTGGCCAGGCTGGTCTTGAACTCCTGACCTCAAGTGATCCATCTGCCTCAACCTCTCAGAGTGCTGGGGTTACGGGCGTGAGCCACCGTGCTCAGCCAAAATTTTGTTGAGGGAAGCTAGCTGCTAGTGAGATGATGACAGCCACTATCAAAGTAAATGGACCTCGAGGGAGAGCAAGACTGAAGAGATATTGTTGGGCCCTATTGTAGGGCAGAAGAGTTGCCCTTACTCTGTTCCCAAAGTCCCTCATTCCATCGCAGCTTGCCCAAGTTGAACTCATTCTTCAAGGCCTTGCCCAAGCCTCTTCACGGTGAGGCTCTCCTAGATTCACCAAGTTGGAATTAATCTCTTCTTTAATTGCACCATTTTTACCTTCATTAGAGCAATTATTGCAGTTTGATCACTTGATCAATGAATCCATTGGTTTATTGATTCAACATGTTTTCATTACACACAATGTATCAGCCATTCAATATATCAGAGAGGGTACTGATGAGTAAGACTCTATCCCTGTCTTCAAGGAGCGAATCGTGCATTCCTTTTGCTTGTTTATATTGGTTTCTGCCACTTGATCTTAAACCCCTGAAGGACACAGTAATGGGCACTTATTCATCTTCTCTCATATGCCCAACATAGTGCCTGACTTGTAAAAGGCATTTAGCCAGTGCCTTGGAATATATTTGTTTTTGTTTCTGACACATGCAGAACTGAAGATTCTTGGATATTGGTCCATCATTTGACATTTGTATAATAGGCTTGTATTGGAGGAAAACAGAGTTCTGACAGGTTACATTAAATGACACATCCAGCTGTATTTAGTACGTCAGCAACAGATTAATTCATATTCTGATACTTTTTATGTTAGTTTGCAAGCCACTGAACTATTGTGCCTTACTTTAGCTTATATTAAATAAACCAAATAACTAAAGAACTGTGTTTTAGAAATGTAAATTTGTAGTAGAAACAAAGGATTGGATCTTTATTTATATGTACAGTGACTTAGTAAGCAATAGAGTCAAATGTCAAAAGGCTTTTAGGTCACTGGTTGAGTAGCATTGTGGTTTATTATTTACCTTTTGCCTACCACAAATGTTCTTCTAATCCAAGAACCCAGAGTAAATGTTTGCTGAGAGTCTCTACAATGCCTAAACAATGAAATATTCACATGCTTTAGTGGTAGCAAAATTGAATGGCAAACAGCTGCCAGCAGCTATTCCTGACTGATGTAATCCAGGAGGTTTGTGAAACAGGAACATATGGATAGGGGCTAACTGGAAATTAGCAAAGATCTAAATGTTTGACTAAATGTGGTTATAGTTTGGTATAATAAAGCCCAGAGGTGAGAAATGACCTCATATCGAAGCCAAATAGTAAGAACTTTACTGGAAACAGCTATGACGCTAGCACAGAATTAGGTATGAGATGCTTTTACCTGGTACTGTATTCAAAGGAAGCTGTTATTATATTTATACTATGACTTGGATAAAGAGATAATACCTCAAAAGGACCTAAAAAGGCATCATCTCTGTCAGAGTATAGTTAGGAAACATATATTAATATTTAATTATAATACAATGTTCCAAGTATTCTAATAGAAGTATGTAGTAAAAATCTTGAGAACACTGAGAAAAGAACCTGAAGGAAGTAGAGAAGGTTTCCCATGCTTGAGGGAGGAGTGGGAATTTGCCCCATGGAGAGGAGTAGAGGGTTTTGTTTCAGGCAGGGCATTACCATAGACAAAGGCATGAAGGTATGAAACAATAGAACACATTTATTTATTTACTTATTTGTTTGTTTATTGTGGGAGTGTAAAGTGTTATGGGCAAGTAATTATTAAGAGCCTAATTTGTATATCAAAACATCAAGTTGTATACCCTAAATATATACAATTTCTATTTGCCAATTATACTGGAATTACCTAGAAAACAAAGAGCCTAATTTCCTGTATTCCTTGATGTAAATAGTACCAAAAATGATAAATCAGGAAAATGTATTTCCTGGGTCTTTATAGTACCTTTCTATGTGCAGGTATTTTTCCAAGTTATTTCATCAGGTTAATTCATATGAGTTGAGTGGTTTAAAAAATTTTGGCCTTTGCAGATGTAGCATTCAAGATTTAAATTGCTCTAGTGATCCCAAAATTTGTGATTTTGCTGAAGCATACACTGTAAGTTGTTTAATGAGTGAACATAGCTGGCTCCCCAGCAACCTCATATCAAACCATTTTATAACTATGCCCACATTTGGATTACTGCTAGTGTAATCCAACTTCTGCCTGCTGTGCACCACCCATCATCCTCCTCTTTGTCATAATGGCCTGTGTGCTATACAGTGACTGTCATCAGGACTTGGAAGCATTGCTCTGATTTTGCACAGGCAGGTAAGGTTAATGTAACTACTGTAATGATGCAACTTAATGGACTTTAGAGTTTATTTGCATGCCCAGATTTATTTTAGTGGCATTATAAATTACTTTAGTCCAGTAGTATTATAGAACTATAGAGGGCTGAAACGGATTACTTAAAATTTTATCATACTTTACTGAATTTTGTGGGGAAAGCTATGTGCTGTAGTATCATTTGCAAATTTGTTTTTGTTGTTGTTGTTGTTTTCTTTTTTCTTTTTTCTTTTTTTCTGATACGGAGTCTCGCTCTGTCGCCCAGGCTGGAGTGCAGTGGTGCAATCTTGGCTCACTGCAACCTCTGCCTCCTGGGTTCAAGCAATCCTCCTGCCTCAGCCTCCTGAGCAGCTGGTATTACAGGCACGTGGCAACACACCTGGCTAATTTTTATATTTTTAGTAGAGACGGGGTTTCACCATGTTGGTTAGGCTGGTCTCGAACTCCTGACTTCGTGATCTGCCTGCCTCGGCCTCCCAAAGTGCTGGGATTATGAGTGTGAGCCACGGTGCCCAGGGATTTAGAATTGTCCAGAGATCTTTAGGAATGTCAAGAATCTACAGTAGTTTTTGACTGTTAATCTAAAAACTTTTACATGACAGATACATGGTATGTATTATCTGTATTTCTTCATTAAAAAACCAAACTCTGCTTTCACTATTTTAAGTGAAGAAGTAGGTGACTGGAAATAAGAAGATGGCAATTTATACCATCCATTGATTGTTAGGAATTATTGATAATGTTAACAATACATATTTTAAAATATATCATTAATTTTTAAAATAAAAGTTAGGCTTTTGGTGTATGCAAAATAAGAAATTCATCTGATTTTTAAAATGCTTTTAAACTTCTTATAGAGGTATGAATAAAAATTAACTTATTTGGCTGGGTGCGGTGGCTCACGCCTGTAATCCCAGCACTTTGGGAGGCCGAGGTGGGTGAATCGTGAGGTCGGGAGATCGAGACCATCTTGGCTAACACGGTGAAACCCCATCTCTACTAAAAAAAAAAATTACAAAAAATTAGCCAGGCGTGGTGGCGGGCACCTGTAGTCCCAGCTACTCGGGAGGCTGAGGCAGGAGAATGGCGTGAACCTGGGAGGTGGAGCTTGCAGTGAACCGAGATCGCGCCACTGCACTCCAGCCTTGGCGACAGAGCGAGACTCCGTCTCAAAAAAAAAAAAAAATTATTTAATGTTATTAAATAGCAAGACGTGAAGACTGTGTAGAATTTAGAGGTACTTGAAGTTTTAAATCACAAGTGACAAGATGACAAGATCAGAGTGTTTGTGGTATTGCGTTATGTAGGTTCAAAAAAGCCATTCATACATATGCCCATTTATATATAGAATCCCTTACTCCTTGTCAAAGCCATTTAGCAGGGAAACCATTCAAGTATAAAGTGAGAGGAAGACAGCCTTCTTTCCATGTTTTTGAACATGGACACTGTTTTGAACACTGTTGCTTTTATTGTGTTGAGTATAACATTTTGTGCTCTGCTGATTTAGCAGAGATACTTATATTCATTTACTCCTCTCCTTTCATTTTAACAATTATCACTGGAATTTTTTAAAAGAGAAATGCACTGAAGACCATAACATCCCCATCAAATCTGTTCGAAGCTTATATTTCTTACTTTTTGTTTTTTTTTCCTGACTAGGTATTTATCATAACTCTTCTTTTTTTTTTTTTTTTGAGACGGAGTCTTGCTCTGTCACCAGGCTGGAATGCAGTGGTGCGATCTCTGCTCACTGCAACCTCCGCCTACCAGGTTCAGGTGATTCTCCTGCCTCAGCCTCCCAAGTATCTGGGACTGCAGGAATGTGCCACAAAGCCCAGCTAATTTTTGTATTTTTAGTTTCACCGTGTTAGCCAGGATGGTCTCGATCTCCTGACCTCGTGATCCGCCTGCCTTGGGTTCCCAAAGTGCTGGGATTATAGGTGTGAGCCACCGCACCCGGCCCATGACTCTTCTTGATCCGAAGCAGCAGTTATTGACATTTTGTTAAATGTCTTAAACAGTCACAAAATTTCATCAATTCTTCTATAAATGGTAACTTCATCTTTAAATAGATAATTATCCATTAATTGATAATTATTACTAATACATATATGGAAAGACAACATTCCAGTCTCATTAGTCATCAGAGAAATGTGATATACCTTTTTGGGGGCTCTGGTTTCTTTTGATGATACAATGATTTGTAATTTTTTTCAAAAAGTCAATTAATTACCATATAAATGGAATCAGAACAATTCTTTGTAAAGATTTCACTTTGTTATTTGTTTTTTCCAAGATTGAGACAAATCAGTTTTCCAGCGTTGTGGTTTTATTTGTTTAATTTTGAAATACAAGGTATCTGTTACGCGTGCCTTTGGATGTATGCATATAAAGATAGAACAGAATTGGGTACTGTACATTAGATTCCTTTTCTGTAGTTAGCTGAACCATGATAAAAGGAAAGAGGTAGAAAGAAATACTTAAAGTATGGGAGCACAATTTGGGTCCATGTTAGTTATCAGTCTCTACAGGTTGCAACTCTATAGCAGAATAAGGTATTTTTGCTTTTATCATTTTGAGGGAAAGACCATTTTATTAGATCACTCATAATTATGATACTTTTTGGATGAATATGTACTAGTTAATATAAAATATTGCAAAAAGAGGGAAGACATCAGTTTTCCAAGTGTGTCTCAGCTAAAATAGTGTTTAAAATTTTGCATTTCTGGCTGGGTGCAATGGCTCACACCTGTAATCGCAGCACTTTTGGAGGCCAAGGCAGGCGGATCACCTGAGGTCAGGAGTTCGAGACCAGCCTGGCCAACATGGTGAATCCCCATCTCTATTAAAAAATACAAAAATTAGCTGGGCGTGGTAGTGCACACCTGTAATCCCTGCTACTCGGGAGGCAGAGGCACGAGAATCACTTGAATCCAGGAGGTGGAGGTTGCAGTGAGCTGAGATTGCGTGCCACTGCACTCCACCCTGGGCGACAGAACGAGACTCTGTCTCAAAACAACAACAACAACAACAAAAAAAACACCTTTTTTTTTTTTTTTTTTGCATTTTTTAGTTTTATGGCTACAAAGGCAGAATTAGGATTGCTTTCTTTCAACTGCTTGAGAAAAAAGAAACAAAAGGTCAAAGAGTTAAAGCTTACATGGTCTCTCTCTTTAAGTGTGTTTTTGAGAATTATTGTAGCCACAGAGAAGAGAAACTACTAGAAAAGTACTTAAGTTTCAAGTGGCATTTGTGTTTAGTAATTTTTCATTGGTATTAAAGTCAGAAAAATGAAACTATTTTTCAAAGAGATATGCTTGGACTTTTGTATTATACTAATTCTTTTTTTACTGCAGCCCTAGTTATCAAATTGTGAATTTAAAGTAGATTTTTTATACAGAGGTAGAGAAATAGGCGTGTTTATTACTCAAGATGAACATTTAGTCATCCAGCCAAAAGCTTTCATCTGTCTTCTTTTATAATTAAAACAAAGTCTATTAGTTCTGTCAATCAGCAGTCATCTGGGGTGATGACAAGGGCTGTACAAACACTGGTAGCAGCTGCCAAGCAATCAAAAATGTAACTTTTCAAAATCAAACTTGCTGCATAGGAAAAAAATCAGCCTTTCATGATAAGATTGGTAACTCAATTGTTTAACTTCCGATAAATCTGTGAATTAATACCCTGTAATATGGATTTCAAGATCTTTTCCTTTTATTTACAATCATCTGTAGCCCTTTTTCTTGAGAAGCAGTGAGTCTTAGTCTCATTTTAGAGCCTCTGTTGGGAAAATAGCATTCTCAGGTATCTAGCTATTTATGTTACTTGGAAGAAGTAAAACAAAGAGAAACTATATAGTCTTGTACTTAGAATATGATTCTGAGATTTTTATTTAAAGTGAAATAGTTTCTTTTGTCATGATCAGTTTGCTCATAATTGAGCGCTCTAGTTTAATTAGCATGTAGACATACCATGCCTCAAAGGTGTTTGTTTTCTTATTTAGATTGTCGATAGGCTGTTTAGCATCATATGCTTTCAGCAAGAGTTCTAAATCAGCAGTTTGTTAATAATGCCCTCAGTAAGAAAATACTAAAGTTCTCTTTTGGTATGTAAATTTAGTTCAATTAAACAAGTATGAATGAACCATCTACTTTGGGCAAGGAATTAGGGCTGGAATGGATACAGATATTTACATAGGAGAGGTTTTATTTATTAAAGAGGTTAACTTCTTATCAGATGATCAATGCAAGCAACCTAGTGTAATACAAGGCAGAATATGAGAAGCATATTATAAAGTACTGTAGAACATGGAGGAGGGAACAATTCCTGCTTGAGGAATCAGAGAAGACTTCTTGGAAAAGATAGTATCTTAATTTGTCATGAAAAATGGATAGAATTTTAACAAGTAGATATGGAGGAAATATTGACAGAGTGAGAAATTGCAGTTTCAGAGAGTTATACAGGATTCTTAGTTATGATTCCTTATGTAATAGGGGTTCTTTGGCTCTTAGGTTCTTCAGAGTGACAGTAGATTCAACAAAATGTTAATTCTTAAACTGTCTGGTCATTATAATAATCTAGGCCTAGGGATCTTTAAAAAATACACATTTCCAGACTCTGCTCCTACAGAGTCTGTCTCAGTAAATCTTGAGTAGGGCTCCAGATTCTGATTTTAAGCTCTTTGATTTTGTTCAGCCAGGTTTGGAAGATAACCTTCTGCATGAGTTTTCATTGTTTACACAAAAATACCTTTCTTCTTCTGATTTTCCCACTTCCAAATTCAAAGCAAATGGACATGTTTCAGTCTATGTTTAGTTATTTGATCCTTGAAATTTCAGTGTTCAAGTGGTATTGATGTTTGTTGTTAGCTAATAATAGGCACATAGGTGCTCAATATTTAATAAATATTTGTTAAATAGATAAAAATATACTAAAAAAATCTCAAGGTTATATTGGAGAGTACTACACAATAAATTCCTTTAAGAGACTCTTTCTCTCTGTGTGCCTCTTTTTTTGTCTGTTCTATGTTTGACTCCAGTCAGTATATGAAGCTCTTTTAGAAAAGCCCTGCAGGTTCTTTGTGACCCACACTTTGAGCATCACTGATTGCTAAGTTCCTATACCATTATTAAGGGCAGTTAGATAAAGCAAGTCATATTGCTGAGAATTTATGTAAGTTTAAGCGTTTTTTGTAGCATGTATTTTTGCTTCTTCAAAAAATCTAATTTCTAGAGATTCTGAAAAGGGAATGCATGCTGATTGAGTATTTTGAAGTTCTAAGCAGTTCAACTGCCGTCATTGGGGGTTGAACTGTGCAGTATATTTGATTTGTTATAGCTTTTTTATTCTACTTGCTCAGCATTTTCCTGGCAGTTAATTACACAGTGGCTTTAGGGTACATTCCATAAGATGCTGAAGACACAGCTTTGCTGAAGTCTGACACACTTTCCTCCTTGGTTACATAGCTAATGGCCACTCTGGGATAATTAGTGAGAAGAAACTCCAATGGCCCAATTACTGTCTTCTCAAGGTTTTCCCTCTTAATTCTTCTTTGCTTAAATCTTGAGAGATTGCCTCCATTGTAGGTTATACTTGTACTTTATTTAAAACTGGGTTTTCTTAGTTACAGTCAGACAAAAGGTAAAAGATCTGTCTTTTAATGCATTGGGAGTGCCATAAGAAGTTGGCTGTATTTTAGAGAAACCAAAGAGTAGTGTACTGTTCAGAGCAAGAGATGGCTAATATTTTCAAAGCCACAGTAATTGCTGGCTTTTGATTTCTGGGTTTAGACTCATACAGTGGCCCTCATCTATGTATTGGGAGGACTTGAAGATTTAGGCTCAGAGCTATTAGGGTTTCCAAAGCTTTGCCTGATATGTAGATTAGTAATTAAATGTGCCATTTTTCTGTCAGGAAGCTTGACTGCTTGACTTGGGGTATTGTAACTTACTAATGTAATGAAAATGCATGTGCATATGCCTTGGTAATAAAACTATGTGAACATGTCTACCACAGTGTTTGGTAGGTAGATAAAATCTAAACCTTGTAAATTCCTGAGTCGTCTAAGTCAGCCATATGTCGTCTATCTTTTTAGAATGTCTGTCCAACATAGAATACAGTGATTTCAGATTTCCTTGTTTTTTTCTTTTTGTGAGATGGGGGTCTCACTGTGTTGCCCAGGCTGGAGTGCAGTGATATGGTCATAGCTCACTGTAGTCTTGAACTCCCGGGCTTAAGGAATCCTCCTGCTTCAGCCTCCCGAGTAGCTGAGACTGCAAGTGTGCATCATCACACCTGTCCTTTTTTTTTTTTTTTTTTTTTTTTTTTAGTAGAGACAGGGTCTTGCTATGTTTCTCAGGCTGGCTACAACTCCTGGGCTGATGTGATCCTCCCACTTTGGCCTCTCAAAGTGTTGGGATTACTCTTGCCTAGGCTGGTCTCAAACCCCTAGGCTCAAGCCATCCTCCCACCTCAGCCTCCCAAAGTGATGGGATTACAAGTGTGAGTCACCGTGCCTCAACAGTGATTTTATTATTTTTCCTAAGGTCCATGTCAGCATAAGATACTTCTCATTGGAATTGTGCAAGCAAACCTCTGTTTCTGAACTCTGTCTAAATTGGGAAAAAATAACTGTGCTAAAAGAAACTCGCTTGCAAAATTGTTTATGGAAAGTTATTAATATTATGGATATGCTATGGATGTGGCATTTTCTATGAATATGTTCTTTATATAGAGATGAAGTACTCAGTGAATATTCGTTGATTAAATGAATGTAATAAAGTTTTATCATAGGAGTTCTGAATCTTTGTTTTCTCCATAGTCTTGTGGTTTTGTTTAAATGTTCCCAGTCTCTTTGCAGAGTATGTTACTATGTCATCGAGCTTTTTGTTTCAGTGTTGTGTGCTATGCTTTCCCGAATGGGTTGTGAAGATTGGTAAGGGTAATCTAAAATCTTGGAGTGACGAAACTGAGCCAAGTCATGTTGGTGGAGCTCACCCTAATGGGTCATGTTTTATTGAAGCAGTAAGATTGATAGACATAAGAAAAGAGTATTTCTAGGAGAACAACAACAACAACAACAAGTTCCATTTTACAGCCTGGTAAATCTTCCTCTGATTTGTCACTAGCAAAGTATAAAGTTCTTTAGGGATGGAGATGGGGAGATTGTATTCAGTAGGTAGTAACCACATGATATTGAAATAATTTCCATCACATCAGATTGACACATGGAGGATCAGTATCTTCTGAGACTGTTCAGAATTATGTAGGAAATTGTGTGTGGGTATGATATTTTCTTCTAATATCCTCTTAATTAATACATGGTTTTGGTGAGAGGAAATCTTTCAAAGGGTAAAGGAGAAAAACCCCAAAGCAATCCATAGAATATTGTGATAGTGTACACTGAAGTTAATGGAACCAGAGGTGGGAGCATAAGACTCTTGAATGTACTTCTTGTAACCATGAGATTGGCTTCTCCAATGTGTTTTTTAGAGTTCAGTGTAAAGAAAAATCAGGCAATTTTTATAGAATAGATAGGGAAAGTTTTAGGAAAATTCCAATTTTAATGTCGAAATGTTGGAGCCTCTTTAAAAGAAAGCCTTTAAGCTTTCTTACTCTAGGGCTTTTCTGAAAGTTCAATGCCTTTTTTAGATAAACACATTCTGAAACTTTTTATTGAAGGTTGCAAAATGGAGAAAACGTATACATTTAGTATTTTAAAAATTTTATGAAACTAGTTTGGCCTTTTTAAATAAGTTATATCATTATTTGGGTTTTGCCCAGTTTGAGAGATTGAAATGCCTGATAAAGCACTGAAGGAAGATGTACAACTGTAGTAGCATAAGCTTTTTATACAGTGGTGTGATCCCTTTCCTCTCATTGGAACAGCAGTTAGCAAATTTAGGTTTGCTGGCGGTCTTTCTGTGTTCCTGCTGTGTATCCATTATGTACCCATTCAAAGCCTCAGGCTTCTTATTTGTAAAATTGGATAGAACTTTGCCTGTCTCAGAGGACTGTTGTGTACATCTCAAGGGATAATATATGTGAAAGCATTTGGGAAAGTGTCAAGCAGTACATTATTCTATCTCTAAAAGGACGTTTCAAATCATATTTACCTTTTGATTACTACGGTCTATTTTAAGTGAATCTGTTTTTGAATTTCTTTTTATTAATTTCCAAATATGATCTTACTATAATTCTAGTCACATTGAAAATATGTTTCACTCTGATTTAACAACATGATTTTTCTCTTAAATCTGTACTACATTTTTTTTTTGTCTATTAAAAGTTGTAATTGCTTACCTGCATGCCTCCAAGGGATAGTCTCCACTTTGCTATAACTGTTTTTTTCATTTAAAATTTCTTTTATTTATCTCAAGGGAATTCCATTTATCTGATAATATCTTCTTGTCATTTAAGGATTTTGTTAAACTCAGACCCCATACCAACCTTGGCACATACAGCAGACCCTCCTCTCATTTGACATGTTTTGCTTGATCATTTTCCTATGTGATCTCAGAGCCACTTTCCAATCCATCTGGCAGTGCTCATATTGGGCCAATTATAATTAAACTTGTGAGCTAGATGGTAAGAACCTGTCTCAGATATTTTACTAGAATACAGTGTTAGATCATTGGTTTTTTCCCATAATTCAAAAAAGTATGCGATTAAAATATTAAAAGTAGACCAATCAAATCTGTCTAACCTCATGACAAATTTTTTAAGAGTTGTAAATATTGCACTGATTATTGCTTATTACTCCATTTATTTCAAAGGATGATAGTTCTTGAAGTTTCCATGCAAAATTGGAAATTGAATTATATAGACTGTGAATTTATTAGACAATTAGCAGAATATTGTTACTTTTTTGGTTCTTAGATCATTGCGTATTCACTTTTCTTTTGCGTATTCACTTTTCTTCCCTCAGGGACTGTCTTACATCGCTGCCCTGTCCTTCCCTCTTCAATTCTTCCCCATATCCACTCACTAATGTAAATGCTTGGATAGAAAATTATGGTTTTGAGATACTTCTTTCTGCTGCTTTTTTCTCATTATCTACATTGCCACTTCATCTCTGACACACATGTCTCTGGGTTGCTTGTCTCCAGTCAGAATGCTTTTCCCACCATAGGCCAACTCTGCTGCAGTTTTCAACTCAGAACTGACTTCTCAGTTGATAGAATCCTGAGACATCTCGGTCTGACAAGAACTGTCTCCCTAGAACATGACACACTGGGCTCTCCTTATACTGTCCATCACTTTACATTATTTTAGAGGGTTGCAGTTAGCATCCCAAATGTTTCAAATATTCCTCAGTTGCAGTCTGATCAACTTCAGATTTATTATTACTCTCAAGAGAGCTATGCTGCATCTGTGCAGGGTGTTTGTTTCTGAAAGGTCATTTCCTGGTGTGAATTCCAACCAAAGGAGATCAAGCCAGAGTACAGCCTTCTTTCTGTTATGTACTTACTCATTTTACTTGGAAGAGAAATGAAGACTTATTTCAAATGTGCGTACAACACACAAAATTAGATGATGTGACATATTAATGATTGACAGAAATAGGTGAAAAGAATAATATTTAAGCTCATCTAAGCTTTGACATGTGTCTAGGTTTCATAATGGATTAAACAGAGAATTTTTTTCTGAGTTTGAATTGTTCATTCTTCTCTTCATGTTTATAATACTTTCCACAAAGCTCGAAGATCACATAGTTTCCACCTCTCTTTTGGGTTTAATGTCATTTGGCTGTCATTATACTTTGCTTCTTCACAGCCCAAAGCAAGTAAAGTCCTCCTTCATTTATTTTGCTGTATCATCATTAATGATATGAGCCACAGCCCATGTCATTGGTGGTGGAAAGTTACCACCTTTTTTTTAACTTTTAGCCTTAATTGAAATTTACTGAAAACATAGATTTGTTTCTTTAGCATTCTAAATAATTTTTGACAGAGTGTTTTTAAATGTAAGGCATTTCTCCTGCATTATAAATTTAAAATAAGTTATGTTTTTCTATAGCAAAATTAATTCCCCTTAACCCCTGTGGCTGCCTTCCAAGCTGCCTCTGGTATTGGTGTAAGTACCAGAGTTCGTCGCAACATTTAAACAATAAAATCCAATTTTATTGCTTAGTATTTCATGAAAATAAAATACAGTTGACATTGTTTTTTGATAGTACATCAGACGACTAGAAACTTTTTTTTTTAATTTTAAGACAGAGTCTCGCTCAGTCGCGCAATCTAGGCTCACTGCAAGCCCCGCCTCCCAGCTTCACGCCATTCTCCTGCCTCAGCCTCCCGAGTAGCTGGGACTACAGGCGCCTGCCACCACGCCCAGCTAATTTTTTTTTGTATTTTTAGTAGAGACGGGGTTTCACCTTGTTAGCCAGGATGGTCTTGATCTCTTGACCTCGTCATCCGCCCGCCTTGGCCTCCCAAAGTTCTGGAATTACAGGCGTGAGGCACCGCGCCCGGCTGAGACGACTAGAAAGTTTCTAATCTGAAAGGAGTGATTAGGCATTTCGATGCCTGGATTCTTCATAGAAACCCACCTGAATGTGCTCCTAGGCATTAGATATATAAATAACACAGCGAGTGAGATGATTTTTCACAAACATGCTAAATAATGAATAAAAAGTTACGGAACTCTAGTAAATATTTCATTGTGAAAAGGAACATAGATTGTATTAGTGTGAGAGAAGAGGAAACTGAATCCTAAGCACAGACCTTAGTAATCATAAAGCTGATAGCCAAGGGTTTAGATAAAATATTTTAAATGGAGAAAGTTTGCCTACCACTGTTTTACATTCCTGTCTCTGCAGCCCACCTGCCCCATTTCCTCCCTTTTCTGTCACTAAGCATCACCATGCCTAAATACACAAACTACATAAAAACACAGTCCATGCTGAAATTGTGAAATGAACGTAAGAACAGTACACTAACAAACTTTGAGAGCAGAGCTGGCACTAAAGGAGGAGTAAAATTTTGTCAAATGGAAGAAGGGTGTGGAAAGCATATATCTAGCACAGAATTGTGAAAACACCTGGCATATCTGGTAGGGAGAGAAGAGTATTGTAGTGGGATCATCATACATTTGATTGGAAGTCATAAGGAGGCAAGGCTGGAAAGCTAGATAGGGTCATATTGTGAAGGACTTGTATGCCAGGCTAAGGAGTTTTGGTTTTTAGGAGCCAGCACACATTCAATAGACATTTTCCAAACTTGGCAGAGAATCATGAGCTCTTCTCCCACTTCTGCCCTCTCCCCCCGCCCCCCGCCACATAGTGGAGGATGCATGGTTGCATGGTGGAGGATGAACTGGAAAGGAGCTGTTCTGGAGAAGGGTAGCAGGAAGGTCTGCTAAGCAACCTGAGGCAGTTTGTAATAGTTGTAACCAAGAAGTGACAAAGGCTGTGGCCATCTGGCACAGCCTCCATTCATCTTCTAAAGAACAGATCTTCAGATATCTGAAGGCAGTTTTGTGTCCTTTAGCAAGGCATATATTTGGAGAACCTGTGTAATCCCAGCTTCCTTCACCAACTAAAACAGGGGATAAGCCTCAGTGACGTGTCAACCCACTTATAGAACTTGCCTTACTATTCTTTGTTCATTACTTCTAGTGACCATAGTATTTTTATTACATTGAAATTGTAATACTTTAAAGTATTTGAATATTTTGAAATAACATTGATGTAGGGTTTTTATTTTAGGCAACCAGCAGGGTATAGAACTTCTGGAGAGCAGGATCCTCGAACCTGTATGTTATGATTCTGTTGGCTAGATCTCAGAATGGCAACAAGGAATTTTTGGTTTTGGTTGTTTCTCATATCTCTTGTAAGGAAAACTTGAATAATTCAGGTAGTACATTTGTTTCTCCTTATACACTGCTAGGTATATAGTGGTTGGAACTATTCTTCTTAAGGCACTATTTTCACTGCCTATGCAACCACAGAGATCATCAATAGTAAAAGCTATTAAACTGACATTGTAACTGTTGCTGTGAAACCAGTACTTTCCTGCAGGCATTATTTCATCCTGTGCCTTTTTGGAAAGGATGTAGTTCTCATTTAGTTGTCAGGGAACATGGTATTATCTTGTAAGCATTGCTTTCTGATGAATTTTTTCAGATCTTCTTTGCAGAACCTCTTTCTGAGTTTCTCAGGAAGGATAAGAACGTTCTTCTGAATCAGAATTCTTTTCCAAGACTACATATTAAGAATGGACTCTTGGAATAAGCTTTCTTTTAGATCTCTAGATGTGATAAACATGGCTATTCTGTGAGTAGGAATGCCTTTTCATAAGAGTTGAACAACTCTGTAGTTGCTTTTCTTGGCATCAGATAGCTAGGATCTCCAAGTGTTTCTGTTATTCACTCTGAAAGCTGGACTTGACAAATTTTTGAAGGCGACAAAACATTACAAAGATGCACTGCTTTAATCTAAAACCTATTAGAAGAATTCGTTCTGGGGTATCGATTTTTTAAAAAATAATACCTACTGAACAGGTGTTCATTAGAATATAAAAACTTTGCCTGTTTAGCAAGAGAACTTAGTCCATCTATTTCTTACACAAACTTGAAAATAAAGGAATTGAATAAAAATGAAGTCTTTTTTTCATTTTCAAATTACCATTTTAGAAATAGTTGTTCAGTTTATCTTTGTGTTTTGTTTTGTTTTAATTTCATCCAAGGTAAGAATTATTAATGAAAAATATTGTATATTGAACTTTACATCATTAAAGATGGAATTCTTTTCTTTAGAAAAGGTTGAAAAATAGAGTTCTGCCTTATAAATTCATGTTATTTGCTAGTTCAGTAAATTACTATTTTTTTCTATTTCTAGGCATTTTATCTTTTCATCCTCACAAATGTATTCTAAATTCATCATTTAAATATCTTTCTGATTGTAATCTTGCTGAATACCAGTTTTGTTTTCCTTATATTGCTTTAGTCTCTCTTGGGCTCCTTTCAACCTACTTGGCTATTCCCCCTTTTTGAATGACCTCATTCTTTCTGAATCCCACACATCTTCTGTTGATTACTAAGGTCTGTGCTTAGGATTCACAGTTTCCTCTTCTCTCTCACACGAATACAATCTATGTTCCTTTTCACAATGAAATATTTGCTACAGTTCCATAACTTATTTTTATTCATTATTTAGCATGTTTCTGATAAAGCCTAAGTAATTTTAAGATGAATATAGATAAACAAGAATATGTTCACAATAGTCACCAAGGCCAACAGAGTGGATGAGAGAGGTGATTTTAAATTATTTAAAATGAGGAATGACAGAGGGAAATGCCTATGTTTAGTAAGAAGAAGAGGAATATAATAACTTCCTCAAGTCATTGAAAGATTATCATATGGAAGAGGAATTAGCTTTGTTCTGCATTGTCTTAAAAGATAGCACAGGCCAGGCATTATGACTCACACCTGTAATCCCAGCACTTTGAGAAGCCGAGGTGGGCAGATCACTTGAGGTCAGGAGTTTTAGACCAGTCTGGCCAACATGGTGAAACCCCATCTCTACAAAAAATACAAAAATCAACCGGTTGTGATGGTACATGCCTGCAGTCCCAGCTACTCAGCAGGCTGAGGCAGGAGAATCGCTTGAACCCAGGAGGTGGAGATTGCAGTGAACTGAGATCGTGCTGCTGCACTCCAGCCTGGGTGATAGAGCGAGACTCTGTCTCAAAAAAAAAAACACTTAGCACTTTGGCAGGCTGAGATGGGCGGATCATGAGGTCAAGAGATCGAGACCATCCTGGCCAACATGGTGAAGCCCCATCTCTAGCAAAAATCCAAAAAATTAGCTGGGCATGGTGCTGTGCGCCTGTAGTCCCAGCTACTCGGGAGGCTGGGGCAGGAGAATTGCTTGAGCCCGGGAGGCGGAGGTTGCGCTGAGCCAAGATCTTGCCACTGCAATGCAGTGGTGACAGAGCGAGACTCCATCTCAAAAAAAAAAAAAAGAAAAAGAAAAAGCACAAAGGTTAATTTTATGGCATATGAATTATATATACACATATGTATGTTTCCATATATGTTTTTTATATATGTTATATATAACATATAAACACATATAACATATGTATATATAATATATATTAACGTGTGTACATTTTTTAAAGTGGTACAAGGAGCAGGTGATGGAAATGACAGAAACTTGTTTTGGCTTATTTGTTTTATTTAAGAAGAACTTTCAAAGAGTTAGAATGGTCTCAGGATATGATGCTTTGCTGATGGAAGTTGTGATTTTCTGTTAATAGACATAGTCAGCTCTGGATTGTAGGGCTACTGTTGATGGGATTTTGGCATCAAATAAGAGATTGAATTAGATGACTGCTGGGTTGAATTTCTTTGTCTCTGAAAGATGCACTTCTCTCGGCTCTTTAATAATATGAGTCAGTAAACAATAGACATGATTATGAGAGTGATCTCTTTTTTAGTTTTAAGAACTGTAGTATTTAAGAATTGTTATTTTTCTTCTCATGATTATCACTAATTTTTCACAGCAGGAAAAGGGCAGAGTGAAACTCCCACATTTTGAAGGTGGATATTGTATAACATTACAAGGAGGACAAGGAAGCAACGAAAAGAGTCATAAATTGCAGCTGGAAGCTTGGAACTGATTCCTCTATGCTGCAGTAGCTCAGAAGAGATTCAGCCTTAAGTTTAGTGAATAATGAAACATGATCTGAAGAAATTCTATGCAAGATATACTGTTGCCTAGTTCTTAAGTGACTCTGAGTAACTGTACCATCTGTCCTACATGAGAAGTAGCTCACTTTGTTCACCTTCTCTTTCAGATGTGGTAGTTCAAGACTCATTCGAAGAGCTCATTTTAATTGCAGGTTACTTTCCAACACATGTTGGTGGCCTGTAGTCATTGTAAGTCATCTGTAGAAAAGCACTGGCTTAAGATTGAGTTTTAAAATGTAAGTTGGGGCCGGATGCAGTGGCTTACGCCTGTAATCCCAGCACTTTGGGAGGCCGACGCAGGTGGATCATGAGGTCAGGAGTTCAAGACCAGCCTGACAAACATGTTGAAACCCTGTCTCTACTAAAAATACAAAAATTAGCCGGGTGTGGTGGCAGGTACCTGTAATCTCAGCTACTCGGGAGGCTGAGGCAGGAGAATTGCTTGAACCTGCGCAGCAGAGGTTGCAGTGAGCCAAGATCACGCCACTGCACTCCAGCCTGGGTGACAGAGTGAGACTCTGTCTAAAAAAAAAAAAATGAAAGTTGGGACTTTTTCATCATAGTGTTTTCTAATTGTGTTTATTATGAAGTGAAACATTACTTTGAGAATTATATGAAATCTTCTGGGTGGAACAGACTTTAGAAGACACATGGTTCAATCTCCGTGTTCTTCCCGAGGAACTAAAACAACTCATTGAGGAATGGGATTGGAAAGTTGTGTATTTGCCACATAAAATAGTGATGTTTTAGAAACGTTATTTATTGTTTTTTTTTCAGTCCTGTGCAACTCTTAGGAAGTCGGCTTCCTAGTATCTTATTAATTAAGTCTACTCTATAAAAATGTGTTTATAAAAAAGGAGAAAACAGAAAGCTGAATGCACAGTTACTAGTCCCATAATGTAACCCAAATATAAGAGAAATTACTAAAATATAAGAGAGGTTACGAAGAAGTTATAAACAATTTTTTCCAGAATATTGTCATTCTAAGAGTTAATTGATATCCTGTGGCCTTAGAAAGGATGTTGACTATATGACATTCGATTTAATTCCTTGAGTTGTATACTTGGCATAATGCCAGATCCAATAGAATGGCCCCTTTGATCATTATGTTCCAATAGAAGTGGTTGGCCATGTAAGAACTAGAAAAATAGGGGAGATAAGAATTTGTCAGCGAGTGATTCTATCCCTGTATTCATTATATGCGCAAGTCACAAAGCCCATAATACTGCAAAAATACCTAGACTAAATGTTATTGTCACTTGTAACAACTGTAATGTTTTTCTTTCTTATAAAATAAGATTAGTGCTCTGACAAATTTAATCAGGCAGTGAAGCAATTAAGTGGATTACTAAGCCATACCTACTTTGACTCTCAGCTGTATAGAAAATCAAGACAATCTGTGTAATCTAAACACTAAAACCTTTTATAAGGCATTACTGTGTGTGTGTGTGTGTGTGTGTGCGCACGCATGTGTGTGTATATGTGTATGTGTAACAATTCTTCCATATTCCCGAACCTGGGAACCTGGGCATACTGGACAAGCATGTTGGGGAAAGGCCTTTGTTCAGTAGAGCCTTGGAGAAACGTCAGACACAAAAATACCATAAGCCTTGGAAGTTAGTATTGCTGTGCTTGTGTTTGCTTTTCTTCTCCTGCTTTCTCCAGAATTATCTTTGTCTCGGTCTAGGAAAAGACTAGACAGGTTGGAAGGGAACTCTTATTTATTTTCTCCCTAATTAGGTTAAAATAAGTCAGAATAAATAAATGTCCACTATTGTGTCCCCGCTTTTTTTAACTTGTTTGCTGTCCATAGGCAGTTGGAGACTTACCTTCTAAGAAGTACCAAGAGAATATAACTTATCCAGTTGTCAAAACATAAAATTTATTCCTTTTATAATTACTGCTTTTCAACACATCTTGATCTTGCTTCAGGCAGGCCACATACCTCTTTAAGACAGGTTAGAATTTCTAGGGTGTGTGCCTCCTCAGAGGGCCAAAATTGGTCCAGTAAAGTTTTTTGTAAATTTGTTAATAGCCTTTCCAAAATTTTAAAGCTTTTCCATGAATTAACAATAAACTGAAAACAAAATCATTTCCCAGAGGAAGTAAAGCATAGAGAGGAACTCCATATGAGTCCTGATTCTTGTCTAAGAGGAGGGTCTGTTAAAGGGCGAGCACAGACTCACCCAGGTTAACCAGAAGACTAGGATTAGACCTTGGACTTCTGATGTTCTCATTAGGTGTTTTTAAATTTTGAAATTTAGAGACTTGTTTCTGAAATAAAGCATTTTCCCCAATTTTTAGGTGTTTACTAGTGCCAGACTTCAAACTTTTAATGTAACAGATGTTATCAAAGTTTATGATTATCTTTCTATGTGTCCCTAGGATTGTTTTGCTGAATCCCAGTAGAAAATGCATCTCTAGGCCCACCAGGCTGTTCCTCCGCTACACAGCAGGGCCAGGCTCTTCCCCATCTGTCTCAAGCATAGATTTCAGCCTGAAATTTGGGAAAACATTTGCCGTGTTAAGTCATTAACAACTGTTTCAAAACAGTCTAATTTCTAACAGTTGGTGCATGTGGAGATACCTAATTAAAATAATTCTAGTCTCGTTAATAAGATAAGTGTGTGTTCTAGTTACTGTGGGATTATTGCTATCAAATACAAAGGGCATAAGGCTTAGCTGAGTGAATTATGCTTGTATTTTATTCCCTTCACTAATTCATTGTAATTTAAGAGTTAAATCTTTGTGTTTTTTCCTTATATTTTCATTTCAGTGAATGGAAGAGGTAACTGGAGAGATGTAATAGACAGGAATACTAAGAACAAGATGCAGTGCAGGCGAGCCCCAAAATTGGGGCTTAGCGCAGGAGGGTTCTTGGCTTCACCCAGGAAAGAATTCAAGGGGGAATTGGTGGTGTTAGACAGCAACTTTTATTGAAGTGACAGTGTATAGCAGCAGCAGAGGTACTGTTCTTTGTGGAGCAGGGCTAACCTATAGGCAGTGTGCCTAAAGCAGTAGCTCAGGAACAGTTCTGCAGTCATATTTATACCCACTTTTAATTACATGCAAATGAAGTGGTGTATTCAGAAATTTCTAGAAAGGGGGTGGTAACTTCTGGGTATTACCATGGCAATGGTAAACTGTCATGGTGCTGGTGGGTGTATCTTATGGAGTGGTGCTTTCAGCACCTCTTCCCTGTTTCAGCCAGTCTTTAGTCTGGTCCAGAGTTGAGTCCTGCCCCTTACCTCAGAGAGACATAGTACCTGTAAATTCCATGGGAAATTTAGCTTCCCAGAGAAATTCACAGAAATTGAAATTCTACTACACAGTAAAATTGTTAGCCTCTTGTCTGACCTACTCACCATTACTATCTTTTCCATGAGTCCCTCAGTTGAAATGGATCTCTTCTTCCTCTGTACTTCAAGAGTGCTTTACTGTATCCTTTTTGTGGTAGGTCATGCTTTCTACCTTCTGCTATAGCTATTTGTATATGCACATTTATAAATGCTTCTCCTTGAAGGAAGGCTCTGTGACCACCCTTTTGTCTCCACTGGGCCCATTGCAATCATTTGCACATTGTGGTTTGCTCAGGAATATTTGTTGAGTGAATGACAAATAGAAATAACACTTTACCATAGATTTTAATATTTTTAATGCAATCATAATCATAGTCTTAAAAAGGAACTTAGAGATTATTTTTAGGTATATAGGATGTTTTAATTTTTTAAATCTCAAAAACATTGTCAAAATCATTTAAAAAAACCTTCTGCATGATGAATTGTGTATGAGTAAAAACTGACATATGATCCTTTTAGCAGAATGAACATGATCTTACAGACTGAATACCAAGTAAATTGAGCCTTCTTCAAGAAAACCCTGTGTGAAGATAGAATTCTTTATTAATTGCTCCGAGCTGTCAATAAAATCTCTTGTCTCAACAACACACACTATTAAATAGTGAACCAATGGGCAAACAGGAAAAATACCATGCATTTCAGGAAGTATTAGAAAGTAACATAATCAAGCCCTGCTGCCATCAGTCATTGGTCATTCCCAGCCCCGTATGACTCAAAACAATTTTCTGCTGTCTCCCACCTTTTCTGGCCCTTGGTGGTGATCATTATCATCCTCACTTCTCCAAACTTCATCTCCCTTAAAACTCTGCCCTTCTGAGATATATAAAATGAACAGTTGAGACTTTGACACCTAATGGTGAAGCCATTGTTAATGCTTCTAGTAATAAGTTGTCATAGAGGTACATCTGAGAAGATAGTGAGAAAATCAGGGGTGAGTGGAAAAGCGGTGATAGAAAGAATGATAGAGAGAGGGAAGAAACTGGAGGTTAAGTCCTGGGATGCAGGCCATGAGTGAGAAGCAGGAGAGGAGGGAATCAGATGGGCTGACACATAGGCAGGTGCTTGGAGAGGATAACAAGTGTGTGTAGAACAGTGGTCCACATCTACCAACAACACCGTTTGCTTTTTGTGTGTATATCTTAAAAAATAACACATATAGGCCGGGCGCGGTGTCTCACGCCAGTAACCCAGCACTTTGGGAGGCCGAGGCGGGCGGATCATGAGGTCAGGAGATCGAGACCATCCTGGCTAACAAGGTGAAACCCCATCTCTATTAAAAATACAAAAATTAGCCGGGCGTAGTGGTGGGCACCTGTAGTCCCAGCTACTCGGGAGGCTGAGGCAGGAGAATGGTGTGAACCAGGGAGGCAGAGCTTGCAATGAGCCGAGATGGTGCCACTGCACTCCAACCTGGGCAACAGAGCAAGACTCTGTCTCACAAAAAACAAACAAACAAACAAAAAACATATATTCTAGTTAAAAATTTTTAAATTAATATTTAGGATGTCTTTTTGTTAGTAGCTATGTGTCATTTGCCTCTGGAGCCTGCCATTTGAGAAAAGAGATCAAAAGCCAAGCCAAAGCCACATGATGATGGAGGCTTGTTACCTAAGCTTTTTGGGCAGATGTTTCTTTACTTAAAAAAAGTCTGTCTTCCCTAATTGCATTTCCAACACTGACTGACCTCCTTAGCCCTATGGTGTAAATAGCTGTAGAGATTGTTTTTATGAGGAAATGAGACCCATGACTGCTTTGAACAATACAAAACTGTTTACCTTTGATGGCAAGAAACCGAGTAAAACCTGTCTAATACTCTCCTATAGCCTCTCACACCCTTGTTATACGTGAAGCAGACAAAATGGGCATTTGCGAGACAGGATACTATCATTTACAGTTAAAGAGTCATCTTTGATGGGCTGCCAGGTATGTTGGAAGTTGAAGGCATCGATTTAATGTTTCTCCTGAAGCACTTGGGTAAGGGAGCTGAAGGAAAAGCAAAATGAGCCTTCATGGAGACATCAGGCTAAGGGTGGTATCTGTATAGAGGACCTAAAACAGAAGGTAACATGAATAAATGTTAGCAAAACTTTGACTTTAGATCCTGGCGTCATATTTAAACAAGGGTGCAGGGCAATTGTTCATTTTATGAGTTGAACTGTCACTATGGAATCCACCTGCCCATTCTCTAAGCCACATCTTCTTCTGGACATCAGTATTATTAATATTCTGAGGAGGAAAACGGCTTTATTCATAACGGAATCATCTGTGATGAAGACAAAATGTTTTGGACCAATCGTTTTTCCATGTGTCAGCCTTGTAGATAGTCGTGTTGGGTCTCTAGCGCTGGTTACAATAGACTATTGGCCAATAGCAAAGACTGGTGATCATGTTCTGTATTCCCTCTATAAGTCTGGCAAGAGTTGGTTGAGGTAAACTTTTGTTTACTTCTCCTGGTTTGCTTAATTAACAGATTAAGCCCAGTAAGGAGATACAAAAGCACAACATCTTTAGCTTTTGAGATTGGCTACTTCCGTAGGTTAAATTACCTTCTGGGGACTGGGAGATTGTATAGAAGTTAGATAGGCCTCTTGCTGATTTCTGACCCAAGAGTAATTAGACTTATAATAAAAAAGACATCTTAAATCTTGCTGGTAAGAGCATGATTGGAAATGAAACTTTTGAAATTCGTTTCTAGTTTCACAGATGGAGTTAAACAGAGGCATAGACTTACTGGAGAAAAGTTGTCAACGCTAATGATAGCAACAGTTACCATTTACTGAGTGTGTCCTGTGTGCAAAGCCTACGCTGCTTTACATTTTAACAGTACTGTGAGAGTTTTAGAATGACTGTTTGAGAGCGGAAGAAACTGAGTCTTAAGAGTGGGTCAGTAACTTGCCGAGAATCACAGAATTACTACATAGTGATCTGAGGTTTGAAACTGGATCTGTCTGACATAGATGTGCTGCTCAGTTCTATACTTGGATACTTTAAAATGAGAAATAATTACAGATAGGCCTAAAAAAAAGTAGGGCCTAAAAATTTTAAGGTATAGAAGTCCAGAAAGCCCTTGTTATCAAAGATCACAAACCAATGACACGTAATGATCAATGTGAATTAAGAAGTGAGTTACTTAACTAACTCTCTGGGGGTGATTTTAGGTAAAGAAAAGTGTTAATAGGTCTTATTTATTGCATGTGCCACCACAGGACTTTTAGTGAACTGACATTCTATGCTTTATAAAATAACAGTGCTTGTAAGCCCTGTGTCTCCTGTTACCACTTTAGGCATTATTCACTGTGGACACCAGGAGCTTGTTTTTCCGTGTCATCCATCTGCCACTGCTACTGGAAACGTGTTCTCCTAGGCCTACCATGCCAAAGTTTTCTCTGACAAGCTCACATAAAATGGTGGTATTGTATTTGCTATTACTATTCTACCATTTCTGGGATTAAAGAGAAGACTTCAGTCTTCAGTGCATCAGCCTTTACTGATAGATGTATTCTTTGGGAGTACATATTTAAGTGTAATTAGTGCTGAAGTCAGACTTTAAATTTGGACCAAGGGTAGGGGAACTTGACCAGTAAACAGATGGGAGGGAGAGCTTGGGTTTTATCTAAGAAAAGGGTCAATTTAAAAATCCTGTGTCTGAAACATAGCAGTTGTGAATTAAATGCATGGAACTTTTTCTAACAAGTTAATATTTAGGTCTGGCATCATCAATCAGTAAATTAATTGATTATGTCTATGCTCTCCTGTGAGCCTAGTGGTTAATTTTTAATTTTTCTATTTAAAAATTTTTTTTGTAGAGATGGGGTCTCGCTTTTGTTGCCTAGGCTGGTCTGGCTTGAAGGAATCCTCTGGCCTGAAGCAATCATCTTGTCTCAGTCTCCCAAAGTACTCGGATTACAGATGCAGGCCACTGTGCCTGACCTGGTTTAGTTTTTTATTTTGTTTTATTTTTTGAGACAGTCTTGCTCTGTTGCCCATGCTGGAGTACAGTGGTGCGATCTCAGCTCACTGCAACTTCCACCTCCTGGGTTCAAGTGATTTTTCGCCTCAGCCTCCTGAGTAGCTGGAATTACAGGCAGGCACCACCAGGTCTGGCTAATTTTTGTATTTTTAGTAGAGATGGGGTTTCACCATGTTGGCCAGGCTGGTCTCAAACTCCTGACTTCAGATGATCCGCCCACGTCGGTCTCCCAAAGTGCTGGGATTACAGGCATGAGCCACCGTGCCTGGCCCTGGTTTAGTTTTTTAATGAATGTGTCTTTATCAAGAGACTTTAGCCCACTGAAAATAGTTCAGCTGGAAGAAGTTAGTAGTTGTCGTCGTCGTCGTCGTCATCGTCGTCGTCATCGTCATCGTCATCCTCCTCCTCCTCCCCCCCTCCTTTTCCTTCTCCTCCTCTTCCTTTTCCTCTTTCTCCTCCTTCTCCTTCTTAGACTTCTCCTTTTTAGACTATAAACAACTCTGTACCATCTTTCTTATCATACTTCCCTGATTTCCATTTTTCTGGCCTTTACTACTCCTATCTTCTTTCTCAACTCAAATATGAATAAGAATTAAAGAAGCTAAAACATCAACTTAAAATAAGAATAGAATTTGTGCCTTTTTAGTATTCAGTGAATATATATTTGTATATTTTAAAAAATGTTTGAATCTAAGAGTTGAAGAAATTAGATTGGACTCTTGTTGGATTTCTTATGTGTACTTGTTTAGAATATAAAAGACTAAAATAATAATACTAGAAATGCATTAAAAAGTGGCCTGGAGAATTGGCACTATTGCTGTTACCATCTGGGCTATCCTAAATATTTTAGCCAATATTTACATATTAAGTCACAAAATTCATATATATCTCAATCAGTTTGAACAATATGGCCTCTAACTTGAAGGTTCTGTTTTCTTCCAGATTGGGAAAAGGCTCCTTACAAACTTAAAGGATTTTGTTTTGCTTTAAGTTTTGTATGTGTGGGATAAGGAGACATTTCCAAGTGCAGGATGATGGTATCACTGCTGCTACTGTTGCCACTGCTACTACTACCACTACTATATAGAACTATATGTGCACTGGGTCTTTCCTGCCCTTAATACCCCATCTTCTTTCTCAATTCAAATATAAACAAGAATTAAATAAGCTAAAAGATTAATTTAAAATAAGAATAGAATATGTGCCTTTTCAAAGCTTGGTGAATATGTATTTGTATCTTTTTAAAAAGGAAGAGTCCTGGCACTCTTTGAAATGCTGAGCAGGACTGGAGCCGTACACACTGGCAAAGGGAAGAAGACAGATCATACCTGGCACGGCAGACAGAGCTTTAAGTAAAAATTGGTTGATGATGGTTATAGGTTTGGTATAAATTTGAACATACCAGCTGGAGTCCATCTTGAATAACCGAATTTCATCTAGGAGTTAGACAAGATGAAAAGTTACTGAAATGGAAAGGTGAAGATTGTTGACTTTGGAAATCAGATTGCAGAAGTATGTAGAATGAAATATTTTGTTGAAAATGCATATATAAAAATATGTGTATTTGGGATGGGGGAAAAGACTAGTAGGATATACATACAGTGCTGATCTTTCTGGACGATGGGAATATGAAGTGTTTTAAGATTTTTTGCTCATCTGTATTCTCTAATTTTCTACAGTGTGCATATTTCTGTTATTATTATGGAAGGCTGTTTTAAAAATTGCCTGTTGAAGATGAATATCTGGTGAATTCTCCTCTTGGTTGTAGATGAGGATGGCTTATCAGATTGTTGTGAGGCTAGGTGAGGCAAGGCAAGGGATGGAGTGCTTTGAAGGATAATATATGGACCAATAATACAGTGATTTTGGTAATATGAAACAACAAGAATTAAAAACTTATTATCTTTGAACTGATAGTATTTAAGATAAATTTATCAGTTTGTGTGATTATAGAAATTTACTTTTCTAGTTATGTTTTAGGCTGATAATACAAGTTTCTAGGCTGGGCGTAGTGGCTGACACCTGTAATCCCAGCACTTTGGGGGGCCAAGGTGAAGTACTACTTGAGCCCAGGAGTTTGAGAACAGCCCAGGCACCTCGTTTCTACTGAAAAAAAACTAGCCAGGTATGGTGGTGCATGCCTGTAGTCCCATCTACTTGGGAGGCTGAGATGGGAGGGAGGATTACTTGAGCCTGGGAGGTCAAGACTGCAACGAGCTATGACTGTGCCACTGCACTCCAGCCTATGTGACAGAGCAAGCCTGTCTCAAAAAAAAAAAAAAAAAAACAGTTTTAGTCTCAACTTATACAAACATTGTACTTGATAGGGCTCAGAAATGAGCTGGGTAGCTGGAGTATACAGGCAGGGATTTAAATTTTACAGAGATAATGCGGGGTTCATGGTATTAAGAGTTTGGCAGCAATCCCCAGAAGTTAAGAAATTTCAAACAAAGGCTGACAGGAGACAGTTGGCTGGAGAATGAAAAAGTCTGGTAGAGTTGAAGTATATCATATATTAGGATCAACACCATTGCAATGAATGTTCATTGCCAGATCACTACAGTTAGAAATGTAAAAAAAAAAAAAAAAGGCAAAATAACTCCCCAAACAACTGTTTTGATTTCTGTAGTCCATGTTTAAGTTTAAAAACACATATATCTGAACCAGTTATTGTAGTCCTGTTATTTTAAATTGAAGTAACAAGAAGGATATAGAAGTGATAAACTGGAAATTAGAAAGAAGATTAATGGTAAAAGATTGGCAATACTCACTTGATAGGTCATGTTTACCTTGAGAAAAATATTATTATGAAGCTATACCTTATTTGGGGGGTAGGTTCCAAAGTTAGCATATAAAGTGAAAAATGAAATAGTCAAAATTACCTTGAAAAATCCATTTAGAAATTCCATATTAGAGATCAATAAATTCAACACAGCAGGCACAGCAGGCTTTTTCTGCAGCATTATAACAAAGCACCATTTATTTGGTTGAGCCCTAGATATACTTGGCTTGCATTTAGGGGCCATGATGTTTAGAGATGAATAATGCCTTACATGCTGGAGTCACCCTCAGTTTGTCAAAGTGTTCACACTGTGAGAGGCTCACAGAAATGGAGGCTGACTGAAGGAAGAGCAGATTCACATCTTTCATCCCTTCTTTATGCTCATGCTTCTAATTTTTGTTCCCATGTTTTCTTGCCCCTCCTCTTCTTAGCATTTATTTTGTCTGTTTCTCTTTCCCCTCTTCTGGCTCCCTCTCCATCTCTCCTGAGCACAGAAATGCGGCTACTGTATTTAATCCACAGTGGCCCCCTCTGGCCCCCTCTTTGTGTCTCCTGAGCACAGGCCCTGGCCCCCTCTCCATCTCTCCTGACCACAGAAGTGGGGCTGCTGTAACCACTTGGGCTCCATAGTTCTCAGGATGACAGTTTCAGGCACTTAACCAGATCCTCTTTGATTTGGAATGGGGCGGGGACCAGTGTTCTAGCCTGACCAGGTTTATACTGCAACTTACAGTACCTATGTTTCAGGAGTCAGTCTGGGGGCAACATGTGTCACCTTGAAGATTAGATCTGAACTAGGCTCTTGGGGGATCCAGCCTGATCTGGTGCCTATAAAATGTTCAGACCTGATTAATAAATTCTGAGTATATATGGGATTCTAGGGCTTACTATGCGGCTACTGGAGACTTGGGATACACCCAGGGATCCTGGACTCAAAGCCCTCTGGAGTGTTGAAGAATTCCTTTCCAAAGTGAAATTCATATGATCTGGATTTCCTTTGTACATCTGGGGCTGTATTTTGTAGGAGAAAGAACATAGAATGCGGGATCAAAAACTTGATTTTATACTACCATGTATTAGCTCTATGTTCTTAAGTCAGTGTTTCTTAGCTTTTCATGTTTGTGGCACATTTTCTAATACTAGAATTTTGGTGACATTGCTGAAGGAAATAAAAGACTCAAAACAGCACTAACAAATCAGTAATGGTTCAGTCGAATTACAGAGTATCACAGAGTCTTGATGTCTATCAGAAGCATCCGTGGTTTGTATACTATTTACTTGGTCATCCTTTCAGCACTGTTTTGCTGTAAGAGCTGTTCACTCTCTGCCTGTGCTGTCTCATGTAATTAGGATGCAACATTATGTATGGTTTCATTAAATACAGTCTCATTCTTTGTGAGCACTAGCTTTGTGGTGTGTTACTACTCTTGCCTCTTATTCATGACAATTCCGTACAGTGAATTTGTGTTTTCACCTGTTAAGTGAGGACAGTAAGAACTGCCTTACCTACATCGGGACTCTTGTGAGGATCAATGAGCTTTAAAGGATACAAAGGTTTTATGAAAGTTATGAAGGGCTATATAGAACTCTAAGGGATTTTTGTTAGATTTTTGTTTGTTCCCTTGTCTCTTTATCTTACTAGTTAATGAGATTATTGAGATCAGGGACTGGATTTTTTTTCTTTTTAACTTTATCGCCAGCATGTAGCTCACTGTTTGCTATATAAAAGATGTTCAATAAATATTCATTAAATTGAAAATTAAAATTATTGTTTTTATTCTTAATATTGGATTAGTTTGCCACACAGCCAGCCTTCTCTGTGTAAAGCAGTGTCAAGCTGTGGTCTGGTACATTTCATTGTGTACAGAGGAATAAGGTGAGTATTGGTGCCTGGTAGTTTTGGATGGGGAGCAGGGACAGAAAGACAATCATAGTCGTAAGTGCCCTCTTTTGGGAAGCATTCTTTCTAAATGTAGTAAAGTGGATTATCACATGGTTGCTGTGTGCAAGTTGAATGCAGCATTTTGTTTAGTCTGGTTGGAGAAATTCTGAGTGGTTTTATTATTATAGTGTCTCTATTGGAGACTCTTCCACAGCCTTATAAATTTCATTTTCCTTAATTGGGATGGGGAGGGAGGAAGAAAACAGCATTTACTTGGCATTCTTGCCTTTTAGAGCTGTGGGTTATTGATTCAGGGTCCTAGAATAGTAATGCTTGGAAGTAAAGGTTCCCTTGGGAGCACCAATGTTAAAGGGCAAAGGGAAAATGATTAGAATTTAAATCTCCAGACTCCACTGAATTTGTGGCTTCATTAAAAAGGGGTTGGGGAGGGGGACAGAGGAAATGATCTGGGCTGCTGCTTTGGGCTTTGCTTAAGGCTTACATCCACAAACTGATTACTCAGAATTACAACCTTTACAAGTTGAGCTATGTGGCCCAGTATGAACAGACAGCCAGTGGACAGATTGCTTTTACTACCAGTTGTCAGATTGGGCCTTTCAATACTAGTGAAATCGCTCTTATTTTCTAACGGAGAGTGTAACCTTTGGCTTTGGCTTTCTTTGAACTAGTGCAATCTCTTCTGCCAGTTCCTGGAAAATGTAATCACCAAATTACACACATACTTCATTCTTTGATGTGTCACTCTTTAGAAATTCTATTTCCCCAAAGTCAAGTTTTTCTTTTAGACTGTTTATCTGATGCCCAGCATTACTATTTTAAGTAGTATCTTTCCTGACCTATTAGCAGAGGGGAGCAATGTGGAATAATGGGAAGAACATTGGATAATAATGATAAATAAGTTTTGCTACCAAATAGCTATGTGATCTTGGACAAACCACTTAACCTCTCTGAGTTTATTATTTGTCTGCATTAGTCATAGTTGTGAATATTTTTCACATTCTTAGGGCTTCTATATGAAATTTATAAATGCCTTTCCTGATTTTGCTTGCTTTGATGAAAGATAAGCCATAGTTCATATCCAAATGGTTATTAGACCTTGGGTGCATGGTGTTTAAAAATATTGTTGCTGTTATTTGAATATATTTTGTAATGTAAATAATTAGGTTGAGCAGCATATGTCAGGGGTAAAACAGTCCTACAAGGATGTGTGGGCTGTTTACACAAAGTTTATATAAATACACAGTAACAATGAGTATTGGGGTTGTTGCTGGTTTTTTTTTTTTTGTTTGTTTGGTTTTTTTTTTTGAGACGGACTCTTGCTCTGTCGCCCAGGCTGGAGTGCTCACTGCAAGCTCTGCCTCCTGGGTTTATGCCATTCGCCTGCCTCAGCCTCCCGAGTAGCTGGGACTACGGGTGCCCACCACCACTCCCATCTAATTTTTGTATTTTTAGTAGAGTTGGGGTTTTACCGCGTTAGCCAGGATGGGCTCGATCTCCTGACCTCCTGATCCGCCCACCTCGGCCAGTTATTGCTGTTTTATAAGGAAAATGTTTTCTAGTACCACACTTGTCTCCCTGGAAGGGATAGAAGAAGGAGGGAAGGAAGTAGGGAGGCAGGGAAGAGAAAGAAAGAAGAAAGGAAGGGAGGAAGATTAATTTGCTCTCTCTTTGTAAAAATTATATATGGCAGATATTTGTATGTGTTAAAAACAAATCCTGTTGCCATATCCATGAAAATACATACATATGCATGCATATCTCTAAATTGGGTTAAAGGAGCATTGTCAGGCCTGGTTAGACATACAGTACAATGTACTTTTGATCTCCAGATTTTTAAATTGAAACTCATGTTCCTGTCTGGGGATTTGAAATTAAAGATAAAAGTATGGAGGCTTTCACTTAAAATGGTATATTGGTTATTCATTGTGTAGACAATAAGCAGATCATTTAAGCTGGTTCAAGTAGAAGTCATAGTATTTGTGTGTTCTGGAGCACATAGTCATAGTATTACTATGTGTGTGCTCCAGTGTGTTTCTGACTATTCTGAGGAGGAGAGAGACAAAATATCAAGCAACTGGGGACAATATGATATCCTGAAGGCTGAAATTCATACGTTATTGAAATGCTGTGTGTTCTACATGCTGTTGGTTTCATGAAAACAAAGCAAGAGACCACCCTCATTATGGAGACTGGGCAGTAGCCCAAGCAGCTGTGAAACTGAATAGAAAACTGTCCCTGTTTGTCTCAGCTTTTCAATTCATTTTGGCCCAAGTTTGAATCACCAAGCAGAGAGGTCACCTTGCTTATTGGGGTTTGACAGTCATACGGATGTTGTTGCAGATTAGATCTTTTTATAACAGTAAATTGAATCTTGTATTAGCAGAAGCTGTTTAAGTAGTGATTTTGGTGTGATGAATGGAAACCTTAGCAGGGAAGTACTCCTTATGTGGGGCTGAGAGTTTTTAGGAATCCCAGAGTTTGGAGAAGACAAATTGATTTTAGATTTAAGATCAGGGGAACAATAGCAAAATAAAATGTTTTTAGTTGTTTTCAAATTGATTCCATTAAACTTTTAAGTGTTATATTCAAGGCACTATGCTAGTGGCTTTGGATAAACAGATATTTAATAAAACATGATACTTGTACATTCTACAAAATTGTATACTAAAAATAATGGATTATTAAAAAATAGGGTTGGGTGCAGACCACTCAAAATCTGTGCAACATTGACCCATGGTACCCAGAACACAAGGGCTTGGACAGCCCAGGCAGGCAGCTCAGCATAGGTGGAGGTTGCCATAGATTATATTAAATTAAAAATGCACAAAAAAGAGTAAAAAAAATGCTGGCTTGTATAAATGTGGAGCTATTTGGAAGTGAACCCTGAGCTGGCGTGGTGGGACCTGTAGTCCCAGCTACTTGGGAGGCTGAGGCAAGAGGATTACTTGAACCAAGAAGTTTGAGACCAGTTTGGGAAACATAGTAAGACCTCATCTCAAAAACAAAAACAAAAAGGTAAGTGGAGCTCTGAGCCAGTGGAGTTGCCATTAAGGTGGGCACAGAAGGAAATAAGGCTTGTTCCAAGATGAGAACCAAGAATTAACACCTCTTTTAGCCTTGTATGCAAGCTTTCACTTTGAATTTTTCTTAAATAAAATGAAGAGCCCGTATGTGCAACAGCCAAGCTGAAGCCGTTTTGCTTTGTTTTTCCATTTTTTATTTTTTTAAGACAGGGTCTCCCTCTGTCACTCAGGCTGGAGTGTAGTGGTATGATTTCAGCCCACTGCAGCCTTTACCTCCTGGGCTCAAATGATCCTCCTGTCTCAGCCTCCCTAGTAGCTGGGGCTAAAGGCATGCACCACTATACTTGGCTAGTTCTTTATTTTTTTGTGTGGAGATGAGGTCTCACTATGTTACCTGGGTTGGTCTTGAACTCCTGCGCTCAAGCATTCCTCCTGCCTCAGCCTCCCAAAGTGCCGGGATTACAGGCACGAGCCACCGCATCTGGCCCTGTTTTGCTCTTCTTTCTGAATTCTGTTCTATTCCAGCTCCTCTTGCCTAGGAAAAAAAAATCACACCCATGAACCAATACAATATCTATATGCTATTGACATGAGCTAAGTGGTACTGTAGAAAGCTTGTGTTGTAAAAGAATCGACTGTAAAAGTGCTAGATCTGGCTAGAGGTGAACTCTGCCTACATAGAACTGATCATCTAGTTTGAAAATATGAGAAAGGCCAGGCTTGGTGGCTCACATCTGGGTATTCCCAGCATTTTGAGAGGCCAAGGTCGGAGGATTGCTTGAGCCCAGGAGTTTGAGACCAGCCTGAGCAACACAGCAAGACCTCATCTCTACAAAAAATAAATATAAAACAATTAACTGGGTATAGTGGTTTGCACCTATGGTCCCAGCTACTCAGAAGGCTGAGGTGGGAAGATAGCTTAAGCCCAGGAGGTCGAGGTTGCAGTGAGCCATTTATCATACCACTACACTCTAGCCTGGGTGACAGAGCAAGACCCTGTCTCAAAAAAAAAAAAAAAAAAAAAAAGGAGGGAGGAACCAAGATGGCCGAATAGGAGCAGCTCCGGTCTACAGCTCCCAGCGTGAGCGATGCAGAAGACGGGTGATTTCTGCATTTCCATCTGAGGTACCGGGTTCATCTCACTAGGGAGTGCCAGACAGTGGGCGCAGGTCAGTGGGTGCGCGCACCATGCGTGAGCCGAAGCAGGGCGAGGCATTGCCTCACTCGGGAAGCGCAAGGAGTCAGGGAGTTCCCTTTCCTAGTCAAAGAAAGGGGTGACAGACGGCACCTGGAAAATCGGGTCACTCCCACCCGAATACTGCGCTTTTCCGATGGGCTTAAAAAATGGCGCACCAGGAGATTATATCCCGCACCTGGCTTGGAGGGTCCTACGCCCACGGAGTCTCCCTGATTGCTAGCACAGCAGTCTGAGATCAAACTGCAAGGCGGCAGCGAGGCTGGGGGAGGAGTGCCCGCCATTGCCCAGGCTTGCTTAGGTAAACAAAGCAGCCCAGAAGCTCGAACTGGGTGGAGCCCACCACAACTCAAGGAGGCCTGCCTGCCTCTGTAGGCTCCACCTCTGGGGGCAGGGCACAGACAAACAAAAAGACAGCAGTAACCTCTGCAGACTTAGATGTCCCTGTCTGACAGCTTTGAAGAGAGCAGTGGTTCTCCTAGCAAGCAGCTGGAGATCTGAGAACGGGCAGACTGCCTCCTCAAGTGGGTCCCTGACCCCTGACCCCCGAGCAGCCTAACTGGGAGGCATCCCCCACCAGGGGCAGACTGACACCTCACACAGCCAGGTACTCCAACAGACCTGCAGCTGAGGGTCCTGTCTGTTAGAAGGAAAACTAACAAACAGAAAGGACATCCACACCAAAAACCCATCTGTACATCACCATCATCAAAGACCAAAAGTAGATAAAACCACAAAGATGGGGAAAAAACAGAGCAGAAAAACTGAAAACTCTAAAAAGCAGAGCGCCTCTCCTCCTCCAAAGGAACGCAGTTCCTCACCAGCAACGGAACAAAGCTGGACGGAGAATGACTTTGACGAGCTGAGAGAAGAAGGCTTCAGACGATCAAATTACTCCGAGCTACGGGAGGAAATTCAAATCAAAGGCAAAGAAGTTGAAAACTTTCAAAAAAGTTTAGAAGAACGTATAACTAGAATAACCAATACAGAGAAGTGCTTAAAGGAGCTCCTGGAGCTGAAAACCAAGGCTCGAGAACTATGTGAAGAATGCAGAAGCCTCAGGAGCTGATGCAATCAACTGGAAGAAAGGGTATCAGCGATGGAAGATGAAGTGAATGAAATGAAGCAAGAAGGGAAGTTTAGAGAAAAAAGAATAAAAAGAAACGAGCAAAACCTCCAAGAAATATGGGACTATGTGAAAAGACCAAATCTACATCTGATTGGTGTACCTGAAAGTGACGGGGAGAATGGAACCAAGTTGGAAAACACTCTGCAGGATATCATCCAGGAGAACTTCCCCAGTCTAGCAAGGCAGGCCAACATTCAGATTCAGGAAATACAGAGAACGCCACAAAGATACTCCTCGAGAAGAGCAACTCCAAGACACATAATTGTCAGATTCACCAAAGTTGAAATGAAGGAAAAAATGTTAAGGACAGCCAGGGAGAAAGGTCGGGTTACCCACAAAGGGAAGCCCATCAGACTAACAGCTGATGTCTCGGCAGAAACTCTACAAGCCAGAAGAGAGTGGGGGCCAATATTCAACATTCTTAAAGAAAAGAATTTTCAACCCAGAATTTCATATCCAGCCAAACTAAGCTTCATAAGTGAAGGAGAAATAAAATCCTTTACAGACAAGCAAATGCTGAGAGATTTTGTCACCACCAGGCCTGCCCTAAAAGAGCTCCTGAAGGAAGCGCTAAACATGGAAAGGAACAACTGATACCAGCCGCTGCAAAATCATGCCAAAATGTAGACCATCGAGGCTAGGAAGAAACTGCATCAACTAACCAGCAAAATAACCAGCTAGCATCATAATGACAGGATCAAATTCACACATAACAATATTAACTTTAAATGTAAATGGACTAAATGCTCCAATTAAAAGACACAGACTGGCAAATTGGATAAAGAGTCAAGACCCATCAGTGTGCCGTATTCAGGAAACCCATCTCACATGCAGAGACACACATAGGCTCAAAATAAAAGGATGGAGGAAGATCTACCAAGCAAATGGAAAACAAAAAAAGGCAGGGGTTGTAATCCTAGTCTCTGATAAAACAGACTTTAAACCAGCAAAGATCAAAAGAGACAAAGAAGGCCATTACATAATGGTAAAGGGATCAATTCAACAAGAAGGGCTAACTATCCTAAATATATATGCACCCAATACAGGAGCACCCAGATTCATAAAGCAAGTCCTGAGCGACCTACAAAGAGACTTAGACTCCCACACATTAATAATGGGAGACTTTAACACCCCACTGTCAACATTAGACAGATCAACGAGACAGAAAGTCAACAAGGATACCCAGGAATTGAACTCAGCTCTGCACCAAGTGGACCTAATAGACAACTACAGAACTCTCCACCCCAAATCAACAGAATATGCATTTTTTTCAGCACCACACCCCACCTGTTCCAAAATTGACCACATACTTGGAAGTAAAGCTCTCCTCAGCAAATGTAAAAGAACAGAAATTATAACAAACTATCTCTCAGACCACAGTGCAATCAAATTAGAACTCAGGGTTAAGATTCTCACTCAAAACAGCTCAACTACATGGAAACTGAACAACCTGCTCCTGAATGACTACTGGGTACATAACGAAATGAAGGCAGAAATAAAGATGTTCTTTGAAACCAACGAGAACAAAGACACAACATACCAGAATCTCTGGGACACATTCAAAGCAGTGTGTAGAGGGAAATTTATAGCACTAAATGCCCACAAGAGAAAGCAGGAAAGATCTAAAATTGACACCCTAACATCACAATTAAAAGAACTAGAGAAGCAAGAGCAAACACATTCAAAAGCTAGCAGAAGGCAAGAAATAACTAAAATCAGAGCAGAACTGAAGGTAATAGAGACACAAAAAACCCTTCAAAAAATTAATGAATCCAGGAGCTGGTTTTTTGAAAGGATCAACAAAATTGATAGACCACTAGCAAGACTAATAAAGAAAAAAAGAGAGAAGAATCAAATAGACGCAATAAAAAATGATAAAGGGGATATCACCACTGATACCACAGAAATACAAACTACCATCAGAGAATACTACAAACACCTCTACGCAAATAAACTAGAAAATCTAGAAGAAATGGATAAATTCCTCGACACATACACCCTCCCAAGACTAAACCAGGAAGAAGTTGAATCTCTGAATAGACCAATAACAGGAGCTGAAATTGTGGCAATAATCAGTAGCTTACCAACCAAAAAGAGTCCAGGACCAGATGGATTCACTGCCGAATTCTACCAGAGGTACAAGGAGGAACTGGTACCATTCCTTCTGAAACTATTCCAATCAATAGAAAAAGAGGGAATCCTCCCTAACTCATTTTATGAGGCCAGCATCATCCTGATACCAAAGCCGGGCAGAGACACAACCAAAAAGGAGAATTTTAGACCAATATCCTTGATGAACATCGATGCAAAAATCCTCAATAAAATACTGGCAAACCGAATCCAGCAGCACATCAAAAAGCTTATCCACCATGATCAAGTGGGCCTCATCCCTGTGATGCAAGTCTGGTTCAATATACGCAAATCAATAAATGTAATCCAGTATATAAACAGAACCAAAGACAAAAACCACATGATTATCTCAATAGATGCAGAAAAGGCCTTTGACAAAATTCAACAACCCTTCATGCTAAAAACTCTCAATAAATTAGGTATTGATGGGACGTATCTCAAAATAATAAGAGCTATCTATGACAAACCCACAGCCAATATCATACTGAATGGGCAAAAACTGGAAGCATTCCCACTGAAAACTGGCACAAGACAGGGATGCCCTCTCTCACCACTCCTAGTCAACATAGTGTTGGAAGTTCTGGCCAGGGCAATTAGGCAGGAGAAGGAAATAAAGGGTATTGAATTAGGAAAAGAGGAAGTCAAATTGTCCCTGTTTGCAGATGACATGATTGTATATCTAGAAAACCCCATTGTCTCAGCCCAAAATCTCCTTAAGCTGATAAGCAACTTGAGCAAATTCTCAGGATACAAAATCAATGTACAAAAGTCACAAGCGTTCTTATACACCAACAACAGACAGAGAGCCAAATCATGAGTGAACTCCCATTCACAATTGCTTCAAAGAGAATAAAATACCTAGGAATCCAAATTACAAGGGATGTGAAGGACCTCTTTAAGGAGAACTACAAACCACTGCTCAAGGAAATAAAAGAGGATACAAACAAATGGAAGAACGTTCTATGCTCATGGGTAGGAAGAATCAATATCGTGAAAATGGCCATACTGCCCAAGATAATTTACAGATTCAATGTCATCCCCATCAAGCTACCAATGACTTTCTTCACAGAATTGGAAAAAACTACTTTAAAGTTCATATGGAACTAAAAAAGAGCCCGCATTGCCAAGTCATTCCTAAGCCAAAAGAACAAAGCTGGAGGCATCACACTACCTGACTTCAAACTATACTACAAGGCTACAGTAACTGAAACAGCATGGTACTGGTACCAAAACAGAGATATAGATCAATGGAACAGAATAGAGCCCTCAGAAATAACGCCGCATATCTACAACTATCTGATCTTTGACAAACCTGAGAAAAACAAGCAATGGGGAAAGGATTCCCTATTTAATAACCGGTGCTTGGAAAACTGGCTAGCCATATGTAGATAGCTGAAACTGGATCCCTTCCTTACACCTTATACAAAAATCAATTCAAGATGGATTAAAGACTTAAACGTTAGACCTAAAACCATAAAAACCCTAGAAGAAAACCTAGGCATTACCATTCAGCACATAGGCATGGGTAAGGACTTCGTGTCTAAAACACCAAAAGCAATGGCAACCAAAGCCAAAATTGACAAATGGGATCTAATTAAACTAAAGAGCTTCTGCACAGCAAAAGAAACTACCATCAGAGTGAACAGGCAACCTACAAAATGGGAGAAAATTTTCGCAACCTACTCATCTGACAAAGGGCTAATATCCAGAATCTACAATGACCTCAAACAAATTTAGAAGAAAAACACAAACAACCCCATCAAAAAGTGGGCGAAGGACATGAACAGACACTTCTCAAAAGAAGACATTTATGCAGCCAAAAAACACATGAGAAAATGCTCACCATCACTGGCCATCAGAGAAATGCAAATCAAAACCACAATGAGATACCATCTCACACCAGTTAGAATGGCAATCATTAAAGAGTCAGGAAACAACAGGTGCTGGAGAGGATGTGGAGAAGTAGGAACACTTTTACACTGTTGGTGGGACTGTAAACTAGTTCAACCATTGTGGAAGTCAGTGTGGCGATTCCTCAGGGAACTAGAACTAGAAATAGCATTTGACCCAGCCATCCCATTACTGGGTATATACCCAAAGGACTATAAATCATGCTGCTATAAAGACACATGCACACGTATGTTTATTGCGGCATTATTCACAATAGCAAAGACTTGGAACCAACCCAAATGTCCAACGATGATAGACTGGATTAAGAAAATGTGGCACATGTACACCATGGAATACTATGCAGCCATAAAAAATGATGAGTTCACGTCCTTTGTAGGGACATGGATGAAACTGGAAACCATCATTCTCAGCAAACTATCGCAAGAACAAAAAACCAAACACCGCATATTCTCACTCATAGGTGGGAATTGAACAATGAGAACACGTGGACACAGGAAGGGGAACATCACACTCTGGGGCCTGTTTTGGGGGTGGGGGAGTGGGGAGGGATAGCATTGGGTGATATACCTAATGCTAGATGACAAGTTAGTGGGTGCAGGGCACCAGCATGGCACATGTATGCATATGTAACAAACCTGCACATTGTGCACATGTACCCTAAAACTTAAAGTATAATAATAATAACTTAAAACAAAACAAAACAAAAAAACAAAAAAAAACTATAAGAAAGCTAAAGTTAAATGATGAAAGTTTAAAAATGTCTCAAGGAAACACTGCAAGAAGTGACAAAATGCAGTAGTATATGATTATCAAGATTCTGTAGCTATTAAATATTTAGTGGCTTCTCTCCCTTTTACTTCCTTTCTCCCTTTCACCCCAAGGCATTTTTTTAAAGCTCTTAGACCCTATGGAGTCATAGTATAGAAAGAAATACCTGTGTCTGACCCTATACCCATTCAAGGACAAATATTTTAGGTATGAATCTTTAGCTTTCTCATCTGTTGTTGAGTAACTTGTGATTGTATAGTCAGCAAATTAAATTTAATTCATTTAATTCAACAGACTCTTTCTGAATGCCAAGGATTGCACAGCACTGTACTAATTGCTGAATAAGATGTGGTCCCTGCCCATCATGAGAGAGCAGGAAGAAAAAGCATAAGCAAAGTAATGTGAAAGTATTGGAGAAGAGATGAATATGCCAACTGCTAAAACTGGTGAAGCCTTCTTTTTTTTTTTTTTTTTTTTTTTTTTTTTTTTGAGACGGAGTCTCGCTCTGTCGCCCAGGGTGGAGTGCAGTGGCGGGATCTCGGCTCACTGCAAGCTCCGCCTCCCGGGTTCACGCCATTCTCCTGCCTCAGCCTCCCAAGTAGCTAGGACTACAGGCGCCCGCCACTACGCCCGGCTATTTTTTGTAGTTTTAGTAGAGACGGGGTTTCACCGTTTTAGCCGGGATGGTCTCGATCTCCTGACCTCGTGATCCGCCCGCCTCGGCCTCCCAAAGTGCTGGGATTACAGGCGTGAGCCACCGCGCCCGGCCTGGTGAAGCCTTCTTATAGAAAATGGGACTCGAGCGGGGCTTAGAAAGTTTGGAAGATTTTGGCAGACTTACTGGAGGGAAAAAGTGTTTTTGGCAGAGGTGGAGCAAAGAACAGAAGTAGGAAAATGCTGAATGTGATCAGACATAGTGAGTAGAGTTGTGGGTAAAGATTGCATATGGGCTAGTGCATGGGGATATTTAGTGAAAGATAAAGTTGGAAAGCTAGGATGGAGCTAAATTGTAGTATTTTAAATATCAGACTAAATAATTTGATTCATTCCCTATATAGAGGTAAGCCAGTTAAAATTTTGAGGCATGAAATAACCTGATCAGAGGCATTTGGAAAGTAAAAAATTCACAATAAGTGAGTGCCTATTACTTATACTTCTACTATTAATAAAATTATATATTTTATATTATTTTATTTACTCCTCATGATAATCCTGAAAAGTAGGTATTATAAGTGTGGAGAGAGTGTATGGGAACTCTCTGTACCTTCTACTGAATCTTGCTGTGAACCTAAAACTAAAAATGTAAACTGTAAAAAAGTATATTAAAAATTAACATCTATTAAAAGTAGATATTATTATCTACATTTACAAGTGAACAAACTGAAGCCTTGTAATCCTAGCTACTTGGGAGGCTGAGGCAGGAGAATTGCTTGAACCCAGGAGGTGGAGGTTACAGTGAGCCAAGATTGCGCCATTGCACTCCAGCCTGGGCAAAGGAGTGAGACTCTGTCTCAAAGAAAAAAAAAAGAAAAAAGAAAATTGCAAATAATTTGTTCAGGGTCACATAGCTGGAAATGACAGCTCAAGTAAAGCCTATACCTGTGTAATTTTTTTTTTTTTTTTTGACGGAGTTTCACTCTTGTTGCCCAGGCTGGAGTGCAATGGCGCAATCTCGGCTCACTGCAACCTCTGCCTCCTGGGTTCAGGCAATTCTTCTGCCTCAGCCTCCCGAGTAGCTGGGATTACAGTCGCATGCCACCATGCCCAGCTAATTTTTATTTTTAGTAGAGATGGGGTTTCACCATGTTGGCCAGGTTGGTCTCAAACTCCTGACCTCAGATGATCCCCCCCGTCCCCGGCCTCCCAAAGTGCTGGGATTACAGGCATGAGCCACCACGCCCAGCCACCTGTCTAATTTTTAAAGTCTGTCATCTTTCTACTTAGGAAATGCAGTAGACAAAGTTTGGGTACAGAAAGTGCAGTGATAAGTCCGTTGCAGAAGACGGATGATAAGGGGCTGACCTAGCAGTGGTAGTGGAAATGGAGAGATGTAATGGAGTATTTTAGTTATAGACTTGAAAGAACTTAGTGACTAATGGGATGTGGGTCACAAGGCAGAGGAAGCATTGAAGATACCCAGTTAACTGCGAGAATACCTTCGTTTCATCACCACGTATTGAATGCATACTTACTATGTAACTGATACTGCTTTAGGCAATAGGGACTTGTTGCTGAATAAAATAAATTTTCTGCTTTCATGGAGCTTATGTTCTAGTATGGGACAAAGAGATGGTAAACATACTGTATGGAAGATGATGATAAGTACTCAGAAGAAGAATAAAGTAAGTAAAGAGGAGCGATAAAGAGTGATGAAGGGCTTAGGTACCATGGCTCAGGCCTGTAATCCCAGTCTTTTGGGTGGCCAAGGCAAGAGGGTCACTCAAGGCCAGGAGTTTGAGATCAGCCTGGGCAACATAATGAGACCTTGTCTCTACCAAAACAAAAAACCAACTAACAAACAAAAAAACAAATGTTTAAAAAAAAAGAGTGATGAAGAGGATGGGGTGCAATTTTATCTTGGATAGAACATAAAGGTGTTTCTTAAGAAGTAATGTATAAGCAGAGACCTGAAGGAAATAAGGGAAAAAGCCATGTGGCTTCTGGGGAAAGAGTAATCTAGGCAGAGGGACCATTGGGGTAAAAGCCCACAGGAGGGGATGTGCTTACTCTGCTCACAGAGTAACAAAGAGAACGGTTTGTTTTGACTGGGGTGAATGAAGAAGATGAAGTCAAATAAGTTGTTTAGGGGAGGGAAGATCATATAGGGTTTGAAGGCCATGGTAAAGACTTTAGATTTTACTCTAATAGGAGGACATCAGAGGTTTTGAGCAAAGTGTTGACATGATCAGACTAATGCTCAAAAGGATCATCCTAGCTGCTATGTGAAAAATAGGCTGTGAGGACACCAGATACATGAGGCCAATTCCAATTGGGAGGCCCTTGTGATCTAGGCAAGAGAAATGATGGTTTGGACAAAGGTGGTAGCAATAGAGTGGTGAAAAGGTGCGTTCTAGATATCTTTTTGAAAGTAGGACTAACTGAATTTTCTAAAGTATTGAATGTGGGATATGAGAAAAAGAACACAGCAGAATCATTTGACCTGAGCAACTGGTAGATTGAAATTGCCATTTATTGAGTAGAGAAATAATGTGGATAAAGGTTTTAGGGGAAGGGAGTTAGAAGTAAGAGTTCAGTTTTTGATGTTTATTAGATATCCAAGTGGAGATTTGAGTGTACATTTGTAATTCAATTGAGTTGTAAATTTGTGAGATGTATATTATAACCGTAGCCAGTTACCCTGAAATCACAAATAATAAGTAGAAATGGGTGAGGGGACAATTTGGGATCAACATATTGCTGCTGCGGACAAAGGAAAGTGTCTCAAACTCAACAATGCCATTTTCACCAAAGAAAGTACATAGGTATAAAGCAATAGATGTAATAAGTACAGGAGAGGTCTGGAAACCACATCTTGGGTACTCCAATATTAAGAAAGAAAGATCAGGTTAAGAATTAGGAAAGGAAACTGAGAAATAATGGCCAGTGAATGAACAAATGAATAGAATTGTTCTGTCTACATCCAATCTCTTGTGTACAGTACTTCTTACCTGGAATTATGATAGACTTTGGAAGAATGGAGAAAGAATGAAGCCATTGAGGTCAAAAGAGGACAATCTTTTGAAGGTGAGTAAATGATAGGTCAAGTAAGATGAGATTGAGAATTGGTCATCATTTTTAACAATACTAGAGGTCATTTGTGATCTTGTTTAGAGGAATTTAGGTGAAGGTGGTTCAAGAAAGTGGGAGACCAAATAGTGGTGGTACAAATAGTTTCATACATTTTGAAGTTCTGTTATTAGGTGCATACATACATATTTATGATGATATGTCTTTCTGTTGAATTTGCCCCTTTATAATTGTAAATGTCCCTCTTTATCTCTGGTTCTACTTTTGTTTTGCAGTCTACTTTATTTTATACTACTATAGCTACTTGCTGTAGCCACTTGGATGTCAATTTGGTCTAGTGTTGTGCTTTTTAGCTTTTATTTCTTTTGATAATTAAGATAGTATGTTGAAGGTGTTTACACAGAAGATGTGGATTTGATCTAATGTTGTTGCATTTTAGCTTTTCTGTTCATTTGATCATTTACTTGTATTGGATAACTGATTAATTTGTGAACAGTTACCAAAGGTCAAGTCCATGGATAATGCTGCCAAAGAATCAAATCTCTGTTATCTACACTTTGAATATGTTACAAGGTGAATATCATATTTGCTGTGCTTCATTTATATCAGAAACAGCTTTGAGGCCCAGGGAATACTCAAGTGATGATGTGGAGAAAGCAGCTCAGAGCTCTTGCCAAGTCTAATAGAGAATAATAAAATGCTCTTGGTATAGTTGTCATAATTTTTATTATGATACTGTAGATTAGTATACTTATATTTGTATCTTGAGGGAAAAATACAGAGAATTTACTTTACTTTGAAATTTGGTTGGTTTGGATGAGGGTTTACTTTATTTCTTTTGACAGCTTGGATCTTACCAACAGTCACATTTCTTCATGACTACTGTTCCCATCCCTTAATGAGGCTCATGTTGCTAGTTACAATGGAATAATTAAGTTCTACTATTGGGTTTGGGCTGCTTCCACAATGCTTGTCTTTTAGTTGTAAATCTGAATGTTGGGCTAGCTATCTACTGTTGTCCATTTTACCCTTTAGCCTATTTGCCGAGGAATTGGCACTTTCTCTTCCAGTGCCCAGTGCACCTCAAATATATCTTAGAGTAGCATGGAGATTGAAGAGATACTTCAATTAGATTTTACTCTAATCTATTGCATTATCAGAGAAATATATGTTTTGGAAATATAAATAGAACATAATTCTTAAAGGAAAAAATACCCTTTAAATCTTGCAGTTTTCTTTGGCAGAAGAACAGTATTAACATCTGGTTACCAAACTGTGGTACCCTTAAGAGAATTGGAGTTGGTCCAATTTCCAATAAAATACTGGATTAAGTGACTTCTCTTGAGTTTTTATTATTTTAAAGTACATTTTTAAACCTCTGTTCTCCCTGTAATTTGCAGTTTGCAGTTACTTGCGAGCAGTGATTTTAGTTTACATGATGAATCATTCTCTATACTAACATTTGTAGGATACCACAAAAAATATCATCAGAGTAAAAATGCCAGGTTACTAAAATGCAGCAGACAGGAAGGCACCATCTACTAATAGGGAAGCTCCGTCCTTGAATACTTGTTGGAAGGGAGGGAACTGCTATCATTGAGCATTGATCTTATACCAGGAGCGTCACACATTTTATCTCTTTTAGGTTTGCAAGAAGCCTCTAAGGTAGGCTTATTCATTCCTCTCAATAATCTGCTGAATCAAGGGCAGGTACTATAATTTCTATTGGACTGGTTGAGAATCTTAGAGAGAAATCTGTGAGTTGCCTAAGGCCAAATTGCCAATCAGTAGAGCTGGGGGCAGACCTCAAATTCCTCATTTCCAGTCTATTCCTTCTACTGGGTCTCCTGACACTTTTTTTTCTTTTCTTTTTTTTTTTTTTGAGAATGTGATGGAAATGTGAGAAACCTCAGTGGCTTGTTTTTCTAGTTCAGCCTCCCTACTGACATTTTCTCTTTTAACAACTGTAAACCTAGTACATGTATGTGTCTAATACCAAGATGAATACCGCCCCTTCCTGTAGGAATTCATAGTAGGTAAGGCAAAACAGCAGGCATAAAATAAATGCTAGAAGTAAAATTTTATAGGTGTTAATTTCCTAAGTCCTAGAGAGGTTATGATTCCTGTAAACTTTTCCAGTGACATAGTGGAAGATCCAACACAAGCACTCATCTGTAAAAATAGTGATAATAGCACATCCTGCTTAGGTTTGTTGTAGGGATTAAATAGATTATCAGATAATCCATGTATAAAGCATTTAGAACAGTACCTGGAACAAGGTAGCTGATCAACAAATAGTAATTTCAGTTTCATGCTTTTTGTTCCATAAAACTGCCTCTTCAGATTGAAATATTTGCATGTCAATGGACAGGAACAGTAGAAGAAAAAACATGCTTTTTTCTTATGGAAATTGATCCAGAAAATTATTATTCATCAGCATAAAGGATTGATTATAAGAGACTGGATTTTGTACCCAACATAAGAATTACACAAACCAGTCCTTTATTAGCATGTTCCTTATTCTTAATTCCTCTGATATGTTTTATACACTTAAATTCCTACATTTGTTGGATTATTTTGGGATTTGTTTCACTGTCACATGTGTCACAGCTTTGAGAAAGAGATTTTTGATTTTGTTATATGTAGGCTGTGAGTTTTAATAGTTTCCAGCATTGTCTGTTGCCCTTATTATCCTGTATATTCTTGTTTAATTAAAACAAACAGACAAAACACAATTGCTTCTCTCTCCTATGAGTTAGACCTAAAATGTGCTCATCTTGGAGTTTATTCACCTATATTAACAGTGGGGCTTTCAGCTCTTGTCGGAAGTGCTATGCTAGTCAGGCTTTCTTCTTCTTTTTTGAGCTTTTTATTTTGAAATAATACTAGATTTACAGAAATGTTGCAAAACTAGAACAGAGATTTCCTGTATACCCTTCACCTAGCTTTCTTTAATGTTAACGTTTTGAAGAAGCATAGTGTAATTAACACAGATACAGTATTATTGACTAAATTGTAGCCCGTACAAATTTCTCTAGTTTTCCCGTGGATGTCCTTGTTCTGTCCTAAGATGTAATCCAGGATTCCACATTGCATTTAATTGTCCTATCTCCTTAAGTCACTTCTGATACATGATTTTGTCAGTCTTTTCTGTAACATTTCTTGTAGTGAAGGCCTGCTGTTGCTGAAGTCTTTCACATTAAAAAAATCTTTTTATTTATTTCCAATTGTGATAAAATACACATAACATAAAATTTACCATTGTAACCATTTTTAAGTGTGTAGTTCAGCAGTGTTAAATGTATTCACATTGTTGTGCAACTAATCTCCACAACTCTTCATCTTGCAAAACTGAAACTTGGTACTCATTAAACAACTCTCCATTTCCCCCTCCCCTCAACTTCTGGCAACTACCATTCTACTTTCTGTCTTTATGAACTTGACTATTCTAGCTACCTCATATAAGTGGAATTATACAGTATTTGTCTTTTTTATGACTAGCTTGTTTCATTTAGCATAATGTCCTCAAGGTTCATCTATGCTGTAGTGTGTGCCATATTTTCCTTTCTTTTGAAAACTGAATAATATTCCATTATATGTATATATCACATTTTGTTTATGTATTCTTCAATAGAAACTTGGGTTGCCTCCACCCTTTGGTTATTGTGAATAAGGCAGCTTTGAACATGGGTATTCAAATATATGTCTGAGTCCCTGCTTTCAGTTATTTTGGGTATATAGCCATAGGTAGAATTGCTGAGTCATATGATAACTTCTATTTTTAATTTTCAAGGAACCATCACACTGTTTCCAAATCAGCTTTTATATGTCTGAAATTATATATTTTTTTTGCTTAGATGTTTGAAAAATATTTTCACTAGGTCTAGAGATTTCTTTCAGAAATTTAGAGATGTTGCTCCACTTACCTGTCTCATATTGTTTCTAGTGAGAAGTTAGCTGTCATTTTTAGCTTTCTCTCTGTAAAATCTGTATTTTTTTCTGGCTGCTTTTAAGATTTTTTCTTTATTAATGTATTTAAAAAATTGATTATGATGTGTCTTGGTATAGTTTTTATTAATTTTTATTTAAGCAATAACAGTTATTAAACCTAGAACATTTTCAGGTCTTATTTTCTCAAATATATTTTTTTGCCCTCTCCTGTCTCTCTTCTCCTTTGGAGACTTCAATTACTTGTATATTCGGCTGCTTGAACTTGCTCCTGGCTCACTGGTTCTCTATGAAAACACTGTCCTGCTTTATTTTAAATTGTTTCAATTGGTATATCTTCAAATCTACTAATCTATTTTGGTTTCTAATTTGCTATTAATCCTATTCTCTCTCTCTCTGCTTTTTTTTTTGTTGTTGTTTTTTTGACACAGAATCTTGCTCTATTGCTCATGGTAGAGTGTGGTGGCAGTCATAACTCATTGCAGCCCCAACCTCTGGGGTCAGGTGATCCTCCTGCCTCAGCCACCCTAGTATCTGGGAGGTTCATGCCACCATGCCTGGCTAATTGTTTTGTAGAGATGGGGTCTCCCTATGTTGCCCAGGCTGGTCTCAAACTCCTGGGCTCAAAGATCCTACCACCTTGGCCTCCCATAGTGCTGAGATTACAGGCATGAGCCACTGTGCCCAGCTCCTCTGGTTTTTAGCTTTTTTTTTTTTTTTTTTGAGACAGAGTCTCACTCTGTATCCTAGATTGGAGTGCAGTGGTGAGATCTTGGCTCACTGCAACCTCCGCCTCCCAGGTTCAAGCTATTCTCATGCCTCAGCCTCCCAAGCAGCTGAGATTACAGGTGTGCACCACCATGCCTGGCTAATGTTCTTGTATTTTTTAGTAGAGACAGAGTTTTGCCATGTTGGCTAGGCTGGTATTGAACTCCTGGCCTTGAATAATCTGCCCACCTTGGCCCTCCCCAGGTGCTGGGATTATAGGCGTGAGCCACCTCACCTGGCCCCCTCTGCATTTTTAAATGTGAGACATTGCATTTTTTTTGCTTTGTGTCTTTTTGAAAAATGTCTTCCAATCTTTCCTTAGCATGCTCGTGTTTTTTTCTAGCTTCTTGAACATATAGAATATTGTTATAATAACTGTTTTAGGAGACAATATCCTTGTCTACTAACCTATGTCATTTCTAGTTTCATTTTTATTGGTTTATTATTCTCCTCTTTATGGGCTTTATTTTCCTTATTTGCATGCCTGCCAGACATTGTGAATTTTACCTTGTTGAATGCTAGATATTCTTATATATATGAAATATTTTTGAATTTTGTTGTGGAGCTTTGTTGCTGTTAAGTTACTTGGAGATGGTTTGATCCTTTTCAGACTTGCTTTTAATGTTTGTTAGGACCAGAGTAGCCTTTGGTCTACGTTAATTTTGCCTCACTATTGAGGGAATACTGGGAAGAGTTTTCACTGGGAAGCAATATGGGTAGTGTAAAGAACACTTAAACAGGAGTTCCCCAATCACTGATCTAGTTGTGGCTCTGTCATTTACCAGCTGCTTAGCCTTGAGTTTATTACTTCTCTTCTCTGACTCTGTTTCCTCACTGGAAAATAGAGACAAAGATTCAGACACAAATTCTATAAAGTGATATATAAATATTGTAAAGAAAGTTGAATATTAAAAAAAAAAAGGCACCAGAAGCAGTGGCTCATGCCTGTAATCTCAACTAGGGAGGCTGAGGTAGGAGGATTGCTTGAGCCCAGGAATTCCTTTGTATTATGTCCTATGTATTACAAGGTTTTTTTTTTTTTAACTTTAGAATATATTATGTCCTAGTCCCATGTATTACATGGTTTTTTTTTTTTTTTTACTTTACAATATATTATGTCCTATGTATTACAAGGTTTTGTTTGGTTTTTTACTTTAGAATCTATTATGTCCTAGTCCTATGTATTACATGGGTTTTTTTACTTTAGAATCTATTATGTCCTGTGTATTACATGTTTTTTTTTTAACTTTAGAATCTGTTACGTCCTATGTATTACATGGGTTTGTGTTTTTACTTTAGAATTTATTGTGTCCTATGTATGACAAGGTTTTTTTCACTCTGGCTTGTGAGAAGACCATTCCTGTTTCTATGAGCTCTGGAGAGTGTTCTGCCTGTTTCTTTCTGGTGCTTCTTTCCTCAGCCTTGGGTAGTTTTCTCACCTGGATGTGCTGATTGGTTCTCAGCTGAAGACGTCAGGTCGGGGCACTCTCTGAGGATCTCTACAGTTTTCTCTCAGTGCAGCTGTCTCCATTCCAGTATTTTGCCTTGTGAACTCTAGGCACTTTGGCTTCTCTGAGCTCTCAACTCTGCCTTCCCAACTAAGACCAGTGGGCTCTTCTTTGCTTCCCCTTCCCAGAGCTGGAGCCTGAAAACTCTCTAGGCAGTGCACTTAGAGGTAGGGCTTACCCCTTTTTTCCCCTTCTCTCAGGATTATTGTCCTTTGTTGCCCCTTGTCCAATGTCTGAAGATTTATTTTTTTATATATTTTTCCTGAATTTTATAGTTGTTTAAGTTATTAGGTATGTTAATCTTGCCCTGTTACTCCATCTTGCCAGAAGCAGAATTTAAGTAAGTTATTTAATCTCCTTATGTTCAAGTTTACTCATCTATAAAATGAAGATAATACTCTGAGTTTGTGAAGATTGAATAAGATAATACACACAAAGCACTTAGTATAGTTCCTGGCACATGCTGAATGCTCAGTAAATGTTAGTTGCTCAATATATTGTTGGCACAAAAAAGAGGAGAGCATAGCTTACACCAGTCTGAGCAACTAGGATCAGGAGCCAATTTATTTCATTTTGGCTCACTGTCTCTGATTTATATTAGGGTTCTCCAGGGAGACACAACCAATAGTAGATAGAAAGGTAGATAGGTAGGTAGGTATGAAGATAGATGAGAAGGGATTTGTTAGGGGAATTGGCTCATGAGATTATGGGGGCCAAGAAGTCTCATGACAGGCAGTCTGCAAGCTGGAGACCCTTGGATGCTGGTAGTGTAGTTCAGTCCAAGTCTGAACCAGCCTTAGAACCAGGGCAGCCAATGGTGTAATAATACTCAGTCCAAGGCTAAAGGCCTAAGAACCTAAGGGGCACTGGTGTAAGTAAGTCCTGGAATTCCAAGGCTATAGAACCTGGAGTTCTGATGTCCTAGGACAGGAGGAAGGGACTATCCCACTTCCTGGAGAGAAACAGGAAATCCTTTTCTTTCCCTTTTTGTTCTCTCCAGTTCTGCAGCCATTTGTATGGTTCACCCACATTGAGGGCAGATCTTCCCTACTCAGTCCACTGACTTACCTGCCAATATTCTCTGGAAACACCCTCACAGACACAGCCAGAAGTAATGCTTTACAGTTCTCTAGGTATTCCGTAATCTTGTCAAATTGACACCTAAAATTAGCCATCACAGAAGTATTAAAAAGCAAGAGCTATTAGTGGAAATGTTTTTAACCCTTTCCTCCCCTCTCCTAATTATTTACTTTTACCAGGGCTAAAACATGAATCTTAATACTCTAAATAATGTACAAGGCAGTAATTTTCTTTAAAACCATTTTGTTTTAGTTCTAGGTCAGAATAGTATAGTAATTAGGAGCACAGTCTGGATTGAAGTTCTTGCTTTCCCTTTTATTAATCTGCAGCAAAGTTATTCTTTCTAATCCTCAGTTTTACAAATGAGATGCCACCACATACTTTATAAGGTTGTTCAGAGAATTAAATAAGTTAGTGCATATGAAGTCCTTCAGCACAGTGCCTGTCACGTAGTTCAGGCATAATAAATGGTAGTAATTATTAACTTTACTTATATTAAAGTTCATTTCGGAGATCTAAAACTGAAATGACCCTAACTCCAACTTTCTAGGGTATGCTTTCCTTTCTTTTTTGTGGCCTTTTCTTTCTTCTTCTATTATTATTTTTTTATTATTTAAGGAATTAGAGTCTTGAGTCTTGTTCTGCCATCCAGGCTGGAGTGCAGTGCCAGGATCATAGCTCACTACATCCTGGAAGTCTTGGGCTCAGGCGATCCTCCCGCCTCAGCCTGCCGAGTTGCTTAGATTACAGGCATGAGCCACTGCTCCTGGCACCTTTTTTTTTTAATATGCAACTTACATTCATGAACAGCCTGGCCAACATGGCAAAACCCCATCTCTACTAAAAAAAATATTAAAAAAAAAATTAGCTGAGCATGGTGGTGGGAGCCTGCAATCCCAGCTACTCGGGAGGCTGAGGCAGGAGAATCGCTCGAACCTGCTAGGCGGAGGTTGCAGTGAGCCGAGATCGTGCCACTGCACTCCAGCCTGGGTGACAGAGCGAGACTCCATCTCAAACAAACAAACAAACAAACAAAAAACTTAATATTTGTATATCACTTTGATGTCTGAATCTTTGTCTCTATTTTCCAATGAGGAAACAGAGTCAGAGAAGAGAAGCAATGAACTCAAGGCTAAATAGCTGGTAAATGACAGAGTCACAACTAGATCAGTGATTTGGGAACTCCTGTTTAAGTGTTCTTTACACTACCCATATTGCTTCCCAGAGAACTATTTTATTTGTGTCTACATTTACATACTGTTCACCAACAATGGACTTTATATTTTTTCAAGGCAAGGATAATGAGGAACCCTATCTTTGTATTTCACTTAGTGGCGAGCATTCAATATATAGGTATTATTTACATGATATCTATGAAAGGAAAAACATAATTTTTCTGTTACTGTTTACTTCCCCAAATTGAGGGTGATTATTGAGTAATTAATACATGTTTGTTTAAGATACTGTTAAATGGCAATTCTTTCTTCAAAACATGGATGTGCAAATTTACTCTTGAGACATTGTAATTTTGAAAGCAAATGTCTTCTCTGTAGGTAAATTTACTGCATTTTCTTTTCAGTATAAAGCTTTCCTAGAATCACATCAAATGGAACTGCTACTTGCCAATTTCAAGGAAGTTATAGCAATTCCTCTAGTAGATTCTATTTATAGATCAGATGTCTATGACTAAGTATAGTTACTTACAGCTAAATCTGATCAAAGCAGTAAGCTCAAAATAGCTTATGTGGAATTTAAAGCAAAGAAGGGAGGCAGGATGTTTCAAAGGATGGACGTTTCCCATTTTTTTCTGAAAAATAGTCCTTATTTTGAAAATGGCTTCGTTCTTCCATGTTTGCTTTCAGAAGCAAAACAAAACAAAATACCTTAACTGCTTTTTATGTTTTTTGCCTATACTGTAGTATCCTTACAGAGAGAGAACTTTCTTTGGGGCAGTGATTACTGACAGAGGATTACTGTCATTTTCGGAAGCTAGTTTTGGTCACATCACTCTGTAAACTTCGTATAGTTATTTTGTAGTATTCTTATATATTTTCTTAGCTAATGATTATAGTCTTCATAATTACCTACTAAACAAGCTTGTTTATAAAATCTATCACTCTAGATGATAAATCTACATTAAATGGTACTTGCTCATAATTAAAATATCTAGTGAGTGCATATGTTGAACAGTGGTAGTTTTGAAGATGTGGTTGCAATCTGTAGATTCTGAACTTCTTCACTATCTCTTCTCCAATAGATGAATTCTGCTAATAGCCCCTAGGATAGTAAGTGTTACTGTATTAGCAAAGCAGCCTAGCATATTCCCCTTGATTTGGTCATCTCTTAAAAAACACTGGATGCTTGTAAGAAATTAAACTTTTGTGTACCATATGAAGGGCCTCATAAAGTATCTGAAGGAGTAAAAATGAAAGCCAAACTCCAGGCTTTTTTTTTTTTCAACATTTGTAAAACAGGAATAAAACCTTCCTTATATTTTTATCTCCTCTCTATCTTGAACATCTGGCATAGTACCTGGTATGCTTGCTAAATATTTTTTATTTGAAAAATGAAAGGATCCAATGAATAATGTGACAATATTTCCAAGGTATAAAGTTATCTTTAGGGGTGAGGTCACCTGTATCCATTGTTCTCTCATTTTCTCTTTTCTTGCTCTTTTTGCTCCTCTAACCTGCTGTTATGGCCTTCTTTGCCCCTCATCCCTTTGCTATATATTAGAAGAAAAGAGGGGTTCAGCTAAATGCAAGCTTCAGCTAGAAACATACACTGTTCTGGAAGGGATTTAGCTAACCACATTTTACTGTTGGAGGCATTTCTAGGTTTGGAAATGATTTGTCCAAGGTCATTTGGTCAGTCAGTGTGTGGTTTATGGCCCCATTCTCCTGACTTCGGTGTTTATTCCCCTACAGCACAAATCTTGCTGCTTTCCCCCACATTAGATGTTTGCCAGCTGGGCCATGTTGGTGGGGTTAGGGGCCATTGAGATTCATTGAGAAGAAAGGAGAAGGAAAAGCTGACCATCAGCATCTACGAGTCCCTGGCCTGGCCCTTTAGTTGGGAACAATTATTGTTACCCAGTGTGTAGAACAAAGAGCGTAATCTTGGAACAAATAGACATCAGTGTCTTCTACCTCTTTCCTTCTAATTAAAAAAAAAAAAAAAAGGATAAACTATGAACAATAGGGAGGTGCGGAGGGAAAATGGAAGCTGGTGGAGGATTCAGGGAACATGGCTGGGACTGTAGGGAAAGAAAAACATTGCCATGTGGGTGAGTGAAATGCTGCAGTTTCAAAGCAGCAGTAATTTTACACTGAAAGTTCTGTAATTATGTGCGTGGCTGTTTAATAAAAATATCCTGTAGTGAAATTACTACATATTTACTCTGTATTTGAAATGAAGCATATCTTAAATACATGTCATCATGGGATGGGTACTACCTCTTAAATTTTTTAAAAAAGGAAATTAGATGTTTTTAGTAGTAGCTGTTCAGAAGTTTTCCAACTGTGGATGATCAATTCAGAGTTACCTGATTAAATCTATCATCTGTCATTGTTGAAGGTTTCCTGTTTGCTGGACTCTCTTTTTTAAGGCGGGGAGGTGGTAGGGGGAAACAGGGTCTTGTTCTGTCATCCATGCTGGAGTGCATGGGCACAATCACAGCACACTGCAGCCTGAAACTCTGGGATCAAGCAATCCTCCCACCTTAGCCTCCCGAATAGCTGGGACTACAGGCACACACCACCACGTCTGGCTAATTTAAGTATAATAATAATAAAATAAAAAAAATTCATTAAAAAAATTTTTTTTTTTTTTGGGGCTGGGTGCAGTGGCTCACGCCTGTAATCCCAGCACTTTGGGAGGCTGTGGTGGATGGATCACGAGATCGGGAGTTCAAGACCAGCCTGGCCAAGATGGTGAAACCCCGTCTCTACAAAAAATTCAAAAATTAGCCGGGCATGGTGATGGGTGCCTGTAATCCCAGCTATTCGGGAGGCTGAGGCAGAGAATCGCTTGAACCTGGGAGGCAGAGGTTGCAGTGAGCTGAGATCAGTGGCCTGGGTGACAGAGTGAGACTCTGTCTCAAAAAAAAAAAAAATTTTTTTTTTTTTTTTTGGTTAAGATGAGGTTTTGCCATGTTGCCCAGGCTTGTCTGTTTTCTGAACTCTTTTTTTTTTTTTTTTTTTTGAGACAGGGTCTCACTCTGTTGCCCAGGCTGGAGTGCAGTGGTGCAATCTGGGCTTATTGCGACCTCTGCCTCCCTGGCTCAAGTGATCCTCCCACCTCAGCCTCCCCAGTAGCTGGGACTACAGGCAAGTGCCACCACGCCCAGCTAATTTTTTTTTTTTTGGTAGTACTGGGGTTTTGCCATGTTGCCCAGGCTGATCCTGAGCTCAAGCGATCTGCCTGCCTCAGCCTCCCAAAGTGCTGGGACTACAGCCATGAGCCACCATGCCTGGCCAATCTGTTTTCTGAACTCTTGAAAGAAAATTTGTATGGAAACAAATGGTTCTATTACTAACTCCTTACATGTGACCCCACTGTGAAAAAAACTGGTAGCAAAGATAGTTAGGTTGAATCTGTACAGACATGCAAGCTACCTGTCCTGAGGTTGAAGAGTGTGTCCTGGGTTTCTAAGTGTTGGAACCTCATGACTTAGTATGTAGGAGCAACAGTTTCACTGCTTTAATAATGGTTACTATGACCTTGAGTTAACTGTAGTGTCAGTGCTTCTCAAACTTTAAAGTGCACCTGAATCACCTGGGGATATTCTTTAAAAGTTGGATTCTGATTCATTAGATCTGGGGCAAGGCCTGAGTTTCCGCCTTCTAACAAAGTCATGCACCGCTAATGCTGCTGGGCCAGGGACAACATTGAAAAGCAAGGATTTGTAGTGTTCCTTTTCTCTTACTCCCTTCTCTCTCTATAGTTCTCTCTTTCTCTGTGTTTCTTGAACCATGGGTGTCTCCATCTGTCTCTCTCTCTACTACTCTCTTTCACTATTTCTGTCTTTACTTCTCTGTATCTTTACCTTTCTTCTGAGATAAGTCTTAATTTTTTTCAGGGAAGTCTTTGGATAAATATATTATTATAAATGTAGTCATATATGCAGATTGGTCTATGTTCAGTCATTGGTATTACAGTGAGAGTTCACATAGATGGAGAATATGAGATTGGACAAGATATAGAATAGTTTTTATGTAAAATGTTCATTTGCCTATCAAAATGGGTATTATGTCACTTTAAAGAAATACAGTATGTAGGAATTCGAGGTTTAACTGAGGAGAATATAATGAAGGTGCTATTTATAGAGGTTTGAGCAGGGTTAAGGAAAGTGACAGGATGGTAAGATATCTGGGACTAGCTCACCCACCAAGGAAGCAGTTACCACCTTCTCTAGGTCAGAAGGAGAAAGGAGGAAATAGTATGATTGAAGTCTAATGAGAGCTTGTTAAGAAGGACTGTGTGATAGAAGCTGTAGCTTCAGAGGAATGAAGCCACTGAAACAATTGCAGTGAGGCAGGGAGGGAGTAAGGCGTCTTGGGAAAGGGATGGGGAGTAAATACTTTGATAGCTCTCTGTCCCCTTGCATTCTTAACTCTTGCCAGTGCCTCTCACTGGCTAAGCCCCACCCAAAGCCACAGAGCAAGAGAGTGCAGTTGTCTGTATAGGTTGGCTTCCTGGTATACAGAGGGAGGCGATAAGGCAGGGTTTGGATATAGAGGGTGGGGTTTATGCAAAGAGCATATTCAGAACAGAAGGGATACATTTTGATTTACAGATAGGATTCAGTCTTAATGTAAAATGAAGCATATATATGATTTCATCTCATGTCTACTGTATATTCCTATTACTCTTATATATATATTTTACACATTTATTCTGAAAGTTTTTATAGATAGTAATTTTCACCATGCTGTGTGAATCCTTTAAAAAAAGGGAGTTCTATATAAATGGTAACATCAAATTCAACTTGTTCTCTAGATTTTGTTTACTTCTGTAAACGTTTATTATATTTAAGGAAAGGAGATGAACTAGTTGGTAGTGTTGACATTTCTTTTTAAGGTGATGAAAGATATTTTAAATGAAGCATGAATCTTTGAAGAATCTGCCAGTTCATTTTAAAAACATGACCAATGCTCTGAAGTACGTGGATTGTATGAAGAAAGGAGTCTTCCTATTTTAACACCAGTCTTTTATTTTGAATGACCTGTTACTAATCTAATACTTGTTATGATGACTGATCATTCAGTGGACAACCTTTTTCAAATATTTCTGTAGTTGACACATGTTAATGATACAACAGGGAGACTATAGTCAATAGTTTAATGATTTATCAGCATCATTTATTGATGAGACTGTCCTTTCCCCCAATGTATGTTCTTGGCACCTTTGTTGAAAATGAGTTTATTGTAGATGCATGGATTTGTTTCTGGGTTCTCTATTCTGTTCCATTGGTCTGTGTGTCTCTATGCTAGTACCATGCTGTTTTGGTTACTATAGTTCTGTAGTGTAATTTGAAGTCTGGTATGTGATTCCTTCAGTTTTGTTCTTTTTGCTCAGGATAGCTTCAACTATTCTGGGCCTTTTCTGATTCCATATACATTTTAGGATTGTTTTTCTACTTCTGTGAAGAATGCCATTGGTATTTTAGGATTTTTTTTTCTACTTCTGTGAAGAATGCCATTGGTATTTTGATAGGGATTACATTGAATCCGTAGATTCCTTTGGGCACCATGGACATTTTAACAATATTGATTCTTATAATCCATGAACATGGAATATTTTTCCATGTTTTGGTGTCCTCTTCAGTTTCTTTCATCAGTGTTTTATAGTTTCCATTGTAGAGATCTTTCACTTCTTTGGGTAATTCCTAGGTATTTAATTTTATCTGTGGCTATTATAAATGAGATTACTTTTTTTGATTTCTTTTTCAGATTGCTTGTTGTTGGCATATAGAAATGCTACTGATTTGTGTATGTTGACTTTCTATCCTGTACTTTACTGAATTTGTTTATCAGTTCTAATAGTTCTTTGGTGGAGTCTTTAGGTTTTTCCAAACATAAGATCATATCATCTGCAAACAAGGCTAATTTGTCTTTTTCTGTTTTAGTATGGATGCCCTTTATTTCTCTCTCTTGTTTGATTGCTCTGGCTAGGACTTCTAGTACTATGTTGAATAACAGTGGTAAAAGTAGGCAACCTTGTCATGTTCTACATCTTAGAGGAAAGGCTTTCAGTTTTTCTCCATTCATTATGATACTAGTTGTGGGTCTGTCATATATGGCTTTTATTATGTTGAGGCATGTTCCTTCTATACTCAGTTTTTTGAAGGTTTTTATCATGAAGGGACGTTGAACTTTATCAAATGCTTTTCCAGCATCAATTGAAATGATCATATGTATTTTGGCCTTCATTCCATTAATATGATGTATCACATTGACTTCTGGGTTAAATCCCACTTGGTCATGGTGATCTTGTTAATGTATTGTTGAATCCAATATGTAATGTCTTGTTGAATCCAATATGCTAGTATTTTGTTGAGGCTTTTTGCATCAATATTTATCAGAGATATTGGCCTGTAGTTTTCCTTTTTTGATGTGTCTTTGGTTTTGGAATCAGGGTAATACTGGCTTCATAAAATGAGTTTGGATGTATTCTCTCCTTCTCTATTTTTAGGAACAGTTTGATTTGGTATTAGTTCTTTTTTAAATGTTCGTTAGAATTAAGCAGTGAAGCCATCGAGTCTCGGGCCTTTCTTTAATGGGAGGCTTTTTATTACAGCTTTAATCTCATTACTTGTTATTGGTCTGTTCAGGTTTTGAATTTCTTCAGTGGCTCAATTTTGGTAGGCTGTAGGGGTCTAGGAATTTCCATTTCTTCTGGATTTTCCTATTTATTGGCATATAGTTGTTCATAGCAGCCTCTAATGATCCTTTGAATTTCTGTGATATTGGTTGTAGTATCTGCTTTTTCATTTCAGATTTTATTTAATTGAGTCTTCTCTCTTTTTTCTTAGTCTGGCTAAAGGTTTGTCAATTTAGTTTATCTTTTCAAAAACCCAACTTTTTGTTTCATTGATTGTATTTTTTTCATTTCAAATTCATTTATTTCTGCTCTGATCTTCATTATTTCTCTATTAATTTTGGGTTCAGTTTGCACTTGCTTTTTTAATTAAGATGCATCATTAGGTTATTTATTTGAGGTTTTTCTTCTTTTTGATGTCAGCACTTATAGTCATAAATTTCCCTTAGTACTGCTTTTGCTGTATCCCGTAAGTTTTGATATGTTATGTTTGCATTATCATTTGCTTCAAGAAAATTTTCATTTTCCTTCTTCATTTCTTCATTGACCCATTGGTCATTCAGGAGCATTTTGTTTAATTTTCATGTGTTTGTATAGTTTCTAAAATTCCTCTTTTTGATTTCTAGTTTTATTCCATTGTGGTCAGGGAAGATACTTGATATTATTTCAATTTTTTTTTGAAATTTTTAAGACTTCTTTTTTGACCTAACATATGGTCTATCCCTGAGAATGACCTATGGGCTGAGGAGAAGAATTTGTACACTGCAGCTGTTGAATGAAATGCTATGTAAATATCTATTATGTCTATTTGTTCTATAGGGCAGATTAGGTCCAATGTTTCTTTGTTGATTTTTTTGTCTGGGAGATCTGTCCACTGCTGAAAGTGGGCTATTGAAGTCTCCAGCTATGATTGTATTGGGGTCTGTCTCTCTTGTTAGCTCTAATAATATTTGCTTTTTCTATCTTGGTGCTCTGGTGTTGGGTGCATGTATATTTACACGTGTTATATCCTCTTGGTGAAATGACCCCTTTGCCATTAGATAATGACCTTCTTTGTCTCTTCTTACAGTTTTTGTATTGAAATCTATTTTGTCTGATATAAGGGTAGCTAACCCTGGTCTTTTTTATGTTCGCATGGAATGTCTTTTTCCATCTCTTTATTTTCAGTCTATGTGTATCTTTATAGGTGAACTGTGTTTCTTGTAGGCAAGAGATCATTGCATCTTGCTTTTCTCATCCATTCAGCTTCTCTATGTCTTGATTGGAGAGTTTAGTTCATTTACATTCAGCATTATTATTGATAAGTAGGGATTTACTCCTGCCATTTTGTCATTTGTTTTCTCGTCACCACTGTAACACTATAGACAGACCTCTATTAAGTACTTATTACTTTTTATTGTGATTATCTGCATATCTTTTTTTTCCTAACCGCTATGATCTAAGAAAGTAGGGACAAGGATTATGACTAATTCATCTTTGTATCCCAGTAACTAGAACTCACTAAGTAAGAAAAATGTTAAAAGAATGGGTGATTGAGAGAAGAGGAAATCAGAAGAAGTGAGTATTTTAAGAGAAAAACTTGTTGAGAAGAAAATATATTGTGTTAGATTTGGTTTGCCTTTGTGGGCAGAATGTCATATGGGCTATAGGAAATCTTAGATAGGATTGCATGTTTGTCCATGGGTTTATCAACTTCACAGGATTCTTATTTGAAATTTGGCCTTGTTTCTTTACATAGTTAAATGTAGTTAGTAAATGATAGAGGAAAATAGAATGGTATTTTCAACATGCATACATGTAAGAAAGAAAGAAGTTGTTGAGCTAACCGCTGCCAAATTGTAGCACGTTCTTTCCTTTTGTGTTCAGTTTTACATAGTATTTAGCACTTAGCCATGTGCAAATAGATGTTTAATAAATATTTGACATGTACCATATTTTGTGTTGGTTTTAAGCAACTTGTGGTAAGTGACATTTAATGCTACTGTCTTTTTGCACATCATTTTTTTAAAATTCCTATTCCCTATGAGAAGGATTTAATTAGAAATGTGCACTGGATTCAGTTTTGGTACTATTTCTATATTGTTTCATTCACTAGTAATGTTTGGCAATATTTCTAATAGACTAATAAATTCAAATTAAAAGGAGAAGTGATTAGAAGTAATACACAGACAAATATGCATGTGTACATGTGTTAATATCAGCACACAGATTTAATTCTTTTCTTATTTACAAGAATGGGCTTCACCAAAGAGAACAAGATTTCTGTTCTTCCAGCATTTGCAGAAACAGCCTCTAAACCGGGGCCCTGAGCCCATTAGCACTAATGAAAAGAGTCACCCAAGGGAGTAAGATGGATGGCTTATGCTTGCATGTGGTAATCTCATGTATGTTTTTTTGCTACAAATAATTTCCCAAAGCTTGCTTCTGTGTTTTCAGGTTTATGTGCTTTTTTCCTGGTAGCTAAGCTGTTAGTAATGATGCTTATGTTTCATTACAGGCATACCTTAACATATTGAAGGTTCAGTTCCAGACTGTTGCAATAAAGCAAATACTGCAATAAAGCAAGTCATGAATTTTTGGGTTTCCCAGTGCATATAAAAGTTATGTTTACACTGTAATGTAGTCTATTAAGTGTGCAAAAGTATGTCTAAAAAACAATGTATATGCCTTAATTTTAAAATATTTTATTACTAAAAATTCTAATGATCATCAAGCCTTCAGCCCTTTGCTGGTGAGGGGTCTTGCCTCAATGTTGATGGCTGCTGACTAATCAGTTCAGTGGTTGCTGAAGGTTGGGGTGGCTGTAGAAATTTCTTAAGACAACAGTGAAGTTTGCTGCATTGATTGACTCTTCCTTTCACAAAAGATTTCTCTGTAGCATGCAATGCTGTTTGATAGTATTTTACCCACAGTAGAAATTCTTTCAAAATTGGAGTCAATCTTCTAAAACCCTGCTGCTTCATTATCAACTAAGTTGGTATTATATTCTAAATCCTTAATTGTAATTTCAACAGTGTTCACAGCATCTTTACCAGGAGTAGTTTCTATCTCAAGAACCATTTACTTTTCTCATCTATAAGAAGCAACTCCTCATTTGTTCAAGCTTTATCATGAGATTGCAGCAATTTAGTCACATCTTCACTGTGTTCCACTTCTAATTCTAGTTCTCTTGCTATTTCCAACACATCTGCAGTTAATACTTCCTCTGCTGAAGTCTTGAGCCCCTCAAAGTCATCCAGGAGGGTTGGAATTGACTTCTTCCAAACTTCCATTAATGTTGATATTTTGACCTCCTCCTAGGAATCATGAATGTTTCTAATAACATCTAGAATGGTTAATCCTTTCCAGAAGGTTTTAAATTGACTTTGTCCATAGCCTTCAGAGGAATCACTATCTATGGCAACTATAACCTCACAAAATGTATTTTTTAAATAATAAGACTTAAATATTGTATTAATCCATTTTCACGCTGCTGATAAAGATATACCTGAGACTGGGCAATTTACAAAAGACAGAGGTTCAATGGACTTGCAGTTCCACGTGGCTGGGGAGGCCTCACAATCATGGTGGAAGGCAAGGAGGAGCAAGTCACATCTTACATGGATGGCAGCAGGCAAAGAGAGAGAACTTGTGCAGGGGAACTCCTTTTTATAAAACCATCAGATCTCATGAGACTTATTTACTATCATGAGAACAGCACAGGAAAGACTTGCCCACATGATTCAGTTACCTCCCACTGGGTCGCTCCCACAACACATGGGAATTCAAGATGAGATTTGGGTGGAAACACAGCTAAACCATATAATTCTGCCCCTGATTCCTCCCAGGTCTCATGTCCTACATTTCAAAACAGAATCATGCCTTCTCAACAGTCCCCCAAAGTCTTAACTCATTTTAGTATTAACTCAAAAGTCCACAGTCCAAAGTCTCATCCAAAACAAGGCAAGTCCCTTCCACCGACGAGCCTGTAAAATCAAAAGCAAGTTGGTTACTTCCTAGATATAATGGGGGTACAGGCATTGGGTAAAATACAGCCATTCCAAATGGAAGAAATTGGCCAGAACAAATGGGGTACAGGCCCCATACAAGTCTGAAATCCAGAGAGACAGTCAAATATTAAAGCTCCAAAATGATCTCCTTTGACTCCATGTCTCACATCCAGGTCACACTGATGCAAGAGTTCCCATAATCTTGGGCAGCTCTGTCCCTGTGGCTTTGCAGGGTTTGGCCTCCCTCCCAGCTGCTTTCATGGGCTGGCATTGAGTGTCTGTGGCTTTTCCAGGTGCATGGTGCAAGCTGTCAGTGGATCTACTATTCTGGAGTCTGGAGGACTGTGGCCCTCTTTTCACAGCTCCACTAGGCGGTGCCCCAGTAGGGACTCTGTGTGGGGGCTTCGACCCCACATTTCCCTTCCTTCCATACTGCCCTAGCAGAGGTTCTCCATGAGGGCCTCACCCCTGCAGCAAACTTCTGCCTGGGCATCCAGGTGTTTCCATATATCCTCTAAAATCTAGAAAGAGGTTCCCAAACCTCAATTCTTGACTTCTGTGCACCTGCAGGCTCAACATCACTTGGAAGCTGCCAAGGCTTCAGGCTTCTACCCTCTGAAGCAAAGCCTGAGCTGTACTCTGGCCCCTTTTAGTCATGGCTGGAGCGGCTGGGACACAGGGCACTAAGTCCCTAGACTATACACAGCAGAGGGACCCTGGGTCCGGCCCATGAAACCATTTCTTCCTCCTAAACCTTCAGGCCTGTGATGGGAGGGGCTGCCATGAAGACTCTGACATGCTTTCTCCAGGGCTGACATTTTCCCCATTGTCTTGGGGATTAACATTCAGATCCTTGTTACTTATGCAAATTTCTGCAGCCATCTTGAATTTCTCCTCAGAAAATGTGTTTTTTGTTGTTGTTGTTGTTGTTTTTTGTTTGTTTCTATGGCATTGTCAGGCTGCAAATTTTCCGAACTTTTATGTTCTGCTTCCCTTATAAAACTGAATGCCTTTAACAGCACCCAAGTCACCTCTTGAATGCTTTGCTGCTTAGAAATTTCTTCCATCAGATACCCTAAATCATCCCTCTTAAGTTCAAAGTTCCACAAATCTCTAGGGCAGGGGCAAAATGCTGCCAGTCTCTTTGCTGAAACATAACAACAGTCATTTTTGCTCCAGTTCCCAACAAGTTCCCCATCTCCATCTGAGACCACCTCAGCCTGGATTTCATTGTCCATATCATTATCAGCATTTTGGTCAAAGCTATTCAACAAGTCTCTAGGGTGTTCCAAACTTTTCCACATTTTCCTGTCTTCTTCTGAGCCCTCCAGACTGTTCCAACCTCTGCCTGTTACCCAGTTCTAAAGTCACTTCCACATTTTTGGTTATCTTTTCAGGAGCACCCCTCTCTACTGGTACCAATTTACTGCAGTAGTCCATTTTCATGCTGCTGATAAAGACATACCCAAGACTGGGCAATTTACAAAAGAAAGAGGTTCAATGGACTTGCAGTTCCATGTGGCTGGGGAGGCCTCAGAATCATGGCAGAAGGCAAGGAGGAGCAAGTCACATCTTACACGGATGACAGCAGGCAAAGAGAGAGAACTTGTGCAGGGGAACTCCTCTTTATAAAACCATCAGATCTCATGAGACTTATTCACTATCATGAGAACAGCACAGCAAAGACTTGCCCCCATGATTCAGTTACCTCCCACTGGGTCCCTCGCATAACACATGAGAATTGAAGATGAGATTTGGATGGAGACACAGCCACACCATATTGAAACACCAAAATCACTCCATGATTTGTGGGCTTCAGAATGTATATTGTGTTAGCAGGCATTAAAACAACATTAATCAGTCTCCTTGTACATCTCCATCAGAGCTCTTGGGTAGCCAGACGCGTTGTCAGTGAAAAGAAATCAATCTTCTTTTGATCAGTAGGGTCTCAATAGTGTGCTTAAAATATTCGGTAAACTATGCTGTAAACAGAGGTGCCATCATTCAGGCATTGTTGTTTCATTTGTAGGGCATAGGTGAGTAGATTCAGCATAATTCTTAAAGGCCCTAGGATTTTCAGAATGGTGAATAAAATGACTTAAAGTCATCAGTGGCATTAGCCTGTAACAAGAGAGTTAGCCCATTCTTTGAAGCTTTGAAGCCAGGCATTGACTTCTCCTCTGTAGTCCTAGATGGCTTCTCTTCCAATAGAAGGCTGTTGCACTTAAATTGAAAATCTATTGCTTGGTGTAGCCACCTTCATCAATGATCTTAACTAGATCTTCTGGATAATTTGCTGCAGCTTCTACATCAGCACTTAATGTTTCATCTCATGCTTTTATGTTTTAGAGACAGCTTTTTTCCTTAAACCTCATAAACCAGCCTCTGCTTGCTTTTAACTTTTCTTCTGCAGCTTCTTCCCCTCTCTCAGACTTCATAGAACTGAATAGTTAGGGTTTTGCTCTAAATTAGACTTTGGCTTAAGGGAATGTTGTGGCTGGTTTGATCTCTATCCAGATCACTAAAACTCTCCATATCAACAATAAGGCTGTTTCGCTTTCTTATTCCTGTGTTCACCAGAGTAGCACTTTTAATTTCCTTTGAGAACTCTTCCTTTGCATTCATAACTTGGCTGTTCAGTGCAAGAGGCCTAGCTTTTAGCCTGTCTTGGCTTTTGGCCTATCTCAGCTTTTGACCTGCCTTCCTCACTAAGCATAATCATTTCTAGCTTTTGATTTAAAGTGAGAGATGTGCAACTCTTTCTTTCACTTGAACACTTAGAGGCCATTATAGGGTTATTACTTGGCTTAATTTCAGTATTGTGTGTCTCAGGCAATATGGAGGCCTGAGAAGAAGGAGAGAGACAAGGGAATGGCTGGTTGGTGGAGTAGTCAGAACACAAAACATGTATTGACTAAGTTTGCCATCTTCTATAGGCATTGTGGTATCCCAAAACAATTACAATAGTAACATGAAAGATCACTGATCGTAGTTCACCATAACAGATATAATAATAATGAAAAAGTGTGAAATTGTGAGAATTACCAAAATGTGACACAGAGACACTAGGTGAGCACTGTTGGAAAAATGGTGCCAATAGACTTGCTCAATGCAGGGTTGTCACAAAACTTCAATTTGTAAAAAATGCAGTATCTGCAAAGCACAATAAAGTAAAGTGCAGTAAAACAAAGTATGCCTATACAATCAGTCATTTCATGGCCTTGTTTTCCAATTTTGAATATCAGCTAAATTATCGCACCAGAGTTGTTCATGTGTACTGGTGATAAAAGAAAATTAATGTTTCTGTGTTTCAGATTTACTATTGTTGTCTTAGTGAGAAGGATACCGTTGTACTCAGCTTTGAGAATGTTGTACTTTGCTTTTAAAACAACCAAAGAAAATAACTTTAAAAAAAGCAACTGCCATTCCAACATATCTTTTATTAAAGCTTTATAAAATATTAAATTTGTGTAAAAATAATATTCTAATTAATGTTTCAAGATAGCTTTATTGCAGGGTATCAAGGAAGTAGGTCTCCTGATTTCAAGTGCCTTATTCACAGTGTTCTACCCAGGATCCCAGAGGAAGCTGCAGACTTAGTTAAGTGAGCAGGATTCTAGCACTGTGCTCTGCCTCTCTTCTCTGTTTGCATTTAAGCAGGCCCTTTTTAATCTGTTTTTTATACTGGAATTCTGGTTAAGATTTTGTTTGAAGAAAGATCCTGGCTGCTTCAAGATGATGATGATGATAAAGACAAAAGGAGGAGAGAGAGAGAAAGAGGAGAAGAGAGGAGAGAGGGAAAGAAGAGAGGTAAATATTTTGGCTTAGTACTCAGATGTTTTAGAATGAGACCTGACTGCAAGCTCTATGTCATCTTGGATAAATTACTTCTGGGCCTTGATTTTCTCTTCTGTTAATTAGAGATGTGGCAGGGTGGGGTGGGGTAGGGAAGGTTTAAAGTAGATTATCTCAAAGTGTATGGTATTTTTATAATGTCATGTATATTGCTTGGAATGGAGCTATCTGAGCTCTGTGCCCTGACCCTGCCACTCTCACATCCCCAGGCCAAATGGTATTGTGAAGTTATCTAATCCTGACATTGATAAGACATCTTTCCTGTGTCTCAGAATTAATCAAAATGCCCAGTAGGGTAGCCTATTGTGATCTATAAACACAGCTTCTCTTGTTACCAACATGCACCTGCTTGGCATTTGGCAGATGGTGCTTGGACTTACCATGAATCAGGTTATGTTTCTTGATATATATCCATATACTTACTACTTGTTACTTGACACCAGGTGAATGCCACTGAATCCAGAAAGGATTTTTCTTTTCCTCCAAATGTGTTAGATACTAAGAAAAACTGAAGCATATACAGAGGCATTTATTTTCTAACTTCAATAAAATATGTCTCATATGAAGAACATGGATTATTGGATTTGGGCTAAGTGGATTATTAGATTAAGTTGGGTAGCTGTTTTCCTTGACCCAATCACTAAACCAATTTGCTTGATCAATTTAAAATTTGATTTGAGAGGCTATCACAGACAAAGGTTGTGTAAATGGGTGAGGTACATGACTACAGTCAAACAAACCATTTTTTTCTTCTGATATGATTCTTATATGATACCTAAGATAGATAGCCACTAGGGGTAATGGAAGAGGTTTTCTTAAACAGTTTTTTGTACTTCTTTTATTTGCTACTTAATTTTAGTTATTCCAACCCGTATTCTAGAATTCAGTTCATAAACTTAAGCCTATTGATAGTTAAAAATTATGCCAAACTGTTTTTACCCTTATAGCGCAGTGGAATGTTCTTATTAATGATGTAATCTCATTTTTAAAGTTATTACTAGTGATATCTTAGGAATTGATTTTGTTATATAGTTCAGTAATGTTCTAGAGAGGTAAGGGAACCATAGTACTTCATAGGTAAGAACCCATCCCCATATTACTTAGCTGAAGACAGGCGATGTGAAGGTTATATAGAAAAGGGAGGAGTAGGATAGTAAAGAAGGACAGAGCAAAGAATAAGAACCCATTGGAAACTGAATGAAAGCCGCAAGTGAGGAGGGTCAGGAATCATAGTGGTCCTCATTCACCCACTACCTGTAGCTCCTCCATTATAGACCAGTGGACACATGGGTACCTCAGGCTGAATGCAGACAATTGCTTCAAAATAATAAGTTCTCCTTGGCATGAAATGTTTCATCTACTAAGTAGAAGAATGAATTTTGTGATATACGAGGGTATTACTGGCTTAGGACAAGGCTTTGCTTCCTAATTGAAGGTGCTTTGTGGGACTATTAGCATACCAGTTGATTCCTCTTGTGTTGCACTGCAAATTGCTGATTAACTGCTTTTATGTATGCAGAGCTGACATGTTGCCTCATTTAGAAACAAAGTGTAGTGCTCTAAGGAACTAGTCAGAAGTTCAAACTGACATTTAGAAATTGTAAACCCACAGACTTCATGACAAGTAATGCTGTCAGTTTAAATTATGGCTTTTCTACCTCGAGATGGATAAAAAGAGCTAGTAATAGAGCCTGTGACCAGTGTATTAGAGACAGATTCTGCTCTAGTGAGCTGAGAGATTGTGCTATTTGGATCTAACATTCAGTTGTACTTCCTTTTCCTTGGATATTTTCTGGGTGATCAGACAGTGTGAAGGGTCGGTGCTGTGGATGGTTGTAACACATGCATATTAGTTCGACCAAAAAATGCTCTATTCTTGCTTTCAGGGAGATTATTTAATAACCAAGTTAGGAAACTGAGAATAAATTGAGAGTTTAATTCTCAAAATAAGGTACTTTATGTTAACATGAAGAAGTTTAGCAACAATTTCATTATCTGGAAAGACTGAATTATATAAAGTATGTGGAATGAGGGTAAAAAAGAGCTTAAAGAAAATAGCTCCCTCTTTGATTTTGGTATTTCCTAGCCAAGTACTTTGCCACCTTACCTGTTTTTACTATCTATCTGGCATTTTGATGAACTTTTCCCCAGCTAAATCGACGAATCGGCTCTCATGTTGCATCCCAGTGTAGCGTGGTGTTGCCTGCTGCTCTGGAGTCCTTTGTGACTCACCCCTGGTGATTAGGGGTCCACATTGGTGGGTCAAGGTGTGTATTGGATGGGGAACACTGGGGAAGAAAACTAACTTTTCACCTGTTACTCTTTCTTTCTGTTCTCTTAGACTACATGTTTATATAAAGTGTTTGAATTTTAGAATGTAAAAAACTCAATTGACTTAACAAAATCTGTCTGGAATTGACAGAAATTTGATAAAAGTGGCTGGGCTTGGTGGCTCATGCCTGTAATCCTAGCACTTTGGGAGGCCAAGGTGGGAGGATCGCTTCAGCTCAGGAATTCAGGACCAGCCTGGGCAACATAGTGAGACCTTGTCTCTACAAAAAGTTAAAAAATTGGCCTGATGGAGCATGCCTGTAGTCCTAGCTACTTGGGTGGCTGAGGCAGGAGGATTGTTTGAGTCTGGGAGGTTACAGCTGCAGTGAGCTATGATTGCACCACTGTACTCCACCCCTTGCTGACAGAGGCTCTGTCTCAAAAAAAAAAAAAAAAAAAAATAAGAAATTTGATAAAAGTGATTTCTACCTAATGACTAAACCAGTGGCTCATGTAGAGAAATGGTCACTATACTGGTCCTCTCCCATCTACCCTTTATTTGGGGAGGTACATTATAGTGGGGAATCCTGGACTTGGAGCCAGGAGGTATGGGTTTAGCATCTGCTCTTTCATGCCTTGAGCAATGCATTTCATTTTTCTGAGTCAGTTTTTTAATCTGTAAAATGAGGATACCTATTTATGTGTATTTATAGATTTATTGTGAGACTAAAATGAAATTGGAGTTATTCTGTGGACTATGATGTTCTATGCAGACATTATTATTATTATTATATAGCATGGCCAGGGCCAGATTCTTGGGCATGCCACCACTGTAGTTGCATGGGGTCTCATGCTCAGAAGGAGGTCTTGTGCTGGGAAATTAATGTGGTTGCTGTCTTGACATTCTGAATGATAATTTTTTTGAATTTATATTTTTTAACTGAATTCAGATAATGGAGCATGTGCTGGGACGTGAACCCGCTACGAGCCAGCTTTTTGTCAGTCCCTACTTACTTGCAACAGGTTCTCAGCTGCCCACTCCCCTGTGCCTACCTCAGTGACTACTGCCACTCTCCACCCCTGACAGGGCTTGGGTTTGGACACAAAATGAGTATGTTTGGGTGTGCACCTTGCACACAAAGTCATGGGTGGTATCCTGGGTGCCTGTGAAAGTCCACAGTGCCCTTCAAGTATCCTCATGCCTGAGGGAGCACAAATTAAGTTGCAAATATTTTTTAAAAAGTATAACTTGTTGAGAGCGTGACCATGGGGAAAAAATGAAAAAGTTTTTCCTGTTTTTTGAACAAGAAGCCCCTCATTTTCATTTTGCACTAGCCAAATTATGTGGCTGCCCTATGAAATAAATAACTGGCTCTGCTCTTCAGAGCCCTAGAGATTTCTCAGGAACCCCATGGACTATGTAATAATGACCTTGACTAGGGCTTTTGGTAGGGATAGAATAGAGGAGAATCCAGTGGATGGAGAGTGAGTGAAAAGTGAGGAAGTGGGAAGTGTAGACAGCAATTGACACAAACCTTGTTAAAAAGATTGGCCTTGAAGAGAAGGGAAGAGAGTAGTAGCTGGAGTAGAAGATAGGGAGAGGGGTTGTTTGCCTTTCCTTTCTTAGAAAGAACAGAACATGTTTATGTGTTAATATGATGAAGTTAGTTGGGAAGGAAAAGTTAAATATAGTCATTTGCAGAATATTTACTGAAAATCTATCATATCATTTTTGCTATTCACTCTTGAACTGAGGTTCAAAAGTTTTCATTTTCCAAAGCAACAGAAGGTGCCTTAGATTCTATTCTTTATACCCGAATAGAGGAGGGCAGTGTGAGCCCCTTTAATGTGGCTCAAGGCCAGCCATATTTGGCTATCTTCTCCCCGCTGCAGTGGGCTGGTGCTGGAGCAGAAGGCCACACAATTCGTTGTTCTGGACTCCATAGTAAAGCAGGGTGATCTTCTGCCCTTCAGCACTATAGTTGGGTGTGAGATCTGTTGGGCTTTTGAATACTCAGCCATGCAACATGCTGGGGGCAGCTGTCACATTGGCTCTTTGTGGGATCTGGACAGCTTTTGGCCGTGACTACTATTCTTTGATTCCTTGAGGAATTGGAATGAATTGGCTTCCACTTTAATAGAATATTTATTAGAACTTGAAAGTAGTGAATGGGAGTATTTAGACTTACTGTATTTTTGTTTATTAGTGAAATGGATAATAATCTCTACCTCACAAGTTTGTTGAAAGGATTAAATTAGATATGTAAAATGCCTAGTGCAATGTCTGGCACATGATTAGATGTTTGACACATTATTAGTTTTCATCTTGATTCTTCTTTTTTAAAAAGGTAAGTATTGTGTAGATATACCTTCCTTGATGCACCAGAGATGGTCATAAAATCAATTTAAACTTGTAAAATATGCTAGATGGGATTAACACCGAAATAAAGCTTTCCGTGATAACTCCTTTTCCAAAGGGGGAAAAATACTTTTGCAAAGAAAATATCTTCAATTTATTTTTTAGAAATATTTTCCTCCATAGTGTTCATTTAAATAAGGGCAAGTAGATTTTAACCTCTGTGGATCATCCTTTTCTTATCTGTAAAGTCTGGATAATAATACATAGCATAGTGTTTGTATGAAGTTTATGTGAGAATGATGGCTAGCACAGTGTTAAGTGCTCAATAAATATTAGCAGTAATGATTATTTTCTTCAACTGCCTATTATTTTGAGATTATTTAGAGATCCTGTGTTTTTAAGTACCTATACCCATATTTGTGGTAGTAAAGTGGGGTGGGGGGAGGGGGGAGGGATAGCATCGGGAGATATACCTAATGCTAGATGACGAGTTAGTGGGTGCAGCGCACCAGCATGGCACATGTATACATATGTAACTAACCTGCACAATGTGCACATGTACCCTAAAACTTAAAGTATATTAAAAAAAAAGAGTATTCTTTATTTTTGAAGATGGTTAAGACATGTTGATATATATATCAGTAACATTAGGAAGAGGCAACATTGAGTCATGTGCCAGTGCTGTCTGCTTGCTTTCTTGTTTGTTCTTTTATTTATTTATTGTGGTAAAATATGCATAACATAAAATTTACCATTTTAACCATTTATGTGTATAATTTAGTGGTAGTAGGTACATACGTAACTGTTAACACCTTCCACTCTGCAGCTCTGGAACTGTTTTATCACCCCAGACAGAAACTCTCTAGTCATTAAATACTGACTCCCCATTCTTCCTCCCCCAGCCCCTGATAACCTCTTTTTTACTTTCTGTTGATATAAATTTGCCTATTTCAGGTACCCTGTATAAGGGAAACTATAAAATATTTGTCCTTTTGTATCTGGTTTATTTTACTTAGCATAATGTTTTCAAGGTTCAGCCATGAGGTAGCATGTTTCAGAATTTCATTTTTTTTGGCTGAATAATATTTCATTGTATGTACATACCACATTGTATTCATCTATGTATTTGATGATGGATACTTGGGTTGTTTCTACCTGCTGGCTATTGTGAATAATGCTATTATGAACACTGTTGGATAACTACCTGAGTCCCTGTTTCAATTTTGAGGGCTATATACCTAGAATTGGAATTGCTAGATTATATGGTATTTCTATGTTTAACTTTTTGAGGAACACCAAACTATTTTCCACAGCAGCTGCACCACTTTCCATTCCTACGTGTGGTGCACCACAGTTGCAATTTCTCTACATTCTCACCAGCACCTTTTCCCCCCATTTTTAAAATAATAGCCATCCTAATGGGTATGAAGTGACTATATCTTATTATGGTTTTGACTTGCATTTTTCTAATAACTAATAACATTGAGTGTCTTTTCATTTGCTTGTTAGTCATTTGTGTATCTTCTTTGGAGAAATGTCTCTTCAAGTCCTTTGGCTATGTAAAAAATTGGGTTGCTTGTTTCTTTTGTTGTTGAATTATAGGAGTTCTTCATATATTCTGGATATTAATCTCTTATCAGGTATATGATTTGCAAATATTTTGTCCCATTCTGTGTGTTGTCTTTTTACTCTCTTTGTAGTGCCCTTTGATGCGCAAAAATGAGTTTTTATATATAGTATAAGGTAAGGGTCCACCTTCATTCTTTTGCATGTGGGTAGCCAGTTTTTTAGTACCATTTTTTGAAAAGACTGTCCTTTCTTCATTGAATGGTCTTTTGTACGCTTGTTGAAAATTTAGCGATCAGTCGACCATATGTGTGGCTTTATTTCTGGGCTCTCTGTTCTGTTCCATTGGTCAATGTCTGTCTTTATGCCATTATAACAACTGTTTTGATACCATTGCTTTATAGTAAGTTTTGAAAGCAGAAAGTGTGAGTACTCCAACTTTGCACTTCTTTTTTCAAGATTGTTTTGGCTATTCAGGGTCCCTTGAGATTCCATATGAGTTTTAGGATGGCTTTTTGTTCTGTCTACTTTTTATACATACATTCATTTAAATTTTAAAAATAACAGCTTGAAAAAATTTGTGAGTAGTCCAAAAATACAATCCTTAAGGCCTCATTGGCTTGCAACATATAAGGCAATACATTTTTCTCTCTATTAACTTCTTCTGGAACTCTTGTTTGATGCTTTTTGAACCATCTTATTCTAGCTTTCTTGTCTCAACGTATTCTTTTCTGTGTTTACCTCTTTGTCTGTCCTGTGTTTTGGGATTTCCATTATGATTTTATTAGGTTAATCTTCCCAGCCACTAGTTATCAGCTGTGTATTATTTGGACTGCCTGTTGAGGTTCCCTACCCCAATGAAGTACCCTCTTTTTTATTTCTAGAGTTTCCATTTGATTCTTTTTTCAAATCTGCCTTGTTATTTTTCATGCTGTCCTTTTTTTCTCCTTATTACCTCTCTTCCTTTCTTTATCTCCTTCAACATTTTAAACATGGTTGTTTGAAACATAGTTATTTTAAACTGTTTTTTAGACTGTTAAATTATATCTAACTCTTGTGGTGCAAATTGGCCCATCTACATCACTATCCTGGTGGACAGGTACAGTTTTTCCAGTCCCTATTTCATGGGCAGACCTTGGTAACTCTTGGTTTTATTCAGGTGGCTCATTCCTACCAAGCAGCTTGCATGAAGCCTGCAGCCTGGGTACCTCTTGCTGAGGGGGTATCAGTGGGCTACCCCCAAGTGGTTGAGGCTAATGACTGACTCTAAGTCCTCCTGCTTCCTGGGAGCTTTATTGGCTCCAGCTCCTGCTTACCTCTCTGACTTTTATTTCCTCATTGTTTCTGGCACTTAGGAATTTCCGTTTCTTGAACATGAGCTCCGAAATGTAGCCTAAGATTATTTTCATATATTCTGCTCATTCTTTGTTTTTAGATTTGGAGCTGTGCCTTTCCACAATAGCCCTATATACCATATTTGCTGTACTGACTGCAAGCATCTGCACTTACCGGGAGATATATATATATATATATATATATGTATATATCTCTGTCTAATAGGTTCTTAGAATTTTCGATTAATCAGGTTCTTTTTTCAGCCCTAGGATATTACTTTGCACATAGTTGGTATTCAATAACAAGCTATTAAATAAGGGATAAGTAGATGAGATCTAAGGCATTGGTTTTCAGTTTTGAAAGTTTATAGATCATTGGTGAAAATTTAAACTTTATTATTGCTTAATTTTGTAATTTTCTTCTGCCTTATTTTTCTTCTTAAATGAATTCTGTGTAACCTGTTAATTAAAGTGAACTGAATTAGAGGGTGGGTTGTAGAGGGGAGAATATCTAGAAACGAACACACAGCAGAGTATTCAAAATTGTATCATGAATCAGTGATCCAAAGAGGGAGGTAAGTATCAATAAGCCACTAAAAGATATTCTTAGACAGAATCAGTGAAAAATCCCCAGGGACCCTTCTGAAAGAAGAGAGCAGTGTTATCAGCTCCCTGTGTATCAACCATTTGTGTCTCTTCGTGAAATTCTCCTCCTTATCTTTAAAGCAGACTTTGATAAAAGATTGCTGACTAGTATGTTTTTTCTTGACTTCCAGAGCTACTTTAATTTTCTCATAAACACCAAGGTAATCTCACTTAGACTAAGTGCCTTCTTCTATCTCAGGCAGAGACCATTTTTCTGCTCTTCAGCTTGAGGAGGGTTAACATTGGCTCTGAATGAACATCTGCTGGCCCCATATTGACACAGGAATAAATTATTCAGCATGTAGTATTTGGGAATTTAAAAGCTCCGTGATGAATTCTACAAAACTATAATATGTCTCTGACATTCTAGGGTTTCATTATTTTGTCTTCAATTATTCACAAAGGCTTTTCACGTCTCAAAGCATATATGGGATTCTTGAGATCAAGAGAGCCCACGGCTGAAACAATAGAAGACTATATTAAGATATGATCTTCTTTTTGTTTTGGTAGTATTTTTCTTTTTGGGTGGACTAAAATACCATTTCTTTACACACATAAAACTAAGATCTGTTTGTTATGAGAATGAGCTCTTTTGTTTGTAGAATGCATGTTGTCAGGAGATGCTCTCTATGTGCAGTGTTGCCAGTCCTTTCCTGATAGCTCTGGAGAAGTGTTTCTTTTTTTTTTCTTTGAGACAGAGTCTTGCTCTGTCACCCAGGCTGTAGTGCAGTGGCACGATCTCGGCTCACTGCAAGCTCCGCTCCCGGGTTCATGCCATCCTCCTGCCTCAGTCTCCCAAGTAGCTGGGACTACAGGTGCCCGCCACCACACCCAGCTAATTTTTTTGTATTTTTAGTAGAGACAGGGTTTCACCGTGTTAGCCAGGATGGTCTTGATCTCCTGACCTTGTGATCCGCCTGCCTCAGCCTCCCAAAGTGCTGGGATTACAGGCGTCAGCCACTGCGCCCGGCCGAGAAGTGTTTCTTAAGGATTATAACAGTGATTCTCAAACTTTATTTACTGTAAAAGATTAATTGGGTTTTCTATGTGTGCATAGATTGGCACTTTAAGATCTAAAGTCAGGCAAGGGGGTCTCCTAAATATCTCTTAGGTTATTTTCTGTTTTTCTACTTTTGTGTGTTAACTCCTGCCCTCTTTGTTTCTGATTGCATTGTCGTGATGGCTTTCCACTAATTCAGGGATTCTTAAGCTTGTGTGCGTGTGCGTGCATGCCGTGGATCCCTTTAGCAGTTTGTTAGAGCCTATGGTTACAAGATAAACTGATTACAGAAATACGGTTCCATCCATGGGAGTTCCTTACAGCTCAAAGTATGGAATATCTTCTAGTGTAACCTAAACTAGACCTCAAAAAATATTCCATCAAAGCTAAAACTTTTCATTCCTGTGATTGACCCCAAAGCAAATTTTAGGATTTGAGCAAAACACATTAAACCATGAAAAACAACTTTTTGATGAATAACTAATTCAAGGGCTATCATTAGTCCTTGAAAAAAGCTAAAAACTAAGAATAAAGATCCAAATTTTCTTACAATATTAATTCATATACACAATACAGTCTGTCCCTAAAATTGCTAGTAAATCTGTTAGATGCACAGGAAAATAAGTCAATATAGCTGTGAGAAAAAAATATACTTTATCTGGAATGTGGTTAATATTTCAACTTGCCTCTTCAGTACTGCTCTTATAGCCTTCCTTAGTTGCTATTTTATGTAAAATATGTGTAGGAAGGGACAAAGAAAGGTGAGAGATAATGGACCTGTTTCTCTCCAGTGCTTATGTCATTCTCTACTAATGAGTTAGATATGAAAAGAGGTACATTTACTCTTTCAACCTTCTAGATACACACTGGACAATTGTGCGAGTTTTGTACATGAGTTTTGTACATTACTATCTCATCTTCACTGTAGTGTAACATTGGGTTAATTTCTTTTAGAAGTGTTGGGCACTCGGGGTTACAAGGAGTGCACTGGGATCATGTCATTCATTTGCTTTTTTGCCAACTTGTTAGTATAAAGTTAATTCAAATGTTTTTTAGGTTACAGTAAGAAATGATGAGTTTTATATTTTGCCCCAATACATAATCACAAAATTATAATACTTTCTTACATTTATATGTAATGTTTCTAATACACTTTAATTTATTCAGTCTCATTGTATCACAGTAACTAGTGACACACATATGGCAGGGATTATTTCTATTTTGTGTAAGAGGAAACTGAGGTCCAGAGAGGTTGTGACTTGCCTAAAGTCACAGTAAGGTATAGAAACTGAGATGGGAACTCAAGCCTCTTGGCTCCTTTCCAGTGCTCTTTTTCTGTAACTTCAGTCTGAGAGAGTTTGCTCTTTGCTTTCTCTGCAGTATTCTTTAGTACCATTCAGGCAGATGGATGGGCATTTGTTCAGTCGTGGTAATGGACATGGATTATGTTCCCATCTGTTTGGTTGAAAATCAGTGACTATACTGAGCAATGTCCATTTAAAATATTAAATTGCATCAAAACTTATGACATTTAAAGTGCTTTTACAATTTAGTTAAGATAACAATTTCATCTGTTTCTATGTAATTACAGGGGTTTTGAATCATTTCAATTTAGCAGGCTGAAAAAATATGACCTCTGGCTACATGGCCTTTTCATTTTATGGGTGTGTACATGTCTGTGTGTGTGTGTGCGTGCACATGCATGTGTGTGTAACTGATGAACTTGGGAAGGTTTCATTACCTTCTGCTCTGCTTTTCCAAAGGCCCTAATTGTCTCTACTGCAACCCCCAAGCCTTCTCCTCCTGTCTGCTGACAGCAGTCAGGATTTCCATGTGACACAGAGCAGCAGATTATTGATTTTGTTTTTTGTCAGGGCACTGTGTGTGTCATTTGAGGTGGTCTTGTGGGCATTTAGTTCATCAGTGATTATGCACAGGACCCACTTTAGCTTGAGCTAGGAAGGAAATGTCAAACAGGAAAGGACTGGGACGATTCTTTTAAGAGTGAGCATCAGGGAATTTATACTAGAGAGAAACACTGACCTGTCACTTCTCTTTCAGCATTTCACTTTGATTTCCAGTTGACATGTTTAAAGAGCCTGACATTTCATTTCTCTGTGTTCACTTGAGCAGGGAGTATGGGATCAGAAGCCATCGATTGGTTAGCAGTAGTCTATAACTCTTAAGTAGCATTTGGTCATGAATGAAAGGTCCGCATGTTTGTAAGGCAGCTCCCAAACAACTGGATATTTCTGTAGCCTTTGTGGGTCTGTCCTGTTTTGAAGGCATGGAGAAGTAGGTCTGGCTCAACTGAGCTGCAGAGAAGCCTCACCTCCTCTAAGGTGAATGTTAATTCCAAGGATGTTATAAAATCTGTATGCTTTATTTTGAGCTCAGTTCCTCAGCACACTTGGCTTATCTTGGAACGCCCCAGGATCTTTCCAGGATCCTTAGAATTAGCCTCTGGAGGCGTCCTAGGTAGGCTTGCACATAGTACCCTCTGAGAGCCCCAGGGAGTCCTGGATAGCAGCTTTTTTCTTTAGTCCCTTAGCTTCATTCTATCTTTTAAGGATGAGAGGCGTATGAAAAGACTTGAGGGCCTCCATGCACGTGGGCAATGGCTGGAGCTGCATCTCCTATTTTTAGACCACATCTGTGAGTTCTGCCATTGTTCCTAGTGTCTAAGAGAGTAATGGCCGTTTTCTTCTACAAATTTTACCCTACGGGAATCTTCTTCTATAACAGCCCTAAGCACTAGGTTGACTGTCTGAAACCAAGCTGCAGATCCTAGACGGACTTGGAACAGTAGAAGGAAGGGCATGTGCCAGGCTCTTTCCTTCTTGTTTGTTACTTGAGAAAGAAGAAACAAGCCAGTCTGCTTTTGGTTTTGATTGGTTGATACCAGTCTGGTAGGTCTGAAGGGAGATGCCAAAACCCCACTGCTTTAAGTTCCTTCCTCAAAATATGTAAGACAGCGTAGGTGCTGTTCTTTTCTTTTCAGACGGAGTCTCACTCTCTCACCCTGAAGTGCAGTGGCACGATCTCGGCTCACTGTCACTGCAGCCTCCGCCTCCTGGGTTCCAGCAATTATTCTGCCTCAGCCACTTGAGTAGCTGGGATTACAGGTGGTCTGCCACCACACCTGGCTAATTTTTGTATTTTTGGTAGAGATGGGGTTTCACCATGTTGGCCAGGCTGGTCTCGAACTCCTGACATCAAGTGATCCACCCGCCTCAGCCTCCCAAAGTGCTGGGATTACAGGCATGAGCCACTGCACTCAGCCAGGTGCTATTCTTTCTACCGCCCTTTTCAGTGCGCCTTACCTGCTCCTAAAGGGGTTAGGTGTAAACGCGGTGATCTCAGGGCTTTAGGTACTTTATGCGCTTATATATCTATATTGTGTATGAGTAATATATAGATCATTCTCAAGCTATCTGTGATGAAAATCTATCAACAAAACTCTAGGGATGAAATATGAAATTTAATAGAGTGCACCATAAATGGAGAGGAGTAGAAGTAACTGAAGGAGCATATGTTGAGGAGAAAAGGGCAATGACTTTCAAGAGTCTTTCTTTTTTCTTTTTTTGTTTTTTTTTTTTTTCCTCTTTTGAGACAGGGTCTCACTCTGTTGCTCAGGCTGGAGTGCAGTGGTATGATGTTGGCTCACTGCAACCTCCACCTCCTGGGTTCAAGCAATTCTCCCACCTCAGCCTCCCAAGTAGCTGGGACTGCAGGTGCACACCACCACATCCAGCTAATTTTTGTATTTTTTGGGGGAGATGGGATTTCACCATGTTGGCCAGGCTGATCTGGAACTCCTGACCTCAAGTGATCTGCCCTTCTTGGCCTCCCAAAGTGTTGGGATTACAGGCATGAGCCACCGCACCCGGCCATAGTCTTTCCTTTAAAAGCTTTAATTTGTTTCTACCCTGATCTCCTCACTGAATATTGTTTGTTGTTTGTTTTTGCTTGCTTGTACCTTGACAATTTTTTCCCCTTTGATTTAAGTTGCTTCCTTTGTTACTGTGCAATGCAATGTGCTTAACCACAGCCTTCCTCTACTTCCTACCCTATCTCCCAGAACAGTGGTTCAGGCATCTTTATTTCATCCTATCCTTTCCTTGCTCCCCTTCCTCTAAATGTACACATTGTCTGAATGTAAAGAGTCTTGCGTTACAGAGATTGGAGATCTATTAAATGTACACCAAGGATAGCTGTTAGGCAGTTTTCATGGATATGCAAGAAAGTTATGTCCACAAGTCCCACTCCTTGTCACTTGGCAAGAGCTATTATCAGTCACTTGCCCTAACAGGTGGTGACAGCTTTTGGATCTTTCCCTGGTATTCTGTGGCTCATTGTTAGCCAGCTTGGATCTCCTCCTGCCAAACTCTAGTGAGAGTTTGGAGCTGGTGTCACCTGTCTTAGCTTTCGGAATTTTCCAGTGAACATAAAGTAGCCTCAATGTTTCAAAGAAGAGCTGTTGGCCAGTACATGTCTTTGTCCCCAGATATTCAGGCTGTGGTCCCTAATCCAATCTGATACATTAGAATGAAAGTAATGCAACACTTTAGTACCCCGTTTTGACAAGTTTGGCGATAACTGGTATAAAGAATGATGAACTATGAACCAACATGTAGGAAGTTAGACAGACCTGAGTTAATGTCTCAAATCTTAACTACCTTATGAACTACCTTATGGCCTTGGGCAATTTATTTACCCTCTTGAATCTCAATTTCTGCTTAGTAAAATGGGCTAGTAGTACTTGTTTTACAGGTTGTTATAAAGAATACGTGAAAACATATTTAAAAAAGCATCCAGGATAGGGCCTTGACATTTGATAATGTTTGTTTTCCTTTCTTTCACACAAACCACCATCTCCACCAACTTCTACTCTGAAGACTGAATAAAAATTTACAGATTTGTAAGGTAGACTGACTGATTCAGGTTACTTATAGAAAACAATTTCTTACCTGTGACTTTTTTTCTGAGATGTTTTAATATTGAATGAATTCCCATTTATTTTAAATACTTTAATATCAGTTTGTTTGAAGTGAAGAGGTTGTACTACGTTACTGTTCAAGCTCCCTTCAAGCCCTGTAATTTCATGATTCTTTGTTGTTTTCGTAAAACCAATATAATATGCCTTCCTGGGTTTTAAGTTCTGATTTCTATTCAATAAAAGTCTTTGAAAAAGAGACTGAGCCTCATTAGAAATATTTCTTGTCTTTGTAACCAGAGCATCAGTGTTTTTGTGATGATGTTTTCTTTTAAAAATAAAAACAACTAAAACTGAGTTTCTTTGCCAAACCCTCAAAGTTGCTTTGCCTTGGGCTCTGTGAGCAAGCTCAGGCAGATCCATAAAAGGTCATCGCAGGCACCTCAGCTACCCAGCCTCCTTAGCTCTCTTACAAGAGCAGGGCCAAGGGAATGGGAAAAAAGGAGGGCTTGGAAAGGAGATGGTTCCGGACTTGAGGATTCAATAGTCCCATGCACTGTATAAGAATTTTTAGGGGGTGATTATTAGCATTTTGGCAGCAGTTATTTTTTTCTCCTTCCTGTGAGTTTTTATTTTGGGGGTCTAGCTTTGGATGTTCTATTAACTAGAACTTTATTGGCTGTAGTATGACATATTCCTTTGTGGTTCCAAATATTTGCGGCTGTTGTGGGATTTTCTTTTTAATTTCAGTTTCTATGATATTAAGACCAGCTGGTTAAAGTTATTTATTTTGATACAGAATGGTATTATGACTAAACCACGCTGAATAAAACTTCAGTCAGGGAGGCGGCATACTACAGTGTAAAGAGTGGGGGCTTTGAAGTCAGATCTGAGTTTGAATCCTAACTCAGTTGCTTAAGAAATGTGTGTGATGTGACGTGAGGCAAGCTGCTTACCGTCTGAATCTCATCTCCTTCACTGAAAATAATGAATTGTAATTCTTATGTTTTGGGGTGGCTGAGAACATTAATTTATGTAAAATGTCTGATATGTAAAGATCTGCTCATATTAGTCCTCTCCTTTCTTCTCCTTCCTCTTTCACTCCTTATTAATCAAAGAATGATTTAACCTCCGGTTTCACATGGGGACAGAGCCTTAGGAGCTCCTTTGGAGATGAAAGGAGAGAAAAACTCTTCCTTCTTTTTCCTAATTAAGGTTAGGGAGACTTGTTTTCTGATACCTTCAGGAAACTTTACTATCCTAACAGTGGACTCTATCTTATTGCATGAAGATTATAGAATTAGGATGAATATAAAATAATTTTTGGGTTGGGGCATAAATGGAGTGCCTGTCAGTTATAATTATTTAATAACAATCAAAAGAATATGTATTTTCAATTATATTTCTTTTAAACTTTCTAGATCTTTCAGCATGTTAGAGATCCATTCCTACAGTTTCCTTAATGCTTTCATATTCTTGGATTTGGCTAGTGGTGTCAGTGTCATGGTTCAATACTAACAATAAGGTATTTGTCATGTCTTAGTTCTTAAGCATATTTCAAAAAGATCTTAATATCAGATCCTTTGCATCAGGAAAGAAAGCTGAAGAAAGCTTATTGAGTTGAGAATATTTTAACAGAAGTCTTGTTGAATTTGCTGGGATTTTTATGGTAATGTTGCTTCAGAGAATATATGTTTCATTCTTCTTCGGTGAGTAGCACTGCTTCAAGACACAACTTGAAGGTACTTGTTTTGAATATAGCTTAATTTCTGAGTTGTGTTTCTAGACACCATACTAGATTGCTAGACTAGTGATTATAGGATTGGTATATGTGTGGTTAATACATTGTTTCACAGGCATAGGCCAGATATCAAATAACTGTAAGAATGAGACTTTTTAGAAATAGTAAATGCTATTTTTTTCTGTTGGATTTTATAGTATTGCTAAAAAGTAACTGAATTTATACATATATGTGGTTATATTAATATGTAAACAATAGCGTATATTTGATGTTGAAATAAAGAATCCTTTTCTTTGTCCTTCCTCTAAGCTTCCAAGGAAATTGAAAATACCAGAATACTGGGTTAATCCAAGTTTTTACTATTCATGTAATTTTAAAAAATAGGTAAAAGCTAGTTTTATACCAGCCCTTGAAAGCTGTAGAGCAGCTGTATCTGGTAGGCAGAACGTACTCAATGAAAATGTTGGTGCAGACAGAACAGGCTCCAGTAGATGTTTATAGATGTTTTCACATGTTACAAATTAAAGTATATTCATCTCCAGTGTCACATTCTACAAATCTCACTTAAAGGACTTACTTGTGCTCCATAAAAGTAATCTGTTGAAATTTTTGAATTAGGCAGAGGACATTGTTATCCCTTTGTATCAGAAGCTTTTTTTTTTTTTTGAGACAGAGTCTCACTCTGTGTCCCAGGCTGGAGTGCAGTGGCATGATCTTGGCTCAGTGTAACCTCCACCTCCCGGGTTCAAGTGATTCTCCTGTCTCAGCCTCCCAAGTGGCTGGGATTACAGGCACCTGCCACCACACCTGGCTAATTTTTGTATTTTTACTAGAGATGGGGTCTCACCATGTTGGCCAAGCTGGTCCCAAACTCCTGACCTCAAATGATCCACCTGCCTTGGCCTCCCAAAGTGCTGGGATTACAGGCATGAGCCACTGTGCCTGGCCTGTATCAGAAGCTTTTAAAGTTACATCTGATTTTCTCGTCTATTTTTTTCTGTCTAATCTCCGTTGTGTTTTATTTTATTCTATTTTTAAACAATTTCATGGATTATACATTTTGGAGATACTTCTTAATATTAGGTAAATCAATACATTTTGTATGCATTGTTCATAAGGTGTTATACTTTTTCATTATGTGTGTATGTTGTCTTCTGCCACCAACTAGATGTTTTCATAGTGAAAATATTTATTTTCACTTTATTTTGTGAGAGTAGTTGGTTCTCTAGTAGCAAAGACTGATGTGAATTGAAAGGTTTGTAATTTCCTCTCGTGGACCTAATAAAAATTTTAGTCTAGGTCTGTGCATGCCTATGTTAATTTCTCAGACTTATTTGGAAAATGTTTTATACTTTATTATAGCTTCTCTTGTCTGGTTAGTCTGCATTGTGTGGCTATAATGTGATCAAGAGCTTATGAGTTAGACATACTGTGTAGATATGCTTATTTGGTAGAATTATGATATTTCAGTTCTAAAATGTAAATTTGATTGGATCTGTATGAAAGATGAGCTCTTAACACATGATTTTTCATATATGCGTATGTATGTGCATTTCATATACCACCGTTTTTTGTGTATCATACATATATATTTTATCCTGCTTTGTCCATTTTTATCTATGAGAATTATGTAACAAAATAACTGTTTTAAAGCAATTTAAGCCGAAAATAAAAGTTTAGATGAATTTCAAGTTTTGTGAAATAGCATATGTCAGAATAGAAAATATTGGCAACATATAAGCAAAAATGAAAGTGATGGTCTCTGGGCAATGGTTGTGTTTTTATATTTTCCTAAATTTTCTAGAATGAACATATATTCTTTAATCAGAATAATATAAATCTTAAATGCAGTGGAAATCCAGCTTACTCTCTTTCAGTTGATAGATATGTTTTTGATTAATGAAAGCAACAAATATATCAGCATAAAGTATTTGAGTCTGAATCTCAAGCTTAACTGTAAAATAATTTAAAGTAATATTAGCTTTTTGTTTAACATTACAGAAACATGTTAATGATGCACTTAGAACATAGTTTCCTAACCCAGACCACATGTATCAATTAGGAAATTTAACACAAAAAACAATTTTAGCTCTTAGAAACCCAAAGATAGATCACTTTTTATTACAGAGTTTTAAACATGTTCAGAGTACAAATAAATAGCAAAATTTACTAACATTAAAATATCTTTGTTTTTTAAATTTTTTTCTGTTTTTTTAAGCGACAGGATCTTGCTCTGTTACCCAGGCTGGAGTTCAGTGGCATGATCATAGCTCACTGTAACCTTGAACTCCTGGGCCCGAGCCATCTTCCCACCTCAGCCTTTCAAGTAGCTGCATCTACAGGCGTACACCTCCATGTTTGGCTAATTTTTATTTTTATTTTTTTATTTTATTTTATTTTTTGAGATGGAGTCACATTCACTCTGTCACCCAGGCTGGAGTGCAGTGGCACAATCTCGGTTCATAGCAACCTCTGCCTCCCGGGTTCAAGCAATTCTCCTGCCTCAACCTCCCGAGTAGCTGGGGTTACAGGCATGCCACCACGCCCCGCTAATTTTTGTATTTTTAGTAGAGACAGGGTTTCACCATGTTGACCAGGCTGGTCTTGAACTCCTGACCTCAAGTGATCCACCTGCCTCGGCCTCCTAAAGTGTTGGGAATAGAGGCATGAGCCACTGTACTTGGCCTAATTTTTATTTTTATTTTTTGTTAAGATGAGATCTCACTGTGTTGCCCAGGCTGGTCTCAAATTCCTGACCTCAAGTGATTCTCCCACATCCACCTTCCAAAGTGTTGGGATTACAGGCATTACCCCCAGCCAAAAATGTCTGTATAATATAAGCTGAGCTCATTCAAAATTGCAAAAGCTTGTAAGAAAAGAATCAGGAAGTTGAATAAATTCCAAAAGAAACAAGACATTTACCCATGTTATTATGGCCTTGCAATTAATGGAGCAGTTTTTTCTTCCTCTATTGTTTTGATATATTTGTCTCCAATTGCCCACAATTCCTGTTTACATTTATCTTCAATTCATCTGAATTACCAAGTGAACTTGGAACAAAGGCAGTATTCTTTTGACCTTAGAGATAGATGCATCTTAGGATCCTTAGGGCATTAGTCATCTTTGGCATTGTTTTAGGCTTCTCAAAAGATGCTACATGTTGTACCCTTTGGAGACTTTAAATTAAAATAATTTTTCTTCCTAGTCATCTAGTTTAATTTGGTATTTCAGGGTATCTTTAATGCTGGAAAAAGGCATCTGAGCAACAACCAATGTGGAGCATATATTAAAATGTAAAATGTTATTTTCTCTGCTTTGGTCATTTTATAAAGGACCTTCATTGTAGACCCTGTTTATTAGGGGTTCCTGTATGTATAAATCAATTTTGACTTTTTCTTTGGTCTAATGATAATGTGACTTGTGAATAATTACTGCAGTAACTTCCAATTAAAGAGGATTGTGACTCAGATTAGGTTCTTGGTAATTAGTACTTTGTCATTTTACTTCATCAGAAAATGGTGTTTGCTGGTCTGGAATTAAGGAAAGACTTCCATTTGGCAATAAGTTCATTAACACATGGAAAGAAATAGCCTGGCTTATACCCTTGTTGCCAATCACATGTGTTTTTGTTAAAAGGAGAAGGTTGCCCTGCTTTGGGAGGATGGTGGTGACAGATTACTTATCCAAGATTTTTATATTAGGTGTTCTTCTTCTTTTCTTTTTTTTTTTTTTAAGGAAAAAAATGTTTGAAAAGGAAAGAAGTTGACATTGAAATGAAACCAAGTGTGGTAATCACAAGGTCTCAAATTATAGTGAATTTGGAGGCATGAAGGAGACGTTTGGTATGCCTTAGCAGTTACCCACTCTATAAATAATTAAAGGCAAAGAAGATCACATTTCATAGAAATGTGATTTTAGAATGTTACAGTTGTAAAGCACCTTAAGAGGTCACTTACTCCAACCCCTCACTTTAGAAATGATGGAACGAAGCCCCAGAGAAGGAAAGTAATTGAGGTTCATGTAACTCGTCCATAATAAGGGTAGGACCAGCCCAAGGTTTGTTCCTTATTCCCTGTCTAGTGTGATCAGGGAGAACAGTCTAAATGTTTTGCAGGAAGTGTGATTATGATTGAACTAGAGGTTAGAAAATACAGTGATTTAGGGAGCCAACATGGCCGAATAGGAACAGCTCCAGTCTACAGCTCCCAGCGTAGGCGACGCAGAAGACGGGTGATTTCTGCATTTCCAACTGAGGTACCGGGTTCATCTCACTGGGGAGTGTTGGACAGTGGGTGCAGGACAGTGGGTGCAGCCCACTGAGTGTGAGCCAAAGAAGGGTGAGGCGTCGCCTCACGCAGGAAGCACAAGGGGTCAGGGAATTCCCTTTCCTAGTCAAAGAAAGGGGTGACAGATGGCACCTGGAAAATCGGGTCACTCCCACCGTAATACTACGCTTTTCCAACGGTCTTAGCAAACACCACACCAGGAGATTATATTCCATGCCTGGCTCGGAGGGTCCTGCGCCCATGGAGCCTCACTCATTGCTAGCACAGCAGTCTGAGATCAAACTGCAAGGCGGCAGCGAGGCTAGGGGAGGGGCGCCCGCCATTGCCAAGGCTTGAGTAGGTAAACAAAGCGGCCGGGAAGCTTGAACTGAGTGGAGCCCACTGTAGCTCAAGGAGGCCTGCCTGCCTCTGTAGACTCCACCTCTGGGGGCAGGGCATAGCCAAACAAAAGGGAGCAGAATCCTCTGCAGACTTAAATGTCCCTGTCTGACAGCTTTGAAGAGAGTAGTGGTTCTCCCAGCATGCAGCTGGAGATCTGAGAATGGACAGACTGCCTCCTGAAGTGGGTCCCTGACCGCCGAGTAGCCTAACTGGGAGGCACCCCCCAGTAGAGGCAGACTGACACCTCACACAGCCAGGTACTCCTCTGAGACAAAACTTCCTGAGGAACGATCAGGGAGCAACATTTGCTGTTCACCAATATCCGCTGTTCTGCAGCATCCGCTGTTCTGCAACCTCCACTGCTGATACCCAGGCAAACAGGGCCTGGAGTGGACCTCCAGCAAACTCCAACAGACCTGCAGCTGAGAGTCCTGACTGTTAGAAGGAAAACTAACAAACAGAAAGGACATCCACACCAAAACCCCATCTGTACATCAGCATCATCAAAGACCAAAGGTAGATAAAACCACAAAGATGGGGAAAAAACAGAGCAGAAAAACCAGACACTCTAAAAATCAGAGCGCCTCTCCTCCTCCAAAGGAACACAGCTCCTTACCAGGAACGGAACAAAGCTGAATGGAGAACGACTTTGACAAGTTGAGAGAAGAAGGCTTACGATGATCAATGACGAGTTGAGAGAAGAAGACTTCAGATGATCAAACTACTCTGAGCTAAAGGAGGAAGTTCGAACCCATGGCAAAGAAGTTAAAAACCTTGAAAAAAAATTAGACAAATGGCTAACTAGAATAACCAATGCAGAGAAGTCCTTAAAGGACCTGATGGAGCTGAAAACCACGGCACGAGAACTACATGATGAATGCAGAAGCCTCAGTAGCTGATTTGATCAACTGGAAGAAAGGGTATCAGGGATGGAAGATCAAATGAATGAAATGAAGCGAGAAGAGAAGTTTAGAGGAAAAAGAATAAAAAGAAACAAACAAAGCCTCCAAGAAATATGGGACTATGTGAAAAGACCAAATCTACGTCTGATTGGTGTACCTGAAAGTCATGGGGAGAATGGAACCAAGTTGGAAAACACTCTCAGGATATTATCCAGGAGAATTTCCCCAATCTAGCAAGGCAGGCCAATATTCAAATTCAGGAAATACAGAGAACGCCACAAAGATACTCCTCGAGAAGAGCAATGCCAAGACACATAATTGTCAGATTCACCAAAGTTGAAATGAAGGAAAAAATGTTAAGGGCAGCCAGAGAGAAAGGTCGGGTTACCCACAAAGGAAGCCCATCAGACTAACAGCTGATCTCTCGACAGAAACTCTACAAGCCAGAAGAGAGTGGGGGCCAGTTTTCAACATTCTTAAAGAAAAGAATTTTCAACCCAGAATTTCATATCCAGCCAAACTAAGCTTCATAAGTGAAGGAGAAATAAAATCCTTTACAGACAAGCAAATGCTGAGAGATTTTGTCACCACCAGGCCTGCCCTAAAAGAGCTCCTGAAGGAAGCACTAAACATGGAAAGGAACAACCGGTACCAGCCACTGCAAAAACATGCCAAATTGTAAAGACCATCGAGGCTAGAAAGAAACTGCATCAACCAACGAGCAAAATAACCAGCTAACATCATAAAGACAGGATCAAATTCACACATAACAATATTAACCTTAAATGTAAATGGGCTAAATGCTCCAATTAAAAGACACAGACTGGCAAATTGGATAAAGAGTCAAGACCCATCAGTGTGCTGTATTCAGGAAACCCATCTCACGTGCAGAGACACACATAGGCTCAAAATAAAGGGATGGAGGAACATCTACCAAGCAAATGGAAAACAAAAAAAGGCAGGTGTTGCAATCCTACTCTCGGATAAAACAGACTTTAAACCAACAAAGATCAAAAGAGACAAAGAACGCCATTACATAATGGTAAAGGGATCAATTCAACAAGAAGAGCTAACTATCCTAAATACATATGCACCCAATACAGAAGCTCCCAGATTCATAAAGCAAGTCCTTAGAGACCTACAAAGAGACTTAGACCCCCACACAATAATAATGGGAGATTTTAACACCCCACTGTCAACATTAGACAGATCAACGAGACAGAAAGTTAACAAGGATATCCAGGACTTGAACTCAGCTCTACACCAAGCGGACCTAATAGACATCTACAGAACTCTCCACCCCAAATCAACAGAATATACATTCTTTTCAGCACCACACCACACCTATTCCAAAATTGACCACATAGTTGGCAGTAAAGCACTCCTCAGCAAATGTAAAAGAACAGAAATTATAACAAACTATCTCTCAGACCACAGTGCAATCAAACTAGATCTCAGGATTAAGAAACTCACTGAAAACCGCGCAACTACATGGAAACTGAACAACCTGCTCCTGAATGACTACTGGGTACATAACGAAATGAAGGCAGAAATAAAGATGTTCTTTGAAACCAATGAGAACAAAGACACAACATACCAGAATCTCTGGAACACATTCAAAGCAGTGTGTAGAGGGAAATTTATAGCACTAAATGCCCACAAGAGAAAGCAGGAAAGATCTAAAATTGACAGCCTAACATCACAATTAAAAGAACTTGAGAAGCAAGAGCAAACACATTCAAAAGCTAGCAGAAGGCAAGAAATAACTAAAATCAGAGCAGAACTGAAGGTCATAGAGACACAAAAAGCCCCTCAAAAAATCAGTGAATCCAGGAGCTGGTTTTTTGAAAAGATCAACAAAATTGATAGACTGCTAGCAAGACGAATAAAGAAGAAAAGAGAGAAGAATCAAATAGATGCAATAAAAAATGATAAAGCGGATATCACCACCGATACCACAGAAATACAAAGTACCATCAGATGATACTATAAACCACCTCTACGCAAATAAACTAGAAAATCTAGAAGAAATGGATAAATTCCTCGATACATACACCCTCCCAAGACTAAACCAGGAAGAAGTTGAATCTCTGAATAGACCAATAACAGGCTCTCAAATTGAGGCAATAATTAATAGCTTACCAACCAAAAAAAGTCCAGGACCAGATGGATTCACTGCTGAATTCTACCAGAGGTACAAGGAGGAACTGGTACCATTCCTTCTGAAACTATTCCAATCAATAGAAAAAGAGGGAATCCTCCCTAACTCATTTTATGAGGCCAGCATTATCCTGATAACCAACGCCTGGTGGAGACAACAAAAAAAGAGAATTTTAGACCAATATCCCTGATGAACATTGATGCAAAAATCCTCAATAAAATACTGGCAAACCGAATCCAGCAGCACATCAACAAGCTTATACACCACGATCAAGCAGGCTTCATCCCTGGGATGCAAGGCTGGTTCAGCATACACAAATCAATAAACGTAATCCAGCATATAAACAGAAGCAATGACAAAAACCACATGATCATCTCAATAGATGCAGAAAAGGCCTTTGACAAAATTCAACAGCCCTTCGTGCTAAAAACTCTCAATAAATTAGGTATTGATGGCACGTATCTCAAAATAATAAGAGCTATCTATGACAAACCCACAGCCAATATCATACTGAATGGCCAAAAACTGGAAGCATTCCCTTTGAAAACTGGCACAAGACAGGGATGCCCTCTCTCACCACTCCTATTCAACATAGTATTGGAAGTTCTGGCCAGGGCAATCAGGCAGGAGAAGAAAATAAATGTTATTCAGTTAGGAAAAGAGGAAGTCAAATTGTCCCTGTTTGCAGATGACATGATTGTATATCTAGAAAACCCCATCATCTCAGCCCAAAATCTTCTTAAGCTGATAAGGAACTTCAGCAAAGTCTCAGGATACAAAATCAATGTGCAAAAATCACAAGCATTCTTATACACCAATAACAGACAAACAGAGAGCCAAATCATGAGTGAACTCCCATTCACAATTGCTTCAAAGAGAATAAAATACCTAGGAATCCAACTTACAAGGGACATGAAAGACCTCTTCAAGGAGAAGTACAAACCACTGCCCAACAAACAAATGGAAGAACATTCTATGCTCATGAGTAGGAAGAATCAATATTGTGGAAATGGCAATACAGCCCAAGGTAATTTATAGATTCAATGCCATCCCCATCAAGCTACCACAGACTTTCTTCACAGAATTGGAAAAAACTACTTTAAAGTTCATATGGAACCAAAAAAGAGCCCGCATTGCCAAGTCAATCCTAAGCCAAAAGAACAAAGCTGGAGGCATCACGGTACCTGACTTCCAACTATACTACAAGGCTACAGTAACCAAAACAGCATGGTACTGGTACCAAAACAGAGATATAGACCAATGGAACAGAAAAGAGCCCTCAGAAATAATGCCACATATCTATGACTCTCTCATCTTTGGCAAACCTGACAAAAACAAGCAATGGGGAAAGGATTCCCTATTTAATAAATGGTGCTGGGAAGACTGGCTAGCCATATGTAGAAAGCTGAAACTGGATCCCTTCCTTACACCTTGTACAAAAATCAACTCAAGATGGGTTAAAGACTTAAATATTAGACCTAAAACCATAAAAACCCTAGAAGAAAACCTAGGCAATACCATTCAGGACATAGGCATGGCCAAGGACTTCATGTCTAAAACACCAAAAGCAATGGCAACAAAAGCCAAAATTGACAAATGGGATCTAATTAAACTAAAGAGCTTCTGCACAAGAATAGCAAAGGAACCTACCATCAGCGTGAACAGGCAACCTACAGAATGGGAGAAAATGTTTGCAATCTGCTCATCTGACAAAGGGGTAATATCCAGAATCTACAGTGACCTCAAACAAATTTACAAGAAAAAAATAACCCCATTAACAAGTGGGTGAAGGATATGAACAGACACTTCTCCAAAGAAGACATTTATGCAGCCAAAAGACACATGAAAAAATGCTCACCATCACTGGCCATCAGAGAAATGCAAATCAAAACCACAATGAGATACCATCTCACACCAGTTAGAATGGGTATCATTAAAAAGTCAGGAAACAACAGGTGCTGGAGAGGATGTGGAGAAATAGGAACACTTTTACACCGTTGGTGGGATTGTAAACTAGTTCAACCATTGTGGAAATCAGTGTGGCGATTCCTCAGGGATCTAGAACTAGAAATACCGTTTGACCCAGCCATCCCATTACTGGGTATATACCCAAAGGATTATAAAACATGCTGCTATAAAGACACATGCACACATATGTTTATTGTGGCACTATTCACAATAGCAAAGACTTGGAACCAACCCAAATGTCCATCAATGATAGACTGGATTAAGAAAATGTGGCACATATACACCATGGAATACTATGCAGCCATAAAAAGGGATGAGTTCATGTCCTTTGTAGGGACATGGATGAAGCTGGAAACCATCATTCTCAGCAAACTATCGCAAGGAGAAAAAACCAAACACCTTATGTTGTCACTCATAGGTGGGAATTGAACAATGAGAACACATGGACACAGAAAGGGGAACATCACACACTGGGGTCTGTTGTGGGGTGGGGGGAGGGTGGAGGGATAGCATTAGGAGATATGCCTAATATTAAATGAAGAGTTAATGGGTACAGCACACCAGCATGGCACATGTATACATATGTAACAAACCTGCACGTTATGGACATGTACCCTAAAAGTTAAAGTATAATAAAAAATAAAAAATAAAGAAAATACAGTGATTTTTTTTCCTTAGGTGTTTCACAAGTTCGGTACAAAATTATGCCACAATACTTTGATTTAACTTTTTTCACCATAATTAACAAAGTAAGTGATTAATAAATATAGGGTTTTAAAATTTGGTATGCAAAATGGTTTTTAAATTAAATGTCATTTGGAAGGAGGAGCTGAAATGTGTAATTTAAGACATTTCTGGAAATAGGTGTAGCTGCTATAGAAGTGTGGTTAGAAACACAAAATGATCAGTTCAGAATTGAAGATTGGCAGAACAGTAAATATAACCTAGTTCATTTTCATATGGAAGTTACTCCCTGGCATCATAGAGCAAAGGGACGTTCTTACCTGATTGCTTGAAATGCTTTCTCTGCTGTTGCAATGTGAGATATATAGCTGAATGGATCAGGTTTTGAGTGGATACTGATGTCTCCAGACTATTATGATTTCAAGTGTACTGATATCTGTATACTAAGTTATTTATATCTATTTATGTTGAAATTAAGAGGCCCTCATTCTCAGGGGAAGAGGAGTGATACAGCAGGAAGAGATCAGGTTTCTTAACCTCCCTTTTTGTTTTTATTACAAGGTGTATTTACAGTTGTTAACATTTGTCCAGTTTTTTAAAAAATTGGTTCAGATTGTTTGAAATAAGCAAAAGAAAATCTGAATGATTTTGAAATAGACTAAATCGGTTCTTGTAATTTAAAATTGTTTTAGTTTTGTTTGCATTGGTCTTGCCTATTTAACTTAAATATTTGAAGTACCTCTTTTGATCTGTGGTCTCCCTGGCAAATGAAATCAGTGTAAGCACTTGAATTTCAAATGCATGTTTTTTACATTTACATTGCTGTTCTCTGCTGTAGGAAGAGCTCATGAAAACCATCTATAGTTCATAAAGGTATACTCTTCCAGTGAAATTAGGAGCCATTAGAACTATTGGTCTTATTTCCAGCTGAATTAGTTAACTGCCTGTTAAGGTTCAGAGCTTATTGACCAATAGGCATTTATTGCCTTAGCCATAATGACACAATGATTTCCATTAGATTTCAAGTTTATGGAAATAAAAAAGATATCTTGCAAAGGAAACGTTTAGTGGTTGCATTTAATTGTTAGGATTAATTAGGCATTTAAATGTGGATATAAAGTATGTTTTACAAATGAGTATTTCTGTTTCATTGCTCTGAGCCTATTGTACTGAAGTGAATGAAGATTTTGTTGTTCTTGGTTCTCTTGTTTCACCATGTGTGTACACTGAAATTGCTGAGCCATGACTTCAGAGAGTACTTACCAGTATTGCAGAATATTTGGTAGTTTAACATTTGCCATTAATAATATTCATAATAATTTTGAAAATAATCAACATGGTTGCTGTAGGACATTAAATATAGTCATCTGTGAGCTTAAGAGAATGATTTGACTTTTTTTTCAAGGGCTTTTAATGTGAGAAATTCAGAACTTGTATTTCTATTAAGTCTATATTTTCATTTCATTATGGTCACAATTTTATAATTAACAAGGATTCTTTACATAAGATATTAATTAGGGACCTTATGCATTGTTTTTTACTTGTAGTGGTTAAAAAATGCATCTTCGGAGCTAAGTTAAAAGAGCTTATTAAAAAATTAATGTATCCTGAAAGAAGGTAGAGAGGATGACAGATTATGAAGTGGAACCTAGTTTTTAAGCATTTGGGATTCTATTACATTAAAAATTGACGTGAAATCTGAATATTCATCTCTAAAACCATTTGAAATGATAAGCTGCAGAATCAGAGCTACTTCTCTGTAGAAGACTCATATGCAAGTGTCAGCCAACATTCCTTTCAAACAGCTTGAAATGGGTTTCTTAATTTGCTTTAGAAGTGTAGTTTCAGAAAGTTGATGCAACCAAGTTTCATTTGCATTTCCTCTGGACAGGATAAATCCACTTTATTGATATTAGTTTGGATAATTTCTCCCCAAGGGGTAGTGCATCTTTTTCAAGCTCAGAGATCCAAGAGTATTATGGGTAAAGCTTCCTAGGTTAAATTCATTTCTGTCCTAGCTGGGGAGCATGCTTAGCCACATAAAAGATGTAAATATGGATTTATTCTCTCTGGATTTCAGCATTGAAGGCAAGAAGGGAGGAAGGAACTGAGAGTTTGAAAGACACTGAGTTTAATGAATACATTTGGAAGTGGTCAGGAGTGCTTATTTATAAAAAGCAGAATGAGAGGAGGTGTACAAGTAAGATGAAATTCTTTAGTTATTAAATATTTATTGATGGATAGATTATGTATCTGTATTAGGCTATATGTATATACATATGGATAAAAGATGACCCTGACTTTGGAGGAACTCATTTCCTGTTAATTTTTTTATTTATTCAGTAATCATTGGCTATCTATTCTGTGTCAAACCTGTGCTGGAAACAGAAAGATGAAAAGGCATTGTTTCTGTACTCCAGAATCTTTGGGGCTGTGGAGCATATTCCTAACATTTTCATTTGGAATATGGAAAAAGGTTTTCCTTATATATACTTTTTTAAAAGGAAACTGCATATTCTAGGAGTGGAGTCCTGGCTTCAGAGGCAGACAGTTCTGGGTTTGAATCTCTGTTCTGACACTTACAAGCTCTTAGCTTAGGCAAGTCCTTAACCTTTATCAGCTTCAGGAGCCTTACCTTTAAAGGAAGACATAATAATTTACCTTGCAGAATTATTAAGACTAAATAAGATTACTCGTGTGAAGGTGGTTGTAGTTTACCAATGAATTTCAGTTCCATTTCTTCTCCTTTCTGTAATATTGCTAGTCCTATAATTCAGTGACATTTTGCATGAACTAGGCCATTAGAATTGGCTGGTGAATATAACCAATCTTTACAGCATAATTTTTAAACGGAAAAAATGCTTAAAGCATTCCAGATAACTGACCTAAAAATACAATTTTGGAATACAATTCCTTTGTAAGCTGGGGAAGACCCACATTAAATTTTTACATGCACTTGTTCTTATGTTGCTTTGAAACAACTCTTTAATTGTTTAATGTGCAGCATTTATATATTTCCCCAAGTTGATTATATGCTTTTTGACTGCTATTAATTATCTTTTCTTATATACCCTCTTTGCACTGAAAACCTTTGTACATAATGGGTAGAAAATACAGTCTTGATGTAAGGTGAAATTGTTACAGATAAGATGCCAAAGATCCCTTTCATTAAAAATAGGAAATCGTTTTGATACTGCCATTTAAAACTTGTCAACAAATAATACTAGAAAATAGTAAGTTTTAATTTACGTTTTATAGAAAGAGAGCTTAAATGACAAAGGGAACAATGTTAGCAATTTGCAGTCTTTGGAAAAGGTATGGAGTCACATCATTGATGCAAAAAAGGTATCTGTCAAATAGCACACCATAATCATGTGGTGCAAGGGACCCTAACAAGTCAAAGACGACCATAAATCTGGAGCTGTTCAGCCAATCGAGGCCCCAGTTGTCTGTGAATGGTGCTGTCTTTGTGCAGCATTACCAAGACCTGAATTTATGAAAAGAGTTATGCAGTTGTATTTCGTGGTTGTGCTTGTTTTCAAATGATTTTGTGAAATATAGGTAATACTAGGGAATAGGTCATTTTTAGCTACATTGATATTATACCTGAATAAAATTTCTAAACGATTCTCAATCAAAATTATTTATTAAGTTTCTAGTTATATAGGAACTGCTATGCTATTCTGATGGCTCTTTTTGAAAAAGAATTCATTTGCCCCATCCCTGCTGTTTTGTTTTTGGAATTGCTGTCATAATTTCATAGGAATGCATCACCAGTAGGACTACTGTGCTGATGAATGAAAGCTTCCTGTGCCTGTTGGCAGGGACTAAGTAGGCTCTAAGCAAAATGAAATTCACTGAATTTTAGCAGAGCTATTAAGAAAATAAGTGCAAATTGTCAGGAGAAGAGAGATTTGTTCTCCACCATCGTCACTTGACTCTTGGGTAAGAAATGTTAGGCAAGAAAGAAACTGTTTCAATTTGTCATCCTCCTGAGACCTCAAGATGTTATCTGCACTGCTGAAATAAAGCATTCCTTTCTATAAGCAGAGAAAATGAGAAAATGGTTTATGCCCAGATTGGTCCATTTGGTTAGGAGGACAGTCACATAAATAACTACCTAAAAAAACAAAAACAGAGAAAGAAAATGGGAAACCTGAGTCCCTGGCACAGAACATTTCAGCATTAAAGTGTCTGTAAAGGGCAAAACAAAACTGCCTGTTAGGACAACTGTAAAGTGCTAAGAGGAAGACATTGTAAAATTTAACCTTTCTTTACCTTATTTTTGTAAAATAAAAGCCATTTCCTTTTCATGTCTCATCGGGGAAAGCTATATTAGCTTGTGATTGAGAGAAAGCCCTGGCATCAAGTGGTTATAGAGATGTAATGAGGATGATAATGTAATTACTGAACATGTGTCAGCAGTATGATGTGACTATTTAAAGTACGTAAGATCCTGGGATGTACACTGACAGAGAAACAGTGTATTTCAACTGTACTTGTTGGCATCAAGTCCTATTTATTGGGTTTCTATGCTTATTTTTCTTTAAGCTTTGTGTCTGCATGCATGTATAATACTCTGTATGTATATATATATGCACACACATACATACATATATCTATACATACATTATATATGTATATTTACACAATTACAGGAGAGTTATTGGGGGTAAGTTATAGGACAGCAAGAAGAAAGTCGGATGCAGCATGACATAGGTAAAAGAACACAGAATTTTGAACCAATCTACCCTGAGATTGAATTCTTGCCCACTATCTGTGCAACTTGGGTAAGTTTCTTTACCTCTCTGAAATCAGGTTTCTCTTTTTGAAAATGGGAACTAAATGACTCATCTCATGCCATTCTTTGTTAATGTAGTGGCTTTCTTTGAATTCTATGAACCTAATCATACCTTTCCCAGTCTCAGGCCTTTGTACTCCTTTCTGTAGTGCTTTTTCTTTGGTTAGCTTATCATTCTTAGTTCTCAGCTTATACCTCTTCAGAACATATTATTATTATTATTATTATTATTATTATTATTATTATTATTATTATTTTTGAGACAGAGTCTCGATCTGTGGCTCAGGCTGGAGTGCAGTGGCACGATCTTGGCTCTCTGCAACCTCTGCCTCCCAGGTTCAAGCGATTCTCCTGCCTCAGCCTCTCGAGTAGCTGGGATTACAGGTGCCTGCTACCACGCCTGGCTAATTTTTGTATTTTTAGTAGAGACGTGGTTTCACCGGGTTGGCCAGGCTGGTCTTGAACTCCTAACCTAGGGTGATCCACCCGCCTCGGCCTCCCAGAGTGCTAGGATTACAGACGTGAGCCATCACGCCTGGCCCTATTTATTTATTTTTATATATTTTTTTAAAGAAACAGGGTCTCTGTCTGTCACTCAGGCTGAAGTGGAGTGGTGTGATTATAGCTTACTGTAATCTCAAACTTCTGGGCTCAGCGATTCTCCTGCCTCATCCTCCAGAGTAGATAGGACTACAGGTGCACACTACCATGACCGGCTATTTTTTTAAATCATTATATTTTTGTAGAGGTGGGGGGTCTTGCTATGTTGCCCAAGCTGGTCTTGAACTCCTGGACTCAAGCCATTCTCCCGCCTTGGCTTCACCAAATGCTGGGATTGTAGACATGAGCTACCTCACCTAGCCCAGAGCATGTTTTTAAATAAGGTATTTCTCCTTCTTAATTATTCTTTATTACATGTTTTATTTCTTTATTGCACTTTTACAATTTATTTTATTGTATTAACTGTGTGTTTACTCCCTGTCTCTTGCACTAGATATTGAGCTTTAAGGTAGACAAGGGACCATGTTTATCTTTTCTCTCTTGAATTTTCACTGGAACAATGCCTGCCACTGAGCTGTCAGGCACATAGTTGTTTAAAGAATGAGTGAATGAATATAAAACACCTGGAAGAGTGTTGGTAAATTTGGAGACATTTAATGACTAGTAGCTGATACGGTTACTGTTAGATATTATACCTCTACTTATAGATGCAGGTATCCACTCTTTGCTTCCTGCTTTAGAGCTCTAGGAGAGGGCAGTGAACAGTAGGCCCCTACACATTTGCCACTTCACTGGGAATCAAAGCCAAGGGGAAAATGGTTTCCTTTTCCTCTAATCAAAACATGCAATTAATTCTTATTATTTACGGTAGTTATTTTATTTGAAGTTGCTGCAAATACTGAGTTAGCAAATACTGAACTGTTTGAGGGTTAGGTTCCTGTGAGCCTCTGGTCACAACCTTTTTGTCAACTGATCAATACATAACCTTCTTTTATATGTGCTTCTGTTTAAAGGTATCTGATTAATATATATTGTTGATTCATTAACATTGAATTCATGGCTAACAGCAGTATCACTCATGCCTGAATAAAGCTTACCAAACTAGTATTTTCTCTGTAAGGCACATCACAGCCTCCTTGAGCTTAGAAACATTAGATAACACGTTAGTACTATACTTGGGGGTCATTTTAAACAGTGAAATCAACAAAAAGGATACCTTACAATATGAGAATTGGGGTTACAAATACATTTTAATAATTAGGTGAATGTACGGATACAGAATCTGTGAATAATAAGATCAACTGCACATATTTCTATTCATTATTTATGTCTAGTCACATAATTTAATTTTGGGGCTTTACTTTAAATAATACACATTTACATAAGGTGTAATATGCATATGAGTAACTCTTCTTCCACAGTGTTTTTTGGCACTTTTTAAATACAAAGCACATTTCATTTTTACGTATTATTTTTATTTCACAATAGGGCTTGCTGTGTGTGTGTGTGTGTGTGTGTGTGTGTGTGTGTGTGTGTTTGTGTTTGTGTATGCTTTTCATTGAGATGTCCAAAGTACTAATTTACTTTTAAAAACGCCTTTAGTATAATATATTTAAAACAATCTTCCACAGGTCTCACAACCCTGGATTGATCTTTATATACTTATTGCTTGATTTTATCTGAGTTATAGTTTGACTCAGTTTGGAGAAATTGGCAAATGGGCTAAATGCTAGTAATAAAAATCAGACTTGGAAAATAAAAAGTTGAAGCAGACTTTGCAAAGAAATCGGTTTATAACATTTTTAGCAGATGCCTTGACCTTGCTGTCATAAAACTGTCAATGCTTTCTTCTGATAATATCTCCAAGTAAAAGGTATCTGTCTTTTGTTCTCACTCTTTAATTATAAAACAAGCATTCCCATCTTAACTGACTCATTTAGTGAAAACAACAAGTTCACATGCCAATGCTGTGAAAAAATACATATAATGTAATATTCACCATTTTAACCATTTTATGTGTACAATTTAGTGGCATGAATTACATTCATAAAGTCATATAATCGTTACCACTATTTACTCAAACCTTTCCAGTCAGATTGACTTGTTTGTGTGTGTAGTTCTATGAATTTTAACACATGTATACATTCATTTAACTACCACTAGACTTAAGATACAGAACAGTTCTATCACTTCTAAATTTTCTACCTTTAAAACCCTGGCAACAACTAATTGCTATACTTTTGCCTTTTTCAAATGTCATATAAATGGAATTATATGGTATGTAGACTGACTTCTTTTACTCAGCATAATCCCTTTGAGTTTCACCCATATTACATGCATCAATAGTTTTGTTTCTTTTTGTTGCTTACTTGTGTTTCATTGTATGGATGTATCACAGCATGTCTATCCATTCACCCATTGAAGGACATTTGGATTGTTTCTAGTTTGGGGAAATTATGAATAGAGCTGCTATAAATATTCATATACTGGTTTTATGTGAATATAGGTTGTTATTTCTAAGATAAGTTCCTAGGAGTGGGATTGCTGGGTCATATGATAAGTCTAAATTTCACTTTACAAGAAACTGCCAAACCATTTTCTAGAATTTGTATTCTACCAGCAATATATAAGAGTTTCAGGTTCTCTCTGTCCTCACTAGCACTTGGTATTGTCATTTTTCCTTTTTTATTTGTTTGCTATTCTAATAGGTATATAGTGGTATTCTATTATAGTTTAATTTGTGTTTTCTTAATGGCTAATGATTTTGAACATCTTTTCATGTGCTTATTTGCTATCTGAATATCCTCTCTGTTGAAGTGGGTTCAAATCTATTTGCCCATTTTAAAAATTGGGTTTTGTGTTTTCTAGCCAGTAAGTTTTCACAATTCTTTGTATATAAAGGATATACATCCTCTTTTGGGTTAGTATTTTGCAAATATTTTCTTCTAGAAAAGTAGCTTGACTTTTCATTCTCTTAAAAATGTCTTTCACAGAGCAGAAGCTTTTAATTTTGAGGAAGCCCTGCTTGTAAAACTTCCTTTATGGACTGTGTTTCAGTGTTAATTTTTAAAAATTTTCATTTAGTGTGATGAGGTTCACATAATATAAAATATTATAGACCACTGGCAAGACTAATAAAGAAGAAAAGAGAGAAGAATCAAATAGATGCAATAAAAAATGATAAAGGGATTATCACCACTGATCCCACAGAAATACACACTTCCATCAGAGAATACTATAAACACCACTATGCAAATAAACTAGAAAATTTAGAAGAAATGGATAAATTCCTGAACACATACACCCTCCCAAGACTAAACCAGGAAGAAGTTGAATCCCTGAATACACCAATAACAGGCTCTGAAATTGAGGCAATAATTAATAGCTTACCAACCAAAAAAAGTCCAGGACCAGACGGATTCACAGCCGAATTCAACCAGAGTACAAGGAGGAGCTGGTACCATTCCTTGTGAAACGATTCCAATTGATAGAAAAAGAGGGAATCCTTCCTAACTCATTTTATGAGGTCAGCATCATCCCGATACCAAAGCCTGGCAGAGACACAACAAAAAAAGAGAATTTTAGACCAATACCCTTTATTTCCTTCTCCTGCCTAATTGCCCTGGCCAGAACTTCCAACACTATGTTGAATAGGAGTGGTGAGAGAGGGCATCCCTGTCTTGTGCCAGTTTTCAAAGGGAATGCTTCCAGTTTTTGCCCATTCAGTATGATATTGGCTGTAGGTTTGTCATAAATAGCTCTTATTATTTTTAGATACGTTCCATCAGTACCTAGTTTATTGACAGTTTTTAACATGAAGGGTGTTGAATTTTATCGAAGGCCTTTTCTGCATCTACTGAAGATAATCATGTGGTTTTTGTCATTTGTTCTGTTATGTAGTGGATTACGTTTATTGATTTGTGTATGTTGAATCAGCCTTGCATCCCAGGGATGAAGACCACTTGATCATGGTGGATAAGCTTTTTGATGTGCTGCTGAATTTGGTTTGCCAGTATTTTATTGAGGATTTTTGCATCAATGATCATCAGGGATTATTGGCCTGAAATTTTCTTTTTTTTTTTTGTGTCTCTCCCAGGTTTTGGTATCAGGATGATGCTGGCCTCATAAAATGAGTTAGGGAGGAGTCCCTCTTTTTCTGTTGTTTGGAATAGTTTCAGAAGGAATGGTGCCAGTTCCTCTATGTACCTTTGGTAGAATTTTTTGCAGAGACAGGGTTTTGCCATGTTGCCTAGGCTGGTCTTGAACTCCTGGGCTCAAGTGATCCACCTACCTCGGCCTCCCAAATGGCTGGGACTACAGGCATGAGCCACCCCACTCAGCCCAAATGATTTTTTATTGCTCATCAATGTCCTTTTCTTTCAGATTGAAGAACTCCCTTAGCATTTCTTTTAGAATAGGCCTGGTGTTGATGAAATCCCTCAGGTTTTGTTTGTCTGGGAAGGTCATTATATCTCTTTCATGTTTGAAGGATATTTTCACCAGATATACTATTATAGTGTAAAAATTTTTTCCTTCAGCTCTTTAAATATGTCATGCCACTTTCTCTTGGCCTGTAAGGTTTCCACTCAAATGTCTGCTGCCAGCTGTATTGGAGCTCCATTGTATGTTATTTATTTTCTCCTGCTGCTTTTAGGATCCTTTCTTATTCTTGATTTTTAGTAGTTTGATTATTAAATGCCTTGAGGTAGTCCTATTTGGGTTAAATCTGCTTGGTGTTCTATAACCCTCTTGTTCTTGAATATTGATATCTTTCTCTAGGTTGGCAAAATTCTGTTATTTTCTCTTTGAATAAATTTTCCACCCTGATCTCACCCTCTACGTCCTCTTTAAGGCTAATAACTCTTAGATTTTTCCCTTTTGGGGCTGTTTTCTAGATCCTGTAAGCCCACTTCATTGTTTTCTATTCTTTGTTCTTTTGTCTCTCTATGTTCTAACAGCCTGTCTTCAAGCTTAATAATTCCTTCCTCTACTTGATCAATTCTGCTGTTAGTAGACTGTAATGCCTTCTTTCATATATCAATTGCATTTTTCAACTCCAGAATTTCTGCTTCTTTTTAATTATTTCAATCCCTTTATTAAATTTATCTGATAGGATTCTGAATAGTTTTTTGTGTTATCTTGAATTCCGTTGAGGTTCTTTGAAACAGCTATAATATTTTGAATTCTCTTTCTGAAAGGTCACATATCCCTGTCTCTCCAGGCTTGGTCCCTTAGTGCTTTGTTTAGTTAATTTGGTGAGGTCATACTTTCCTGGATGGTCTTGATGCTTGTAGATCTTCATCAGTGTCTGTGCATTGAAGAGTTAAATATTTATTCTAGGCTTGCAAAAGTTAAGTGACTAGCCTGAGATTGCCCAGCGTGGTAGGCTGAATAATGGCACCCCAAAAATGTCCATGCCCTAATCCCTGAAACCTGTAAGAAATGTTACCTTACATGATAAAGGACTTTGTCAATGTGATTCGGAATCTCAAGTTGGGGGCCTATGTGTGTGGGCCCAATGTAATCAGATAGGTCCTTATAAGAGAGGGCAGTAGAAAATGTTGAAGACTGAAGCATAAGTTTGAAGTGATGGGAGGAAGTGGTCATGAGCCAAGGAATGCAGCTAGATTCTAAAGCTGGAAGAAGCAAGAAACAGATTCTTCTCTGGAGGATCCAGAAGGAAACAGCCCTATGGATGCCTTGATGTTAGAGCCCTGTAAGACTCATTCTGGGCATTTGAACAGCTCCAGAACTGTGAGAGAATAAATGTGTGTTGTTTTAAGCTACTAACTTTGTGATCATTTGTTATATTAGCAAAATATAACTAATGTGCCTAGGAAATGCTCCTGCTCAGTATTTTCAGTGCCAGAATAGGGCTGATGGACGAGGCACTTTTAATATTGAACAGAAGTGATTCTTTCACTGTTACGCTCTATTTTTTGAGGTGGCTCATCTTCTTCACCAGCTCACATATTATAAGTCACCTTTTGTAAAGGAGGTAAGGGAGTGACAAAAATTAGGCACAAAATAAACATTAATGATCATAATGATCTCCCTGAGTCATTGAGGAAGTAGTTAATTTATATTTGTTATCTTCTGTTCCAAAAGCCTATATAATAGATAATACGTGTCAGGGAAACTTTTCAGTCAAAAAATTTTTTTTTATGTTTATACTTTGGCAGTTGACTGGGCAGGCTGCAGTTATCTAGTAAGTTCATTATTTGGAAAAGACATTAAATGCAGGTTAAATAATGTCCTTTGGCTTGAATGGAAAAGAAAGAACAGGTGCCAGAAAACAGAAATACAAAAATCTGTCTAAAGGCACATGAAACACTCCTTCCTATCAGAGACTTATACTGATACACTGATTATTAGAATTATTGGCCAGGCACGGTGGCTCATGCCTGTAATCCCAGCACCTGTGGAGGCTGAGGCAGGCAGATCACAGGGTCACAAGTTCGAGACCAGCCTGGCCAATATGGTGAAACCCTGTCTCTACTAAAAATACAAAAATTAGCCGGGCATGGTGGTGGGCACCTGTAGTCCCAGCTACTCAGGAAGCTGAGGCAGGAGAATCGCTTGAACCCGGGAGGTGGAGGTGGCAGTGAGCCAAGATCTTGCCACTCCAGCCTGGGTGACAGAGTGAGACTCAGTCTCAAAAATAATTATTACAGGGTTTTCCAAGGCCCAAACGTGATACCTATTTTAGAATTAAAAAGTCCAGTATTGTCATATCATTCCTGCCACTATAAATTATCCTAAGTTTTGCTGCATATATGTAGGTATTTTATTTTCCAAAACTTTTTCTAAGTTGTCATTTGTGGGATAGCTACTCTGTACTAGACACTGTGCTGGGTGCTTTCCATAGTTTATCACTAACCCTCACAATACCCTGCAAGAAGTTCTTATGATGACTATTGCACAAAAGAGGTGGTTACAAAACTTGCCCCAAATCACAGAGCTACAAAGTGAGACAAGTCTACTGTCATATTCTCTCTCCACTTTCCACACTGCTTCCTTGATAAAAGAATTAATGGTGTGCAATTAACCTCTAAATCAGCTTTTTGTCTTAAGAATCTTATACTTGTAAAATTCAATGTATGGAGGCAGAAATGAAGGAAAATCAGAAATGACACAGAAAATTTATGAACATGAATATTTAATATCTATTCCATTAGCAACCGTTGATTGTAGAACAATTTTTAATGAATTGGATGGAGGAAAAATTCATTTCATTAACCTTTCATATAAATGTATTATTATTGAACCAAACAGGCCACTATACTTGCAACTCAGTTTGATGTTAATTAGATTACAGGCATAAGGATTTAAATCAAAGAGAAACAAAAGAAGCCATCAGCAAGCTTCTCAGCCAATGCCTGTTTGTTTGGTGCCTAAAAATGGATTTTTTACCAGCAGTATAATTTGCTATATTTCTTTTATCTTCTGATATTTTCAAGTGAATTTCCTCTTGCTTCTATTTGTTGACAGTTTATATTAAAAATAAAAATAAAATAAAACCTTGAGAATCAGCAAAGAACACATTCTTCATGTCACAATGTGTTTTACCTGATCAGCTGGGAGTAAATATTCCTACCTCTCCAGAAAACTACACTTCTATTTTTCACTTCTATTTTCTGTCATATTGTATGCTGAAAGCACATGCAAAAGGACTGGGAGCTATTTTAGAAAACACCATTATTTAGTTTGGAACCCAGAATCAGAGGTCCAAATGCCCTAAACATAAATGTTCTAGCCAAATCTGCAGCTGTGAATTGTTTCTCTCTCTTAGATTGACTTTTGGTACATTTAGAATCAATTTCTAAAGGAAACCTGCTCTCAGTTCTGATTGTTTCATGTATCAGCTACTCTTTTCCCAAAATTAATGTTAAATTAATTGTATCAAAAGTGTTATTAAGGTGACAGGTTTATGAGAAAATCATATTTTAAAAAGGAATTAGAAATTTGATAAGAAGCCAAAGAAAAGACTAAAATGCCAGCCAGGAATTAAATAACTAAGTAGGTGTCATTTTCTAGCAGTGGCGGGAATCCCGAAGTACAATTTATGTCAGATTATAAAATGTGTATAGCATCACTTGGAGTTTCTCTCTTCTAAACTTAAAACATAAACAATGAAAGAAGTTTGCAGTCCCCTAGAGCAATGGTTCTGAATTTTCCATATCTTGTGCCTTCATTCTATGGGTGTAGTGTAGGAAATGTGTAAAGTCATGCCAAAAAAAAAAAAAACCTAGAGAATTACCTGAACATTCTCCAAGAAATCATCTGTCTTTGGCATGAGTCCTGTGCCCCTGCCCTACCAATCCTCTCCCAGCCCTAGAACACAGCAAATGTGTGCTTTTATGCATGTAGCCTGGTCCTGGTCCTGAGCAATATGGTAAGACCAGAACCAGAATGGAAAAAATAGTAGTAGCAGAGAGAATGGTGGATTAGGAAAAAAACAGTGAAGCAAAAACATGGGAATTAAAGCAGCCAAAATTCTCACCAACTGTTGAAAAAAACACGTGGCATCTTGCCTACCGTAATGTAACTACACCCAAACCATGTCAGATATCTATATACTCCTTCCAGAAAGCAGTCTATGAAAAATTATTACTCTAAGTAGATATACACTGAGATATGGGCACTCTGCATAAGGCTTCTTCAGGCAGATGAAATTCTACCATTAATGACTTACTCTTTTGATCTTTCTGGCTATCAACTCTTTCTTTTCCCTTCAAATTATTCAAATGGAATTCTCTAGCATTATACCAGAAAGAAGAGCAAAGCAATACGCTAATGTGACACATCTCATGAAATGTCAAAGTTATTTGAAGTTTTGAGAAGAGAATTTTTTAAATTAATAAGCTTTATTTTTAGAGCAGTTTTAGGTTTAGCAAAATTGAGCAGACAGTAGAGTTTCCATATACTCCTGTCCTCATACATGTATAACCTCCCCCATTATTGACATCCCACACCACAGTGTTATATTATTTGTTATAATCTATAGAGGATTATCTTAATATAAAAATTATAGAATAAAATGAAGAGTTCACACAGTTTTTTAAAAGAGGAAATACAAAGAAATGCCCATCTCTACTCCTCCTCTGGCTCCAATTCTTGGAATAGTCCCTCTCTTCTGACTTTAGGTGTTTGGGAAAGCAAAGTTCAAGAAATATTGCTGGCTTACTGACAACTAATACCTTTGTCAGTTGCTTCAATTGCTAGTGAGTAATAAGAGTCTCCAGAAAAGAACATGCTTCTGAGGAAGGGACCTGAACAGGGTGACATGAGTAAGTGATGAGAACAGGGCAGAAAGGCAAAAATATACGCCCAAAAAACACTTGCATAAATATTTCACACATTTTTCTACAGAATAAATTTAGAAGCCATGAGTGATGGCTCACATTTGTAATTGCAGCACTTTGGGAGGTTGAGGTGAGAGGATCGCTTAAGTCCAGGCGTTCAAAACCAGCCTGGACAACATGGCAAGATCCTTTCTCTACAAAAAATTTTTTTTAATTAAAAATTAGCCAGGCATGGTGGCACGTACCTGTAGTCCTAACTACTTGCAAGGCTAAGACAGGAAGATAACTTGAGCCCAGGAGGTCAAGGCTTTCATAAGCCTTGATCACACCACTGTACTCCAGCCTGGGTAAAGGAGCGAGACTCTGTCCAAAAAAAAAAAAAAAAAAAAAAAAAGAATACACTTCCCAGCCTACATTTTTCTCCGTCCCATGTTATATGATCTTTCTACATTGACATGTGTGTAGGGTACCGTGTATCAAAATGAAAAAACAGGAAAAGAAAAATGACTGCCTCTCAATACTTACTAGTATAAAAATACAACATGTTTTATATCTTTTCAAAAAGAGGTTCCAGTTCTAAGCAAGGTGGAACAAGTACACTTCATTTAATCTTTTCCATTGAACACAACTACACCCTGAAAAGACTTCATAGTATAGCTTTCTGAAGACTCTGAAGAGTAAATGGTAGCAGGTGACTCAAGGGAGGAGAACAAAAGTCAAAGCAGTAACAAGCAAGCAGTGGGTTTCCTGATTTGTTTTGGTTTTTCTTTCCCATCTGGTGTTACCAGCTTGGATTCAAAGGCAGCTTCAAATCAGGATGCACTTACTGGGTGCAAACAGAAAGTGCACCAAGAAAAGCCTTCTCTTTGGTCAGAGAAGCAAAAAAGGGAACTCTTAAGGTCAGAAAGAATAAAGAAAATCTGGTTTTCTTAACATTCTCTCACAATCCACACTCCAGGCAAGTCAGCAGTAATGGGGATGATGAAAGCAGTGGAGGCGGCCGGGGCAGTGGCTCATGCCTCTCATCTCAGCACTGTGGGAGGCCGAGGCAGGAGGATCACTTGAGTCCAGGAGTTTGAGACCAGCCTGGACAACATAGTAAGACTCTCATCTCTAAAAAAAAAAAAAAAAAATTAATTAGCTGGGTTGGTGGCACACACCTGTACCCCCAGCTACTTGGGAGGTTGAGTTGGGAGGATCACTTGAGCCCAGGATGTCAAGGATGCAGTGAACCATGATCACACCACTGTGCTCCAGCCTGGGTGACAGAGCAAGACCCCAAAACAACAAGCAAAAGCAGTGTATAATGGGCAGGCATCTAAATTCTCAGGAAGGAGACCCTTCTCTGTGACTATAGGAGCTGTGGTCTTAAGGGTACAGATTGATTTACAATACTTTTTTCCTCTCTCTGCATTTTCACTGCTTGATACTTTATGTAGACCTAATTACAGGATATGTATGGCAACACAGGGAAACTAAAGTCCTACCTTTTGGCTGGAGATTGGAAGGAAGACAGTCAGAGAGCTGGAAAGTGTTGAAGATATCAGATATAGGAGTGAGCTCATGAGAGCAATCCCATTATGTAGTGTATGGTTCTTGCCCTAAATAGCATGCCAAAGGCTGTGAAAAGTATAGGATAGGCTACTCTCCAGTTCTCAGAACACTCAGTGGCGCATATGAAGGACAGGTCCTAATAGAACAACAAAACCTGTGAAAAGTTAACTGACATTGGGAATAAAGTCTATAAAATGTGCATTGAAACTTATCGCCTGAATCTAACTAGGTAAATTGTTTGTTAAACAAAACAATAACTACGTTCTTCTTAAAATATAAACAGGATATAAAGATTCATAAGATAATAACAAAATATCCAGAATATAAACCAAAGTTACTTGGCCTATGAAAGACCAAGGAAATCTCAACTCACAAGGAAATCAATCAATAGACAACAACTCTAAGATGACATAAAGGTTAAAATTATCACACAAAGATTTTAATAGTAGCTATTACAACCATTCTCTAAGAAGTAAAGGCAACCGTTATAACAAATGGAAAGACAGAAACACTCAGAAAAGAAATAAAAGATATAAAAATGAATAAGTAAATGTTTTAAAACATAAAAGTACAGTAACAGGCAGGGTGCAGTGGCTCAAGCCTATAATCCCAGCACTTTAGGAGGCCAAGGCAGGAGGATCACTTGAGCCCAGAAGTTTGAGACCAGCCTAGATAACATAGCGAGATCCTCTCTCTAAAAAAAAAGAAAAAAATTTAAGTTAGCCAGGCATGGTAGTGCATACCTGTAGCTCCAGCTATGCAGGAGGCTTAAGTGGGAGGATCACTTGCACTCAGGGGTTCAAAGCTGCAGTGAGCCATGATCATACCACTGCGTTCCAGCCTGGATAACAGAGTAAGAACTTGTCTCAAAAAAAATTAATAGCATGCAAAATTCAATCATATTTCATACTGGCAAGGAACAACTGAAAACTGAACTTTCAAAAACAATAGCTCCAAAAAATGAATTATTTAGATGTAAGTGTAACAAAATATATGTAAGAGATTTACAATGAAAACTAAAAAAATGCTCATGAAATAAATCAAAATGAAAACATAAATGGGGAAACATAGCCTGTTTATGAACTGAAAGACTAACTATAGTTATGATGCCAGTTCTCCCAAAATTGAACCAATACAAATAGATTTAACATAATGCCAATGAAAAACAAGATATTTTGTACATATAGACATCTGAGTCTAAAAAGATTTATATGGAAAAGCAAAGAAACTAAAATAGCCAAAGCAATTTTGAAAAGAAAAAGTTGGATGCATCATAGTACCCAATTTTAAAACTTCCTAAAAAATTACAGTAATCAACACAATGTAATGAGAGAGGAGAAAGGAAGAAACGGGTCAGACAGGCAGTTAGGGTAGGTCATCTGTTGAATTCTTTCAAGCAAAAGAACAGCCTGCAGGCACAGATAAGGGAACTTGCACAGTCGGGCTTGCCTAAGACATGCCCATAGCCACACAGATAAGAAAGGCTGCACAGGTGACTTGCCCAAACACACCTGCAATGGAAAATTCCATCCCCTGAACATGTGCAGTAAGCGGAATAAAGCAATATGGAGTAACTCAAGCTTAGGGCCCACATGCGCATTAAAAGAATGGGATGGAACTACCAGAACTTTGTGCCTTATGCAAATAAGACACCCAGCCCTCATCAGTTTCTTATAAAAGTCTTTGCATTTAACTGTAAAAACAGCACCCCTCTTCTGGATCCCTTCATCGCAGCTGAGAGCTTTCTTCTTTCACTTATGAAACTTTCACTCCAACCTCATCCTTTGTGTCCCTGCTCCTTCATTCTCTTTGTCATGAGACAAAGAACTCTAGGTAATACCTCACAACTGAGACTGCTACATTGTGGTGCATTGACGAGACTGTAACAGTAATGTTGTGAAGGGGTAGATAAATATCAATAGAACAGAATAGAGAGTCTAGGAATAGACCCACACAACTATGAACAACTGATTTTTTTACAAAGGTGGAAAAGGAACTAAAAAAGAAAGGAACTTACTCTTTTCAATAAATGGCATTGGAACAATTGGACATTCATATAAATAAAAATGAACCTAAAACACTGTTTTGCACCTTATATAAGAATTAACTCAAACTGGACCACAAATCTAAATGTGAACAAGTAAAACTATAAGAATTTTAGAAGAAAATGTTTGTAACCAAGGGTTAGATAAAAAGTTCTTAAACATGATAACAAGGAGGAATCTAAGCAAAAATGGAGAAGTAGATATCATAGCTCCAAGGGCCTGTCCCTCTGAAGCAATATCAAAAACTAAAGAAAAATTGTCAATACCAACTTTGTCAGAACTCTAGAACACAGTCACAGGTTTACACCAGTTAAAAAAAAAAAAATCCAAATCCAGAAGAAAGCAACTTCCAAATGGCATAAAAGTCTTTGACATTTTAGCTTCACCTTGTCCCATCCTCCTCCCTGGCTTGTTGAGAGTCTTAAACTTGACATTCTGCATTCCTATAGTGAGAACTCGGTCTCTGGTTCTCTAGGGAGCAGAGCAAACTTTATCTTCAAATGATTGTGTTTATCTGATCTAACTTGTCTGGGGACTACCTATATTATTAATGCAAGGTATCTGCCTTTGTTTCACCTACCTCAAAATTCCTTCAGGGAAGAAAAGCAGCAAATATTCCTCAAAAACACTGTATTGCAAACAAACAATCCCCAGCGACCTATACAAAAGACTGCAGATAGTCCCCAGTACACAGCCAATCTGTACAAACTTGGAGAATTTTTTTTCTTTTTTTTAGAGATAAGGTCTCACTCTGTTTCCCAGGCTGTAATGCAGTGGAACCATCATAGCTCACTACGGCTTTGAACTCTTGGGCTCGAGCAATTCTCCCACCTTAGCTTCCCAAGTAGCTAGGACTACAGGCACATGCCACTACATCTGACTAATATTTTAAATTTTGGTATAAAGAAATAGGGAGGGTGGCTGGTAAGATGGCCGAATAGGAGCAACTCCAGTCTGCAGCTCCCAGCGAGATCAATGCAGAAGGTGGGTGATTTCCCCATTGCTGGTGTGTGTCAGGTTTGTCAAAGATCAGATGGTGGTAGATGTGTGGTGTTATTTAGGAGGCCTCTGTTTTGTTCCATTGGTCTATATATCTGTTTTGGTACCAGTACCATGCTGTTTTGGTTACTGTAGCCTTGTAGTACAGTTTGAAGTCAGGAAGCGTGATGCCTCCAGCTTTGTTCTTCTTGCCCAGGATTGTCTTGGCTATGTGGGCTCTTTTTTGGTTCCATATGAACTTTAAAGTAGTTTTTTCCAATTCTGTGAAGAAAGTCAGTGGTAGCTTGATGGAGATTAACATTGAATCTATAAATTACTTTGGGTAATAAGGCCATTTTCACAATATTGATTCTTCCTATCCATGAGCATGGAATGTTTTTCCATTTGTTTGTGTGCTCTCTTATTTCCATGAGCAGTAGTTTGTAGTTCTCCTTGAAGAGGTCTGTCACATCCCTTGTAAGTTATATTCCTAGGTATTTTATTCTCTTAGTAGCAGTTGTGAATGGGAGTTCACTCATGATTTGGCTCTCTGTTTGTCTGTTATTGGTGTATAGGAATGCTTGTGATTTTTGCACATTGGTTTTGTATCCTGAGACTTTGCTGAAGTTGCTTATCAGCTTAAGGAGGTCTGGGGCTGAGATGTTGGGGTTTTCTCAATATACAATCGTGTCATCTGCAAACAGAGACAATTTGACCTCCTCTCTTCCTATTTGTATATGCTTTATTGCTTTTTCTTGCCTAATTGCCCTGGCGAGAACTTCCAATACTATGTTGAATAGGAGTGGTGAGAGAGGGCATCCTTGTCTTGTGCCAGTTTTCAAAGGGAATGCTTCCAGTTTTTGCCCATTCAGTAGGATATTGGCTGTGGGTTTGTCATAAACAGCTCTTATTATGCTGAGATACGTTCCATCTTACTTAGTTTATTGAGAGGTTTTAGCATGAAAGGCTGTTGAATTTTGTTGAAGGCCTTTCGTGCCTCTATTGAGATAATCATGTGGTTTTTGTCATTGGTTCTGTTTATGTGATGGATTACGTTTATTGATTTGCGTATATTGAACCAGCCTTGCATCCCAGGGATGAAGCCGTCTTGATTGTTGTGGATAAGCTTTTTGATGTGCTGCTGGATTCGGTTTGCCAGTATTTTACTGAGGATTTTCGCATCGATGTTCATCAGGGATATTGGTCTGAAATTCTCTTTTTTTGTGTGTGTCTCTGCCAGCCTTTGGTATCAGATGATGCTGGCCTCATAAAATGAGTTAGGGAGGATTCCTTCTTTTTCTATTGATTGGAATAGTTTCAGAAGCAATGGTATCAGCTCCTCTTTGTACCTCTGGTAGAATTCGCCTGTGAATCTGTCTGGTCCCAGACTGTTTTTGTTTGGTAGGCTATTAGTTATTGCCTCAATTTCAGAACCTGTTATTGGTCTATTCAGGGATTCAACTTCTTCCTGGTTTAGTCTTGGGTGAGTGTACGTGTCAAGGAATTTATCCATTTCTTCTAGATTTTCTAGTTTATTTGCGTAGAGGTGTTTATAGTATACTCTGATGGTAGTTTGTATTTCTGTGGGATCAGTGGTGATATCCCCTGTATCATTTTTTATCACGTCTATTTGATTCTTCTCTTTTTTCTTGTTTATTTTTCTTGCTAGTGGTCTATCTATTTTGTTGATCTTTTTAAAAAACTAGCTCCTGTATTCATTGATTTTTTGAAGGTTTTTTTGTGTCTCTATCTCCTTCAGTTCTGCTCTGATCTTAGTTATTTCTTGCCTTCTGCTAGTTTTTGAATGTGTTTGCTCTTGCTTCTCTAGTTCTTTCAATTGTGATGTTAGGGTATCGATTTTAGATCTCTCCTGCTTTCTCTTGTGGGCATTTAGTGCTATAAATTTCCCTCTACACACTGCTTTAAATGTTTCCTAGAGATTCTGGTACATTGTGCCTTTGTTCTCATTGGTTTCAAAGAACATCTTTATTTCTGCCTTCATTTTGTTATGTACCCAGTAGTTATTCAGGAGCAGGTTGTTCAGTTTCCATGTAGTTGTGTGGTTTTGAGTGAGATTCTTAATCTTGAGTTCTAATTTGATTGCACTGTGGTCTGAGAGACAGTTTGTTGTGATTTCTGTTCTTTTATATTTGCTGAGGAGTGTTTTACTTCCAATTATGTGGTCAATTTTAGAATAAGTGTGATGTGGTGCTGAGAAGAATGTATATTCTGTTGATTTGGGGTGGAGAGTTCTGTAGATGTCTATTAGGTTCGCTTGGTCCAGAGCTGAGTTCAAGTCCTGGATATCCTTGTTAATTTTCTGTCTCGTTGCTCTAATATTGACAGTGGGGTGTTAAAGTCTCCCACTATTATTGTGTGGGAGTCTAAGTCTCTTTGTAGGTCTCTAAGAACTTGCTTTATGAATCTGGGTGCTCCTATATTGGTTGCATATATATTTAGGATAGTTAGCTCTTCTTGTTGAATTGATCCCTTTACCATTATGTAATGGCCTTCTTTGTCTCTTTTGATCTTTGTTGGTTTAAAGGCTGTTTTTATCAGAGACCAGGATTGCAACCTTTGCTTTTTTTTTTTTTTGCTTTCTATTTGCTTGGTAGATCTTCCTCCATCCCTTTCTTTTGAGCCTGTGTATATCTTTGCACGTGAGATGGATCTCCTGAATACAGCACACTGATGGGTCTTAACTCTTTATCCAATTTGCCAGTCTGTATCTTTTAATTGGGGGGCATTTAGCAATTGTACTTATGGAGATAGAGTAGAATGATGGTTAGCAGAGTCTGGGAAAGGGTAGTGTGTGTGTGGGGGCGAGTAAGGTGAGATAGTTAATGAGTAAAAAAATATAGTTATATAGAATGAATAAGATCTAGTATTTGGTAGCACAACAGGATAACTATAGCCTACAATAATTTATTGTACATTTAAAAATAACTAAAAGAGTATAATTGGATTGTTTGCAACACAGAGAAAGCATAAATGCTTGTGGTGATGGATACCCCATTTACTCTGATGTGATTATTATGCGTTGTATGCTTGTATTAAACTATCTTATGTATCCCATAAATATATATACCTACTGTGTACCTGCAAAAATTAAAAATATAAAGTTTTCAAAAATCAGTTTTTCTTTTAAAACCAAGGTTTACATATTCTCTAATTTTATCGTTTTCCATCACAATTGAACAAAGTTGTTTTGTATACATACAGTGATATTAAAGTTTTTTAGTTTTGGCCTCTTATAATCATTTTTGCTTTTGACCCAGTTGTGTTAAATTATAAATCAGTGGTGCTGCTTTTTAAAAACTAGCATCAGCATTTCTATTTTCCCCATTTCTAATCATCTTTAAAATAAAGGGAAAATTTAGTAAAAAAGTCATGTGATTTACAAGTATAGTTGAACAAAGATAGTGATTATATGGAAAGCATATATTCACTAGAAGCTATAAAACCATGTTATAATTAGAAATAATTATTCTTCAGGAGATTTTAAAAGTTCAAATTCCAAATTTGAAATATCGACTAAGAATATTAAAGTAGGCCAGGCACGGTGGCTCATGCCTGTAATCCAGCACTTTGGGAAGCCAAGGTGGGTAGATCATTTGAGGTCAGGAGTTTGATACCAGCCTGGCCAACATGGTGAAACCCCGCCTCCACTAAAAATTAAAAAGTTAGCTGGGAGTGGTGGTGCGCACCTGAACTTCCAGCTACTTGGGAGGCTGAGGCAGGAGAATCACTTGAACTGGGGAGGTGGAGGTTGCAGCGAGCTGAGACTGTGCCACTTCACTCCAGCCTGGGTGACAGCAAGACTCTGTCTCAAAAAAAAAAAAAAATTAAATTATAACATTTGAAAATACAGATAAAATCAAAGGCAGATTATTTGCAAATACTTGAAATAAGTACTAGGTTATGCATTGTACATATGAGTATATACTATTCTATATATCATTACATATTACATATATTTATTACATATGTTGTTATACACATGTACCTGTGAACATGGTAGTTTACCTCGTTACTCATTTAGGCCAAGGGAGAGTAGAATATTAGGTTATTGTTTGGTTCAGTGACATTTTGGAATTCTGAACCAGGAATGATGTGTTGAAAGTAAAGACTAAAGGTCTTTCCTTGCTTCCAGAGGTACTTGCAGAGTGAATTGTTTACTGTTTCACTTATTTAGCCTTTCAGTGTTTTTATTTCAACCCTCTGGGGTGAGAGAAATGCCATTTAGTAAAAAGCAAATGCTAATAATACTAACAATTTTAACAATAGGGCATAAATACTTTGGTCATTAATTACATTTTTGTTACCTCTGAAATTTTACAGCATTAGTTACTTTTAGTTATCATTTACTGCAGCCAGCAGTCAAGACACTTAGAGCTTTTTATATTTTTTCCCTCTTGACTGTGAGCACCTTGAGGGTGCTCTTGTCTTGTTTTTTGTGTGTGTGTGTGTGTGTGTGTGTGTGTGTGTGTGTGTTATGTGTCACAGTGCCTGGCACTGTTGATTTTTAGGGAATGTTAATTGTGAGAAAGAAGTAATGGAAACTTATTCTTGTAATCCAGTTATCTTTATATGATTTGTGAAGTCATCTAGTAGTATGCATGGAATAATCACTGTGGTGTATTTGTGGTGACCAACAAGAAAATAAATGAATGGAAGACTTGAAAATCTAGGCATCCCACTTTAGTCCAGTGTATTAACTAGCTCCCTGTACATTTCTCTTCTTCTTGGCTAAAGCTTCAGCCTAAAATCATTGTACTTAGGGTATAGGTGTTCTCAACAGTTAGTCCATGTTGCCCTTTCTTCTCCATCTGCTGCCAAACCAATGACCAGTATGTGGTGTATGTTTGGTAAGTTCATGAAGTAAGTGTGTATGTGATCTGATGTTGACTGGGCACCAAGTATTCAACATTGCCCTAGAGACACCCATCTTTGGCATGCTGCACATATACTGCGTCCGTATATATAAGTTTGTACCTCTCCCAGATGAAGTGGCTTTCTGTGAGACCTGTGATAATAAGATAAACATTAGTAGCTGGAACCCATAGAAGGAGAAGCAGATAGGCTATTGGCAGGTCACATCAATTTTCCTGAAGCTTGGATAAACAGCTGTGAATCTCAACATATCCTGACCTTTCCTTTGGAGAAGGCTGGCAAGCCTATGGGTGGCTGTTATCTCGCTCAGAACTTGGTAATACCAATTTATTTTAGTCAGGTGGCTTACATTTTGTCTGGGAGCCTTACAGCAATGAGAATTCTCAATTATATAGTTTCTTGATTGCTCATAGTCTTTTATGGAACAAGAGAAAGAATGAATGAGACAGTGATAGAAATTGAATAATATTATATTGAATGCTAAAATATTTAAAATATTTATTGGACTCTCTTGTATTCTGTTAGTCTATAATTATGTGTTCTTATTAAGATTCTTTTCCCATTAGCTAATAACAAAAATAGCTAATTTCGTTGGGTGCTTAACTCTTTGCCAAGTACTGTACTGGATTCTCTTTATTCTATTTCAATAACTTACAATCTAGGTTTTATCATCAGCTTGAACTCCATAGTGACATCTCTCTCACAAAAGTATAAAGAACTCATTTTTATTCAACAGCCATTTGTACATGCAATGAATATTGCATGGATAAATGTTGGGAGAGCCCCACTCTTTGAGTTTGGAACAGGGAGTTGTCAGAGCTGTACTCATTATGCTATCTTTACAGGGATACAATCCTAAGCTTTTAACAGGTAAATCTTATAAAGTTGGATTAGGGACTCTGGAAGGGCATAAGGGAAGACCAAAGATGACCTTTGAACCTTCTCTCCTATACCACTTTTTAAAATCTTTTCTTGAAGAAAGGAAACCAAGATTGTGGGAGGCATGGTCCAGTCTTACCTTTTCTTATCTAATTTGTAAGCGTTCTAAGAAAACAAAACATGCACCTTCTCCTTGAGCTCCTGTGTGAACATGAGACCAAAGCTTGCATTTAACACTGAACTTTACCTACCTCCCTAGCAGTAGGTAAATCATACTTTTCAGTGCTTTTATTTGGCAGACAGGAAAATCAGTTGCCCTCTCAAGTAAGTAATGTTTTGCTTCAAATATGTAAGAAGTTATCAGAATTCATTGATACTAAGTTAAGATTTTTTCTTATAATATGTGAAATCAGTAACTAAGACATTTTTTGTGTCTCTTAATAAGTTTACAGTTATTTGGCATATTTGTATATAAAAACATAAATATGTATATTTTTAGTTTAGTTTTAATATAGCATTTCTGTACTTATGTAAACTATAGTTATTTTTAGTTGGAATATACTGTTGCCTCTTGCAATATAGAAACTACCTAAAAAGTGAAATGAAAAAGGTAATGAAAAATCTTTGTAAACACATTAAAGATTTAAACAGTGGCTGAGTCCAGTGAAGGGAAGTGATCCTATGAATTAGTAATGAAAGTGCATTTACAGGTTATTATCTTACTGGGGTCTGAGTTTTAACAGCTACTGGTACTTTAATAGAAGCCTCAGTAGTCTGTAATAATTTGAGTATTCATTCTGTTTATGGATTGTTTTTTAATAGAAACACTGAATGGTGTTGCCTCTCTTAAATTACCTCAAATAGTCATTATAAAAGTAAGATAAGTAAATATATCTTGTAAACACGAAAGGTGCTTTCTCACTCTCTGTGTATATGCATTTGTAATATAAAATTTTTAAATTATATATTTTTTATTGAGTGGTAGTTTTAAGAGTTTGAAACTTCATTTAGATCCCATGAATACAATTTGTGACAATTTCTAAGTATATTGGGTTGAAGAAAAATAAGTTTGTGTTATAAACAGAATTGTAAGAATATTTCAGTTGAATAGGAGACCAAGTATTTTAGAAGCAGATGTTGTCATATAAGCAATGAATATGTTAATTATATGTTATTTGTATGTATTATTTAATTAGGTAAACACCTAATTTGCTGGTTGTATACAAGTAACACTTTGTCACCTGCTTGGTTTTACTCTGTGTAGTTGAAAACAAACTGCAGGCTGGGTGCAGTGGCTTATGCATGTAATCTCAGCACTTTGGGAGGCTGAGGTGGGAGGATCGCTTGAGCCCAGGAGTTCAAGGCTGCAGTGAGCTAGGATTGCGCCACTGCACTCAAGCCTGGTTGAAAGAGTGAGACCCTCTGTCTATTAAAAGAACGAGAAAGAGAAAAGAAAACAAATGGTAGTTTCTTAAAACTATTCTAAAATTCTAAAATTTAAATATTTAAATATCTTACTAATTCTCTGGTCTTTTCTGCAGTTAGTTAGAAGGAGGAATGTTTTCCTATAATCACAATTGATAATACTAGTTTTTAAAATAATTCACTTAAAGAATACAAAGGATAATAACCTTTTTTGGTTTCTAAGCAAAGCACACATATAGGTAATTGCTTTTAAATATTATGTGTGAAACAACATATTAAAAGTAAGTAGCCATGTTGTGTCACTCATTATTAAAATTATCTTAAAAGTAATCACACACTCATTTGTTCCTTTGTAATTATTTAAGAGGGGGAAATAGAAAATAAGTAGAATTCATCTCATTTATTTTTGCACTGTACTAGATACTTAGGTGAGATATAAAGAGATCTTCAAGTCCCTTTCCTGAGGAGCTTATGGCATTAAAGGTGGGATAAGAAATATTTTTAAAATACTTCAAAAACAATAAAAGTAACGTGTGAATAAATACCAAAGAATGTGATAAAATTGATGTGTCTTAGAAGTGAAAAGATGAAAATTTTAAATAGAAGTTGCCTGATAAAAGTATGCTTATGATGTTAGAAGTTAGTTCATTTCATTACCAACTGTTCACTAGGTTTTTAAATCAAGTACATCTCAATCTTAGTTCTGCTGACCTGTTGTTCTAGTAAAGAATCACCATCAGCCTTGTTGGAGCACAGGCATTATATATCTTATATATCTTTTATTTCTAGGCATACTTCCGACAGGGTGTTGCCCTCCAGTACCTTGGACGTCATGCCGATGCCCTGGCAGCCTTTGCATCTGGACTGGCTCAAGACCCCAAGAGTCTCCAGCTTCTGGTGGGGATGGTGGAAGCCGCCATGAAATCTCCCATGAGAGGTAAATATGATAAAAGTACTTGGTATAACATTAATTTAAAGAAGATCATTTCTAGCCTTCCAAGACTTTAGGCTCAGGCACAGAGAATTGATAGGTTATCAAATTTGCTAAGATTTGATATTTTAGACCAAGGAAGATCAAGAATCACTGCCAGCAAGTGATGTTAATGAGGCAGAATAGTATGGTAGAAGGGCCACTCACCTAGAAGTTTGTGGACCTATATTACATTCTTAAATTTTTCATTAACTAACTGTATGACAGTGGGTAAATGGATCAACTTCTTTGGCTTTCGGGATTATTTAAAAACCCTTATAGTTTTTCTGTAGTCTGAAATTCTGTAATTCTAAACCACAGCACTTTTAGTAGGAAATTGAATCTCAGATGGACCAATATATGCCTTCTAGAAATACTCAAATAAGACATTTGACATTCTTATATTTCATAAAAGAAATACATATCTAATTGTAGGCTGTGTCTCAAATTTTTCAGAGGAGCATTAAAAGATTATGTTGAAATAAAAAAAGAAAAAAACAAGACAGATACCAGTTTACATATTTTCTGCCTGTTCTTACTTCTACTTTACGCTGGTTGGTATTCTGGAACAAACAAAAGAATGGATTGAAAATGGTACTGTAGAGGTTGGAGGAGTTCTGAGGCCCAAAACAGATTGGCTTCATTTTGAGGAATGTTGATTTTTGAGGAATGAATTCTTGGGAAGATTTGACTAAAAGTATGTATAGCAATTGCTATCTTTGGGGAGTGATGGAGACACCGAGGCAGATTTATGGTAGACAGTCGACAGCTAATAATGATTCATTTTAATCAGGGTATGTCAAGCAGAACTGTTTTTCAGTCTGAAGTGGTATGTTTTTGAATTTTTCATATGGAAAAATGAACCTAAAATTTTTGATGGCAGCATCATTCAACATTTTATCTAGTTTTGAAAATGTTCGCAGCCTTAGATATTTTTAATATAGTGGCTAGTATTATACTTGGCTCAAAGTATGTGCCAAATAAAAGTTTGATAAACTAAACAGTACTCATTTGGTCTCTGGGTAATTCATAGCTATAAAAAATATTTTCCTGAAATTCAGGGATTTCATATTTTAGGAAGAAAGTGTCATGCGATTTTATAAACTCTACAAAGCTGAGGTTTTGCCACAGGCTGAAACCTCCTGGGGACCTGCTGTTAATAAACTCTGACTGGCCAGGTGTGTTGGCTTATGCCTGTAATCCCAGCACTTTGGGAGGCCGAGGTGGGCAGATCACGAGGTCAGGATTTTGAGACCAACCTGACCAACACGGTGAAACCCTGGCTCTACTAAAAATAACAAAAAATTAGCTGGGTGTGGTAGTGCGCGCCTGTAGTCCCAGCCACTCAGGAGGCTGGGGCAGGAGAATCGCTTGAACCTGGGAGGCGGGGAGGTCGCAGTGAGCCGAGATCGCACCACTGCACTCCAGCCTGGGTGACAGAGTGAGACTCCGTCTCAAAATAAATAAATAAATAAATAAATAAATAAATAATAAATAAACAAACTCTGACTTACAGCAGATGCATTTTGGAGCTCCAGGGCTTAGGGAGCAGGGCAGAATGGACAATAAGAAAAAAATCATCCTATCTCTCCTTTCCATTTTCTAGTTTTTTCTTGTTCTCTCCCTACACCCCTCCACAGGGAATTTACATGGAACATTTTTTATTTAGTTCATGAAGATACTACCTCTTTATTCTGAGGTGCTTCTGCTGCTGCCTTAGAATATTGGAGTGAATGTGTTGAGATCAGTAGAATCATACTTACCATTTTGCCTTTGAAGCGATCTATTTAGATAAATGTAGGGAAATCTTCCCTGCGCTGCTGGAAATAGCTCAGAGCTGCTGTCGCCCTTAGGGTTTTCTCTACCAGGTTCTTTCCCATCTTATGTAAGTGACCTAAGGCTGAACCTGGAGAAAGCAGCTTCTTACTGGTTCCTGGAGTGCTTCAATATCTTCTTCTCTTCCCTTAAGGCAATTTAATTTATCTGATTTATTTTCAGCATTGTCTTTACCACTGTATCTATTCCAGGTGGGCTTTTCTTACCAACAATTTATGGAGTATGTTACATTGCACAGTATTGTTCTGTGCATCATCCCACATCTTAATGACCTCTCTTTTTGTCATATGGTTGTAATTGACAAAATTTCTCATCATTTGCTGCCTACTTTTTTTTTTTTTTGAGATGGAGTCTCGCTCTGTCGCCCAGGCTGGAGTGCAGTGGCGCCATCTCGGCTCACTGCAAGCTCCGCCTCCCGGGTTCACGCCATTCTCCTGCCTCAGCCTCCTGAGTAGCTGGGACTACAGGCGCCCGCCACCACGTCTGGCTAATTTTTTCTATTTTTAGTAGAGACGGGGTTTCATCGTGTTAGCCAGGATGGTCTCGATCTCCTGACCTCGTGATCCTCCCACCTTGGCCTCCCAAAGTGCTGGGATTACAGGCGTGAGCCACCGCGCCCGGCTGCTGCCCACTTTTTTAGCCATTGTTTATTTTAGCCTCGTGCAGCTTCCTAAGTTTTGTCATTGCTGCAGAGCTGTGCAGTTTGGGTCACTTTACATATACGTCTGATCTGTTATGTCAGTTGTTTTTGTATTTTTTTTTTTTTTTTTGTATTTTAAAGGCTAGTCAAATGAAGCAGTGAGAGTGGAGAAGGATAAATCTGTAACTGGTTGTGATCAGTTAGTTGTAACTACTATTGCACTCAGACCAGCCTGTTTTGTAATCCTTGAATGCAGCAGAGAAAACTGGTCCTGGTGCTTGTATAAGCAGACAAAACTCTCATAACCTGCACAGTGTTCCTGTGGTTTGGTCTTTGTGGAAGTGTTAAGATTTTATTTCTTTTAAGGCAGGGACAACCTAAATTAATATACCCTTTCTCCCATATAAATACGTTATATTTGTCCACATTGATGCTCATTTGATTTTTTATTATTGTTGGCTGTATTTCTAACTGATTAAATCTGTTTTACTTTATTTTTTTAGTTTCACTCATGCACACAAATCAGATATCAGCTAAACCTTTTCTCCTGTGGATATACTTATATTATTTTATATGATGTATTTCTCTTAAATCATTAATGAAAATATAAAATAAATACAAATTGATACTTTCTTTTATGTGATTTCTCAAGTAATCCTTTTGCCATATTCTATTTCTTTTTTAAGATAATCTTTCAGCAATTTCAGTTTATTGTATCTTACAAACATTTAAGCAAATTTGGGTGTTGTAGCATACTATTACTGCCAACCATGGATTTATTAATGTAATTACCAAGTGAGATTGAGTTTACCTTTATTTGTTCCTCTAAAGATGCTAGGGCCGCTTCTTGCTGAGGACCTTTTGTGTATATTGTCTCTCTTCCTGTTAATTTGGCAATCTAAAAACTATTACATTTATGGTCTATCACCTGTTGTGTTGTTTCCACCAGCTCCTGGGGACCCAGGGAAGCTGATTTTATGAAGTGCTGATGGAAAATGCCTGTTAAATGTATAAGCTTTTCTTGCAGGGTCAAGTTGGGGCTCACCTTTTATTTGTCTAATTGTCTACCCTAAGTGGGCTCATTCCCTCTGATTCTCTTTTAGGTGGGAGTCACTTTTCACAGGAGGCTTCCTTCTGAAATGTTATGTTAAAAACATAGGCTCGGGCACCTGTAATCCTAGCTACTCAGGAGGCTGAGGCAGGAGAATCGCTTGAACCCGGGAGGCGGAGGTTGCAGCGAGCTGAGATCGTGTCCCTGCACACCAGCCCGGGTGACAGACAGAGTGAGACTCCGTCTTAAAAAAACAAAAAACAAAAACCAAAAAACAAAAACATAGGCTTCTTCCCCCAAAAGATTGGAATCTAATTCCAGCACTGCCATTTGCTAGTCCATTGGCTGAGCAAGGTTGCTTCCTTTCTCTGTACTTCAGTCTGTATCCGTAGAGAGAAATTATAATATCCATCTCCTAATGTTGTTTTGAAAGTCAAGAACTAGCATCTAAAGGCAGGCCTCTGTAGGATGCCTTTTCCTCTGCAGTGTGATGCCATTCTTCTCACCGAGGAGTGGAAGCAGCAGCAGTACTAATTGCTCTTATGTTTAGGGCAGGCGTAGTGGTGTGGATGTGGAAGGAACACTACGTAGTACCTAAGGTCCTCTTTATGAGCACTCACTGGAGAAGTTTCTCTCAAGCCTTAGAAAAGACCTTGCCTCTCTTTCCTTCTTATCTCCAGATATTCTCAACTAAAACTATCTGCAGTTCCTAGAAAACACTATGGTTTCTCCGTCTCTGATTTCTATTCAGGTACCACTTCCTCTGGGAAGCCTTCCCAGACCTACCCTGACAGAGTTAATAACAACTTTCTCTTTTGGGGTCCCATAGCACATTTTACCACTTCTAAGAACTCTGGATTAAAAGTTATATTATTATTATTATTATTATTATTATTTTGAGACAGGATCTCACTCTGCCACCTAAGCTGGAGTATAGTGGCATGGTCATGGCTCACTGCAGCCTCGACCTTCCCGGGCTCAGGTGATCCTTCCACCTCAGCCTCCTGAGTAGCTGGGACTGTAGGTCTGTACCACTACACCCAGCTAATTTTTGTATTTTTTATAGACATGAGGTTTCACCATGTTGCCCAGGCTGGTCTTGAACTCCTGGGCCATTGGCCTTGGCTCCCAAAGTGCTGGGATTACAGGTGTGAGCCACCATGCCTGGCCTCATTATTTTATGTATTACAAAGAAAGAAAAAAACTACCGACTATTATGATGACACATATTTTTATTTTATGTTTTCCGAAAGAGCTCTTTTAGGCCCCTTTAGATATAAAAGTGACACACCATTTCATAGCACTGTTGATTTCAGAGGTATTAAATCCCAAATTCAGAGATTGTTAATATGTGAATAAATGTGCATCTCTGAACTGATGAAATACAGTATATCTCTTAGTTGAGTGTGATTTTGCTTATTATTAGCCTCTGCTACATTCCTACAAGCTCTTCAAGTGTTAGGAAATATGATTTTGTTCATCTTAAATTTTTAAAGCCTTTACATTTCAAAAACACTTAATGGTTGATGAACTGATGTTGCAAAGGGCTTTATGTTCTTATGGAGTTGGTTTGACATTGCCTATTTCATGTATTATCCATAGACTCTAGAAAGAAAAGCATCTTAATAGCTATAGGCTGCCAAAACTCTGTTTCACCTAGCCTGATAAAATCACAAAATTAGTCCCTTTGCTAATAGCCCAAGTTTACTCTAAAATCGGAGTTAGAATAATAGAGTTGAAAATAATTGTAGTGATCACCTATACATTTAGAAAACTTATCTTACCACTTGTATATCTAGAGCTTTTGATTATGGGTGTGGACCAGTGAGACATAATTACAACCCAAGCGGAGAAATTTGATAGTAAAAAATTTTTAAATTTATATACAGTGAAATGGACTTTTGTGTGTATGTATCTGTACACATTGACATACATATATACATGAATAGATTTGTGTAACAATCACCAGTTTCAACCTACGCGTTTGACCAAGTGAGAGACTGAGGCTATGTGACTTTTAAATACAGGTGTCTGTATGTATTTAGCTCAGTGTTTTCCCCATTATTTCACATCAACTTCCTTCCCTACAAGTATTCTTTGGTCAGTTCAAGCTGGCCTATTCAGCAATCCCTGTCATTTCATGTATCTGTCTTCTCTGGCACTTCTGTTAGGACAAATCTTCTGCATAAAATGCCTTCTACTCTCAGAAAATAGCAAAGACTTGTCTAAGCCCTACTCTTTTTTCAAGAGATCAATTTCTTCTTCCATGAAGCTTTCCAGTTGCCCTTGATAATCCCTCCCTTTTCCAAACTCTTATAGCATGTTTTGTATATTATCCTTGCATTGATCTTTGCATTATAATTTATCTTTTGAAGTGTATTTCCTATATACCGAGAAGGGAAATTTTATCTTTTACTTCTCTTTCATCAGTTTCATTTTCATCTAGTGAAAATTTGTACAGTTAAAGATTTCTTTCTCTTTTGGGAATCTTCCACGTATTTCTGTGGCAATGTTCACTCTTCTTTCTACCATTGTTGTAGAATTTTAGAGGCTCAATTAGATGATTATTTCTCTAACTTAGCTGTGGTTGCTATAGGAAAAGATATCACCAAGTAAAGCATGGTGTCTTTGCTAGCTATCAGTCAGTTTGGGCTGTCAGTTTAGGGCATTCTTCCTCATACATTTCTGCTTCTGCCATCTATAATAAAAGCTGAAAGCATCAGATCCTAATTTTCCCATTTTCCCTAGCAGCTGGGACCCCATCCTTGAATCAGAAGCTAAAGGTTCAAAGAAGAAAGGATAGCACAGAATTTGTTCTGGTGGTGGAGGTGGCAGTGGTGACACTGATTTTCCAAGGGTGGCATTCAGTGAGTTGGTGTGGGGAGGAGCATTGTAAACTGTGGTGTCCTGTGTTTGGTTGCAATGGTTATGCTGCCTTCACCAGGCAGCGTTTGTGGTATGATTTTGACTGAGGGTTTGGACGCCTGGTTTTCCACCTTTCCCAGTAGTCACTCAATGTGTTTCTTTTCTGTTTACAAGCAGCCAAGATTGGTGTATGTTGCTAGCAACTAAGAATCTTGCCTGGTGTGATGTCATAGAACCTGGGCTTAGAGCCCTGCAGTGTGTTCTTATCTTGGTTATGTCCCAAGCTTTCCAACTTGGGATAAGTCACTTAAATACTCAGATTCTTCATTTCTAAGAGAGCATATTTTAAAAGTCTTTTCAACTCTAAAATTCTATTATTTTTGTTTCTGCTAATTGGCCAGTGGGATGCTGATGTGATCAACATTGACTACCAAACTCATCAGCGGACGGCACCACCAAAATTCTGCTCACAGTATTTCATTATGGTATTGTGCTTTTGTATTCTAGCAATTCCTGGGTTCTTGTGCCTGTACTTAACCCCATTGGTTAGCTAGTGTTTACCAGCACTCTGCACGGCTTGAATCTTGACAGGTGTAAAAATGTTCTTTGTTCTCTGTTAGTGATCTGATTGAAGGAAAAAAATGCTTTAGGCACCCACAGGTTTCCAGGTTTCAAGATTTCTGTGGCATTGTTGACTCAGACAAGAGCTTTTTAGTGGAGACTTTAGATTCAAAGTCATAAATTGTAAAAATTACATTTTAATGCAGTGCTGTTGGCTAGGAGACTCAAGATTTAAAGAGACCACCCCTTTTATAGTTTTTTTTTTTTACATGTGCATAGTGGAATAACTAATGTGAAATAGTTTTTCAGGAAAGCTAATAATAAGTGCTTTTTAAGTGCCATCTCATTGTAGGGCTATCATTAATAACTCTGCACTTGTCTTTAAAGAAAAAAAGAATTGGGAGAAGGAGCTTGGAGGTTATCTACGTTCAAACTTAGCTTCAAATGGGAAAAAAATCTCCTGTGGCTTACTGACCCCTATGTTCTTTTAATACCATATGAAAATAAAATGAGACCAACATTAATTTTATCTTCCATCTTAATAAATAAATTCAGATGATTTCTTTATGGTTTCATTTATGACCACAAGAAAAATGCATAATATTCTTCTAGTCGGGGGCTACTGGTTTCCGAAGCAGCAGTGGATACTGGGTTACCAGTGAGAATGACAAGGGTTTTGTTGGGAGAGCTTTTATAGCATCTTCTAGGAAAAAATATGGACAGGGTTTATTAATCTGTCGTTCAGATTCAAGTTTATCAGCCTGGGCGTGGTAACTCACACTGGTAATCTCAGCACTTTGGGAGGTCGAGGTGGGAGGATCACTTGAGCCGAGGAGTTTGACAACAGCCTGAGCAACCTAATGAGACCTCATCTCTACAAAAATTTTTTGAAAATTAGCCACAGACGATGGTGTGTGCCTGTGGTCCTAGCTACTTGGGAGGCTGAGGTGGAAGGATTTACTTGAGTCTAGAAGGTTGAGCCTGCAGTGAGCCACGATTATGCCACTGCACTCCAGCCTGGGTGACGGAGCAAGACCTGTCACAAACAAACCTCTTATCAAATGCCAGACATGTTAGGGACTTTCACCTGTGTTCATGATGCGTTTTCTGAGTACCCACATTGTGCCACTTGCTATGGTGTTACAGTAGTCCTATAGCAGTCTTTAGATTTAGCTGGAAAAATATTTAAAAAATTAATACGTGTAGAACAATTCTAAAATAGTTAATGACCAAACTGTGCAATACCATTAAAATGCAGCACAAGTTTGGATACACAGATTAATGTATGCCAGAGGAGGACCTGGGGATATTCCCAGTACAAGTAGGACTTGAGGGATGTGCCTGTAATATTTTGAGAGGGGAACAGGACAGAGGAGAGGGAACTATTCAGGGAAAGTGGTACATGATGATCACAATGGCCAAAAGAAAGGATAAGACATATACATGCAAGAGTGAGGAGAAGGAAATTACTGGACTGGGGTTTGTGATGCTAGTCATATGAGATAAGTGGTGCTAGAATAAAGGTTGAAGAGTTTATACTTGAAATAAGCCACAAAAGATATGATAAACATTTATTTCTAGAGCGTATTAGAAAAGATTGTTTTTGTATCATCCTACATTCTCCTGTTATGTTGCTGTTATTGTTGTTTATTTTCAGACTCCCTCGAGCCCACTTATCAGCAGCTTCAGAAAATGAAACTGGACAAGAGTCCCTTTGTGGTCGTGTCTGTGGTTGGGCAGGAACTCCTGACAGCTGGCCATCATGGGGCCTCTGTGGTTGTCTTAGAAGCCGCACTGAAGATTGGCACCTGCAGCCTCAAACTGAGAGGTTCTGTTTTCTCTGCCCTGAGCAGTGCTTACTGGTCTCTTGGAAATACAGAGAAGAGCACCGGATATATGCAGCAGGACTTGGATGTAGCCAAGACCTTAGGTAGAGTGATGCTTCTCTATTTCAGTGCAGAAAGGGAACAAAGAAAGCTGAGTAACATGACATGAATGAGAATAATATGCAATGAAAAGTGATCGCCTGGTTGCTCACACCTGTAATCCCAGTGCTTTGGGAGGATTGCTTAAGGCCAGGAATTTGAGACCACCCTGGGCAAAATAGTGAGACCCTGTTTCTTAAAAAAAAAAAAAAATAGCTGGGTGTGGTGTACCTGTGTCTTAGCTACTCCGGAGGCCAAGGTGGGAGGATTGCCTGAGCCCAGGCATTCAAAGTTACACTTAGCTATGATGATGCTACTGCACTCCAGCCTGGGCAACAGAGCAAAACCCTGTCTCTTAAACAAAAAATAAAACAAAGAAAAAAAAAGCGAGTGCCTCTAGAACATTCTCTGTTTTAGACTATTCAGGTCTTTACAGCTTTCTCATATAACAAGGTGCCAGCACTCCCAAAAGGCCAAGAGATGTGGAATAACATACTCATTGCCCTCTTCAGGGATTTGGGCTTACAAAATATGTCAAATGATAACATTGTTGGGTCAATCTTTCATCTTAGTTTTAATTTTTTCCTTCATTAGGATGCGTTATCATTTTGTTGAAGGAGATTAGTATAGTATAGAGGTTAAGAGTGTATACTGTGGAGCCTGACTACTGGGTTTAGAATCCTGGCTCTGCCACTTACTAGCTGTGTGACTTGGGGCAAGTTTCTTAACCTCTCTGTGACCCACTTTTTTCATTTGTAAAATAAGTATGGCTTATGATTATGATGGTCATTATGGTGATTATTCAAGGACTTACAGGATTGGAGTAAGAGAAGGGATAAGGTGCATCTACCACCAGCATACTTGTAAAGATATTTTTTTGTAGATTTGGAGTCAAATGACTGAACCAACAAGCTGATGGTTGTTTAGAATCAAAGGTCATTAGCAGGGCAATGAGGACTCAAACAGCAGCTAGTTTGTGTTAAGGTCTTTAACCTTTTGTTTCTAAGACACCTAAGTCCCTGTCTGCAGTTGTATGTTATGACAATAAAAGCAGTTGTTATCCAGAGATTTAAATTCTAGGGCAGTAACTCCCCACATAGGGTCTTGTGGAAGAAACAAATACTTTTCTAATAGAAGATAAGTGAAATCTTAGCTAATAAATCTGTGGCTCTTAAATTAAGATGACCATTATATGTTATAAATAACATTATAACTTAGAGAAATTTTTTCTTTTTTTTTTTCTCAATTCAATCCAGGTGACCAGACAGGAGAATGCCGAGCTCATGGGAATCTGGGCTCTGCATTCTTCTCCAAAGGAAATTACCGGGAGGCTCTCACTAACCACAGGCATCAGTTGGTACTCGCCATGAAACTCAAAGATCGAGAGGTAGGAAGTTTATCTGCAGACCAAAAACATTTTTTTTTCTTTTGGAAATGTGGAGCTCTATTTTCTGTTAAAAACAAACTGTTTCAGGTATCTTAAAATATTACTTTCAGAAGAAAGTATTACTTGAGACTTACTGATTCTGTTTTTCATCAACAATTGAGTGTTCTATATATCCAAGCATAGTCCTTGGATATATAGAAATAGAGAAGACTTGTTCTTGACCTCACGATCTAACAGCTTTGTCAGATGCATTGTTCTTATTATCTTCAAATGTGCATAAGTTTATGTAAAATTAGAAAAAAGCTATGTCATTATGCCATACTCATTAAATTGTAAAAAGCAAACATTGGTTTTTTTAGATCAGATATTATTACCGCAGACTCTTTACATTGTTGCTTTGGTGGATTTTCAACTCAGGAGCATATTGAGTTTGATTGAGATATCTGAATCATACTGGTAAAGAAATATCATCATAGTCTTATTAAAGAGATGAACTATAATATGTTCAAAGAGTTAATATTCAGTAGATGTAACATGATTAGAGACTGTCTGCAGAGTGGAAAGAAGGTGAGGTTTGGTGTCAGATAGGCCCAGATTTAAATCCCAGCTGCAGTACTTCCTGGCTGTGGGATCTTGGGGGTAGTTATAACTTAACTCTTCTTTTTCTCCTCCATTTTCTTATTCAGGAAATGATTATTCTATTTATTCCAAACACAGTTGTGGTAGGATTATAAATAATATATGTAAAGTGCCCGGCATGGTGCCAGGATTTCCATAATGGCATTCCACAAAGGAATTCCATAAATGATAGCTTTTATTATAATATTATTAATAGGGAAGAGAAGGTTAATAGCAGAGGCAACAAAAAGTTTATAAATCAATCTATGTGTTGAGAAATATGTTTAGTCATGTTTACATCTAAGAATTCTACTATGGGACCTTATAAAGATTAATTATATTGTTTAAATGATCCAGCAACTACGTGTCTCAGGAACATGGTCAGGCACTAGGAAGGAATTGGGGAAGAAAAGCCTTTGAAAGCCACCAAAACAGACTATTGAAGGGCCATGGACTTTGGGCAATATTATTCTCTAGAGAGTTACCTGAACACTTTTCTTATTGCCCAAATAACTAACATTACAAACAATTCTTATAAGCCAGATGATCTGATTTCTTGATGTTCAGGGAGTGAAATGAGAGATCAGACTCCTAGAGACAGATATACTAATGGCATTAAGAAGTGAGAGCCAGGTTTAAGAAGTAAAACAGCATAGTTGTCCAGATAGGTCCATTTAGTGAAGGGACAGATTGCTATAAATATGTCAAGAGCTGGCCAGGCACGGTGGCTCACGCCTGTAATCCCAGCACTTTGGGAGGCTGAGGCAGGCGGATCATGAGGTCAGGAGTTGAAGACCAGCCTGGCCAACATGGTGAAACCCCGTCTCTACTTAAAATACAAAAATTAGCTGGGTGTGGTGGCGGGTGCCTGTAATCCCAGCTACTTGGGAGGCTGAGGCAGGAGAATTGCTTCAACCCGGGAAGTGGAGGTTGCAATGAGCTGAGATTGCGCCACTGAAGTCCAGCCTGGGTGACAGAGCAAGACTCCATCTTGGGGGGGAAAGAAAAAAAAAAAAGGCAAGAGCTGCATTTATACTCTTTTTTCCTAACCTTCAAGGTGTATGTATTAGCCCAATTACTACAAAGGGTAGAAAGACTTTTAAGATATCTGAATCATAATGGTAAAGAAATATCATTGTAGGACATTCTCTATGATATCATAGATGTTATATTATAGATGTTAAACAGGAGGAATGAAATTTTTCTGCCTTCCCTCTTCTCAATAGTGTAATTTACGTCATGTTTTATAACCTCTGCTGTACAATATGTTATTAAGAAATCATTGAATTATGAGGATAGAAGGGACCCTGAAGTAATACTGGTACCCATTCCTTCCCCAAACCTACCCATCTTAGGTTTGCCACCTACCATAGTCACTTCTAAGCCCTTCCAAAATTGCCCTTTGCATAGCTGCTACTGCAGTAGCACAAGCCTGCCTATTGGGATATTCTCCTTATGTATAAGTAATAGACTCCAGGGCTGATTTAAAATTCCCCCTGAGGAGAATTTCTTTTTTCCCTTATGTGAGGAGAGTATGTCCAGCTACCACATTCCTTTTCTAAGCTTAATAATATTCTCCTCAAAGTTTCTGATTATTAAGACTTTAATAATCAACTTCTTCTGGCCATTCCCTTTTCACAGTGGCCCATTTGGGTTGTCAGCCATAGATAGCTCAACTATTGCAGAGGCCTCCTGAGTTGTTCCTCCTGTTTAGCCCATGCTCCTGCTTGATGTTGCTCAAGCATATTTATCTGATTCCTTGACTAACCTATGGAATTTCCCCTTTTCCTACTGTGTTTCTTCTATTGTGTTTGCTTCTGGAATTATAAAGTACCATTCATTTTCATGAGAAATTAATGTATTTTTCTTAGTTTTTTTATTCATAAATTTATTTCGTGTATCTGATACATAGTAAGCATTCAGTAATTCTTTTTAACTTTCTGTTGGAGGGGGGGAACATTTCATATCTAATCTTTTAGCAAATTTTGAGTATGCAATATGATTTATTAACTGTAGCTTTCTGGTATACATTAGAGCTCTAGAACTTATTTATCCTACATAACTGAAACCGTATACCCTTTAACCAACATCTCCCCATTCCTCTCCCTCAACCCACTCTGGTAACCACCATTCTGTCCATGCTCTGCTTGCATGAATTCAGCTATTTTAGACTCCATATATAAATGAGATCATGTAGTAATTTTCTTTCTGTGTCTGGCCTGTTTCACTTAACATGATATTCTCCAAGTTCATCCATGTTGTTGCAAATGTCAGGATTTCCTTCTTTTCTAAGTCTGAATAACATTCCAATATATGTATGTGTCTGTGTGTGTGAGCTATAACTCCTTTACACTTTCGTTTCTTGATAGATACTTAGGTTGTTTCCATATCTTGGTTATTGTGAATAATTCTGCAGTGAACAAGGGCATTTCTCTAATTTTTAAGGTTGTTTTTGAGTGCTGCTTCTTACCTGCCCATGTTTTACTGGAAATCTTTATCCCTGTATTCCTGAAACCAGACACCAATTGTCAAGACTGGAGTTAATATTGGTTTAGAACTTACGGGAATGTACAAAATATCTAAAGTGAACTATTTCAGCAATATGTATTTTATCTATGTTAAGAGTTTTAGCTGGCCATTCTGAGATTTAATTCAGTTAAGTGTGATGTCTTCTCATAAGGCACCTAATACTGTGCTTAGGGTTCAAGGTCTGGGTAGTGTGGTGTGGGGTTACTCCCTTTGAGGGACTTACTTTCTTTTTGAGGCAAGCTTTAATACATGAAAATATTAAAACATTGTTTCAGCAATAAATGATGAATGCTGTCTTAATCACTGCTGAAATTCTGGAATTCTAGAGGGGCAGAAACTGGTATAAACTTGAGGAAGCTTTGTGAAACAGGTGAAACTTGGAATGTGATCCTAAACTCTGGTTAGCATATCAGTCATGTTTTGCTGAGTGATAAGAGAGTTCATGGCTTTAGCAAAGACCAGATATTTACCACAATCCTATTCAATATAGTCACAGAATCTTGTTTTTCATAAAAGTTGGTATAGTGTTGGGTACAGTGGCTCATGCCTATAATCCCAGCACTTTGGGAGGCCAAGGTGGGCAGATTACTTGAGCCCAGGAGTTGGAGGCCGAGGTGGGCAGATTACTGGAGCCCAGGAATTTGAGACCAGCTTGGGCAACATAGTGAAACCCCATCTCTGCAAAAAATACAGAAATTAGTTGGGTGTGGTGACACATGCCTGTAATCCCAGCTACTCAGGAGGCTGAGGTGAGAGGATTGCTTGAGCCCGAGAAGCCAAGGTTGCAGTGGGCCAAGTTCACACCATTGTATTCCAGTCTGGGCAAGAGAGAGAGAGGCCCTGTCTACAAAATAAAAGTTAATATTTATTAGTTTTATCCAATTACATAACAATTACATGAAAATAACTAATTATAAGCCTATGTATAACAATTACATAACAATTACATGAAAATAACTAATTATTAATTATAAGTTAATATTTATTAGTTTTATCCAATTACATAACAATTACATGAAAATAACTAATTATAAATACTATTAATATTTTTGGTATGCTCTTTTAGTCATATATGTAATTATAATTGTTTATATTTATTGAAACCAAAATGGAAATCTTCTTGGAGTGCTGTTTTATAATTTTTTGCACTTATGTTTTTCCACTTATAACACATTTCTTCATTTTATTAAGTGTTCTACTGAAATTCTTATGACTTTCTCATAATTCATTTCATCTGTTTTCCTACTGTTATATATTTAGGTTGTTTCAAAAGTTTTGGTATTATAAAATCTGGAAAAATATCCTTGTAGGTAAATCTTTAAATACATCTCTTATCATTTCCTTTAGTTAAATTATTAGAAGTGGGCTGGTTTGGAATAAACATAGTAAGGCTTCTTATACTTATTACTGATTGCTCCCAGGAAAGCTGCATCTGTTTCAGGCCTATCAGCAATGTATCAGAGGTTTCATTTCCCTGCCTTGGCCAACACTGGGCATTAATATTAAAACCAAAAAGTCAATTTAATAGGTTAAGAAAAAGGTAATATCTTATTGTTTTAATTTGCATTTCTTTGATCACTACTTGGGTTGACTGTTTTTTAAAATTTCTTTTATAAAGAGCTTTATGCTTTTATTTCCTTTATAAAGAACTTTAATATTCTAAACCTGTTTTCTTCTATAGTGGTACTGGTTATTTTGTATTGGTCTGATTCTGGGCATTGCTGTGTCATCCCACTGAGCTGTTAGGCACTTTGTGTTCAAATAACACACAGTTTTAATTATTATTGCCCTATAATACATTATATTTGCTAGAGAAGTCCTATACCATTATTCTTTTTTTTTAATGTCTAGGATATTCTTGTCCCCTTGCCCCATAAATGAACTTTAAAATCATTTTGTTAGATTTTAGAGAATCATTCATTGGGGTGTCTATTGGAATTATATTGAATTTACATATTACTTATGAATACATTGATGTATTTTCAAGTCAGTCTTCCATTTAGTTGCCTGGTCTGTCTCTCCATTTATTCTTACATGTCCCCTCACTGATCTACACTTTTAGGGAGATTTTCTTTTCCTATACACTTCAGGTATCTTATTGGAAATGAGATATTTTTTCATTGTGTGTGTGTGTGTGTATGTGTGTTTTGAGACAGGGTCACTCAGGCTGGAGTGCAGTGGTACAATCATGGCTCACTGCAGCCTTGACCTCTTGGGCTCAATTGATCCTCCCACCTCAGCCTCCCAAGTAGCTGAGACTACGGGTGCATGCCACCATGCCTGCCTAATTTGAAAAAAATTTTTGTAGAGCAAGGTCTCACTATGTTGCCTAGGTTGGTCTCAAAGTCCTGGCTCAAGCAATTCCCTCACCTTGGCCTCCCAAAGTGCTGGGATTATAGGCATGAGCGACCACGCCAGGCCCTCATTGTGATTTTTTAAAAAAATAGTTTTTGATGGTATGTAGGAAGGGTGTTCATCTTGCATGTTTTGTCATGAAAATTACCATATGAAAATTATATTAGTGCATATTTTTTTGTTGATTCTCTTGTAATGCAAATTATTTGAAGATAATGATAATTTTGTACATCTCTGTTCTTATGTTACACTCCTATTTTTTCCTCTTAATTATTGCACTAATTAGATCTTTGAGAACACTCCCAAACAGCAGTCTTACCATCTTCAATTTTATATAAGTTTTATATAAGTTTTTTATAAGTTCAGTCAATACAGATTTTATGATTATCCTATTCTTACATTGTACCTGTGATCCTAAATTATACCTTGTTTGCCCTTTTGCATCATTTTGATAGTGAAATAAAATACAGTAAACTGCCTTTTGAAGCAAAAATTAATACTGTAAATGCTATGCGTGGGAAGAATACTAAACTGCATCTTTCTACCCCTTGCATCTTTGGCTGTAATAAGTTTTAGGATTTTCCAAAGTAGCTAGATAGCAGCCTGAAAGTAGTTTGTCTGCCTACCTTTAAAAAGCAATAGGTTTTCTTTAAAAAAAAAAATTTTTTTTTTGAGATGGGGTCTCGCTCTGTCGCCTAGGCTGGAGTGCAATGGCGCAGTCTCGGCTCACTGCAACCTCTGTCTCTCAGGTTCAAGTGATTCTCCTGCCTCAGCCTCCCAAATAGCTGGGATTACAGGTGCGCACCACCACGCCCAGCTAATTTTTATTTTTAGTAGAGATGGGGTTTCACCATGTTGGCCAGGCTGGTCTCGATCTCCTGATCTCAGGTGATCCACCCGCCTTGGCCTCCCAAAGTGTTGGGATTACAGGCATGAGCCACTGTGCTTGCACAAAAAAATTTTTTTTAAAATTTTATTGTTTTTTAAAGACAGAGGTCTTGCTACATTGCTCAGGCTGTAGTGCGGTGGCTATTCACAAGTGTGATCATAGTGCACGGTGGCCTTAAACTCCTGGCCTCAGGCAGTCCTCCTGCCTCAGCCCCCTGAGTGGCTGGGACTACAGACACACGAATGCATAGCTTAATAGGTTGTCTTTTCTACTGTTGCTCTCAGATGCTTAATAGGGGAGGTGGTATCTTCTCCACAGGATTTTTTTATTCTGACTAACCTTCTGTCTACTTTAATGGCTTCAAAATTAATTTTAATTGCCCACAGAGGCCTTCCTATGAGTTAATATGAATTGTCAGAAGAGTACATAAATTACATAGGATTAGAGATAGTGTTCTCTATTCAGGAAATCTGATATACAAATATGCTGGTAACTCCAAAGTATTTTTTATCAGTCTGATTTGTCTCTTGAGCTTCATACTCTCTACCCACCTGCCTCCTGGATACATACCTTCAACTCTGTTGACTGAGCCCTCAATCTGTGCCTATTTCTGCATTCACCATTGTCCTGTTGCCCAAACCACCTCCTCCCCTCACTCTCATATTTGGTTAGTTACTTGATTCTCTTCTTCTGTATTAGAAATCTCTTTCCTGCCTCCTCCCATCTCTTTTACCTAGACTGTTGCAGTACCCTCCTCTAAGAACTTTTCAGAGCTTTTAATAGATATTCTTATGCAAGTGGAGGAGAAAGGATGTATACTACTTGGGTCTGTGAGCAAAGTCTGAAGCTGCTGCTGTGAGTAGATAATTTCTTTCCAATATAGGATAGTGGTTGAGAGAGTGAAATTAGATAGTCAACAAGCTTGGGCTTGAATTTTGGCTCTGCCATTTATTACCATGTGACCTAAAAATTATATAGCTTTTTTTTTTTTTTTGAAACGGAGTCTCGCTCTGTCGCCCAGGCTGTAGTGCAGTAGCGTGATCTCGGCTCACTGCAAGCTCCGCCTTCTGGGTTCAAGCCACTCTCCTGCCTCAGTCTCCCGAGTAGCTGGGACTACAGGCACCCGCCACAACGCCTGGCTATTTTTTTTTTTTGTATTTTTTAGTAGAGACGGGGTTTCACCGTGTTAGCCAGGATGGTCTTGATATCCTGACCTCGTGATCCGCCTGCCTCAGTCTCTCAAAGTGCTGGGATTACAGGCGTGAGCCACCGCGCCCAGCCTATATAACTCTTTGAAGTGTACTGATGGAATCATGAGTTGTTTCCAGTTTGGGGCTGTTATAAAAATGCTGCTATAAAATTTTTGTGAATATCTTTTGATGAGCATCGCACTTATTTCTATTAGGTATTTGGTCATACATATGATGTTTAGATTTAGGAAGTTTTTGCCAGTTTCCCAAAGTGGTTATACCAAGTTATATCATCAGCAATGTAAAGAGTTGTTAAACCTTAATTACAAAATTTATAAAGTAAAAAGAAAAAGGTATATGGAAACACACATCGGAGCAAATAACTCTGTATGTGTAGTTTAATGGAGGAAGTGATTCTAATAGTATCTGTTTTGCTTATTGTTGTGAGAATTAAATTAGTTCATATAAAGTGCTTGATGGGGATAGTGCCTTAGACATAATTAGGATGCAAAAGGGATACTATTGTTATTATTGATGTTATTGTCATAATTATTTAAATTAGTCATATGAATATTGCATATGACTACATTATATCAGTGTTTGTTTTAGTGTGAAGTTGTTTTTCCCTAAATATTCAAGTAAACAAGATACTCCTTGAAAAAGTGCTGTAGATTTTATTAGATAGCTTTGCATACCTCTTGTCACATGGGGGTATATAAATATTCTAATTTGTGAAGCCCTGTTTTAACCCTGCCCTGATTCTAGTTTCTTCTTGATCTAGTCCATCTTCTATAAGCTCTTTGAGTTATCCTTCTAAAATTTAGTTCTGATCATGAATTACATCATCAGAAAAAGCCTGCTTAAATTTAGCCTTTGACACCTTCCTTTTCCCTCCAGGATAAAGTCCAAACCCCTTCATAACCTTTTCTTATTACTTTTCTTCAACTACTCTGTATATTGTACACCTTTTAATCTGTTTATGCAAGTCTACTGGCCTTCTGCTTTTACCCTTCTGTACCTTTGCTCTTTCTGGTCTCTTTGCATAGAAGGCCTCATCTTTGACTCCTTAGCAACATTTTCCTTTTTCAGGTTTAGTTGTCATTTCTGCCACATTGATGCTCTCTTTCTCAATTCTCATCTTCTCTACCTAATATCATATTAAATGTTAGTTAAGTCCAATTTATCAGTACTTTTGTTTATTAGTTAGAGCCTTTTGTGTCTTGTTTAAGAAAATGTTTGTATATCCCAAGGTCATTGCATTTAGATTTACTGCCACTTGGAATTAACTTGTTTGCATTGAGGTAGAAATTGAAGTTCATGTTTTTTCCCCATATGTATATCCAATTGACCCAGCACTCTATATTCATCAGACTGTACTGCATGTTACTTTTGTCATAAGTAAGATATAAGGTATACATATAAAGACTCTGCTCTGTTAATAATTTTGTCTATCTTTATGACAATAGTAAATTTCTTAGTTATTATAGCTTTTTAATGAGTCTGGATACTTGATAATGTAATTTTTGTAGCTTTGTTCTACTTCAAGATTGCTGAAGATATTTCAGGTTCTTTACATATATGTATGTCTTAGAATTAGCTTGTCAGTTCTCCTTTCCTCTGCTAAAACATCTTGCTGGAATTTTGACTGGGTTAGCATTGAATCTATAAATATATTTTAATCTTATATTCCATAAACATGGTTTTTCCATTTATTTAGGTCTTGTAGAATTTCTTCCAGCAGTGTTTTATTCTTTTCAGTGTAGAACTATTGCATATCATTTCTTAATTTTATCCTTAGGTTTTGTGTGTGTGTGTGTGCATCCTCACTATTGTAAATGGTATTTTTAAATTTTATTTTTCCCTGGTTCCCTTCCTTGATCTAGATATTCAGCAACCCTGGGAACAGTGTTATTTGCTCAGCCATCTGTATTCCCATACTACTTGTTTTTTTATTGTTATAGTTTTATCATTACATAAGTAATGTATGAATTAGTTATTGATGTAAAAGATTTAAAAACTGTCTTTTCCAGAAGTAACCACTGTTACCAGTTTGAAGTGTATTCTCGTAGATTTATACTTCTCATTGTGGTAGCTACTTCCACATGTGGCTATTGAGCATTTAAAATGTGGGTAGTTTTAATTGAGATGTGCTGTAAATGTAGAATAAGCTCTGGACTTCAATGCTTAGAATGAACAAAAAGAATGTAAAGTATCTCATTAATTTTTTATATTGTTTAATGTAGTGATAATATTTTGGCTACGTTGGATTAAAATGTGTTATTAAAGTTAATTTTACTTTTTACATTTTTATGGATTACTAGAAAGTTTAAATTATATTTGTGGCTTTTATTATTTTTCTATTAGTGGGGTTGTAGCCCATTTTCTATGGATTTAAATATACATGTCTAAAAATGTATTGTTTTATTTTTCATAAATGGGAATGTGGTATTGTTCTCCAAATGATTTTTTGTTACTTAATAATCTTGAACCTCTAGAGGCTGAGGCAGGAGAATGGCGTGAACCCAGGAGGCGGAGCTTGTGGTGAGCCGAGATCACGCCACTGCACTCCAGCCTGGGTGACAGAGTGAGATTCTGTCTCAAAAAAAAAAAAAATTAATAATCTTGAACCTCTTTTAATGTGAGCACTCATGGATCAACTACATTGTTTTGTACTGTGTACTAGTATGTATTATGGGTGTGCCATTCATCCACTGTTGAAATTCAGGGAGTTTTTTGGGTTTTGTTGTTGTTTTCTTGCCATTACAAACATGGTTGCAGTAAAAAATACCATATATAAGTCTCTTTGTATACATTTAGAACTAGAATAGCATCTGAGAAGTGGGATTGCTAGGTCAACAGGTGTCTTACACATTAGATTATTTAAAAAATTTTATTCAGCCTTATTGAAGTATAATTGCTGAATACAAATTATATGTATTCAAGGTGTACAATGTAATTGTTTTATGTATGTATACATTGTGAAACGACCACAATCAAATTGATTAACAATTAAGTATCATACTTAGTTATCGTTTGTATGAGTTGGGGGTGGTGAAGACACTGAAGATCCATTCTTTCAGTAAATTTTAAGTAAACAATAGAGTATTATTAACGATAGTCACCATACTGTGTGTTAGAGTCCCCAGAACTTATTTGTCTTATAACTGAAGGTTTGTACTATTTGACCAACATCTCCCCATTTCCCTCACCCCAAGCCCTGGCAACCACTGTTCTACTCTCTCTGCTTCGATGAGTTTGACTTTTTTAAAGTTTCATATATAAGTGGAATTTCATGTAAGTAAAATCGTACAGTATTTGTCTTTCTGTTTCTGGCTTATTTCACATAGCATAATGTTCTTCAGAGTCGTCTCTTCTGTCTCACAAATGGCAGGATTTCCTTTTATGGCTGAATAATATTTCATTGTACATATATTTTTGTATGTATGTGTGTGTATGTATGTGTATGTGTACACACACAAACACACACACACATACACTCCGTTTTCTGAATCCATTCATCTGACACTTAGGTTGTTTCCATATCTTGGCTATTGTGAATAATGCTGCAGTGAACAGAGTTCAGACATGTCTTCGACATTGATTTCATTTGCTTTGGATATATACTCAGACGTAGAATTGCTGGATCATAATGTAGCTCTTTTTTAATTTTTTGAGGAATGTCTATATTATTTTTCTTAATGGCTGTATCAATTTACATTCCCACCAGCAGTGCACAAGCATTTTCTTTTCTGCACACCCTTGCAAACAATTGTTATCTCTTTTGTTTTTGGTAATAGCCATCATAAGAGCTATGAGGTGATATCTTATTGTGATTTTGTTTTGCATTTCATTGATTAGTGATGTTTTAACACTTTTTCATAATCCTGTTGGCTATTTATATGTGTTCTTTGTAAAAATGTTATTCAGGTCCTTTGCTTTTTTTAAATTGGGTTATTTTTATTTATTTTTTGCAATTGAGTTGTATGAATTCCCTTATATAATATGTATTTTATAAATTTTCTGCCATTCCGTAGATTGCCTTTTCATTTTGTTGATTGTTTTCTTTTGCTGTGCAGAAGCTTTTTGTTTGATGTAGTCCCATTTGCTTATTTGTTCTTTTGTTATCTATGCTTTTGGCGTCATATCCAATACATATTTTAAATTAAAAGATTTACCCAAATTGCTCACCAGAAAGGCTGCTCTAAACACCTTAGCACTTGATATCAATCTGTTAGTTTGTTTTTTCAACTTGATTGACAAACTGTGGCCCTCGGTGATCCCTTAGTTACAGCACTTCCCATATATTTGTTTGTAATGGTGTTCTTCCCCCCACTGTAGAATTGGGAGCTTCTGGTGGGAAAGGGGCACAGTTTATTTATTTTAATAATCTCATCCATTTATCCATTCAACATGCTTGTGCTTACTATGTACAAGGTGCTGTAATGCCTTTGGATATAAAGATGAATATGCCATCATTCTTGCCTTTGAGGAGCTCACATCTCCTGGCAAACCTCCTATGGTATTCCAGGCCAGTCATGATAAATGCCTGTTGGTTTGGAGGAAGAATATTGAGGGTGGTAGTAGGTAAAAAGTGCTCTTCTCTCCTTGGTTCTTATGAGTGATAATCTTTATTTTACTCAGAGCTGGAGAAGTTGTCATATAAAGCCAAGTAGTAAATACCAACTCAGTTTAATCATCTGGTCATTTCTGCAGTTACTTTGCTCCTAGTAACTAAAATCTAAAATTCACATTCAATAAGGATACTTCCAACGACATGTAGTGGCATGCACCTATAGTCTCAACTACTTGGGAGGCTAAGGTGAGAGGATTGCTTGAGCAGGAGTTCAAGGTCTGTCTGAGCAACATGGTGAGACCCTATCTCTAAAATAAAGGATACTTTTTATATTCTGATGATGCCTTTCACATGAAAAATCTTTTAAAATGAAATTTCATTTTTTGTGATTGTGAAGAATGAAGGTGAATCATAATCATTATCAATTTGACACCTGTGGGTTTGCATGAACAGTTACTGACCAAAAGAAAAGACTATTTTTGACTTTGTGAGAAAATTGAGCCTTCTGGATTTCCTTTAGGATGTAGCTACAGGAAATTAATTAGATGATTTTTGATGACATCATCCTGACCACAGCACTTTCTCTGAAAACAGTGCTATTTTTCTTGGACCTTTTTGCAGACATTTTCTACACTATGTGCTTTATTATATAATTTGCAATAATGCTAACGTGAAATCCATGCAAAGGCTTGTGGTGTGTGTGTGTGTGTGTGTGTGTAAGAGAGAAAGAATGTAGTTGAGGTAATTATTTTACTTCTAATAGTACAGGAGAGTGGGTTAAAAGGTAAAAAGCATTACATTTTAGCAGAGAAACAAATCCTCTTAGGGAGTATTAAGTTCATGAGGGGAAGGCTTGGCAACTTTTCTGGGGTGTGTATCTTACAGGCTTTTGGGAAACAAATAGGATTGCTAAACAGTAACTCTCAAATCACTGAAGAGTGTAGGACTTGGAAATGCTTGCGAAGAATGGAGACAGGACATCAATTTCTTGATTGTGTTCTTTGTACTTTGTATTATAAATCGGCTGAGTCTGACTTTTTGGGCCTGTAGTGAGTTATAAAAAGCTCTTTTTCTTCTGCTGATAAAATAATTACCACCTCAAAAGAAATTGTACACCCAGGGAATATATGTATATATATGTATAATGTATGATAATGTTTGCAAATCATTCTGCCCTCAGCTGTTTCATCTTTTCCAACTGTAATTTTCAAAGTTCTACTTTATCATCACTCCATCTATTATATTTTTCATTCTTCTCTTTCAGTCATAACATTTTGTAGTCTCTTCATATGTAGAGTAGAAGCAACTTGAGAATAGGAATTAGGAGATCTAAATTCAAATCCTGGTTTTGCCGCTAGAGGCCTTCTATCATGGACAGACCTCTTGTGGAAGCTCTTTGGGCTGCTAGTTCATCACCTGTAAAACAGGAAGACCAGATTATATGATTGTTAGAGCTGGATTGCTCAATGTAGTAGCTGTTAGCCACATGTGGTTATATTAAAATAAATAAAGTAAAAAATTTGGTTTCCCAATCACAATAACCACATTTTAAGTGCAAAAATAGCCTAATGTGGCTAGTAGTGGCCATATTCGACAGCACAGGAAATTTTTTTATCATCTTAGAAAATTCTATTGGATAGTGCTTCCAGAGTCTTTTGTACATTGACTCTTTAATCAGAAGACAAAAAGTGCAGCAATGTGAATCATAGACTATTTTCATTTTTATATAGTATATGCTATTTATATTAGGATCATTTTTATCCCCTGTAGCTATGCAAAGGAAAGAGAGAAGATTCTGCTTCTGGCAAAGTCGCTTATATCAGCACAGCCACATAACAATTATAAACTGTGGGCAAAATATAAAACAAACAGCTATATGAGGGTACTAGAGAATAACCAAACAGGCAGAAACTGGAAGAGAATTAACACTTGGAAAAAGAGAATAACACTGAGTGAATTCCTTGGTTTTATATTTTTTGTTTGGTTTTGTAAGAGTGTAGGCCCCAGTCCTCACAGTGCTACTAAAATTATATAGAAACTTGTAGCCTTATTGATTGAGGAATCAGAGGGCAGAGTATGGGCCACAAAAACAACCAGAAAGTGAGATGGGAAATCCTGTAAAGGGGAGAGCCATGTAGGGGAGCCCCAAATTCTATGTATAAACTCTGATCAGATCTCTAGGTAGCTCCCAGGCATATGAGGACAGATTCCAAGCAACTCAAGTAAGGCTGGAAGAACTGAATAGAGATTTCACCTGCTGCCCACTTCAGGAGAAACAGTTCGGTGTTTGAGTTCATCACGGTTAACTGCTAAAACAGAAAAGTTGATATTGTATAGAATAATATAACAAAATTTCTAGTGTATACAGTGTATCATTCACAATGTCCAGGATGTAGTCCAAAGTTGTTAGACATATGAAGAAACAGGAAAATATAACTCATGCTAAAGAAAAAAGATATTCAGTGAAACCAGCCCCAAGATAACCCAGATGTTGAAATTAATAGAAAAGAGTTTTAAAAGTTACTGTAACTATGTCCAAATATGTAAAGTAAAATATGCTTATAAAGAGTGGATAGGAAATCTCAACAGAGAAATAGAAACTATAAGAAAATAAAATGGAAAAATATAATATTTAAAATCAAATTAGTCATTGATGGATTTAATAAAACATTAGAGATGACAGAGAAAGAGACATGAACTTGAAGACAGATCAATGGAAAGTATCCAATCTGAAAATCAGAGAGAAAATAGATTAAAAAGAATAAAAAGAGCCTCAGTGTCTTATGGGACAATATCAAATGGTCTTACATATGTATAATTATATACATGTTACGGAAAGATAAACAGAGATAATGATGCAAAAGAGAGTGTTAGTAGAAATAGTGGCTAAAATTTTCCCCAAATTTAGTAAAAAATAAATTTACAGATTCTAACACCTCAGCTACTCTCAAACAGCATAAATACAAAGAGAACAACACCTAAATGTTTTATATTCTACTATAAACCAATTATAAAGAGAAAATCTTGAAAGCAACCAGAGAAAAATGACACATTAGATAGAGGGGGAGCAATAATACAGATGATGGCCTATTTCTTATCAGAAATAATGGAGACCAGAAGACAGTGGGAGAAAATCTTCAGCGTGCTGAAAGAAAAAAAAATCTGTCAACCCCAGAATTCAATAATCAGCAGAAATAATTTTCAAGAGTGAAGGCAAAATAAAAACAATTAAAAATAAGGGAAAACCAAGAAAATTATCAACAGACCTGCGCTATAAGAAATGCTAAAGGAAGATTTTCCATTCTGAAGGAAAATGACATCAAATGGAAACCCAGACCTACAAGGGAAAAAAAGGAGAAACTCCAGAGATAATAATAAATATGTTGGTAAATATAAAAGATTTCTTGGCCAGGCACAGTGGCTCTTGCCTGTAATCCCAGCACTCTGGGAGGCCGAGGCAGATGGATCACATGAGGTCAGGAGTTCAAGACCAGCCTGACCAGCATGGTGAAACCCCATCTCTATTAAAAATACAAAATTAGCCAGGCATGGTGGTGCATACCTGTAACCCCAGCTACTTGGGAGGCTGAGGCAGGAGAATCGCTTGAACCCAGGAGGCGGAGGCGGAGGCGGAGGTTACAGTGAGCCGAGGTCGCGCCATTGCACTCCAGCCTGGGCAACAAGAGCAAAACTCCATCTCAAAAAAAAAATTTTTTTTTTTACTTTTTTCTTTTTTAATTTTTTAAAAATGCGTATGGCTAATTAAAGCAAAAAGTATAGCGTTGAATTGTAGGATTTACAGCATACATCAATGTATTATATTTAATTCTTATACGTTGTTGTTGGGAGCATGAAATGGTACAACTATGTTGGAAAGAGTCTTGCATTTCTTTAAAATCTAAACATACACTAACCCTGTGGCCAGCAAGTCTGCTGCTAGATATTTACTCCAGAGAATTGAAAACATGTGTCCATAAAATGGCTTGTATAAGAATGTTTATGGCAGTTTTACTCATAATAGCAAAATCTGAAAATAGCCCAAGTGTTTCTCAATGGAAGAATGGATGTAAAAACTGTGTATTTTAAAATATGTGTAGCAACAGGAATAAATCTCCAAAATATTACACTGTGTGAAAGAAATCAGATACCAAAAGAGGACATACTTTATAATTCCATTAATAAGAAATTCTAGAACAGGCAAAACTAATCCGTAGCGAAAACAGTCAGATCAGTGGTTGTCTTTGGGAGCGGAGGTGAGGACAGGTTTGACTAGGAAGAGCTATACGGGTACTTTATATGGTGATGGGAATGTTTCATCTCTTAATATGTATTTGGGTTACCTAGGTGTATGTGTGTGTCAAAACTCATCAAATGGGCCTGTTGTGGTGTCTCACACCTGTAATCCCAGCACTTTGGGAGGCCCAGGTGGGTGGGTCACAAGATAAGAAGTTCGAGACCAGCCTGGACAACATGGTGAAACCCTGTCTCTACTAAAAATACAAAAACTTAGCCAGGCGTGGTGGCACATGCCTGTAATCCCAGCTACAAAGGAGGCTGTGGCAGGAGAATCGCTTGAACTCAGGAAGAGGAGGTTGCAGTGAGCCAAGATTGCACCATTGCACTCCAGCCTGGGTGACAGAGAAAGACTCTGTCTAAAAAAAACAAACAAAACCTCATCAAATGGTATGTTTAAAATTTGTGCATTTTATTATTTATAAATTTTATCTGAAAATATAAATACTTTAGTTAGTGATATACATGCTGAAGTATTTAGGGGTAAAGTATACTAATGTCTAAAACTTACTTTAAATTGTATCAAAAAAACAGATTGATGAAAAGATGTATAGATATGTTATAAAGCACATTTAGCAAAATGTTAGGAGTTGTAGAATCTTACTATGGATTATGTTATTCACTGTACAGTTCTTTTGACTGTATCTTTGTAAATTTTCACAATAAAATTTTAGAAAAAATAAAAAATAGAAGTCTTGGTAGTGAAAGAAGGATGAGCAGTAATTCTAGTGATTCGAATTCTTGGTGAGAGCTGACCCATGTGGAATAAATTTCACTGGGTAGCCCTGGCTCTGCCTCCCTATGCCATGAAAAGAAAACCACTTCACAATTCCCATCTCTTTCCTGGCTGTACGTACCCCGCATATCCTAGAACGATATCACAACAACATGTTCATATATGGCTGAAACCTGGTTCAACTAGATGTCCAAAATCAATGGAGTGCACATTATCCTACAAGTGCAGTTTGGGTGGCATGAGTGGACAGAGGAGGTGGCAGACTCATTGTCTTTCTTTGCTTTAGCAATAGTGGCAGTGCTTTTTGATTTGTATGGCCAGAGCCTTTTCTTACAGCATCTGCCGTGGGGAGTCACCTCTCTCTTGCAAGAAAGTGCTACGATGAAGCAGAGAATGAGATATAAGTCCCATGGAGAAAGTACTTTATGCAATTTAATAGAAATCACCAGGGCTAACCCTCTCATTTTATCCTGAAAAATAGGAAGCCTATAGGAATGATATGATTTGACCATCATCAAGTGACTTGCTTCAATTTGTTATATCTAAAGTAGTTTTCTTTTGTCATAATTTTAGGACTTCTAAAGATCCTAAATTAATTAAGTATTTTATCCATAATGATACAATTTATAGAATATTAACTGGATCCTAGTCATTTAAAATAATGATTACCGTTGATAGTGGATGATTTGCATGTGATTAATATTTACCATTGACAAATAGATTTCTCATTTTTGTGTACATTATTTCATGTTATTCCCATAAAAACCCAGAGCAGGTATTTGGATTTCAGGAGTGGATTTTTATGTAGTTTGATATAATTCAGTAGTTTCCCAGAGAAACAGGCTTCCTGAGATATACCAAAAGCCTTCTGCTTGATAATGCATATGCTACACCCATATTAGGGACTGTAGATTGAACCAATAGCTGAGAGTTAAGCATAAAGAATCAAAATTAAAAGACTGAGAAACAGGTATAACCTGACATATCAGAGACTGCAGCATCATTCAGGGACTGAGAGGAGTTTGAGTGGTATTGTTCCTAAAGATACTAATGACAATCTGTAAGGCTAAGAGTGTGATTTTTGTGGCTAAGATGCTGTCATTCTGGTATAATGGGTGGCAGGCTGCCCCACCAAAACAGCTGCTAGGTAAGCTTGCACTTTCTTGATTTTTAACTTTGGGATCCTCGGGGCCAGATTGGAGAAACTGAAGCAAATTAATGGTAGTTTTTCTGCTTTGTAGATGAGAAAACTAAAGTTTAAAGAGGATGGATGATTTTTCATAACATTACACAGCTAATAATAAGTGTTATACTTATGGTTTTCTAAAATAACATGAAATATATTCTGCTAGCTACTTGGAATATGATTGATACAAAGGAGTTATCCATGCTGAAACAAAATCTACCGTGTGTCCAGTTTTTAGAAAGATAATTTCCAAAACAAAACAACAGAAATGATAATTTCCTAAAGTCCTTTTTAATTTTGTAAAACCATCACTGAGGTTTGTTTAATTTTTGTCATTGTGGCTTAGAATAATTAAAATCTGATTAAAATAGTTTGTAGAACAATGCCCTTCCCATTCACTGATACAGATGATCCAAATTAGGAATCCTTTCTTATTTCAGTTTTAGCTCACTAAAAATAGTCTGTTTTCTAAGCAGTAATCAGAATCTTTTATTCTCCCTGAATAAAGGTATTTTTCTCTAATTACCATGCAACATATATGAATCCCAAAGTTCTCCTTTTCTACGAGGAAATCACATTGCAAAGAAATCACCATTGAATTGCTTATTGCTTTTATTTCATAATACATATTCTTCTGCAGACTCGCTAACCAGATGTCCACTGCTTTTTGGAGGTGTGTTAGAACATGTCTTTCACCCTTTCTTGGAAGATAGAGATTGAGAGTGGCAAGAACTTTCTAAATTTTTTTTATTATTTTAGTCTCTGATAACACTTCACTAATTAATTAATTTTACTGATTTTAGTTAGAATTTGTGGTAATTGAGTCTAAATTTTACTTTTTAACTATTTTTTAGGAGGCTTGCCTAGGCAAATCAAGGAGCTAAAAATGATTACAGGATGAATAAAATACTAATATAAGTATTTTATTAAGTATTTTAATAAGTATTCATAAATTCTCTAGAAATATTAGACATATAAGGAGTTAACTATGTTGATCAGAATTTATAAGCAGAATGTGGTTAAGATGGTAGTTAAGATCACATAGACTTTGGTTGAGTCCTCAGTCTGACACTTAATCTAGTTTTGTGATCTTAGGTAAGTTATTAAACTTCTTTAAGCCTGAGTCTTCTAATCCATAAAATGGGTAATCTGTGATAAAGTATTTAGCACAGTGTTTAGCATAAAGCATGTAGACACTAAGTTTTAGCTGCCACAGCAGTTGCTGCCATGACTATCATCCCTAATCTCTTCCATTAGAGATTAGGGATGTTCTATTAATTAGAACATTAGAGAAGTTCTATTAATAGTTACTGTATATATTTGGCAGTAGCATAACTCTACCCATCTATCTAATCAAATCTTATTACTAATTCAGATCCATCTTTCTCCTGAATCCACATCAGTCAGGTACTTATTTTTCCTTTGATATACAATTTTATCCTATTACTTTAGTCATGAGCTCATGATCCCAATGGTTTATGCTAACCAAGAAGGGTTCCTATAATAAAAAATAGTGGGCCAGGCGCTGTGGCTCACACCTGTAATCCCAGCACTTTGGGAGGCTGAGGCAGGCAGATCACTTCGGCTCAGGAGTTTGAGAGCAGCCTGGGCAACATGGCGAAACCTCGTGTCTACAAAAAATACACAAAATTAGCCAGGCGTCGTGGTGCATGCCTGTGATCCCAGCTACTCGGGAGGCTGAGGTGGGAAGATCATTGGAGTCCTGGAGTTGGAGGCTACAGTGAGCCAAGATCAAGTCACTGCACTCCAGCCTGGGTGACAGTGAGGCCCTTTCTAAAAAAAAAAGAAAAAAAAATTACTGGTGACAGTCATTATTTTGTTTATCTCTTAGCCATCTATAAAACTGTCCTCTAAAGCCTGTCACTTTCTGTAGATCAGTTTTAGTCCAATGCTGTTTCAACTGGGAGGTCAGGATTACCTAGCCACCCTTTGGAAACCAAACTTACCAGCTCCCACCCCACATGCCCATTGACAATCTTCTCACCATTTCAGCATCAGAATGGAGTGTAGGGGTAGGCGGCATAGTTAGAAAAACACTTCCTCTTTTTCTTTTTCTTTTTTTTTTGTTTAAACTTTCTCCCCTTTCCTCCCTCCCACTGTGAGTTTAAAAAAAAATGATTGCTTTACTCTATTGCTGAATACCTTTACTCTCTCCAAAAAAGCAGCTGGAGTATGTTTTTTCATAAAAGAGATGAGGAAAAGGGCACTTTCATGTAAAACAATTATAAGTTAAAACATGCGTATTTGTATCAGCAACTGTCTTTCCAAAGGCTCAGCAGAGTCTGCAGAATTATTGGAATGGAAAAAATATACAATACTGTAAAACCTGGACTAGCTTCCTGGTTCCTAACATTGTCCAATTTGTTTTAAAGCCACCTTCACTGCATATGAGATCCTGTAAGAAAAACAACTACCAAATTATTAAGATTGTTTTATTAACAGACTGTATCACAAACTATGTAGTGGTCTTAATGTTTGAGGCAAACTCATGGCAGTGATGGAAATTTAAGGGCCTTCTCTCCTTATTTCAGGTGAAACATGCATGAAGTTGGAAAAATCTTTGCCAAAGCTTTTACCAGACTGATGGATTTTCTTGAGTTGTTTTAGAAGTGTAAAATTTCTTATAGAACTTCCGTAATGCGGACTGAATAGTCTGTCCTGTTTTAAAGTTCTTCTGGTTCTTCCAGTGATTGCTAAATATTTAATGTATCACAAACAGGCTCCTTGCTGTGGGGTTCAAGATATTGTATTTACATTTGTTTTCTTGATCTACTCTATCAAATTCCTAATGCTTCTCTCTCTCTCTCTTTTTTTTTTTTTTTTTTTTTTTTAAGACAGTCTCACTCTGTTGCCCAGGCTGGAGTGCAGTGGCGCGATCTCAGCTCACTGCAACCTCCACCTTCTGGGTTCAAGTGATTCTTATGCCTCAGCCTCTTGAGTAGCTGGGATTACAGGCATGCGCTACCACATCTGGCAAATTTTGTATTTTTAGTAGAGATGGGGTTTCTCCATGTTGGCCAGGCTGGTTTCAAACTCCTGACCTCAGGTGATCCGCCCGCCTCGGCCCCCAAAGTGCTGGGATTACAGGCGTGAGCCACCAGGCCCAGCCTAATGCATTCTTAATAGCATCTTTTCTGCAATCTGGCAATCCATACTTCTTTTTTGGTCACTCTTAAGAAACAATCTTTCTCTCTTGTCTTAGATTGTTTTTGTTTTCCTTGTGTTTAAATTGGTTCACCACAGAAATGTCTTAAATAGGACCAAGTTCTCAGCCTGGTTCTTAGTATCTTATTTACTCAATAATCTATAAATGTACTATAAATTAAGCACCTATTTCTGAGACTATCTCATCCCTTAGTGTCTTTTGAACCCAAAGAAGGAGTAGTTGGAAGATACATTAAGCAGTGAGTAGAAAGAAGGAAAGAAGTTGTGTGTGAATCATTTGTAAAATGAATTTGCAGTTTAAAGACTGCTGTTATTCATTGATGTGTATATGTGTCTAAATAAACTTTTACTGAAGTATTATCTATGGAAAGGTACACAAATAATTTTTAAATGAATTTTCACAAAGTAAATATATCCTTTTACCCTCTCTGCATATCAGAAACTGGAGTTACCAGTAACTCATTAGCGTTTCTTGCCTCCTTCCAATATTAATCACACTCAAAGGATAACCATTATTCTGACTTACAACAGCATAGGCTAGTATTTCCTATTTTTGAACTTTATACAAATGGTTTCATATAGTATATCCTTTTCTATACCTGGTTTCTTTTGCTCATTGTTATGTTTGTTAGATTTATTATTGTTGATGGCTACACCAGTAATTCATGTATTCTCATTTCTATATAGTGTTCTGTTAAACATATACTATTTATGTATTCTTTTGGGTTGTTTCCACTGTTTTCTATTGAAAACTATCTCAATGTTGTTGTTGTTATTGAAGATAGTATCTTTTTCCCTCTATTCTTGCTTTTTCTTTTGCCTGATTTTCCACACTTTTACTGTAAAATAGTGTAGGTGTGGTTTGCTGTGTATTCTGTGTGAGATTCACTGAGCTTCTTGAATTTGTGGCTTGATGCTTTTCATTAGTATTGGAACATTCTTGGCTACTATCTCTTCAAATACTGCTTCAGCTCCATTTCTTCCTGTCTATTCTAGGTCTTCTACTGCATATATTATACCTTTGTACCATGTTCCATATGTCCATTATACTTTGTACCGGATTTTTTATCCTTTTTATCTGTCTTTCAGCTTAGATTTTTTTTTTACTATCCTATATTCTAGATCACAGATCTCTCTTTAGCTATGTCCAGCTTGCTATGAAGCCTATATATCACATTGTTAATTTTAGTTATTTTTTTGGAATTTCAATTTCTTTTTTTTAACAGAATCCAGTTCTCTGATGAAATTCTCTAGCTTATCATTTTTCCTTGAATATATTAATAAGTGATTTTAAATTATATGTCTAATAATTTGTGGGTTCATTTATATTTTCTATTTCTTCTCTTAATCCTATTATTGTTGGTGGTGCATGGTTCAGTTTCTTACTGAATGTTGACCATTGTATATAAAATATGTTAGGAGAATCTCAATGGTATTATCTTCCTCTAGATAACATTTCCTTTAATATCTGGCAGATATTTAGAGTAGGAGTAGATCATCTTAATCCAGTTAAGAATTAGATATTTCAGAGCTGGGTTTCATTTAAACCAATTTCTGGTTCAACTTTATTCTTAGGCTTTAGTCCTTTAATTGTCCCAGCTTTAAATCTGAGGTACTTACCAGGTCCCACCACCTTGATGGACTGTGAACTTTGGCTTTTATCTTTCTAGTGCCATGCGAAGGTCAATAACTTGATTTATTGCAGTTACTTTCTATTTGTCTTCTTCTCCTCTAGGTGTATGCTACTTATAAAATAGTGTCTTGAGGGTAGTGGTGGCTCAGACACTTGGGTTCACGTTTCTTTAATGGCATGTCAAATCTTGGCTTCCTTGGTAGCTCTGAACTTCAGGTTTTATCTCCCTAGTCCTGGGGATTGCTGAAAGCTCTGCTAAGTTTCTGTGAGTTCCCCTGTCCAGGATTTGGTCCCTTCCATCCCAAATACCTTGATACCACTCCAGTGCCTTTAAATGGATTTTTAAAAATTATACAATTTTAAAAGTTATTTTCGGCAAATGAATTCTTCTGCTACAGACTAGTCTGTCATAACAGGAAGTAGTTTTCTTATGTGATTTTTATGAATATTTTGATTCCTGATATTTATTTGTTTAGAATTACACCTTTTGGATCAGATAAGGATCTTAGAGAGCACCTTGCCCTCATTTTATAGCTGAGACAGCTAGGGCTCTGATAGAGATACCTACCTGAGGACATACAGCTAATTAATGACTATTCTCATATCAGGGCTTCCAATTTGTAGTCCATTGGCTTTTACACTGCATCACTGATAATGTATTATTTGTATCTTCTACTCACTTCCCGAGGTCATAAACCATGTCTAACCAGCATTCTATAAAATCAATTCAACCTTGATTTGGTTGAGTGATAATAGTGCTCTGATGGAGCTTACATTTTGAAATTGTGCTAACATTATCAAATTTTGGGAACATCTATGAAGCACCATCTGTGCTAGACAATACATGTACATTCAAGACTCTAAGGTTTGTTTTTTAATCCCTTTTGTTAGACTCTATATGTATCAGTCCATTTTCACACTGCTGATGAAGACATACCCGAGAGTGGGTAATTTATAAAGAAAAATAGGTTTAATGGACTCTCAGTTACAAGTGACTGGGAAGGCCTCACAATCATGGCGGAAGGCAAAAGGCATGTCTTACATAACAACAGGCAAGAAAGGATGAAAACCAAGCAAAAGGGGAAACCCTTATAAAAACACCAGATCAGCCAGGCACGGTGGCTCACGCCTGTAATCCCAGCACTTTGGGAGGCCGAGGTGGGCGGATCACAAGGTCAGGAGTTTGAGACCAGCCTGGCCAACATGGTGAAACCCCATCTCCACTAAAAATACAAAAATTAGCTGGACGTGGTGGCGGGCACCTGTAATCCTAGCTACTCGGGAGGCTGAGGCTGGAGAATTGTTTGAACCCAGGAGGCAGAGGTTGCAGTGAGCCGAGATCATGCCATTGCACTCCAGCCTGGGCGACAAGGCGAGACTCGTCTCAAAAAAAACCACCAGATCTCGTTAGGCTTATTCACTATCACAAGAACAGTGTGGGGAAAACCGCCCCCATGAATCAGTTATCTCCCACTGGGTCCCTCCCACAACACATGGGAATTACGGGAACTACAATTCAAGATGAGATTTGGGTGGGGACACAGCCAAACCATACAACTACATGTAAAGGGTTTTCTTTTTTCCAATCTAGAGAGGATAATTAATAAAGAATACTGCCAGATTATGTTCATCTATAGTGCTCTAAAGAAGTGTTTATTAACTAGAGCAGCTCAACTTAATGAGCATGCCAGAGAAGAATAAAGGTACAGTATATACGATTGTGGAATAACACACAGTCAAAGAGTATACAGTCTAACCCAAGGAATATTGTCTTGCTGGGTGCAGTGGTGCATGCCTATAATCCCAGCTACTTGGGAGGCTAAGGTGTTGAGAGTTGCCTGAGACCAGCCTGGGTGGTATAGTGAGACCTGTCTTTTATTAAAAAAAAAAAAAAATACTGAAAAAACCACAAAGAATATTGTCTTGGATTTTTGCAATTTACCTTAAGAATGCTTGGATAGTCGTAATCTTATCAGTCAAATTGATAGCTTCTTTTATAAAAAAGAGATAAACGTATTTGTAAATTCAGAGGATACACTATTGAATGAATGGAGCTGACTCTGGCTTAAGAGTTTGATCTGGTTTATGGATCCCATAGAAGAGCCATTGACAGTGGCTTTTGTTTTGTTTGTTTGTTTTTTGAGGCAAGAGTCTCGCTATGTTGCCCAGGCTGGTCTCAAACTCCTGGGCCCAAGAAGTCCTCCTACCTTAGCCTCCTGAGTAGCTGGGACTATAGGCATGTGCCACTGGCTCTGGCTGACAGTGGCTTTTATGGTAACACAGCTTGATTACCTGGTGTCTCATACTGTACAAGGATGTATGACTGGGTTGCCTATCTTTGCCCTTTAGTTTTTATGTTAGGAAAAGTGAAACACATATGGAAATAAATTAATAGAAAAGAACATTAATGGGGAATAAATATTGCTGAGTGACCTCTGTACATATTAAAGCTACTTTAAAGTTTGTGGGTTTTTTTTTTAATATCAGATTGTAATCTGCATTTATGACAATCTGAAAAAGAAGTCTAGAGTTGCTTTGGGTTCTCAGTCTTCTTCAGGTAAAGCACATTTGTTAGGCAATGTCTGATCTAGGGATTGCTACTATTTAATAGTATTGCTAGAGCCATCATTTTATGTGCTTGTAACTTTTCCTATCTCTCTTTATTTTGTTTTTAGCATGAATGTAACCCTGAATAGTCACATTTGCAATATTTGCTCTTTTTAAAAAATACAGTTTTAGGATTCAAATGCTTTCCCAATGTGTCTCTTTTTGTCATCGGCCTTTTGTTTTTTCCCCCTTTGAATTGTCCTGCTTTTCCGGATTGAATCAATACATACCTTACGTGCATTGATTGATGTTTTATGTCTCCTTAAAACATATACAACCAAGCTGTGATGCAGCCACGTTGGGCACATGTTGTCAGGACCCCCTGGGGCTGTGTCATGGGTCATGGTCCTCACATTAGGCTCAGGATAAGTCTCTTCAAATATTTTACAGAGTTTGGCTTTTTTGTCAACAGTTCTTACCAGTGGTCCCCATTGTTTTGCATGTGTTTTCTTGCAACTTAAAGTGAGGGTGTTTTCATCTTTATCATTGTGCTGCTTGTGTTCTATCTTGTGCTTCTTTCTTCCCTTCACTCTTCTCACTATAGAGGTTGATTGGGATGGTACGGGTTGGATTTGGATCCAGAACACTAGTTGTCCCCTTCTTATGTGAGACTTGGTTATCCCAGTTATCAGCAGTAAGCCTAATTTAAGAAAAGCACATGGCTCCCCTCCTCTCCTGTTTCATAAGTGTCTTTCTTCATCCCAATAAACCATCCTTGCAAACTACTCTAATTTTCCAAACTTTTTTTCTGATTAGCCAGTCTTTCTGAAAACTTGCAGCCCAGGGTTACATGTGGAATAACATCAAGTAAAATTGATATTTTTTCATGCAGGGTTTTATTCACATTATGAGCTGTTTTAACATTGTGTTATAGAAGTCAGTACTGGTACATCATGCTGGGTGTCAAAAACTCATTTCCCAAGACAGTGTTGTTAAATGTTGCTAAATAGGTCTGGCTAGAGTGGGCAATGTACAAAAATAACTCTAAAGAACAAAATTGGGAAGAGTGTTGAGACACCACAACAACTTGAAAGCAGAAATTAAAAGTAAAATAAAGAGAGTAAAGCAATGTTTCTCGTTGGGCACACTTCCCGAGGGACCCTGTATTCAAATACCCTTTGACATCGCATTTGAATCCTTAGCTTCCAAAGACCACTGATACCACAGAGACCCAACAGTGTGTAATGGTTCCTTCATCTCCTGGGCCTCTAGACACCTCCTGTTACAGCCCCACGTTTAAAAATAGCAGGGAAATGAGGGAAAATCATAAACTAGGTATAATAAAATTAGTGCTTGCGTGAAAGACCATTGCCAGAGAACAGCTTTTAGAAGGCCCAGTGCTGCCAGAAGGCCGCTGGGTGTTGGCAGTATTCAAACATTCACTGGCCAGCACATTGAGACCTGTATTAGGCATGTTATTAAAGATATAGCGTACTTTCTTTATGATTGTGAGTGCAAAAAGTTTTTAAGTAATAGAAAATGTATCAGAAAGAATAGATTGTCATAGTAAACGTTACTCTTTCTCACCAAAATAGAAGTAGAAATTAAATAACTTTGAAGAGGAAATATTTCTGCATTTCTCAAAAAGACCATGATGAAGTGAAGGGTGTCTAGGAGCTAACATCTGAGAAACTAGATGTCTAGATGAGGAACAACAACCAAAAACCTAATTCTCTGGTAATCTGCAAAGGGGAAAAAAGTAGGAATTAGACATGAAGGTATGGTGAAGATCATTGCATTTCCCATTAAATGCATACTTATAGAAGATCTGGAATTCTCATTACCACTTGAAAGGAAAACTGATTCTCTTTTAGAATCAGATATTTTCAAACTAGTATGTCACAGAGCCTGCTCTGGTTCAATGGTTCTTACTACTAAGTATGCATTACTGTGGCAATTGGCTTTTGTTCCTACATATATCATTAACATAGATGAGTCTCGAAGTCAGTCTGCCTTCAAGGATGTTTTTCAGTGACCTAGATGAAAAGATTTTTACCTAACCTCATGAATCAGTCTTTTAAAAGGACATTTGTTGGCACACACCCCACACTGTCTCTGCTGTTGAACTTGTAGCACTCCTTTCCTGTGCCCACTGCAGGCGGTACTTTGGATCACATTTCTCTGCAATATTCTTCTTTCTAGAAGCCTTGGAAAGAATGAGCTAGAGGATTTCAGTACTAATGCTGTTATGAGAGCCATTCAAGTAGAAACCTTAGTTAAATCGAAAAAGTTGGATGAGCATCCAAAGCTTTCATTTTAAGTAAACTCTCCAGTAAGGCTGCAGGGACCAGACCATTAATCTGGTTCATATCCTCCATTTGCTTTTAATCTCTTTACAGAGTATGCATCTCCACCCTAATAGGACAATAAAGAGCCTGTTCTTGATGGCACACTAGGCGTTGACATACCCTTTAGGTTTAAATAAGGTAAAATACCTGATATTAAACTTTGAAAATGTCAGTAAAAGGATTTCAGTGCAGCTGACCAGTCGTAGTCCCGAAAGACTTGATCCCTGTCCTGTCCTATTACATTGGAATGTGACATATGAATCATTTTAGAGAGACTACAAAAATAATTACTGAACACTTGAGCAAAGAAATTTGGATTTAGAAATGTTCTAATTGATATTATTGGCTTTAATATATCTAGGGAGTGCTTACTTCTGATTAGGTACTGCAGGTTTAATTCATGTGTGTTGATTGGATAATAGGATTAATAGTACTAGGTTTAATTTATATGATGATCTTCCTCTGAAGAACTAAAAAATATTTTATACATGTTAGCATATTCAGTATTATGACTGTCAGACATCCATATTTACTTTTTGTTACATTTTATTTCTCTTGTTTACAAAAGAATTGACATAGGTAAAGGATCAAAAGACGGCAGTGACTTTGGTCCTTCTCCCACCAAATTCCAGAAACAGATACTAGGCTTGTCTTGTTCCCATTTTCTACAGAGTGATTTGCCCTGGCACCTAGCTGTTTTAGTGTCCTGAGTGACTATTAAAAGGAATAGATTTACCAGCTTATAAACTTTCTTCCACATTGATATGCCAAGATTAGACTCTTGAGAAACCTACTGGAGAAACCTTGCCAGGAAATAGGAATAGAAATCCAACTGTTCTTTCTTCTCACTAGAAACCAGTATTTCTGTGTAGTTAGGTAACTAGCTTCTTTCAAGATATAGAGTAAGAAATCACAGAAATTGGTCATAGGAAACATATTGTAGGTCACTTGGCCCAGTGTGTAGTACAATACACTACTAGTCCCCCACATGCACCTAGAGATCAACTGTTACTCAGTTTTCTCAAGTGAATATAATCCTAGCAATTCAATATTGTTGATGCCTTCTAATTTTGAGTTTAAAAGTGGTATAATTAGAAAGCTTCCATATTTAACTCTGTATTAAAATCAGACTGTTTATAAACACCTGGAGAACAGTGGTTTTTGTGCATATAACTCACGTTGTCATTGAGATGCCATCATGTAGTCATTCTGGTGAAGTCTGGGTTTTTATAGGTTTAGTAAGTAGACAATTTTCAGATGCTTAATGGTCATTGTATCAGTTTTATATTGCTATAATAATGCTCTGTGACAAAATAACCACAAAATATGGGTAGCATAAAGCCATACACATTTATTTTTGCTTATACATCTTTGATCTGAGCTGGGTTCCATGGGGCTTACTTACTTGTCTGTAGTCAGCTGAAGTCAGTGGCTTGGCAATTTCCCTGATTATGCTCAGCCTGTCTTGCATATCTGAGACCTCCCTGGGACAAGTGCCCACCAGGCTGTCATCCTGAAACAGATCACCTTGGTCACACTATTATGATGAAAACAAGGAGCAAGTGCTTGTCAATCTTATGCTAGCATCACATTTGCTAACATCTATTTGTCTAGGCAAGGGAACGAGGCTGAACCCAGAGTCAACCCACATCCCTATTGGAAGGAGTGAAGATTTGGGGTTATCAGTGCAATCATTATACCTCAGTGTGGTGGCTTAATTATCTGATAAATGAGCATGACTGAAAATGATACACGCAGGTTGAAGATACCTTAATTTGTATTCCTGTGATTCCTTTTGAGAAAGTAATAAACTTGCTGTCCATGTTGTCAGAAGGGAAAACGGGACTAAGAGTGACTAGAATCAGCTTAGCTAACTTTTTCATACATATTTTTTAATTTAAGCCCCACAAAAACAGGAACTTTTTTTTTTTTTTTGAGACAGAGTCTCGCTCTGTTGCCCAAGCTGGAGTGTAGTGGTGTGATCTTGGCTCACTGCAACCTCCGCCTCCCAGGTTCATGTGATTCTCCTACCTCAACTTCCTGAGTAACTGGGATTACAGGTGCACGCCACTAAACCCGGCTAATTTTTGTATTTTTAGTAGAGACAGGGTTTTGCCATGTTAGCCAGTCTGGTCTTGAACTCCTGGACTCAAGTGATCTGCCCTCCTTGGCCTTCCAAAGTGCTGGGATTACATGCCCTGCAAAAAACAGAAACTTTTAAAATAATTGTAATAAGTATTGCCATCCCTGAAATATTTAGGCTTCCTCACCTCTATCTGGGTGTTGTTGAAGGAATAATGATGAGATAACTTCTAAAGGCCATTTTCTGTTCTAAGATCTTTATGATTCAATGGTTACTACATAGTTTTTCTGAATATATGTCTTATTTACTATGGCTGGCCTTTGTGTCAACATTGCTTTCACTGAATTCTTGTCCCAAGAATTTTAAGCGTATAAACAAGCTTGTATAGTCAATCATCAGCAACCTGACATAGGAGATGATTTTTGAATAGTTGCTGCTGGTCATTTGGCAACACTGACATAGTAACAAAAGCACCCATTTACTAAGCTTCTCTTGTGTCCCATGCGGTACGTGCAATATCTCCTCTAATCCTTATAGTCAGCCGCAGATACAAGTGATATTGCCTCTACTTTGCAGATGTGGAAACTGAGGTGCCTTCTTAGAGAAAACATTTCCGTTGGTGGTCTGGTACCTACCTCTTCTCATTTCTCCCTCTACAAAGACTGGTTGGGAGTAAGTGAACTAATGAGCACTGATAAACCATTTGAAAAACTGTAATTACTAGTTCCTCACATAGGCAGAAAATCGTGGGATGGATACATGGTGTGCGTGACCCCACAAAAGACAATTGCTTGAAATTACAATCGAGCAGTACATCAGTCTTATAGTTCTATTAATTGTGTAAAATATGCAAATTTTTGTAATAATTTTACAAAACACATAAAAACAATGAGCACAGGATTCATAAATGTATGTCATTTATTCTTTATTCTTCCAGGATATTTGTGAAGTATCTGTTGTGGATTCTGTTTTAGAAATACTTATATATTTACATATTGCCTTATTTTCAAGGAATTCTTGTATAAAGTAGATTCTCATATTGAAATTGTCATTTTTAGAGGTTGAAAACATAGAATATTGGTAGTTTCATATAGTTCAGCCTAATATTCGATACTATTGTCTCTGGGGGAAAATAAGGAATCATTCGGAAGTCTCTAGGGATATATCTTCAACCTGGATCTTGCTTTTAAACTTTACACTCATATCGCAGTCTTCAGTGTATATCACAGGTACTTTCAATTCAGCAGGTCTAAACCCGTGTTCTTCATCTCTTTTCCCTCCCATGTGGTCATTCTGACTCCCTTGATGCTCCATGCAGAAACCTGGCAGTTTTTAACATTCTCCACAACCAAGGCAGTCTTCAGACCTCATTTAAGCACACGCGCCCACACGTGCATGCGTGTGTGCGTGTACACACACATACATGTGCATATATTTATATCTATATATCATATGTATGAAATATCTATGTATCTCTCTCTTCCAAATATCCTTTCTTCTCCTTCCCAGAGCCTGTAATGGACACCCTCATCATCTTCTCCTGAACACATTTAAACATTTTAATTTATGTTCTGTGTTGCTTCCCACATGATGGAAGAGGCATGGTGTATTAGTCCATTTTCATACTGCTATGAAGAAATACTCGAGAATGGGTAATTTATAAAGAAAAGGAGGTTTAATGGACTCACAGTTCCACATGGCTGGGGAGGCCTCTCACTCATAGTGGAAGGTGAAGGAGGAGCAAGGGCATGTCTTACATGGCAGCAGGCAAGAGAGTATGTGCAGGGGAACTCCCCTTTATAAAACCATCAGATCTTGTGAGATGTATTCACTCTCATGACAGCAGCATGGGAAAAATCTGCCCTCATGATTCAGTTACCTCTCACCAGCTTTCTCCCATGACATATGGGGATTATGGGAGCTATAATTCAAGATGAGATTTGGCTGGCGACACAGCCAAACCATATCACATGGCCAAAGCAATAACCTCTGAATTGGTCTTTCTGCCTCCCCACTCCCCGTTTTTCACCCATTCTCCCTAAGATCTTAGAGTAGAATTTCAAAGTGCAGATCTAAACACAGCATCCTCCTGTATCAAATCTACCAACAAGTCACCATAACCCACGAATCAGTCTAAACTTTTTAGCCATGGCCCTCTGTGATCCAGCTCCTAATTGCCTTTCCACTATCATTTACTACTACTCTGTTTGTGGATCCTATCCTCTATCCTGACTAACCCCCTACTCCTTTTGTTCTGAGATCAAAACTTAGATCAAGCTTATCCTCTCTGGTCAGCCTTCCCTAAATGCTTCATCAATGTGATCCCTTGCCATACAGACTCTAAGGACTGATCTATCAATATCACCCCATTAAAAATGCACAATACTATACTATTATTATCATTTTGCTCCACACATATGTAAGAATTAACTCAGGAATGTACTGAATAGTGTAGGTATAGGAGAGTAGGATGATTATATGAAATGAAAAGAAAACTGCATCAGTATGTAGTAAATTGTCTTCATTCAGGATTGAATGTTTATAATTAAAGAAAGCAATAATGTACTTATTGCTGAATTTTTTTTGCCTGCTATTCCTTTTTGTGTCACTGGCATGAGATGTTTATTTTGGGCTGTTGTATGTAATGTATTATAATATGTGAATCAGAAATGCAATAGAGTTTTACTGTTTTTAAAAAGTTGAGTTGCTCAATCTCTCTAAACCTTTGTTTACTCCTCTGTAAAGTGAGGATTAAAACATATTTCAGAGGCCTGTTAAAGAGATTAAATGAATGTAACACATTTACATCATGTATAGTATATAGTAAAGATGTAATAGATGCTAGTCATTATTATTATTGATCTTTTGATGGCAAAAACTGTCATTTGTCTCTTATTCATCTCAATCAACACCTCACATAAAGCTTCACCATGAAAGCCAATTTTAGGGCTTTCTTAAAAACCACTTTGGACTTTTCAAGTCTGATTCTAGAATTCTTCCAGACTGCCTTCTTGGCTTGCTTGGTCTCCTCTTGTTGGTCTTTGCTAGTTTTAATTCATGACCCACCCATGCCTCTCACCCGTTTGTTGGGCTCTGTAGCTTCGCTTCCACTCTGTTCTTGGTGTGCTTCTCTGTCAACCACATTGGACCTCTGGTAGTCTCATAAAGGTCTGGCTTCTGGTAGTCATTCTCATCGTAGGAACCATCCTCTCCCCATAAGGAAAGCCCTAGTTCTCCATTTCTACTTGGGCCTTGTGGGATGACACATTTGCCCTCTTTATGTATGTAATAAATGAGAGAGTCAGTCACAGCTCCTTGGGGAACTCAACAAATAGCAATCCTACTCCTAGATCTGTCAGTTTAGTCTCTTCATTAGCACTGATTTTATTTTATTCATATTTTTTCATTTTAAGACAGAAATCTCATAGTTGATTGTATCACAGGGGAAGCTATAGAAATCGGCTGTTAGTTTATATTAAGCTTCAGTGACTAAGAAATATTATGGACATAGGAAACTTACTTGAGATACTTTGATGTAAATAAGAGAAGATCAAAGAAACAAATTGGATGATGAATATATTGCTTTAAAAGATGTAACTTTAATGAAGCCATACCGCCATATGGAAAACTATTTTTCTAGATTAGCAACTCCGAACTATTGCTTGCATAAAGCCTAATTTATAAAGTCAGTAGCTGAGATGAATAAACATTGTGTCGGTTATAAATGGCTGTAGGGTTGTGTTAGTTGTAACAGTTAAAGCTGTTGAACTACTCTTATGTGACAAATGAGACACCAAGGTGTCTCTGCTTGAACTGATGACCTTAACTTTTATTTTGCCTAGTATCACTGTCTGTTGAGGGAATTTTAGCCCAACTTTGCTTCCAGGTATTCCTGATTCCCTTCTCCTTCTCTTTGTTATTATGTCACTGGAGAGACAGAGAGAGGGAGAGTGAGAGAGAGAAAGAGAAAGGATAGACATTTAAAGCCTGAAGTTATCTATTTTTCATAACAAACTTTGTTGGCCCTGTATAATGTCAGTTTAGTTAGGAGTCTTCTATTAAATGTTTCTGATACAGAGTCTTAGAATATTAGATCTCAAGTCATCTAGGCCAGTGTTTCCTGGCCTTAGATCTGAACTATGTTCTGTGAGATGTTAAAAGGTGTTCCAATAGTGAGATGATTCTATGGGACTAGATGTATGATATCCTAGCTACTTGAGAGGCTGAAGTGGGAAGATTGCTTGAGCACAGGAGTTCAAGACCAACCTCAGCAATATAGCGAGACCCAGTCACAAAAATAAATAAATAAGCATTGACTTCTTTCTGCAGGACCTCTGAGAGCTTCAAATGTGCTAAGGCATTTTGTTAATCATAAAGGGAGGCATTCGGTAGAGAGGGTTATTCAAATTTATTTGAATTCTTTTTATGTGGAACACCTATTAACATCTATCAGAAGGATCAGTTAAAATAGTAAGTCAGACAGAGTACGCCTCTTTGCTGCTCAAAACTATCAGAGTAGCTTCTCATCTCACATAGAATAAAAGCCAAGATCCTTTGAGTGGCCTTACAAGACCTTTCGGAGCTTGAGCTCCTTTTCTCTTTCTAACCTCCTCTCCTGCGACTTCCACCATGCTTGGGCTTTCTCATTGAGGCCTCCAGGGATCACCCTGTTGCTGATATTTTCCCGATTCCTGCACAGGTTTCAGCCTTCTACTGTACTAACTATATCATTACTTTACTTAATTTTTTCATTGTCTGTTTTCTCCTACTAGAATGTTCTATGATGACAGACTTTTTTATGTATTTAGTTCTATGTTATATACCCAGAACCTAGAATACTGTTTTGTACATAGTAGGCGCTCTATAACTTTGTTGAATGAGCTGAATTGCCCTTGGGAGGAATCAAGAGAGCCTAAATTAGGGTGATACACCTAAGGCTAGGAAGAAAGTTACAGGTTTTTACCTCCTTCATCCTGAGTGGGCCAGGCAGTGGGACAGAGGCACAAACAGAGTAGGAGGATTTCCTAGAGGAAGTATGAGAAAATTGGAGTCTTATTATGATCTTGTACAATAAATGTGGTGACAGTCTCCTTTTAAGGACTGAGGGTGAGAAGAGAAAGTAGGAGTAGGTGATGGTGCATATCTTACTGTGCTATTTTATTCTGGAATTACAACCAGTGTTACATGAAAGGACAAGGGCAGCCCTCTGGCTTGGCCTGACAGTGACCCATTAGTCTAGAGCTGAATTGGTACTGAGTCCAGGAATCACTGGCCTATCATTCTTTAGGTACAGATTTACTGGGTGCCAAATCATGCCAAACAAGTTACACAAGGAGCAGATTAATTTTGGTGATGCTGTTTTTCTAGCGAAAGGTTTTATTGCTGTTGTTTGTTTTGTTTTGCAAAGTTTGCGCATTTGGCTAGGGGTTTTGATCATTTCACCTTTTATTTTCTGAATCTATCATGTTAAAAATGAGTTCTATTTTTTGTCTTTCAAAAGAACAATAGAAGGCTAGGTTGAAGACTTAGTACTATAATAATAACTGTAGTTCTTGTCACAAAAATATGGAATTGTTTTTTTCCCCAGATGTCTGGCCTGTTAAGGTTCCTCTCTAGTATCATGCATTTATAAACATATGTAATAGAAAGACTTTTAATCCCATTCTTTTCTAGATGGTTAAAATAGACTCCTATTCCATTAGCTAAATAGAATGGATATAGTAGTATCTTGGAGTTAGTTCAAAATGTGTCCCCTTTAATGCAAAATGTTATAGTACAAAATTACAACTGCTACTGGTTTTCTACTTCTTCCACTTCTGCTTCATAAAAAGTGAATTGTTTAGAGGCATGTTTATGTCCTGTGATATTATGCTTTAGGACATGTGATTGCCCTGAACAAAGCACAAGCTCCACTAGTTCCTAATAAATTATTACATCTTTCACATCTGTTCCCGTCTTTTCTCTGAAGTGTTCATCCAAGAGAGCACAGCATCAACTGAAAATATAAGAATTGTGGGAAGACATTTTCCTGATAAATGCATAGACAGTTGACTTGTTGTGATTAGAGGAATATCGCAGGAGCAGAGGGTTGGAGCTGAAAACTGACTTTCTGCCTCTACTGCCAGTGTCTCCTTTTGTCCTTTTCCTCCTCTCCTTGCAATTTCCTCTGAGAGAAATCATGTGACCATGTCACCATAGTTTTTAATGCCAAATATCTAAGTGTCTTTAAAATGCAGCACAACACTTTTAAAGGCAAATAGTGAAGTAGTTTCAACTGACATTTCCATTATAGCTGTTCTTAGTGGATTCTAAACATCATACATAAATGTGGCTAGCCAATTCTTTTTAAAAAAAATACAAACCATTGAGCTGTCTTTTCATATTTAATGCTTCATCCATTGAACATGCAACACATTTTTTCATAGAAACATACATTGATCTGAGGTTATCTACAATAGTCCATACTAGATTTTTCTAGCATTTATATTTTAGAAATAAAGCCATTTCTCATAGTTTTGTAACATACCCGAGCATTTCTGGGCTAACATCAGTTACTCTGTTATCTCTAGTACTCTATAAGTCCAAACTGAAGAAAAATGTTAAACTGCCACCATTATTGCAATTACTGTCAAATTGTTGTTTTACTTAGAAGTGAAAATTGTGTTCTAATATTGTGTATACACTATTTGGTTTTTCATCTTAAAAGCTTTATTAAATCCATTTTTATTCATTTATTATTTAATAAATACCTACTATGGCTAGGAACAGTCTATGATGACTTGGAAACAAAGATCAACAAGGTTCAATCTCTGCCCTTGAAGAGCTCATAGTCCAGAGAAAAAGGTGGATGAGCGAATGGAGAAATTACAATTACAGCAATAACAAATTGCTTCAAAAGAACTGTTGCATGCATATTCATCATATATGCTCATCCACCATGTTTTGCCAATGACTTCCCCACTGATAGACAACCAGATTTCTCTAGCTTCCCACTACCACAGCAGTACTTCAGAGGTCACCTTTGTATTTTTTCCCTGAAATACCTATGTGAGAATTTCTTTGGAATATATACTCAGGGTTGAAAGTGTGAGGTTGTAGGACACACACACACACACACACACACACACACTCTTTAACCAAACACTGCCAGATTCCTTTAGAGTGGATATATCAGTCTACACCTCAACAAATGTGTTTTCTATGTCCCTCTTCTTCATCAGCTCTTGACATTCTTCAGCATTCTAATTTTTGTTGGTCTAAAAAGTATAATATACTTCCTCACTGTTGTTCTAAATTGCATTTATTTCATTACTAATGAATTTGAACATCTATTCATATGCTTCTTAGCCTTTGAATTCCCTCTTCTGTAAAGTGTTACTCATTTTTTATTGGGGTTGCTGTCCCGTTTATTTGCAGGCATTTCTGATATGCTCTGGGGTTCAGATAACTTGCCGGTTTTAGACATTCATATGTCTTTCTTATTTCCATCTTTGTTGTGAGTTTGTGCAGCTATATGTATATTTTATTGCATTTTTCCCCTTATTTATAAAAATAATTGGGAAATTTAAATATAAAGGTACTAATAGTAACCAAAATATATGTAGGTCTAATAATCTAATACAGTTGAGATAAAGATAGAAAATTATTGGTGTGCCCAAAATAGTACATCTTTACTGTCAGTTTTAATATTTCTTTGACTTCTGCTGATAAGTGAAGGAAAATAACAAGACTGAAGAACATGTAAATCCTGAAAATGTATCTGTGAAGATCCTAACAGGATTCCTTATATAACATGAAATTCCATTGTGTGACCTGTGCACGTTCAACCTGTTCACATTTTGAAGAACAAATTACGCATCAAAAGTCAGGCACAGCTCTTTGAAGGACCAATACACAGACATTGCTAAGTAATGTTCACCACTTCAGTATCCCAACTATAGTATGTTTATAAAATTATAGTTGGTTTCTGCTATGAAGATAGAAGACAGGAGGACTGACAAAGTTCAGAGGGCAAATATTTTATTCTTTAGGGGAAATTTTGAGGGCCTTTTACTCCATAGTTTTTTCATTAGTATAAAGAAAGGGAGTAAGATTTCTGAGGACAGTGGTGATAAAAATCAACTGATGGTTTTTGTAAGATTTGCTTGAAGGGCTTAGGTAAGGTTAATAAACTATATGTAGTCTTTCTTTTCTGTCTTTTTTATGTGACAAAGCTGTTTTTTCTTTTTTTATTTTTTATTGAAGTAGAAGATATATATATATATATATATATATATATATATATATATATATGTTCTATTACCATCTAAAGATGGTAAAAATTTACCATCTTTACCATTTTTAAGTATACAGTTAGTTCAGTGGTAATAAATATATTTATATTCTTTTTTCCCCCATTCATCCTCCTTTTCTCCTTTTCGCTCTCCCCTTCCCAGCATCAGATAACCACCAACCTACTCTCTATTTTCATGGGATTTGCTTTTTTATTAATAGCTCCCACATATGAATGAGAACATGCAATATCTAGCTCTCTGTGCTTGGCTAATTTCACTTAATGTCTTCTAGTTGTATCCATGTTGCTGCAAATTACAGAATTCCCTTCTTTTTATGGCTGAATAATATTCCATTGTGTATATATGCCATGTTTTCTTTACTCATTCATTATCCATTGATGGATGCTTAGGCTGATTCCATATTTTGGCTACTGTGAATAGTGCTGCAGTAAACATGGGAGTACAGGTATCTCTTTGATATGTCGATTTCCTTTCTTTTGGATATATACCCAATAGTGGGATTACTGGATCATATGGTATTTCTATTTTTGGTTTTTTGAGGAATTTCCATACTCTGCCCCAAAGTAGCTGTACTTACTTACATTCCCACCAACAGTGTACAAAGGTTCCTCATTCTCTACATCCTCACCAGCATCCGTTATTGCCTGTCTTTTTAATACAAGTCATTTTCTTGTATTTTATTTCTTATATTATTTTTAGAGACAGGGTCTCACTCCATCACCCAGGCTAGAGTATAGTGGTGTGATCATAGCTCACTGTAACCTCAAACTCCTGAGCTCAGACAGTTCTCCCACCTCAGCCTCCTGAGTAGCTGAGACTGTAGGCATGTGCCACTATGCATGGCTAATTTTTTTGATTTTTGGTAGAGATGGCATCTTGCTCTGTTGCCCAGCCTGGTCTTGAACTTCTGGCCTCAAGCAATGCTCCCACTTCAGCTTCCCAAAATGCTGAGATTACGGCATGGGCCATTATGCCCAGTCTTATGTGTCTGTTTTTTTGCTTTTTGTTGTTGTCATTGTTTTTTACCAGTACCATGCTGTTTTGATTACTATAGCTTTATACTAAATTTTGAAGTCAGGTAATGTGATATCTCCAGCCTTGTTCTTTTTACCCTGAATTGCTTTGGCTATTCAGGTTCTTTTCTGGTTCCATCTAAATTTTAGGAGTTTTTTTTCTATTTCTGTGAATAATGTCATTGACATTTTGATAGAGACGCATTGAATCTTTACTTTCTTTAACTCTTACATTAATCTCTTTCTCTTTACCATCAGCCTGTACATATGTTCAAGTCTCTCGTATTTTTTTTTTTTTTTTTTGAGACGGAGTTTTGTTCTTGTTGCCCAGGCTGGAGTGCAATGGCATGATCTTGGCTCACTGCAACCTCTGCCTCCTGGGTTCAAGCAATTCTCCTGTCTCAGCCTCCTGAGTATCTGGGATACAGGTACCTGCCACCACACCCAGCTAATTTTTGTATCTTTAGTAGAGACGGGGTTTCGCTTTGTTGTCCAGGCTGGTCTCGAACTCCTGACCTCAGGTGATCTGCCTGCCTCAGCCTCCCAAAGTGCTGGGATTACAGGCATGAGCCGCCACACCCATCCTCTACTATTTTTTTTTTTTTAAAAGGCCTCAACCTTGTGTCCCCTTTTAGCCACTGTACTATTTCTTTGCTACTAATGTGAGCCACAGTTTTTGAAAACATAACCTACACTTATGACTGACATTTCCTGACTAGTCACTCTTCCTTTTTTAAAAAATATATGTAGTCATATTAAACATATATAACATTTTATAAGTGATCTTAAATTATTCTAATATCAGAAAGGACAGGCTAGCTTATCCTACTATAACAAACAATCCAAAAATAGTCATTTAGAAGAGCAAAGGTGCATATTTATGTATGCTATTAATATATGTTTTTTTTGCAGGTCATCAAAGCCTCTGCTCACTATAGTCACTCAGGGACCCAGACTGGGAAGTCAGCCACCATCTTAAGCATCACCAGTTGCCATACTAGAGGAAAAGAGCATCTCATACTAGAACCTTTTTTTTTTTTTTTGAGACGGAGTTTTGCTCTTATTGCCCAGGCTGGAATGTAATGGCACGATCTCAGCTCACCGCAATCTCTGCCTCCCGGGTTCAAGTGATTCTCCTGCCTCAGCCTCCTGAGTAGCTGGGATTACAGGCACGTGCCACCTCGCCTGGCTAATTTTGTGTTTTTAGCAGAGACAGGGTTTTACCACGTTGGTCAGGCTGGTCTTGAACTCCTGACCTCAGGTGATCCACCCACCTCGCCTCCCGAAGTGCTGGGATTACAGGTGTGAGCCACTGCGCCCGGGCTGCCTGTCTTTTTAATACAAGTCATACACATGTTGTTCATTTAGCTCCTCCCTCAAGTGGGCCAAGAGGTGTAATCTTAGGTGCCCAGAAGGCAAAGGGCTGAAAATAGTGTTTGCACTAATGATACCCACAGTTATATTATGTCACCCTTTCAGGGTGCTAATTCTCAATTTATTGTGTCTACTCCCTCTTGGTGAATGGCTCTCTCGTGTGGTCTTTTGCTTTTTTTAAAAAAATTGCAAGATCATTTTTACTGGGCATGATTGTGGAAGAGTTCCTACAAAATGGCTCTGCATTTGCTTCTGGTGAAGAAACTCAGGGGTTTCACCAGTTGAGGACTTGTTCTTAATGTTTATTTTGTGGTTTGAGATCCTGTATAATTTGTGGTATATAAATTCAGACTCCATATCTATGCATCACATAGGTCTGGGGTTTTAATTTATCACTGGATACAGTGTTCCTATACAGAAGGCAGATGACAAGGTTTCTTGTGTTTTCCAGGGATAGTTTTCCTGGTCCTGGTTTCATGGAGGAGGCAGGCCTTTCCAGGGTCCTTGCTTTATATGGGAATATCAGTTCTGATTCTTTGCCTTCTGTGAACCAGGTTTCTTCCTCCCCATTCATGTGTGGTTCCTCAGCCACTACTCTTTTGGGTCTCATACTTGACGCTTTGGTATTGAGTTCCCTCTTTGTTTCTAGCACCTAGGGATTTTAACATGCTGTTATATCTGACATTAATATGTGTTTTAGTGGGAGGGAGTCCACATCTAAGCTTTAGTCACTGTTGAATCATTTCTTCCCCTACCATAGTGAAGCATTTTTTTTTCAATGGCTTCTAATTGACTTTCATTTTATCAAATCCCAGGAATTCTTTTCAGCCTCTTATCTAACCAGACTTTTTTTTTTTTGCACCATTAAGTATTCCTGAATAAACACTTCTTTTGAAGTGCTCTTCTTCCTTGACTTTTCTGATTCTTTATTACCTTGTAATTGCTTCTTCACTTTAATTCCTGGGGCTTTCCCAAATATATCCACTCACTGAATGTTGATGTTCTTCAAGTTTATGTTCTTTTCCATTGTGGTTTTCTCTACATTCTCTCTTTGTATGATCCCATATATTTTCATGATTATAATTATTACCAAAAGTATGTTTCCAGCCTCAACCTTTCCTTTCCTCATATATTCAGTGGCCTGCTGGACACATGCATTTAGGTACCCCAAACTAAGATTATCTAATTGTGGACTCATTACTTTCCTTTCAAAACTCAGATTCTTTTTTTTCCTTTTTTTTTTTTTTGAGATGGAGTCTCACTGTGTCACTCAGGCTGGAGTGCAGTGGTGTTATCTCGGCTCACTGCAACCTCCGCCTCCTGGGTTCAAGCAATCCTCCTGTCTCAGCTTCCCAGGTAGCGGGATTACAAGCATGCACCACCATGCCTGGCTAATTTTTGTATTTTTAGTAGAGACAAAGTTTCACCATGTTGGCCAGGCTGCTCTCGAACTCCTGATCTCAAGTGATCCACCCACCTTGGCCTCCCAAAGTGCTGGGATTACAGGCGTGAGCCACTGTGCCCGGCCCCATAAATTCTTTATATTGCTTAATGATACCATCATTTACCTGGTCACTCAGATAGGAAACCTGCCCTTTGATCCTGGACTCCTCTTCTGCAGTCCCTCTTCTACTCAGATACTAGGACTTGGTGTTACCTCCTTAATATTTTAAATATCACACCTAGCTCCTCCCTATGTGGAGTAATCTTCTACCTGTTCCTACCACAATACACAGTTAAGTCATCATTTTTCATTTAACAAGTATATATTGGATACTATGTGCCAGGTACTGTGTGGTTGGTGCTGAGGTTACAGTTGTGACTAAGACAGCAAAGTTCCTGACCCCATGGAGCTTTAATCTGCATGTAGGAGAGAGCAAACAAATAAATGTGTAATGTATAATATGATGTTAGAAAATAAGCTAGTGCATTGCAGTAACATTTCATTGTCACCTAGTGGTGATTTAGGCAATTTGCAGTCTTTGTTTATTGGAATGTGAATAAAATCTCTCTTGAAGATTCCATCTATAATTAAAGTTAAATACCAGAACTATAACTATTTATCTGAGTTTTATATGTGCAAAAAATAAATTTACTTCAATTGATTTGGAAGTCTGAACAATTGTTTTCATTACATTGTTGAAATATATTCCTTAAAGAATTTGATTGCATATATTGTTTTATATGATTGCTTTTTATTTAAGCTATATTTAGAAAATGTCCCAGAAGTGGAAATATGTAGTCAATATATACTCCCCCTCAAGAGTATTTATAATTTTCTTTTCATATAATATTTTGTTTTCAGTCCATTCTCTGAAATATCTGTGTAACCTTTCTATAGGTATCTTTAAAATGATTTGAGTGTTTCAGGAAAAAAACAAACTATAGCTACTGAGTTGAGTGAATACTGGAGTACTTAAATCCCATCTCAGTATTTGACAGGAAGGATGTATATTTGGGTGTTTTTTTACCCATTTTATGCTGTTCTTTTGGGCCTGCTACATTTGGTAATGAATCAGTCAACATGTTTCTAAAACCAGCAGCTGAACCATGTAATTAATAACTCTCACTGGGGGAGTGGCAGAACATTGATCTGGGCTTGCTGGGTGAGCTAACTACCATCACACCTGTCCCCATAGTCAAGTTCTGCCAGAAGATGGTGCCAGGTCTTTTGTGGCCTTTGAACACAAACCCGAGTCTTTCCCATAATATCCACATCTTTAAAAGACTCTGGTAGTACTAATGGAGATGAACTTGGCAGTCTGAAATGAGAAGAAAAAAGGATCCTAGCGTCTAACTTATTGCAAGTAAATGGCTTCTCTCTGGTTTCAGTTGTTTCATTTAGATAAATGCTTCTTGGAAGATGAGACAACACCATTTGCATTTATGAATTTAATCATGGTAGTTACAGCTTAACTATCTGGCTTCAGTTTTGTAGAAATATATACCATCATCTACCTCTTCCCCTCCTTTCTTGATCTTGCAGCCATTCTCTGCTGAGCACATTTCAGTAGTTGGAATAGAGAATAACAGGTGTGTCAGGTTAAAATGATGATTAGAGAGACTTCATTTTTTCTCACAGTGAAATGTTAAAGCTCTGTTTTTGTTAGGGAGTTATAGCTGATATTTCCCACTGGCTATGGCTACTCCTGGATAATAGGAAAGGAGCTGTTGAAAATCTGTTGGAATTGCCCTATCAAATGAGTTGGAGCATAAGATAGAAATTATTCCATATTGGCCCAGGGCTGTTCTGGAAAGGCAGTTATAGCATGTTACCATGTAGCCATCTCCTATGCGCAAGTTATGATACCAAATAATTTTGTGGCTATTCCTGAGTAATGTCCCCGCTATATATAATACAACTTAATTTCCTCTTCTAAAAAAATTATTAGCTGAATGGAGAATGTCTTGTAGCTAGTTGACATGGCTAATAATCAGTTGATTAAGGGATCTAGGATAAATGTTTGTAGTCCTGTATATTTTGTTTTTAATCACATGGAATATGGAATACTGAGAGAGAGAGAGAATTTCTGATTCAGGATCCTTTTTAATGGAGAGTGAAATGAAACTTCCCTATCTCATAGCCCTTTTAATGTTTCAAAACATACATTTTCTCATGTTTTCATATGATTGCTTAGGATAAATATTAACATTCCACACATTAGATTGTGGTACGTGGCTCAAAAAGGTTAAATAAATCGCTTAAGGTCACAGATTAATTACTAATCATATGCCACCCTATATTTGTGAATCACTTTACACTTCAGTTAGTAATTCATACATATCCTATTTTTGTTTCTCCTAACAGTGATAGAGCCAGGTATAGACTCCAGTTCTCACATTTCCAGTTTTGTAGCTGTACTTCTGAACCTGGTGTTGGCAAACTTCTTCTGTAAAGGGCCAGATGATAAATACTTTAGGTTTTTCAGGCCCAGTGGACACAACTAACCAACTTTGCCATTGTAGTATGAAAACAGCCATAGATAATAAATAAATAGCTACAGCTGTGTTCTAATAAAACTTTATTTACAAAAATAGGGGTGAGTATGATTTGGCTGACTCCTGCTCTAAACCACTAACTTCCAAACTGCTCCTTACAAAAGGCCTTTTATCGTTCCCATCTGTGTCTCCTTTCAGTCTCCCATGTTTTGAAAGTTGGACTTTGAAACAAACTCAATATTGAATGATAATGAGTGCATACTCCCATGTTTAATTAATTAGAGGCATAAATAAATGATAACCAAAACCAGTCATAGCCATCTTTCTTAAAAGCTGTGATCATTGAGTCAGAAGTAGCTTTGTGATACCCAGAGTTCAATTTCTTATTAAGGGCATAGCCACCTAGCTGATGACTTGAAAATTATATAACTCTCGGCTACTTTACCACTTCTTTCTTTAGCTTCTGTAGTGCCAACCACAGAAAGGGGCCTTCCTTGCCATCAGGTTGTGAGATGAATTCTCTGATGTCTGCATCTCTAGGCTTGCATCTCAGCCACTGTTTCCAGTCACTTAAGGGTTTGTTTGTCAGTCAGATAACTAGAATATAGTTGGCCCACTATATCCATGGGTTCTGCATCTGTGGATTCAACCAACTGCTGTTTGCAGATATTTGAGGGAAAAATAAATGGTTGTGTCTATACTAAATATGTACAGACTTTTTTCCTTTGCTAATATTCTCTAGACAATACAGCATAAAACTATTTATATGGAGTTTACATTAAATTAGGTATTTTAAGTAATCTAGAGATGACTTAGAAGGGAGGGAGGATATACATAGCTTATATGGAAATACTGTGCCATTTTATACAAGGGTCTTGAGCATCCTGGAATTTGGTATCTGCTGGTAAGTCCTGGAAACAACCTCCCACAGATACCACAGATACCTCTTACGGATACCAAAGGATGACTGACTGGACTATATTACATTTGTGAATGTAGATTAAAGTATTTAAATTATAATAATCCCTCTTTTAAGAATAGTAAGGCTAAAAATCTTATGAGAGATGTAGAGTTTTAAATTTTGAAATATAACAAATGGATAAATAAACAAAAGAATGCCTAAATAGTCTTTTCAATTTATGTCATCCAGGACATTAAAAAGAAAAACCTCACACTGAAGTGGTCAGCGTGAGTAATCAGAATGGCTGTACTGTGCTGATAGAATTCTGGGAACAGCAAAGAAATGTGACTTTTTGTTAGACTGCATAGTTTTTCCTAGAGAAACTATATTTCCTTTTGAAATATTGAAAATGGTTTATGTATCTCCATGACTGTCCTGGGACTGAGATTTGCCAATTGCTTACATTAGACACCTCTCTAATGTGTAGAATTAATTTCTTAGTTGGGTGTTAATTGAAATTTTATATGTAAGTAGCTGAGAGTCCTCATTTTAATCACAATAAGAGGAGTGAAATCCTCAAAGAAGCTGCTCTGAGGAACAGTGGATTGGTCTCAACATGAAACAGTGAATGGCTGGTCTTCAGGCCCGACCTCTGAGGTAATGTCTCAGAACTGAGTTTTCAATAAAATAGATAAAGAATTTTTATTAAGTTTCCTGAGCTGGAAACACATCCATCCTCTCATTTTGCTGGACAATATGTTTGCCATTAAGGGCCTGCCCGTCTCAGGGAGAGCTCAAGGCAACGTGGAGGGCATGCAACCCTGCCTCAGGGGGAAGTGAAGCTTGCCTGAATCCCAGTTGCATTACAGGTCCTGGTGGAGGTGCTGACCTTTTGCCCTTGTCCTTGGGAAATTCATCAGTTCCTAGAGCTACTAGAGATTGCAAGACATTATCTCATTCAGCCCTCTGACTCCAAGTAGGAATTCACTTAAATTATCTCTGGCAAAGGAGAATGTCCTCATGTACTACTAGTATAATTAAAAATTAATTTTAAAGATTTTAAATCACCTGTGGGAGATTTTGTTCTACCTATTCCTAAGATCTGTAGGGATAGTGAGTTGCCTTGCTATCCTATGAGAAGTGATGATAATTAGAGCTTACATATATTGAGCATTTTTTTTCCTGCGTGCCAGATACTGAAATAAAGACTTTCTGTGCATTCACTTATTTAATCCTCAGAGCTACCCAGTGGGGCAGATACTGTTCTTGTCCTCATTTTACAAATAAGAAGACTCAAGGTCACAACTCCCAAGTGACAGAGTGGGGATTTGAAACACTGGCTTGTCTTCCTCTAAAAGCTGTGCTCTCGACCTCTGGGTTATTCTGTCTCCCCCAGTTATGGTACTCGCTTTGTCTTCTTATTGTGGTTCTCTTCAGGGGATACATTATTATTAGGGTATATAAAGAATTATATAATACAGTACAAATCGAGGGATTTGGAGGATTAAGGAATTAATGCTATTCCTCTGAGTCCTACCTGTTATTAATTAACATGTGCAGTAAGTATTTACTCACATGATAAAGCTGCTATACAAGGAAGCAGTTTGTATGGTTCTGTATTTCCCCCCCTGCTAAATGCCCCAATACTGCTTTAAGTTTTAGTTTGTTCTTATTATGTGGAAAAGGGGAGAAATTAGGCCAGTGAATTACCAAGCCCTCACGGAAAGAGGTAGGAAACAAACTTGCAAAAAACGATGACTTGAAATAAGAGTGTAGACCTTTATTCTTGGCCCCATAGATTAGCCCTATAGTTTTACAAGATATTTTGGGCAGGATATTTTCTATCTGCTTGAGTAAGCAACTCCATTGTGGCTTCAGTAGGTGTGTATTATGAAGGACAGAGCTGCAATCAGCAAAGTGGTATCATATTCCAAGTTTTTCCTCCTCTTTCTTAACTATTGAACTGGAAAAAAAAATTAGCCACTTATTTAGGTAGTGTATGATGTAGGGTGCATATTGGTTATCTTCACAATATTTTTTTAGTTGTCAGTGTTAAGAATTGTATTCTGTTTTAAATTCTAACATCCTCCTTAATTTAAGAGCACCTTTGGAATTAACTCTTATTTTTCCATGATGAAGAAGAGCCTGAGAAAGTAGTGGAGAATAAGGTAAATTCAGCCCCCAGCCTGGCCCCTAGTTTCCAGGCTGGCTACAGTGAGAACTGTCAAGGAGATAGATAGGGGCTCTAAGGTTTCCTGGAGTTTTCAGCCATGTGTGGGCACCACATGTGGTGTGTTCAGTGAATACAAATACAAGAACACATGCTGTTTCCATTAGGGACACTTCAGACCCCTCTCTGTCCCCAGCCTTACTGCAGAGTTGAATGGGTCATTTATCATAGGCCACTTACTAATACTGACTGGGCTTCAGGCCCTGCTGCAAGTAAGCAGCAAACAGTGTGACTGAGTTCTTTTAGAATGTTTATCACACTATGATATTGTTTGTTAACAATTCACAATTCATTTGCAAAGAAGGGGTTTACTAGCTGCTTCTAAAAGGGATTTTTTTTGTATTAAAAATGCAAATCTGACCATGTGCCTACCTTACTTAAACCCTTCAATGACTCATGGTAGGTAGTCAAAACCATTCAAGATGGGATCCTCCCTTCTCTGCAGCCTCATCCCCTTCTGTTATCTCTAGAAAGCTTAACTGCTTTTAGTTCTCCACATATATCATATACATTTTAGCCTTTTCTTGACCTCTGTTTGTTTTGTTGACAAGGCCTTTCTCTGCCTTCTTTGTCAAGGTAAAGTATTCTCATTCTATAAGAGTTAGGTCAGACATCACCTCCCTTTCCCCCAGCAAAGCTTCTCTATTTCTCTTCCCCCAGTCTGGGCTTGGTATCCTCTGTGTGCTCAGAGAATGGTGAGATGTCGTCTGTTATAGGTAGCTCTGATCCCACTGTAGTGAAGCAATCTGTTTCCATCTCTGTCTCACGGTATAGCAGCCTAAAGGCTCGACTACATCTCTTTTCTCACCTACCCTTGGGTGCCCAGCCCAGTGCCTCAAGCAGCGTAGGGGCAGCCAATAGTGATTCTTGAGCTGAGTTGAACTGTAAGCAACTCTCAGCTTCACTCAGGCAGTCGCATATGATTCTCATTATATTCCTTATCCCAGTGACTTACACACCCACACCATGAGAAAGTTCATGCTGAAGAGCTGGCTGGCAGTGTGACTCCCTCAATTTTCTGTGATTGAAGAGCCCAGATATACAAACTGTACAATCTGTTTTCCTTCTTGAATGTTGTCACTAGAGACACTCTTTATTGAGTGTTGTCCCTGGCAGTCCTAGCAGGCACCCAGCAGCCGCATCATCTATTGCTTATACTTATGAAAAAAGTAGTGTCTTAGAAAGAATGCCACGTATCTTGATCTTAATCATTTTTCTTTTATATTTGGCGTAACTGCCCAGGGTCAGACAGATCTTGCCCTCAGGTAGGGCTCTAGTAGAAGTTTCCCATTGCTTTAGTGTGTGCTTGCATGCTGTTTACTTTCAAGAAATGCATTTTTTTTTCCTAACCAGGTGTTGGGGTGTATAGATCTTCCTTTAAAAAGCCATTTTCATTGAAGTGTAGCACATCCCCATCTCTTATTCTGCCTTATTTTTACGAATTTATGATGCTGGGTCTTCCTTCTTCTTGACATTTTTTCAAGAGGCCCCATAGCACACTAAGAATAATAGGAGCTTTGAAGTCAGAGACCTGGGGTGAAAGCTGAACTACACCACTTACTAGATTGTGGTCTTCGGTCTGTTACTTAGCCCCGTTGATCCTCAATTTTCTCATTTGAAAATGAAGATAGTTCCTTTGTCATTAGGTTGGTATGAGGATTCAGTGAGGTAATTTATATATGTAAGGTGCCAAATACTTGGTCACTGTGATCATTACCACATGCAGCTATGCTAGGGTCTATTCCTAGCATAGTTGCATAAAATACTGACACATGAAACAAGTAGCAATATAAGATATTACATGAAAAGTATTAAGATTAGCTTCTCAAAGAATCACAGAGTGTTATAGACCAGAAAAAAGCCTTAGAGTCCATCTAGTCTAGCCTCTTTATTTTACAGATTCAGCAAACATTTCTTGAATACCTGTTTTATGCCAGACCTTGGGGTGGTGTGTTGGCATATCATAACTCATTCAAACCTCAAAACAGCACTGATGTAGATATTTCTATTCTCTATTTTAGAGATGAGGCCAAATGATCTACTCAGTAAGTGGAAAAGGAGGATTTAAACCCAGGTCTCTTGTGTACAAATGCTATGTTCTTTCTATTATTAAACATTGTATTCCTTCGTTTAACAAATATATAAATGTGTAGTATGTGTAAGGGACGATGTTGGGCTCTTAAAGATGAAGTTTTTCTACCATTAAAGCTAAGAGTAAATAAGAACAGAGCTCACTGTTTACTTTTAGCTTCATGGAAGATGTATACTTAAGCTTCCCTTTGAAGGATGGGTAAGAGTTTGATAGAAGAACATAGGAAGCATTTCAGATGAAGTAATAGCATAAGTCAGGAAACAGGAAAATTCAAGACGTATTCATGAATATTTACTGTCACTCTTTGATTGCAGTGAAAAGTTCGTATAGGGGGCTAAGATTGGAAAGGAGCCTGATTGTGAAAGGTCTTACTGGCCAGGTTGAAGAGCTTGACCTTTGTTCTAGAGGCAGTGGTAAATGTTAATTTGTCTGTAGTGTGGTGAGTCATTGAAAGCAGTCTCATTAGCTTGATCCAACATTAAAGACAAAAGTGCCAATGAGAAAGACTACAATGTTTAACATTTATTTGTGAATTGCATTTTTTTAGTGCATCATGTGAAACGCATAGGGTACTTTGGCTAAGAACATTGTAATTATAGCTCATAAGTTTGCAGTATAGTGAAATGTTCATTTCTTTTGTGATGTTTTGGAGTCCACCCTAAAAAATAGGATTTAAGTTCTGAGTATACCATTTATTAACAGTGTGACCTTAGATTCAGCCTCCTCATCTATAAAACTGGGAAAATCATTAATATGTGTGTACCTCCTTACTTTACAGAATTGGCCTAAGGATGAAATAGAGTCATTACCATGTGCTGGTAAATAATGGTATTGGTATTATTGTAATTGTTAATAATAGGAGCTGCATACTCTTCCTGCGGCATTTTGGTTTTATATTAGTTGAAAGTCTATGATTTTGCCTCCATTATAAAGCATGAGAAACTGTTAAGATAGTTATTCAATTTTCATGCATCCGTTAAATAAAATTTCTGCTTCTAAACATTATCAGAATCCCAAAGGGAAGCTACTGTTCCCTACCATTTGTGAATATAAGCATGACTTCTGAAAAACAACTCTCCACAATATAAAAATGAAAGTCTGGCTCTGCTTTATCTCTCCACATTCTGTTCTAGCTGGCTCTAAGGGCATTTGAATGATAACTGCTTTCTTTCTGAATACATAATGTTTCTACTTGAACTTATCTTGCTTGTAGGCATGACACAAGCAACATGAAGGCTGGGCACTTGCAGTAGACCTCCTTCTAGGTGTATGTGGATGGCCAGCTAGATCACTTTCACTTCACTGAGCTGTGAAATTGACACCAAATTGTGCTATTAGCTTGTTTCTGAAGGGTATGTTGTGCTGGATATTTTCTTCTTGCTTGCACGGTACATGAAAAAAGATGACAAGATAAAAATGTCCCATAAATGAACATGAGCAAGAAAATTTAGATGTAATTTGTCATGAATTAAAAACATTGAATAATGGATCAAAAGCCCCTGGAAGCAGAGGTGCTGAGAATTCAGAGCAGCCGTTTAGTACTCGAGGAAGAGAAAATACAGAGCTTTAGGTTTCTTTTTTGAAGCTTATTTGCCTTCTTTATACCCTGATAGCAAGAGAACAATTTCTGAAGTCAGTTAAGTCATTCAAGAGCACTTGCCTATCAGTTCACTGATTTAGATATAGCAGTGTGTTTTCTTGAGTTTTTTCCTTCTATATAGTTGAATCATCCTTGGCCTACCTTCTGATTAGAAAATCAAGATACATTATTTCTCAGTAAATTATTTTCCTCATATTTGAAAGGAGACGAAGGGTAGCTGTAAATGTAGTGGTTGAAGGAGGTTTCTCTGAGTGGAATCCATGTTGTCTTTATGAAAGCATTCTGTGTGTTAAAGCAGTGGCTGCTCTCCATCTAGTCTTTGCCTTTTCCCTCTGTTCTTCTCCTAGAGATCTACTTAATTCATTCTGTCACTCCCCTCAGGCTTTTACTCAAACCCGCCCAACTCTGCCTGTCCTCCTTCCTTACTACTTTATTTTCCCCTCAGATCCTACCACTGGTCTAACTTATTGCCATGTTTATTGACTCTTGGCATATATATTTTTCACATTTTAGCATTTCTGAAATAGATATATCTAATAATCAGTGACATCTTAGATTCTGCAAAATAAATATGTATAATTTATTTTCCTTACTGTCTTTTTCTCACCTCTAAAATCTAAGCTCCATAAGGACAACGATTTCTCTTCATGTTGTGCGTTCTGTATCTTTAGTGCCTGTAACAGTGCTTACCACATAGTAAGTGTTCAGTACATATTTGTTGAATGAATCAAATGAACTGTCTGTGTTCAAGGAAGTTGGGGGACAGCTATTCTACATTTATTTCTCTATCCTTATGTCCTCTCCCCACCTTCCACTCCTTTTACCTTTTGCCTGCTTGTTTTTTCTGTGTCAGAGGACATTCTCATTATGCCTGGACCCCATCCCACCCCACATGCCACTAAAGCAGTGAGGCTTACAGTAGCTATCTAATCCACGTTCTCTAAAACTCAAGCCTCAAACTCTTAAGAATTTCGCTGCTGGGCCAGATCTTACTTTATCTAGCTCTGTAGTCTGTAGTTCATGATAGCATCAAAACTCACACAGTGTAAGGGGAGTACTTTTCAAACTCCCTGTGGTTAAATACCAGTCTTAAATTTCTAATCCATCACAGATTAGCACTTTTGTAAAATACAAATAAAAACACACAGAAAAACGAAAAAAAAAAAGGGAAAAAAAAGAGCCAAATATGAAAACTCCAGGTTTTTTTGTTTTGTTTTGTTTTGTTTTGTTTTGAGACGGGGTCTCCCTCTGTCACCCAAGCTGGAGTGCAGTGGCATGATCATGGCTCACTGCAACCTCTGCCTCCTAGGCTCAAGCGATCCTCCTGCCTCCCAAGTAGTTGAGACTACAGGTGTGTGACAGTGTGGCTGGCTAGTTTTTTTTTTTTTTTTTTTTTTTTTTTTTTTTTTTTTTTGTAGAGAGGGGGTTTTGCCAGGTTGCCCAGGCTGGTCTCAAACTCTTGGGCTCAAGCAATCCACTTGCTTTGACCTCCCAAAGTGTTGGGATTAGAGGTGTGAGCCACTGCGCCTGGCCCAGTTTTTTTTTTTTTTTAATTATTAGATTAAATAGATTAAAATGACTCTGTCAGATTGATTTTTAAAGGATTTTAAATATTTACTCTCATTTTCTGTACCTATCTTGTCACAGACCAGTAATAGTTTGCACATCAGCACCATTCTACATACTTTGAGAGACAGTGTATCAGGTCATGCCTGCCCAATTTGATGTCAATTTAATTTTAACGTGTCATCTAAAATGAATCTGCTTATTATTACTTCCAGCCTCTTTCATATTATTGGTCACAGACATTAAGTAAAATTGAAACTTATTTAATCCAGTCAGCACCAGTAATTAGTTGGTTAATGGAAAAAAATCTTTTAAAATAGAAATTATAACAAAGATATATACATATTCAAACATATTATTTCAATTAAACATAAAAAAACACTGACCCAATAACCTTAAGATATAGAACAAATGACTTTTCTTTAATTCAAGGCTTAGAGTTCTGTAAAATAATTCCTGCATAAACCACGTCCATTTACAATTTCATTTTCTTCAAAGAGTTGTAAAAATTGAGTGCATCACTTAAAAAGAAATCTAAGTGTACAACCTCTCTAGATTTTTATGGCTTTTTCTAATATTTTATAATTATTTTACCTATATCAAATTTGCCTCAGATTCATTGTCTTTTGAAAGTATTCACTGTAGTTTTTAGAGAAACAAGAGCTTTTTTCCTACACTTGTAGTTCATCAGTTTCTGTCAGATGGCATAATTACTGTAACAAGTAAATGTGATATAAACTTATTTGGGAGCGGTCATAACAGACTCTTGGTAAAGTGTACCACCCACTCCATTAGAAGGAGTAAAGGGCCGGGGAATGCTGGAGAGTAGACACTAGTCACAGGTAATTGGTGTGCTGTGGCGCCAGGCAGTGTATTCCACTGAGGGAACAAAAAGCAGAGGCTATCTGTGAGTTGTTATGAAGATCCCCCGAAATAGTTTCTGCTATGTCATTTTACTTACCAATGCTTCTTTTCTTATCTTCAAAGTATCACTTTTAAGCTTCTTGTAGTACTCCTAGAATTCTGTTGAATGAGTCTTTTTTTGGCCATCTCTTTATGATTAGAAATGCTTCATTTATATCCTTACTTAGCATTTTTATTTACAAAAAAAGCCTGATATTTTTTAGTGTATAACCACAAAACACATCCTAATTCCTTATTTTATTTCCCTTTCTCTATACTTCCTCTAGTTTCATTATCACTTTGTTACATTGTCATAACCAAACTACTTCAAGTCCCATACCTAAAGCATGAGGGAGTAAGAAGCCTATTTTTGTAACTTTTTATTTTTATATAATTCCGAACTTACAAAAAAGTTGTAAAATTAGTATAAAGAACTGCTGTGTACCCTTTACCCAGATTCAATAATTATTTTCCCCATTTGTTTTACCATATTTTCTCTCTCTATATATATTTTTAATCTCGAACCATTTGAGGGTAAATTACATACAGTTGCCTTTTGCCCCGAAATACTTAAATTTGTATTTATTGAGAATAAGGGTATTCTCTTACATAATCATAGTCCAGTTATCAAATCCATAGCTCATACTCAAATTTTATATTAATATTAAATAAATTATCCCAGTAATGTTTGATCTGCTATTTTTCCTTGTCCAGGATCCAATCCAGGATTAGATTTTGCATTTAGTTTTCATGTCTGCTTAGAACCTCAGCCATTCTTTGTGTTCCTTGACCTTGACACTTTTTAAGAATACAGGCCATTTATTTTATAGAATATTCCTTAATTTGATTATCTAAGTTTCTTCATGATTAGATCCTCGTTTTCCATTTTGGGGGCAAAAATACTACAGAAGTGATACTTATTCTTCTCAGTACATCTTATCAAGAGACGCATGGTATTGGGGTGCTTCATACCTGGGGAAATGAACTTTGATTATGTGGTTCAGGTGGGGTCTGCCAGGTTTCTCTATCGTGAAGTTACTATTTTTTCCTTTTGTAATTTATTAGTTATTTGTGGGGAGGTATTTTGAGACTAGACTTTGTGCATTTTCTGTTCCTTCCTTCTATATTGATGTTTTACCAGAAAGAGCTTTCCCTTTTCCACCATTTATTTATTCATTTGTATCAGTGTGATCTCATGAATTATTTTATTTCTTATTTTGCTAAATGGGTTAAAGGACTATTTCTATTGTTATTTAATTTGATTTGCTACTCAAATTGTCCCAGACTGGGAGTCCTTTTAAGCTAATTACTACATTCTTTTGACTTGTCTCCATTATTCTTTGAGCATTTATTTACTTTCTGGTGCAGCAAGATGTTCCGGCCTTATGGTTTGCCTTCCCTGCCCAGGTCCCACAAGCTGCCATTTCTGTAGTTAGCCCTGGTTCCCTTTAAGGGAGAATGGTTTAGAAATCAAGATCTCTGTGCTAGGTGTGCTAATTTCTAATGAGGTATCAATGTTTTGGGGTCCTCTCTGGAGACTAAGCTAGGGAAAAATACATATTTATACATGTATACATGTATTTGTGTGTATATAGATGTATACAGATATATACATATGTATACCTATAGATACATGTTTATATATACATGTATGTATACACCATTTATATACATATATCTGTAGCTATTTCTGTATTATATTTTTAAAAAGTATTAAAGATTGTGAATCCTTATAGATACCCCCAATTCCAATTTAATACCACAGCAGAATTCTTTCTAGTCTTCTTCTTTCTGTATGTGTCATTCCCTTCTCCAACAGTGAGGAACATGACTTTCTGTTATTCTCTGTATATTATCTCAGTCCTCTAATATACAGAATATGGTTTCAGAAGTACTAATTCATACCACTGTAAAACAAACTCCCTAACACATTCAGTATTTCCTAAGGATTGTTTTTGTCTTTGCCTGAGGGCACATAGTCAAAATACTGGGTTGAAAAGTTTCTTGGGTTAGTTCTTATTCTTTAATATGATTCTATTACTCATTTGAAATACAGTCAGATTCATTCATTTCTGTCATCTAGTGGACAGAGGTCAGGGATGCTGCTAAGCATCCTACAATGCACAGGACAGCTCCCACAACAAACAATTATTTATTCCCAAATGTCAGTAGTGACATTGTTGAGAAACCCTGGTCTAGAAGCAATGAGAGATGATGAGGGAATGAGAGGTAAGTCTAAAGAAGATTAGATCTCCTTCAGGGCAGTTCCTTCAGGAAAGGCTGTTACAGATTCTTAGGCAAGTAGAGACCAACCCTTGGGGGCTCAAGGTCCTCATCTTCATCAGAATATGCCCATATGTCTCCATCCCTTTTTTCAAGCCCCATTCCTTTCTAATCAATGTTTCCTGTGAGAGCCTGGTAGAGTTCCTAGGGGAAAAAAACCCAAAAAACCTACATGAGAGCAATAACCTCTCTGTGTCTGTGTTCTCCATAGGCTTCATGCTCTCATGCTAGACTATGTTAAGCCTTTGGCATTTGGTAAAACTGTTTTGTTTAATCTTCCTAGTGGCTTTTATGATATTTAGCAGCACCTATCTCAGGTAAGCAAATGCTCATTCTGTCTGTAGTTGCTTGCTTCTCTATATATTTTAGGTTAGTTATCTACCCTGTGACTTCACTTCTCTGATGGATTTAAGAAAAGTCATTGATTTGTACTTTGTCCAGCTTTTTTTCTTCTTGTACGGTAGAGTGGTGCTCTTTCCAGTTTTATATTTCCAAGCTGAAATAAAAAGTCACTGGTCATATTTTAAGTTCTCAATAGCCACATGTGGCTATTGGCTACCATATTGGACAAAGAAGATTGTAGAATATGTCCATTATTGCAGAGTTCCGTTGAACAGAACTGTTAGAAGGGAAATTGAAGCAAAAGGAAAGAAAAGTAAAAATTCTGCTTTGTTCATGATGGAATAACTAGTCCTTCCACTGTAAACAACTACAACATTGGTCAGTATATATGAAAATACTGTTTTCAGACCTGAGCAAATCACGCAGAACTGTGATCCCTGACAGAAGGGAAATAGAGCATTGAACCTTACAGTTACTCTGTTTCTACCTAGAATACTTTGCAGGTCATGTCGTAAGGAGAGGAACCTCATAGAGCACAATGGTTTCATTGAGTTGAGGAAAAATACATATTAGTTTGGGGAGTCTGAACCATCTGGAATTTGTGGAACAGAGACAGGAAGGGGCAACAAAGAGAAAGACCTCCAGAAATCTATATGTGAGTCCTCTTCACTGTTTGGGTGAATACTGTGCTATACTTGTGTGAGGTTAGTTTCCACAAAGCCAGGCAAAAAATAATTATTGAGGGAAAGAACAACTACCTGGGAGTTGAACAACTACTAGAACTACCACATGGCCAGATGGAAAGACCTTGTTGAACACCCAGGACATTTAATAGAGACCCTAAAAAGGCTGTATCTTAGAAGTAGAACTAAACAGCCCTGGTAAAGGCTATGCTCAACTCATCCTTAAAAAACTTAAAAACAAGTCTTAGAATAGGCTGATTTGCAAGTAAATGACACAGATGATGGAATTAACAGACAAGTACTTTAAAACAGATATTATAAACATTTTCAAAGATTTAGAAGAGAACATTTGATAGAATATAAAAGAACTGGAAGCTCTGTGAAAGAACCAAATGAAACTTCTGGATTGGAAAAATACAATTTCAGAAATGAAAAATGACTGGATGGGCTTAAAAAGAGATTAGATACAGCTGAAGAAAAGATCAGATAACCTAAAGATGCATCAGTAGAAAACATCCAAACTGAAGCAAAGGAAAAAAGACCAAGGAAAATTAATAAAACCTCAGTGATCCATTGGATACTATTAGGTAGACTAGAATATATGTAATTGAATTCCCAGAAAGTGGGCATACAAATATTTGAAGAAATAATGATGAAGGAATTTCCTAATATGAAATTTACATACCCAAAGAGCTGTCAACCCCATTCGTGCAGTAAAAACATAAAGTAAGTCACAACTAGGCACAACATAATCAAACTACTGAAAATAAATGATAAAAGAGAGAATCTGAAGAACAGCCAGAGAAACTACATTACATAAAGAGGAACAAAGATAAGAATGAGTACTGACTTCTCATTAGAAGCAATACAAGCCAGAGAACGATGGGATGATATCTTGGTAATGTTAAAAGAAAAACTCTCCCCCCAGAATTCAGTATCTAGCAAAAATCTGCTTCAAAAATAGAGGTGAAGTCAACATTTTCAGCAAAGGCTGAGAAAAATTACTGCCAGCAGATTTGCACTAAAGAACTATTAAAGGAATTTTTTCAGGTGGAGGGAAAATGATACCAGAAACTTGATTCTATACAAAGGAAAGAAGGGAGGCCAAAATTTAAATATGTAGATAAATATAAGTGATATCCCTCATTTTTTCATGTATTTTGAAGATTTTATTTAGAAGATGTTTGACTAGGTAACACAGCAGTGATAACAGTATATTGTGGGGCTTATAACATGTTTAAAAACAATACATTACAATAATAGCTCAAAGAATAAGAGGGAGAAATGAAAGTACATACCGTTGTAAGATTCTTACATTATACATAAAGCAGTTAATATTATTTAAAGGTAGACTGTACTAATTTAAAGATGTGTACTGTAAACCCTAGCAGTCTTTCTCAACTGGAGTTCCTTATTTCAACCATGAAACACAGAAAATGATTTGAGTAACTGCTGTCTCAATTCTCCTAAGAATGGAATGTAACCAGTACTATTCTAGGATGCGTGGGAGAGGGGTTAGATCACAACATGCAGTGGACACGTTAGGACATTATTGTTTAATTCTATCATAGAATCTCAGTTGAAGAGGGCTGTGGAGAGCAACCATTGAGAAAGAAAAAGGGAGAGAAAAGGGTGGGGAGAGAGCAAGAGAGAGAGAGAATGCACCAGCGAGCGAGAGCACATGAACAAGAACACAAAGTCAATAGAGGAGATAAAATTAGATCCTAAAAAATGCTCACTTGATCCAGAAGAAGGCAGGATAAAGAGGGGAAAAAGGAACAAAGGAGAAATGGAGTTCCAGGTTTTAGTCAGCCATTACTTTAATCAGGTAATTACTTTGGGAGAGGCCATTATAGGTTCTCAGGCAAGGAAAGATTAACCTTTAGGGGTTTGAGGTCCTCAGCTTCATTAGAATTTGCTTGTATGTCTTTATCCTATTTTTCAGAGTTCCATTCCCTCTATTTCTTAATTAGTTTTCTGAAATCTTGAACCTGTGGCTTCAGAAGATAAGGACATCTTTCAGGACAATCATAGAGAAGCTTTCTGGTTCCTTTCTCTGAACGTACGCTGGAATTTAAAGTGTTGAGATAATAATTTTCTTTTCCTCAAGTTCTCCAGCATGCTTAGGAAGCAGTTGACCAAGCCCATATCCTTAAACTCTATTTCCACTAACATGTACTGTTGTACAATGGCATCAGCGTCTTGGTCACCCGAAGCTTTGCAGTTTATTGGCACTTGACTTCAGGTGACTACAGGTAATACTTGTATTATCTGTTTGTCACTGTATGCCACCTATTACCAGTGTCCTATTTATCACTATCAATAGGGTCATGAATGCCTTTAAAGACTTAAGTCTAGGCAGATCAAAGAACCAATTCCAGATTCCCATCCTTTTCATTCTTTACCTTGGAACTCTACTCCGAACACCAATAATAATATCGGTCATGCAAGCAAATTCACTATACATGTTACAGGATAAGGAATTTAATACAGGATGGACATTATGCAAATGTGGGAATAGCTAAAGAAATGAAAGTTCAAAAGAGGGTGTTGGAGGATCAATGCAAAAGTCACCAATCTCTCTTCCTGAAGCTGGTGCAAGTGGACAAACTGGAGCTGGCAGAAAAACCTGAGAAGCCAAGCATGTCTAGCTGCGGAACTAGGATTGTGAAGGTGGTGTGTGGAGGGGATCTGTGGGGAAGATGTTGCTTCCATGTAATCATTACGAGGCATTTGGTGATGGACCTGGGACTGCTGTTGGTCAGCAAGATCAGCAGTCACCTGGAGAAAGATGAAAAACTGGAACTTACCAGGCACCATCACATTAGTCAATGAAGACTCTTAGAAAGCAGTAGCTGCTATTTCACTTCCACCTCCCAAGTTTCTTAAAAGTTCGTCTATTGGCATATTCTAACCTGAAACCATACAAAGAAGAGGGTTCCAGGAATTGTAGTTCCAACTTAACGAAGTTAACAATAGAACAGTTACATGGTTTCAGTTTTTACATTTTAATCTATGATCCATTTGGAGTTTATCCTTGTGTATAGTAGGAGGTATGGATCTAATTTTTATCTTTTCCCAAAGACTATTCAGTTTTCCCCATCAACCTTTATTAAAATCTGCTTCAGTGCTTTGAGACGCTACCATTACCATATTCTAAATTTCCTTATTTAGTTGTGTGTGTTCTGGACTTCATGTTCTATTCCAGTGTTATTTTTGTCTGTTCAGACACTACTACCATGTTGTTCTATTCTAGAAACTTTATAAAATGTTTTCTTATCTGACAGGGCTAGTCTTCCTTTATAGTTTAAAAGCCTGCATTTAAACCCCATTCTTATCTAACTTTAGCTAGAACCTCACTTACAGCAGTGTTTTACCTTGAATATTAGGAATTATTAATGGAAAGGAGAAATCTGATATTTAGAGGCCAGTTAGATTTGCCACTGATTACTACAGAGTTTTAGTGAAGGTGAAGTTAATTATCCTTTCCTAGATGGAGTTGAGGGAAGGCAACAGATCAGGCATCAAATGCTAGTACAAATATTACTTTCTTCTCTGGTCTCTTCATCTTGCCTATTTTAGAATAAAAAACAAAACAATAAGGACATTATGAGAATAACAAAGAGCAGTGAAGTCTGGACTAAAAGAAAGTGACCTGAGGGCTGGTGGCAGCTTTGCCACTGACATTTCTTGTGACTCTGGGAGAGCTGTTTCATCTCTTTGGGCTTTCATTTCCCAACTGCCATATGAGAGGGCTAGATTAAACATCTCAGTCTTTCCTTTTCTAATATTATATGACTCAACCTCGTAATTCTGCGTATCAAAAAGTCCCCTTCCTTGGCAATAACATAAAAGATCACAACTCAAGTTGGAGGTAATCATTAGCTGGTTGTCTATCAGTGAGTATATTTTAGGAGCTTATTGTGTATAAGCTCACATTCCCACTGGAACAATTTAGCATCACAATTCTAGTTTAGAAGTAAATTCTATTTGTGGGGCATAGTGGAGGCCAATTACCTAGTATGCCTCTGAGGATTCAGGAATTTTACTCACACCCTTATTTCACTATATATAGATAAACACTCCAAGGGATCTCAGCTTCTCCCTAATTCTGTATAGTGTTTAAATTAGAAGATGAGGCCGGGCGTTAGTGGCTCATGCCTGTAATCCCAGCACTTTGGGAGCCGGAGGTGGGTGGATCACTTGAGGTCAGGAGTTCGAGACCAGCCTGGCTAACATGGTGAAACCCTATCTCTACTAAAAATACATAAATTAGCTGGGTGTGGTGGTGCACACCTATAATCCCAGCTACTCAGGAGGCTGAGGCAGGAGAATCACGTGAACCCAGGAGGCTGAGGTTGCAGTGAGCTGAGATCGTGCCACTGTACTGTAGCCTGGGTGACAGAGGGAGACTCCTTCTCAAAACAAACAAAAAAAATTAGAAGATGAGGCTAATGTAGAATTTTAGGTCCTGGTAAGTGGTGGCTCACGCCTGTAATCCTAGCACTTTGGGAGGCCCAGGCAGGCGGATTGCCTGAGCTCAGGAGTTCGAGACCAGCCTGGGCAACACAGTGAAACCCCATCTCTACTAAAATACAAAAAATTTGGCCAGGTGCGGTGGCTCATGCCTGTAATCCCAGCATTTTGGGAGGCCGAGGCCGGCGGATCACGAGGTCAGGAGATCGAGACCATCCTGGCTAACATGGTGAAACCTGTCTCTACTAAAAAATCCAAAAAATTAGCCGGGCGTAGTGGCAGGCACCTATAGTCCCAGCTACTCGGGAGGCTGAGGCAGGAGAACAGCGTGAACCCGGGAGGCGGAGATTGCAGTGAGCCAAGATTGTGCCGCTGCACTCTAGCCTGGGCGACAGCAAGACTCTGTCTCAAAAAAAAAAAAAAAAACTAATTTGCTAGGTGTGGTGGTGGGTGCCTGTAGTCCCAGCTACTCAGGAGGCTGGAGAATCGCTTGAACCCAGGAGGCAGAAGTTGCAGTGAGCTGAGATTGCGCCACTGCACTCCAGCCTGGGCGACAGAATGAGACTCCATCTCCAAAAAACAAAAAAGGTCCTTTTTCTCTAATAATTTTGGTAAATTCTTCCATTGTCATTTAACTCGTGATCTATTAGACTGTAGTATGCACATTAGTTATGGCTTATTGTGCTCTTGTAACAAATACAATACATGCCTTTGAGTGGTGTGATGTATTGCTGGTGAGTCTGTAATGTCTGAAGAATACTTGGAATACATATGTCTAACTGGGGAATCAACCTCTGGGTTATTTTTTATCATTTTATTTTATTTTTCATTATTTCACTAGTTGTATAATGGACAGATATTCACATATTAAACAATATGGCAACATTCTAGAAGAGTGTATAAATAATACATTAATAAAAATGTGTACATTTTGTGAGGTATAGAGATATCTCCCTGTAATGAAGGGAAATGAAAATAATTAAAATATGAGCAAAATTACGTGAAGATATATGGTCAAATTTAAAAGCGGTAAATTATGAGATTATCCAGAATTCTAATATAACTCAACTGGGAGAACTTTAGACTACTCTTTCTACCAGTATACTTGATTTTTAAAAAAATTATCACTGAAAAAAATCCAGAATTTTAATGCTCAAATAATATTGAAGAATGAATAATTATAAAGCAACAAGGGAAAAGCAATTGAAAATTAAAATGGATTTTTTTTTTTTTGAGACAGAGTTTCACTCTTGTTGCCTAGGTTGGAGTGCAATGGTGTGATCTCAGCTCACTGCAACCTCTGCCTCCCGGGTTCAAGCGATTCTCCTGCCTCAGCCTCCCGAGTAGCTGGGATTACAGGTGCCCGTCACCACGCCCAGCTAATTTTTTGTATTTTTAGTAGAGATGGGGTTTCACTATGTTGGCCAGGCTGGTCTTGAACTCCTGACCTCGGGCAATCCACCCACCTTAGCCTCCCAAAGTGCCGGGATTACAGGCGTGAACCAGCGTGCCCAGCCCTAAAATGGAAAAAATTTAAAATTACTTAGACAATGTGATGTCATCAAAGGAACCCTAAGTAAGAGAAAGAAAAACTATTCATAAACCTGCAAGAGACACTAATTATTTTATTTATTCATCCATCCATCTGTTCTGTCTTGAGCCATGTACAGGATTCTAGCTGGTGTACCACTCAACTGATTATTTAATTACATTGAGTTGTGGTTTTTTTCATTTATAGTTGGGTTCTGTTGGTTTCAAACAGACATTTGCAAAACAAATGTTAAGAGAAAGGGAGCATATTATGAGGATACATGTACCCCGGAACGGAAACTCCAGCAAGGACTAGCAGCTTTCTCTATGTGATGGACCACCTAGGGTCTCTCTGTCAAGATTGCTGCTGCTTGCTGAGGATTATTCCCTTAGGCCTTGATATGAGCTCCTATGCCTGAAAGGCTGCCCCATGAGGCCTCTTTTTTTTGCATTCTTTTGGCTTTAGATTCACTCTTAACAGCCACATTCTTTTAATATTTATTAAATTCCTGAAAGTAGATTAATCTGATTGGTTGGAGCTCTTTTCTTCATTACAGGTCACAAAATACGTTATTGATCATTCAATTGATTGGCTTTCAGTCAGATGCCCACACCTGACTCAAACAGCTGTGCTGGAGTGGTTGAAATCCTGTGGTACTTCATGAGCAGCTATGGCTCTCAGCAGGGGTGGGATGAAGAAGTGGTTTTCCTTAAAAAAGACTGTGGGCTGGCATTTCCCCATCACTGTCTGATAAAAGAAAGCTAATACCTGACTTCCATGGTTGTAGGGTAATCCTTCTAAAAATTATCCATAATTCCCAACTCTCTGCTGGATACTTTCTCAATTATGAACTACTGTGGCCCCTAGGTGTGTAAGTCTAGATTAAGTATTTAAGGCTTGTATCAAATCAGAAAGAAAACGTCCCTTACATCTTCACACCATTGATTATTTGTTTCATATTAATAAACCATTGTCAGTTGTTTTCTTGCTGTTATCAAAGCTGGAATAAGTGTATGTTTAGATGGACAAATGACCTGATGTTTGACTTTGATTCTTTGGAACAACAACTGTCTTCCTTCCAGGACATTTATTTTCATGGGCTTTCCTAATGGCCATGCCTGGTCTATCACAGCTGAGTTCCTGACAACTCTTGCATAGCTTCTCTTCACCAGCCATGTGTAAACTGCTAACATTCCACAACCCACATAGGACTTGTAAACCAAATAGAACAAAGAGCAGTTCCCTGCTGTGATCTACAGACATGAGCCACTCTTGTATTAGGTTTATCTTGTGACTGTAGGAGGAATTAGAAGAGTTAAAGATGCAAATTATATATTTTGACCTCTTCAGGGATTTGGACTTAAAATTTAAAAATAGGACTCCAGGCTCAATCCCCTGCCTTGTGTTTAAAAACAAAAACAAAACAAAACAAAACAAAAAACAAACAAACCTTAGTCTCAGATGTTCTGATTTTCTCTTTGTGTTTCTGTGTATTAAAGAACTTATCCGTGTATTCAGTCCATGTATTAAAGCATTTATCCCATGTGTTAAAGCATTTGTTTACATATCTATCTCCTGCTGTAGACTGTTGGTTCTTCAAGTGCAGAGACTATGTTTAATTTATCTATGTATTCCCACCTTCCAGCTTCTCTTTCTAGCACAGTACCTATACGTGCTAGATATGTAGTCAGTAGTTGTGGCATGAACAGATTGTTGAAAGAAAAGAAAAGATTGTTGAAAGATACTGACTTTAGAACATACCTAAATAAGTACTTGGGGATAACTTGGGCATCACCCAAGTTATATACTAGTATTTATTATAATTCATACCCATAAAACACTTGATACATTTTTCATCAGTACAGGCTTCCCACATAGGTGCACACATCTCTCTTAAACATTTTGCCAAAACCTCACACACAGAATTGAGTAATGAGGTTAGACTTCCTATTAGGTCATTTCTCTTGGCTGAGGAGGATTAAAATCCTGGAATTGGAATGAATGAGAACTAATAGTTTACAATTATATAAAATTTTTCTGCCCATACAGAAAAAATTTTGGTTCAACTCACACTTGACTTAATGTTCAGACCCTTCCCAGCTGCTACTATAGGATATACGTCTAAGGGAAAATATCCTATTTCTCTCGAACCTCCCCCAGTCTCTCTCTGTATTCTAAAACATCTGTGTAATTCAGGGAAGGCACCTGGATGAATCTGGCATGGCATGTAAAGGAAATGTGGAGGAACCTCTTTTGAAGAATCTCCTCTGATGTCCAGGAGAATAAAAGGGTTGTTTTCTTTTCTGGGCAATGAGAAGACAAAGACCCTTCCCCTCTATGTGAAGACTCAGTCTTATGTTGTAGTCACCTATGAATGGATTGTAACAAGTCTCATCTGGATCTCTTGAATTTTAATAATCTGCAGAAAGCTTCAGCAGGATCAGTAAGCTTTTTACAGCCAACAGATCTCTCTGTGGAATACTGCTCATCCTTGAGAAATTCTGCCTTGGTTTGGCTGGGAGGGGCCTTTCTGTGGCCAGTGATATTTGCTTGCATTCTTTGCTGTATCTCTCATATAACATACTTCCACTTGGGCTGATGTGACAATTACAAGTAGAAAAGGAGACTGAATTTTTCTCTGTCAGATTTTGTTACCTTTCACTGCGGAAGTGATGCCGGTCAGAATCTGCTCTTGCAGGATGCAGACTACTGCCACAATGGCTTTTTCCATTCTTTCATTTCCAACTGGTATCTGTCAGCTGGGGACCAAACTGGATACCAGGTTCCCACTATTCAAATATTCTGCTTGGAGACCAGACACATTGCATGTGTGCATTCTATTTATTACCACTTCATGAAGCCATTAGAAATGGAATTTTGCCCTTTTTAGATTTTTTTTTAAATTTAAGCATCTCAAAATGTTTTAAAGAACTGTAATTCTCAAAATCCTTTCACAGAGAAAGGAACACATCATTATTTCTGTCTGGTAGCAGTGGACATTTCTGGGCAGTTATGCTGTGTCTAACCCACAGAGCTCAGAATGAGGCTTGAGTTACTACTCTGAATGCTGGATGACTGTTCTTAACTCCTGATTCGTATGCTTGTAGAATTGAAAGGGGTGGTGGGGAATAAGCTTTTAAGACTAGCAGCTCTTAGGAAGCTGCTTGTTGCCTCCATATTACTAGTCTATAACATTGTTTTGAGGACCTCCCTTGACTTTATATAGCCTCAAATATATTGTTAAAATAGAAGGATAACAAAATAGTGAAATTAGTTGAATCTGGAGTACTTGAACAAGCTCGTTGCTTCCATATTTTATTTATCTACACTAGAATAGGTCTATAAGGTTGAACTGAATAGTTTTGGAGTCAGCTTTTTGCTGGCAATGGTTGATAGCAGTTCATTATGATAGCTGTTGAAAGTTAAGGATGTTCTTGATTCACTTGGTCCCCCTTTATTTTAGCTGGCTTCACTTAATTTTTTTGGTTTGTATTATTAAAGCCAAATGGAGAACTTATTTATTCTGTGTGTGATTTTTAAAGACAGTAGATATTCTACCCAGAACTACAAAATTAGCTTACTTTTTCCCTTGAAATTGACTTTATTTTCCTATTGGAGAGGGTGTAGTTTTTTTGTTTGTTTGTTTTTTGAGATGGAGTCTTGCTCTGTCGCCCAGGCTGGAGTGCAGTGGCACGGTCTCAGCTCACTGCAACCTCCACCTCCCAGGTTCGAGCGATTCTCCTGCCTCAGCCTCCTGAGTAGTTGGGACTACAGGCGTGTGCCACCATGCCCGGCTAATTTTCTGTATTTTTAGTAGAGATGGGGTTTCACTGTGTTGGCCAGGATGGTCTCGATCTCCTGACCTTGTGATCTGCCTGCCTGAGGCTCCCAAAATGGTGGGATTACAGGCGTGAGCCACCACGCCTCGCCGGGGTGTAGTTTTTTAAACAATCGAGAAAATATTTATATTCCATTTATTGATTTAAAGAAAAAATTTTTAAAGTTCCTACCAATAAAAGGATCTTCAGTGTCTTAGAGTGACCTTCCTCAGATCTTGAGTGAAGTCTAAACTGTGTGTGTGTGTTTTTTGTTTTTGTTTTTGTTTTTGATGGAGTCCTGTTCTGTTGCCCAGGCTGGAGTGCAGTGGCGCAATCTCGGCTCACTGCAACCTCTGCCCCCCGGGTTCTAGCGATTCTCCTGCCTCAGCCTCCTGGGTAGCTGGGATTACAGTTGCACACCACCACGCCCAGCTAATTTTTGTATTTTTAGTAGAGACGGGTTTTCGCCATGTTGGCCAGGCTGGTCTTGAACTCCTGACCTCAGGTAATCCCCCTGCCTCGGTCTTCCAAAGTGCTGGGATTACAGGCATGAGCTACCGCACCTGGCCAAACATGTATTTTTAAAATTTATTTTTATTGTGGTAAAACATACATAACAAAATTTACTATTTTAACCATTTTAGCTACACAGTTCAGTGCCATTAAATATTTTAACATTGTTTTGCAACTACTACCACCATCCATCTCCAGAACAATTTCATTTTCCCAACTTGAATTTTGTGCCTATTAAACAGTCAACTCCTCATTCTCCTTTCCTCCTCAGCCTGTAGCAACCATCATTCTCCTTTCTGTCTCTGTGAATTTGTTTACTCTAGGTATCTCGTATTAGTGGAATCACACAGTATGCATCCTTTTGTGTCTGCCTTATTTCACTTTTAATGTCTTCAAGGTTTATTCATGTAGCATGCATCAGAATTTCCTTCTTTTTGAAGTCTGAATAATATTTTATTGTATGTATATACCACATTTTGTTTATCCATTAATCTATAATGGACATTTGGGTTGCTTTCACCTTTGGGCTATTGTGAATAATGCTGCTATAAACATGGACGTGCAAATATCTATTTGAGGTCCTGCTTTCAATTCTTTTGGGTATATACCCAGGAGTAGAATTGCTGAATCATATGGTAATTCTATAGGTAACTTTTTGAGGAACTGCCGTACTGTTTTTTACAATGGTTGTACCATTTTACATTCCCACTAGCAGTGCACAAGGGTTCCAATTTCTCTATATCCTTGCTAACACTTGTTTTTTTTTTTTCAAATCTGTAATAACATCCTAATGAGTGCGAAGTGGTATCTCATTGTGGTTTTGATTTGCATTTTCCTAATGACTAGTGATATTAAATAGATACTTAATATGTGCTTATTAGCTATTTATGTATCTTGTTTGGAGAAATGTCTTCAAGTTCCAAGTCCATTTTTGAATTGGGTTGTAGGAGTTCTTTACATATTCTGGGTATAAATCCCTTTTTAGGTATATTTGCAAATATTTTGTTCCATTTTGTGTGTTGTCTTTTTACTTCTTTGGTAGTGACCTTCGATACACAAAAGTTATTAATTTTGATAAAGTTCAGCTGATTGATTTTGAGCTGTGTCACTCATGCTGTTGGTGTCATATTTAAGAAAGCATTGCAGAATCCAATGTCACGAAGCTTTTCCTCAATGTTTTATTCTAAGAGTTTTATAGTTTTAGCTCTTGAGTTTAGGTCTTTCATCCATTTTGAGTTGATTTTTATGTATGGTGTAAGGTAAAGATTCACTTCATTCTTTGAGAGGCCAGGGTCAGAGGATCACTTGAGGCCAAGAGTTTGAGATCAGCCTGGGCAATATAGTGAGACCCCATCTCTAAAAAAATAAAAATAAAATAAAAATTAGCCGAGCATGGAGGTGTGCATCTGTAGTCCCAGCTACTTGAGAACCTCAGGTGGGAAGATCATTTGAGCCAGGAGTTTGAGGTTACAGTGAGCTATGATTGCTCTACTGCACTCCAGCCTGGGTGGACAGAGTGAGACCCTGTCACAAAACAAAACAAAAAATAAACAGATGACCTGAATAGTCCTATAGAATGGAGAAACTGGACTTCATCAAAATAATAACTTCTGCTCTTTGAAAGATATAATTGAGAAATAAAAGTAAACAAATACCACAGTTTAAAACCTGACAAAAGAGTTGAACAGATACTTGGTCAAATAATGGCACTGAGTGACAAAAACAACATTAAAAAATGCTCAACATCAGCCGGGTGCAGTGGTCACGTCTCTAATCCCAACACTTTGGGAGGCCAAGGCGGGTGGATCACTTGAGGTCAGGAGTTAAAAACCAGCCTGGCCAACATGGTGAAACCCTGTCTCTACCAAAAAATACACAAATTAGCCAAGTGTGGTAGCGCCCACCTGTAGTCCCAGCTACTCGGAAGGCGGAGGTGGGAGAATTACGTGAACCTGGGAGGCAGAAGTTGCAGTGAGCTGAGATTGCACCACTGCACTCCAGCCTGGAAAGACAGAGTGAGACTCTGTCTCATAAAAAGAGAAGAGAAAAGAAGAGAAGAGAACAGAAAAAGCTCAACATCAATAGTATTTAGGGAAATGCAAATTTAAACTACAGTGAGCAAGCCTACATGCCCATTAGAATGGCTAAAATTAAAAACACTGACCACACTGAGTTTTGACAAGGATATGGAAGAACTAGAACTCCCATACACTGCTGCTGAGAATGCAAAGTTGTACCACCACTTTGGAAAACAGTTTGGCAGTTCCCTACAAAGTTAAACACATACCTACCATATGACCGAACCGTTTCACTCCTACAAATTTACACTAGTGAAAAGAAAGCATACGTCTACACAAAGATTTGTACATGAACATTCATAGCAGCTTTATCTATAATAGCCAAAAACTGGAAACAATCCAAATATCCACTAGCAGGTGAATGGATAAACAAAGTGTGGTAGTATATCCAAACAACAGAATACTTCTCACTAATAAAAAGGAACAAACTACTGATACATGTAACAACATGGTTGAATCTCAAAATCATTATGTTGAGTGAAAGAAGCCCAACAAAGACAGAGTATCTACAAAATGATTTCACTTATATGAAGCTCTACAAAATGCAAACTAATCTTTAGGCACAGAAAGCAAATCAGTGGTTGCCTGGTAATAGGGGTAAGGAGGTAGGACAAAAAGTAGCGAATGCAAAGGGGCATGAGAAAAATTTTGGTTGGTGGATGGGATATGTTCACTATGTTGCCTGCCGTGGTGATTTTACAAGTGTACACATATGTCAGAGCTTACAAGTTGTACACTTCAATATATGTTATTTATTTTTTGTCAATTACCTCAGTAAATAAATTGCATGCTATTTTCAATTATCTGTGCAATTCTACCCTTCTTTAGGTCATTATTATTTCTTTTTGTAATTGTGTTGCTGTTTGTCCGTGGCAGAAAAGTTGATCTCAATTTGAAGAGTTGGAGACATTTCCTTTGGTGGAAGCAGGAATGGGTAACTTGGGAAAACGGAATGAAAATTTGAAGCACCATTGTTTTTCTTTTCTTCTTCTTTCTTCTTCTTCTTCTTCTTCTTCTTCTTCTTCTTTTCTTTTTTTTTTTAACAGAATCTCTCACTCTGTTGCCCAGGCTGGAGTACAGTGGCATGATCTCGGCTCACTGCAACCTCCGCCTTTCGGGTTCAAGCAATTCTTCTGCCTCAGCCTCCCGAGTAGCTGGGACTACATGCATGCACCATCACGCCTGGCCAATTTTTGTATTTTTAGTAGAGATGGGGTTTCACTATGTTGGCCAGGCTGGTCTCAAACTCCTGACCTCGGCCTCCCAAAGTGCTGGGATTACAGGTGAGCCATTGTGCCCAGCCAGCACCATTGTTTTTCTGTGAGATGTGGCAGTAGTCTGTAAGGTTTATTATTTGATTGTTAATGGATAGCCTGTTTAAGGAGCACGGGATCTGGAGGCATAAAAAATTGTGCTTTGCCATTTACTGGTTCTTACTAACATTGGGAAAGCTGCCGAATTTCTAAGTGATAGTTATGTATCTCAGGGTTGAGGACAATCATTATGAACATATTCTGGTCAAGAATCAGTTGTTTTAAGCAAATAAACCTTCTTAAACTAGTTTAAGCAAAAAAGGGAATGTAGTCACACTATATAGAGGTTTCTAATGAATGCTGGGGCAAGAAGTTCAGCTGGGGCCTCAGGAGGAACTGTAGAATGAAGGGGAGATCACTTTCTTATATTTGCTTCTCATCAGCCATCTCCCTGCCCCCATGACCCCCTCCACCAGCCCATTTAGCTCAGAAACTTCTGTTTCTCTGTGCACATGGACCAAATACATATCCATTCTGGACCTAGCCCTATATCAGTTTCTAACTCCCAGAATTGATTGCCAGCTCCTAGTTTTTAGCAGAAACTTTCTAGAGTTCCTGAGACATGATAAATTCTTGAGAGGTTATTTGACTGGCTTACTTGGGTTCTGGGGTCCATCAAGGTATTAAGAGCCATGAAGGGAAGGGTGGTCATATAACCTACTCACTAGGGGTTTGAGAACAGAGCGGCCCTTGAGAAGGGCTGTATAAGACAGGCACATTGCATACTACATGTGCTATGGAACCTTGGTATTCTGTGGACCAGCAACATCAGCATCACCTGGGAGTTGGTGAGGGATGCAGAATCTCAGATCCTGCCCCAGACCTACTGCATTTTAACATGACACATGCACCTTAAAGCTCAAGAAGCACTGCTATAGAGAAGGGTTTCTCCACCTCAGCACTGCTAACATGTGGTCCTGGGTCCTCCGTTATTGTGGGGGTCTGTTCTGTGCATCGTAGGATGATTAGCGGCATCACTGACCTCTGCCCACTAGTTGCCAGTAGCAACTCTCCTACCACAAGTCGTGACAACTAAACATGTCTCCAGACATTCCCAGATGTCCCTGGAGGGAGGAAATTGCCCTAGCTGAGAATCATTGCTATAGAGGATGAAAAGAAATAACATATAAAGTGTTTTATAAACTGTTAGTCTGTACAAATATTAGTCAGTCTCGTGGGATTTTCCCGCCAAAATCCAAAGCCCGTGTAGAAGGGAAGGTTTAATATCAGGCTTTTGTGAGTTTTTATTTCTTTATAATGTCAGGTTTTATAACTTTCTTGTGAACTTTACTATATTAATTTAGAAAGCCATTTCTTTTCATTTTCCATTTTTGAGATATAGTGGAAAAATGTTTATTCATGTAGGTACCATGTACACATTAAATCTTGAACCTAGCCACTTGTGTAATTGTGCTTGTTTTCTATAAAATACCTTCTGTTACTGAACAGTGAGACCTTTTCAGAGAAATCTCTTTGGGAAGTTCAGGCTATAATCATTCAGGATGTTCCACTGCTGTGGCCAACTGTGGGGATGCAAAAACAGATCAAATCTAGTTCAGATAATTAAGTTCTAAAACACAGATGTTTGAAGCTCATCAAAATAGATTATAGAAGCTGAAATCATTATAGTAGCTTCCTGTAAACGTTTAACAATGAATAGTAGAAGTAAATATTTTCTCAATTTCAATTTCTTCTTTTGAAGAAGAAACCAAGGTATCCTTTCCAGAGGGACTTTGCTGGCTTCACCCAATGTGGAGTAAAAGTTTCTTTTTCACATCCTTTGCTTCTTATGCTACTGTATAAATTCTTCTCTGAAAGGAAGGAGCCTATTGCAGTAAGCACATTGGTATGTTCTCAGTGAGTATTTGTGGGATGGAAAGAAGGAAGGACCAAAGAGCAAGCAGACAAGCCAGGATGCTGCACAACATGCTGGCTCTGGCCGCCCCTCTCCATGGAACACAACTGTTGTGTTCAGTGTCATGCTGAGAGCGTCTGGACAGAAGGGCCTTTCAGTTCCTGGATATTTTCTCTCCAAAAGTCTGACTCTAAGGACATATTAAGCAAATTAATTCCCTTTTTGTCAGCATACCTAATGCTTGTCCCTCATTGTGAATGGAGTTCCTTCATTGTTTTAGGCCAAAGAGCCATTTTAAAACATGGATCTGTGCATATTTTAAACTAAAATGAAAAGATGTGTGCATAATTTGTTCCCATTTCTAGGGTTTAATATCCATATTAAAAGGCTGAAAAGGGCTTGTACAGATCGGCTCAGGCCTTGTTTCTAGCCACTCCTTGTTGGGGTCACCTTGAGTATGAACAATTGGATTTGAAAGATTCATTTCAACTTAAAATCTTTCACCATAGAAGAGAATTGACTGATACTGTTGTGCATGTCTGAGGATGATGAATAGCCCTTTTCTCCCTCGCCCAATAGGAGGTGGATAGCTTCTGAACATTTCTTAATGCAGAACTCAATAGCCAGCCTCAGAAGTAGTAATTGCTGGATCTGTGATCCAACTTTTTGTGTGTACATTAGGTTTACTCATTAAAGTCTCACATGCAAGGGCAGAAGGAAGCCATTCTCACTGCAGAATGAATTTTAAAGAGGAAATACTTTTACTGTAGCTTTAGACATTAAGGTACCAAGTGCCAAGACATGTTTTTCTTGTCAGCAAAAGGATAGGGACTTAAAATCACCTTCGGGTCGTGTAGGTTTTCTGGGTTACCCACAGTGGCAGCCATGAACTAAACTTGGGATTTTCCCTCTTTTGAAAACATGTGGGTGTTGTGTTCTGCTTTACCTCTCACATCTGGTGATCAGAGCTCTAGGTCAACAGGGGAAATGTCTGACTGTACATGCAGATTTGCAGTTTGTCCATAAAAGATTTAGTGCTGTTTTTTCAGCCCTCTGTGTCAGGCTTCAGCTGCATCAATGCTCATTAAAGAGCAGCAGCTAGGTGAACCCAGGCATATACACAGAGCTCCCATCAATATTGCAAGAAGTGGGTGTATAGCAGGCGGAAATGGAGGTGAGAGTTGGGGAGCTAAATTAGGCTCCTAAGGCAAGATCAGTAAAGCGTTATTTAACTACTTCCTGCATTTGTTTCAATAATTTTTATTGAGTAACCACTAAATGCCAGCCACTATTCCAGGTTCAAAGGATACAAAGTTGAATGGATAGATATGGTCTTTTCCTTCTCATATTCATAGTCTGTTAGGTTGAAGACACACAGAATAAACAATCATAACTTGATGATAAGTGCCACAGTAGAGGTCTGGACAGTGGACCCATTTCACAGAAAAAGTAACATGTGGACTAGGTCCTTAGAAGTTAAGTAGAATTCTCTAGTTAGAGGCAGAAGAGATAGGGCACTTTAGGGAAAGTAAACAGAGGTTGTCTCAGAAGCATGCAAGTCCGTGCCCTGTTTAGGACACAGCAGGGTGTTCCAGTGGTTTCAGTCTAAGGAGTGTCAAGCATGCAGGGGGACAAGACTAGATGGGCAGACTGAGGCTGTGTTATCATGGGGTTCATACCATACTGTGGATTTAGAATCTACCCAGTGTCCTAAGCAATGAGAAACTATCAAAGCCAGTTCTTGTCTTCTCTTGCTTAGCTCCCAACACCAATACCTTAAAGTTCAGCTTCACCTAGTCAATCCCTGACCAGGTGAGTCTCTGGAGCAAAGGTAACCCTGGGTTATTAGCTATTGGAATTTAGAATTAGTCTTGCTACCCTAAACTGTGGTATGTCCAGACACTCATAAGCTCCCTGAGCTCAGTAACTGGACCCTCACTCTATCCTTGTTCTCCTGGTTTTTGTGACTGGGCTTTTGCTTGCTTTTCTGATTAGCCTTCCAATTCCCAGTACTGGAGCTAGTCCAGACACTGAGTCTGTCTCTTATCAGTCCTCTTCCTCCTCCTAGGGCCCGTATTCTTCTTTCCATATTCCAGCTGCATGCTGGGATCCTGCTCCAACTAACAACTTTCCTGGAGCCACACCATCGTCACCTGCTCGTTGTGAGTCCCTGTTAATTCTTAAAGTTGTATACAACCTACCAAATCAGACTTCTTTATCTGTATTGTCTCACCTTTATCCACATTTGTTGCCTCCCTATGGATATAGATTTAGATGATACTAGGCCTGTATTCCTTCTCTCCATACTGTCAAGCTCATTCATTCTCCTCACCCTATTCTTGGCTTGTTTCAAATTTTTCCTATTCTCTACTAGTCACACTACATGCTCCAGCATGTCTGTGGCAAACATACTCTTAACGTGGGCCCCATGATTCCTGCCTTTCTTCATGCCCTTGTGTGATCCGTTTCCCTTGAGTATGGATGGATCCTGTGACTTGCTTCTAACCAATAGAACATGGCAAAAGTGACAGAATGTACATTATTTTGTGTATATGATTATGTAAGATTGTAGCCCTCATTTTGCTGGAGTCTCTCTCTCCCTTGCTGGCTATGAGGTAGCAAGTAGCTATATTGGGGAACCCCATGTGGCAAAGAACTTCAGGTGGCTTTGAGGAGCTGAGGGCAGTCTCCCCTGACAGCCAGCAAAAAACTGAAGCTCTCAGTTCTACAATTGCAAGGAACTGAATGCTGTCAACAACTGCACAAGCAGGGAAGCAGATCCTCCCCAAATTAAGCCTCCACATGAGAACCAGGTCTAGCTGACACCATGATTGCAGCCTTGCAGAGGACCCAGTGAAGCTATGCCTGGACTCCTTACTCACAGAACTGTGAGATAATAAATGGGTGTTATTTTAAGCTACTGAAACTGTGGAAATATTGTTACTCAGCAATAGATAACTAATACAATGTCTCAGTGGAGCAAAACAACATACAGCAATTAGAATATCTGTTCTGGCTAAATGCTTAGCATCTGGTAATTAGATGTGTAATTGTGCTTTATCAAACAATTTTTCTCTCTCCTACTAACATTCCTAAGGAAATGGGAAATTGCTATTTTCTACATGGAATTGGTTCATCACCTTAATTGTCTTATTCCTGAAACAGGTGTCCTAGATAAAGGACACCAGATGGGATCCAGCAGCTGCAGTAGGAAAACTCTGGAATCACAGAGACTCTGTTGAGTGTAACCTTGTGTGTAATAGAGGACAAAGAAAAAATAAAAGAACTCTTAAAGATTTTCTTGAGAGTGTTCAAAAGGTGTCAGTGGTGTCTAAAGTATAGTGATAAATGGTTCAGGATGAATGTTTGTCATCCCTTTTGAAACTGAGACACTTCACAAAGGTTTACTGGCAGAAAATACAAACATTTTCTAACGCATTTTTCAAATCTCTCAGTTTCATAACAGTATTAGGTTGATCTGTTATTTATGCATCATTCTCATATTAATTTTCCCATTTTGTTCTTTTGATCGTCAGTCATTTAACCTCTCTTGATCTTTGGTTAGGTGTCAAAATGGGATAATCTCTTATTTTACGTAGGGGAGAGTTAAAAATAACATTTCGTGAACACCTACTGAGTACTTTGCTACTTGTTTTGCATCTCCTATGAGCTTCTCCACAGTAGGTCTATGAAATGGCTGTTTTTTTTTTCTTTTTTTTTTTAACAAAGTCTCCCTCTGTCACCCAGGCCAGAGTGCAATGGTGCGATCTTGGCTCACTGCAACCCCTGCCTCCAGGTTCAAGCGATTCTCGTGTCTCAGCCTCCCGAGTAGCTGGGATTACGGGTGCCTGCCACCATGCCTGGCTAATTTTTGTATTTTTAGTAGAGAGAGGATTTCATCATGTTGGTCAGGCTGGTCTCGAACTCCTGACCTCAGGCAGTCCACCTGCCTCGACCTCCCAAAGTGTTGGGATTACAGGCGTGAGCCACCACGCCCAGACGAAGTGGGTATTTTTTTTTTCTTTATTTTTGTTAAGTGAGCAAAGCAAGACCAAGAGACGTTAAGTAATGTGCCCAAGTACATAGCTAGTAAGTCTCAGAGTCAGAACTTAATCCCACTGACTTCAAAAATGTCTTTCCATGACATCAGTGGTTCTCAAAGTATGGTTCATGGATTCCTTGGGGTTCCTGAGATCCTTTCAGGGAATCCATGAGGTCACAACTATTTTCATAATAATACTAAGATATTATTTGTCTTTTTTTTTTTTTTACTGTGTTGGTGTTTGCACTGACGGTATAAAAGTAATGGTGGGAAAAACTGCTGGAGCCTTAACATGAATCTGGACAGTGGCACCAAGCTGCACTAGAAGTCATTGTATTTTTGACTGCCATAAACTTGAAGTTAAAAGGGCTGGAGTGGGGTGGGGTGGGAGAGCCAGTTTGACTTAAAAATGTCCTCAATGAAGCTATTATAAGCATTAATTTTAATAAATCTCAACCCTTGAGTAGATCTTTTTAGTATTTGCAGTGATTAAATGGGTAGTACATGTAAAGCACCTGTGTTGCATACCAACTAATCACTGGTTGTCTAAAAGAAAGGCGCTTGTGCACTTGAGTTGTGAACTGAGTGGGTATTTTTTTATAGAACTTTTTTTTTTATGTGAAAGAATGACTGAAGAAAACTGTGGTTTTTGCAGACTTAATATTTGGAGAAATTTTATCAAAACTGAATGAGTGAAAAAAACTGAATGAATGTGCCTGTCACTTCAAGGAAAACAGTATTTGCTGCCAATTCATGCTTTTAAGGGAAAGATAGAGTTTGGGGAAACTTGTATTTACCACCGTGACTGTGAGAGCTTGACAACTTCCCAACACTTATTTTCTTGATGAAGTGGTGGTGAGTTTTTGATATTGTATAATGAAATTGTCAACATTTGGAAGATCTGTAGCCTTACTGAACAATATTTTCCAATAGCCAATGCATAATGTTATAAAATTATGAGTGGGCAAAAGAGCCACTGAAAGTGCAAGATAAACCAATGCATTTGAAAGTAACAGAGTACAGAAAGTTCATTGATATAGTCTTAAATTCCACATTGCAGCTAACCTTAAAAAAGCACGTGTCAAGTTTTGGTATAATGGTAAAGAATGATATTCACATCATCTATTTTCCAATTACATATCTATGTGAGGCTGTTTTTTAAAAATATATATTTCAACCAAAACAACATATTTCAACAGATTAAATGCAGAAGCAGATAAGAAAATCCAGTTGTCTTCTATTAAGCAAAAACATTAAGGATTTTAAAAAGTGTAAAGTGATGCCATTCCTTTCCTTATTTTGTTGTTTTAGAGGATATATGTTTCATAAAAATGTGTTATTTATATTAGCATGTAAAGGATTTGTAATTCTAATGGGTTAACAAATATTCAAAAATTCTAATGTCTTATACATTAAACATTGTTATGTACTGCATAACCCACATAAACAAAAGTTTGTTGGAATTGTACTTATTAAGTATATAAATGATCCTGAGACTAAAAAGTGTTTTTAGAACTGATGCATTATACTGTGCTGCTTCTTGTTCTTACATGCCTATGCTGAAACTAAAATAAAATATTATAAGCAGACTAACTTGATAAGTCACTTTAAAGATGCATATCATTTCACTAATGACAATAAATGTGCTTTGCCTTTATCCTGTTAGCCTTGATTTTGCTGTTGGAAAATAAATTTCCTGATATTAGGAGATTATATACAGTTATCACTTTCCTCTATCGCCACAATTCCTTTATACTAAATGGAATCCATAAATTAGATGTGACTTGGCTGAACTGATGTAATAGGTATATGGCAAAACTCATTGGATATTCATGTCTGAATTTATTGTTAGGTCAGTTATAGATTTTTCTGGCAATCTAGATGTTTCTGGCACTCAGTTTTTTATTTTTATTTTTTGCATGTGCATAGTAGGTATATATATTGATAGGGTACATGAGCTCTTTTGATATGCAGTGTGTATCTTGTGTAGTCATTAACACTCAGCTATTAGGAGAGATGGCTTCTCTGACTTGGACCATTTAATACCACCTAATGAATATGCTGTAACTTGTTGCAGCAAATCTCTTGCCTATATCTGAGGGTATTTGTTATTTTCTCCACACTGAAGCTAAACGTTTCATCACATGAAATGTTTATTATTGAAAATAAGACTGGGTGCGGTGGCTCATGCCTGTGATCCCAGCACTTTGGGAGGCTGAGGAAGGACGATCGCTTGAGCCCAGGAGAAAACTAGCCTGGGCAACACAGGAAGACCCTGTCTCTACAAAAAATAAAAAATTGCCAAGCATGGTGGCATGCGCCTGTGATCTGAGCTACTCGGAAGGCTGAGGTGGGAGGATCACTTGTGCCTGGGAGATTGAGGCTGCAGTAAGATGTGATCACACCACTGTACTTCAGTCTGGGTGACAGAGTGAGACTGTGTCTCTAAAAAATTTTTTTTCAAACTAAAAAAATATTTATTGTCATCAACATCATTAGAGGACCTCAGGATCAGTAATGACTATGATATTGCTGCACCTTTGTAAATGTTGTCAATATCCTTTCCTCCTTATTGACTACCTCTTGCTTTGTTTTTTTAACCTTTCCTTTGTATGTAAATGAGACTGTCATGTAAATTCAGTTCACTAGAATTACGTGTAGCAAAGATGATATAAACACAATCTATTCCTTACTACTCCCCAATTTACAACACATAACTCATGTGTTAACATGTCTCTCACTCCAAATACCTTATGGCTGAAGGAGAGTTAGACTTATTAATGAATTTGTGCACCAAAGGTTCAGGCCAAGCTTACCTCCTCTTTGAAGGCTTTTCTTACTTTCTTTGCACTCCCACTCATTGAACATAGTCCAAGTTGAATTGACCACTCCTTCCTTCATGCCCTGATGATATGGACTTCTTTCAAATCAGCTATGATAGCTACTATACTAGTTATATGCCAGGTCTTCATAGTGTACTCTAAGCCTTTCAAAGACAGAGACCATTTCTCATTCATTCATTCTGCAAATGTTGAGTACCTCTCTGTCTCATTGCTGTGCTGGAGGCTGAGGATGGAGCAGTGAGTGACCCAAAGTGCATCTCCTCTCAGAATTTAGGCAATTGTGTCTCAAATGCCTAGCCCTATAGGTTCTGCTATACAGTAAGGGCTTAACAAATGTCTGTAACATGGTGTAGGATGCTTTTCATTCACAGTACTTTTTGGTATTTAATTTTTAAGCAAGTCAAAATTTAATTAGCCTGTACTTTGTGCAAATATGGCTTTTTTCTCTCTGATTTCAAGAAAACCATTGTACCTAAGACTAAGAAAAGTTAATAAAAACATGCCTTATATTTGCACCATTCCTAATGATTTAAAAATATTTTCCCATGCTTATTTCATTTGATTGTTATAGTAACCATAAGATCAGTAAGGAAGATGGTTTTGTCCTCATTTTGCATATGAGCGATAGAACATCACTAGGATCCTAGTCTTCTGATTCAACACCAACTTACCTACATTCACAAACACATCCTCTCTCTTACACATACACACACACACACATACACACACACACCATGTGTGCATGCTTTAAAATCATTTTAGAGATTTGTCAAGATAAGCTTGCTTTTATTTCCATAGAGATGAATTCCATAATGAAGTTATTTTTATACAGAAGAAAATTTATCACCAAATAAGGAAGCAAGGAACAGAGAGGGCAGAGCAGGCATTATTTTTCACAGCAAAACCCAATTAATATGATCCATCATTGGAACCTCTACCTTCTTTTCATAGTGTGTGAGATAGTAGCACAGAGGTTGCAGTAGTGAATGAGCATGGAAACTCAGTGCTGGAAGGCACCATGCAGACCATCTGATCCAGTCTTCTTTATTTATTTATTTATTATTATACTTTAAGATCTAGGGTACATGTGCACAACGTGCAGGTTTGTTACATATGTACACATGTGCCATGTTGGTGTGCTGCACCCATTAACTCGTCATTTACATTAGATATATCTCTTAATGCTATCCCTCTCCCCTCCCCCAACCCCACCACAGGCCCCGGTGTGTGATGTTCCCCACCCTGTGTGCAAGTGTTCTCATTGTTCAGTTCCCACCTATTAGTGAGAACATGTGGTGTTTGGTTTTCTGTCCTTGCTTTAGTTTGCTTAGAATGACGGCTTCCAGCTTCATGCATGTCCCTACGAAGGACGTGAACTCATCCTTTTTTATGGCTGCATAGTATTCCATGGTATATATGTGCCACATTTTCTTAATCCATTCTATCCTTGATGGACATTTGGGTTGGTTCCAAGTCTTTGCTATTGTGAATAGTGCCACAATAAACATACGTGTGCATGTGTCTTTATAGCAGCATGATTTATAATCCTTTGGGTATAGACCAAGTAATGGGATTGCTGGATCAAATGGTATTTCTAGTTCTAGATCCTTGGGAAATCACCACACTGTCTTCCAAAATGGTTGAACTAGTTTACAGTCCCACCAACAGTGTAAAAGTGTTCCTATTTCTCCACATCCTCTCCAGCATCTGTTGTTTCCTGGCTTTTTAATGTTTGCCATTCTAACTGGTGTGAGATGGTATCTCATTGTGGTTTTGATTTGCATTTCTTTGATGGCCATTGATGATGAGCAATTTTTCATGTAACTGTTGGCTGCATAAATGTCTTCTTTTGAGATGTGTCTGTTCATATCCTTCACCCACTTTTTGATGAGGTTGTTTGATTTTTTCTTGGAAATTTGTTTAAGTTCTTTGTAGATTCTGGATATTCGCCCTTTGTTAGATGAGTAGATTGTAAAAATTTTCTCCCTTTCTGTAGGTTGCCTGTTCACTCTGATGGTAGTTTCTTTTGCTGTGCAGAAGCTCTTTGGTTTAATTAGATCCCATTTGTCAATTTTGACTTTTGTTGCCATTGCTTTTGGTGTTTTAGACATGAAGTCCTTGGCCATGCCTATGTCCTGAATGGTATTGCCTAGGTTTTCTTCTAGGGTTTTTATGGTTTTAGGTCTAACATTTAAGTCTTTTATCCCATCTTGAATTAATTTTTGTATAAGGTATAAGGAAGGGATCCAGTTTCAGCTTTCTACATATGGCTAGCCAGTTTTCCCAGCACCATTTATTAAACAGGGAATCCTTTCCCCATTTCTTGTTTTTGTCAGTTTTGTCAAAGATCAGATGGTTGTAGATATGCGGCATTATTTCTGAGGGCTCTGTTCTGTTCCATTGGTCTATATCTCTGTTTTGGTACCAGTATCGTGCTGTTTTGATTACTGTAGCCTTGTACTATAGTTTGAAGTCGGGTAGCGTGATGCCTCCAGCTTTGTTCTTTTGGCTTAGGATTGACTTGGCAATGCGGGCTCTTTTTTGGTTCCATATGAACTTTAAAGTAGTTTTTTCCAATTCTGTGAAGAAAGTCATTGGTAGCTTAATGGAGATGGCACTGAATCTATAAATTACCTTGAGCAGTATGGCCATTTTCATGATATTGATTCTTCCTATCCCGGAGCATGGAATGTTCTTCCATTTGTTTGTGACCTCTTTTATTTTGTTGAGCAGTGGTTTGTAGTTCTCCTTGAAGAGGTCCTTCACATCCCTTGTAAGTTGGATTCCTAGGTATTTTATTCTCTTTGAAGCAATTGTGAATGGGAGTTCACTCATGATTTGGCTCTCTGTTTGTCTGTTATGGGTGTATAGGAAGGCTTGTGATTTTTGCACATCGATTTTGTATCCTGAGACTTTGTTAAAGTTGCTTATCAGCTTGAGGAGATCTTGGGCTGAGACGATGGGGTTTTCTAAATATACAATCATGTCATCTGCAAACAGGGACGATTTGACTTCCTCTTTTCCTAATCGAATGCCCTTTATTTCTTTCTCTTCCCTGACTGCCCTAGCCAGAACTTCCAACACTATGTTGAATAGGAATGGTGAGAGAGGGCGTCCCTGTCTTGCGCCAGTTTTCAAAGGGAATGCTTCCAGTTTTTGTCCATTCAGTATGATATTGGCTGTGGGTTTGTCATAAATAGCTCTTATGATTTTGAGATATGTCCCATGAATACCTAGTTTATTGAAAGTTTTTTTTAGCATGAAGGGCTGTTGAATTTTGTCAAAGGCCTTTTCTGCATCTATTGAGATAATCATGTGGTTTTTGTCTTTGGTTCTGTTTATATGATGGCTTACGTTTATTGATTTGTGTATGTTGAACCAGCCTTGCATCCCAGGGATGAAGCCAGCTTGATCGTGGTGGATAAGCTTTTTGATGTGCTGCTGGATTCGGTTTGCCAGTATTTTATTGAGGATTTTTGCATCGTTGTTCACCAGGGATATTGGTCTAAAATTCTCTTTGTTGTATCTCTCCCAGGCTTTGGTATCAGGATGATGCTGGCCTCATAAAATGAGTTAGGGAGGATTCCCTCTTTTCCTATTGATTGGAATAGTTTCAGAAGGCATGGTACCAACTCCTCTTTGTACCTCTGGTAGAATTAGGCTGTGAATCCATCTGGTCCTGGAGATTTTTTGATTGGTAGGCTATTAATTATTGCCTCAATTTCAGAGCCTGTTATTGGTCTATTCAGGGATTCAACTTCTTATCTTGTTTTAGTCTTGGGTGGGTGTATTTGTTGAGGAATTTATCCATTTCTTCTAGATTTTCTAGTTTATTTCCGTAGAGGTGTTTCTGGTATTCTCTGATGGTAGTTTGTATTTCTGTGGGATCGGTGGTGATATCCCCTTTATTATTTTTTGTTGCATCTATTTGACTCTTCTCTCTTTTCTTCTTTATTAGTCTTGCTAGCGGTCTCTCAATTTTGTTGATCTTTTCAAAAAACCAGCTCCTGGATTCCTTGATTTTTTGAAGGGTTTTTTGTGTCTCTATCTCCTTCAGTTCTGCTCTGATCTTAGTTATTTCTTGCCTTCTGTTAGCTTTTGAATGTGTTTGCTCTTGCTTCTCTAGTTCTTTTAATTGTGATGTTCAGGTGTCAATTTTAGAACTTTCCTGCTTTCTCTTGTGGGCATTTAGTGCTATAAATTTCCCTCTATGCACTGCTTTAAATGTGTCCCAGAGATTCTGGCATGTTGTGTCTTTGTTCTCATTGGTTTCAAAGAACATCTTTATTTCTGCCTTCATTTCGTTATGTACCCAGTAGTCATTGAGGAGCACGTTGTTCAGTTTCCATATAGTTGAGCGGTTTTGAGTGAGTTTCTTAATCCTGAGTTCTAATTTGATTGCACTGTGGTCTGAGAGTTTGTTATAATTTCTGTTCTTTACATTTGCTGAGGAGTGCTTTATTTCCAACTATGTGGTCAATTTTGGAATAAGTGCGATATGGTGCTGAGAAGAATGTATATTCTGTTGATTTGGGGTGGAGAGTTCTGTAGATGTCTATTAGGTCTGCTTGGTCCAGAGTTGAGTTCAAGTCGTGGATATCCTTTTTAACTTTCTGTCTCGTTGATCTGTCTAATGTTGACAGTGGGGTGTTAAAGTCTCTCATTATTATTGTTTGGAATCTAAGTCTCTTTGTAGGTCTCTAAGGACTTGCTTTATGAATCTGGGTGCTCCTGTATTGGGTGCATATATATTTAGGATAGTTAGGTCTTCTTGTTGAATTGATCCCTTTAGCAATATGTAATGGCCTTCTTTGTCTCTTTTGATCCTTGTTTATTTAAAGTCTGTTTTATCAGAGACTAGGATTGTAACCTCTGCTTTTTTTGTTTTCCATTTGCTTGGTAGATCTTCCTCCATCCCTTTATTTTGAGCCTATGTGTGTGTCTGCATGTGAGATGGGTCTCCTGAATACAGCACACTGATGGGTCTTGACTCTTTATCCAATTTGCCAGTCTGTGTCTTTTAATTGGAGCATTTAACCCATTTACATTTAAGGTTAATATTGTTATGTGTGAATTTGATCCTGTCATTATGATGCTAGCTGGTTATTTTGCTCGTTAGTTGATGCAGTTTCTTCCTAGCATCAATGGTCTTTACAATTTGGCATGTTTTTGCAGTGGTTGGTACCGGTTGTTCCTTTCCATGTTTAGTGCTTCCTTCAGGAGCTCTTTTAGGGCAGGCCTGGTGGTGACAAAATCTCTCAGCATTTGCTTGTCTGTAAAGGATTTTATTTCTCCTTCAATTATGAAGCTTAGTTTGGCTGGATATGAAATTCTGGGTTGGAAATTCTTTTAAGAATGTTGAATATTGGCCCTCACTCTCTTCTGGCTTGTAGAGTTTCTGTCCTGAGATCAGCTGTTAGTCTGATGGGCTTCCTTTGTGGATAACCCGACCTTTCTCTCTGGCTGCCCTTAGCATTTTTTCCTTCGTTTCAACTTTGGTAAATCTGACAATATTTGTCTTGGAGTTGCTCTTGTCAAGGCGTATCTTTGTGGCATTCTCTGTATTTCCTGAATTGAATGTTGGCCTGCCTTGCTAGGTTGGGGAAGTTCTCCTGGAGAATATCCTACAGAGTGTTTTCCAACTTGGTTCCATTCTCCCCGTCACTTTCAGGTACACCAATCAGACGTAGATTTGGTCTTTTCTCATAGTCCCATATTTCTTGGAGGCTGTTGTCCTTGCTTTTTACTTTTTTTCCTCTAAACTTCTCTTCTTGCTTCATTTCATTCATTTGCTCTTCCATCACTGATACCCTTTCTTCCACTTGATTGAGTCGGCTGCTGAAGCTTGTGTATGTGTCACGTAGTTCTCATGCCATGGTTTTCAGCTCCATCAGGTCATTTAAGGTCTTCTCTACACTGTTTATTCTAGTTAGCCACTCGTCCAATCTTTTCTCAAGGTTTTTAGCTTCTTTTCTTCGAACATCCTCCTTTAGTTTGGAGAAGTTTGTTATTACCGATCGTCTGAAGCCTACTTCTGTCTATTTGTCAAAGTCATTCTCCATCCAGCTGTGTTCCATTGCTGGCGAGAAGCTGCGTTCCTTTGGTGGAGAAGAGGCACTCTGATTTTTAGAATTTTCAGCTTTTCTGCTCTGGTGTCTCCGCATCTTTGTGGTTTTATCTACCTTTGGTCTTTGGTGATGGTGACATATAGATGGGGTTTTGGTGTGGATGTCCTTTCTGTTTGTTAGTTTGCCTTCTAACACTGAGGACCCTAACCTGCAGGTCTGTTGGAGTTTGCTGGAGGTTCACTGCAGACCCTGTTTGCCAGGGTATCTCCATTGGAGGCTGCCGAACAGCAAATATTGCAGTACAGCAAATGTTGCTGCCTGATCCTTCCTCTGGAAGCTTCGTCTCAGAGGGGCACCTGTCTGTATGAGGTGTCAGTCGGCCCCTACTGGGAGGTGTCTCTCAGTTAGACTACTCAGGGGTTAGGAACCCACTTGAGGAGGCAGTCTGTGTGTTTTCAGATCTCAAACTCCGTGCTGAGAGAACCACTACTCTCTTCAAAGTGTCAGACAGGGAAGTTTAAGTCTGCAGAAGTTTCTGCTGCCTTTTGTTCAGCTATGCCCTGCTCCCCAGAGGTGGAGTCTGCAGAGGCAGGCAGGCCTCCTTGAGCTGTGGTGGGCTCCACCCAGTTCGAGCTTCTGGGCAGCTTTGTTTACCTACTCAAGACTCAGCAATGGCAGACGCCCCTCCCCCAGCCTCGCTGCTGCCTTGCAGTTCAATCTCAGACTGCTGTGCTAGCAGTGAGTGAGGCTCAGTGGGCGTGGGACCCTCTGATCCAGGCGCAGTATATCATCTCCTTGTGTGCCATTTGCTAAGACTGTTGGAAAAGCGCAGTATTAGGGTGGGAATGTCCCGATTTTCCAGGTACGGTCTGTCACGGCTTCCCTTGGCTAGGAAAGGGAATTCCCTGACCCCTTGCGCTTCCTGGGTGAGGCGATGCCCCGCCCTGCTTTGGCTCACACTCTGTGGGTTGCACCCACTCTCCAGCAAGCCTCAGTCCAACAACCTCAGTTGGAAATGCGGAAATCACCCATCTTCTGTGTCGCTCATGCTGGTAGCTGTAGACTGGAGCTGTTCCTATTCGGCCATCCCAGTCTTCTCTCTTATAGCTAAGGAGACTGAAGTGCAGAGAAGTACAACCAGTTTTCTAATGTCTCTGAGCTAGTTTAGTGGTAGGTGATCTATAGAGTATGAAAATTTGAAAGTATGAGAACAATGGCCTTTTGATGTATGCTAAGGCTGTTTGCAGGGCTGTATGAAAAACCTTTTAATTCAGCTGACCTGTTTTTAGTCAGTGGTTTTCAAGTAATTGTCTCTGGCAGATCCCAGATGATTCCAATGAGCAGTTGCTCTTCTGAATGATTGGAGATTGACCCTCTAATATGTAGAGAATAAGCAACTTCACCCTAAAATCTGAGCACAGAATTTTCTGACAGACTTCTTCCCAGAGGCCGAAATTGGTTTCAGATCTATCATTTCTCGGAGTCAGTTCCAGGTGTTGACCACAACTTTTCTTCATCTTTGAAGGTTTGGAAAAAATATATGCACATATATATATAGTTAAAATACTATATTTTGGAAGGCCATGGATTGATTGTGATAGCTTGAATTCATAGCATAGTAATTTATATAGAGCAAAAGGCAAGTTATCATTGTATGAGTGAGGACTATTGCTATGACTGGTAAGCCATAGGGTAGATATGGTCATATGTGAATGTTAGGCCATTTTTATTCCTAGATTCCCAGATCTTTGAACTTCCTTGTTTTCTGGCTCACGTCAGGAAAAGGTTAGAAACTGTTGAGACTTAGAGCTGGGGCTTGAACCTGGTTCTCTTGATTCTTCTGGAGTGGTGCTGTTTTCACCAACCCACCCTGTAAGTTTACAGCTATTCTAGGAGTCTCTGCCATTTATGTTCTTTTAGTTGCATACTATATGGATGAAGAGACTAATGCAGTGTAGAGTTTTACCAGGGCTGGTGAAGTGTGATAATGAGGTCTGAACCACAGCAAGGCACCATTAGGCTTGACTAATACTAAATTACTTTGCCTTTAGTCATTACGAAATTAGGGTTTGTGTATTTAGTGTGTGCTTCCTGGGGAAACCTATGTGTCCTTTATTCATTCAGCAAGTATTCAAGCACCTTGCAGCATTTTGGGCAGGTTACAAAATGGTGGGAAGAGATTACACGCATACTTAAAAGCATATACCTACTATAGGTTCTGGGTTTAGTGATCATAGGTATAGGACTTGTAGAAATGAGGTAGCTGCACAGAGTAGTCATAGATGCAGCATATAGTTTTTCTTGCCCCTTGCCCACAGGGTGCACAGCTTCTTGAGACAAACCTCATGCGAGTCAAGTTCTGCCATATTGAGTACCTCATACTCCACACCCTTTTTAGGATTTTTTATCACCGTTTCTGAAGAGCTTAACATTTACAGTCTATGTGATTCATTTAAGTACATGTTTATAAACATGGGGCTCTCCTGGATCCTCTACCAGGATCAGTGTGAGCAAGGCCAAATCCTCCCTGAAGGAGAGAAAATAGAGACCATTCCCACGTGTCCCTGGATCATGTCTCTGCGTTAGCTCTCCAGTGTCTCTAAAGCCCATCCTTTGATGCTGATTTTGATGGTTCTAATACTGAGTTTAGAAAAATCTTTTTCTTCTGTACGCTTACTATGTTCTGGGTACTCCATTATGGGTTTACATAGTTAAGAAACTGTAAGAGTCAGATATTGTTGGCCTCATTTTATAGCCCAAATAAACTGAGGCCCGGAAGGATTAGTAACTTGTCTGAGGTCATTCATATTAAATAGTAGAGCCATGATTCATTTCTACATCTTTCTAATTCCAAAGGTGGCCCCTTGCCCTTTTTATTCTGCCATGTAGCCAAGCATAGTGTTTTTGGGTCAGTGTTTTTCAAATCTTTTTATGTTCCTCTAGTGGAATGCTTGTAGTGATTTTTAGGATAAATTAACCCAGAATGATATCACAGCTATAAAGAACTATTTATTGAAGGCCTGTTTTTTTTTGTGCTTTTTTTTTTTTTTCCATCTGCTTAGCCCCCTTGAAATCAAGTGGCATTCTTTTTGAAGGGCTTAGTGGCTTGTCAGTTATTTGCACTCAGTATTTTCCCCTTAAGGGTACTATATTCAATTTGTAGATAACCTTGGTGATAGATAATCCTCAGCTGGGACAATCTAAATGTCATTTACATTTGAGGGATTATCCCAAATTTACCTTCCTAATAACATTTTATATTATCCAGTGTTGAAATGTTGGAATGAATTACTTGTCCTGACTAGTCTCTCTTGTCCTTCGAGTTTTACTGTCTTTGCCACCTCCTACCCCCACCCGATTCCGTCCGGAGTAGGTACGGACTTCTCCCCATTATCTGTAACAACGTGAGTCAGTTGCACTTAAATTACTTTTGAATGGCTTTCTTTCCATAGTGCTGAGTAAAGTACTAATGAGGATGGCAGCTAGAATGTAGTGTGGCTCCTAGAGTAGAAATACATGTTTTCTTTTCCTGGCCTCCCATAGCCAAAATTCAGTGACTTTTCAAACCCCTAATGAGAGGACCCATTTCTTTTGTTCATGAAACCCTAGTACTAGTCAAGGCAAAGTGTAGCTCCTAGTTCTTAAATGATTTAACAGATAAAATACTAATCAGAGCTCATCTACTACAAGGGACATATTAACCAGATTTGTATATCAGCAAAGTAGGCTAACCTTTCCTTTATAGCCTAATGTCTGAGCAACGTGATAAACTAGGTTCTCTTGAACTGGCTCTGGACACTTAACTGCTTCTTGGGCTAGCACAAATACTGTAATTAGCATCTAATGTTATTATAGTTGAAAGATGATTAGAAAGTGGACATATTTCGTCATTTCTCCACAGAATTAAACAGAAGATCGGGAGGTGTGTAGGACCATAACTTGTGTCAGAGCCCATAGTGAATGAATATTTTATAAGAAGAAATTTGAGGGGGCCAGAGCATTTGTTAACCACAACCTTCTTAAGTTTCTCCCTTCTTCCTTTAAATGCATACATTTATCATCACTTACCAGTCTGTGATCATTGGCTGTTGTATTTTAATTAGCAATTACTGCAGAGTATCTCACAGCTGACCCAATGCATAATTAGAATAATCATGGGAGTAGACTTTGCAAGCTGGCTTCCTGGGGACTTGGGCAGAATTTTAATGTTTTGCTTTAGCTGCTAGGACTCTAACCTCTGCCTTTCCCAATTTTCAATAATGTCTCCTTTTTTTTTTTTTTGACACCCCATGGCTACATAGGGTTTTGTGCAGCCGGGGCCTGTAATAAGCCTTTTCTGTTCATCAGATACTTAAACCTTAGTGTGAATCAGTTGTGGAGGGGTGGTGGAAATCAATGTTATTTCATGAAAATCAATGTGCTACTTCTTCCAGGGTATTATTTCTATTTTAAGTCTGATCTCTAATGGTGAAATAAATGTGGCTCATAAAAGGAATTCATGGACGGGGAAAGGAAAAGGTTTGTGTTTATGTGGGCTCCTTCCCCTATCTGAGAAATCATACCTTCATTTCAGAGTTGGCCCTGCTTTCAGAAATTTAATTTATATATATTTATCCCATCAAATGTTTAATTCTGTTGTTCATTTGACATCATCATTGAAAATTCTCATTTAATTCATACTAGCCAAATAGGTCAATCATTCACCAGTCTGACATTTTTCTATGTTAATCTCATTTCACTCAGTCCTTTGGAAACTACTAGATGAAAGTGTCATTTTATTAAAATTTCATATCAACTTGACCCTGGAGTATGGGCAGTTGGCAGAATTATCATCAGGTGTAAATTGTAGTCTGGGCTTCAGGTGCCCATGATCTTTTTTGGTTTGGTCATGTGTATTAATGACTGTGCTGCACCACCTTTAACAGAGGCTCTGGGAAAAATAGGCCATAGAAATTTGAGGATATTTATAAGGAAAAAATGTCTAACTTTACTATGGAGAAGTAAATGAGGTTGAATGGAGTCATTTCTCTCTCCCTCTCTCCCCCCGGTCTCTGTGTGTGTGTGTGTTGCGTTAAAACAAAAGAGCATCTCTTTATCTTCACTGTATTCATCTAAAAGGTTTAGGCTATTTTTATTCCCTGTTTCAGTCTAAGAGGGAATAAAGAAACATGAAAACACTATAGGTAATATTTCATAAGGACCATTATGATGGAGATAAGGCTGATAGTGAGTTGGTTGTATGCTCCTCTGCTAAGATCGTATTTTACCTGAAACATATATGAGATTTTGGCATTTGGTCCAAAAATCAAGAGACTAGATAAATAATAACCAGCTTTAAGACAAGGACAGGGAATATGCAAGTAATAAAGTATATTTACTGCTACCAGGAGTCCTCATCATTTAGACATTTAATTTTCTTTGAATGAAAGCATAGATACATGGCTGTGTTTCTCTAGTGTTCCCTGTAGTGTCTAACATTTATGAGTATTTAATACATTTTTATCATAATTAATATCCCAAATGGATTGGGATTTTCTCTGGGGGATGGTATAACTGGAGGCTTAGGAATCTGTGGCAAAGATTAAGTGTTTTTTTAATGAATTACTGTTTGGCTGTGTGTGAGGGCATCCTGATTTACTTAATCATTATGTTCCTTGTGTGGCAGGGTAGTCTTTCACGGAGTGATGAGAGTCAGGCTACTGTTTATGGTATTGGACACATGGTGTGGAAAGAGCATAGGCCTCAGAGTTAGATGGAGCTGGATTTGAATTACAGTTCCAGTGCAATATGGAAAATGTGGACAGTTTCACTTTTCTTGCAGGATTAATATGAGAATAGAACTACTGCATGTAAAGGACCAGGCAGGACAGTCTCCTGATAAAGATAGCTATTACTATTACCGTTTAGACAGAGATATTGAATCCATGTGACCACTAAAATAAGCAGGTTGCCCTACTCTCTGTGTCAGTGATGGTTTGCATATTGGCTGATATCCTATCACAGTGTATTAATTCCTAATAGTTGTTGAGTTCAGTTCTAAGTGCCTAGAAGAGAAGAGAGTGGGATGTCTTTCTCTGGGGAAGCTTGCGGTTTAATCCGGGATACATAGGGATAAACTATTTGCTGAAGTCTATGCAACAGACACATGCTTTGGCATTCAGAAGAGAGAGAGTGCCCCTATGGGAAGGGGAAGTCAGGATGGATTTTATGAAAAGGTTTACACTTGAGAGGAATCATGAAGAATGGGTGAAGTTTTGACAGGCAGAGGTAGGTATAAGGAGTGGGATCAAGGTATTAACAATAAGGCAATGAATAAACATATTTTCTTTTGCTTTTTTGTGTTTTCGTTTTTAACATAACAATAACATAATCAAATGACCTTTGGAAGGCACAACATCAGTCTCCTTGTGATGAGTGAGGCAGAGATAACATAAACAGTGGTGCTTCTGCTGGTGTCATTCCTGAGCCTGAGTTTAGCATTTTTATTGAAAATTAAGATGAACACTTAATAAATTTATGGATAACAAAATTGTACTGAGATGGTGTTAATCCACAGAGGCAGGTGGGTGGGAGTGGTTGGGGGTGGAGAATACAGTTAAGCTTTAAAAAATCTTCTGCACGTTAGACTCCTGATCACAGGGATATAGAATGGCATTCAGTAGAAATCTAAGAATTGGTAGTTTAATTCTGCTATGAAAATAAAAAAGCCAAGCCCAGCTGGATAGGGGAGTTCATAAAAATTCACAAAGACTTGACCTGGAAATTATCACACTTCCTTTTATATGAGCACAGTCAGGCACTGGGGACCTTAGGGCCATTGTAAGACTTAATTTCCTGAACAGATATGAAGAACATTTACAGGTTACAATAAAAATAGCTACCATTTTTTGAGTGTGTACTATTTTATGTGACAAATAATAGTTAACATTTATTGAATATTTGTGGCAGGCCTGAAGATAGGTACTATCTTCTACTTCTCAATAGCCTTGCAAGGTGGTAGGTCCTTACCCCTATTTTACAAATCAAGAAACAAGCTCCAGAAGATTCAGTGACTTGCTTGAGGGCCTACATGAAAAAGCCACAATTTCTGACTGACTCTAAAGTCCATGTTTGCCTCACTTTACCATGTTTTTTTTCCACTAAAAAAATTTAATATGCGCAAATAAGCATAGAAAACCATATCTACGGAAGGATGTATACAGTATGTTATTATTTATATAAAATTGGAAAACAAAACTATCCATTTTTATGTATTCATACTATACAATAATCGTGTCAAATGTTCATAAAAGTGGTAAACATCCAATTTAGCATTCTGGTCACTCTGTAAAGGGAAGGAAGGAATAAACTGTATCCGTAGTGTTTATTTTTCTTTAAAAAAAAGAAGAGAAAATTTGAGACAAATGTGGAAGAATGTTAAAATTTGTTAAAGCTGGGTTATGGGTATTTTATGTTATTTTTTATACTTTCTCTGTTTGAAACATTCAAAAGATGAAAAACAAAACCAGGCCTAAATTACCAGATAGAAAGCTTTGGTGGCATTTGCATTGGAAGAAGGGAAGAGCTAGACAGTGCGTGCACCTCTAAGGTCTCTCTAGGCCAGCTGTAAAATTCTGTGGTTTTCTGATGACCAAGGTCCCTGCTAGTTTGACATCTTTATAGCTTTATAAATCTAAGATACAGAATGATGATTCAAAGAAAATTCTACCTATTCTTGTTTCTCTTTTTTTTTTTTTTGAGACAGAGTCTCGCTGTTGTTCCCCAGGCTGGAGTGCAGTGGTGCGATCTTGGCTCACTGCAACCTTTGTCTCCCAGATTCAAGCGATTCTCCTGCCTCAGCCTCCTGAATAGCTGAGATGACAGGCTCCTGCTGCCATGCCCTGCTAATTTTTGTATTTTTAGTAGAGACAGGGTTTCACCATGTTGGCCACGCTGGTCTCAAACTCCTGACCTCAAGTAATCCTCCTGCCTTGGCCTCCCAAAGTGCTGTGATTACAGGTGTGAGCCACTGCACCCGGCCTTGTTTCTGTTGTTTTTAAGCTCTTGAATAAAAGCATGATTTTGAAGTTTCTGAATCTACTCAAACGCAGTACGATATTTTGAAAAGAACCTGGGCTCTGAAGTTAGACTGACTGAGATTTGAATCTCAGCCTTGCCACTTGATACCCTGAGACTGAGAACAAGTTACTAAACCTCTCTGAGCCTCTGCTGCTTCTGTGAAATGAGGATAAGACTACTTCCTAAGATTGTTGTGGCAGTTAAAGATGACCTGTAAAGAGTGAAGCATATGATGGGTACTCATAGTAGGCTATTTCATTTGGCTTCTGAAGCTCTGTACAAATATTAATTTCATTCAATTCTATGTCCTAAATATTCCTCATGTCTATTCACAGCTCTGTATTCCCAGGGCCATCACCCCTGTTCAGGCTGTATTCCTCTCTTTCACCTAGTCCTCATAAATGGCCTCTTAACTGATCTCTCTTTGTGTTCACACTGGCTCCCCTCTTTTTTTTTTTTTTTTTTGCTTTCTGTAATCAGATCTTTCACAAACCCAAATTAGACCACACTCTTTTTTCCTTGCTTATTTCAGTCTTTTATATTCCCTTTTGAGAACTCCCCTGGCTGTTGCTGCCATCCTCTCTCATTTTCTTTCTCACCACTGTTACTGCAACTGAAGTTGCATTTCATGCCTCACCTATACTGAATTTCCTTAGTAACTTGAAAGTTCCATATGCTCTCTTATCTCTTGCTTCTTGTCCTTCTTCCCCTTCACCTTGCTCTAAGTATCCTTTCTAATTCTTACTGATTCTTCAGGTTTCATTTTAAATCTCAGTTTCTCTGATAAGCCTTCCTTGACACCCTAAGAAGGTTAAGTCTTCTTGCTGTGTTTTGACCTCAGCTGCCCTTCTCCAGTCTTCATCAAACTTGTATTATAATTTCGTGTTTGAAGTCTGTGCTCTACTCTCGCCCTGCACATTTAATGAAAACAGAGTGCATCATGGTCACTTATATCTGCAGCCTAACTGGCAGATCATAGATGCTCAATACATGTTGGTTTGGTTGAGTGAATGAATGAATGAATGAATGAATGAATTTTAAGATTGATCAAGTCCTTCTCCTATACTTTTCTCAATGTGTGTTCTTGGTTAATGACCTGATTGACCCTCAGTTTTCCAACCTCTGAAGTGAGATAACACTATCCAACTCTAATGTGTTGTGAGTTACAAGTGAGCCAATGGACATAAACTGCCTGGCACGTAGTGAGGACTGAATGAATACTATTTTTCCTTTATAAATGGGAAAACAAGAACAATAGAGATTTCCCAAGAAATGTAAGTGTGCTTTTTAAATATAAAAACAAAAATATTACTTATTTAGATAGTAGCACACAATATAGCTTTCTGCTTATAAATCCAAGTATAGCAAGTCTTTGAGAACCTATTATCAGGGGCTTGTCTCAGCAGAGGTTTATAATCCTGCTCCTACCTAGCAGTGCTCCTAGGCCATTTCTAGTGTCCCAACTTGACATTCTGTCCATTCTGCTCCTTAATTGCTAGTTGGAGAAGGTGTTCAAGACTGTATTCCACCTGTTTGTTACACATGTAATGAACATTCTCCTATGGCTCTTATGTTCTCAGTGGAGCTATCTATCTAGCCCTCCGATTCTAAACCCCAGTTCTAAACTTTTCTTTCCCAACTATGGTGGTTGATCTCTGTAGCTAGGATTTCCAGCTGTCTTATGGAGGGGAGCCAGGTACCAACACTATCTCTCACTCCATTTGGTCCTAATTTATTCTTTTGGGGCCATTCTTTTTAATTCAGATGTATTAAGACTAGGATTTTTTCAAAGAAAATAAAACTGTTTGAATTGTAATTAATACATGCTGTTGTAGGAAATTTGTAAAGCAAAAATCAAAAGGCAAACAAAAATGACATGTCATTTTATTTCCCATTTGTAAGCACTGTTGAGAATTTGTATTTTTTAAATCTTTGTCCTTTCCTTCAATGATAAAAGTTTACTGCCAGGCATGGTGGCATGCATCTGTAGTCCCAGCTACTTAGGAGGCTGAGGCAAGGAGGATTTCTTAAGCCCAGGAATTCAAGTCTGTAGTACGCTATGATCACGCCTGTGAATAGCCACTGTATTCCAGCCTGGGCAATATAGCGAGACTCTGTCTCTCTTTTATTTTATAAAAATAAAGTTTTATTTCTTTTTAATTTTCTTAAACAATACATATTTATAGAAAATATATAGAGAACAACAAATGTCACCTATAGTTTCATGGCTCAAAGATAATTATTGTTAATGTTTTTATGTATTTTACTTATGACATTTTAAAAAGTAAAAATTATATAGCAAATACATGGATAGATTCTCCTGGTAAGTTTTCAAAACTTTACAGATAAAATGAATGTACCCTTTGCCCCTCTCCCATTTTTCCTCCAGAGTAACACTTTTGTTCATTTAGTGTATATTCTTCTGAAGACAGTAAGACTTGTTAGTGGCATCTAGTGGGTAGAGGTCAGGGATGCTGCTAAACATCCTATAAGGCACAGAACTCTCCACACATCTCCTGCTACAGATAACTGTCTGGCCCAAAATGTTAATAGTGTCACTGTCACAAACCCTCCTCCAGAGCTTGTTTTATGAACATACACATACACATACACATACACATACACATACACAGTGCACATGCACACAAATAATTTAGTGTTTGTGTGTATATATATATATATATATGTATAGGTATTTCTTTTTTTGAAGAGACAGAGTCTTGCTCTGTTGCACAGGCTGGAGTACAGTGGCACAATCATGGTCAGTGAAACCTTGAACTCCTGGAATAGTTACATATATATATATATATATATATATATATATATATATATAATTTTTAATGTAAGTGGCATTATACTTTAAGTATTGTTTTGCTTCTTGCTTTTTGCATTTACCAGTATACCTTAGGGATATTTCCAATTCAGTTTATGTAGTTCTACCTTATTTCTTCTGTGCATAGTATTCCAGAATATGAGTTTTCAATATTTTAGTCAGTCAGTTCCCTTTATGGTCATTTAGGCCATTTCTTAGATTTTTAAATATCTTTGTACATGTTCCTCTGTATTTCTCTAGAGAGTGTATTTAGAAATAGAAATACTGGGTTACAAGATATTACTTCTAGAAATATGCTTTTAAAGAAAGATTTGGATTGCATTGCACATACAGTTGTATTAAACTACTCTTTTTGTTTAACATTATGTTGTGACACTGACAGGGACTGAACTATTGGTTTACCAAACCTGTTTTCTCTTTTTTTCTGGAGTCATGAGTAGACTGTTTCCCACCCCACTTTGCAGGTACTTGTGGCCTGTGACTCAGTTCTGTACAATAGAATGTAAGTGGAAGTGATTTTTGCTGCTTCTAGACCTGGCACATAAAAGACTTCCCTGTTGTAATCATCCATGCTCTTTCCAACTGCTAGGTGGATACCAACACTAAGGGTAACTTTGTAAGTTACCAAATAAATATGGCAGAGCTCCTAGCAGCTTGAGTCTCAATACGTGTGTGGAACCGGGCCCTATCTCCAGCCTGTTCTTCCCTGTTAATCTGGCACCACCTTGAACTGCTTCATGAAGGAGAACCAAACTTTCTTTGTGTGTTAAGTGAAATCTTGGTGCTTGTTATAGCAGCTAGCACTATCTTAACTGATTGAGCATTTTTAAAATGTCATTAAATGTTTTAAAAATATTATTTTAAATAAATGTTTCATATCTCATAACATGGTTGTGCCATAATTTAATCATTCTGCTATTAGTGAGCATTTAACATTTTTATAATTTTTTTCTATAATGTGACAACTTTTCTGCAAAAATCCTTATCCATCTTTCTCATTACTTTGTTTGTATAAAAAGCAATGGCTCTCAACTGGGAAATACTTTTCCTCTGGGGCACATTTGGCAATGTCTGGAGACATTTTGATTGTCAAAATTTTGAGGGGGTGTGTTGCTGGCATCTATCGATTAGAGGTCAGACAGGGATGCTGCTAAACAACGTAGAAGGCGCAGAATAGCCTCCCACAACCAACAATTATCTAGCCCCAAATTTCAGTAATGCCAAAGTTGAAAATTCCTGGTTTTGAATTTAGAAAGATTACTTCATCAAAAGACATTTTCAGACTTTTGATTTGTTCTGACGAGTTTGTCAGAAAAGCTTCAACAGTTTATATTTCTACCAGCAGTACATGAGAGTACCTCTATCACTCCATTTTCATCATGGTGAAATTTTTAAAATCTTTTTTGCACTTTGCTGTTTGAAAGGTGAAGTGAAATCTTATTTTCCTTTATGACCCCTTAATCACTAATGAAGATGAATTTTTCCATATGTTTGATGGGTTTTTTAAATATTCTGTTAGTGAATTTTAAAAAATAAAGACAGGGTCTTGCTGTGTTGCACAGACTGGCCTCAAACTCCTTTCCTCGAAAGATCCTCCTACCTCAATCTCCCAAAGTGCTGGGATTACACATGTGAGCCAGCACACCCACACTGTTAGTGAATTTTCTGTTCTTGCTCCCAGTCCTTATTTATGGAAGATACTTTTTTCAGGAAATTTTTTTGCCATTTAATTTTCTTAACAATATTTTCGTGTTTTTGACATAAATTTAAAAGTTTTATTTAGTCATATCATTTTATTTTATTCTTTGTGATTTTTATCATTTTTAGGCTTTAAAAGTCCTTCCCCATTTTAGAGATGAAGTAATCACTTACATTTGCTTCTAGTTTTTATGTTTGTCTTTTTTTGTCCATCTGGTTTTTGAAGAACTGTGTAATTTCTATTCCTTTTTTTATTATTATTATACTTTAAGTTTTAGGGTACATGTGCACAACACGCAGGTTAGTTACATATGTATACATGTGCCATGTTGGTGTGCTGCACCCAGTAACTCGTCATTTAGCATTAGGTATATCTCTTAATGCTATCCCTCTCCTCTCCCCTCCCCCCACCCCACAACAGTCCCCGGTGTGTGATGTTTCCCTTCCTGTGTCCATGTGTTCTCATTGTTCAATTCCCACCTATGAGTGAGAACATGCGGTGTTTGGTTTTTTGTCCTTGCGATAGTTTGCTGAGAGTGATGGTTTCCAGCTTCATCCATGTCCCTACAAAGGACATGAATTCATTATTTTTTATGGCTGCATAGTATTCCATGGTGTATATGTGCCACATTTTCTTAATCCAGTCTATCATTGTTGGACATTTGGGTTGGTTCCAAGTCTTTGCTATTGTGAATAGTGCCACAATAAACATATGTGTGCATGTGTTTTTATAGCAGCATGATTTATAATCCTTTGGGTATATACCAAGTAATGGAATGGTTGGGTCAAATGGTATTTCTAGTTCTAGATCCCTGAGGAATCACCACACTGACTTCCACAATGGTTGAACTAGTTTACAGTCCCACCAATAGTGTAAAAGTGTTCCTATTTCTCCACATCCTCTCCAGCACCTGTTGTTTCCTGACTTTTTAATGATCGCCATACTAACTGGTGTGGTTTTGATTTGCATTTCTCTGATGGCCAATGATGATGAGCATTTTTTCATGTGTTTTTTGGCTGCATAAATGTCTTCTTTTGAGAAGTGTCTGTTTATATCCTTCACTCACTTTTTGATGGGGTTGTTTGTTTTTTTCTTGTAAATTTGTTGGAGTTCATTGTAGATTCTGGATATTAGCCCTTTGTCAGATGAGTAGATTGCAAAAATTTTCTCCCATTCTGTAGGGTGCCTGTTCACTCTGATGGTAGTTTCTCTTGCTGTGCAGAAGCTCTTTAGTTTAATTAGATCCCATTTGTCAATTTTGGCTTTTGTTGCCATTACTTTTGGTGTTTTAGACATGAAGTCCTTGGCCATGCCTATGTCCTGAATGGTATTGCCTAGGTTTTCTTCTAGGGTTTTTATGGTTTTAGGTCTAACATTTAAGTCTTTTATCCCATCTTGAATTAATTTTTGTATAAGGTATAAGGAAGGGATCCAGTTTCAGCTTTCTACATATGGCTAGCCAGTTTTCCCAGCACCATTTATTAAATAGGGAATCCTTTCCCCAATTCTTGTTTTTGTCAGGTTTGTCAAAGATCAGATGGTTGTAGATATGCGGCATTATTTCTGAGGGCTCTGTTCTGTTCCATTGGTCTATATCTCTGTTTTGGTACCAGTACCATGCTGTTTTGGTTACTGTAGCCTTGTAGTATAGTTTGAAGTCAGGTAGCGTGATGCCTCCAGCTTTGTTCTTTTGGCTTAGGATTGACTTGGCAATACGGGCTCTTTTTTGGTTCCATATGAACTTTAAAGTAGTTTTTTCCAGTTCTGTGAAGAAAGTCATTGGTAGCTTAATGGAGATGGCACTGAATCTATAAATTACCTTGAGCAGTATGGCCATTTTCATGATATTGATTCTTCCTATCCCGGAGCATGGAATGTTCTTCCATTTGTTTGTGACCTCTTTTATTTTGTTGAGCAGTGGTTTGTAGTTCTCCTTGAAGAGGTCCTTCACATCCCTTGTAAGTTGGATTCCTAGGTATTTTATTCTCTTTGAAGCAATTGTGAATGGGAGTTCACTCATGATTTGGCTCTCTGTTTGTCTGTTATGGGTGTATAGGAAGGCTTGTGATTTTTGCACATCGATTTTGTATCCTGAGACTTTGTTAAAGTTGCTTATCAGCTTGAGGAGATCTTGGGCTGAGACGATGGGGTTTTCTAAATATACAATCATGTCATCTGCAAACAGGGACGATTTGACTTCCTCTTTTCCTAATCGAATGCCCTTTATTTCTTTCTCTTCCCTGACTGCCCTAGCCAGAACTTCCAACACTATGTTGAATAGGAATGGTGAGAGAGGGCGTCCCTGTCTTGCGCCAGTTTTCAAAGGGAATGCTTCCAGTTTTTGTCCATTCAGTATGATATTGGCTGTGGGTTTGTCATAAATAGCTCTTATGATTTTGAGATATGTCCCATGAATACCTAGTTTATTGAAAGTTTTTTTTAGCATGAAGGGCTGTTGAATTTTGTCAAAGGCCTTTTCTGCATCTATTGAGATAATCATGTGGTTTTTGTCTTTGGTTCTGTTTATATGATGGCTTACGTTTATTGATTTGTGTATGTTGAACCAGCCTTGCATCCCAGGGATGAAGCCAGCTTGATCGTGGTGGATAAGCTTTTTGATGTGCTGCTGGATTCGGTTTGCCAGTATTTTATTGAGGATTTTTGCATCGTTGTTCACCAGGGATATTGGTCTAAAATTCTCTTTGTTGTATCTCTCCCAGGCTTTGGTATCAGGATGATGCTGGCCTCATAAAATGAGTTAGGGAGGATTCCCTCTTTTCCTATTGATTGGAATAGTTTCAGAAGGCATGGTACCAACTCCTCTTTGTACCTCTGGTAGAATTAGGCTGTGAATCCATCTGGTCCTGGAGATTTTTTGATTGGTAGGCTATTAATTATTGCCTCAATTTCAGAGCCTGTTATTGGTCTATTCAGGGATTCAACTTCTTATCTTGTTTTAGTCTTGGGTGGGTGTATTTGTTGAGGAATTTATCCATTTCTTCTAGATTTTCTAGTTTATTTCCGTAGAGGTGTTTCTGGTATTCTCTGATGGTAGTTTGTATTTCTGTGGGATCGGTGGTGATATCCCCTTTATCATTTTTTTATTGCATCTATTTGACTCTTCTCTCTTTTCTTCTTTATTAGTCTTGCTAGCGGTCTCTCAATTTTGTTGATCTTTTCAAAAAACCAGCTCCTGGATTCCTTGATTTTTTGAAGGGTTTTTTATGTCTCTATTTCCTTCAGTTCTGCTCTGATCTTAGTTATTTCTTGCCTTCTGTTAGCTTTTGAATGTGTTTGCTCTTGCTTCTCCAGTTCTTTTAATTGTGATGTTCAGGTGTCAATTTTAGAACTTTCCTGCTTTCTCTTGTGGGCATTTAGTGCTATAAATTTCCCTCTACGCACTGCTTTAAATGTGTCCCAGAGATTCTGGCATGTAGTGTCTTTGTTCTCATTGGTTTCAAAGAACATCTTTATTTCTGTCTTCATTTTGTTATGTACCCAGTAGTCATTGAGGAGTACGTTGTTCAGTTTCCATATAGTTGAGTGGTTTTGAGTGAGTTTCTTAATCCTGAGTTCTAATTTGATTGCACTGTGGTCTGAGAGTTTGTTATAATTTCTGTTCTTTACATTTGCTGAGGAGTGCTTTATTTCCAACTATGTGGTCAATTTTGGAATAAGTGTGATGTGGTGCTGAGAAGAATGTATATTCTGTTGATTTGGGGTGGAGAGTTCTGTAGATGTCTATTAGGTCTGCTTGGTCCAGAGTTGAGTTCAAGTCGTGGAAATCCTTTTTAACTTTCTGTCTCGTTGATGTGTCTAATGTTGACAGTGGGGTCTTAAAGTCTCTCATTATTCTTGCGTGGGAGTCTAAGTCTCTTGGTAGGTCTCTAAGGACTTGATTTATGAATCTGGATGCTCCTTTATTGGGTGCATATATATTTAGGATAGTTAGCTCTTCTTGTTGAATTGATCCCTTTAACATTATGTAATGACCTTCCTTGTGTCTTTCAATCTTTGTTGGTTTAAAGTCTGTTTTATCCGAGACTAGGTTTGCAACCCCTGCCTTTTTTTGTTTTCCATTTGCTTGGCAGATCTTCCTCCATCCCTTTATTTTGAGCTTATGTGTGTGTCTGCACGTGAGATGGGTCTCCTGAATACAGCACACTGATGGGTCTTGACTGTTTAATCAATTTGCCAGTCTGTGTCTTTTAATTGGAGCATTTAGCCCATTTACATTTAAGGTTAATATTGTTATGTGTGAATTTGATCCTGTCATTATGATGTTAGCTGGTTATTTTGCCCGTTAGTTGATGCAGTTTCTTCCTAGCATCAATGGTCTTTACAATTTGGCATATTTTTGCAGTGGTTGGTACCGGTTGTTCCTTTCCATGTTTAGTGCTTCCTTCAGGAGCTCTTGTAAGGCAGGCCTGCTGGTGACAAAATCTCTCAGCATTCGCTTGTCTGTAAAGGATTTTATTTCTCCTTCACTTAATGAAGCTTAGTTTGGCTGGATATGAAATTCTGGGTTGAAAATTCTTTTAAGAATATTGAATATTGGCCCCCACTCTTTTCTGGCTTGTAGAGTTTCTGTCCTGAGATCAGCTGTTAGTCTGATGGGCTTCCTTTGTGGATAACCCGACCTTTCTCTCTGGCTGCCCTTAGCATTTTTTCCTTCGTTTCAACTTTGGTAAATCTGACAATATGTGTCTTGGAGTTGCTCTTGTCAAGGCGTATCTTTGTGGCGTTCTGTGTATTTCCTGAATTTGAATGTTGGCCTGCCTTGCTAGGTTGGGGAAGTTCTCCTGGAAAATATCCTGCAGAGTGGTTTCCAACTTGTTTGCATTCTCTCAGTCACTTTCAGGTACACCAATCAGACGTAGATTTGGTCTTTTCTCATAGTCCCATATTTCTTGGAGGCTGTTGTCCTTGCTTTTTACTTTTTTTCTCTGAACTTCTCTTCTTGCTTCATTTCATTCATTCGCTCTTCCATCACTGATACCCTTTCTTCCACTTGATTGAATCGGCTGCTGAAGCTTGTGTATGTGTCACGTAGTTCTCATGCCATGGTTTTCAGCTCCATCAGGTCATTTAAGGTCTTCTCTACACTGTTTATTCTAGTTAGCCATTCATCCAATCTTTTCTCAAGGTTTTTAGCTTCTTTTCTTCGAACATCCTCCTTTAGTTCAGAGAAGTTTGTTATTACCAATCGTGTGAAAACTTCTTCTCTCAACTCGTCAAAGTCATTCTCCATCCAGCTTTGTTCCGTTACTGGTGAGGAGCTGCGTTCCTTTGAAGGAGGAGAGGCACTCTAATTTTTAGAGTTTCCAGTTCTTCTGCTCTTTTTTTTCCCCATCTTTGTGGTTTTATCTACCTTTGGTCTTTGATGATGGTGACATACAGATGGGGTTTTGGTGTGGATGTCCTTTCCGTTTGTTAGTTTTCCTTCTGACAGTCAGGACCCTCAGCTGCAAGTCTGTTGGAGTTTGCTGGAGGTCCACTCCAGACCCTGTTTGCCTGGGTATCAGCAGCGGAGGCTGCAGAACAGCGGTTATTGGTGAACAGCAAATGTTGCTGCCTGATCGTTCCTCTGGAAGTTTTGTCTCAGAGGAGTACCCGGCCGTGTGAGGTGTCAGTCTGCCCCTACTGGGGGGTGCCTCCCAGTTAGGCTACTCGGCGGTCAGGGACCCACCTGAGGAGGCAGTCTGTCCGTTCTCAGATCTCCAGCTGCGTGCTGGGAGAACCACTACTCTCTTCAAAGCTGTCAGACAGGGTCATTCAAGTCTGCAGAGGATTCTGCTGCCTTTTGTTTGGCAATGCCCTGCTCCCAGAGGTGGAGTCTACAGAGGCAGGCAGGCCTCCTTGAGCTGCAGTGGGCTCCACCCAGTTCGAGCTTCCTGGCTGCTTTGTTTTCCTTCTGAAGCCTGGGCAATGTCAGGCACCCCTCCCCCAGCCTCGCTTCCACCTTGCAATTTGATCTCAGACTGCTGCGCTAGCAATGAGCAAGGCTCCGTGGGCATAGGACCCTCTGAGCCAGGTGTGGAATATAATCTCCTGTTGTGCCATTTGCTAAGACCGTTGGAAAAGCGCAGTATTAGGGTGGGAGAGACCCGATTTTCCAGGTGCCATCTGTTACCCCTTTCTTTGACTAGGAAAGGGAATTCCCTGACCCCTTGTGCTTCCCGGGTGAGGCGATGCCTCGCCCTGCCTCCGCTTACGCTCGGTGCGCTGCACCCACTGACCTGCACCCACTGTCCGACACTCCCTAGTGAGATGAACCCGCTACCTCAGTTGGAAATGCAGAAATCACCCGTCTTCTGTGTTGCTCACCCTGGGAGCTGTAGACTGGAGCTGTTCCTATTCGCAAGAACTGTGTAATTTCTGAACCAATTGTTTTCATCTCTATTTAGTTGGTAATTCTTTATTTCTCCATTTATTTTATAACCAGGATTTTTGAAGGCACCTTTAGCATAATTTGAATCAAGTAAACCTGCATTTAAACATGTTTCTTTTAATTAAAATTTTAACGCAAATGTTAACCATGGCCTAGAAGCAGGAAATGAGGTGGATGTTCAGAGAACAAGAAATATGCCAGGAGGTCTAGGTTCTGAGGAGGGAGATGATACTAAAAAGGAGGTTGGAATCATATTGTGAAAATCGTTATTTGCCAGGCCTAGGGGTTAGATTCATATGCACTGGGAAGTCATCAAAGGTTCAGAACCAAGGGGCTGGCATAGTCAGAGCTATAGTTTAGGAATATTAGTAGAATAGAAGAATGGAGAGGGTAGAGGCTGTTATGCAGGTGAGAGAAAAAGAGGCCCAGAGTGGGAGAGACCCAAAATAAGAACGGGGCCTCAAAACACGAGCTCCCAAAGGAACCAGGCAGTACTGCAGAAGAGTGAAATGTGTTTAGATGTGGGCAGTGATGGGGTCCGTGGGGAACTTGAAAATGCATACATAATCTTTAATAGAGATAGACACTATTCAGTTAGGTGGCTTTTCCTATGTGGGAATATGGGTCAGAGTTGTCAGATCTGTTGTTACTTTATTGTTGTTGTTTCCAAGGAAATTCTAAAGCTGAATTTTCATGTGAGTTTCCTAATTAAACAACATACTGTGTAAACCAAATAAAACATGTTTGTTGGCCACCATTTGCTACACTAACATACCTCAGAGGTAGATTCAGAAGTATACATACTCATCATTAGATATAGGGAAACAGATTTAGAGGAATCCAAATAACTTCAGAGAAGGTGATGTGGCCTAGTGGTGACAGAGCATAAGATCTTGAGCTGGAATGACTGGGCTCAAATCCTAGCACTGCATCTTACTAATTGGATGGCCTTGGGCAAGTCACTTAACCTCTGCTATAAAGTGGGGATGAAAATATTATCTGTCGTGTAGAATTGTGGTGAAGATTAAATGCATTAATACATGTAAAATGTTTAGGCCAGTGCTTAACACAAAGTACCCCCTCAGCAGATGGTAACTGATATTTTAAGAAGTTATTAGAATGCACACTGCAGGTAAGAGAACAGGTTGTGGGCACAGCCAGCTTGGCTTTGAATCTCTGACACCTTTCAGCTGTGTGACCATGGTGACCATGGGCCATTTACTTCACCTCTTTATGCCTAAAATGTAAAATGGGGAATAACAATACCTTCTTAATTTCTGTTGCTTATAAAGTGCCCAGCACAATGCTCTAGTAGTAACTAGACTCGTTGAATCTTTTTGAAACTACTTAAGCTTCCTAATAAGAAAAGTAAAGCTGAGTGCTACACTCAGTTAATTGACTAATTATGATGGCACTCTTTTTTTTTTCTTTAAATATTCTCTTTTTGCCTTAGCAAAATATAGGTAAAGTTTTTGAGACTTTAAGTGTATTAAAATTCTTCTTCAAGCTTCAATTCTGTCTTCAAGTTTGATTGGTAGTTTGGCTAGGAATAGAATTCTAGATTGGAATGCCATTTTCCCAGGATTTTGACAGTATTTTATCGATTGTCTTTTACCTTTCAGTTACTGTTGAGAAGCCAAATTCTACCAGAATATTTGGAGATCTTTCCTTTGTCCCTGGTGACCTGAAATTTCACAGAAGGTCTTTTTTTTCTTTTTGGTTTTTTTTTTTCATTGCGTAGAATCTCATGTGTTCAGTTTCTAGGAAAAAATTTCTTAAGTTTTTGATAATTTCTTCCTCACCATTTTCTTTGTTTTCTATGTATAGAACTCGTGTTAGTCAGATGTTAGGCTGCTTGGGTCGATCCTCTCATTTTATCTTTCTTCCCCCTTCCTTAGGATTTCTTTGGATTTTTAAAAAATCCTATTTCCCTTGAAGTAATATTCTTCTTGGATTTGTTCTACTTCATGTATTATTTTATGCTGTCATTTAAAATTCTGAAGACTTCTGTCTTGTTTTCTGAATGTTCCTTTTGTATGGCACTCAAAAGGTGCATGGTTATAGTATGTTATGTCTCTGAAGACTTTACATACATATGTATTTGTTATTTTTGAGATGAGGTCTTGCTATGTTGCCCAGGATGGTCTTGAACTCCTGGCCTCAAGTGATCCTCCCACCTCAGCCTCCCAAAGTGCTGGGATTACAGGCATGCGCTTACTGTGCCCAACAATACTTTGTGGTTTTTTTTGAAGGTCTTTTTTCTTCAGCCCTTTCTTTTCCCCCTGAGTTCCTTTTTTCTGTTTGTTCATTTTGATCACTGTCTTTCAAATTAGAGTTTTCCTCAAATGTCTAGTAATCTTTGCTCATATGAGGAGTGAGGCACTAAAAACGAATTAGTGCCTCTGTGTGGTTGGGTGGCTCTTGTTCACAGATGGTTTCAATGCAGGTTGAAACGATGGTGAGCTTTTTCTTATTTGGGGAATCCCCCTCATGTTAGTCTGTGCACACCTTTTCTTTGGGCCAATTTCCACAGGGGCTTCCAGCATGACTGCCAGCATTCTGGAAACTGAGCAGAACAAAGGGGCTTGTAATGTGAGAAGGATACTGGGTGAGGAGAATCTCACCATTCAGGATGCAGACTTTCACTGACCCCCCACGGCCCTGTTTTTAGTGTAACATTTCATTTCCGTCTTCATCTCTAAACATCTCCAGACAGTAGGCCCCCATCTTGGCCCCCGTCTTTTGCCAGATTAGGGGAGCAGACTTAGGGTCCTTTTTATATAAGTTGCTTTTTATATAAGTTTATATTCTATCCTCTGTTTTCAGACCTGTACCCCTTCCCCTGAACTTCAGAAGCCCTTAGTGCCTCAATTCCTGCTCCTTTCCAGGGTCCTGCAGCTGGGCTTGGCTTGCCTTTTATTGGCACCTTTCCTTGCAGGCAGTTTGGTTTCCGTTTTCTCTGTCCTACTAAATTAGCTACCATTTATCCATCTGTTTTCCATCTTCCAAAATTTTGTGGATATCTTTCATCTACTGTCATCTTTTTCAGTCTTTTTGTTTTTATGGGCTTATAGCCTTAAAACCTTTTTTATCACTATTATTTTACTGAGGTTTCTAGCAGAAGTTGCAAACTAGGGGTTTCCATTTGCTCTATTTACCTGGAAGTCTCTTGCACTTACTTTTTTCTAGTCTGCCTCCGCCTAAACTGTGAGCGAGTTTGGAGCAGATGCCTTGTCTCGTTTATTTTTATATTTCCCGGACCTAGCACATAGTAGGCACTCAATGTTGTTGAGTGGTGAATACATCAACTGAATAAACTTTGCTTTGCAAACATTTGTTTTCTTGATGTTTCTTAAAGCAGAATGCTTACAATGTAAATCTAGATTCTGCCATTGTGGTGAGGCTGATCGCCTTTGAACGCAGCTGGTATTCACAGTATGTGCCAGTTACTTAGCATTCCCAGTGGGCATTGTTATGCAGAGGATTTTATTAAGTATCCAATGATGAATATATCTCCCAGACTCTTATTACCAAACCCCTGAAGCACATCCTTGATGCCCCCAGCTGACTTAATCACCAGATTGCTCTCAAGTACCTAACACGTGTTTAATGCTGTACTCTGGTTTGCCTTTGATGGCACCCATGAGAAGTATGAGGACTACTATTTATCTTGTTAGAGAGATGATATTGGAAGAAGCATCCTGGGGGAAATGTAACCCACCTGGACACATCTGGATGTGCTGAGAAACAGTGACAAATTCTGAGGGGAGCCTACAGTGTATAGTGTTGTGTATAGTGTGTATAGTATATAGTGGTTGTGTATAGTGGCCTCTGCCTTTTACCATTGGTTCAGGAAGTTTAATTTTGTTATACCAAAAATTATGTTAAAATCAAAGTTCTGTCTTTCTGACAGCTCATCAAATGCAAATAAAGATTCTGTGTTTTTTAAATGAAATTCAAATTATCATACTTTAACATTTATGACAAATTATTTTGATAGGTTAGTATTTTAGGACTGGTATTTTTCACTTCTTTCCAGGCTTTATTTTGCATTTCTCTATAGATAAGAAGTTAACCTTAACCTCTTACCCTCGGTCAATGATAGTTCCTCTCACTCTTGCTCAATGATAGTTCCTCTGTTCAGCATTTCTACCTATTTTTCTTATATTACAGCCACATAAACAACTACAGAATGAAGTCACTACCAGTAGAGTAATCTTAGAATTTGGGAAACAAAACTGATTTATTTACCCTCCTGTTCTTTATTTATTCCCTCTCTCCCACTGTTTTGACCTATAAAATTAGGTAAAATAAGCTAATAAGCTGATTAGGTGTAATTAGAAATGATATAACGTGTGCTTTGTGGGGAAAATGTGCTGCTACTTTCTTGGAAAGAAGGCAGAACAGGAAACGGCTGTATCCTACTCCCATCTGGAGTGGGGCACCATCAGAGCTACCATCACTCAGCACCTCACCTCTGCCTTCCATTGATTTCTCTCTTTAATACTGACCCAGTCATCACCTCTCCTTTCACCATTTACTAGCAGCAAAGTAAACCATTCCTAATCCCAGAGTTTTTCAGAAAGAGGCTTCTGAGGTTTCCGTAAAACTACATGATTTCCAGCAGTCTCTATTTAATACCATGATACTTTGAATGGAACCTTCTGGAAATGTGCCCTGCCATTCTAGGAGTTGATCTAATTCTTTCTTCCTGTAGAGCTCCCATCACAGATGTATTACTAAGGCACATTTAAATGGTCCTCTGAACTCACAGCCCAGTGTCACTGTTGAAAACCATCTGTATCCCTGAATGGAATAAACTTATACCTGAAGCATAGCCCATCCTGTTAATGTCTGTAGTTACAGGCATTCGGATGCAGCTTTGAGGGATTTTTCAGGGAAGCCAGACACATTAACCAGACCTAGGCTAGGAACATTCTCAAAGCTTTTCATTCCGTATCTTTGCATTTATATATAATCCTGAGGATACTATTAATCAAATAACATGCATCTCTTTCTACACTTATGGGCAGGTTGGCAAACTTGAAGTCTTCCAAAGGTAATTTTTATATCTGTGGGGGAGGCAGTAAAAAATGGTATGTTGCTCAAAAAACATCAGTGTAATAGAATTGTTGCAGATTTTTTCTTCCTTAGTCTTAATAAAATTCTAAGTCTATATCCATTTTGTGATAGGATTTGACAATACCATTTTTAAAAAAAATTGCAAATTAGAAACATTTGCTTGCTAAGCTATTCTAAGCACTTAATTGTAAATAGAGCTAATAGAGTCCTTTTAGAGAAGATGTCCTTGCCTTCTTTCTCATTTTTTGTTTTTCTTGTGGGATTTCTGGAGGAAGGAGTGCAATATGATGGAAATGCACAGATTTGCAGTCAGGTAGGCCTGGATTTAAATCCCAAACTTGCTGTTTATTAGTTATTTGACTTTGGACCAGTCATTTAATATTTGTTTCCTCATCTGCAAAATGAGGGTGAAATTCTTACTTCTGAGGATCCTGTGGGTATTTGAGATAATGTAAAAAAGCATCTGATATATCATAATTCATTGACTCTCAGATATACTTTTTTTTACATTTTAATATCTCTGAAATCAGGATAGTCTTATAATCTGTAAGTAAACATACTGTAGTTATTTAATTACAACAATTTTTTCCTTTATTTGTGGTACATATTGTAAAATTCTTATAATTGACAGCAACTTTGATTTTATTAAATACAGTATGCCTGGTGCTCAATGAATAGTAGTCATACTTACTATTAGATCCTTTTTTTCTAAGAAAGATTTTATTTATACTTAGTAAGAATTTGTGTTGTATTAATTTTCTCAGACTATGATTTTGGATACCATTACAATTATTAGGAAAAAGAGTGTTATAACAAACATAATAGCAGCTCCTGTTTAATCATTTCATGCCTCGTGCACGGTACAAAGGTGAAAAGGAATAGATTTCATAAGATTGATCAAGAGTGTGGAGAGCAGCGGGTAGAAGAACAAGAGCAGATCTGAGGGACCGTGAGTTCTGTGTAGACAGACAAGATGGCAACTCAGAAACAGCCTGTGTTTATGGGTTTCATATTCTTGCAGCTGTAGGGAAAAATAAACAAGAGTGAATTTTTGTGTAACTGAATTTTGCTTAAGGAGGACTAGGAGTTGAAAGACATTAGTACCACATATTCATTCTGACATTCTTACTTTGGACGGATGGACTTTTCTTCTTTTATATCCTTACGCAGACCTAAAGTCCCATGACTATCAATTCGATTCCTCAGGTATTTGCTGAGCACCTGCTAAGTGCCAGGCATTTTGCTAGACCTTGAGTTACAGAGATGAATAAGACAACCCTTGGCATCAGGAAGCTCCCGTCTCATCTGTCTCATGCTGTGCCTCCTTCCCTTAACCTGTACCCTATACCTTTTCTTATTATGTTAAATAGAATATACATGAATCATTTCTTTTTTGTTACTGAACATATTTCCTTTGAAACTTAGCACATATTTTTAGTATTCATTTTCATTTAAAACAAGCATACCACTGAAAAATTTAAAATTAATATGATGAATAATTTGATCATACTTGTAATTAGAAATCGTATCTATCAGTATAACCTATATTTAATGTTAGCTTGTATATTTTTATGCTAAGCAAATCAAAAAATAATAATTTTAGTATCAGAATTACCTGAGGAAATTGGTAAAAAAAAATTTAAAAATGTAACTTAGGATCTTAATTAAAAATTTAATTTTTCTTCAGTGAACATATTATGTTCTGTTTTAAGATCTGGGCATAATGACTCCTTTCTTTGGGGATTTCCAAAAGGAATATTTATGCGCTTGCATGCCCAAATAATTTCTGTGCCAAAGGAACACTGACAAATGCCACACAAGGGAAATGACATTTCTAGGATTTTTTATTAATATAATGAGGAAGAAGGAGGGCAGTAATTTGGTACATTTAAATGTTAAACAAATATACAAAACAGATTAATATAAATATATGACTTTAAAATTGCTTAATGTACTCAGTTTTATTGGTATTTACTATCTGTAATAATAGCTACTAGTGATTAAATACTTGCTATGTGTCAGACACAATTCTAAGCTCTTTAAATGTGTGGTCATAATAAGCCCATAAGGTGGATATCATTACCCCCATTTTATAGATAAGGAAACAGAGACAGAGAGAGTAACTTCCTTAATTAAGGGAAAGTAGCCAGTAGACACAGGATTCAAACCTAGGCAGTTTTAATCACTGTATTACCTTATGGTTGCTAAGTCCATTATTATGCAGGGAACAGAATCAGTAGTTGTTAGAAAAGTTACTAAAGTTTAATTGAAGTTATCTAAGTTTGCCATTGAATTTGCCACTAATAGCTGGCTGGGATTTTAAAGAGCATAGTACTATGTTTTAAAATGTATTAAAATACCATCTGTTAACATTGTTAAATTAATTTTTTTAATTATTATTTAAAGTAAAACTGTCAGAAATTCTAAATAGATCCTGCATATAGATAATTGGCATTAAAATAAATATAATTAAATGAAAACTAGTATCATTATAATTTCAGGAGTCTAATAAAGCTGGTCTTGGATGGCTGCCAAACGAATGTGTCAAAGAACAGGAAAAAGGCAATGATAATGCTGAGCTTTTGACTGGAAGAAATAGTGACAGCACTTGCCTCTTATATTAGTTATGGAAGCCAAAAGAGTAGAAGAGACTTGGCAAAGACAATGAGGACTTGATTTGAGGTGACAGGGAAATGGCCTGATAGAATGTCAGCAAAGCAGAATGAGGAGGGTACCAGCTGGGGTCCTGAAGACCTGGCTCTGGTCCTGCCTTCACTGGTCATTAGTAGGCTGACCTTCAGCCAAGATAGTTGAACTCTCTTGTCCTTAGTTTCTACACCTAAAGACATTGAGGGGCCAAGCATGATAGCTCACCCCTGAAATCTTGGCTACTCAGGAGGCTAAGGTGAGAGGATTGCTTGAGGCCAGACTGGAGACCAGCCTGGGCAACGTAGTGAGACCCCATCTCTACCAAAAATAAAAATATTAGCTTGGCATAGTGGTGTGTGTCTGTAGTCCCAGCTACTCAGAAGGCTGAGGTGGGGGGAACCACTTGAACCCAAGAGTTCGAGGCTGCAGTGAGTTATGATTACATCCCTGTACTCCAGCCTGGGTGACAGAGCGAGACTCAGTCTCTACAACATTTAAAAAAAAAAAAAAAAGACATTGAAGGGGTTTATTGCTAAGTGGTTTTCAAATTCTGCTCTGAAGAGTCCTACAGAGTGCCAGATTTCCTTAAGGGCTGCTTGAGGAGAAAAGTAGATCCTAGTCCAACTTCACCTAAACAGCTATACTTTTAATAATACAGATCACATGTATTTGTAATTTGGTTTAAACAAAGTTTGAAAATCTGTGGATTAGGTGATCTGTAAGGCCTCTTCCAGCTGTAAAATTCTCTGTCTCTTGTTTGTTGTGAAATCTGGGTTTGGAATCATTCAACAGGGGATAGAGGTTAAACCTGCTAGAATTAGTGAAAGTACAGAGAGCTGAGACTGGGGGACATTTGTTCCTGAGCATTCAAAAGCCATGCATTTCAGGAGATCTTAGCCTATATTAGGAGCTACCTTTTTTAGCAGGGGGGCTGTAATGATATTCTTTCATGGATGGAAGCCAGAAGTTCTTAGTTGTTTCTTAATTCTCTAAAATATCTCCAGGATCCTTGAGGATCCCTTTCCACCCAATTTAAAGATTTCTTGTTTCTTCCTTCCAGAAACATTTTCTCTGCCTCTCATATGTGCACTTGTACATGTGTGTGTTTTCCATCTCTCTCTCTCTGAGTTTCTTCAATATATCCTGCCCTGCCAAAGCCAGATTTTATGATTTGGTGTAAATACTGTCTTTGAAGGGTGATCGACTACATTCCAACCCCCTACAGAATAATGTTTTATAGCCCACCGAAATTCAGGTTGGCTGGCAAGTGTGGACTGGAACAGTTTTGATTGGATAGCATTGTGATAGAATATGTTTCCTAATCCAGGTCAAATTATTCCATAGGAAACTGTAGTGAATTGTGTCATTGAAAATGCTTATGAAGCTAGGTTACACACCCTCCACTTCCCCCAAGTAAAAATGAAAATGTAGGTGGGACTGAGAGTAGGAAATAAATTTCCAGAAATAATCCTAACTAATTATTTCAAGTGAGTGAGAGAATTTAACCCCAAACAAACTCGACTCTCTAATATTTCATGGATGGAAGCCAGAAGTTCTCAAGTGTTTCTCCCTAATAGAACTATGAAGTCTCTAGAAGCTTTACTTGGTCATCATTTTGTGGCCAAAGAGCTACATAGAATGGAGTTCATTTTTTGTTTTCTAGTTTTTTTTGTTTGTTTGTTTGTTTGTTTTTGAGAAACAGGGTCTCACTGGGCTCAAGCAATCCTTCTAGCCTCGGCCTCCCCATGCCCAGCTAGAAGGCAGTCTTTGGTAAACGTCTTCCTAAATAGATAGCATGGCTACAGTGGAAGGTGTTAACATGTGAGATAGGAGAATCCTTAAGTATCCTGGAGGAGGTGTCAAGGAGTAACATTTATTTCCTCTGATGTTTTCATCAGCCTCACCATTTATAGTCCTTCAGGAGGAAGTAGCAGGCATTCTTCATTGGCTGCAAGTTGGCAATTATAACACATAGCACAGATGCCTGTTGTATTGCATCAAGTTTACATTGAGCATCAAGTTTTAAAAAAAATGAAATCATTATAAATTCTGGCAGTTTTTATGGTGTAATTAAAATGTCTAACAGGATACCTCTGGGAAACTAAATGCAGTTTTACTATTTATAGAGCCAGGAGAGGTAGTGTTTCTTGCCAACTTTCATATCTTATGACCTATAAATTGCACTTAATAGCTAATCTGTCATTCCAGCTTCTCATACCAGAAAGCTTGTTTTCTTATTAATCTGTTAATTTACATCTGCAAAGGACATTTACAGATTCTTGATTTGAAAACATTGCTGTATTAATGCTGTGCATTATAAATAATTTATCACCTGTGATAGTAACTCTTAGGTCTAGGTAATAGATCTTTCTGACATATTGTTCTTCCAACCCTAATATAATTTTGATAAAAATAATTATTATGAAAGCTCCTCTGGTCCCACAGCATTGGAAAAGGCTGACAGGTTACCATGGAGAAGCTGTAACTATCACTAACAGCTCTCTAAGCTTAGAGTAATAGAATAAAACCAACTATTCCCACTATTAAGGTAGAAAAGAATTTAGATATGTACAAATCACTGTTTTCTTTTCAGTAAGGATTGCAAAATATCCCTCCAACCCTAGGCTTAGGCATTGGAACAAACTGGTTAGATTGATGGTAGTAAATCCGACACCAGCTATTGAGCACATACAGTAAGGAAATAATTTAAGACCATTAAAGACCATGTAATTAAAAATTTCCCTGTTTATGTGGTATTTAAGCCTCTTCTTTGTAGGCCATGGATGTGAGTTCACAGTTCTTAGAGATCCCACTCAGGAAGTTTTTTCCCTACCAAGATTCTTAATATTTAATTGTGCTTTTTGTGTGTATTTCATTGATTGGTCCACTTTGATCCAAGAAGAATCGGTGGGAGCAAATCCTAAAATGGGAGAGATCAGAATAATGAAGGGATTAGGATCAAATGATGGGCTGAAACTAGGGCAGACTATGTACATATTTTGGGATTCTATCTGGTTGTTAAAGGGAGGCTCTGCATCTGGTCACAAGCTTACTGGTGGCCCCGACAAAGAAGTAAACGTGATCGCTTCAAAGATTCACATTTTTCTTAAGATAAAATCACAGTAGCTGCTCGGTGGAAGCACTGAGATCTGAAAAAATTTTTCCATCATCCTTGTAAAGATGATATTGGGTGATATCATGGCCAATGTCTTCAACAATATAGATTATAAAATTTATTTGGTTATTGTGGTGCAATTAATTTTGTGTGACTATTGAGTAAGCAACTCAAAGTTTATGAACATTATTTAACCTTTTATATACAATTATTTCATCAGCTCAGTTGCTGATTAAGGGTAGATTTTCAGGCAGCAATACACTCATTAAATAGAGAGTATATATCATTTAAGACTAAACTCCAAGAACATGATTCAGTTTTCTGTTTCTACAGGTTTATTTTTGAGTAGCTATTGATTCCCCATGAAAACCCTGCAATCAGGGGGTTTTCTTTTAATTATGCAAAGATAAATTACTACCAGGCAGACCTTTGTTAATAAATACAAGTTTTTAAAGATTAGCTAAATCTCTGATTTTAGAACGGTATTCTTAAATTTGTTTTTTCTATAAAAATGTGCAAAATTTTATCATCCAGAAACCTGTGTTAATTGGTACATATAGAATCACTAGATAGTGTCAACTATAACTATGATAACTGGAGCATGAAATTATTAATTTATGCTCAGTATTGTATTGGTCAGGATTGGCCAGGATATACTGTAATAACAATCTCAATATTTTAGTAGCTTAAAACAACAAGGATTTATTTGTTGTGCCCACTGTATATTCATTACAGATCAGCCAGGGATCTATTCCACATTGCCATGATTCTCCCTTGAAGACCAACTCTGTTGGAACAGTCTGTAGCAAAGAGAATGTGGTGACACATGCATTGATTTCTAAAGCTTTACCTGGAAGTGATCCTATTTATTAGCCACAGCAGGTCACATAGCTGCCCACACCTGACTTCATGCAGGCAGCAATGTGCAATCTTACCTGCCTGGACAGAGAGAAGTCAGCATTTGTGAATGGCCTTAAAAACCGCCCTAGGCCAGGCGCGGTGCCTCATGCCTTTAATCCCAACACTTTGGGAGGCCGAGGAGGGCAGATCACCTGAGGTCAGGAGTTTCAGCCTGACCAACATGGTGAAACCCTGTCTCTATTAAAAATACAAAAAAAAAATTAGCTGTGCATGGTGGCACACACCTGTAATCCCAGCTACTTGGGAGGTTGAGGCAGGAGAATCATGTGACCCTGGGAGGCGGAGGTTGTAGTGAGCTGAGATTGCACCACTGCACTCCAGGCCTGGGTGACAGAGCAAGACTCTGTCAAAAAAAAAAAAACAAAACAAAAAAACAAAAAACTAAGTACCATTAGTGCTTAAAATAGACCCAATTGTATTCTAATTAGTCATTATTTTATACAGTATTTTGTTGTTCTTGTTACAGATCTTCCTAGTTTTCGTCTACTCCATGGAAATATGTGAAAGTACAAATGGTCATGTCGCTTCCCCACTTAAACCTTTTGTGGTTCCCATTCCCCATCTGTGGGGATTGCAAATTCATCAATAGAGGCTAAACTATGTAGTCAAAAGAGCAGAAGGGCTAGAGTCTCACATATGTGGATCTGAACCCTGGTGGTGTTATTAATTGTGTACTTTTGGATATGCCACTTTATCTCTTTGAGTCTTTGCCTCTTTGAGTCTAGCCTTATCTCACCAATGGGTGTAATAATAACGTACACTTAAAAGGTTTATTATAATGATCAATGAAACAACATATATGAAAAATGCTTTAGATTTTACAAACTGGTGGACAGACAGAATTCATCTAAACTTACCTTTACAAACTCCTCTCCAGCCACTACCCCTGCTCCCAGGTATAAATGCCTTCTTATTCTCCAATCATAACACACTCCGACATACTTTGTGTCTTTGCTCATGCTGTTTCCATTTCCTAGAATTAGCCATTCCCCCAAGGAGGAAAACTCCAATTTATATATTTTCAAATTACCTCCCCCTCCCCTCCCCCGTTCCTCTCCCTCGACAGAGTTTCACTCTTGTTGCCCAGGCTGGTTTGCAATGGTGCCATCTCGGCTCACTGCAACCTCCGCCTCCCAGATTCAAGTGATTATTCTGCTTCAGCCTCCTGAGTAGCTGGGATTACAGGCATGTGCCACTAGGCTTGGCTAATTTTTTTTTTTTTTTTGTATTTATTAGTAGAGACGGCGTTTCACCATGTTAGGCAGGCTAGTCTCGAACTCCTGACCTCAGGTGATCTGTCCACCACGGCCTCCCAAAGTGCTGGGATTACAGGCATGTGCCACCGTGCCCGGCCCGATATACTTTTCTTCTAGCAGTTTTAGGTTTACAGAAAATTAAACAAATAGTATAGAGTTTCCACATACCCTTTCTCTCTCCCCCAGTCGTTTTCTCCTGTTATTGATATCCTGCATTAGTATGGTACATTATTACAACTGATGAACCAATATTGATATATAATTATTAACTAAAGTTCAATATTTACATTAGGGTTCACTCTTTGTATTGTACAGTTCTGTGGGTTTTGACAAATTTATAATGTCATGTGTCCAGTATTATCATGCAGAATAGTTTCATTGCCCTAAAAATCCCCTGTGCTCCATCTGTCCTCCACTCCCCCAACTCCCTTGCAACTGCTGAACTTTTTATTCTCTCTATACATTTGACTTTTTCAGAATGTAATATAGTTGAAATCATACAATATGTTGCCTTTTTAGACAAGCCTCTTTGACTAAGCAGTATACATTTAAAATTTCTTTCATGTCTTTTCACAGCTTGATAGACCATTGTTTTTAGCCCTGAATAATATTCCATTGTATGGATATCCCACAGTTTATTTCTCCATTCACCTTTTGAAAGACATCTTATTTGCTTCCAGTTTTTAGCAATTATGAATAAAACTGTTATAAACAGTCATGCACAGGTTTTCGTGTGGACATGTGTTCAACTCATTTGAGTTAATACATGGGAGCACAGTTGCTGGAACACATGGTAAGACCATGTTGAGTTTTCTAAGAAATTGCCCAACTGTCTTCCAAAGTGGCTGTATCATTTTTCATTCCTTCCGACTATGAATGAGAGTTTCTATTGTTCCATGTTCTTGTCAGCATTTGATATTGTCAGTTCTTTTGGATTTTAGCTGTTCTAATACGTATGTAGTGGTATCTCATTGTTGTTTTAGTTTGCCATTCCCTAATGACATATGATGTTGAACATCTTTCCGTATACTTCCTTGCCATCTGCATATCTTCTCTAATGAGCTGTCTCTTCAGATATTTTGTTATTTTTTAATTGTTTGTTTTCTTGTTGAGCTTTTATATTTTTGATATAAGTCTTTTATCATTTATGTGTTTTGCAAATGTTTTCTCGCCGTCTGTGACTTGACTTTTCATTCTCCTAACAGTATCTTTTGCATAACACAGTTTTAAATATTAATGAAGTTCAACTTAATTTTTTCTTTCATTGAACATATTTTTGGTCTTATATATAAAGGTCATGTAGATTTTCTCTGATGTTGTCTTGGAATTTTGTAGCTTTGCAGTTTACATTTAGGTCTGATCCATTTCCAGTTAATTTTTGTTAAATGTGTAAGGTCTGTGTCTATATTCATTTTTTTGTATGTGATGTCTAGTTGTTCTAGCACCATTTGTTGAAAAGACTATCCTTTCTCCATGTAACTACCTTTGTACCCTGTCAAAGATTAGTTATTATATTTATGTGAGTCTGGAGAATTCTCATTAAAAAATGTATTTCTCTTTTTAGTGGATACTTTGTAATTGTACATATTTATGGTGTACAATTTGATGTTTGGATACATATCTATGTTGTATAATAATCCAGTCATAGTAGTGTATCCGTTACCTCATGCATTTATCATTTATTTGTGGTGAGAACATTCAAAAGCTTCTCTTCTAGCTGTTTTGTAATATACAGTATTTTATTGTTAGCCATAGTCACCTTACTGTGCAGTAGGACACCAGAATTTATTCCTCCCATCTAATTGTAACTTTGTACCTTTTAACCAACCCCTCAGAATCCTCCCTTTTTTCTTCCCCTCCAGTCTCTGGCAAGGACTGTTCTACTCTCTGCTTCTATAATACCAACTTTTTTTTTTCAGATTCCACATAGGAATGAGATCATGCATAATTTGTCATTCTTTGTCTGGCTTATTTCACTTAACACAATGTTCTCCAGGTTCGAACATGTTGTCACAAATGACAGGATTTTAGTCTTCTTATTATTGAATCATATTTCATTGTATATGTATACCACATTTTCTTTATCCATTCATCCCTTTTTGGACACTTAGGTTGATTCCCTATCTTGGCCATTGTAAATAGTGCTACAGTGAACATGGGAATGCAGGTAATCTCCTTGACATACTGATTTTATTTCCTTTGGATATATAACCAGTATTAGGATTGCAGAATCATATGGTAGTTCTATTTTTCGTTTCTTGAGGAACTTCCACATTGTTTTTTATAATAGTTGTACTGGTTTACAATTCCACCAGTAGTGAATAAGCATTCCCTTTTCTCCAAAACCTCACCAACACTTGTTTTCATGTATCTTTTTTATAATAGCCGTTGTAACTGGTATTTCATTGTGGTTTTGATTTGCATTTCCCTGATTAGTGATGTTGAACATTTTTTTTTCTTATACCGGTTGGCCATTTGTATGTCTTCTTTTGAGAAATGTGTATTAAGGTCTTTTGCCCATTTTTTAATTTTTTTTTGAGACAGAGTTTTGCTCTTGTTGCCCAGGCTGGAGGGCAGTGGTGCCATCTCGGCTCACTGCAACCTCTGCCTCCCTGGCTTAAGCGATTCTCTTGTTTCGGCCTCCTGAGTAGCTGGGATTACAGGCATGCACCACCGTGCCCGGATAATTTTTTGTATTTTTAGTAGAGATGGGGTTTCACCATGTTGGCCAGGCTGGTCTCGAACTCCTGACCTCAGGGCATCCACCCGCCTCGGCCTCCCAAACTGCTGGGATTACAGGCATGAGCCACCAGGCCTGGCCTGCCCATTTTTTAATTGGGTTATTTTGTTTTTGTCCTGTTGAGTTGTTTAAGTTCCTTAAATATTCTGGATATTAACCCCTTATCAGGTGTATAGTTTGCAAATATTTTCTCCCATTGTATAGGTTGTCTCTTTACTCTCTTAAGAGTTTCCTTTGCTGTGAAAAGTTTTTAGTTTGAGGTAATCTCATTTATCTGTTTTTGCTTTTGTTGCCTGTGCTTTTGAGCTCATGTTTTAAAAATCCTTGCCCAGCCCAATATCATGAAGCTTTTTCAGTGTTTTCTTCTAGCAGTGTCATAGTTTCAGGTTTTATAGCTAAGTCCTTATTCTATTTAGAATTGATTTTTGTATATGGTGAGAGAAGGAGTCTAGTCTCATCCTTCTGCATGCAAATATTAAATTTTCCCAGTCCTTTTTTTTTTTTTTTAAGAGACTACCTTATTTTCCAATGCATGCAACTTTGTCAAAAATCAGTTGGCTATAGGTACATGAATTTATTTCTGGGCCTAAACAATTTTCTTGAATGCAAGAATGAATGAACAAAGGAACCAACCAACAGACCCCAAACACTCCAATGCCGGCCTAAACTTTCACTGCTTGAAGTGAAGTGTATTTACCAAGATTATGTGTTGGATATACACCTAATTGTACCTGTGTTGAATTATATGTTGGATATGTGTTGGATTCCAAAATGTCCTAAGTAAAGGGTGGATTTTTCTTAGTTTTTCTTTTTCTTAAGATATGGGGTTTCGCTGTGTCATCCAGGCTGGAGTGCAGTGGCGTGATCATAGCTCCCTGTAGCCTCAAACTCCTGGGCTCAAACAGTCTTCCTGCCTCAGCCACCCAAGTAACTGGGATTACAGGTGCCCACCAGTGGTGCTGCGCTACAAGGGTGAATTTTCTTATGCATATATTTGCAGAAGAGCAGTATGAATCATATGCTGGTCTTCAGTGTACGAAGTTGATGACATTTTTGACCATCACTGGGGCAAACTTCTTGTGTTGTCTTTTTAGTTGTGGTGACATAACCTTATGGTTTATTTTCTGGTTATCTTCTATCACATCTTTGAAATGAATAAAAGCTAAGTGCGTATTATCTTGGTTGGGATAGGAAGAAAAACTAAAATCTAAAATTTTTGAGCATCTTATTGCTGAGTTCTGAACCAGGGTCATTATAAATACTGTATTATTTAGTACTCATGAAGGCTCTGTGAGATATTAATATTCCCATTTCACAGATGAGGAAACTAAGTCTCAAAGATGTTACAAATGTGTGTTATCACAGTGTGTTATTTGAATCAGTGTGTGCCTGATTCCAGAGTCTATCCTTATTCTTCTATGTATTTCTTCCTATTGGGTTGTGGGTAGTTAATCTAGGACTTTGGTTTATGGGCGCTGAACTGGCAGAGAATACATGGAGCATGTAGATTTGAGCAGTAAAAGAGAAATGCAATATTTCTGGTACTAGCCGCAGGTACATTTCCCATTTTTCCAATGACATGTAGTGAATCAATCAGCAATTATATTGAATATTCTGTGTATAACACTGTAAGCATGTAATCCTCCCACAAAATATAACCCTTATGATAAATACATATGGTAAGGGAAAAACATGCTAGATGGAAGGAAAACGTGTTTAAATCTTCAGCATAATATTTAATGGTAGTGTCATCGATGTGGTTATAGTTTGGGTAGTTTAAACTTTATTTCTCAAACTAAAAACCTTTAAAAGGTGGTTTGAAGAAATATGAACAAATTTCTTACTCTGGTTTTATGTCCCATGAATCTAACTTGTCAGATGCAATTCTTCTGCAAATATTCAGGTCACAGAGCAAGAGGTGACTGACTCTTATGCGCCTAAATCTGCAGCTGGAAATTATATTTTGGCAAGAACATGAGTAATTTATATCTTGTAGAAAGAGAAAAGTGTTGTCTTATTCCAACTAGATAGTTTGTTAGCATAACTGTTTGTATGCATTTTAGTATTCAAATACAGATGTTCCAGAGTATTTCCACTGTGGGAAGCAGCTGCTGCTATTTTAGCACAGAAATCTCAAAGAGATTAATATACAAAGGCAGCATGAACCTTAGTGGCAAATGCAGCATCTGCTTGAGGTGGAGCCTGTGATTCCCCATAGATAGTGGGTCTTCAGATTCTCATTAACAGCCTGAAACCACGTTTCAGATCTAAGCTTATTCTACAGGAACAGGAACAAAGACAAGTGATTAATTTGTGATTCACTTAGCTGATAAGTATCATCACATGTTATTTGCCCAGGGGCTGTAAAATACCGGACTTTATTTCCTGTAGCAACTGACAGCAATATAGGTGTTTGGTCATAATGATTGATGTTTTCAGTTGCCATTACTAGCTTCTGCTTGGTAGCAGAACTCAGCCTAGCCGTCTTGCAATCATAAAACATCCATCCACACCTTAGTGATGCATTCACAGAGCACTCTATAGTTTACTGAAGGCACTCACATGCACTGCTTCATCTGATGCCATCTCAGCCCTGTGAAGTATGTACAGTATTGTCATTAGCAACATTTTACAAATAAAGAAAACAGGAGTGAAGAAGTAAAATACTTATTAGTGTTACATAGCCAGGGCCTCTGATGCTAAATCCTATTCCATTCTTATAGTATATAGCAAGCTGCCTCTCTAGTTTCAGAGGCAATGATGTGTGCTTCATAAATTACATCCTTTCTAGAGATACGGACTTCCAGGACACCCATCACGGAGAGTCCCAGCCTGACAGCACTGCCTGGTAACTGGAGGATGCCAGGAAAGAGCCAATGTAATAGTCTTTCCCTCTTTCTCCCACACCCCAGAGGGGAAATGCCCAAATATTCCCTTCCTTATGTTCAGAGAGCTTTAGTAAGCAGCTCCTATGTCTCCCTGGCATTTAGAGAAATGAAGAACCAGAAGCAGAAGATGCCAGGGCTATCATTTGGAGTTGCCATAAACCAGAAGTTCCTGAGAACAGCGACGCCTGGGGTGTTGTGCCTGCCCTGAGACTTATAAATCCATCCTATGCAGTGTTCAAAGGCTCATTGCCTCCAACCAGATCTACTATTTGGAATTATCTAGTGAATTATTTATGGTTTACATATTTGACAGGGGCTCATGGCTGGGTTTGAAAATTCTCTTTCCTGGCTTGCTGCTTGGGCCTAAAAATGTCTGGAAAACCAAGGCTCAGCGAAGTTAAGTTGCTAAAGCTCTCTGAGCTAGTAAAGGGCAGTGCAGTTCTGAACAAAGTGTATCTGATTCTAAGCTACACTAGCTCCATAGTCAAAGAGCCTGCATGTTTCGCTTTGAGGGTAACAAAGATTTCTGGGTGGGAGTGGGTTGTGTCCTCCCTAGCCAGGTGGTGGAGAAGAACCCACAAAGAATAAGGTGGGGAGGGCCAACTACTGAAGTAGAGGAAAGAGGCTGAGTCTCTAGGCCTGCAGCAAAGGAGGAAGAAAAGATTTGGGGGATAGGGTATGGGTGGAGGTGGAAGCAGTAGAAAGTTCCTTGTACAATGTGCTGACATGAAGTCCTAACCTCAGCCCCAAAGAGGCTCACAAAGTAGGAACCTGAGGCCAGTACACAACCAAGTGACATGCTCTTTGTTGACTTCATTGCTGCTTCTGCCAGAAGCACACTGCTGCAGCATTGTGACTTGTGTGGAATTGTTTCTGCTCTCTACCACTCAGAAAAAAAGAAACAGAAAAGTAAATTTCTAAGTATTTATTTCCTCTCTATTTTCTAAGTCTTTTTGTTAGAACATCTGTGAAATGATAAAAGCAACTTAAAACAATATGGGGCTTTTTTTTTTTTTTTTTGCAAATATGCCATTTGCAAGCACCGTTTAAAAAAGTTTCCTCAGTCATTTTGATCAAGAACTGCTATTTCACAGGCAAAGAAAATAGGGTAGAAAATCACTCATATCTATAAAATATTAATAAAAGTGTTCTGAAGTGCACAGACATAGAACACATTTCGTAAAGAAATGCCCTTACTCCAGGAGGGACAGCATCCCCTCATTGTTATTCCCTAGCCAGGAGGCCCTTAGAAAAATTACTTGCCCATGTGTAACAGAGTACACCCTTTGTTCTGGCAGGATCACATGCTCACTTACTAAGAGGGAACTTCATGAAGAAAGGCAGCCACATGGCTCTAGCCATAGGCCGGTAATGAAGGAAAGAAAGGGTAGGCAAGCTTCCAACTTTTAGGATAAAAAGAAGGGCAGAAAAATCCCAGCATAACTTCCCTTTTATATCTGCAAATAAATTGGAAACCAAAGACTAGAATATAAGACTGTTAAGTATTTGTTAAGATTCTAGAAACCATGTAACATCTCCTGTATTTTTGTTGTCCCTTTGTGGTTCAGTACACCAGCATAGAGTCAGTTTCATTAAAACCTTTAAGACAAAAAGGGTTTGCATGCTTTTCCTTGGCCAAAATAAGAAAAAAAAAAAAAAAAAGAATGAGTGGCAAGCAATGTGAGAGGCCTAGGAAGATGGCATCTCTCTGCACAGAGAGGCTGGGGTTAGAAGCGCTTCTAGGCAGGAAAAGAAATGGTTGAAGAGCTGGGTGAGCCTGAGAGGGGGTGGTGAGGCTTAATGGAGACCACCCCACTCAGAGTACAGTACAGGTTGTAACCCACCCATTTTTTTCCTCTGAGACTCATCCAAATCTAAGCCCTCCAGAGTAACCAACACTGATGAAGTTGCATTGAAGGAACAAAGATAAGAGAGCAGGACCCTCTCCAGTGAGCCTTCGGTCACAGAATCATCAGTCATCATGGTAAACATCTCTCTTACCATTAAGATATCCATTTACCGTGGAAGAAGACAAGAAGAGAGATATTCCCAGGAGTGCAAAAAGCCAAGCATGGATTTCTCCTGTGAATTTCCTGTGGTCTGTTATATGTAGTAATTAATTTCGATTTTCTTTTTTTCTTTTTTTTTTTTTTGGAGACGGAGTCTCGCTCTGTCACCCGGGCTGGAGTGCAGTGGTGTGATCTTGGCTCACTGCAAGCTCTGCCTCCTGGGTTCACGCCATTCTCCTGCCTCAGCCTCCCGAGTAGGTGGGACTACAGGTGCCCGCAACCACGCCCAGCTAATTTTTTTTGTATTTTTAATAGAGACGGGGTTTCACCGTGTTAGCCAGGATGGTCTCGACCTCCTGACCTCGTGATCCGCCTGCCTCAGCCTTCCAAAGTGCTGGGATTACAGGTGTGAGCCACCGCACCCGGCCTAATTTCCATTTTCTTATACATTTTCCTATATGACAGAGGTTAATAGGTATTAACAGAGATGTAATATCATAATTAATGTTAGAAATGTCAATAAGTCCTTAAAATGACATATGTTATACAACTTGTTTCTAGGAGATGAGGTATAGAAAGTTACTGATTAAAGTACCATTGTTTTTTATTAGGAACTTGCTGTTTGGATGTGTTCTTTATCAATTCTGCGTAGGTCTGTGGAAAACTGATAGAAGTACGATTAGCAACTGGATTGGATAATTACAAGCAACCTGCAAAATTTTTTTTTTAAGAGTATGATGTGCTTCCTGTTTTTATTTTAAAATTCCCCAATTTAATCAGGTTCTTTATTTTATTTTATTTTATTTTATTATTATTATACTTTAAGTTTTAGGGTACATGTGCACAATGTGCAGGTTCCTTACATATGTATACATGTGCCATGTTGGTGTGCTGCACCCATTAACTCGTCATTTAGCATTAGGTATATCTCCCAATGCTATCCCTCCCCGCTCCCCACAACCCACAACAGTCCCTGGTGTGTGATGTTCCCCTTCCTGTGTCCATGTGTTCTGATTGTTCAGTTCCCACCTATGAGTGAGAACATGTGGTGTTTGGTTTTTTGTCCTTGCGATAGTTTGCTGAGAATGCTGGTTTCCAGCTTCATCCATGTCCCTACAAAGGACATGACTCATCCTTTTTTATGGCTGCATAGTATTCCATGGTGTATATGTGCCACATTTTCTTAATCCAGTCTATCATTGTTGGACATTTGGGTTGGTTCCAAGTCTTTGCTATTGTGAGTAGTGCCACAATAAACATGTGTGCATGTGTCTTTATAGCAGCATGATTTATAATCCTTTGGGTATATACCCAGTAATCGGATGGCTGGGTCAAATGGTATTTCTAGTTCTAGATCCCTGAGGAATCACCACACCGACTTCCACAATGGTTGAACTAGTTTACAGTCCCACCAACAGTGTAAAAGTGTTCCTATTTCTCCACATCCTCTCCAGCACCTGTTGTTTCCTGACTTTTTAATGATCGCCATTCTAACTGGTGTGCGATGGTGTATCATTGTGGTTTTGATTTGCATTTCTCTGATGGCCAGTAATGATGAGCATTTTTTCATGTGTTTTTTGGCTGCATAAATGTCTTCTTTTGAGAAGTGTCTGTTCATGTCCTTCGCCCACTTTTTGATGGGATTGTTTGTTTTTTTCTTGTAAATTTGTTGGAGTTCATTGTAGACTCTGGATATTAGCCCTTTGTCAAATGAGTAGGTTGCAAAAATTTTCTCCCATTCTGTAGGGTGCCTGTTCACTCTGATGGTAGTTTCTTTTGCTGTGCAGAAGCTCTTTAGTTTAATTAGATCCCATTTGTCAATTTTGGCTTTTGTTGCCATTGCTTTTGGTGTTTTAGACACGAAGTCCTTGGCCATGCCTATGTCCTGAATGGTATTGCCTAGGTTTTCTTCTAGGGTTTTTATGGTTATAGGTCTAACATTTAAGTCTTTAATCCATCTTGAATTAATTTTTGTATAAGGTGTAAGGAAGGGATCCAGTTTCAGCTTTCTACATATGGCTAGCCAGTTTTCCCAGCACCATTTATTAAATAGGGAATCCTTTCCCCATTTCTTGTTTTTGTCAGGTTTGTCAAAGATCAGATGGTTGTAGATATGCGGCATTATTTCTGAGGGCTCTGTTCTGTTCCATTGGTCTATATCTCTGTTTTGGTACCAGTACCATGCTGTTTTGGTTACTGTAGCCTTGTAGTATAGTTTGAAGTCAGGTAGCGTGATGCCTCCAGCTTTGCTCTTTTGGCTTAAGATTGACTTGGCAATGCGGGCTCTTTTTTGGTTCCATATGAACTTTAAAGTAGTTTTTTCCAATTCTGTGAAGAAAGTCTGTGGTAGCTTGATGGGGATGGCCTTGAATCTATAAATTACCTTGGGCAGTATGGCCATTTTCACGATATTGATTCTTCCTATCCATGAGCATGGAATGTTCTTGCATTTGGTTGTGCCCTCTTTTGTTTCATTGAGCAGTGGTTTGTAGTTCTCCTTGAAGAGGTCCTTCACATCCCTTGTAAGTTGAATTCCTAGATATTTTATTCTCTTTGAAGTAATTGTGAATGGGAGTTCACTCATGATTTGGCTCTCTGTTTGTCTGTTTTTGGTGTATAGGAATGCTTGTGATTTTTGCACATTGATTTTGTATTCTGAGACTTTGCTGAAGTTCCTTATCAGCTTAAGAAGATTTGAGGCTGAGATGATGGGGTTTTCTAGATATACAATCATGTCATCTGCAAACAGGGACAATTTGACTTCCTCTTTTCCTAATTGAATACCCTTTATTTCCTTCTCCTGCCTGATTGCCCTGGCCAGAACTTCCAACACTGTGTTGAATAGGAGTGGTGAGAGAGGGCATCCCTGTCTTGTGCCAGTTTTCAAAGGGAATGCTTCCAGTTTTTGGCCATTCAGTATGATATTGGCTGTGGGTTTGCCATAGATAGCTCTTACTATTTTGAGATACTTCCCATCAGTACCTAATTTATAGAGAGATTTTAGCATGAAGCATTGTTGAATTTTGTCAAAGGCCTTTTCTGCATCTATTGAGATAATCATGTGGTTTTTTCTTTGGTTCTGTTTATATGATGGCTTACGTTTATTGATTTGTGTATGTTGAACCAGCCTTGCATCGCAGAGATGAAGTCCACGTGATCGTGGTGTATAAGCTTTTTGATATGCTGCTGGATTCGGTTTGCCAGTATTTTATTGAGGATTTTTGCATCAATGTTCATCAGGGATATTGGTCTAAAATTCTCTTTTTGTTGTATCTCTGCCAGGCTTTGGTATCAGGATAATGCTGGCCTCATAAGATGAGTTAGGGAGGATTCCCTCTTTTTCTATTGATTGGAATGGTTTCAGAAGGAATGGTACCAGCTCCTCCTTATACCTCTGGTAGAATTTGGCTGTGAATCCATCTGGTCCTGGACCTTTTCTTGGCTGGTAAGCTATTAATTATTGCCTCAATTTGAGAGCCTGTTATTGGTCTTTGCAGAGATTCAACTTCTTCCTGGTTTAGTCTTGGGCGGGTGTATGTGTCGAGGAATTTATCCATTTCTTCTAGATTTTCTAGTTTTTTTGCGTAGAGGTGTTTATAGTATTCTCTGATGGTAGTTTGTATTTCTGTGGAATCGGTGGTCATATCCCCTTTGTCGTTTTTTATTGCATCTATTTGATTCTTCTCTCTTTTCTTCTTTATTAGTCTTTCTAGCAGTCCATCAATTTTGTTGATCTTTTCAAAAACCAGCTCCTGGATTCATTGATGTTTTGAAGGGTTTTTTGTGTCTCTATCTCCTTCAGTTCTGCTCTGATCTTAGTTATTTCTTGCCTTCTGCTAGCTTTTGAATGTGTTTGCTCTTGCTTCTCTAGTTCTTCTAATTGTGATGTTAGGGTATCAATTTTAGATCTTTCCTGCTTTCTCTTGTGGGCATTTAGTGCTATAAATTTCCCTCTTCACACTGCTTTAAATGTGTCCCAGAGATTCTGGCATGTTGTGTCTTTGTTCTCATTGGCTTCAAAAAACATCTTTATTTCTGCCTTCATTTCGTTATGTACCCAGTAGTCATTCAGGAGCAGGTTGTTTAGTTTCCATGTAGTTGAGCGGTTTTGAGTGAATTTCTTAATCCTGAGTTCTAGTTTGATTGCACTGTGATCTGACAGAGTTTGTTATAATTTGTGTTCTTTTACATTTGCTGAGGAGTGCTTTACTTCCAACCATGTGGTCAATTTTGGAATAGGTGTGGTGTGGTGCTGAGAAGAATGTATATTCTGTTGATTTGGGGTGGAGAGTTCTGTAGATGTCTGTTAGGTCCGCTTGGTGCAGAGCTGAGTTCAATTCCTGGATATCCTTGTTAACTTTCTGTCTCGTTGATCTGTCTAATGTTGACAGTGGGGTTTAAAGTCTCCCATTATTATTGAGTGGGAGTCAAAGTCTCTTTGTAGGCCACTAAGGGCTTGCTTTATGAATCTGGGTGCTCCTGTATTGGGTGCATATGTATTTAGGATAGCTCTTCTTGTTGAATTGATCCCTTTACCATTAAGTAGTGGCCTTCTTTGTCTCTTTTGATCTTTGTTGGTTTAAAGTCTGTTTTACCCGAGACTAGGATTGCAACCCCTGCCTTTTTTTGTTTTCCATTTGCTTGGTAGATCTTCCTCCGTCCCTTTATTTTGAGCCTATGTGTGTCTCTGCATGTGAGATGGGTTTCCTGAATACAGCACACTGATGGGTCTTGACTCTTTATCCAATTTGCCAGTCTGTGTCTTTTAATTGGAGCATTTAGCCCATTTACATTTAAGGTTCATATTGTTATGTGTGAATTTGATCCTGTCATTATGATGCTAGCTGGTTATTTTGCTGGTTAGTTGATGCAGTTTCTTCCTAGCCTGGATGGTCTTTGCAATTTGGCATGTTTTTGCAGTGGCTGGTACCAGTTGTTCCTTTCCATATTTAGTGCTTCCTTCAGGAGCTCTTTTAGGGCAGGCCTGGTGGTGACAAAATCTGTCAACATTTACTTGTCTGTAAAGGATTTTATTTCTCCTTCACTTATGAAGCTTAGTTTGGCTGGATATGAAATTCTGGGTTGAAAATTCTTTTCTTTAAGAATGTTGAATATTGGCCCCTACTCTCTTCTGGCTTGTAGAGTTTCTGTCCTGAGATCAGCTGTTAGTCTGATGGGCTTCCCTTTGTGGGTAACCCGACCTTTCTCTCTGGCTGCTCTTAACATTTTTTCCTTCATTTCAACTTTGGTGAATCTGACAATTATGTGTCTTGGCGTTGCTCTTCTCGAGGAGTATCTTTGTGGTGTTCTCTGTATTTCCTGAATTTGAATGTTGGCCTGCCTTGCTAGATTGGAGAAGTTCTCCTGGATAATACCCTGCAGAGTGTTTTCCAACTTGGTTCCATTCTCCCCATGACTTTCAGGTACACCAATGAGATGTAGATTTGGTCTTTTCACATAGTCCCATATTTCTTGGAGGCTTTGTTCATTTCTTTTTATTCTTTTTTCTCTAAACTTCTCTTCTCACTTCATTTCATTCATTTCGTCTTCCATCACTGATACCCTTTCTTCCAGTTGATCGCATCAGCTACTGAGGCTTGTGCATTCATCACGTAGTTCTCATGCCATGGTTTTCAGCTCCATCAGGTCCTTTAAGGACTTCTCTGCATTGGTTATTCTAGTTAGCCATTTGTCTAGTTTTTTTTCAAGGTTTTTAACTTCTTTGCCATGGGTTCGAACTTCCTCCTTTAGCTCAGAGTAGTTTGATCATCTGAAGCCTTCTTCTCTCAACTCGTCATTGATCATTTTAAGCCTTCTTCTCTCAACTTGTCAAAGTCGTTCTCCATTCAGCTTTGTTCCATTGTTGGTGAGGAACTGTGTTCCTTTGGAGGAGAAGAGGCACTCTGATTTTTAGAGTTTCCGGTTTTTCTGCTTTGTATTTTCCCCATCTTTGTGGTTTTATCTACTTTGGTGTTTGATGATGGTGACGTGGAGATGGGTTTTTGTTGTGGATGTCCTTTCTGTTTGTTAGTTTTCCTTCTAACAGTCAGGACCCTCAGCTGCAGGTGTGTTGGAGTTTGCTGGAGGTCCACTCCAGACCCTGTTTGCCTGGGTATCAGCAGCAGTGGCTGTAGAACAGTGGATATTGGTGAACTGCAAATGCTGCTGCCTGATCGTTCCTCTGGAAGTTTTGTCTCAGAGGAGTACCCTGCCATGTGAGGTGTCAGTCCGCCCCTACTGGAGGGTGCCTCCCAGTTAGGCTACTCGGGGTTCAGAGACCCACTTGAGGAGGCAGTCTGCCCATTCTCAGATCTCAGGTTGCGTGCTGGGAGAACCACTACTCTCTTCAAAGCTGTCAGACAGGGACATTTAAGTCTGCAGAGGTTACTGCTGTCTTTTATTTGTCTGTGCCCTGCTCCCAGAGGTGGAGTCTACAGAAGCAGGCAGGCCTCTTTGAACTGTGGTGGGCTCCAGCCAGTTCGAGCTTCCTGGCCACTTTGTTTACCTACTCAAGCCTTGGCAATGATGGGCGCCCCTCCCCCAGCCTCGCTTCCGCCTTGCAGTTTGATCTCAGACTGTTGTGCTAGCAATGAGCAAGGCTCCATGGGCATAGGACCCTCTGAGCCAGGTGCGGGATATAATCTCCTGGTGTGCCGTTTGTTAAGCCCATTGGAAAAGTGCAGTATTAGGGTGGGAGTGACCTGATTTTCCAGGTGCCGTCTGTCACCCCTTTCTTTGACTAGGAAAGGGAATTCCTTGACCCCTTGTGCTTCCCAGGTGAGGCAATGCCTCGCCGTGCTTCAGCTCATGCACGGTGCGCTGCACCCACTGTCCGGCACTCCCCAGTGAGATGAACCCGGTACCTCAGTTGGAAATGCAGAAATCACCCGTCTTCTGCGTCACTCACGCTGGGAGCTGTAGACTAGAGCTGTTCCTATTCGGCCATCTTGCAACCTGTAAAATTTTATCTGCCAAAATATACCAAAACCATTCTGATGTGTTTTCATTTCTCCACTTTATCCTTTTCTCTCCAGGCAGCTTCATCAGCCTTGAGCAGTCTGGGCCACGTGTACACAGCCATTGGAGACTACCCCAATGCACTGGCCAGTCACAAACAGTGTGTTCTTCTTGCCAAGCAATCCAAAGATGAACTTTCTGAAGCCCGAGAACTTGGCAACATGGGAGCTGTGTATATTGCCATGGGTGACTTTGAGAATGCTGTGCAGTGCCATGAGCAGCATCTGAAGATAGCCAAGGACCTGGGGAACAAGCGAGAAGAGGCCCGGGCTTATAGCAACCTGGGCAGTGCCTATCACTACCGGAGGAACTTTGACAAGGCCATGTCTTACCATAACTATGTCCTGGAGCTGGCACAGGAGTTGATGGAGAAGGCTATTGAGATGCGGGCCTATGCTGGACTAGGCCATGCTGCCAGGTGCATGCAGGATTTGGAGAGAGCTAAACAATACCATGAGCAGCAGCTGGGCATTGCTGAGGATCTCAAGGACCGGGCTGCAGAGGGGCGAGCATCCTCCAATCTAGGTAAGAACAGGGTTGCCTGTAAGAGCCCAGGTCAAAGTCATGAGCTGGAAATAGCTGGAGTAGATCACTATCTTTTATAGGAATCTGTGTGTTTATATTTAAAAGAATATCCTTATTGTGTGTGCTCTTTTCTTTTCCTTTTCTTTTTGAGACAGGGTCTTCATCTGTCACTGAGGATGGAGTACACAGGCCAAGGATGGTGTGGCACAACCACACCTCACTGCAGTGATCTTCCCACCTCAGCCTCCCGAGTAGCTGGGACGACAGGCACACGCCAGTACACCTGGCTATTTTTTAAATTTTTTGTAGAGACAGGCGTCTTCTTATGTTGCCCAGGCTGGTCTCGAACTCCTGGGCTCAAGCGATCCTCCCACCTCGGCTTTCCAAAGTGCTACAATTATGGCATAAGCCACCGTACCTGGCCTCTTTCTTTAGATATATTTCCTTGGATCCTGCCTTCTCTAAATCACACAATTCTTCCTGTCATCGTGGTGCTGTAAGGATTAGAATTCTGAGATACTGGAAAAACAAAACATCCCAACCTTTTAATGTATAGAAAGAGAAGAGCAACCAGATTTATCTAATTAGAGAGAAGAGGCATGAAATGATGATATAGGCTATGTTTGGTTTAAATGAAAGAGAAGCTGCTAAGCAGTCATCAGTAGATGAGAACATGAAAGGATTTTTGCTTACAGGGATTTCTTTACTTGGTGAATTAACCCCACAGGAAATGCATTTTTTCCTCAAAATTATGTGTATTCAAAAAATAATATTAATAGTTTTAATGTAAATGCAAAATTATTTTTGTGAAAGATCTATTTAAAGATGATAGATTTACATTCACTGTTTTGATAGTACTTGGTTACAATTAAAACATTCATAATTTGGGGGAATTTATATGTAGTGGTAAGAGACAAGTAATTGGTAACTGGCAATTTTTTAGAAGATATTATCTTATCCCTGTATTCAAACAGATGTGGGTACATAATGAATGGAAGGTGTGTTTGGAAGTATGAGCTAAACTTATCCCTGTGCCTGGCACCACATGGTTTGTTCTTTGCCTATAGGGATTCAGGACGGGGAGAGGACAAAGAGAAGTTGACCTTATTGATATGCTTATCAGATATGAGTAGCAGCAGAATGTAAAACTTAGCCACCTTCCCTCCCTCCTTCCCTCCCTCCCTCCCTCCTTCCTTCCCTTCATCCCTTCCTCCCTTCCTTCCTTCCTCTTTCTTCCTTTCTTAACTTTCTTCCTTCCCCTCCCTCCCTCCTTCCCTCCTTCCCTCCCTCCCTTCCTCCCTTCCTCCATTCCTCTCTTCCTTCCTCCTTTCCTTTCCTGTCCTGTCCTGTCCTGTCCTGTCCTGTCCTCTTTCCTTTCCTCTTTCCCCTCCTCTCCTCTCCTTTCCTTCCTTTTCTTCCTTTTCTTTCTTTCTTTCTTGAGACAGGGTCTCCATCTATTACCTTGGCTGGAGTATAGTGGTGCAATCATGGCTCACTGCAGCCTCAAACTCCTGAGCAAAAGTGATCCTCCCACCTCAGCCTCCCGAGTAGCTAGAACCATAGATGCAGTGCATGCCACCCTGACCAGCTAATTTCTTTCTTTCTTAGTAGAGTCATGGTCTCACTATGTTGCCCAAGCTGGTCTGAAACTCTTGGGCTCAAGCAACCTGCCCATGGTGGGCATCAGCCACCATGCCCAGCTAATTTTCATTTGTTGTTTTGTTGTTGCAGTGAGGCCTTGTTATGTTCCTCAGGCTAGTCTCGAACTCCTGGCCTCAAACGATCCTCCCTCCTTGGCCTCCAGAGTGTTGGGATGACAGGCATGAGCCACTGCACTTGGTGATTCTTTGTTTTTTATATTACAAGCATTTACAGATACAAAATTTTCTCTAAACACTGCTTGACCTGCATCCCATAATTTTTTATGTATTATGTTCACTTTTATTGGGTTTTTAAAATCTTCTGAGTTGATTTGTGATTTCTCTTTGACTCATGAAGTGTTTAATATAAAAATATTTGGGGTTTTTCCCTGACAGAAAATCAGCAGTGATCTCTTCATGGCTGAGTTAGAAGATTTTTGACATTTCTAAATTTCCCTAATCAGTATCAGTAGTTGGCATGCTCTGCTAATTTTTCTGTGAAATTCTCTTCTCTCTAGGTTTCTGTGAAACACCACTGTCCTGATTTTCTTCCTGGCTGCTCCTTCTGTATCTTCTGCATTGGCTTTTGATGCTCCCTTCAAAAAACAAACAATTTTTAAAAGTTACAAAAGTGGCACTTAGTTTTGTAAAAAATTCTTAACATATAAAAATGTATAAAATAGAAAAAGGAGGCTCACCCCCTCACATTAATATCTTCCCTTGTCCCACTCCTCAGTGTCAACTACTGTTAATAATTTGGTTATAATCTTTCCAGACCTTTTTACTATATACATAAACACATGTCAGTGTAATCATATATGTATATATATACATGTGTGTATAAATTGTGTTCCCTTTTCAAATCTTGGATTGTAACATACATACTTTTCTGAAGCTGCCTTTTTTACTCTGCCTCCTCTCCTAGGCTTCCCTGTATCTCATTATTCAGATATCCTACATTATTTTAATGGCTCCTTTCCATTGTATTGCCACTTGTTAAATGTGGGAATTGTCATATTTTGTTCCTTGATTCTTTTCTGTTATTTCTTTGTATATGTCCTTTTGTCATTTTTACCCCCAACCTTTTTAAAAAAATTTCTGTGGGTACATAGTAGGTACATATATTTGTGGGGTACTTGAGATATTTTGATACAGGCATGCAATGTGAAATAATCATATCATGGAGAATGGGGTATCCATCCCACAGGCATTTATTCTTTGTGTTACAAACAATCCAATTACACTTTTTAGTTATTTTCAAATGTACAATTAAGTTTCCATTGACTATAGTTATCCGGTTGTGCTATCAAATAGTAGGTCTTCTTCATCCTTTCTATCTTTTGATACCCATTAGCCATTCCCACCTCTCCCTGCAGTGCCCCCACTACCCTTCCCAGCCTCTGGTAACCATCCTTCTATTATTTATGTCCATGACTTCAATTGTTTTGATTTTTAGATCCCACAAATAAGTGAGAACATGCAATGTTTGTCTGATTGTGCTTGGCTTATTTCACTTGACATAATGACCATCAATATTGTTGCAGATGACAGGATCTCATTCTTTTTCTATGGCTGAATAGTACTCCATTGTGTATATGTACCACATTTTCTTTATCTGTTCATCTGTTGATGGACACTTACATTGCTTCCAAAGCTTAGCTATTGTGAACAATGCTGCAAAAAATAGAAGTACAGATATCTCTTCGACATACTGATTTCCTTTCTTGTGGGTATATATCCAGCAATGGGATTGCTGAATCATATGGTAGCTCTATTTTTTTTTTTTTTTTTTTGAGACAGAGTCTCACTTTGTCACCCAGGCTGGAATGCAGTGGCATGATCTCAGTTCACTGCAACCTCTGCCTCCTGGGTTCCAGCGATTTTCCTGCCTTAGCCTCCCGGGTAGCTGGGACTACAGTAGGCTCACGCCACCACGCCCAGCTAATTTTTGTAGTTTTTTAGTAGAGATGGGGTTTCAGCATATTGCCCAGGCTGGTATCGAACTCCTGACCTTGTGATCTGCCTGCCTCGGCCTCCCAGAGTGCTGGGATTACAGGCATGAGCCACCATGCCCGGCCGGTAGCTCTATTTTTAGTTTTTTTTGATTAACCTCCGAACCCTTCTCCATAGTGGTTGTACTAATTTACACTCCCACCAACAGTGTGCTAGGGTTCCCTTTTCTCCACATCCTTGCCAGCATTTGTTATTGCCTGTCCTTTGGATATAAGCCACTTTAGCTGGAGTGAGATGATATCTCATTGTAGTTTTGGTTTGCATTTCTGTGGTGATCAGATCTTATGCCTGTTTGCCATTTATGTGTCTTCTTTTGAGAAATGTCTATTCAAATCTTTTGCCCATTTTTAAATCAGATTATTAGACTTTTTTCCTGTAGATTGTTTGAGTGCCTTATATATTCTGGTTATTAATCCCTTGTCATATGGGTAGTTCGCAAATATTTTCTCCCATTCTGTGGGTTGTCTCTTCACTTTGTTGATGGTATCCTTTGCTGTTCAAAAACCTTTTAACTTGATATGATCCCACTTGTCCATTTTTGCTTTTGTTGCCTGTGCTCATGGGGTATTGCTCAAGAAATTTTTGCCCAGACCAATATCCTGGAGATTTTCTCCAATGTTTTCTTATAGTACTTTCATAGTTTGAAGTCATAGATTTAAAGTCTTTAATCAATTTTGATGTGATTTTTAGATACGACAAGGGATAGGGGTCTAGTTTCATTCTTCTGCATATGGATATCCAGTTTTCCCAGCACCATTTATTGAAGAGACTGTCTTTTCTCAGTGTATGTTCTTGGCACCTTTGTCAAAAATGAGTTCACTGTTGGTGTGTGGATTTGTTTCTGGGTTCTCTATTCTGTTCCATTGGTCTGTGTGTCTGTTTTTATACCATTACATGCTGCTTTGGTTACTATAGCTTTGTAGTGTAATTTGAAATCAGGTAATGATTCAAATTATTCCAGTTTTCTTATTTTTCCTTAGGATAGCTTTGGCTATTCTGGGTCTTTTGTGGTTTCATGTAAATTTTAGGATTGTTTTTTCTATTTCCTTGAAGAATGTCATTGGTGTTTTGATATGGATTGCATTGAATCTATAGATTGCTTTGGGTAGTATGGACATTTTAAAAACATTGATTCTTCCAATCCATGAATGTGGAAGATTTTTCCAGTTCTTGGTGTCCTCCTCAGTTTCTTTCATGAGTGTTTTATAGTTTTCATTATAGAGGTATTCCACTTCTTTGGTTAATTCCTAGGCATTTAATTTTATGTATGGCTATTGTAAATGAGATTCCTTTCTTATTTCTTTTTTAGATTATTAACTGTTGGCATATAGAAATGCTGCTGATTTTTGTATGTTGATTTTGTATCCTGCAACTTTGTGGACTTTATCAGTTCTAGTGGTTTTTTTTTGATGGAGTCTTTAGATTTTTCCAAGTATAATATCATGTCATCTGCAAACAAGGATGATTTGATTTCTTCCATTTTAGTTTGGATGTCCTAAATTTCTTTCTGTTGTCTGACTGCTGTAGCTAGGACCTCCAGTACTATGTTGAATAACAGTGGTAAAAGTGGGCATCCTTGTCGTGTTCCAGATACTAGAGGAAAGGCTTTCAGATTTTCCTCATTTAAGTATGATACTAGCTGTGGGTCTCTTGTATATGGCTTTTATTATGTTGAGGTATATTCCTTCTATATCCCGTTTTTTTGAGCGTTTTTATGAAGAGATGTTGAACTTTATCAAATGCTTTTTCAGCATCAATTGAAATGGCCTTCATTCTGTTGATATGAAGTATCACATTGATTGATTTGTATTTATTGAACCATCCTTGCCATCTCTATGATAAATCCCACTAGGTCATGATGAATAATCTTTCTAATATATTGTTGAATTTGGTTTGCTAGTATTTTGTTGAGGATTTTGGTATAAATATTCATCAGGGATATCGGCCTGTAGTTTGATGTGTCTTTGGTTTTCGTATCAGGGTAATACTGGCCTCATAGAATGAATTTGGAAGTATTCTCTTCTCTGTTTCTTGGAACAGTTTGAGTAGGATTGGTATTAGTTCCTCTTTAAATGTTAGAATTCATCAATGAAGCCATCAGGTCCTGGACTTTTCTTTACTGGGAAACTTTATTACAGCTTTAATCTCATTGCTTGTTGTCAGTCTGTTCAGGTTTTGGATTTCTTCATGGTTCAATCTTGGCAGGTTGTATGTGTCTAGGAATTTGTCCATTTCATCTAGATTTTCCAACTTAATTGGTGTATAGTTGCTCATAGTAGCCACTAATGGTCCTTTGGATTTCTGCAGTATCAGTTATCAGTTGCAATGTCTCATTTTTCATTTCTGATTTTATTAATTTGTATCTGCTCTCTTTTTTTCTTAGTATGGCTAAAGGTTTGTCAATTTTGTTTAACTTTTCAAACAACCAACTTTTATTTCATTTATCTTTTGTGTTTTCTTAATTTCAAATTAATTTTATTTCTGCTCTGATCTTAATTTTTTTCCTCTACTGATTTTGGGTTTGGTTTGCTCTTGCTTTCTAGTCCTTTAAGATGCATCATTAGATTGTTTATTTGAAGTTTTTCTTCCTTTTTGAGGTAGGCACTTATAGCTATAAATTTAATACTGCTTTTGCTGCATCCCGTAGGTTTTGTACCCCCAACCTTTGACAACTGCTCCAGTACACAGTGTTTCCAACTCTATATTCACCAGCTCTGACTTCTTTCCTGCCTGAGCATCACTTTCACATTTCCAACTGCCTAGTAGATATTCCGTCTCGTTTTGATGTTGATCTGTTGAAGTTAGTGAGCCCACACGTGGAACATCCTTTTTTCTAGGTTAACTCCTAGCTTTCTTAATTCCCTTGACAGCCCCACTCCTCTTGCCATCTGCCTTAGTTTCTTATTCCTGTATAACCAATTACCATAAACTTAGTGGTTTAAAACAACACAAATTTATTCTCTTACAGCTCTGGAGGTCAGGAGTCTAAAATCAGCTTCGCTGGGCTAAAGTCAAGATATTGACAGTGCTAGTTCCTTTTTCAGAGTCCAGAGGAGAATATATTTCTTTGCCCCTGTCAGCTGCCATCTTCCTCCTTCAGGATACATCACTCCAGTCTCTGCTTTTGTCATCACATCACCTTCTCTTCTGACCCTGACTTGCGTTTCTCCAATAAAGACTGTTGTGATTACATCAGGCCCACCTGGATGGTCTAGGATAATTTCCCTTTCTCAAGATTCTTAATTTGCAAAGTCCCTTTTGCCATGTAAGGTAACATTCACAGGTTCTGGAGATTAGGACATAGACACATTGCAGGGGATGTCATTATTCAGCCTGCCATACCATCCTGACTTAGAACTCTGAAGTCATCATTTGATTTATTTTCTTGTTTTTCAGTTGACTCCCAACCTAACAGTTGCCAAATACATTTTCTCATGAAGATTATTTTTTTATTATTGCACCATCCTAGCTGCCCAGTCTGTTGCATCAACCTACTAGTTGAGTTTTCCTTATCTCCATTCCCTTCTTCCCATGTCTCTTCCATCCCACACATCAGTACTAGATTGATCTTCCTAAAGCTGTACTCAAGTCATTCATTGCCACATATTGTATGCCACATTATAGGTAGAGTCCTCACCCTAAATGAAGGCTGTTGTGATTACAGACATGTCTGATTTTCCATTTTTAAATTCCACTACTTCTCTGTATATACCGTTTACCTAAAACTGAGGTGTTCCATTTTCACTAATCTCACCACATTGGCCATGTTTTCCTGCTTCAATACATTTCCTTAAGCTTTCCTCCACATATAATTCCTGTGTTCCTGTCTTGTCACCCATCTTTTTAGGATTATCCCAAATACCATTCATTACTTGAAGCCTCTCTTAGTAACAATATAACTTCTTTAGTCTGAGCCCTAATAACACTTTTAAAATTCTCTTCTTATTCTATTTATATTTGAACATAAATTATAGGTAGTTGTATACTTGTATACTTACCTCTGCTGAATTGAAGTTCATTGGAACTATGAACTATGTTCTACTCTGTGGTTTCCATATCAGTGAGTGTAACTCCTTACACAAAAATATTTGTATGGTTAGATTGAATGAGTTAAAGCTTATATCACGATGTTGTGCCACAGTGATTGGAATAATTGGAAGATGGTCATGCCTTTGGAAAGAAATAGAAAAGCTAAGAGGGGCAACTAGTTAGGGAAAGCACATGATTTGTTTGATTCTGTATACTCCTGGTATGTATTTCTTTCACTTAATGGAATGTAAGCAAATAGAACTGGAAACAAATGTTAAGATAACATCATCCTAATAACATCTATGAGATACATAGAAAAGCCAGCCAGGGAGACTGAATCAGGCTCACAGAGGGTCGGGGGAATCCAGGGAGAGCTCAGGGAGAAGAGAACTTCCACGATGTAGATGATGTAACATTTATATCAAAGAAGCCAAGGAAAATGAGATTTGAGTCACTAAGAAGGTTTTTGGACAATAGAAGCTTCCTGTGCACAGGTAAAGGTGAAGTGGGTAGAACTTGTAGAGAAGGAGAAAAAGAAAGAAGATAGAGATGACAGGAAGTCTTTGTTCTTTGGTGGTCAGCATGTACTAATATTTATTATTCACCTTTTATTTGTTTTATAATAAAATAATTTAAAATGATTTAAAGTCTTTAGATTTCTTAGGAACAATAAAGTGTAGCCTAGCTATTTTCTATGTCTGTCCTCCTTGTGAAAATAATGTTAATATAAATTTTGGCTTAGAAAATGGCCATCTTCTGAGCGTGGTGGCTCACGCCTGTAATCCCAGCACTTTGGGAGGCCGAGGCAGGCGGATCACAAGGTCAGGAGGTCGAGACCATCCTGGCTAACACGGTGAAACCCCGTCTCTACTAAAAATATAAAAAGAAAAAATTAGCTGGGCGTGGCGGCAGGCGCCTGTAGTCCCAGCTACTCAGAGGCTGAGGCAGGAGAATGGCATGAACCTGGGAGGCAAAGCTTGCAGTGTGCCGAGATCGCGCCACTGCACTCCAGCCTGGGCGACAGAGTGAGACTCTGTCTCAAAAAAAAAAAAAGAAAAAGAAAAGAAAAGAAAAGAAAAAAAAAAAAATGGCCATCTTTTCTTTTATGTTCAAAACAACTGTAGTTGCATAACAATGATTCTATAGCCTCTGGTTTTTTGGTGGCCTTCTTTCTCATTCTAATTTAGGCAGTTTGGAGTCAAACCTCAGATGTGCTGCAGAGTAGGTTACTAGACTGAAGGCTCAGTTAAAGTCCTCTCACACTGAAAACCATGAATCTTATTTACTGGGAAACCAGGCAGAATTATCTCTCATCTCACTTTAGGATGAACTGCAATTAGGAAAGTCAGTAGGGAGACAATGAGAATCATGACTCAGTTTCTCCTCTCTCTCTCTCTCTCTGATGAAGGTGACTTAGTATACACCTGCCATAGATACAAAGGTGAGTACATTTCAGGAGCCACTTCCCACACACATCAGTTTCAGGCCTGATCGCCTCTAGTATTGGGTCAAATACGAGAGGTAGAAGGTGCTTCCCACCAAGGCCTGAGGTCAGATACCTAATAATTCATCTATGGAAAACAATCAGTTTAAAAACAACTGTCTCTTTTTAGTCAGAAAAACATTTTATATCTAGAAAGTAACTTATTTGGAAAGAAAAGGGAAACAAGACTAGTGTTAGTTCATTTGTTCACCTGTTCATTCATTCTTTTGATCAACAAATATTTGTCGAACATTAGTTATGTGGTAGATACTGTGCTATCTTTTAATGAATAAAATCGACATATTAATATCTCCTACCCCCATAGAGCTTATGGTTTTTCATTCAACAAGTGATTATTGAAACCTACTCAGTGTCACATGTTTATATTCATTTTCATATTTAATTCTTCTCAAAACCTATGAGGTTGAGAATACTAATTGATTTTACGTATGAGAAAAATCAAGGTCCAAGTAAGTTTAAAAAAAAAACAAAAAACAAAAAACGAAGGTTTTTTTTTTTTTTTTTTTTTTTAATTCTTTGAGTTTCTGGATACCCAAAGCATAAAAGCTCATTAAGATCTCATAAAATGATGCTTAGCCTCTTTTTCTCCTATTTTCAAACCATCCTGGGAGTCATGGGTTGGAGTAAAAGTTTGGTAGCAATTGTGGTGGTTATATATTATTCCTCTTATTTACAGTGCAGCAAAATGATAGTCACCAGAAATGGTGACTCTCAGCTGTTCTAAGTCAAGGGTTTAAGAAATATTACTTAAATTACTTTTATAAAATCATATTTGAACATTAAAATCTGGTAATCTGAATCAGAAAATTCTGGATTCCCAAGGTCAGGTGGAATAATGTTACATATTATCTATATAATACACATCCATATCGTACCTTAGCTATATTTTATTCCTAAATAGAGTTTATGAATGAAATCATTACTGTGAACACACACGAAACCTAGTATCCTAAATAAATAAAAATTTTTAAAAAATTACTTTTGTAGGAGAAAAATTTTTCTATAATATAGCAATAACTCTCTTTAATGTTTTTTACATTTTAATTGTTATACATTGGATTATCTTGCTATGGAAATCTATGGAAACCTGATGATATTTTATGGAATCTTTCTACGGAAAGAGGCCTAGCTTTATAGGTAAAATGTTTCTAATTATAGGTAGTCAGTACACTAACCAGATGTTTTCCTTTGGAGATTCTCAGAATGATATATGGGGTCATATTCTAAATAACCTCTTAATATGTCAAAAGGTCTGTGAGACCTCACATAGAAGTGTATCCATGATATTTGTGTTTTATAGTACTTATTTGTTCTCGCAGTAGCCCTAGGAGGTAAACCATTATTATTCTATTTTAGTGATGACGATTCAGAGATTTGTGACTCACCTGAGATTATAGAGTATGAGGGAGAGCCAGGATAAGACTTGAGTTCTTGGATTCCAAGTCCACAGATCTTTCCACAAGAGAACATGCCCCATTGTGGATCTGAGTGGGAGCCATGCTAGGATTACCTGGGCTAGGGCTAAAGGCCAAAGACGCTCCTTCTCCCTTCTTCCATCCACAAGAAGATGAAAAAGGAAGCACCACTAGAAGAGTTATGGGCCACCCTGAAGCAGTGGTCCCTGTTCATGCCCAGGGAGAAGACAGCAAGCATTCCTAGAGGAGTATATGCACCACCAGGAGGGAGCGGCCCTTTCTCCTCTTTTCCTAGAGAAGCTATTGTCTATTGATTACTTGCATTGAGCTAGGCACTTTGCAAACATTATTTCATTTAATTCTCATTACAAAGCTATGTGGTTGGCATAAAAGTAAAGGTACTGGCCCAAATTCATACAGTTTATAAGCAGCAGAGGCAGGATCCAAATTCAGATCTTCATGTTGTCTTTTGCTACAGCCTGCGGGCCCCCTCTGAGCCCCACACATTTATTGACCAGTTAGTTCTTCTACTTGAGAGGCATAGACAAGACTACACAAACTGTCAAAGTCTAATAATGCCCTTGATGTAGGAAGCCAAACTGCACACCTCAGCTTTTCATCTAAAGCAGTTCCTATTAAGGGCCATGAAAAGGGAAAATATAAATGTAAAAAATTGAGATATCACAGGCCCTGAAACAGATTTTTCTAGACATCTAAAAGAAAGGAACAAGAATGTCCTATCCCCATGTAAAAGGAGAAAAGAGAAATGGAGAGCATCAACCAAAGCAGGAGATTTTTCTGACCAAGCACCAGAGGCCTTGCAGAAAATGATTCACACCCTCATTAAGGTTATGACATGCGCATCCTGTGCTGTGCCCCACACCTATCGGTGCCTAATACATATTAATAATATTTATTCTCTCCTTTAGGTCAAGATTTGTCACCCAGCTTGTCTAGACATTGCTATTTAAAAGGAGCTGTGATTTGCTTACAGATACTGTGCATCTGTAAACATGTGAGCAGAGGAAGACGGGGCAGTAAATTTTGGTCAGAGCTGCACTTTGGACTGTTGCAAGAGAGGCTGCAAAACTGTTGCTGGAATAATGAAGTAGCTGCTCGCTGCCAGGTCCCATAGTTGTGTCTCCAGCAGGCAGAGTCTGGCAGTAAATTAGCTTATGTTTTTCAGCTTGGCAGTTGGCACTTGGTTCATTTGTAGATGCTAATTGTAATCTGATGTTATCAGCAGCAGGTAATTGAAATGGGCTTGATGAATTACTTAATTTCTTTTAATAGCTGAGTCTTCAAGAACTGAATAAAGAAGATAAGGTGATCAGGAGGAAAACACAACAGCTCTATCTTTCTAATTAGTGCTTGGAGGTTTTTTCTTCTTTACACAAATGATTATGAACATATGAGGCTGAATAGGTTTATGAGTCAAAAACCCCCCATGGGGACTTTTCCCGTTAGGCAGCCCAGTTCTGAGCATTGATAACACTTCTGTTAGGACTTCAGAAAGGAATATTTGAGTGATCACTTTGGAGAATATTTATTTCTGAACACAATTTTGTTTTCCTAGACCTAGGTGGGCACTACTTCCTGGGGGTACTGCCACTTTGGTGCTCACCCTACCTTCGGCTGTTCTTTGGCCATGTTTTGTGAGCAGTGCTGCCTGGTACTATGCAGTGAACCTGGGAGCCTTGCAATGGGTTAGTCATTGGCTCCTGAACCCACACCTGGCACTGGCACCTCCCACACCTGCCTGTCCCTAAATCTTTCCATCTGCAACAGCTCCTGTGTAGCCCTTTGCTTTGCCAGCAATGGTGAGTGCAGATGTGACCCTGGGTTCTGCCATCTGTGCTGGACACTGCACCCTGGACCTATGCCATGTGACTGCACTGAGCTTTGGGGTCTTTCTTCTGGAATCATTTGGCTCTGCTTTTAGTCTTATGTTCATTCCTTAAGGAATCCATCTGTTTTGGGGTGACTTTAGAGGAATTTGCTTTTGAATGATTTTTTTTGAGAAAATCAAAATAACAGCAGAAAATATAGAGCATCAGAATCAGATCTTTTAGGTAGACATTTGGAGGTGATTTAACAAACGATTATTCAGATCACCTCCGTTGTTCTCCTTCATGGAGAATTCTATTTGAAGATAATATTTAGAGATGAAGATTCCAAGTTTCTAAGCCACCAACATGATTGTGGCAGTAAATGTCTTTGATGATAAAAAGAAGTATGTTTCATAGGCTCTGGTAATGTTCTGCTTCTTGATCTGAGTGGTAGGGTTACATAGCTGTCCTCAACTTTATGAAAATTTGTTGAGCTCTATGCTTATGATTTTATACCTTCCTGACAATATTTTATACTCTATTTAAAGGCTTAATTTTAAAAACACATTGCACTCTGGGGCAGAGTAGGATTGTAATCATATGCCTTTCTTTTTTCTTTTTCCTTTTTAACTTTTAATTGACAAAGTATATATATTTATGGGATACAATGTGATATTTGATATATGTATACCTTGCAGAAAGATTAAATCAAGCTAATTAACATATTCATCAGCTCACCTACTTACCATTTTTTTGCTGGTGAGAACATTTAAAATCTACCCTTTTAGCAATTTTGAAATATACATTATTAACTACAGTCACCATGCTGTGCAACAGATCACTAAAATTTATTCCTCTTGTCTAACTGGAAATTTGCACCCTTTGATGAACATCTCCCTTCTCTGCATCCCCCACCTCCCAGCCTCTAGTAACCACCATTCTATTGTCTGCTTCTATTGTTATCATAGGAGATGATAGCTCCATGTGTGTTATAGCCCCTGAAGACCATCTGGTGGGACAAAATGTGGAGGTGGAAGCAATGATATTGATGATTCTGACCCTGCATTGGCCTAGGCTAATGTATGTGTTCATGTCTTAAGTTTTTAACAAGTTTAACAAGTTTTTAGATTTCACATATATCACATAGTATTTGTCTTTCTGTGCCCGGCTAATTTCATTTAGCATAGCATTCCCTAGGTTCATCCATATTGTCTTAAGTGACAGAATTTTTTGTTTTGAAAACTGTTTCGTATTTCGTTGTGTATATATACCACATTTTTTTATCCACTCATCCATGATGGACACTTAGGTTGATTCTGTATCTTGGTTATTGTGAATAATGCTTCAGTGAACATGGAAGTGCAGATATCTCCTCCACATACTGATCCCATTCATGCCTGTGGTTTTCACCATGGTGCACCAACTTTCCAAACCAGATCTGACTTCCAGCTAAAACATCTACTATTGTGTTACAGTTTCCTACAATATTCCATACAGCAACATGCTGTACAGGTTTGTAGCCTAGGAACAATAGGCTACACCATATAGCCTAGGTGTGTAATAGGCTATGTCATCTAGGTTTGTGTCAGTACACTCGATGATGTTCGTACAATGACGAAATCACCTAACAACACGTTTCTCAGTATGTATTCCTCATTGTTAAGTGACTCATTAATTACTGTGTATGTCTTGAATGGATGAAGGATGATGAGAGCTAAGAACTATGGGAAGTGCTAGGACTTATAACTGGAGTGTAAAGTTCAAATAATTACCCATATCTTTCATATTTACTATGTTCATCTATTTGTGCCTTACTACTGTCATTAAGTCTAGATATCATTCCTGCTGCTTCTGACCCCAGAGACCAGGGAGACTAGTTCTGGGAGCAATGGCAATTTCTGTACATTTTATATTATACCTTGACATTCTCATTGGTGTAAACAATACCTAAAATTCTTTAATACTCTAGAAAGCTGAAATTCTATGATTTTTTCCATGGAAAGAGAATTGTATATAGAAGCTAGAACTTGATTTTTTTTTTTTTTTTTTGAGACAGAGTCTCATTCTGTCGCCCAGGCTGAAGTGCAGTGACGCAATCTTGGCTCACTGCAAGGTCCACCTCCCGGGTTCATGCCATTCTCCTGCCTCAGCCTCCCGAGTAGGTGGGACTACAGGTGCCCGCCACCGCGCCTAGCTAACTTTTTGTATTTTTAGTAGAGATGGGGTTTCACCATGTTAGCCAGGATGGTCTCGATCTCCTGACTTCGTGATCTGCCTGCCTTGGCCTCCCAAAGTGCTGGGATTACAGGCATGAGCCACTGCACCCGGCCTAGAACTTCATTCTTAAAGCCTTTTACGTGAACCAGAAATATAATGAACTTGAGAAATAGTTAAACTAGCAGGCAGTGATTAGGTTTTATGATATCATTTTAATTTTACTCCTTACAGTTAGTAGGAAGACTGAATTGAGGAGAATTTTCTCCCTCCTTTACATGGTCCTTTGCCCTATAGCTAAATGAGAGTCTGATTAGCAGGCTAACTAAATAATATATTAACCTTTTTGGATCTTCATCCAAGAAGTTTACAAAGCATGACTAAAATGAAGTCTTTTGTGCAGGTTTGAAGAACCCTAATATTTATGACTTTTAGACAAGAAAATCACTAGGATATCACACTGTTTCTTCTTTTAAGTACATGAACTTAATAGTCTATTCTCTGTATTTAACATCTAGTCTTAGGAAACTAATGCAGTTCCACTTTTCTAGATATTCAAATAACAGCTTCCATTGAGAATATATGAAAAGGCCTTTGTGATCCCTCCAGCACACATTTGAAGTGGCTTAGAAGTCACAATAATAATGATAAAGGAATGACACTTATTGAATGCCTCCAGTATGTGAACACTATACTTGGTGTAGCTTCTTATGCAGCGATTCATTGTTTAATTTAATAATTCAGAAAGATAGGGCTTATTATTCCTGTTTAGAAATCAAAAACCCAAAGAACAGAGAGGTTAACTTGTCAAAGATCTCATAGTAAGTGTGTGGCAGAGCTGGGGTGTGGGCCTAGAGCTGTCAGAATCAAAAGTCAGTGCTCTTTTATGTTACACCACCTCTCAAAAGAAAATGTCTAAAATTATGGAGAAAAGAGATAAAGCTGTAGCATTTCTAAGTGAGTAGGACAATGTGACATTGTAACTGGAAATTGAGCATTTCTCTTTACCCACAGCTTATTTTCATCCTCGTTCACTCATCCCTATTTCATAACGGCTGTACTTAAGCACACATACAGACCTAATGCAAGGTGGAAACGTGGCTGCTCATACACTGCCACCTGAAGTCTCCCCTCTTTTCCAGCATGAAATCCACAAGAGACACAAGTGTTTAAGACTCTTCAGCATAATTAGTAATTTCATGGTAACTTCAAAAAGTAGCTTTTTTACTGAGAACCAGTTTCTGCATGTTGTTCCCGACCGAAATTCTTCTTAAGGCTGTCTCTGACACAGCAGAAAATACATTTGTTGAATTAGATGAAAGCTGGAATGCAACTTTTGGTTCATATTGCTGACTAAGCCTGTTCTCAACTTGACTTTCAAATAGCTTTGTTAGCTCCTGAATACAGGCTCTCAGTTTTCAACAGATTTCTGAAAGTGGTCCTTTATGCCATCCTACTGAAGAGTTAAGTTACTCTGGGAGTGAATGCTTTCATTTTCTGGTAAAAATTGCATTGGTGCCATTTAAAATGTTTCCAAGAGCAATTAAAAAGTGAAGTAAATGCTTTGTTGTTATGTGCCCAACATGCTTGTAAAGCAAGCCCTCATCAGAACAGCCCAGTGGCAAGAAAAAAAAAAAAAGTAATGGATTTGTGTTCTTGAGCCAGATTGTCAGAGCTGGCCACTTATTTGAAACAACAGTTATTCTGTAATTGTTTCCCTGATTCAAATGGAAGGTTCCACCAATCCATTATCTAATCCCGAATAAGACAAAGACAGCTTATAACATGGCCCAGCTGTTGGAGTGCTCTAGAGGGAGATATGATATGCTCTGTGACTCAGTAAACAGAAGGTAATGGACTAAAAGTTATCAAGCCCTTCACAACAAGGAGATCTGGAGTTTAACCAGAAATTTCAGACTGTCAACCTTGACAAAACAGATGGCATTCTCCAGTTTGTGGCACCATCCGGCGAGCTGGCATGTCTGCCTTGACAACTCCTGGTACTTCTTAAATGCCTGATGGAGAAAGACATCCTCTTTGTGTCAGTTCGTCAGTGAAGAACTCACACAACTGTGCATGGGACAGAGGGAATAAGAAGCACCTATGTGCTAAATCCTTTACTAAGCGTTTTCATGATCGTTCTCCCCTGTGGCTCTGGTATTCTGCGTAAACATCCTATTGGACTGTTCTTTTCCCTTCTTCTTGTAGCAGAGAAACTACTGGATTTCAGTGCTGATTTCTCTCCATTTTGATTACCAAGAAGCCTGTATACAAATATTTTGCCTACAAGCCAAGTTAGGGGCTTTTACAGTGTTGTTATAGCTAGAGTGACCTTATCATTTATCACTGGGACAGCCCCACACACCACTGGGATATAGAATCCCCCTACATGTAGCATTCTGTGAGGAACATGAGCTTTCAATCAGATGGCCTGGCTTTAGATCCTAACTATGCCGCTTTCTGGCTTCCTGAGCCTGGACAAGATGCTTAGCTGATTTCTGCCTCAGTTTCTTCATCCTCCCCAAATAGGGACAATTATAGCACCCATCTCATGAGGTGGCTGTGAGGATTGAATGAGTTAGTATGTATAAAGCCCTTAGAACAATGACACATAATAAACACTCAAAACTGTTGTAATCATTATTATCATTGTAGTTTGTATCATATGTCGAAAGAGTGTATCATTTGTTCACACAAAACCAAGTGCTAAAAGAAAGGTGAAAATGCTACTGAAATACATAACATTTCTTATCCTTCACAATACTCTGATCCCTTGAAAGTTGCAGGTGGTTATCAGGGGCTAGAAGTACATGTTGTTATTTGATGTCTTCATCTCTTGCTGACAAACTCTCCATTATGACTGGCTGACATTTTTTCTGACAAGACATTTCAAATGAAAGAGATCCATAAAATAATCCAAATCAAAACGCTGACCAGGAGAAACCCGCCCCAGATTCTAACTCTGCCCCCACCGTTCATTGATCTCGGAGTAAGGCAATCAATTGTAGGTACCAACAAGGAGAGACTCAAGTAGGTGGTGTATCTAATGTTTTGTGGTGCCAAGACGGCTGACCTAGGAGTTAGACATTCAAGCAGCCTAACGTGAGCTCTTACCTTTTGCATGACCCTGAACAAGTTATATTACTTTCCTGGGCCTCAGTTTTGTGATGTGTAAAAAAGGGGAACAATAATAATATATTTGCTTCTCACAAGATCATTAGACTCAAATGAAAGTGTGAATGTGAAAACGCTTTAATGACTAGAGCCGTATTAATATGACTCTAAGGAGTACCTAGAAGTTAGTGTCGGTATTTGTTTTGTTTTTTCCCCTGTAAGGTAAAAGTAATCATGTGGCAAGAGATTTAAGGAGATTATTTTTCTGTGATGCCACAGGAACTGATGGAAAGTGTGGCTTCAAAGTGAGGTGACCTTGGGCTCAACTTATTTCATAGCTGTGTACCTTTGCATTACTTAACCTTTCTGACCATCAGGTTCCTCCCAACTTCATAGGATTGTTGTGAGGAAACACCCCTTCCTTTAAGAAGCTTTTTCAAATACAAACCAGTGCTTTTCTGCACCTTGCAGTGCTTTGTGCCCAGATGGTGAGGCGCACCCTTCGCATATTCCCCTGCAGCAGTCAGCTTGCTTGTCTGTCTCCCCATTAAGGTTGTAAGCCTCCAAAGAGGCTATGCTACGGGCTCCCCATTTGATGCATTTGTATTCCTAGTGCTTAGCTCTCAGCTTGTTAATCTTTGATGCCACGTAAATTGACAAGTAGTGCTTAGCACATAGCAAGCCCTCAGTAAATGGTACTGCTGTTATTACACATCGAGAGATTTGTCTTTTTTAAAATAAGCTTACAGATGTCTCCACTCATCTCAATTAGTTGGATGTTAAAATGCAGACTTGGCTAAGGAATGACCATAGCACAGCAATTTTGGCTTTCCAGAACATTTTTACCAAAGAAAGAAAACTGCCAGTTGTTTTGTAATGGTAAACCCAGATTTCTGAAACTCATATCTCCAATTATAGTTTTGAAAGAACTTGAAGGTATACCTGATAGCTTTCCAAACCATCTTCCACTATTAAGCCTGGTAAAGCCATGGTTGGCTTCCTGAGATTCTCTCAGAAGGAGTCTGTGGCAGCCAGGAGACAGAAAAACCTGAGCCTTGGTATTAGACAGGCCCTGGTTTGAATTGTAGCTCTGCCATTTATGAGCTGTGTGGCCTGGGGAAAGTTATGTAAGATGTAAAATAGAATTAAGACTAGAATCTCTAGGATAGCAATGAAGGGTGTGGCTCTTGTGAGGATTAAATGAGTTGATGTATGTGAAGCATTTTGCATGGTGCCTGGCACAGTACAGGCTCAGGAAATAGTGGCTGGTATTGGACTGAAACTTCCTTCTGCCTTGGAGGTACCACTGGCACCACTAGGCTCTTTTCCTTCTTTTTCTCTACTCTCTTTCCCTCCTTCTCTGAATAATGTCGAGGCTCTGGGAAAATTTTAAATAGTTTCTCTTCGTAAAAAAATTTGAAGATTCCTGACTTAAACAGGTGATTGAGGCCAGTGTCTTTTGTGCTGTAAGATTCGCTGGAAGAAAAGTTTTTTCCTTTGCTGGTGAAAAAATAACTTTCTTCCCTTATATGGTTTTAACTTTTGCTGAGCCCTTTTTCCCTGTTTTAACATTTTAGACCTTCTGTGTGATCTTGAAAAGCATTTTGTTTTCTTCTAAATATGTTTGTAATAATTGCACAAGCAGTGCTGTGCTCATAAAGTGCATGCCTGACTTTTAGTCCATCTTTGTCCTTGGCCCCTCCCTCACGCTCTCTGTTCTCCCTCATTTACATTAAATCTTGAAAAAGGGAGTCATACTAAATGGGTGTTAAATTATAGCAGTCTTATTTAAGAAACATGTTCACCCATTTTTATTCTCACATTCATTATTTCTCTTGAGATAGATACACCAGTGCTCTCCAACACAATGTTATAATTGAAAAGAAAGAGTTCTTGGAGTTAGCAGTGGCTTTTTGGAATGTTTGCTAAGCATGGACCATCTGGCTTTTCAGTTCTCTATTTTATTTCTAAAGTGTTTCAATGATATGTCCCTTTTTGACCTTTTCTGACTGTAAGCATCAAACCACAGGGAATGGTTCTGTTACTTCTTTATTCATTTGTCCATTTATTCATTTACTCACCTATCCATTCATTCTGTCATTCTTCCGTTCACAAAGTAATTTTTGAGCCCCTACCATGCTCTAGGCATCATACTGCAAAATAAAAGTCATTCTTATCTTGGGAGTCAAGAGATGTGGGTTTTAGTCCCAGCTCTGCCATTAAGTCAGTTTCCACAGAGAGGGAAAGGGACCTGCTTCAGTTCACATGTGACACAGATCTCTTTCTCCCTCTGACATTTATGATATGTCCCAACAGAAAATGCGACCACTATCCAAGTGCTGTTGTTGAAGGACATTTCACACCCCTGGAGAGTCATGAAAAATGTACAGATGGCTTGGTTGTATGTACATTTAGGCACTTTAATTTATGTCAACATTCAGGCATTCTTCAAAAAGCTAATTTTATTCTGGGGACTCTCATGGTGGTGGTGATGTTTATGAATGACAGTATGCCTATTGTATCATTTTTGGCTTGCCTGATGGTTTTCCGATTGTTACATTATCATTTTTGAAACCAGTAACAATGGTGGACAAGGCATGTCAGAAAAGTCCAACCACTATTTTTCTTCTTTGCCTTTCCTTTGTTCTGTTTTTATGGCTCCAGTAACAGGAGTTTTATTACAGCAGTTTGTTTCCTCAGCTCTTTTGCTGAGGCTCTGCATAATTTATGATCTAGATTCCAAAATGTTAGTGAATTGCTCCACCAGAAATAATGGAATGTGACAGCAATGGATTCCACATTCTTGGCCCAAATATTTGTGTCTGTGGTTTACAAGTCATTTCAGAGCACGATTGCTACATTGCTCAAGCTGTTACTGAGAATGAATTCTGACAAAAGAAGAGAATTTGGGTAATTATAAAAACACAAAATAGGTCTGTGTGACAGTATTCTGCTCATGGGTATCAGGAAGAAGAACAGATCTCTTCCCAACCCTTCCCCCTCCCACAGACATGGTTACTCCTCTATTCTAGGCGGAATTGTTGAGTATTCGATTTGTGACTTAGAACTCGGAATATTTGCTATGTGAAAGACATACATGATCTGGTGAGCCAACACTTACTGGGCACTTACTTTGCCTGAATAAAGCAGATGTCTGCCTTCACGATGTACCTTGGAGGCATTACTTTTTAAAAAAGTTTTACCTTCCCAGGGAGAATGTCTAGTAAGAATAGTGAATGTTAAGTCTCACATAAACCCAGATGAAACGAGATGTTCATAATCTGTTTCTTTTTCTTGAAATGCATTTTTATTAGGTATGTCTTCCATCAGTTTCAGAAAAATCTGGAAGTAGAGCCTACATTAAATGCAAAATTATTTAAATGACCAAAAATTATAGTTACTTAAGAAGTACTGAAGAGACTCTTTTGGTGTAATAAATGAATCCCTTGTGCCTGTGTTGATGTGGCTTTTCTTGGTGAGTCAGAAGAGGTTTCGTGGTTGTGGAATTAACTGTTTGATGTGGGAGGTTTGTTTTGGTATTAAATGGTCCTTTATATGGCAAAAATAATCTAACCAAATTCTTGGACTTGTCGTGAAAAGAGTCCTGTGTATTCTTATGTCAGAGTTGATAGGAAGGAGAGATTGTGAGTGTGAAAAAGAGCACACTGCTACAGTTGTAAAGGGTTCCTTCAGTTTCTAGGAGACAGCTACTCTTTTCCCTTAGTAGAAATATTAATGAGTGATCTCCACAATCAATTTGAACCTTTATTCTATAATCATACCACCCAGATCATGAAAGAATTATGACATAATGCAGTGTATATATGTATCCGCTTTCTTACTGTTCCCTTTCAGTGAGACGTAATGAAAAATGCATGCATTTTAGGGTCTTTTATTCGTTTGTTCATTTAGTACCAATTATGTCTCAGACACTATTCTAGGCATTAGAGATAAAGCAGTGAATAATTTAAAATCCCTGCTTAACTTGCATTCTATCAAACAGGAGACATGTTTTTAAACAAACATACAGCTAAGTACTATGAAGGAAACTAAAGCCAGGTAAGGGGACTGAAAAAGACAGCAAGTTGATGGCAGGGAAGGAGGGAGCCAGGCTGACAGCTGGGACATTTTCAATCGTGTGGTCAAGGAAGGCCTCTGTAAGGAGGTAATGTTTGAGCAGAGACCTGAATGAAGCAGAGATTGAGCGCCTCTGAGTGAGCCAAATTTGGGTTCTAATTCTGGCATTGTAATTTACTTGCTGTTGGGTCTCTCTGAATGTGTTTCATCATCTGTTAAAAGTACAGTTAATAAAACCTGCTTGTATTAATGTATTTGATATTAATTATCACTCTTCCTCCTCCTCTTCCTTTTCTTCCTCCTCCTCCTCCTCCTCCTCCTCTTCCTTTGCATTTAAAGGTTACTACAGCTTTATATTCTCTGAACATGCTGGTTAACCAGAGTTTATAGTATTTACAGTAACTATATTTTCCAAGTAAAAAAATCAAGTCTCAAGAAGATCAGTCTGAGGAAAAAAAACGTCATTTCTGATTTATGGGTTTATTTAAATAAATATGTAAGAGAGTTATAAAAATTAATTATATTTAGTTACACATTTAATTAATCTTTGCCTTTATGGATAAGAAGATTACATGAAGTTGACCATTTCTGGAAAGGCCAGGCCCGTGGATAGCCTAACTATGTGAAATGCCCACAGTCCCATGAAACTCTTTTTTGGAAATCTAGAAGTCCATTTTAACAGGTACAGATCTTAACTTCTTAGAACTCGACATGGGACAGTGGGTGGCATGAATGTTGACATAGGTGGAACGTGACAGAAAAGTTCTGCAGAGTTTCTAAGGTCATGTCTTCCAGAGGCTGGGGTCTGAGTGGGATTGATGTGGACAGCGTTGCTGTCAGTTCCTGGTAACATTAAAAGCTTCTTTAAAGAAAAAGTCCACTGGGACCTTATTAGTTCTAGAGCCGTTAGCTGCTCTGAGGGGAGATTCAGAGGCACATCAGCCTTGAGGCTGAGTTTGTTTTACATCAGGTTTCCTCTCAGGGAGCAATACAGCACATACCTCTGTCCTAGCAAGACTTCCAGCTGAAGGATTTCCTGAATCCAGAGTGTTCAGTCATCACTGTGATACTCTGAATTTGTACAGTGCTTTATGAATCACTTCGGTTTGTCCTCACAACAACCCTGCAGAGAGTCAGAGCAGACCCTCTCAACCTTATGGGGGAGGAACTCACACATCCAAGATCACCCAGGCAGCCAGGACTACACCCAGACCTGAGCCCATAAGCAAGTGTTTTACCTTGGCCACCTTGCTGGGAAAGACAACCCTCCTCATCATGGGAGCTGCTGACACATGGCAGATCTTTCTACAGAAATTATGTGGGTGACTATAGTTGGTGTTGTGAACCCAGTCATGTGTATGAATTTAGCCTATAGAGAGGAGATTTGACTCAGGCCCTGAAGCTAAAGGGAGCTGTGCAGAGAGAGATGGCACTTCAGAGGGGAAAGAGATTTTCCTTGGAACATCATTAGGATTACAAATTTTGGAGCTGGAGAGGCGCTGTGGGGATTGTATACTCCAGTCCCCTTAATGTTTAGGAAAAAAAAAAAAAAGGAACTTCAGCTCAGAGAAGCTAAGGGATTTAAATCACAGCTGGTTTGTGACCAAGTACTGTAGAAACCTGATGTTTCTAATGCTGGGGCAAAAGCATTTCCTTCCTTGCAGTATTTTCCTTCCTGGTATCAAGTTTACTCTCCTTATTTTCCCTGCTGCAATGGAAAGCCCTTTACATTTTGACAGTTTGATATTTTTAAATTGTTCATCCTAGTGCTCATGGTTCCTAAAAGCAGTCTTGATTAAAATGCCCTTAATCAAAATAATAAGAACAATGATTAAGGCCATCCTATCCTTGTTACTGTGGATTTATCCTCCTTACCAATGTCATTTTAATTCATGAATGTACCACAGAAATGGAGCTCACCAGGTCTTGGAAGCAGTTGCTACTTTCTTACAAACTGTGTTTTGTTTTCTGTTGTTTCATGTATTATAATGCATTATTCTTATTTCCCTACATGCCTCTCCTCACATCCAGGCTGTGAATTTCTTCTGAAGGCCTGGTACTAGGCCTTTCGAGACTCAGGATTGTGTCCTCCAGCACAATGCATGATCCACAGAAGGCATCATTAAATGTGTTTGTTTTGGTAGCATGTTTATACTCCATCTCCTTCAATCGCTTCAACTCCACCCCATCTCTCCCCAACCCCCAAAATCAGGATAAAAATCCCCCCACCTCAGAAATCAAGATACAATCCTAATAGTTAACAGACAGGAAAATTTGGAGCCTTGTGATTCATGCTTATATTTGTCTTTTTAAGTATCTGTATTTTGAGAACTAGTGGTCATTGTTATTCTCTATTCACTTGAACTGTCCTCGATTCTTTGTTCGTATCTGAGTTCAGTTCAACAATATTGATTTCCTTTTAATGGAATAGAAGCCACCTCAGATCTTTCCTACACATTGAGTTAATGTTTGGTGTTTTGGAGAGGAAACGCTGCCTAGGGATAAAGGACTCTGGCTGTGGAGTCAGAGGGGCACAGGGTCTCTCACGTACTGCCTGTGGGGTTTTCTATGGACAAGTTGTTTGGCCTTGATAAGCCTCAGGATTTTTCCAAACTATTAAAGCCAGGGCTGTACTGACCAAATCAGTATACTTACAATTCTAAACAGCAACATATTCCCGGATTGTTTTCTGTTCTGATCATCCATGCAGATGGAGGAATGGGCTTCTGCCAGAATAGGCATCTTGATGGTGATACTGGGTAGAAGAAAAGATAAGGAATATTACACTTTTAACTCTTATTTTATTAGTCATTAAAGCTTCCCTTGTGCAAATACTTGTAAACATTTGCTTAGTGTTTTTTAAAATATGTGACAGAAAGAGATTTATTGGAGCATTTGAAAATTTTTGGATCTCATTTCCCAAGAGTCTAGCAGTGCATCCCTTTACCCATTATTAAGCATTCATAAAAATAAAGAGTTCTAACAGCTTTCGACAGTATCTCAAAATTATAATGATTTCTGTGTCAGATATTTGTTTGCTTCAGACTCTGGCTGATTGATACTGTAGTTCATTCCACAGAATGAATTAAACTTGTTAGAAAGTGTTTAAGGAGCATGATGGTTTTAAAATACGTCCACAAATTCCTTGACACATCTCCCTTCAAAAAGTAGAGCCTAATTCTCCTTCCCTTGAATGTGGGCCAGACATAGTGGCTATATTCCTTTTTTTTAAAAAAAAACAACAACGGAGTTTCGCTCTTGTCACCCAGGCTGGAGTGCAGTGGCGCGATCTCGGCTCACTGCAACCTCTGCCTCCCGGGCTCAAGTGCCTCTCCTGCCTCAGCCTGCCGGGTAGCTGGGATTACAGGTGCCCACCACTATGCTCTGCTGATTTTTGTATTTTTAGTAGAGACAGGGTTTCCCCATTTTGGCTAGGCTGGTCTTGAACTCCTGAGCTCAGGTGATCCACCTGCCTTGGCCTCCCAAAGTGCTGGGATTACAGGTGTGAGCCACCGTGCCTGGCCCATAGTGACTATTTTCTAACCAGTAGAATGCGGCAGAAGTCATATTATATGACTTCTGAGGCAAGGTCATAACAAGGACACAGCTTCTGCTTGGCACTTTTCCTGTTGGATTATTCATGCAGGCAGAATTCATCCACCATGTTGTAAGGATGCTCAAGCTCCTGTGGAGAACAGAATGGGATATTCTCCCTCCAAACCAAGAGGGCCCTCCAAGAGAACTACTCACAGTGTTTGTTTAAGGTTCTTGCAGGAATGGTAGTCACGTTCTACTGAGAGATGTGATTATGTAGTTAACTTGCTGGTCTGCTACCTGTACGCTTCTGAGAAGCGAGAGAGGAAAGGCAGAGAGAGAGAGGTCAGTAAAGAGAACTGGCACTCTTTGGACAGTTGTGGATGCATGAATTTCCTGTGAATCAGTATAGAAGTTAGCTTGAGACAACTCCCTAGAACATTTCTCAAGAGCGCTGCCTCAGGATGAGGAAGCCTCAGCAGCATGAGACTGTGGAATGTAACTCTGCAGGTGGGATCTGAGAGTTCTCACATCAGGGAATTGTGCCATGGATAGGTCTCTCCATAGGGGCTCCAAAGAACTTATACAAGACTCCAGCAAATGCAGCTAGCATTTAGATGCTAGTGGCCAGTCAGTTTGAGGCTAACAGCCAGCAACAGCCATGAGAATACTGGTTAAGAGTCACATGTGTCTTTCCATGCCCCTTAATTCAGCGCCCTGGAGGAGTGAGGAGAAAAGTAGTTTTATACTTGTTTTCCAGTGGAACCTCAGCAGTCCATCCTCTGTGTTGCTTATGATTTAAGCGGTACTCCCAAGTTTTCCAGCTTCCTCGGCAAAGACATATTACTACTTCTGGCTGATAAAATGTGAGGCCATGGAAAGCATGTGTGCAGTTCTCCAGTCTCTGTGTACCTGCCATGGCCACTAAAGTAGTGGGTATACAGAACAGAGCCTTGTATTGAATCACCTTGGGCATGCAAAGTGAACAAGAATTAAACATGTAAACCTTTGAGACTGGAGCACTCTTTGTGACACCATAACCTCTCCTTCCCTGACTAATTCAAGCAGGGACACAGAAGTGGAATGCTCTCATGTTAGACATTTCCCTGGACATCTAGAGCTTATTTGAGAAGTTAGATTTTGAATTTAAGGTCTGGACAACTTGAGTTCAGCTTTAGAGAAGAGGACTGCTCCAAGTGTAGGCCAGTGCCAATTCATGAACTATATATTACCTGTCCATGAGGAGAGAAGTGCAGAATCAAAAATAAGCATTTTGGGCTGGGTGCTATGGCTTACATCTATAATCCCAGCACCTTGGGAGGCTGAGGCAGGAGGATCGCTTGAGGCCAGGAGTTTGAGACCAGCCTAGGCAACATAATGAGACCTCATCTCTACAGAAAAATTTTAAAAATTAGCTGGGTGTGGTGGTGCATGCCTGTATTTTCAACTACTTGAGAGGCTGAGGTGGGAGGATTGCTTCAGTCTGGGAGTTCCAGGCTAGAATGAGCTATGATCACACCACTGAACTCTAGCCTGAGCAACAGAGGGAGACCCCATACCAAAAAACAAAACGTAAGCATTTTGAAACTTTAATAGCAACTAGTCATTGCTTAGAAATTTTATTTTATCAAAAAATAGTAAGCATTTTGAAACTTTTATAGCAACTGGTCATTGCTGTGATATTTTATTGTGTTTTACAATAGTATTATTCTGCAATTGATTGTGAAAAACAAAAAACCCCAGAACTGACCCTTCATCAGTGTAGTTTGAGGAGCACTGCTTTATAATATGTACATTCAAATCAGTCTTAGGAAGATATAGTTATAAGGGTAATTAATTTTGGATATTTTTGTATTAATTTCATATATCTACTGTGTTTCTAAGATTTCTTGATCTTTCCTTTGAAATGACCCTAATATAATAAACAATTACAGTGGTAAGAGAAAACATCAGATGTGAATTCCCTGTGTTTTCTCCCCTTCACTTTCCAACTTGGCTTCACATGTTCTTCCTGCTTCTCTTAGGTACTCTTTTACAAAGTTCTACTTCCTCAACTTCTATTTACTTCTCCACTGTCTGAAATCTGACTTTCCCCCCACCACTATTCTTTTAAATTTATTTTTGCTAAAGTCATCAGTGATTTTCTAAATGTCAAGTCAGTTGACCTGTCCTCTTACTTGACTTATTTGAACTCCTTCTCCTGTCTGCCACACAGCCTTCCTGGGATTTCTCCTTTACTTGCCTTCTAAAACTCCTCCTAGCTCTGGCGTTTTACTCCTCAACAACTCTGCCTATTCAAAGCTATGTGTAAGTCATTTAGAGGGTAAAATTTTTGAAATTTAATTCATTAATGGATTTAATAAGTTATTGTGCATATTTTGTAAATAATCCTATTATAATATAAATAAGCATTTTCTTACCCATAAAAGAGAACCCAAAGAATGACGTAGTGGTGAGCTCACTGGTGTTGAGTTCCCTCAACAGAGGCCAAGTAGAGAACCTGACTTCCACCCCAAGGTAGTAACAGGATGGCAGTCCCCCACCCCTACCTCACTTCACTCAACAGAGTGGTGTCAGAGGAGACCTGATAAAACACAACATTCAAGTAAGATCCAAAATCTCATAGCATAATATCAAAAATACCTAGGTTTCAATAGAAAATCACTCATCATACCAAGAACTAGGAAGATCTTAGATTTAATGAGAAAAGACAGCCAATGGATACTGACACTGAGATGATACCGATGCTCAAAAGATCTGACAAAGATTTTAAAGTAAACATTATAAGAATGCATGAGTGAGCAATTATGAATAAGCTTGAAACAAATGGAAAAAATGGACAACTTCCACACAGAAATATAGTCTCAGCAAAGATGTAGAAGATATAAAGAAAAACCAGATGGAAAGTTTAGAACTAAAATTATCCAGTTCTCCTGGATAATATCCTGCAGAGTGTTTTCCAACTTGGTTCCATTCTCCTCGTCACTTTCAGGTACACCAGTCAGACGTAGATTTGGTCTTTTCACGTAGTCCTATATTTCTTAGAGGCTTCGTTCATTTCTTTTTACTCTTTTTTCTCTAAACTTCTCTTCTCGCTTCATTTCATTCATTTGATCTTCAATCACTGATACCCTTTCTTCCACTTGATCGAATCGGCTACTGAAGCTTGTGCATTCATCATGTAGTTCTCATGCCATGGTTTTCAGCTCCATCAGGACTTCTCTACACTGGTTATTCTAGTTAGCCATTCGTCTAATCTTTTTTCAACTTTTTAGCTTCTTTGTGATGGGTTCGAACTTCCTCCTTTAGTTCGGAGAAGTTTGATTGTCTGACGCCTTCTTCTCTCAACTCATCAAAGTCATTCTCCGTCCAGCTGTGTTCCATTGCTGGCGAGGAGCTGCATTCCTTTGGAGGGGGAGTGGCGCTCTGATTTTTAGAACTTTCAGCTTTTCTGCTCTGTTTTTTCCCCATCTTTGTGGTTTTATCTACCTTTGCTCTTTGATGATGGTGACGTACAGATGGGATTTTGGTGTGGATGTCCTTTCTGTTTGTTAGTTTTCCTTGTAACACTCAGGACCCTTAGCTGCAGGTCTGTTGGAGTTTGCTGGAGTCCACTCCAGACCCTGTTTGCCTGGATATCAGCAGCGGAGGCTGCAGAGCAGTGAATATTGCTGAACAGCAAATGTTGCTGCCTGATCGTTCCTCTGGAAGCTTCGTCTCAGAGGGGTACCTGGCCGCGTGAGGTGTTAGTCTGCGCCTACTAGGGGGTGCCTCCCAGTTAGGCTATTCAGGGGTCAGGGACCCACTTCAGGAGGCAGTCTGTCCGCTCTCAGATCTCAAGCTGCGTGCTGGGAGAACCACTACTCTCTTCAAAGCTGTCAGACAGGGACATTTAAGTCTGCAGAGGTTTCTGCTGCCTTTTGTTTGGCTATGCCCTGCCCCCAGAGGTGGAGTCTACAGAGGCAGGCAGGCCTCCTTGAGCTATGGTGGGCTCCACCCAGTTCAAGCTTCCCAGCCACTTTGTTTACCTACTCAAGCCTCAGCATTGGTGGGCGCCCCTCCCCTAGCCATGCTGCTGCCTTGCAGTTTGATCTCAGACTGCTGTGCTAGCAATGAGGGAGGCTCTGTGGGCTTGGGACCCTCTGAGCCATGCGCGGGTTATAATCTCCTGGTGTGCCGTTTGCTAAGACAGTTGGAAAAGTTCAGTATTAGGGTGGGAGTGGCCCGATTTTCCAGGTGCCGTCTGTCTCAGCTTCCCTTGGCTAGGAAAGGGAATTCCCTGACCCCTTGCACTTCCTGAGTGAGGTGATGCCTCACCCTTCTTCAGCTCACGCCCGGTGGGCTGCACCCACTGTCCAACAAGCCCCAGTGAGATGAACCTGGTACCTCAGTTGGAAATGCAGAAATCACCCATCTTCTGTGTTGCTCACGCTGGGAGGTGTAGACCTGAGCTGATCCTATTTGGCCATCTTGGAACTCCCTATTTATTTATTTTTGAGACAGAGTCACATTCACTCTGTCACCCAGGCTGGAGTGCAATGGCACGATCTCACCTCACGGCAACCTCCAACTTCTGGTTTCAAGCGATTCTCCTGCCTCAGCCTCCTGAGTAGCTGGAATTACAGGCATGCGCCATCACACCTGGCTAATTTTGGTATTTTTTGTAGAGACGGGGTTTCACCATGTTGGCCAGGTGGTCTCAAACTCCTGACCTCAAATGATCTGCCCACCTCCGCCTCCCAAAGTGGTGGGATTACAGGTGTGAGCCACCATGCCCGGCCATTACAAATGTCTCATATATTTATATTATCTCATATATAGTAAGTCCTTATTTAACATTGTCTATAGGGTTCTTGGAAACTGTGACTTTTAGAGAAACAATGTTTGAAGCAGCCAATTATTTTTACTCATTAACAAAATGGCATTGAAGGAAATAATGTTATTGTAGCACCTGCTGTGTAAGTGGTTTCACTACACTACTTGGTACAGTCGTATTTGCTGAAGGATTTGAGGTAGCCTCTGCCCTTTAGTACAGTTAGCCAATGATCTGAATAAAGCTCTCAGTGGGGTACTTCCTGATATTGTCAGAGTCGTGTTAGAAAATCAGAACATTGGTATAAGCTAGAGTTAAAGGAATCTTAGAACCATGGAATGTTGGAACTGGAAAGGGTTTTTTGAAAAATATTCAGTCTAACTCTTACTTTACTGATGAAAAAAGTAATGTTTTGGGAGGCTTTTTGACTAACATGAGATCACACAACAGATTTATACTGAGCCAAGAAGAGAACGCATTTCTCCTGGCTTAGTATATTGCTGTACCATAATCAGCGTCCTGTTGAAGTCACCAGGCTGAGAATTGTGCTAATTGAAGTATATTCAGACTGCTGGATGACTGGTGATAAATGTGTCTCTCCATTCAGTCTTTCCATATCAAAAGATTTGTCTTATTAAAATGTGTAACTTTATGAAGCTACAAATCTGATAATGCATAATGGCCTCCAACAGGACACCTTCAAGTATATGTATCTATAGCAATTCACGTATTAGACTCCAAGATCTCAACTTTTGTAGTTCATTGTCTTGTATCTTCTCATTCCTTCCTTGTCTCTCTTTTTATTGCAGATAGCTGAGCATTTTTCTTTTTTCTTAGAGTATAACTGTTGGGAATTGTGGTCAACAAGGTATCACAACACCAATGGTTTGCCTGTGGCTTACTTGGCATAATGGCCTTAAATTTCTGAAATTGAATTTTTTGAATCTTTTGAATAATGAGTGGTGTCCTCTCCAGTGCTGTTTTAGGGATTAGTTCAAGGGCAGAAGAAAATAATCATTAAAACAATTGAATATTCAGGCTATATATTAATAATAAAAATTATAATAGTAGCCATTTGTTGAGCCTGATTCCATTCCAGGAGCTGTGCTAAACCCTGAATCTGGATCTCACTTAATCCATAAAACAACCCTTTCTAATACGTATTACCACCATTTTACAGATGAAGAAACTGACACTTTGACAGGGCAAATAATATACCCAAGGTCACAGAGTTAGTACATATACAGACAGTCCCTGACTTAGGATGACTTGACTTAGATTTTTCGACTTTACAGTGGTTCAAAAGTGATACATTCAGTAAAAACCATTGTTCAAATTTTGATTTTTTTCCGAGGCTAGTGATAAGTGGTATGATATGCTCTTGAGATGCTGGGCAGCAACAGTGAGCCACAGCCCCCAGTCAGCTGTGAGATCATGATGGTAAACAACCAGCATGCTACGGTGTACAGAAGTGTGTTGCCAGTGATTTCTGGATATTGTATTTTGTTTTTCATAGCCCATCATTGTCTACAAAATGACCATTTTGATTTAAAATATTTTCAATTTATGATGGATTCATTGGGACATCCCATCTCAAGTCAAGCAACATCTCTGTATCTCACAAAATTAAATAGGGGACTGATCTTCAGCCAACAGCATGTACCTTAGAGAAAAAAAAATGTGTTTTTAATTTAGAAACAGAACCAAGCCTTTCAACATAATACTAAATTAATAGATAAACCTTTCAAATAAAAAAGGCCTTATTGGATTTCTAAATTCACCGTCCTTGCCTGAACATCTCCACCACCTAGCACTGAGATACATGCTTCCATAGTAGGCATCACCAGTATTTGCTGGCTACCCTGGCTATTGCCATTGTTAGTCAGAATCACCTCATGACAGAAGGGCTTGATAAAAGGGATAATTGAGTATATTCTGAGTAATTGACAGAAATGACGTTTGGCTCCTCAGGCAGAAGCTATATATGTTTTAGAATTATATATTGTAGTTTGGGAAAAAAGTATCTAAACTAATTTTTATCCTGTCTGCTCTTCTCTGGTGACAGATAAAGTTGTCACCAGAGTAAAAAGTAAAAAACAAAAACAAACAAAAAACCCAGAAAACAGAACCCACAGGACTGAAAGGAACCTTATAGAAGTGATCAACAATTGAGGTGATCCAGTCCACTCATGCAGCAAAAGGAATCTCCAGATTTTCCAAAAGACTTTCAAGGCTGGTTTTCAAAATTATCTTTCATAGAAAACCTTAAATAGCCAGCTATCTTTCTGCATCTGCATTCTTTCTGCATCTGCATTCACCCAGAAGTGTTTCATGCCCAATTTCTTGAAGACATATTTATATGTAAAGCTAGATACATATGTATAAAACAAAATGTCACTATCATTCTGATAGGGTACTCACAGGATTATGCTAATAATTTTATGCTAAAACAAAATTATTGACATTATTGAGAAACACCATATCATTATGAAGATACAACTAGGAAGTTTCTGAAGCATCAAAGTGGCAGTTTATTGTTATAAAGTGGTGGAAGAAGCCTCAAGCTCCCGAGAGACTGTAATGAATCTTCTGCTTTTCCTTGGGAGCAAAGGGAGCAATATCTTTAATTTGGGGAGTGGGGGAAGACAAGTGTGTTTTCCACACTTGTGATTTAGGTATGTGTTCATTAAATTGAGTCAAATGTTGACTAATGGCAAAAAAAAGAGAAAGGAAAGACTATAATGTAAAAGGAATCTGCTTAAACTTTGAATTTTCCATATAGGATATCTGATTTAGGTGGTTCTTTTGTAGGTTTTAAGCTTGCTATAAAGTCTCATAAACAGAAGATTAAACAAAATAGGTAATATGGTGGTATTTCCCAAAACCATGTTAAGGAAATAATAGTAGTGCTTTACTTCTGTAAAGAGCTTTACCACCTACAGTCTTGGTACTCAAAGTGTGGCCCATGGATCAACAGCATCTCATCTCCTGGGAGTTTGTTAGAAATTCAGACTCTCCCTTGGCCTCACCTTAGACCTAGGAAATCAGCCACTGTATGTTAACAAGGTCCCCTGTGATTCTTACTCACATTAAGTTCAGAGGAGCCTCTGTCTACAAAATACTTTTACGTGCATCATCTCCCCCGCCAATGTAGTGCAAACATAGGAAAAAGTGACATCAACCTTACCACATGCAGGAATCATTTCCCCTGAGGTGAAGAGAATAATGATAATGGTAGCAACTACTGCTCTTTAAGTCTACACTGTGCGCCAGGCACTCTACCTAAGTATTCACCTCATCCTTACCACACCTCGTGAGGGAGGTAATACTAGCTCCACTTTACAGTTGAGGAGAATGAAGTTCAAGAGGGTAAGTAACTTGCTTAAGATCACACAGCCAGGAAATGCCAGAGCCAGATTAAATCCTTGACCGCCAAGCTCCTGCTCTTTGCAAGTGTTTGAGAACATCTTGGAATGAGAAAGGGATTACAAAGGTGGATTTCAGCTGTGGCTGCATTTTGGCGTTACCTGGGGAGCATTACAAAACACTGATGCCCACTCTCAGAGATTCGGATTTAATTGGTCTGGGATCTAGATCTGACATTGGGATTTTAAAAATCTTTCTCAGCAATCCCAGTGTCTACCCCAAGGTTGAGAATTTCTGGTTTATGGACTGGCTAACCTTTAGTTTGCCCCTGTTAATGGGATTTCCATCGGGAACAGTTCATCTGCCTCCCTTCACTTATTATATGGGTAAACTTTGAGATTGCTGTCATTGGGAGTAGTGGCGTAAGTACCTAAAGCATTTGGGTACTTGTTACATGGAACAATCACATCATGTTCAGGGAGAGAGAGATTGAATATGGCTGTCTAGATCTGGCTAAATGTCCAAGGCAGTTAGGCATCTTTTGCAATCTTTATGAGCACAGTTCTCTGAACATGATGATTTCCTCAGTTGTCTTACTTCTTACACAATCTAGCTCTCATTGTCAGGTACGACTTACTTAAAATCTCGTGTTTAGGTCTGCAAGTGAGTCTCAGTGTTAGATAAATTGTGTAAAATAAATTCCAGGGCAGGTGTAGTGGCTCACACCTGTAATCTCAGTACTTTGGGAGGCTGAGATGGGCAGATTGCTTGAGCCCAGTAGTTTGAGACAAGCCTGGGCAACATGGTGAAACCCCATATTTACCAAAAAATATAAAAATTAGCCGGGCATGGTGGTATGTGCTTGTGGTCCCAGCCACTGGGGAGACTGAGGTTAGGAGGATCACTTGAGCCTGGGAGGCAGTGGTTGCATTGAACCGAGATTGAGCCACTGTACTCCAGCCTGGGTGACAGAACAAAACCCTGTCTCAAAAACAAAAATAAAAAAATAAGGAGATACCAAAGTTCTATCCTGCTCCATAATTTGCTGACAGGAATTGGCTGTGTGCTTTACTTATTCATTTAATCCTTACCTTACCGTGTTTCTTAGGTGAGCAAACTGAGGTTCACAGAAATTAAGCAGTTTGCTAGAACTGTGATTCAACTCAAAATAATTCAAAATAGCCCATGTTCTTTTCTCTTTACTGTACTTTTTTTTTTGTTTTTTTGAGACGGAGTCTTGCTCTGTTGCCCAGGCTGGAGTGTAATGGCGCAATCTCGGCTCACTGCAACTTCTGCCTCCTGGGTTCAAGCAATTTTCCTGCCTCAGCTTCCCAAAGTGCTGGGATTATAGGCGTGAGCCACTGTGCCCAGCCTACTGTACTTTCTAACAGGAAAGAGGGTCTAGCCCTGAACAGCCAACGCTTGAAATTTAAGTTAGTTCAACACAGACTTACAGAGGCTTTGATGTGAGCCAGACTCTGAGCTAAGTTACAGGTATCTAGAAATGAAGAAGGTGTCTAGGTACAGTGGTTCATACCTGTAGTTCCAATACTTTGGAAGCCTGAGGCAGGAGGATCACTTAAGCCCATGAGTTTGAGACCAGTCTGGGCAATATAATGAAATCCCACCCCCAAAAAAAAAAAAAAAAATTAGCCAGGCATGGTGATTTGAACCTGTAGTCCCAGCTACTTGGAGAGGGGCTGAGGCAGGAGGATCACTTGAGTCTTGGAGATTGAGGCTTCAGTGGGCCATAATCACATCACTGCACTCCAGCCTAGGTGACAGCCTATGGAAAGAAAATGTGAGGCACATACGTAATTTAAATTTTTCTAGTGGCTGCATTTTAAAAGTTAAAAAAGGATGAAATAATTTTAATAATATATTTTATTAACCCAGTATATAAAAATATTATTTCACCATGTAATCAATATGAAAATTAATGACATTTTACATTCCTTTTCTCATACGAAGTCTTGGAAATCCTGTGTCTGTTTTACATTACTGCATATCTCAGTTTGGACTAGCCACATTTCAAGTGCTCAGCTATGTTATTGGACAGTATTATCTAGAGAAGCACTGAGGAAAGCACAACTTCCTTATTGTTGAGGGGAGCAAGGATTAGGGGAGGTTGGTTGGTTGTTGCTACCATTACACTGGAGTAAGTGTAATGCTGTGTTCCCCAGGCTTTATCCCTGCACCCAGTGAAATCATGCCTTACACTTCTTAGTGACCCTTAGTTATAAATGTTCTCATATATCAAAGTTTTAGCAAAATGACTTAAGATTCCAGTTCATGACAGCCTTTTTCTAGCCTAGTGTACAGAAAAGCTACTTGTATCTCCAAGGCCCAGTCTTGTCTGTACTAGATATTTTTAGTAGGGCCTGATTCTTTCTGTCTGTACCAAATATTTTTAACAGGGCCTGACTTTGCAATGGTTATAGTTATGTCAAACCTTTTAAGAATCAATCTAAACAATAAGTGTTTTGCTTTAATTTATTAAGATATTTTTAAAATTTGGAGCCTAGCACAGTGGCCTGGAGTCCCAGCTACTCAGGAGGCTGAGGCAGGAGGATTGCTTGACCCCAGGAGTTCGAGGCCAGCATGAGCAAGCTAAATCACAAATTGTGTTCTATAGAACTCTTCTTCCAGGACATGTGGATAAGGCTGTCATATCCCTGCAATCAAATAATTTGGAATTCTAGATTCCTCTCCAGGAAATTCATTCTGCATATTAGTATATGAAGGGCTCTGAGAAGTCGTGTATTAACTTTGTTTAATCCAGTGTTTCATACTCACTTGACCATGGAAGACACATACTTCTCAGGACATCTGCAGTATTAACATCTTATGAGACACAGCTGCTCTGTGGAGAAAGTTTCAGAAAACACAGAACTAGGAGATCACTTCAGTTACTTTGCTGACCCTATATTTGTATAATGACTGCCTTTCCCACTAGAAGAATAAGGCACAGAACTCCTTTTTCCATCTAAATCAACATAGTGGGGATTAGAGAGTGGGTATTCAGTCCAGCAGACCTTGAGAACTGACATTTCTGTGGAAGTACAGTCTTTACAACTACTTAGACTAGAGTCACTCTGTATTTAAGTGAACCATTGTAGAGAGCAGGATTGGAAGAATGAAGAGTGTGGATTAACCTCAAATACCGTGAGATTGTGAAATTGCCACTCAACACTGGATTATAAAACACTGGAAACTCGTAGTTCTCCGTGGCCAACCCCAGCCATAGTTACGTTTGTGATGATTTTGATCAATCTGAATGACATATCCAGGGTCCAGCCCAGTAATTAAACAATTCTGTGGTTCGATTATTTTATTATATTAAGGAGAGGGACTCTTGTCAATGGAGAAACCATGTAATGCTGCAGTAAATTATTTCATATCTATTTGGAGCACAGAGCCAAATTCATTCTCTTTTAGTCCTCTCCAATCCTCTCTAGGACCAAAACATCCTCTCGTTTCATATGTTGTTTTTTGCCTCAGGGGTACAGTGTCTTTCAGTAATAGAGAATACAGTGACTTTGCCGCTTTCTAATTTCCATTTTTTCCAGATCCTCTAAGGATTGTAGATGGGTATGTGCAGTTTCTAAGCCCCCAGAGTAGTATTTTTTTCACCTACTTTATGCAGATGCCTCATAAGAGAAAACTCATTCTTTTGTCTCTTACCCAGTTTTTTGTAATGAGCTATGCAACATTTTTTTTATTTAACAGATGAAGCTTTACTGAATTACTTATGAACATATTTCTATGCTGAATAAATTTTATTAATGATTTTAAAAAATCACTGTTCAGCCAGTTGGCTTGTCTTATTAATGATTGGTGATAATTCTTTTTCAAGCAGATCTTTATGAACTACTGCCTATAAGAAGCACATCATAAAGGAAATATGAATCCTTTTGTTGTTAGCCTACACAGTATTGATCTGTACTGTTTTGTGTTTCCAAAGTTCAAGATGTAAAACCATTCTTTGTTCTTTTGCCTTTGGCAGCATTGGTGGTAATTACAGTGAGCTGATGGCTGGGGGTGTTGCATATTGTGTTTGGGCCTCCATTTCTACAGTTACTACCCTGAGTTGTGATTGGGTCTGCCTTGAGGTTGTGAGCAGGAAGCCGTGTTCATCATCTTTTATCCCTGATGCCGCCTGTAGTACTACAGTAAATGTTTGTTGAAAGAATGATAAAGGCATTTTTAGAAAATTAAGTCCAAGCCAACAGAGATTAATAAATCGAGGTATTTTTCACTCTGGAGGGCTCAGAGAACCTGATCCTAAGGAGCTAAGCTAAGAAACAGGTTCATACCAACAGTAGCCAGCTCTCTAATGTTGGGTAGGTTGTGACCCTTCTTTGTACTTCAATTCTCCATCTGGAAAACAAATGATTAGTAACTTTGCATCCCTCCAAGTAATACGGTAATGATAAAGGGGAGGCATGAGAGCATGGTGAGCTCTTTGGAGGAAAGGTATATGTAACACTCAGTCATCATTATCGCCACTATTATTTTTCTAGGGTATGCAATGTATTCAGTTTATTCCTCGAAGAACACAGAAGAAAGCTAGCTGGAATAGAGAGTTCATGTTGGTGAGACATGGAAAATGAGACTGGTTAGGCACAGTGAGCCCAGTTTAGAATACATCTTTTCTGAATTGGGGAACCTATAGGACTTTGTCCTAAAAAATTACCTCTACCTTCTACCTCAACTCCAAGTTCTAGGAGCATGAAGTGACAGCCTGAGACAACTGGAGACCCATGACTAGGTCTCAGGTGAGCTATCTAGAGATGATTTGTAAATCACTGGACATAGATAGTGTCTCCCTAAATCCTACCTTCTCTCCTGTATCTTGCTTACAGAAGCCTTGGTTTATTGCCCAGATGTCATTTAATGCTATTTGAGTGTACTGGTTAAGAGCTTGAACTATAGAATCAGACTTCCTGGGCTTGCCCTTTCTAGATGTGTGACCTACGGCAAGTTCTGTAGCATCTCTGACTCATCTGAAATAATAGGATAATTACAGCATTTAACAACCCACTTGTGAGATTAAATTAACAAATGTAAAATGCCTAGAATAGTGCCTGGCACATAGGTTTCAATAATTTTAGCTATTAGAATGGATATTATTATATACTGGGAATTGAGCTGAGCACTATATATATTATCATTCTATCATCTAGCTATAGATCTGAGACAGGGATTTGGCTAGCACCCAACCACTTGGAGAATGGGGCCAAACTCCATTGGAGCACAAGCCACATACTTTGTTTTGGGTAAATATTGGGCCTAGATACAGCTTGCTTTCTTTGAGGTCAAACAGGAAAAAAACAAAAAACAAACAACAACAACAACAACAACAACAACAACAAAGAGAGATAAGTGAAAAATTGCTACAGAATAAGGGAGAGGCAACAGTGATTCTCAGAAGACAAGCAGACCTTTAAAAGTTGCTTACTGTAAGAATGAAGGGAAAAATGTATAAAAGTTTGGCATCCTTAGTAGGATACAAAAAGACATGAAGTAGAAGTAAAAAATATATATTTTTTCTTTTTTTGGAGATGGAGTCTCGCTCTGTCACCCAGGTTGGAGTGCAGTGGTGTGATCTCAGCTCACTGAAACCTCTGCCTCCCGGGTTCAAGCAATTCTCCTGCCTCAGCCTCCCGAGTAGCTGGGACTACAGGCACATGCCGCCACACCTGGCTAATTTTTTGTATTTTAGTAGAGACGGGATTTCACCATGTTGCCCAGGCTGGTCTCAAACTCCTGAGCTCAAGCAATCCACCCGCCTCGGCCTCCCAAAATGCTAGGATTACAGGCATAAGCCACCGCCCCCAGTCAGAAGTAAAAATATTGAGAAGGCAGGTTGATACGGGAGAAAGGGGTTGAATAAAAAAAGATGGATGATAGAAGGAAGATCGTAAGGACCCTAAAATGTAAAGTGTGCAATAAAGGTAGAATTGAGAAGAACTGATACAGCGGGAGGCTGGGTGTGGTGGCTTACGCCTATAATCCCAACATGTTGGGAGGCTGAGGCGGGCAGATCACCTGAGGTCAGGGATTTGAGACCAGCCTGGCCAACATGGTGAAACCCCATTTCTACTAAAAAATACAAAAATTAGCTGGGTGTGGTGGCATGCGCTTGTAGTCCCAGCTACTTGGGAGGCTGAGGCAGGAGAATCACTTGAACCCGGGAGGCGGAGGTTGCAGTGAGCCACGATCGTGCCATTGCACTCCAGCCTGGGCACGAGAGTGAGACTCCATCTCAAAAACAAACAAACAAACAAACAAAAAAAAAAACCTGAAACAGTGGGAAACTGAATCAGTAGAATACAGAAGGAAAGAACAAAGAGAAGGAAAGGATGGGAAGCATTGATACTGGGCTTGAAGTTCTTCCGTTTCTCATCTTGCTCCCATATTTCAGTGAGCTGATGTGTTGTAAGATGGCTTTTGCTGCCAAGAGAAGTTTGGGCCTGCTCTTCCCGTTGGCTGCCCTTCTTTGGCTCCTTTGTTAGTACCAGAAGATGTGTTTCTTTGTCTACATCCTTCATACCCCATTTCAATAAAATCGCTTGTCCAGTGTAATACAACCAAAAGCCATAACTGGTGTGGTTCTGTCCCAGGACTTCCTAAGAACGGCTTAGGTATTTTTACATGGTGAGAATATTATTAGAAGAGTTACTAAACTAAAACAATTTTTATTCTACAAAAGAGAGCTGTAGACAACAATATAGTGATCATTTTTATTACCTAGAAACTTTGAGAAAATGATTGTATACATCCCTTAAATCTATAACGAATGATCTAAATCTAAGCAAAGACCTAGTGGCAAATAGTTGTCATCAAAGTCTTTTTTATTATTATCTGCCTTTAAGAACCTGGTCTTATTATATTTATGTTTTGAAATCAGTGCATATAATATGATTTCAGTAATGTAAACAAAACAACCCATATCAAAACAAAATGAAACCACTAACAACAGCAAAACCCATAAAGATTATCAGAACTACTCTAAAATGTTAACAATGATTATCTTCAGTCATCAGGTAAGATAGATACATAGGGATTTTTTCTGTATTTTTAAATATTTTCTACATTGAATCTTTTGACTATAAGAAACAGAAAATCTGGCTTACAATGGTTTAAATAAATAAGGGCTTATTTTTCTCACAAAACAATAATTGTGAGGCACCTGACATTGGTTCAGAGGTTTAAGGATAATAAAACCAATTTCTCTGCAGTCCTCTTGGCCTTTCTTATATTCTCGCCTCTTAAGCCTCATGGTCACAACATTGCTGCTGAAGCTTCAAACCTCATGACTCATTCGAATAAGTAAAAGGGAGCTGCTTCTGTATCCCTTTATCAAAAAAGCAGGCTGAGCGCGGTGGTTCACACCTGCAATCCTATCACTTTGGGAGGTCAAGGATGGCGGATCACTTGAGGTCAGGAGTTCGAGAACAGCCTGGCCAACAGGGTAAAACCCTGTCTCTACTAAAAATACAAAAATTAGCTGGGCGTGGTGGCGTGCTCCTGTAATCCCAGCTACTCAGGAGGCTGAGGCAGGAGAATCGCTTGAACCTGGGAGGCGGAGTTTGCAGTGAGCCAAGATCGTGCCACTGTATTCCAGCCTGGATAATAGAGCAAGACTCTGTCTCAAACAAAATAAACAAAACAAAACAAAAACAAACGCTTACCCTAAAATCCCAAAAAAGTTCTGCTTTTGTCTAATTGATCACAGTAGTGTCACTTGACTAACCCTAGCTGTAAGAAAGGCTGGGAAGGTAAATACTTGGCTTTCTAGCCCCATAGGCAGAGGCAGGCAGGAGAGGAGGAGGAAGCTGAAAATGAATATTGGGTGCACCAGCCTTTGCTGTCTGCCACAAGCATTTTTTAATTTAGTATTTTCATAACAGAAATTTTTTAAATTTCAATTTTAGTTCAATTTTGAATTTGCTATACAATCTCAATAATTCAAAAGCATGCACAACAACAACAAAAACTAAAAGAAAGCCACAGAAGCAGTAAAGTTGTCTGCTCTAGGTCTTGAGACTAGTGATATTCTGCCTTAGTGTCCTCACTCGTTGCTGTAAGTGATCAGAGGGAGAAAAACTGGGTGGTTTCTTTATTTACATATGCATGGAAGAAGTGGTTGGCTGGAGATAAGCATGTAGACAAGAAGGTCTGGCAGAATAGTTAGGCAAAGGAACCCACCCTTCCTGATGTATGTAGTAGGGTTGAGGTTCACTGTGAACCAACAAATGTCTTGGGAAGCCCAAGTTCAAGTGATTTTCACAGGTTTCTGTAATCCTGTGAGTCTACAGCTCAAATAAAGAGGTAAATGGGGTTTCAGATTTAAAGTGGATTACAAGAGCTTTCTAGGAAAACATGTTTAAATAGCATCTCTGTGATGTGCATAAGTGAGCCAGCCTCAGGAGCCTCCAATTTCCTATGTAAGTTCCTCTCAATTAAACAGAAACGGAAGAAAAACTGAAAGCAGTAAATGGATTCACAATTTTAATCCCATTTTGCTCCTTTCAGTGTTTTTGAAATTGCCCTAACCAAAAGCCCATATACTAACAGAAAAATGAGCAGAATATGTGAATCACTTGTTTTGATAGCATTATGCTTAATCTAGCTAGAACACTTCACACAATCATAGAGTTTGAATTTCCATCCAGTGTGAATTTTTAAAAGGAAGCTTTTCAGACCCGATTGCCTTGGGAACACAGATTTCATAATTTGCTCTCCAGCCTTGCTAAAACATCCATCTGTCTTTGCAATTGAATTTGCAAGGTAAAATCATTTTAAAGGGCTGCTCTATTGACCAGCTCTTCTGCTGTTTCTCCCTTTTCCTGTTCATTTTCAGGGCTTTCTATTTGTCTGGGCAGACCATGCTGTCCACTTATCCTCCCTGGGCTGAAGGCATGATGCTGCTCTGGAGGATGGGCTTTGTCTTCACCCTGGGTTGCACAGTTGAATTCTGTAGCAGTTACTGTCTCAGACTCTCAGAGAGGCAAAGTAACCCAGGGAAAAAAATGTGCTGGGCTGGGAGGTGGTGGGTGTGAGTTCAGGTCCTAGCTCTGAATCTTAGTGACCACATGGCCTCTGTGAGTGTCTTCAAAAGCAGACCCAGCCACCCTGCCTTTGTCCCTAGACTCAAATAAGATAATGAAGGTCCCAGGGCGTTGAAAGCAGATGAGAGCCCTAAAATGTTAAATTTAATTAAGCTCAACAATATAGCAAACATTTTTGAATTTTAGGGTATCTGAGGTATATCCAGGTAGACATATTCAGAAAGCAGTTAGATTTATGAGACTACGGCTTAGGAGAGAACTCAGAGCTAGAATTGCCTATTTTAGGAGTCACATACTTGGTATTTTGTGCCGTGTCATGAGATCACCAAAAGAGAATTTTGTATATTATCATTATCATTATTATTATTATTGCTACTACTGTTTTTTATTATTAGGAAGGGTTCCCCTCTCCCTTATTAATAATCATTGTGAAATTAGGAGGAAGCCCATACTTGGGTGTTTTTTAATCTGTCTTCTTAATGCATTACATTTTACAGATAAATTGGTGAGGAGGATCAGTCAGTAAACGAGATTTTTAAAGTAAGGTTTTCAGTTTCTCAGTCTTTTGCTTAAATTATTGGATACCAGCCAAAAGACTTCCCAATTAATTAGCTTTGATGATTTATTTTAACAACTTCAGCTGGATGACAGTACAAAAATGAAGTTGTTTCTTCAGATTATTAATTAGTAGTGCCAGAGTGTAAAATTACCTCAGAGCATCCAGTGTTACTCAATGTGGTGCTATTGTCGTTTTGGGTGTGATGTCTTTTCATTGTGTAGGATTTTCCCACATGGTGAAGGTTGTTTAGTATCCCTGGCCCCACCCACACTTGCCAGTGTGGTCTCCCAGATATTTTGACAACCAAAAATGCCCCCACCACATTTGCAAAGGCCCTGTAAGGGCACTTCCTCCCCTACCTACACACTCTGGTACTTAAGGAAATGGGTTCCATCCCCACGTAAGCAGAGCTTTGATATAGTATTCTCAGAGCCCACAGTTTTGCACTGTCCTTAGGTGAGATGATCTGGTGTCAAGTTCCCTTTGATACTTACTTAGGAAATATGATGGCATCTAAGACAGTGAGTTGTACTCTAGCTAAATAATGCTAGAGGGAGTGGCAGTTTTTTATTTTGTTATTTGTAATATTGAGGACTATGGTAATTGAAGCTGTTTGGAATAATACCAATACCCTAGAAACTGTTTCATTTGATCTTCATAATAGCCTTCTGAGATAGATGAAAACCTGAGGCCAGAAGAAGTATTAATAGTAACTTTCTTAAGAGCACATGACATGAAGTAGTAGAGCCGGGAATAGGGATCTTCTGATTCTGCTCACAGTGCCTTTCAACCATAAAGCACTGTGCCACATAACTGGCAATTCTGGATTATTAAATCTTGTAGAATAAGACCCATGAAACAAATTGCAGAGCTTAGGCAGCAAAGTTGAGAAATGGCAGGCTCAGGGGACACACCAATTACCAAGGCAAAGTCAGCTGAGCATGCAACAGATATAAAATTTTTTGATTGCTTGATTGTTTATAACTTGTTTCATTCCATAAAGGATTTATTTAACTTCTAATATCAAATGATGATATAATAGAAATAGAAAATCAAGATCAAAGAGCCCAAACATGCAGCATATAAGGGCTAATATAGTTGTTATAGTAGAGTTTCATATTTAAGCCAGAGCTTCTTGGTGGCTGAAGCAAAGAAAGAAATATAGTCATGTGTCGTTTAACAATAGGGATACATTCTGAGATGCATCATTCGGCAATTTCTTCATTGCGTGAACATCAGAGTGCACTTACACAAACCTGGATAGGATAGCCTACTACACACTTAGGCTACGTGGTATATAGCTGACTGCTCCTAGGCTACAAAGTTGTATAGGAGGGTACTGTACTGAAATGTTTAACACAATGATAAATATTTGTGTATCTAAACATAGAGAAGGTATGCTAAAAATATGGTATTATAATCTTATGGGACCACTGTTGTATCTACAGTCTGTCATTGACTGAGTGTCTGTCCTTGACTATATACATAATTCTTTTTTTTTTTTCTTTTGAGATGCAGTCTTGCTCTGTCACCCAGGCTGGAGTGCAGTGGCGTGATCTCGGCTTGCTGCAACCTCCGCCTCCTGGGTTCAAGTGATTCTCCCACCTCAGCCTCCTGAGTAGCTGGGATTACAGGTGCATGCCACCATGCCCAGCTGATTTTTGTATTTTTAGTAGAGACGGGGTTTCACCATGTTGGCCAGGTTGGTCTCGAACTCCTGACTTCAGGTGATCCACCCGCCTTGGCCTCCCAAAGTGTTGGGATTACAGGTGTGAGCCACCGCTCCTGGCCCATAATTCTTTTTTTAATTTAATTTTGTATTTTTATGGATACATAGTAGTTGTATATAATTATAGATTATATGAGATATTTTGATACAAGCATATAATGCGTAATAATCACCATCGGGGTAAATGGGGTACTTGTCCCCTCAAGTATTTATCCTTTGTGTGACAAATAATCCAATTATACTCTTTTTAGTTATTTTTAAATGTACAATTAAATTATTATTGGCTACAGTCACCCTGTTGTGCTATCAACTACTATACTGATTTTATTCATTCTTTCTAACTATTTTTTTCACAATTGTTATTATCCAAAAGATGGGAGCCTAGCATTCCTCAGGGAAAGGGTAGCTGAATTCTAAAAGAAATTTCTCAAGAGAGAATTTAAATAGGGGGGTTCTGGTGACAAAATGTATGGTATCAATACAATTGTACAGCAAAGATTGTAGTAGACTTCAGTGTGCTTTTGCTAACAGCAATCTTTAATCAAGAGCAAATTAACTAACTCGAGGGCACCATGATAACCCACAATTCTGTGTAGGTCCAAGGTAATTTGGTTCAAGTTTACAGGTTTTTGTGGTCTCCCTAGATCCAGGGCTAGAATTTAGAGCATCCAGAGGCATGGATGGCTCAAAAGCTCCTTGGGAAACTTCTGTTAATAGACGTCTGTCTCACACAGACTTTGTTAGAATATGATTTGTAATTGTAGGCTGTGACAAGGGCTGGGAGGGTTTATATTGGAGGGCACATCTATCAGGATGTGCTAGGTGCTAATAGAGTAACAGCCCATAAATCTTAGTGGCTTAATACAACAAAGTATTATATTCATACAAAGCCTACCACAGGTCCATGCAATCCTTAGGGGCAACACACTAATCTAAGCCTGCCTTAGCTCCGTCTTCCTATAGCTGTACCATCTGGAATACAATACATAGCTTCTGCAAGTTGATGAGACAGAGGAAGAGAGAACATGGAATACTGCACTTCAGCTCTTCAACGCTTCTGTCTGGAAGTAACACAATCATTTCTCATTACTTTTCACTGGATAAAGCAAGTCACTTGCCATGCCTAACTTCTCACGAGTGGGAAATACATACCTGAACGTGGAAGAGATCCAGATAGCAGGGAGCATTGGTAAAGTCTACTGCAGATGAGCAAGAAAGGTAATCCAAGCCAAGTGAATAGGATACTCACAGGCAGAAGAGGCAGGGTAGGATTGAGCAGAAGGGAGTATGGGACTGCTCTGTGGCTGGCATAGGAAGACTGGATTGGGCCTGAATCAGGAAAGCGCACAAATTCCACTTGACTACACTTTGTAGGCTAGAGGGACCCTCAGAAGGTGCTCCAAGGAGATGGTACTGGTTCAGCTTTCAGGGTCTTAGCTCAAGGGAGGAGAAGGAACAGTTGTCTCAGCATTTCAGTGATTCTATCCCATGCCTCTAAACAAATGTTTTTTTCATACTGAAGCTAACTCCTTGTAACATTCCCTGCATTGCTAACTTGTGAGGCTGCCTCCCACCTCTTATTGTGATCCAGAATGAAAACCAGGCACACTCTGACTTTTCCAAACAGTGACTAATGGCGGGGCTTGGCCAGGCAGGCCCAGCATATTTTTCACTCTGCTCTGGGCTTCCCACCAAGTCTCTCCCAGTGGCCCGGCCATAGCCTTTAGAGATGACTGTGCCTAGCACTTCCTACCTCATCATCTATCACCAGCACCCCTCTCCAGCCACCTCTTTTTAAATAGGTTTAATTATTACTTCCCTTACTTCATGGCACAATTAATCTTCCCCACTGCCTCAGGATTTACAGTGGCACAGGCCCAGGGAATTTCTGAGCTATTCACCTGCAGTCTTAGTCTTTAAGTATCCAAGGGAAGTGGGAAGGATGGCTATGCATGAAGGCAGTGAATATTTGTGGGTTCCAGTGGGCTCGTCACTGCTCATTCAGCCCAAGCCTTTGGGATGGTGGTGGGAGGGGACTGAAGAGGAACTGACCCTGCTCCCAGTTAGCATCAGGGGGAGTCTTGAGGGGTGGGGGTGAGCAATAGAACCTATTTCTCTGCATTTGGAGAAATAAATGTATAGCAAATAAATAATACATTTAGACTCTAAAATGTAGTCTCTACAAAAATACTACATTTTATTTCCTCCAAAGTTGGTTTAAAAGGTAGATAGCGTCCAATGGAGTGTAGCTTATAGGAGGGAGAGGTGGTACAGAGATTTCCCAACCTTATTATAGCAGGCTCCTCAGAGTTGAAACAGAAGGGAAGGGCAATTGGGATCTGGAACAGAAGTGGCCACCAAACTCTCAATGTCACTGAAGACATCCTAAACTGCTGTTGAAGCAAAAGAAGATAACAGGCTCGTAACTTCACTTATCCTTCAAGGAACAGGCTGAGCCTGGTGGGTTTAGTAGAAAAAGGAGACAGATGTAATTAAGTTAAAGGATGGCAGAACAGACGTGCGATGGCGCAAGAGTTCTCCAGAGGTGATGCCCACACAGATTACATCTGCATCCTCCTACTACATTTCTTAATCTTTTAGGATTTTCTTGTATCTAATGTGTACTTCTCTGTTCTCTAGATACAGATTTAGCCAGGCCATCAATCTGTTCATATGCAGCTGCTAAGAGCTTGGTTTGCCACAGCAGTATACTAATGTTAATAAAGAAGAAATTGGCACATGATGCAAATATTTGTGTGTATGGTGAGGGAAAAGAAATGGGCACAGAATCATGCCTGTCTTTTACTGGACGACATTTCCAGATGAAGGGAGAAGGTAAAAGAGTGTGGACTAAGCTGGGTATGGTGGTGTGTGCCTGTAGTCCCAGCTACTTGGGAGGCTGAGGTGGGAGGATCACTTGAGCCCGGGAGGTCATGGCTGTAATGAGCTGTGATTGTGCCACTGGACTTCAGCCCGGGTCACAGGCTGGAGTGTAAGACTCTGTCTCTTAAAAAATAAAAAAAGCATGGAGCATGGACTTCTGAGTCAGAAAAATCTGGGTTTTAGTAACAATCCTGCCACTTAGAGCCGTGTGGGCCTGAGTAAGCTCTTGAACCTTTTGGGGCTCTGAGACCACAGTATCAACCTTGTTTTGGGGCATGAATGAGATCATGGAGCAGCGAGCCAGGCACAGAGAGGTTCTCAAGAAAAGCTTACCTATCAGGAAGTTGCTTTTAGCTGAAGTCAAATGATACATATTTTTGGAATTACCTGCATTTAAAAATATCTGTATTGGCCTGACATGTTGGCTTACCCCTGCAATCCCAGTGCTTTAGGAGGCCAAGGCAGGAAGATAACTTGAGCCCAAGAGTTTGAGACTAGCCTGGGCAACATAGTGAGATCCCATGTCTACAAAAATTAATTAATTAAACATTAGCTGGACACAGTGGTGCACAGCTATAGTCCCAGCTACATGGGATGCTGAGGCAGGAGGATCTCTTGAGCCTGGGCGATTGAGGCTGCAGTGAGCCATGATCATGCCACTGCACTCCAGCATAGGTGACAGAGTGGGACCCTGTCTCAAAAAAAAAAAAAAAAAATCTATACCTTTGCTGTCCATCACTGGCAAAAATAATGGAGATTTGTCTCCAGGTGCATATTAATAAATAGTCACCTGCAAGTGTGTTAGATAAGACATCCAATTGGTTGCATTTCTAACACAGAGCACTTTGCTCTCATGCCTTTGATTCTAGCCATCTGTTTACTAACCAGGTCTGTCACCTCCTCCTCACTCTCAGCTTTGCAATATTTTAAGTACAATGTAGAAGAACTTATATGTGAAAACTTGAGAAGGAGAGGGTTCAGGGAACCTAAAGATATCTAGGGTTAGAATTATGGGTCCTATGGAAAACCTGGGACCACTTCTCCCAATGAGGAGGAGGATTGGGAGGAACAGTTGGGAGTACACAGCACTTTTCTGTGAAGCAGATTTTCTTGGCCATTTTAGCCATTTCTCAGCCATTTGGCTCTTTGATAGACAAAATATCATCCTATCCTTTAAGATCATTAGAAATGAAATCAAGGCAACAGGACAAAGTGCTGTGTAGTTTTCAGTCTCTACATGTTCTTCTCCCAGCCTGGAAAAGGATATGGAGGCTGGTGCAGCTACAGAGGCTGTTGACCAACCCAATTTCTTTCTACTGTTGTCCCATAGACATAAAAGTGGACTTAAACATCCACGTCAGGACTTAGCTGCAAGGAACAGTTTCCTGATCCAAAAAGATTATAGAAGAATATATGCAGTGCAAAGTTTTATGTATACCTTTGTTATTTAATTTTCCATTATTGAAATGTTCATGAACACACAGGAGAAAATGGTATAATGAACTCCCACATACTCATAACCCAGTTTTCCACATTTTGCTAATCTTGTTTCATCTATTTTCATAAACACACACACACAATTTTTAAAGCAAATCATGGACACCACGTTGTTTCATGTGTAAATGCTTCTATAAATATTTCTAACGGAAGAGAACTTTATAAAGCATACCCACTGTCCTATGTCACACCTAGCAAGACTAATAAGAGTTACTTCATGTCTCCAGCTTGTCCTGAAAGCAGATGGGCTGGTCCTGCTGAGGGCAGTGGGTCTGAGAGTCCTTGCCTCAGTTCTGCCACTAACTCACTTCCTCTCACTGGAGACGAATCTCCATTACTTTCGCCAGGTCACATCATTTAGAAAGTGAACCCATGGGAGGGCCTTTTCCAGTTCCCAAATCTTATGTTGCCTCTGAGAATAGATGGTGATTTGAGTAGGATGGAGCAGAAAACAATTTGTTTGAAAGTAGAGGAAAAAATAGATCATCTCTTAAAGCCCCATTTGGGTTGTGTACTATTAATAATCATGACTGTAACACTTTCAATACATGAGAAGACCACTTCCATTGTTTGTGGCGGTGCACCGAGGCCCCTACCTCCACAAAATTCATAAGAGAAAAGGCAGCCAGAACTGCATTCTATGTTTAGTAATTTTTCTGCTTGGCTTGTGCAGCTCACACCTCCCTTGGTCTTTGCTGGTAATGGCTAATAATAAAAGCAAAATGTATTGAGCACTTACTATGTCTGAGGCACTTAGGCCAGCCTCTGCTGAGCATGATCGCATTGGCCCTCACAACAGCCCTTTGAAGTAGCTATTATTATTCCCATGGCAGTGACCATTCTTGACCCATAGGTGGAGACCTGCTGTGACGATGTATAAATTCATAACCATGTGTCCTTTCTCCACACACCCTCGTGAGAACTCGGCTTTGTGAGGATCTTCTGCCCCACTAATCTTCATTTAATTCCCCTCCCTGCAGCACGTTGTCACCTAGCACGCCCCTGCTGACAGGCCCTCTGTAAGTCTTCATCTGACTGACGGCCCTGGAAAATCAAGCTGTGGTCTCGAAAGGGAAGGAGGATCTGCAGATTATCTCCTCAGCATGTGCAGTCACTCTGCTGGCAGCTCTGGGGCCGCTTTTAAGTTGCCTCAACAAAGAGAAAGGCTGCCAAGAGTGTGTCATGTTCCATTCAGAATTCCCCAGGCTGGCAGTGGCTGGGACAGTAGAGACACAGGGAGGATGAAAAATTCCCAGTTCGGCCTCATCCATCTCTTCTTACTCTTGTCTGCATGAGGAAGCCTTTGAGAGTCTTCCTATGATTCTTTACAGGCCCTTGGAAAAGTAAGATAAGGAGGACAGGAGAACAGTAGAGTGCATAGGGAAGCTGGCTGGAGATCAGATCATTTTGCCATAACCAGCAGGCAGTTTCTTTCACAAATCATTGAACCCTGGGTAGCCATTATCATCCCGACTGCTCCCTATTAACTAGCCCAGACTCTTAAGGTCATGAGAGTCAGAGAAACAGAATTCCTTTCCTTTTTCTCACTCTCTAAATACTGGTCCTACTAGGTTTAGATACCATGTTTTAGTTTACAAAGTATATTGATACATACTATTATGTTTCTCAAGCTATGTCTTTGAAATGATTATAATATGACCTTATTAGTGAGAAAACAAAAATTGCCAAAATATTTTCAATTTAAAAAAATAACAAAGGCTCAGAGGTATTGAGTGTCTCAAAGACACTCAGCTGAATGAGGTGGGAGCCAGGCTTGTAAACAGTACTTCTGGCTTAGAGTCCTGTGCCTTTTCTATTATATTGTGCCTTTCTAATGCTTAGCCAGTTTCCTGTAGGATGAGGTAAGTCCCACCCTGCAGGAGAAGTGGGGAGCGTCCAAGGAGACCTGTCTTTGGTGGTGATGGGCCATATAGGAAAGCCAAGCTTCCTACAGTTGCCTCCAATTGCCTCTCACCACTTGCTTCCTCTTACCCCCATCTTAGCAAACAAAAGTGATTATACTGGCTTAAGAAAATCATTGCAATAAAATCCAAAAGCTGTGAGGGAAAAAAAAATCACTGCAAAGGCATGATTGTGGGAGAAAGTGCTCCAAGGGAGATTTGGGCACTCCTACTGCCCTCCCCAGCTCCGGCTCTGTTCGTAATTATTGACTCATGGCTGGGCAGATATTTTGACCCTAATTTAAAAAATACAGAAACTGAGGAGAGAGGGAGTAAATGAGGAGAGAGGGAGAAATGTAAAAAAAAAAATTTCCTCTGAGGAAACCTGGAAATTTGAAATGTGAAATTTTTCTCTTTAGATAAAAGTGGTTTAGGACCACATGTTAAATTCAGGTCTTTAGAACTGAAACGTTTCTGTCACTAATAATTTTTTAGCATTAAGAGGGTTGTAGGTGATGCTAAGGTATTATTTCCTCTCGGGAAGCTTAGATTTTCTCACCTTGAGACAGATTCGGAAAAACCCTGATCCTTCCAGCAAGGATCCTGGTGACATCTCTAACCCAGGGAAGTGACCAGACCCAGTCCCCAGGAATATTACTTTCTTACTGGATTGGAGTCCAAAAATACTGTTTTTAAACCAAGGTTTATATGTTCGTCATAGAAAAAAAATTAAAATACATGTAAGTAAAAAGACAAAAAAAACTACAATTCTACCACCCAAATATTACTGCTCTTAACCTTTAAATACATTTTATGCTATATGTTTAAATATAAACATGTATGTCTATACACAATGCTACTAAAGTATGCATTAAAATGTACTGTTTTGGGATCATATATCCCCTTAATATATTGTAAATTTCTTCCTATGTCAATAAACTTAACTTTTTTTTTTTTTTTTTAAAGGCAGGGTCTCACTCTGTCACCCAGGCTGGAGAGCAGTGGTGTGATCATGGCCTACTGCAGCCTCGAACTTCTGAGCTCAAATGATCCTCCTACCTCAGCCTCCCAAGTAGCTGGGACTACAGGCTCACACCACCATGCCCAGCTAATTTTTTAATTTTTGGTAGAGACAAGGTCTTGTTATGTTACCCAAGCTTCTCTTGAACTCCTAAGCTCAAGCGATCCTCTTGCCTCAGCCTTCCAAAGTGCCGGGTTATAGGTGTGAGCCACCACACCCAGCCCCTCACCATTTTTAATGTCACCATGTTTATTCCATTGTATAAGTGTACCATGATTTATGTACTTATTTTTAAATTATGAAATATTTTACTCATAAAAAATATACAGAAGAATTACCATGGCTTATTTAATTTCCAGCACCTTAAGAATTTCCTTTCCTGGAAGGGAATAATTTCAATAACTAATATTGCAATTTCACTCTGCAGTTTTACAGTGCTCTTGCACATACATTATTTCATTTGATCCTCACTATCACCTACTAAGGTTGGTGTTATGTTTATTATTTTTCTCATTTTATAGATGAGAAAATATATGAACTATAGATGAACTACATAAAACTCAAAAACCTAAATGATTTACCCTAAGTCCAGTTAAGTCAAAGAGATGGCTGGGTCCCAGGAGTAGATGTGACTCTTGTGGCAGGGCAGATCTCCACAGCATGCAAGGGAGGAGTCAGGACCAGCAGAGTGGTCCCCACAGACTCACCCTGCACTGCAGCCCCAGCTCCTGCCCTGCCCTGACTTCAGCCTTGATCATGCATACTGTCTGCCTTTTCACTCAGTGTGCTCTCTGGGGGCAGAGACTTCTGTCCTCATTCTTCTTTCTACCCCTGCTGCCCACCACAAGTTCTGATACAATAAATGCCCAGCTAATGTCTGCTGGATAAGTGAATGAATGAATAAAGAGTGTCAGAGAGATACACAAATTGGGGAGGCTAGGTTTTCACAGCTTTCTTTCTCAGAGCATCTATTTTTAGTTCAGATGTTTTAACAGAACACATCTTGGCATTTTTGACTTTTGGGGCTTCTGTAGGTTTTAGTCACCACTGGAAAGCTCACAGACTGATGCATGGAAAAGCATGTTCAAAACCAAAGGCAAGGAGAAACCTGTTTGCATACTAGCTTCTCTCCACCTTTTCTAGTGGTGGCCCTCACTCTAGCCCCAACTGGGATGGACGAAGCTCTCCTTAAAGCCAGCTCCCAAGTTACCATTATGCTATCCCTCATTTGAAACCACTTTATAGTTATGATATGTATGATATAACTCACTTTTTTAAACTGCTTGTTAAAACAATAGTTTAGCTTAGCAGCTATAATATGGTTCATGAGGTTTGTTTGGAGCACTGTTATTGTTGATTGTAAAAGCAGTATAGCAGAATTACAAGAGATTTTAGAACAAAAATTACTGAAATTCCACTACCTAACAAGGCAACTATTTTTGTTTTTGTATAACCCCGTCAAGAGCTTGTCCGTGTGTATGGACATACTTACTTTCCTAGTTATTGTCACGGGAGCATGCAGCATTTTTTCCTGATTTTTCCAGTTAATATGATTACAAGAACATTGTTTCCCATTTTTCAGCATAGACTTCATAATTATCTTTTTAATGACTGCATAATCCTCTATTGAGTTGATATACCAAAATGTACTTATACAATCCCCCAGTGTTTCACATTTAAGATGTTTCTGATTTTCCAGTAGTTTATGGTGCCACATTGAAGGTTGTTACGTGTATTGTTATGCAATCTTTTGTGTTTGTCAGATTATTTTCTTAGGATACTTTCCCTCGAGTAAGATTGCTGGGTCAGAGTAGGAGCGCCGTTTGTGGTTCTTGCCAGGCTGCTTATGCAAAAAGGTTGTTCCAGTTTATGTCCCCAGCAGTTGGTGTGTTTACCAATTTTAGGACAATCTCATCAGTGTAGGAGTTGTGGTTAATTTTTTTGTTTGCTAATTTAGCCAAAGCAACATGGTACTTCAGGGTTGCTTTATTTTGCATTTCATTGATTATTAAAGGAAATTAGCATTTTCCCTTGTGGTTACTCTTTGTATTTCTGTGGATGTGAGTTGTCTGCTAACATTTACAGGTCTTCGCCTATTTTAGTAAATTGGGATCTTCATTTTTAAAAAATCAAACCAAATAAACTCTTTATACGCAATGGCTATTGAACTTTTTCATTTATGTTTAATATATTTTCCAGTATTGTTTTGCCTTTTAATTTTAGATATGTATTTGTAGTACAAACATTCTTATTTTTGTAATAAAATCAGTAAATGTTTTTTTCTGTTGCTTTGAAACTTAAGCTATCCTCTCTGTGGAGAGCTGATAAATATTTAATTCTACCTTCTGTTATTTTAAATTCTTTAATTCATCTGGATTGCATTTTACTATAAATTGAGATGCAAATTACATTTCTTTCTACATTGCAAATCAGTTATTTCAGTCTTAGTCTGTTCTTTTATTCTCTTTCTCAGGAATCATACACCAGATGAAAGGTGATTATGACACTGCACTGAAACTCCACAAGACCCACCTGTGCATTGCCCAGGAGCTGAGTGATTATGCTGCCCAGGGCCGTGCCTATGGGAATATGGGCAATGCCTACAATGCCCTGGGCATGTACGACCAGGCGGTCAAATACCATCGGCAGGAGCTGCAGATCTCCATGGAAGTGAATGACCGCGCCTCACAGGCCTCCACACATGGGAACCTTGCCGTGGCCTACCAGGCCCTGGGTGCCCATGACCGGGCCCTGCAACACTATCAGAACCACTTGAACATCGCCCGGGAGCTACGAGACATCCAGAGCGAGGCCCGGGCCCTCAGCAACCTGGGCAATTTCCACTGCTCTCGGGGAGAGTATGTCCAGGCTGCCCCCTATTATGAACAGTACCTCCGGCTTGCTCCCGACCTTCAAGACATGGAAGGAGAAGGGAAGGTCTGCCACAATCTTGGCTATGCCCATTACTGCCTTGGAAACTATCAGGAGGCAGTGAAGTACTACGAACAGGATCTGGCACTGGCTAAAGACCTTCACGACAAGTTGAGCCAAGCAAAAGCCTACTGCAACTTGGGCCTAGCATTCAAGGCTCTGCTGAATTTCAGTAAAGCTGAAGAGTGTCAGAAGTACCTACTGTCCCTAGCCCAGTCTCTGAATAATTCCCAGGCTAAATTTCGAGCCCTAGGAAACCTGGGCGATATATTCATCTGTAAAAAAGATATAAATGGTGCAATAAAATTCTATGAGCAGCAACTGGGCTTAGCTCACCAGGTAAAGGACAGAAGATTAGAAGCCAGTGCATATGCAGCCCTGGGCACTGCATACCGAATGATCCAGAAGTATGACAAGGCCCTGGGTTATCACACACAGGAACTGGAGGTATATCAGGAGCTGAGTGACTTGCCAGGGGAGTGCAGAGCTCATGGGCACCTGGCTGCTGTCTACATGGCCCTTGGGAAATACACAATGGCATTCAAGTGTTATGAAGAGCAACTGGATCTAGGGCAAAAGCTGAAGGATCCGAGTCTGGAAGCCCAGGTCTATGGCAACATGGGCATCACAAAGATGAACATGAATGTGATGGAAGAAGCCATTGGCTACTTTGAGCAGCAATTGGCCATGCTGCAGCAGCTAAGTGGAAATGAGTCTGTGCTCGACAGGGGCCGGGCCTATGGCAACCTGGGGGATTGCTACGAAGCCCTGGGTGACTATGAGGAAGCTATCAAATACTATGAACAATATTTATCTGTCGCGCAGAGTCTGAATCGCATGCAAGACCAAGCCAAGGCTTACCGGGGCCTGGGAAATGGACACAGGTAAAAATGACCAAGGACAATTGTGGTTTATAGTTCTGCAAAAAGAGCATTTGTGGCAGTAAAGGCAACTTCGTGTCTGCATGGCAGTTTGTTAACTACAAACATTTTCGTACATATCTCATCTGATTCCTCCAACAACTGTTTGAATCAAGTAGTTGATGTTGTTACCCTTATGTTATGGATGAAGAAACTAAAGCCCAGAGAAATTGAGTTAATGCCTAAGATTATGCAGCTTAAAAGGGACAGCTGAGAGTTAAACCCAGGGCTCTGTGACTCCAAATGCAGTGCCTTTTGACTACATTAGAATGAGAAGGATAATAGGGATGGGGAAGGTGAACGAGTCACTTTCGCTGATCTTTTCTGAATACCTCCCACATTATATGAATGTGTTTATTAATACAACATCTGCACCTAACCAATTACTTAGGCCCCATTGTGTTGCTCCTCAGAAAAGCCACCTGATAATAGGAGAATGCATAAATGTACTATGTTGCATGCATCATCTGTGCAAGGTCCCTTGCACAGATATCTTAATAGTTTTAACAGTTTTGTATTACTCTATATCTATTATCATCTGCTGTGGGATGTGGGATTTATTATCACCAGAATTGGAGGCTCAGGGGAACTAATTCATGTGCCCCACACAACTGGTTTGGTCATACTCTTTCCACGCTTATCGTGTCTTCTCTTAGCAGCAGAAAAAGACACACTGTTGGTCAAGGTGATACTTTCTCCTAAATGTGGGGAACCCAAGAAGGTGCCTGTGTCTGCAGGATATATGGCCCCACCAGAGAGGCAGGGGATTAGGGCTCCTGGAGTGGAGGAAGGGCAAGGGTCAAACTAAATCTTCACCCACAGAGTGCTCTGAGAAGCTCAGGGTGAAAGATTTATAGCCACTGTGAAGTGATTTCAAAAACATAGTCTAAGCGGTAGTGGAAATTGGGAGGCCTGAAGAACCAAACAGTTCACTTGCTATCATTGTGCCTATTAATATATTTTATGTTTCCTCTGGGGTGTATATCCCATTGAATCTCAAGCTCTTGGGAAGGTCACTAAGGGATGACTTTTGAATTGCTTTCCAGATTATGAAATTCCTCTGCATCTCACTCTAAGGGCACATGATAGATTTTAGCTAGAAGAGGAGTTAAGAGCTTCTATAGTAAGTGACAGTGACAAATGCTTTTCATTTTCTCAGGGGCTTTAGCATGTCTGCACCTGCATGAAATAATATCATTGCTTTTCTGTCTACATCCCCACAGGGCAATGGGGAGCTTGCAGCAAGCCCTTGTGTGCTTTGAAAAGAGGCTCGTGGTTGCTCATGAACTTGGAGAGGCCTTCAATAAAGCCCAGGCCTATGGAGAGCTGGGAAGTCTGCACAGCCAATTAGGGAATTACGAACAAGCCATTTCCTGCCTTGAACGCCAGCTGAACATTGCTAGAGATATGAAAGACCGAGCCCTGGAGAGTGACGCAGCCTGTGGCCTGGGGGGCGTTTACCAGCAGATGGGGGAGTATGACACAGCCCTGCAGTACCACCAGCTTGATCTACAGATAGCAGAGGAAACCAACAACCCCACGTGCCAGGGCCGAGCCTATGGGAACCTGGGCCTGACTTATGAATCCCTGGGCACCTTCGAGAGGGCTGTGGTCTATCAAGAACAGCACTTGAGCATTGCTGCACAGATGAATGACTTGGCGGCCAAGACGGTGTCATATAGTAGCCTTGGAAGGACCCATCATGCCTTGCAGAACTATTCCCAAGCAGTCATGTACTTACAGGAAGGTAGGTGAAAAGGCCCATTGTGTTCTCTTGGCCTACTTGAAATCAAGTTCAGAGTCAGAACTCAAGACTCAGAGGGAAGTATGCACAGTTTGAATGGCCACCTCTGTGTGGAGTAAGGGTCTCAGAGGCCACATTGTCAGTTCAACTCCAGAATCACGGTGTCCCCACCAGGTGTCCGTTGATAGTACTAAGGTGTTTCATTGTCCATAGCACCTTGCCCTGCTCTCTCGGACCCAGATTGTCTTACTCTCTCAGTGACAGCATCTACTGCTCGCCAGCTGCCCAAGGAGCTGATACCCTCCTTGCTTTTCAGAACCCTCTGAGGAATGAGCAGCACGTTCTCGCACAGATGAATCAAGTAAGATGTAATCCTAAAAAATTATAAGGGTTCGAATCAGAAGAAAATGCCCATCTGCTCCAGGCTCTGTTGTCCCTCTAGAGAATATCTAAACTAACTATATTAAAACTTTATAGAAGTCAGTTCTGACATGGCAGCTGAGGTCTAATCCAGAAGTATCAGTCTGAGGGGTACTCAAGCAGTAAACCAGGCTTCTTTCTCAGCATTTGTCACCTACAGTGCTTGGGTTGGTGCCACAGTAGGGTCTTGTTCCAGGCTGGCCTAGAAACTGAAGGCTGCACAGTTGGACCTTGGATGCTTCCTTCCTCCGAAAGCAGAAGTCCCATAGCAATGTATTTGCCCTCCACCTCTTTACATTGAGATGAGGCTTTCTGCTCTTGAAAGTCCTTCTCACACAGGCATATTGGATCCTCTCACCCTAGAAGGGAAAAAGGGCAGATAGCTCACTGGTAAAAGGAATGGTTACTGATTTCAAGCAAAAACTCTCATTTCCAGGGGGCTTTGCACATAAAGTTTATTTAAGCTGATTCAATTCTCACAATAGTCTTGTGAGGTATATCTTTTTATTCCCATTTTTGCAGTTGAATCACCTGAGGCTCAGAGAAGTACAGTGATTCAATCCTAATCATGTAGTCAGTTAGTCAAGGAGTAGGGCCCAGCCCGAGTTTTCCAACCCAGAAACCATACAAGATCCTCTCTGAAGTTGTTTCTAACTTTACAGTTGCAGAGTAGGGTTGGGCATCCTACCCGCTTTTACTCCTGAGCCCCCACTGGGAAGCCAGGAGAGAGAGAAGCAGCAAGCAAAGAGGAGAGTGGGTAAAGAGCTGATGATTCGCTGGTCTCCTTTGCAACAGACCAGGGACTGCACTGGCCTGCAGTCTGAGAGGTTACAGAGAGTCTGGAAGCCACTTCCCAGACCTTATCTACCTCCGCTTCTATCCACATGGGGCTCTGCCTCTATGCATTAAATGAGAATGTTGGCTTCTAATTTCCTGAAACTTGACTGTGGTAAAATTCCAACAGACAAGGAGCAATTTTCATTTGAATTTGTAAAAACTATTAAATTCAGTCATATGACAACTTTTCAGCTGTGTTCTTTTGTACTTCCTGAAATACTATTTCCATGAAACAGCTGGTTTGCCTGAGACATTGCAACACAATTCTATATTTGTGGAAAACTCTCAAGTTCATTTTTATTGTTTCTTGTAATTTTTTAAGTCTTGCAGAGATCTAAAAACTCTAATTTGTAGCATCTCTACAGTGTCTGTCTTGTGGATGTGTCCACTAGAGAGCCTGCAGCTGATGGCTTTCCTCGTGGGCCAAACCAAATGCCTCTTCTCATGAGGGCAGGACACCTGGATGGTGCTTTCCGAATGCTCTGAGTTAGGTCTGCAGCCTCTGGCAAGGAGGGACTAGTTTATCTGGAAACCACCCTACTGCTCCCTCTCCCCTGGCTTTCTGAGGGGATGAGGCTGTGGGGCCTTGTAGATCAGCATCACCCTGCTTCAGTGCAATAGACTCTCACAGGTGGGGCCTGGTCTGAGCCTTTTGAACAAGCTCTCCAGGTGCTGTGGAGGGAGACACCTCTGGATAAAACCACTGGTCTCACCCAGCCCTTCCTCTTCTTGCAAATGAAGAAAGGGAGCGTGGATCAATTTGGTGACTTTCCTGGAACCAGTCCCTGACAAACTATAGGTTCTAGGAGAGCTGGATGGGTGAGTCAGGTTCCTAAGAGGCAGAAGCAGAGAGAAGCTGGGGCAGGACAGATACCATGTCTATCCAGGGGGCTTTTAACTCTTCATTGTTGAACCTCAGCTAGAGTCCTACATGCTGAGGATATAGCAGGAACAAAGCAAAGTCCCTGTTTTCATAGAACATGGCTTCTAAGCAGGAGTTGTCTCAGTGAATTTTACTTCTGACTCATAGATCTTGACCTAGAAGGGACATCTGTATTGAAGAATTAATGTGTTTAGCTTATTGAAGGTTTAAACAATCGGTATCCTTCTGGTTTTCTCCCAAGAACCATCTTCTTTCATATGTTTTTCTATTCTGTGAGATGTTTAAAAATGTGAATTATTTACAAATATTTTTGCTATCCAATAACATGACTTAAAATGTTTCTAAGTTTTCTGAGTTATCAGCATTTTGAAATGTATATTTATGACATTGAACCTGAGTGTCACTTTTCTTACCGTCTCAACAGACTCAGTTCCTTTTCAAAAGCCTGAAATTGCACAGGCCCAGCATGATCAGAGGCAGGCTTCCATCTACCCTGAATTAGATTAGAAGAAGGAAGTCCTTCCTTTGTGTGTGCAGTTGTACGGTGGGAGCCTTCATGCTGTCTCTGCACAAGCTAGCTTCTATGTACAGTGAGCAGGATAATGAGGGCAAAGTGATGCTGAGAACTGCCTAGTGACCAATACAATAAATGGTTGCCTTCAGATTTGACTCTCACAAAGCCCTCAAGGTTGCTGGTGTCCTGAAACCCAGAAGCTTGCTGTGGGTAAGTGACCCAAACTGCAGGTGCCTGCCTGAAGGCTGTTAGAATGAGGATGGTTTCATTTAAGGCTTTTGCCTCATAATAGCACTTGTTTTGCAACCCCGCTGAGGCACATCAAAATCTTAGACTGAAAAGGAAAATAGATTAGACATGAAATGTGTCAGTAACATCAGTAACAGAAGGCAGGGTCAGGCTGTGTTCATATTCTGCTTTCAGGAGAACATCGTATGTATCTTCTATTAACACTCATTGGATGCTGTGCACGTGAGAAAGGAAGAATATTCTTTTGCCTTCTGTATTTAACTATCAGGAAGAGCTTTGCCAGCCAAAGAATCAGGTTAGATAAGTTTATCAGCCAGGAGTTTTCCTTTGCAAAGCTATGGATTTCAAATTTAGGAGGGTGACCAGGTTAAGTTTCACTTGTTTTAGTGTTTCTGCCTGCCCAGCAAACCTGTCTCCTGCTGATAGCCATCACCTGGGCTCTTGCCGAGGCATCCTGGAACATCCTGGAAATGTTGCTACCAACACAGAATTTGAAGACAATGCTTATTCTACCTTGGCTGATTCAGCTCTTGTCCTCATTTTATCTAGCTGTGTTGTTAGTATTCTTTTTTTTTTTTTTTTTTTTTTTTTTTTTTAACAGAGATGGGTCTCACTAAGTTGCCCAGGCTAGATTCTTACTCCTGGGCTTAAGCAGTCCTCCTGCCTCAGCCTCCTGAGTGGCTCTTGTTAACATTCTTTTATAGACACCTGAAGCAAAATTGGGTGGGAGCAGTGCTATCCCAGTGCTTTAGGAGACCGGGGTGGGTGGATCACTTGAGGTGGGTGGATCAGGAGCTGGAGACCAGCCTGGGCAACATGGTGAAACCCTGTCCGTACCAAAAAATACAAAAGCCAGCCGGGTTGTGGTGGCCCGTGCCCGTAGTCCCAGGTATTCCGGAGGCTGACTGAGGTGGATCACCTGAGCCTGGGGAGGTGCAGGCTGCAGTGAGCTGCCACTGCACTCCAGTCTGGGGAACAGAGTGAGACCCTGTCTCAAAACAAACAAAAACACAAAAGTAAAATGACCCTTCAGGACTCCTTAGGATAGTGGAATTATCCATCTTCTATGTTTCCTTAAATTTCTCTATCTGGTTTCAGGTTTAAGGTTAGCTGAGCAACTGGGCCGAAGAGAAGATGAGGCAAAAATTCGCCATGGCCTTGGCCTCTCCCTTTGGGCTAGTGGAAACTTGGAGGAGGCCCAACACCAGGTAAGCAGAACCCCTGACTGAAGTGGATTTTTTGTTTCCAGAAGCATGGGAGACTTTAGGATTACTGTCCTAGTAGTGATGGCATTTACAAGAGGCACTGACTTCTACCCTTGGGCTAATGTGTATGATTTCCCGCCTGTACTAGCCCAGAAGTATTTGAACAATTAGTAAAGATTTTTGCTCACTCATGTGATAGATTTCTCAATTTCTTAAGAATTTTTATATTAACTGCTATTGCTCCCCATTAAACATTGATATGAAATTATATTCATCTCATGACAAGTAAAACAAAAATTCATAATTAAATTTCATGTTTCTAGATATATTAATAGATATAACTTCTCTCTCTCCCTCTTTTACAATAAGGCCATATTTCTGCATATATGCAAGTAGTTGAAGGAAAGTCCCTTGTCATGCTGGCCCTGGAGAGTAGAAAGATCCCTCGAGTTATAGGCCTCCTCTGTTAGGTTGGAGTAGTAGTGAGATGGCTGCATCTAAGATCACGCACTCATCCAGATAGCGAGCATGTGAGTGGTGACTGCAGAGGACATTGTGCTAGACAGAGGGGAGCAAGGATAAGGACATCCAGACTCCTATCCAGAGGTGCTCACAAGAGTTGAAGAGATGTGACTGAATTTGCACCATAGCGTTCTAGAATGTTAGGGTGTTTTACTGTACTTTTAAAATGATTAAAGACAATGTAAAGGATTAATTCTCTAATTTCCTGGTTATAAAAAGTAAAACCTGTGTTGATATTGTGATTTGCAATTTTCAAAGTACTTATTATAGCTCAGTGAATTTGATCCTTAAAATAACCCTGTGAGGTAGAAACTATCCTCTTTATAGAGAGGAAGAAATTGAGTCTCTGAATCTTGCCAAAAGTCACACAGCCAATTAGTGGCAGAGTTAGGAACACATTCTCTTAGCGCTCTCCGGGTCTATGTCTCTTAGTCTTAGAATTCTGTACTTGATCTTAGCCAAAAGGCCGAGAAGCAAGTAGTCTTAGAATTCTGAAGTTTGGATAAATTTAAAATTTGATACTGAGTTTCCAGCATGTAAATATCAGAGTCATCTTAGACAGTGTGGCATGAGGGGGAAAAAAAAGGAAAATATCAGAGTCAGAAAAGTCTGATGGCCTCACTGATGGAGGAGCCTGTTAGAGCATCAGGACAATGTCTCCGTTAGGAATGGCAATTGTCTGGTCCTCAGAATGTCTATGTGAGTGGGCATGGCTCCTTGAGGAGCTTGCCCAGTGATGATCTGAGCCTGGGACACTGAACCATCTGCAAAGAGCTATCGCCCTTCAGAGAGTGTGGCGCTCTCTTCCCCTCAGGCTCGTCCATTTCCGGGATGCCTTCACCATACCTGTTCTCACTCCCATCCTTACTCACCATGAGGCACGAGGGTGGTGAATTGTGGTTGCCTGATGACAAGAGGAGAGGCTTTTTGTTTTAATAAAAATCAGCACTTGGTGGATTAATATCTGTTTTAATATCTTTAAGACCGTAAGTCTCTAATTCCTGTCTTTTAGATCCCTTTGTCTGTCAAAAATCGATTATATAAACTGTAATTTACTGGGCATGATCTGATGCCTTTTTAGGTCCACAAGGACCTACCTGGTGTCAGGTTCTAACTGAGGTCCGAGGGAAGTCAGTGGGCGAGTGGCAGGTAGCTGGAAAAACACTCGAGGAAGCGTAGACAGTTTCACCATGGCTTTACTCACTCTGGGCGCTAGTGAGACCAGGCACGAGCTGTGGGCACAAGCCATATATACGGCGTTAGCAGGGTAATTATACCTTTTAAAGACAATAGTGGCTCTGAGCTAAGGACGAGCTCACATGGGTGATCACCTAATGCGCCTCACATGGTGTCGTTACATGATGAGTGGAGTTGTGAGCCTGTGCTCCAAACTCACTGAGTCATGCTGGACTGGATGTCTGCCTCGGCCTATTCTTGACCGCAGCACATCCATTTTTCCTTACACCTGGACATCAGACTCTTCCTTTCAAATCTGTAAAAAATATTTAGGTTGTGCACAAAGATATGAGCAAAAGTTGTCTCTAGTCTGTAAACAGCTGGACATTGGTTTCTGGGGAATGGATGATGTTCTTCCTCCCTCCTTGCAGCTTTATAGGGCATCAGCCTTGTTTGAAACAATCCGACATGAGGCACAGCTGAGCACGGACTACAAACTCTCCCTCTTTGACCTGCAGACATCATCCTACCAGGCCTTGCAGCGGGTGCTCGTCAGCCTAGGTGAGAACAGCTGGGGTTACTCCTTGCTTACGTGTGCACTAGTGCGCACGGGTGCGCGTCCATGTGTCCAAGTTGTTTAGTGACAGCGGTGAAGAAATATGATTTGTTGTGACAACAGACTGTGAAGCCACAACTACAACCAGTCAATGAACATTCATTCATTTATTCAACAAAGATTAGTAGAGCTCCTACCATGTGCTGAGTGCCTGCCCTGGGGGTTACAGTCAAGAAGTCCTGGTTCCTGACCCCAAGAAGCTTAGCTTGTGGAGAGACATAAGTCAGTGAGTCCAGTACAGTGCTGATTGGCACTAGGATAAACTCAGATGCTGTGGAAATAAAGTCTCTTAAAAAAAAAAAAAAGTTTAAATAGAGATGAGGTCTCACTATGTTGCCCAGCCTGGTCTCGAACTCCTGGGCTCAGGCAATGCTCCTGCCTTGGCCTCCCAAAGGGCTGGGATCACAGGTGAGAACCATGACACCCAGCCTGAAACAAAGTCTCTTGTCTGGTGGGTCCGGGAGCCAGAGAAAGTGTCCTTGAGACAGGGATGCTTGAACCAGGTTCCCTCCCTAGGTTCCCTCTCACCACTAGCGTGTGGTTCAAGCATCTGACTAAGAGGAAGTACCTGAGAAGACACCTGGCCTCTTGTCTATTTCCTCATCCACACATCTTTCAAGGTTGCTGTCTAATAAATGTTTCTGCCACCTGGGTCTGCCTCCTAGGCTGTGGCATAGTCAGTGATGATTCTCCCAAGCCTATGTGCCCCATCACAGTGGGGCAGCATGCATCTTCTTTCACCCGGGCCTTAACTAGTCAGCCAGTCCCTTCCAGCTCTCCGTCATCTGCCTCTTCCCAGGAGATATTTATTGGAACTAACAAAGGCTTTGAATTTGGATGTTGAGGCCTTTTCGATAACCTGTCTTTTGCTGTATGTATAGGAAGGACTCAAATTTCCTCTTGAAAAATTTATCTATTAAATGTGTTCATTGCCTGGGATTACAGTTTATTATCTATTATAATCACAGTGTTAAGTCTGTCTAGCACCTAGGGGCCGATTTTCCCGTGTGCACAGAAATTGTTCCTGCTGTTCCAGTTAATAACTTAATAGAGTAAAAGGAGACATTTACATACACACATACAAATCTCCACTTGCTTCTGATACCCAAACTGCAGGAAGCAAGGCATCCTTGAAGTGCTGTCACAGCTGCAGCATCTGGTCTGCTTCTGTCTGCTTTCTTTGGACTCTGGTTATAGTAACTCTTCCATATTTACATTTATGACAAAAGTAAATCCGCTGCATTGTGTTCCTTCAGCACTTATAAACAATTCCTTTACATTTTTTGTGGTTTCAGATTGGTACATTAGCTTTTAAACTAGATTATAGACCAGTTCCTTAAGGAAAGTGGGATTCAAAATTCGATTAAAAGATGGGAAAAGCTTGAGATAGAGAAGCAATTTTAAAGAACTAGAGACCTTAGAGGTTAAACTCTTTTCCCATGGGGATAAGGAAAAAAGTGTGTTGGAGCCCAGAATGGAATGAGACATCAGCTCCAACAACATTACTACTACCTGTTATACATGTAGTGATGTAAGTAGGCCTGCCAGCCATCTTTACATGTAGTGCTTCATTTAATCTTTAAAATAGCCCTTTGCGATAGGCAGGACAACTGTTAGCATCCCTCTTCTTGAGACAAGGCCAGTGAAAGGGAAAAGGGCACGCCCAGGAGAGGGACTGGCATGCTTAAAGGGATGGAGGTATAATTTGGAGAGAAATGCATAAGGCTGGACAATGTTATGCATAGAGGGGCTGCATGGAGGGAGGAGAGAGAGTCAGAAGACGCATAGACAGCTTGTGAGGCTGAGGCGGGTGGATCACTTGAGGCCAGGAGTTTGAGACCAGCCTGGCCAACATGGCGAAACCCCGTCTCTACTAAAAATATGAAAATTAGCCAGGAATGGTGGCCCGTGCCTGTAATCCCAGCTACTTGGGAAGTTGAGGCAGGAGAATCGCTTGAACCCAGGGGGCGGAGATTGCAGTGAACTGAGATCATGCCACTATATTCCAGCCTGGGAGACAGAGTGAGACCCTGTCTCAAAAAAAAAAAAAGACACGTAGAGAGCCAAGTGACACCAATAAACCTGGTGTCAGAAGCCAGGCAGGAGGTTAGAAAAAAAAAAGCCAGGTTAGGGAGCAACTCAGGAGGTGGAGCAGAGATGGAGCAGGGCTAAGGACAAGTGCACTGAATTGGATCAGCTCTTTTGTGGCGCTGGCTGCAAGACAGGCGAAGGTCTGATGGCTTAGGGTAGTGTGGAATCAGTCATGCAGGACACTGCACCCACCATCTGAGGCAGGGAATTGAATCTGAAGCAGTGTGACTGAGATTCTGTCACATATTGGAGAGTAGAGGCAGTGAGGTTTCTGCCCAGGATTTGATGGCCGTCCCTGATAGGCCTCTCTAAGTAAGCACACTCACTATGGACTCCTCGGCATATCTCTTTGTCTCCTAGGCCATCATGATGAAGCCCTGGCTGTGGCAGAAAGGGGACGGACAAGGGCATTTGCTGATCTTCTGGTGGAACGACAAACAGGACAACAAGACTCCGACCCCTACTCCCCAGTCACTATTGATCAGATCTTAGAGATGGTAAATGGCCAGAGGGGACTAGTGCTTTACTATTCCCTGGCTGCAGGCTATCTGTATAGCTGGCTGCTGGCTCCTGGGGCAGGTAAGATCTCTTTCTGTGGGAACAGGGCAATTAGAAGACTAGACCTGTGAAAGTCTAATGAATAGAGGTGGAATAGGTGCATTATCATAGATCATACTAAGGAACTGATGTCAGATTTTAGCAAAACCTCAGCCGCAGTGGATATGCCGTGGTGGGGCATTCAGATAATAAGACAGCCCAGCTTTCTCATTTCCCCAAGAAATTGCTGCTCCTCACTGTTGAATGTGGAAGCATTTATCAAGGAAGACTAAAAGCAGAAGAATTAATTTCACTAGCAGCCCTGTGTGTAGGCAGCTGTTGTTCATTAGCTAATAAAGTGATGACTGCAAGTCCTAACGAATTCTTTCTAGACATGGTTTAATAATTGTGACCCTTTGTCATGGCAAAGTTAAAGAGACTAAAATGATAATGGCAGCTCTATCACAGGTTATAAATAAGTCTTATGCTTGAAATTTCTGAGTTTAACAGAACCCATTTTTAACCAGTTCTGCTGTAAATCTATTTCAGAAGTAAAAATCTCCTTTGATTAAATCAGCATTAAATGTTCAGGCTGTAACAGTTTCACTAAATACAGAAACACTAATTAGCTGTTAGGGCCATATTTTTTGCATAATAAAATGCTGATGGCTTTACCAAGTTGGAGACACACCAGATCCAATTAGAGTTTATTGACTGGGGAAGTGGATCTTATAATTGGTAATCTTAAAGAATGAGCTTCTTGAATATCTGTAAGCCAGTTTCAAAAACTTTAACTGCCAGCGAGAATTGACAAGATTTTCTTGATTATGTTTCTATGCCTTTGATTTAAAAAAAAAAAAAATGATGGCTGGATGACAGCTCCCAGATGCTTTTAGGCTCTGAGCATTTGTGCGTATACATTCTATGCCTCGGCATTGTTTTTAATAATTTTTTCCCTTTAGTTCCATGTTCTTTATGGGCTTTCCACAAAGAATGTTCTTACCGCTGACCTTTTTAATGCTAAAGGTTTTAAATTGTGATTTTTACAGTGACTTGGTTAATAAATGTTGGCTACAGTGGAATCTTTGTGGATCCCAGCTCCCAGAGTGGTACTGATACTCGTGAGGACACAGTTGATGACTGGGAGGTATCAAACTCCTTCTCTCTGTGGTTGTTACATCTTGGGGACATGATTTGACAGGTGGTATATCGGAATTCCTGTAATAATGAGCCATGTATAATGAGGCTTCTATTGTTTCTTTTTCCGTTCCTTTTTGCTCTTAATGAGGCTCTGAAGCTTTCACTGGGGGCGCTAATCCAATCAGAGAGGACCGGCGTTTTCCAGAGCTGACACACCTCATTACCATTTGAGAATATATCCTATTTATCGCCAGAAAACCACTGTGGACTGCCTCAATTTCATGCACCCATCATTTTTTGCTCCTTTAATTCATTAATGACCATTGACCAGTTAGTCTTATTTAAAAATGGTTTAAAATGTTTTTATCTGGCCTTTATACTACATATTTATTATAATTTGCTTTTGTGAAATGAAAGCTCTGTTGGAACACAATTTCCACTTGGTCAATTATATTTGTCTTTGGGATTTCAATTTCTATAAGGAATATATCCTGGCATACTCATGCACTATTCCTGAAAGGAGACTTTCCCTAGTTGGTGCTTCTAAGAAGCATCTGTTTTGAAACACATATGAAGTAGTCATAATTCCAGGAGCTTCTGAGGCTGTATCTTGAATTCCCTGGTTTCAAGCCCCACACCTAATGGTAAAAGCTGTGAAAAGGATACTGACCAAAATAGAGAAAGCCCTCTTGAGACCTTGGATTTCAGGATTTTTTGACAGGGTTTGCAGGATGGCATGCTTGTCAAAGAAGTCACATACCATTGGCATTCCTGTCCCCTGCCTTCAACTTCTCCTTTCTCTGACCCTAATTGTGTATAATGTTGGCTGTGCCTGTTTTGCTTCAGGAATTGTGAAGTTTCATGAACACTACCTGGGTGAGAACACAGTGGAAAACTCAAGTGACTTCCAGGCCAGCAGCAGTGTAACCCTTCCAACAGCAACCGGCTCAGCCCTGGAGCAGCACATTGCCAGTGTCCGGGAGGCCCTGGGGGTGGAGTCTCACTACTCAAGGTAGGTAGTAAAACATCCCCAAGTCCATTTTCAGATAAATCTCAGGGTATTATTTTTTGTAAACATCCTATTTGAGCTAACAGAAGAAATCTTTTGGAATTCATGTAGTTGCGCTCAGTCTGTTCACAGCTGCTGCAGCAGAAACAAATATGTGTCTCTGGAGTGTAAGCCCCTTAGTGGTCTGTCTTTATTCTTTTTGGTGATTTTCCATCAGATGGGGAAGGGCCTCATCAGACATGCCCATTCTGTAAGCAGGATTTGTAAACTGTTTAAACATAAACATGGCTTTGAATTTAACATACCAGCCAATTAAAACTGAGATTATTTTTTGTTATAAACAAATTATAATGAGTTTGTTTGTACTGTAGCTGAACGCCTATTTGAGAGAGTAATTTAGTACCAGTGACAGGATATGTGCACAGATCTGTGAGCCTGAGGGGTGAGGTGAAAGGAGCTGAACTCTCAAATATGAAGAATAGATAAGGGAACTGCTTTTTGCAAAGGTTGTAAAAGGTATAAGCTTATGGAAACATTTTATCATAATGATTGACTATTTTACATATGAAAAAAATAATTTCCACAAGCACCCTGCTTCTAGGGGAAATCAAAGGAAGAGGGTATCTTAGAGCTGGGTTGTAACCAGATTTCCCAGGCATCTCTGTTCTCCATCCAGTGATTACCAAGGGTTCGGAAGATCTGTGTGTCAGAGAATCTGCTATGTTAGCTTGTATCAGGTCCCAAGAATCTCTGCTCATCTCCTGAATGATTTCATTTGTAATCATGAAAATCCTTAGGTAATTCTGTGATTTATTTAGAGATGCTTCACCCAAATTCCCAAGCATGCGGTGGTTGCTGCCAGCAGCTGGACTGATCTTTGGGGTGCTTATTAAGTTGGGGAAGAAAGAGTTCTTAGGTGAAAAATGATTATTGAATAATTTAATGTCAATATTGGAAGGGGCTGTAGTAGTCATCTAGTCCAACCCCTTCATTTAACAGAAGTTAACACTGAAATAGGACTTGCTGACAGCCAAGTTAGTGTCAGAGCCAGGATCAAAACAGTCTACATCTCACCCAGACTTCCAGGCCAGTGCTTGTTCTGTTTTTAATTTTCAAAATTAATATCATATTTTGAGAAAGTAGCCAAATATAAGAATTTCATTTCTAGCTTCTGTTTTTATGAAGTAGGAACAGGCTTTAGCCACTTGCACACGTGCTTCTCTTATTTATCCTGTGACTGCTGTGCATCCTGAAGTATCCCCGTCCTTAACAACCCAGGCAACAGTTTGGCAATTACAGGGGTTGACAGGGTGGTAACTCCCAAGAACTTGGAAGTAACACTGCCCTCTGAGATTGAAATTATAAATGACCATAATAAACTAGGTTAGACATTAGACCAGAGGTATACAAAGCTGCTTCGGCAGACAGAAATTTAGGCCAGTGTGATTAGACTATAACCTGACCAAAGGTATTGCATGTCCAAAGTGAGAGTTAGAGGGGCATGGCTGGCCAGCAATAGAAACCCAAAAGTAGGAGAGCCAGCAGGGCAGACTTTGGCAGTGTTCATTTCTAACACTATGAAAGGGAGAGAGAATCTTGGTTTAGGGACACAAGGTCCCACTGAAAAGGCTGATCCCATGGTGGGCATGCAGTCGCCAAGTTCTCTTAGTCCCCCCACTGTCCCTCCTTCCACAGGTATTTTGAGTGCTCACTGTGTATAAGGTACTATGATAGAGATTAAGGATCCTGATGAACAAGGAGACATAGCCCCTACTGTCCCAGAACTGAGGGCAAGCTCTGAAGTATGGCCTTCTAAGTTTGAAAACCTGACTGATGTTGCTAACATGCCCAAAGAGGGTTTGCCTCTTGGAAGCGAACTTTCATTAACCAAGCTCAAAGAAAATTGTACAAACTAGAATGCCAGGTATTATGTACATTCTCTATCTTCAAGTATATTTACATGAGCAACCAAATGATAGTTAGAAAGGTTGACAAGAAGCATGGGACCTGAACAAGGGAAGGCAGGAGGACCATCTGAGAGATCTTCTCCACCAAGGGCTGCTGAAGACCTTTGTGCATACTGCCTGGGGTAGCCTTTGGCAGCTTAATTCTCCTCATCCTCTGAGCTCAGCTCAAATATTCTCTCCTTAAGGAAGCCTCTACAACTCCCAGCATAGGTTTCCCTACCCCTTATGCCCATTTATACATTCTCATTATACCCGACATTTTCATTTAAGCATTTACTACAATTTTAATTAGAAGATTTTATATACTCTGTTGTTTACTCTTTTTCAGTTCTGTGAGAGCAGGGGCTATGTCTGCCTTATTCATCAGGATCCGTAATCTCTAGCATAGCACCTTATAGAGTGAGCACTCAAATACTTGTGGGAGGAGGGACAGCAGGGATCTAAGAGAGCACGGTGACCCCATGTCCACCATGGGGTCAGCCTTGCCGATGGGACTTTGTGTCCCTAAGCCAAGACTCTCCCTCCTTTCGATAGTATTAGAAATGGGCACTGCCGGAGTCTGCCCTGCTACCTTTCCCTTTTTCATGTTTCTACTGCTGGCCACCAAGATTATAAAGGTACTTGGGTGTATGACACCTGCCATTTGAAATCTCTGCATATGTGAAGGTGGCCTCTCCCTTATGGCAATGTGGGGACCACATCCAAGTCATCTCAGTCTAAACCAAGCATTCATGGGGCTCAGCCTGTATGAAAATGTATATTTCACCTAATCCAAATTTCCAGATATCTAGATTAAAATTCACCAGGAGAAAGAAGAGGATTACCCTTGGTCTCACTCTTCCATGCTCCTCATTGGATGTCATGGTTGAACTTTAAATACATGTGGCTAAGCAGTTCTTTTCTATGATACTGGAGGTTGAGTAATTCTGTTTCCAGGTGCCTTTTGAATTGAAAAATGTCTTTTGAGTTATAGTTCATCTCTTCATCAAAGGTAGAGAGAGAGGAAAGACTGCAACTTGCTTGTGTTTCCCATGTTAACCATTTCCCCTCTGCTCTATACAGAGAGCTAATGAGTCCTTAGGATCTCTAGCAGGTTATGTGGCTTGACACTCAGCATCACTTTGTTGGGCTGCCCTCAGTAGCCTAGATCTTCCCCTTAGACTGCTAGAAATAAGGTTTTTCCTGTTGCTTTGGAGTAATCTTGTTAGAGATTTGTTTATATTTTGTGAGCTTAAACTCATATTGTTGATTATAATATTAAAATTAAACACTTTATTGGCATGGTTTGAATTTACTGGAATGGAGTGTTTGTGAGAGCGATTCGTGTCTCATAGTTTCATGAAAACAGTAAGAAAATTTCACTGAAGTATTATTTTTCATCTACAAATTTAGTAAATATTTTTTAAAACCATAATGCTCAGTGAGAGTAAGGATGCAGTGAATGAGCAGGCTCATATCGTAGGGATATACCTGGATTTTGCATTTCTAAAAACAATTTGCCAATAGTATAAAAAATCTTTTTACATGTTTATGCCCTTTGGTCTCAAAATTCTTTATTATAGAAATGGAGCAAAGATCTGTACATACTAGTATCTGTCCTAGGTTTATATATTATAGAAGACATTGAAAACAACCTAAATATACAACAATAATTGAATTACAAACAAATTATGTTATATCTATTCAGAATGTTATGTTGCAATTAAAATTATGTTTACAAAGAATTTTTAATCAAATAGCCAAATGTTTAATCACATAGACAAAATATTAAGTGAAAAAAATAGGATATAGAATTACTGTATATAGTATAATTTAAATTTTGTAATTATATAAAATATGGGTATGAAAAGAAAAATTCTCAGAAGGAGACTAGGCTATATTTTAGTGGTGATTATAAATGAATGGTGAAATTATAGATGCTTGTTATTTTATTCTTTTTACTTTTCCTTATTTTTAACTTTTTTTTTTTACAATTAGGCATATAGTACTTTTTTTATTATTATTATACTTTAACTTTTAGGATACATGTGCACAACGTGCAGGTTTGTTACATATGTATACATGTGCCATGTTGGTGTGCTGCACCCATTAACTCGTCATTTAGCATTAGGTATATCTCCTAATGCTATCCTTCTCCCCTCCCACCACCCCACAACAGTCCCCGGTGTGTGATGTTCCCCTTCCTGTGTCCATGTGTTCTCATTGTTCAATTCCCACCTGTGAGTGAGAACATGCGGTATGTGGTTTTTTGTCCTTGCGATACTTTGCTGAGAATGATAGTTTCCAGCTTCATCCATGTCCCTACAAAGGACAGGAACTCATCATTTTTTATGGCTGCATAGTATTCCATGGTGTATACATGCCACATTTTCTTTTTTTTTTTAAACATTTGAAAACCTTTATTTTTTTTATTTTTTTATTTTTTATTTTATTTTATTTTATTTTATTATTATTATACTTTAAGTTTTAGGGTATATGTGCACAACGTGCAGGTTAGTTACATATGTATACACGTGCCATGCTGGTGTGCTGCACCCAGTAACTCGTCATTAAGCATTAGGTATATCTCCTAATGCTATCCCTCCCCCATCCCCCCACCCCACAACAGTCCCCAGAGTGTGATGTTCCCCTTCCTGTGTCCATGTGTTCTCATTGTTCAATTCCCACCTATGAGTGAGAATATGCGGTGTTTGCTTTCTTGTTCTTGCGATAGTTTACTGAGAATGATGATTTCCAATTTCATCCATGTCCCTACAAAGGACATGAACTCATCATTTTTTATGGCTGCATAGTATTCCATGGTGTATATATGCCACATTTTCTTAATCCAGTCTATCATTGTTGGACATTTGGGTTGGTTCCAAGTCTTTGCTATTGTGAATAGTGCTGCAGTAAACATACGTGTGCATGTGTCTTTATAGCAGCATGATTTATAGTCCTTTGGGTATATACTCAGTAATGGGATGGCTGGGTCAAATGGTATTTCTAGTTCTAGATCCCTGAGGAATCGCCTCACTGACTTCCACAATGGTTGAACTAGTTTACAGTCCCAACAACAGTGTAAAAGTGTTCCTATTTCTCCACATCCTCTCCAGCACCTGTTGTTTCCTGACTTTTTAATGATTGCCATTCTAACTGGTGTGAGATGGTACCTCATTGTGGTTTTGATTTGCATTTCTCTGATGGCCAGTGATGGTGAGCATTTTTTCACGTGTGTTTTGGCTGCATAAATGTCTTCTTCTGAGAAGTGTCTGTTCATGTCCTTCGCCCACTTTTTGATGAGGTTGTTTGTTTTTTTCTTGTAAATTTGTTTGAGTTCCTTGTAGATTCTGGATATTAGCCCTTTGTCAGATGAGTAGGTTGCGAAGATGTTTTCCCATTTTGTAGGTTGGCTGTTCACTCTGATGGTAGTTTCCTTTGCTGTGCAGAAGCTCTTTAGTTTAATTAGATCCCATTTGTCAATTTTGGCGTTTGTTGCCATTGCTTTTGATGTTTTATACACGAAGTCCTTGCCCATGCCTATGTCCTGAATGGTATTGCCTAGGTTTTTTTCTAGGGTTTTTATGGTTTTAGGTCTAACGTTTAAGTCTTTAATCCATCTTGAATTAATTTTTGTATAAGGTGTAAGGAAGGGATCCAGTTTCAGCTTTCTACATATGGCTAGCCAGTTTTCTCAGCACCATTTATTAAATAGGGAATCCTTTCCCCATTGCTTGTTTTTGTCAAGTTTGTCAAAGATCAGATAGTTGTAGATATGCGGCGTTATTTCTGAGGGCTCTGTTCTGTTCCATTGATCTATATCTCTGTTTTGGTACCAGTACCATGCTGTTTTGGTTACTGTAGCCTTGTAGTATAGTTGGAAGTCAGGTAGCGTGATGCCTCCAGCTTTGCTCTTTTGGCTTAAGATTGACTTGGCAATGCGGGCTCTTTTTTGGTGCCATATGAACTTTAAAGTAGTTTTCTCCAATTCTGTGAAGAAAGTCATTGGTAGCTTGATGGGGATGGCATTGAATCTATAAATTACCTTGGGCAGTATGGCCATTTTCACAATAATGATTCTTCCTATCCATGAGCATGGAATGTTCTTCCATTTGTTTGTATCCTCTTTTATTTCATTGAGCAGTGGTTTCTAGTTCTCCTTGAAGAGGTCCTTCACATCCCTTGTAAGTTGGATTCCTAGGTATTTTATTCTCTTTGATGCAATTGTGAATGAGAGTTCACTCATGATTTGGCTCTCTGTTTGTCTGTTATTGGTGTATAAGAATGCTTGTGATTTTTGTACCTTGATTTTGTATCCTGAGACTTTGCTGAAGTTGCTTATCAGCTTAAGGAGATTTTGGGCTGAGACAGTGGGGTTTTCTAGATATACAATCATGTCATCTGCAAACAGGGACGATTTGACTTCCTCTTTTCCTAATTGAATACCATTTATTTCCTTCTCCTGCCTGATTGCCCTGGCCAGAACTTCCAGCACTGTGTTGAATAGGAGTGGTGAGAGAGGGCATCCCTGTCTTGTGCCAGTTTTCAAAGGGAATGCTTCCAGTTTTTGGCCATTCAGTATGATATTGGCTGTGGGTTTGTCATAAATAGCTCTTATTATTTTGAGATACGTCCCATCAATACCTAATTTATTGAGACTTTTTAGCATGAAGGGTTGTTGAATTTTGTCAAAGGCCTTTTCTGCATCTATTGAGATAATCATGTGGTTTTTGTCTTTGGTTCTGTTTATATACTGGATTACATTTATTGATTTGCATATATTGAACCAGCCTTGCATCCCAGGGATGAAGCCCACTTGATCATGGTGGATAAGCGTTTTGATGTGCTGCTGGTTTTGGTTTGCCATTATTTTATTGAGGATTTTTGCATCAATGTTCATCAAGGATATTGGTCTAAAATTCTCTTTTTTTGTTTTGTCTCTGCCCGGCTTTGGTATCAGGATGATGCTGGCCTCATAAAATGAGTTAGGGAGGATTCCCTCTTTTTCTATTGATTGGAATAGTTTCAGAAGGAATGGTACCAGTTCCTCCTTGTATCTCTGGTAGAATTCCGCTGTGAATCCGTCTGGTCCTGGACTCTTTTTGGTTGGTAAGCTATTGATTATTGCTACAATTTCGGAGCCTGTTATTGGTCTATTTAGATATTCAACTTCTTCCTGGTTTAGTCTTGGGAGGGTGTATGTGTCGAGGAATTTATCCATTTCTTCTAGATTTTCTAGTTTATTTGCGTAGAGGTGTTTGTAGTATTCTCTGATGGTAGTTTGTATTTCTGTGGGATCGGTGGTGATATCCCCTTTATCATTTTTTATTGCATCTATTTGATTCTTCTCTCTTTTCTTTATTAGTCTTGCTAGTGGTCTATCAATTTTGTTGATCCTTTCAAAAAACCAGCTCCTGGATTCATTAATTTTTTGAAGGGTTTTTTGTGTCTCTATTACCTTCAGTTCTGCTCTGATTTTAGTTATTTCTTGCCTTCTGCTAGCTTTTGAATATGTTTGCTCTTGCTTTTCTAGTTCTTTTAATTGTGATGTTAGGGTGTCAATTTTGGATCTTTCCTGCTTTCTCTTGTGGGCATTTAGTGCTATAAATGTCCCTCTACACACTGCTTTGAACGTGTCCCAGAGATTATGGTATGTTGTGTCTTTGTTCTCATTGGTTTCAAAGAACATCTTTATTTCTGCCTTCATTTTGTTATGTACCCAGTAGTCATTCAGGAGCAGGTTGTTCAGTTTCCATGTAGTTGTCCAGTTTTGAGTGAGTTTCTTAATCCTGAGTTCTAGTTTGATTGCACTGTGGTCTGAGAGACAGTTTGTTATAATGTCTCATCTTTTACATTTGCTGAGGAGAGCTTTACTTCCAAGTATGTGGTCAATTTTGGAATAGGTGTGGTGTGGTGCTGAAAAAAATGTATATTCTGTTGATTTGGGGTGGAGAGTTCTGTAGATGTCTATTAGGTCCGCTTAGTGCAGAGCTGAGTTCAATTCCTGGGTATCCTTGTTAACTTTCTGTCTCGTTGATCTGTCTAATGTTGACAGTGGGGTGTTAAAGTCTCCCAATATTATTGTGTGGGAGTCTAAGTCTCTTTGTAGGTCACTGAGGACTTGCTTTATGAATCTGGGTGCTCCTGTATTGGGTGCATATATATTTTAGGATAGTTAGCTCTTCTTGTTGAATTGATCCCTTTACCATTACGTAATGGCCTTCTTTGTCTCTTTTGATCTTTGTTGGTTTAAAGTCTGTTTTATCAGAGACCAGGATTGCAACCCCTGCCTTTTTTTGTTTTCCATTTGCTTGGTAGATGTTCCTCCATCCTTTTATTTTGAGCCTATGTGTGTCTCTGCACGTGAGGTGGGTTTCCTGAATACAGCACACTGATGGGTCTTGACTCTTTATCCAATTTGCCAGTCTGTGTCTTTTAATTGGAGCATTTAGTCCATTTACATTTAAAGTTAATATTGTTATGTGTGAATTTGATCCTGTCATTATGATGTTAGCTGGTTATTTTGCTGGTTAGTTGATGCAGTTTCTTCCTAGCCTCGATGGTCTTTACAGTTTGGCATGATTTTGCAGTGGCTGCTACCGGTTGTTCCTTTCCATGTTTAGTGCTTCCTTCAGGAGCTCTTTTAGGGCAGGCCTGGTGGTGACAAAATCTGTCAGCATTTGCTTGTCTGTAAAGGATTTTATTTCTCCTTCACTTATGAAGCTTAGTTTGGCTGGATATGAAATTCTGGGTTGAAAATTCTTTTCTTTAAGAATGTTGAATATTGGCCCCCACTCTCTTCTGACTTGTAGAGTTTCTGCTGAGAGATCAGCTGTTAGTCTGATGGGCTTCCCTTTGTGGGTAACCTGATCTTGCTCTCTGGCTGCCCTTAACATTTTTTCCTTCATTTCAACTTTGGTGAATCTGACAATGATGTGTCTTGGAGTTGCTCTTCTCGGGGAGTATCTTTCTGGCATTCTCTGTATTTCCTGAATTTGAATGTTGGCCTGCCTTGCTAGATTGGGGAAGTTCTCCTGGATAATATCCTGCAGAGTGTTTTCCACCTTGGTTCCATTCTCCCCATGACTTTCAGGTACACCAATCAGACGTAGATTTGGTGTTTTCACATAGTCCCATATTTCTTGGAGGGTTTGTTCATTTCTTTTTATTCTTTTTTCTCTAAACTTCTCTTCACGTTTCATTTGATTCATTTCGTCTTCCATCACTGATACCCTTTCTTCCAGTTGATCGCATCGACTACTGAGGCTTGTGCATTCATCACGTAGTTCTCATGCCATGGTTTTCAGCTCCATCAGGTCCTTTGAGGACTTCTCTGCATTGATTATTCTAGTTATCCATTCGTCTAATTTTTTTTCAAAGTTTTTAACTTCTTTGCCATTGGTTCGAACTTCCTTCTTTAGCTCAGAGCAGTTTGATCTTCTGAAGCCTTCCTCTCTCAACTCGTCAAAGTCATTCTCCGTCCAGCTTTGTTCCGTTGCTGGTGAGGAGCTGCGTTTCTTTGGAGGAGGAGAGGCACTCTGATTTTTAGAGTTTCCAGTTTTTCTGCTCTGTTTTTTCCCCATCTTTGTGGTTTCATCTACCTTTGGTCTTTGATGATGGTGACATACAGATGGGTTTTTGGTGTGGATGTCCTTTCTGTTTGTTAGTTTTCCTTCTAACAGACAGGACCCTCAGCTGCAGGTCTGTTGGAGTTTACTGGAGGTCCACTCCAGACCCTGTTTTCCTGGGTATCAGCAGCGGTGGCTGCAGAACAGCGGATATTGGTGAACCGCAAATGCTGCTGCCTGTTCATTCCTCTGGAAGTTTTGTCTCAGAGGAGTACCCAGCCATGTGAGGTATCAGTCCGCCGCTACTGGGGTGTGCTTCCCAGTTAGGTTACTTGGGGATCAGGGACCCACTTGAGGAGGCAGTCTGCCCTTTCTCAGATCTCAGGCTGTGTGCTGGGAGAACTACTACTCTCTTCAGAGCTGTCAGACCGGGACATTTAAGACTGCAGAGGTTGTTGCTGTCTTTTGTTTGTCTGTGCCCTGCCCCCAGAGGTGGAGCCTACAGAGGCAAGCAGGCCTCCTTGAGCTGTGGTGGGCTCCACCCAGTTTGAGCTTCCTGGCCACTTTGTTTACCTACTCAAGCCTGAGCAATGGCAGGCGCCCCTCCCACAGCCTCGCTTCCGCCTTGCAGTTTGATCTCAGACTGCTGTGCTAGCAATGAGCGAGGCTCCGTGGGCGTAGGACCCTCTGAGCCAGGTGCGGGATATAATCTCCTAGTGTGCCATTTGTTAAGCCTATTGGAAGAGCGCAGTATGAGGGTGGGAGTGACCCGATTTTCCAGGTGCCGTCTGTCACCCCTTTCTTTGACTAGGAAAGGGAATTCCCTGACCCCTTGTGCTTCCCTGGTGAAGCGATGCCTCGCCCTGCTTCATCTCATGCACGGTGCGCTGCACCCGCTGTCCTGCACCTGCTGTCTGGCACTCCCCAGTGAGATGAACCCAGTACCTCAGTTGGAAATGCAAAAATCACCCGTCTTCTGCATCGCTCACGCTGGGAGCTGTAGACTGGAGCTGTTCCTATTCGGCCATCTTGGCTCCACTGCTGAATTCGCATATAGTACTTTTAAATGAGAAATAAATAGCCATGAATAAACAATTCTGTCATACAAAAGGGGGAAGAAACTTTTTTGTAATTTGACTTTGCAGAAAATAAAACCCCAGTGTCAGAGCCTGTCACTGTGATCTAGTTCTAGGAAGGTATTCTGGGTTTATTTTCCATTCTTGTCTCTTGGTGAATACTGTATTTCAACCACTATGCCTTCTTTGCTCTCTAAATGTACCCTGTAATTTCTGTCTCTCTACTCTAGCTCAGGGGTCTCTGAGCTCTGGATCTGTATGTGTATCTGTCAATGAACATCTATATCTGGATATCTTCCAGGCACCTCTGGTCTAAAACACCTAAAGCCTAACTCTTTAATGTCCCCATTTCTACTTTAATCTTTATCCAGGTTCCTGCGCCATCATATAACTAGTTGCTTAAGACAAAAAAAAAAAAAAATGAATCATCATCCATTATTTTTTCTTTCCCTCATTCTAATCAATTAATCTTGCAGATTTATAGAAATATATTTCCGTAAAATACATTTTGAATGACCTACCAAGACTGAATCATGAAGAAATAAAATATCTGAACAGATCTATAACTAGTGAGGAAATTAAATCAGTAACCAAAAACCTCCCAATAAAGAAAAGTTTGGGACCAGATGTATTCACTGGGGAATTCTACCAAATATTTAAGGAAGAATTAATACCAATCCTTTTCAAATTCTTTTTAAAAATTAAAGAGTAAAGAACATTACAAATTCATTTTATGAGGCCAGAGTTACCATGATGCCGAAATCAGACAAAGATACCACAAGTAAAACAACTGTAGACCAATATTTATCATGAAAATTGATGCAAAAATCCTCAAAAAATACCAGCAAACTGAATTCAATAATACATTAAAAGGATTCTGCACCATGACTATGTGGGATTTACTCTTGGAATATAAGGATGGTTCACCTGTGAATATCAATCAGCGTAATACACCACATTAACAGAATGAAGGACAAAAAACACATGATCATTTGAGTTGATGCAGAAAAGCATTTGACAAAATTTAACACCCTTTCATGATAAAAACCACACTGCAAGCTAGTAAAAGGAAATTACCTCAACATAGTGAAGGCCATATATGAAAAATCCACAGCTAACATCATACTAATGAGCAATAATTTGAAAATATTTCATGTAAGACCAGGAACAAGGCAAGGATGCCTTCTTTTGTCATATCTTCAATATATAGTACTGGAAGTGCTAGCCAGAGCAATTAAATAAGGAAGGGAAATAAATATCCAAATTGAAAAGGGAAGAGTGAAATTATCTCTATTCACAGATGACATGATCTTATATGTAGAAAACTTGAAAGATTCTACCAAAAAACTATTAGAGCTAATAAACAGATTTAGTAAATCTGCAGGATATGAAATCAATGAACAAAAATCAAGTGTGTTTCTATACACTAGCAATGAACAATCTAAAGAGGAAATTCAGAAAACAATCCCACTTACCAAAGCATCAAAAATTACAAAATACTCAGGAATAAACTTAACCAAGGAAGGGAAAGACCCATATACTGAAAACTACAAAAAATTCTGAAGGAAATTAAAGAAGACACAAATAAATGGGAAGATATCCTATGATCATGGACTACAAGAGTTAATATTGTTAAAAAGCATCCATACTATCCAAAGTGATCTACAGATTCAGTGTAATCCCTAGCAAAATCCTAGTGGCAGCCGGGCTCAGTGGCTTATGCCTGTAATCCCAGCACTTTGGGAGGCTGAGGCGGGTGAATCATCTGAGGTCAGCAGTTTGAGACCAGCCTGGCCAACATGGTGAAATCTCGTCTCTACTAAATGTACAAAATTAGCTGGGCAAGGTGGCGCACGCCTGTAATCCCAGCTACTCAGGAGGCTGAAGGGGGAGAATCACTTGAACCCAGGAGGCAGAGGTTGCAGTGAGCCAAGATCGCGTCACTGCACTCCAGCCTAGGCAATGCAGTGAGACTCCACCTAAAAAAAAAAAAAAAAAATCCTGGTGGCATACTTTTACAGAAATAGAAAAAAATTCTAAAATTCATTTGAAATCTCAGAGGACCCCACATAGCTAAGGCAATCTTAAGGAAAAACAAAAAAAGCTGGAGGTATCATACTTCCTAATTTCAAAATATTATTACAATTAGCTGAGTGTGGTGGCATGCACTTGTAATCCCAGCTACTTGGGTGGATGAGGCATGAGAATCGCTTGAACCTGGAAGGCAGAGGTTGCAGTGAGCCAAGATGGTGCCACTGCACTCCAGCCTGGGCAACAGAGACTTTGTCTCCAAAAAATATATATGTACATAAATATGTGTGTGTGTGTGTGTGTGTGTGTATGTATGTCCATATTATGTATATAATTATAATATATAAATATATATGTACATATGTGTATTTCTATGTTACGGTTATCAAAACAATATGATACTGACATAAACAGACATATAAACCAATGAAATAGAATAAATAGCCCAGAAATAAACCCTTATGTGTATGTCAAATGATCTTCGACAAGGGTACAAAGGCAACACAATGGGGAGAGAACAATTTCTTCAATAAATGGTGTTAGGAAAACTGGATATCCACATGCAAAAGGAAAAACGTTGGACCCTTATTTATACGACATGCAAAAATTGACTCAAAATGGATTAGAGACCTAAACGTAAAACTTGAAAGTCTAAAACTCCTAAAGGAAAACATAGAGGAAAAGCTACTTGACATTGGATTTGGCAATAATTTATTGGTTATGATACAGAAAGCACAGGCAACAAAAGAAAAGGAGAGAAAAGGGACTACTTCAAACTTCTTGAAAACTTCTATGCAGCAAAGGAAATAATTAACATTTTGAAAAGGCAGCCTATGAATGGGAGAAATTATTTGCAAACCATGTATCTGATAATATCCAGAATATATAAAAACTCCTACAACTTAACAACAACAACAACAACAACAACAAAATCCAATTTAAAAATGGGCAAAGGACCTAAGTAGACATTTCTTCAAAGAGGTAAACAAATGAGCAACAAGCATATGTAAAGATGTTCAGCATTACTAATCATCAGCGAAATGCAAATCAACAGCATAATGAGAAACCTTTTTCCTCATTAGGATGGTCACTTTAAAAAAAATGGAAAATAACCAGTGTTGGCCAGGATGTGGAAAAATTGGAACCTTTGTGCATTGTTGGTGGGAATGTAAAATAGTGGAGCTGCTATAGAAAACAGTATGGACATTCCTCTAAAAAATAGAATTAGTGTACAATGCAACAATCCCATTTCTGGGTATACACAAAAGAATTGAAAACATGATCTCAGAGATATTGGCACACATATTCATTGCAGTACTACTCATAATAGCCAGGGGGTAGGAGCAACCGAAAAGTCCATCTATGGATAAACAGATTTTAAAAATGTGGTGTATACAATGGAATATTACTCAGCCTTAAAAAAGAAGAAAATCAGCTGGGCATGGTGGCTCATGCCTATAATCTCAGCACTTCGAGAGGCTGAGGCAGGAGGATCGCTTGAGCCCATGAGTTCCTGACTTTCCTGGGCAACACAGTGAGACCCTGTCTCTACAAAAAAATTTTTAAAACTAGCCAGATGTGGTCGTATGCCTATAGTACCAGCTACTCAGGAGGCTGAGGTAGGGGAATCACACGAGCCTGGGAGGTCGAGGCTGTAGTGAGCTGTGATCGTGCCACTGTACACCAGCCTAGGTGACAGAGCGAGACTCTGTACTGGGGGAAGAAAAGGAAGAAGAAAATCCTGTCACATGCTACACCATGGATGAATTTTGAGGTCATTATGCTAAGTGAAATGAGCCAATCACAAAGAAAGACAAATACTACATGATTTCATTTGGCAATATTTGTCTTTTTGTGTGTGATTGGCTTATTTCACATTAAGGTATCTGAAGTAGCCAAGCTCTTAGAAACAGGAACTAGAATGGTGGTCCTCAGGGATGGGTAGGAGGGGTAAAAGGGAGTTGTTTAATGGATATAGGGCTTCAGTTTTATAAGATGAAAAATTTCTTGAGATTTGTTGCACACAAGATACATATAGTTAACACTACCATATACTTAAAATGGTTACGAGAATAAATTTTATGATATGTTTTTATCACAAATTTTTAAAGTATTTTAAAAATACATATTTAATCAATCCACTTCTGTCACCACTGCTACATGCACAGTGCAGGTCACCATCATCTCTATCCTAAACCACTGCTACCACTTCCTATCTTATCTGTCTTCTCCTTCTCCCTCTCATGGCTTTCCAAACCCATTAGCCAGAGTGGTCTTTCAAAGATGTATTTGGGATTCTGTTTCCTTGCCCTCCTACCCACCACAAAGCTCCCCAAACACACTTAAGTGTCTTCAGAGTTTCTGATGGTCTTTAGACTCCAGCTCACTTTCCTTATGCTGACCTGTATGCCTGTGTGATCTAGCCTCTGCCCACCCTTCAACAGCACCTATAACCCTTCTTCAGCTTAGCATTTCCATGTGGCCCCCTGGCCTCCTTTCACCTCCTAGTTTACACCAAGGGCTTTCCCACCTTAGAGTTATCCACATGCTCTTCCTTCTCTAAGTAAAGTTCTGCCCCCTGCTCTTGTTGTGACTGGTTCCTTTCATCCTTCAAATTCCTATCTTCTCTGAAAAGCCTTTCAGAAGCTCCGTTGTTAGTTTCATTCACCTCTTTGTGTTCCCAGTCTCTAGGGCAGCTCAGGAACATAGTAGATGCTTAAGAAATGTTTGCATGAACAACTGACTAGTTCTGCAAATGAAGCGCTTCTCCCTTCTGCCTGAATTTGTTTTATAGACTATATTTTCCTATAGATAGTCTAATCACCTTTTGGAGCTCTGTTTATATTTCACACTGCTTTCATCAGAATTATTCCCATCCTTGTTGGTCCAAATCAGGTCTTTGCTCCCCTCTGTGTACCTAATAATAGCACTTATTTTGTTCTTTCCAGTTTTATATTTATGTAGTTTGTATGTCTTTCCAAGCAGATGGTGATGCCCTAGAGGGTAGATGCTGTGTCCTTCTTTCTGAATTCTCACTAACACAGTGCCTGACACATGGTTAGACATCAGTAAGTTTGAAATTTAGTCACCAGAAGTTGTGCCGTAAGCAGACTCCGTTCATGCTGGGCTAGTGTTTGTAAAATGCACTGTGCCCCTAGAAACTGAGTCTCTATGCCTTGGGAGACACCTTTATTCAATTACCCGCAGCCTAGCCATGGTGTCCTTGTTATTCTGCAGACTGTTTTTGCTCTCCTTAATGGCATCTTGCTGCCGAAAGGAAGTAAAATGCTACAAAGGAGTTTCTGAAAATGGATTTAAAAATAAAAGAAGTGCTTTTATTAAGTGTTTAATAAGAACTTCCAGTCCCTTCCTCCCAGATCAAAAGAGGCGTAGATTGAAACCACTGTATAGAACATGAGCCTCCCATAAGGGAGATGTTATGAATTTCAAAACACATCTTCAGTTTTTAACTCTGATATTTAGCCAGCATCTTGCAGTATGTAAATTGTTCCCTGGGCTCCTAGAACGGTGCTGTGGCACTTTAGGGAATCTAAGACTGGGTAGGGCTTTGTTCAGTAGTAGGTCAGGTCTGGAAGGAGCACTCACAAGGGGTTTTAAATAAATTGCAATTGTACATTGCCCTTTTAATGGGGTAAATGTTCCTTTATTGTAAAGCAATATTAAACCTTGATAAACTATAGCTGTTATTTTTTTCCCTTTTGGTGTTTTTCTATATTTACAAATTTTCTACCGTGAAAGTTATTTTTGTAATCAAATACATTTTCTTATTTCAAAATACTGGTTAATTTAGATTACACTTGTTTATAATGCTGACAACTCCATTGATTCTACACTGATAACAAGCGGCAAATATTAACAAGTCTGACAATATTGAGTATTGGAGGAGATGTCAGTCCATAAGCTATCTTTTAAATGACTGGTCGAAGAGTAAATTGGCATAACCACATCAGAAGAAGCTTGTCATGACCATCGGAAGTTGAATATTAGCTGGGTGAGGTGGCTCATACCTGTAATCCTAGCACTTTAGGAGGTTGAAGTGGGAGGATCACTTGAGCCCAGGAGTTTGAGGCTGCAGTGAACTATGATCACACCACTGCATTCCAACCTGAGTGACAGAATGAGACCCTGTTTCAGTAAATAAATAAGTAGATCGCATATGTACATACCCTTTACACTTGAGGTGTAATATCCAAGAGAGAGTCTTGTGCATGAACAGGAATCTTCAAAGCTGCACTGTAAACAATAGCAAAATTCTGGAAACAACCCAGATGGCATTAGTGAGAGAGTAGATGAATAAATAGAGGTGCAATCCTAAAATGGACTATTAGGTTTCAACAACAAATGAGCCACAGTGAAGCCTAAGATAGTGGCTACATAATAGAACTATAATAATTAATAAGTGAAAAAGTAAATTCTAAAACATTACCTGCAGGATGACATCTTTTTAATAGTTAAAGACAAAAATAAAAATACACTTTTCAGAATACAGATAGATGCAATAAAACCTGTATAGAAAGGACAACCAGGGAGTGATTGCTATGGGATTAGGGATGGGACCTACCTCAGGCTGGGGATGGACTCACTGGGAAGTAGCAAATGATTAGAGGTATGTTATTCTCAAGATCCTGGCTTTTGTTTTGGGTAGTGGTTTAGTGCATGTTTATTACATTATTTAAAATTACAAAATAAATACATGAAAGCAGTGACATGGTGGCACACACCTGAAGTCCCAGCTACTTGCAGGGCTAAGGTGGGAGGGTCACTTGATCCCAGGAGTTTGAGCCTGCAGTGAGCTATGGTTGCGCCACTGCACTCCAGCCTGGGCAACAGAATGAGACCCCATCTCTGGGTGAATGAAAGAAGGAAAGCATGAATGAATACAGCTTGTGCATGATGGAAGAGTGTCACAATCCAAAGATTATGTATGATTAATACAATTCCAGAGAGATTCCCTTTTACCCCCCTACCTCAGCTTCCCAAAAAGAGGGAAAAAAGCAGGGGTTTTTAAGCAAATGAATTACAAAACCAGGATTGCAACTAGGATATCTTTAACATATTGATGTAAATGGACAGTTGATAGACTGATTCAAATTATTTCTATCTGTTCTTTAAAGCAGTCCCCATGCACTGGTGACTATGCCATTGCTGCATCATTAGCCTCATTCAATGTACAGTGGGTCTTTGAACATTTAAAATTATCATTATAGGTATTTCTAATTAAGGTTGTTTGCTAATTGAGACTGACCTACCACTTAATCCAAATTGATAAGGTTTTACTTTGCAAGACAAGTGTTTTTTCTTACCCCCAATCCTTTCCAGAACTCTGTGGAGAAAAAGTAGATAGAATATATTTTGGCACTTATTTTATTCCTTAAAACAAAGAGTTTCCAATTTCATTCTAAAATAGGGTACTGCCATTTTGAAAATATTTTATGAGCATGCAGTCTGTGCCAGGGCTGATGCTGGGCCTGGAGATATATGCATGAATAATAGCTGGAATTCTTGGCCTTACAGTAGCTCACGGTGTGGAGCATGCAACAAACGTGTAAATTATTAATCTACCACGTGAGAAGTGCTCTGATAAAGGTCGGAACAAAGAGGCCTGTGCCTCGCTCTGCCTACTTGAGGGGTGAGGCAATGATTCAAGAGGCTTCCAAAGAGGTGACATTTTAGCTGGGCCCTAAAGGGTGAGGGGAGAAAAGCCATTCCAGGCGGAGGAGTTTCTCACCAGGCAAGGGCATGGAGGAAAGAAAGGGCCCAGACATTCCAGATGTTGAATGGTGTTTGCAGGAGGAAGATAGTCTGTCCTTTGCTGCAGGGATTGTAGCTTGCTACATCACATTTCCCCAGCTTCTGCTTCCTGATGCTCACCCCTTTCTTGTAAGATCCAAAGTTGGGCTCCTTCTCAAGTAGGATGGGATTTCCTGGCTGAGTCTCTTGTGTCCTGTCTTGTTGTGGCCTCCTCTCCTACCATGGCTGGCTTCCAAAAGGCAGACATAGCCTAATCTGTGAAGTGACTCACTCAGGCTCAGCTGTATCTGCTTGAGGAAAAAAAAAGTTGATGCCACATTAGGGACTAGAGCACTAAAGAGACGCAGTTGCAGGAATGAGTGGACACACTGTAGACTCGTCTTGTGCCCCTGATTCTTGAATTTCTACTCCTTCTGAAAGGCTGAGAACAAAATGAGTTCAGAAGGCTTTTATAAGCTTCTTAGTGTAAGTCAGCAGCTTAGCAAGAGGATAACTATAATTGGTCTTCTTGAATGACCTCTGAAATAGTCTAAATGGAATCTCCTTTTATGTTTCTCATGACCTTTTAAATTTTTATTTTATTATTTATTTATTTATTTATTGAGACAGAATCTCTCTCTGTTATCCAGGCTGTAGTGCGTTGGTGCAATCTTGGCTCACTGAAACCTCTGCCTCCTGAGTTCAAGCGATTCTCGTGTCTCAGCTGGGATTACAGACGTGCACCACCACACTCGGCTAATTTTTGTATTTTTAGTAGAGACAGGGTTTCACCATGTTGGCCAGGCTGGTCTCAAACTCCTGACCTCAGGTGATCCGCCTGCCTTGGCCTCCCAAAGTGCTGGGATTATAGGCGTGAGCCACTGCGCCTGGCCTCATGACCTTTTTTAAAAGCAGAGCTCTTGAAATTGCTAGGTGTGAGTTATCCCATTGTACATGGGGGGGGATAATCTGGTGAATGGTAGTGTCAGCCCAAAGACAAAAAACAGACCACATTGATGTGGGGAAAAATGTCATGAGCCTGTCACTGGGCAAGCGTGAGGGCTTGGAATTCAGACTGATCTAGGCTGTCTTGTACCAGGGCCTGACACTTCTGCACCTGTGTCATAGGGCAGGGGCCAATCTGTTAGATGCCCTGAACACCTGGCAGAGGCACTGTTGAACACCAGACGAAACAGACTTTTATCTCTTGTCCCAAATGCTTTATTCATGGTCCCAAAGCTTGGGATGGCATTCCTATTAGAACAGGAGCTGGAGGGAGAAGGGACAGGGTGGGATTCTGAATCTGTTGATTAATTCAGACATTCAGTCCTTCCCCTCATGGTTCCATGTCAGCTGCTAGCTGGATGTTGCCACAACCAATTCTGTAAAAATTATTTGAACTTATCAAATCTCAATATCCCTGACTTTGTATATCTTGCACTTTACCCCAGGGCAAGATAAAAAAATTCCCCAGTCTTTTTTTTCTGGTTGATTTTATAAAACTTTATGTAACAATCAATATTTAAGATATTTAATGTGTAACTCTTGACTTCTCTGGCTTGAGGAAAATAACCCTAGTATATAGTCACCAAGTTTCTCTTTGAACTGGTTGAAATAGGCTTTGTTTTTCATCTTGCTTGTACTTTTGTGATTTAAGCACAGTGATAAGGAGGCTCAGAGGGTGCCATCCCTGAAGGAGCACATTTAACTGTGTCAGACCCACAACTCACACAGTACTGTCCAGGTTTTCCTCCAATAATGCCATGTAGCATCCCAGAGTTTCAGAGACATTTAACCACAAGCATTTATTTCTTGTTCTGGGTCTGTGGGTAAACTGGGGTGGTTCTGTTTTTTATACTGCCCGTTAAGCTTAAGTCAGCTCCTTCTGTGTCCACAAGTCGAGATGGTAAAAGTTAAGATTGCAAGAGACAAAGCAAAATAAAGAGACACATTTCAAGCCTCTGCTTACCTCTTGACCATTCACATTTCATTGGCTAAAGCAAATCTCGTATCAAGCCCAACATCAGTAGGGCAAAGAATATATTCCTCCCACAGGAGTGGATGTGTGTTGAACAATGATCCAGTTTCCCACTCATACCCACTGTCTGCGGAGACCTGGAGAAAGAAGCATCATCTTCTCTCAGGCTTTACGCTCCTTGTTTCCTTCAGCATCTGATGGCTGACCATTTTTTTGCTTATATCTTTCTTCCCTTAACATAGCACACACCTCTGTGTGGGTGAGCATCTGCAAGCACTCCTCCATCTTCTTCTGTGGCTTCTCATCTTCCTTTTGCTCCAAAACTATGGGCACTCTTGGTTAATGGACATTCCTTTAGAAATTTGATCTATCCCAAGGACACAGATATATGTCCCTGGCTCAGTGTCTCCCTTGATTTCTAAGCTTGACTTTCCCTTGGAATTCACCTCAAACTCAGCCTATCCAAAATCAGACCTTTTCTCATGCAGTTCCTCAATCAGGTGTGTATTTATTCCCATTTATTTGAAAGCCTCCATCTTTCTCTCTCAACTTCCTTAGTTTTGAGGCTTTTGAATCATTTGTCCTTAAATCTCCCTTTCATTTGTTGCTGTTGATTTAATCAGTCACTAACCTCTGTTTGATATTACCCATTTGCTTCTAGAATCACCCCTTCTTTTCTCCCATGCCAGGCTGGGCTCTTATGATAACATGCCCACAGAACTAGCCTGGCCACCTGCCTTCTATCTTCTCCTCCATCAGTGCTTCTGGCTTTCTGCTACTTAAGGCATTTTCTAAGAGGTCACTGTCATCCAAGCACTCCTGCACACATCAGCCCCAGAGAAGGACAGTGATGGAGGAGTGCCTGGAGATGAAGTTGGCTATGAGGCCCCATTGTGTGTCCCACTCTATCTCCTGGTGTAAACCCTCTGTTCCAACAGGAGCCGGCTTCCCCCTGCTACCTCTGCACCATGCACATTCTAGTAAGCTTGCAATTACTTTCTTCTTCTGATAGCATGGGATCCCCTGGAGTTATATTCGCTGGGGCATCATTTTTTCCTAGATGTCTTCAGTATGCATTGAAGGCAGGAATTGCTTACACAGGGGGGTAAGAGCCAAAAATGGGGGCCAAACTGGTTGAAGTGGAGGATACCTGCTGTGGAGCTGACCCACCCATGTTTGCCCACTTTCTCTGCCTCCTGACCAGGATTTAGAAGAGTCTGGGTACACAATACATAGCACCCTAATGGATACTTGTTGGTTAACTAGTTCAATAATACAGATGGACAATTGAACTTAGTCCCATTGATGAATGTCCCTGCAGGCCAGATGACGACTTAGCAGTGATCATGCCTTATGTCTGCATTTCAAGCTCCTGACCATGCCTAGTACACAAGAGGCCTCCATGAATGTTTACTGGATGAGTGGATGAGCAAGGGTGTGAGAGAACAAACTACTGGGGGCTGGTAGAATAAACCACACCTTCTCTGGCACACACGGTCAACATAGCATCATTAATGTGTGGTTAGCCTGTAATCATCTACATGACAAAGCATGACTCAGTGATAACATGCATTTCATAGTTATTTCTTACATTTCTCTAGCCTTTTCCTATCCACTTCCACTCCTGTGAAGTGCCATGAACATATAGTATCATCTGGGACGATCAAAGAGGTAGACTTAATCCAGATCAGGTAGTTAATGACAGACCTTGAGCTAACATCCACATCTCAAAACTTGACCCCAAAGCCAGCTTATGAAACTCTTCCGATTCCTAGTAACACATTAAGACTCGTTAAGGCTTCACAAGTAATGAGATGTTCTTTCCTAGCTTTTGATAGGCTTATGCTAATGCGGTGAGGAGTTCCTGCTAATAAGCAGGGAGAGACAGAATTGATTTAAGGATCTGTCACTTCCAAAAATATGCTGGCTGGTGGAGACGAAGTTGTCATCGTAAACTTGTGTTTTTCTTTTTTTTTTTTTTTTTCCTTTTTTTTTTTTTATTATACTTTAAGTTTTAGGGTACATGTGCACATTGTGCAGGTTAGTTACATATGTATACATGTGCCATGCTGGTGCGCTGCACCCACTAACTCGTCATCTAGCCTTAGGTATATCTCCCAATGCTATCCCTCCCCGCTCCCCCCCACCCCACCACAGTCCCCAGAGTGTGATATTCCCCTTCATGTGTCCATGTGATCTCATTGTTCAAGTCCCACCTATGAGTGAGAATATGCGGTGTTTGGTTTTTTGTTCTTGCGATAGTTTACTGAGAATGATGATTTCCAATTTCATCCATGTCCCTACAAAGGACATGAACTCATCATTTTTTATGGCTGCATAGTATTCCATGGTGTATATGTGCCACGTTTTCTTAATCCAGTCTATCATTGTTGGACATTTGGGTTGGTTCCAAGTCTTTGCTATTGTGAATAATGCCGCAATAAACATACGTGTGCATGTGTCTTTATAGCAGCATGATTTATAGTCATTTGGGTATATACCCAGTAATGGGATGGCTGGGTGTTTTTCTTAATTTTTGTGTGTGCCTCTTGCCAGTTAGAGATGTCAGGAGATAACACATCATTTTCTGGTGGCCTTACTAGATGATTCCTGCTTTTAGAAAGGACTGACTACCTTTCCCACCCTTGGATTTGGCCCCCAGATGTCCAGCACTCATTCTCCTCCCATGCCCTGACACCAGGGCCTCCTCAAGTGTGTTACTCATAGAGGCTTTAGTTCTTTTGCTGCTCCCTCACCTCCTGTCTCATAGTTGAATCGAGTAGCAATGGATGCTTGCAGCTAAAGCCCAAAGTTGGGTTGACATACTGTGCTCTCGAAAGAATATAGCTGTGGGATAGCTTGAAAATTATACTGTAAGTTAGTATGTATATTTATTAATTTAGGCTTAATACGTTGAAACTGTGTCACATATATTGATTATCACCTCAAGGTTAGACACAGCTTTTCTTGATGAAGATGAAATGGAAAGACTGAATGACACACAACATTGATTTTCTTTCCTTTAGATATTATCCACTTTAAATTATCTCTTTTAGACTTGCCTCTTTTTACCACCAGACCACCTCTTTTGCCCAACTAATTTTTGTAATTTTTGTAGAGGTGGAGTTTCACCATGTTCCCCAGGCTGGTCTCAAACTCCTGAGCTCAGGTGATCCACCCATCTTGTCCTCCCAAAGTGCTGAGATTACAGGAGTGGATCACTGCACCCAGCCTAGACTTGCCTTTTAATGATGTTTTGGATACCACATCCCTGTTCTCTACAGAAATTTCTTTGGGGTTGTTTTCAAAAAAAATCTATTTGTTAGGCTTGAGTAGTCTTACTTTTTTGGGTTTCTACTGTTTTTGTCTATCTCAGCACCTTGTGTCTTTCCTTTTTTGGCTGTCCCTAATCACAGTAGTATTTATTGTGTGGAGGTTAACTTTGTAATTTCTCACTCTCCCACTGGACTGGAGGCCCATTGAGGGCAGAGATTGATCTGTTCAGTTTACATCAGTACAGAACCTGGAATGTAGCTGGGCCTCAGGGAATATTCATTGAATGATTACATGAAGTAGTTCTACCTTTTTTCCCCATATAAGCACTGTTTATTTATAATTATGTTAAAGCTGAAGCTTAGACGTTTTCTGATCATTGCTAGAATGGGTCTGACTATATACAGGCAAAAAATTTATTTCCAAAGGAGGACACAGAATGAGCAACCTGGGTTAATACCAGAGTACAATGGAAAAGAACAAGGGGCATTTGTGTGTGTGTGTGTGTGTGTGTGTGTGTGTGTGTGTGTGTGTTTGTACAACCTTTCAATTTAGTGTAGGCTAATACTTTATTGTATTTTTCTCCTTGTCTGCTTCTTCGTACTTTGGTTCAGTGTTGTGCTTTAAATCCTAGAAATACAAACTCCGTGGAGCTTATAGTAAGGACTTTGGAATGTGGTGTTTTTGAATGTTAGAAGTGGTTAGGTTGAAAAGGGATAGATAATTAATAGTTGGATGAAAGTTTCAAGGAGAAAAAAAGCTACTTGTCTAACTTGTCTTTGAAAATGAGTCAAACAGGCAAGAGAATCCAGATTCTATATAATACTTGTCATTTTGGTTTTCTGTGGCAGACAGAATTTCTCAGTAGATAGATACAATTTTTATTTTATCTTATGCTAATGAATAATATTAATAAGCCAAGATATATAAGATGCTTTGCTGAGTGCTCTGTGATGCCAAGTTAATTCTCACATTTTAGCTCTCACTTCCTATTAGAGCCTCTCAGCTTGCTTCTTTTTGGACAAAGAAGAGAGAAATGACCTCTTTGGGCACTTTCCATGTGTCAGACATAGGTGTATGAACTCACGAGATGTTTGCAACATCCTCCAAGGTGCTGATTGTAGTCTCTGTTTTACATAGCACAAAGTCAAAGCTCAGAACTCTTCAGTGAATTGTCCAAGGATTCATGTTTAATTAAATGATGGAACTAGAATACAAACGTCGGCCTTAAAAAAGACTTCTGAAAAACAGAGTGCCAACATGCCTCCTGGGGCTCTGAAATTGCTTTCAAATGATTTTATTTGAGGAAGAGAAAAAGATCAAAAGAAAATGACTCACTCACTGCCTTTCCAGACTTTTGCTGTCTTTTTGGAGGTTTTGGTAGACTTTTGTCCTCCTCTTCTGGAAACTTCCTTTTGGTCTCTGAGTACTGGGTATTCCCCAGTCCCACTGACATCAGCAGTACAACAGGGAAGAGAAAAACTTAGAAATATATGTGAGATGAAAAAATAGAGAAATCTTCTGTCACAGTGCAATCTGACGTATCATTTAAATAATCTTACTGTAGTGAATTTGAGAGCAAGGGAAATGATTTCTCGTTGAGAAATAGAAGTCCTTTGGCTTGGAGAATATTTCCAAAAAATAAATCCTTCATTACCCTGGACAGTTCTTGAAATAAAAATAGTTCATATCAAGCCACATCATGAAAGAAATAATTAAGCAGTCCTTGAGAATTTACCTATTTTTCTATTCAAACATTAAAGTGATCGTTTAATCTTACATACAATTCCCTGAACTCCCCCTAAGTAATTGCTTTGGTGATTTTAGCTCAACCTTGAAACAGACTTGGATCTGTTGCATATTTGACTTCGTTTGAAAGAGAAATGCAATTTTAAAGAAATAGAGACCTCGGAATATAAACTCCTTGCCCGCTGAGACTAAAAAACAGGGAAAAAAGAGATTAAGTTGTGGGAGCCCAGAATGGAATGAAGTATCAGCTCTAACAATAAAAATATCACCTGTTACACAGTGGTGCTTTAACACCTACCAGGCGTTTTTGCACATAGTACCTAGTTTAATTCTTACGGTAGTCCTTTGAGAGAGGCAGGACAACTATGACCCCTCTTTTTGAAACAAGAAAATTGAGTCTCAGAAGACTGACTGATTTATCCTAGGTCACACAGCTAAAATGACAGAGTCAGAACTTGAACCCAGGTCTCCAAGTGCCAATTTACCGCTTTTTCCACCAAGCCTTTTATCTCTCTTAAGGGGCGAGCATTTACTGTGGATAAGCTCTTATTAGAGCTCTGTCAAGGCTCATGAAAAGTCTTTAATTGTAATGGAGTTTTTCCTATGTTTGAGACGTGTGGGTGTTGCCTGGGGTGTATAACAGTATTTATAGAAATGGAATTTGGCCTGCAATAATGAAGTTCTGAATTATTTGCTGCTGTAACACTAAATTAGAGATGAGCTAAGTTTAAGTTAATAGTATATGAATAAACTGGTCTACTCAACTTTTACATAGCTTAGGCACGTAGATTCCAGGATAAATCTGAAGCTGCCTAAATCAAAATGGGCTAAGAAGCAGGTAGCAAAGAGGAGATAAATAAAATATCACTTAGTGTGATATAACTCTGCTTAAAAGAACAGCTGTGAAGTGTCTATAATGAAAGTATAACAGACAATTTTAAAAGCGTTCTTCCAAGTAAGTTAGCCTTGTACCCAAATAGAATTTGAAGTCTAGTATTCATTCATTTTTAACCCATTTATTCACTTAGCAACTATTTGGTGAATATCTCTGTTGTGCCAGTGGCTGTGATGAGTCCCAAGGATTCAGAGCAAAAACACAGTTCCTTTCCTTGAGGAGCTCGTAGGTTTGTAGATGTCACGAGTAGAGACACTTAGAAACACAAGCATAAGCTTCACAAACATCTAGTGTTCGTCTTATGATGGGCACCAAGTTTGCTTGCCCCCCAGTTTTCCAAATCTTTTATTTTCTTATCATTGGGATTTTCAGTATTTCATGTTATAAGAGATATTGCAATCAGTCTAACTTGCAAGAAACCTAATTATTGAAATATTCATTCATTCAGGAAACGTTTGTCAGACGCATACTACATGCCTGGGCCTCTGCTGAGTATTGGGGCTACAGAGATGAAGCCAATATGTTTCCTGCTATAAGAAGTTCTCACTTTAATAGGAGAGAAAAAGAATAAACAAATATGCCCAATCCTGACTCTGCCACTTACTAGCTACATGACCTTTAGCAAGCAATTTAATCTCATGGAACTTTTGTAACAATACACATAATACCTGAAAAGCAGGAGGATAGAGCTGGGCATGTAAGAAGTCTAATGTAGCTGCTGCCACTGTTGGTTATTATGAGAAAAGTGGAAGGAGGATTTGGGTTCCCACAGGCACACAGAGGTGGAAGGGGCTACTGGTACTTTAGGGAGGGCTCAGTCAGGAGAGGCTTCCTGGAGAAAGGGCTGCTTGATCTACGCGGGAAGTGCAGTGGGTTTTTGCCCTGCCAAACACAGGTGAAGGAGCAGTACAAGCAAGGTAGGGGGTGCAGTGCCACACTTAGGGAGATGCAGGGAAGAATATCAAGCACACCACTGGAAACAGGCTGGAGAGGTGCCTGGCGACAGACCCCAGGAGGCCATGAAGAGGGTTAGGGGGACCCACCCTGTAGCCAGGGCCAGAAGTGTGGAATAGGCAGGTTTGCATTTGAGAAAGACCCCATGGTCCCAAGTTGTCCAGTGAGACACCTCAAGATCATTTTGCCTGTTCTGTCTTGGTCTTTTTGGTTAAATATTCCACAAGGTCTGTTATTTTAAGGGGAAAATAAAGAACCATTTTTAAAACCTGCTGGACAGACCAATACTGTATGAGCTCATATGTAGACTATAAAAATCTAAGTCATAGAAGAAGAGAGTAGAATGGTGGTGACCAGAGGTTTGGGGGTGGGGGAAATGAGTAGTAGTCAGTGAAAGGATATAGACTTTCAGTTATGTAGGATGAGTGAGTCTAGAGATCTAATGTCCAGCATGGTGACTATAGTTAACACTGTATCGTACGCTTGAAATTTGCCAGTGCAGTAGATCTTAAGTGTCCTACACATGCATGCGCGCGCGCACACACACACACACACACCACACACACACACACACACACACACACACGGTAACTAGGTAAGGTAATTAATGTGTTAATTAACTTGAGTGTGGTAATCATAATCATTTTACAGTATATACATATATCAAAGTATTACATACACTTTGAATATATACAATTTTTATTTGTTAATTATGCCTCAGTAAGGCTGGAAAAAAAAATAGAGATATCTCTGTCTTAATAAAAAACCCTGGCCAACAGTTAAAAGTCTTGTTGAGTATCTGCCTTTAAGCAAGAAATATTGTGCGTACAAGGGGGAAGACTCACTTTCTGGTTGTAGAGAAAACTAGAAAATTAATATTTTGGTTTGGTCCAGCAAATGCTATAAGAATAAATCAAGTATGAAATATGTACATTTCCTAGTAATGTCTTTGATTGTGTTGGCAGAAAATTACCTAACTGGAATAAATGTTCAGGGAGACAAGGTTTTAGCTGTGCACAGTCCAAGCCAAAATCCCTTCTCTAAACCTTTCTCACATGGACAGAGCCTAACTCATTGGAAGCTTACGGTCTGAAATGGTGTAGAACTCTTTCTTTTTTTACTCCATTTTCTATTAGAATTAAAGTTGAATAATTTTGTCATGCTATCATTCAAAATAAGTAAAAAAGAAAACAAATTATCTCCTTTTTCTGAAGGGCACCTGAGGCTGTGACACTTTAGCTGTGTTAAGTATTGCAGCAGCAGAGCTGTCAAAGGAGCTCACTGGCCCTCAGTTTAACCATAGAAAACATGTTTTCTTAAATTATTTTGGCCTTATAGGGTGTTTTCTTAAATGAAAAATGATCACAGTTAGCATGCCTAACTCTTGTTGGCCCGACCATTTTATGAAGAAGAAGAATGTTATGGCACAGCAGTCTGGAAAGAATGTCAGCTCACTTAGGTTAAAGATTATCAGTGACCTCGAAGCATACGCTAAGTCAGTGGAGAAAGAAGAATTGAGGACTAAGTATGTAGACTGTGAACTGTGGCAGAGTAACCCATACTTTCTTTAGTATCCATGGATTTTCACTTCCTTCTTTGGAAGAATCTCATGTTGGTGGGAAGTATAATTATCCTTACATATACCACTGTGGGAAGAGAACGTGTGTCCATAATCACTGAAAGGAAATACCCTAGCATGGTAAGAGTCTGTCCTGGCTGACCCAATGAGGTTTTGCAGCTGCTGCCAAGCCGCTATGCAAGGGGTGTGGCCTGGGTGGAATACCAGTGGCATTATTGGTTTCTGGATGCTATAGGGAAAGCCATGCATTCCTATGTATAATGTATCAAAATGATGCATCAGTACACTGATAGCTCTCTAATGTGCATATACTCATTAACTATTTGCATTTTTTAGTTTTTGAATAAGTGATACTTGCACATGGTACGAAATTCAAAGCTTCAAAAGAAAAAAATGCTGAACAGTCTCCCTCCCATCTCTTTTTCTCACCACCTAATTTTCCTCCCTGGAGTTGCCAGCGTTATAGTTTACTGGATACCTTTTCCAAGATAGTCTCACTCATTTGATATGTCTGTCTCCTTGCTTCTTGAGGGCAGCAATAGTGTTTGGCAATAAATACGGTAAAACTGCTTTGCCTTCTTAGTTCTGAATGTAGAGCTGATGCTGAAAGTATGATGTTATTTGGGGGAGGGGTATAATTGGGTCTATCTAACAATAAAATATTATTATATATGATATTTTATGGAGTAAAATATTTTTATTCCATTATCTCACTTTACCTTTATTATATAGAAAATAAACAAAAGCAGGTATTATTATCCCCATTTGAGTTTTCCGCGCTCTTCTGTCCAGTGGTTCAGGGGTCAGCCAGAGATATGGACAGAGTTTATACACAAAATTTGAGTTTTCCACTTTCTAGAAGGGAGTCATAAAACCACACTTGGAAACACAGAATCAGAGAGGTTTGAAGTAGGGAGGCCCAGAGGGTTATTTGGAGACTTCATCCAAACCTGAAGTCATCCTTTTCCCTCTGATTTGTGTGTCAGTGATACCACCAGACTCCCAAGACAGCAAACCCACAGACATGGAGTTCTAGTGCATTCTTTCTATTCCTTCATCTTCAGTTCTTGAGGAGCAGCCTTGCAAACTAAATATAACATGACCATCAGTATTTCACTTTTCCCTCATCCATAGGAAAGTTAATAAGCACATGTCACTTCTTTCATATCCATCCCCTACCCTGTCTGCCATGCTTATCCTATTTCATATCCCATCAAATATGGGGTTAAAAAAAGGACACTAAACTAGATTCCTGGTCCCCAGTCTTTTTACAGTTCATTTCAACAAATGCTCTGCAGATACAAGAACCCTCCTAAAACACAGCTCTCCTGTGACTCCCCCAGTTAAACCTTCATTGACTAATTTCTTCATGGGTCCTCACATCAGCTGTTGCTCGGCCGCCCTGCAGCTGTGCTACTCTTCTCTCCATTCCCTCACATGCTAGGTTCACACGCCTACCTCGTGGCTTTTGCTTGGGATAATATCTTCATCCAGATGCCTTCTCACTACAGAGACATGTGGTAGAAAAGGCCCTGGACTGTGTTATGCGTGTGGATGGGAAGTTGGAGTCAACCTGAGCTGTGCATCCATCACTGATAGAGTGGACAGGTAAAATGTGGTGGATACATGCCATGGCATATTATGCAGCAATGCATATTACAATGGTTTTACTTTCAGTATAATGAAATAAGCTCCTTCTAGGATAACCTTCCCATAAATAACAAAAACTCTCTGCGGTGGGCAGTGGGGCAGGGTGGGGGAAATACCAACCGCCTGAAGGTCCTAGCTTGTGAACACAAGGTCCTAAAGGACACAGATTCTGGAGGGGTGTCAAAACATGGAAGAAAGGAATGGCAGAGTGTGTTTACCATTCTTATGGCTTTTAGCCTAAGGTCTGAACATGGCCAATGGCCACATTTGGCGTTTAAAGCTCCAATAGTAAACTACAGCCATTCTGTTCTGAAGAACCAGATGACAGCATTCAGGACAACCACAGCCTCTGGAAAATGAGGGGGACATGGATATCTTGGAATGGAAAGACCTAGAGAGTGGAAAACTCAAATTTTGTGTATAAACTCTGCCCATATCTCTGGCTGAACCCTGAACCACAAATGCATGGGACTTTAGCTATGCATTTAGAATCTTTAGATTCTAGCTAAAGATACAAGAACTAAACTGAGATTTGAGGTGCCATTCAAGAAACTGAGTTTTCCATTTGAATCCAATCAAGTTAATTACTTGTTTTGAAAAAAAATACTCTTCAGAAGAGTATAACAAAATCTACCTCATAACCTTTGCAATGTCCAGGTTACACTGCAAATTTATTTCACATTTAAAGAACCAGGAAAATGTGATTCATTTTTAAGAGAAAAGACTGATACCATTTATGAATGACTCAGATGTTGAAATTAGCAGACAAAAATATTAAAGCAATTATAAATATGCTCAATGAACTATGCTCACAATGAATAAAAATATAAGGCATTTTGTCAGAGTAGAACTAGAAACTATAAAAAAGAACACAATGGAAATTCTAAAACTGAAAATTACAATATCTAAAATTAAAAATTCACTGGATAGGCTTAACAACATAAAGGAAATGACAAAGAAAACAATGAACTTATAGATCAATAGAAAGTATCAATCTCGGGCCAAGTACAGTGGCTTGCGTCTGCATTCTCAGCTTCTTGGGAGGCTAGACAGGAGGATCACGTGAGCCCAGGAGTTCAAGTCTACAGTGAGCTACGATGGCATCACTGTACTATGGCCTAGGTGACAGAGAGAGACCCTGTCTCTAAAAAATAAAAAGCCAAAATAAAGTAGAATTCTAGAAAATATTCAAATAATTCCAAAAAAAAAAAAAAAAAAAGAAGAGTTAAAAACAATCCACAGGGCACAACAGAAAATAATAAGATAGTAGACCACCAGATGCAGCAGCTCATGCCTGTAGTCCCAGCACTTTGGGAGGCCGAGGCAGACAGATCATTTGAGGTCAAGAGTTCGAGACCACCCTGACCAACATGGTGAAACCCCCGTCTCTACTAAAAATCCAAAAAAATTAGCCAGGCATGGTGGCACATGCCTGTAAGCTCAGTTACTCAGGCGGCTGAGGCAGGAGAATCTCACTTGAATCCAGGAGGCAAGGAGGCAGAGGTTGCAGTGAGCTGAAATCACACCACTGCATTCCAGCCTAGGCAACAGAGGGAGACTCTCAAAAAAAAAAGATAGTAGACTTAAAGTTGAGTTATACACCGATAACAGACAAACAGAGAGCCAAATCATGAGTGAACTCCCATTCACAATTGCTTCAAAGAGAATAAAATACCTAGGAATCCAACTTACAACGGATGTGAAGGACCTCTTCAAGGAGAACTACAAACCACTGCTCAACAAAATAAAAGAGGACACAAACAAATGGAAGAATATTCCATGCTCATGGATAGGAAGAATGAATATCGTGAAAATGGCCATACTGCCCAAGGTAATTTATAGATTCAATGCTATCCCCATCAAGCTACCAATGACTTTCTTCACAGAATTGGAAAAAACTACTTTAAAGTTCATATGGAACCAAAGAAGAGCCTGCATTGCCAAGACAATCCTAAGCCAAAAGAACAAAGCTGGAGGCATCAAGCTACCTGACTTCAAACTGTACTACAAAGCTACAATAACCAAAACAGCATGGTACTGGTACCAAAACAGAGATACAGACCAATGGAACGAAACAGAGCCCTCAGGTATAACGCCACACATCCACAACCATCTGATCTTTGACAAACCTGAGAAAAACAAGCAATGGGGAAAGGATTCCCTATTTAATAAATGGTGCTGGGAAAACTGGCTAGCCATATGTAGAAAGCTGAAACTGGACCCCTTCCTTACACCTTATACAAAAATTAATTCAAGATGGATTAAAGACTTAAGTGTTAGACCTAAAACCATAAAAACCCTAGAAGAAAACCTAGGCAATACCATTCAGGACATAGGCATGGCCAAGGACTTCATGTCTAAAACACCAAAAGCAATGGCAACAAAAGCTAAAATTGACAAATGGGATCTAATTAAACTAAAGAGCTTCTGCACAGCAAAAGAAACTACCATCAGAGTGAACAGACAACCTACAGAATGGGAGAAAATTTTTGCAATCTACCCATCTGACAAAGGGCTAATATCCAGAATCTACAAGGAACTTAAATTTACAAGAAAAAAATCAAACAACCTCATCAAAAAGTGGATGAAGGATGTGAACAGACACTTCTCAAAGGAAGACATTTATGCAGCCAACAGACACATGAAAAAATGCTCATCCTCACTGGCCATCAGAGAAATGCAAATCAAAACCACAATGAGATACCATCTCACACCAGTTAGAATGGCAGTCATTAAAAAGTCAGGAAACAACAGGTGCTGGAGAGGATGTGGAGAAATAGGAACACTTTTACACTGTTGGTGTACTGTAAACAACAGGTGCTGGAGAGGATGTGGAGAAATAGGAACACTTTTACACTGTTGGTGAACTATAAACAACGTGCTGGAGAGGATGTGGAGAAATAGGAACACTTTTACACTGTTGGTGAACTGTAAACTAGTTCAACCATTGTGGAAGACAGTGTGGCGATTCCTCAAGGATGTAGAACTAAAAATACCATTTGACCCAGCCATCCCATTACTGGGTATATACCCAAAGGATTATAAATCATGCTGCTATAAAGACACATGCATACGTATGTTTATTGCAGCACTATTCACAATAGCAAAGACTTGGAAACAACCCAGATGTCCAGCAATGATAGACTGGATTAAGAAAATGTGGCACATATACACCATGGAATACTATGCAGCCATAAAAAAGGATGAGTTCATGTCCTTTGTAGAGACATGGATGAAGCTGGAAACCATCGTTCTGAGCAACTGTCACAAGGACAGAAAACCAAACACCGCATGTTCTCATTCATAGGTGGGAATTGAAGAATGAGAACACTTGGACACAGGGTGGGGAACATCACACACCGGAGCCTGTCGTGGGGTTGGGGGATGGGGGAAGGATAGCATTAGGAGAAATACCTAATGTAAATGATGAGTTAATGGGTGCAGCACACCAACATGGCACATGTATACATGTGTAACAAACCTGCACATTGTGCACATGTACCTTAGAACTTAAAGTATAATAATAACAAAAGGATCTTTTTAAAAAAAAAAGTTGAGTACTTTCATTAAATATTAGTTCTTTCAATAAATGTTAAGGAACTAAATAGTACAATATTAAGGAACTAAATAGTACAATTAAAGGACATTGTTAAATGGATTTTTTAAAAAGCAGAACCAAAATCTCTGATATTTACCTATAGATTGAAAATAAATGGGTAGAAAACGATATACCATGTAAACGGTAATCATACAGGTGGCTGGAGTGCCTTCAGTCAGATTAAATATTAATTTAATATTTAATAATACCAAGAGTATTACCAGAGGTAAAGAGGGACATTTCTTAATGATAAAAGAATCAATTTACCAAGAAGACATTAAAAGCCATAAATGTATATTTACCTAGTGACCAAGTTTCAAATTACATGAAGCAAAATTTGATAAAATTAAAAAGAAACAGATATTTCTGCAGTTGTATTTGGCAACTTTAACACCACTCTGTATTGATAAATAATAGCTATAATTAGAAATTTATAGAATAATTAGAAAAAATACAAGCCAGTAAAACATAGATGATACAAAAACACCAATCACCTTGACCTAATTATAGTTATAGAACATCATATCCCCAAACTGAAGAATACATATTCTCTTCAAGTGCTCATGGTACAGTCAACAAATAGACTATAAAACACATTTTGATAGAAGTTAAAATGATTAAAATACTATAGGGTACATGTTCTGACCACAGATACTTGGAAATTAAATACACTACTAAAATATCCATAGGTCAAAGAAGAAAACAAGAGAAATTTAAATGTATTTCTAATAAATGATAAAGAAAACTGACATATCAAAATATGAAGTTAAAGCATAGATAGAAGGAAATTTATAGTTTTAAATGTTCATAGTAGAAAAAGAGGAAAGTAGAAAGTCAGTGATATAAGATTATGCCTAAAGAAGCTAGAAAACGAAGAGCATGTAAACCCAAAATTAAGTAGAAAGAAGAAAATGATAAAGATAAGAACAGAAATCCATGAAAGAGAAAACGGAGAAACAATATTGAAAAATTAATAAAGCTAAAATCACTTCTTTGGAAAGAGCAAAAAATTGATAAACCAAACCCTCAGTGATACTGGCTAAGGAAAGAGATGGAACATGAATTATGACTATAAGAGCTGAAAGAAACCTTATTGCTTCAGATCTTATGGACATAACAAGGATAAGAGAATACTATGAACAACTTTCTACCAATAAATTTGACAACTAAGATGAAATGAAAAAATTCCTTGAAAAATTCCTTTTACCAAAACTAATACTAGATTAAGCAAAATATGAATAGCCCTATGTCTATTAAATTCATTATCAGAAACCTTTTTAACAGCAAACTCAAAGTTTAGATGATTTCACTAATGAATTCTATCAAATATTTAAGAAAAAACCCTACAATTTTACACAAACTGCTGAAAATAGAAGAGGAGGAACCACTTCCACTTGTATTAAACTTGTATTATAACCCTAATACCAAAACCTAACAATGATATTAGATAAAAAGAAAATTGCAAACCAAATTACTCATGCATATAGGTATAAAAATATTTAGCAAAACATTAGCAAATCAAATATAGCATGACCATGTAGCTTTATCCCAGAAATATAAGGCTGGTTTAACATTAAAAAAAATCAGTTAGTATACTTTGCCATATTAACATATTGGAAGACTCAACATTGTTAAGATGTCAGCTCTTCCCAAATTGACTTCTAGGCTCAACACTATATCAGTCATAATCTCCAAATTGATAAGGTGATTTTACAATATGTATGGAAATGCCCAAGGCTTAGCAGAAGTTCAGAGACTGTGGTCTGCAGACCAGCTACTGTTTCGTAAATAAACTTTTACTGGAACACAGCCACAGCCATTTGTTTACATATTGTTTATGGTTACTCTCATGCCACAACACTACTGTTGAGTAGTTAGGACAGATACCATATTGCCCGTAAGCCTAAAATATTTATTATCTGTCCTTTAAGGAAAAAAAAAAGAAGCATTTCTGATATTTGACCTAGAATATCCAAAGCAATCTGGGGGAAAAAAAGGTGAAGTTGGAGAATGTATACTACTTGACTCCAGGACTTATAAAGCTATAGTAATCAAGACAGTGTGGCACATAAGAATTGACAAGTAGATCAATGGAGCAGAATAGAGAGCCCAGAAATAGACCCACACTCATATGGTCATTTGATTTTTGACAGAGATACCAAAACAATACAATGGGGAAAGGAAAGTCTTTTCAACAAATCATGCTGGAACAACTGGGTATATCTACAGAAAAAAACAATCTTGAACCTTACCTCATACCAAGCACAAAAATCAATTCAAGATGGATCATAGACTTATACATAATAAATAAAACTATAAAACTGTTATATGAAAACATGGAAGAGAATATTTCTGACTTAGAGGTAGGCAGGTCATAAAAAGCAATAGCCAGAAAAGAAAAAAAATTATAAATTAGATATCATCGCAATTTAAAACTTACGCTCATCAAAATACATCATGAAGAAAATGGATAGGCAAGCCACAAATCATATATCTGATAAAAGACTGGTACCCAGCATTTGTAAAGAACTCCTAAAATTTAATTAATAGAATAATCCAATTTAAAACGTGGAAAGATTTAAACAAACACTTGATTTAAAAAGTTTTGTGAATGAGAGTGTGCACATCAAAAAATATCTAGCATGATAGATATCTAGCATGATAGAAGTCCAATTTAAGCCACAAGAAGATACCACTACATTCCCACTAGAAAGGATGAAATTTTAAAAACTGAAAATACAAATGTTAGTGAGGATGTAGAGTTACTAAAATGCTTATGTATTATTGGAGTGACTATGAATATGTAATAACTCTGGAAAAAGTTTGAACAGTTTTATGAAACTAAATACCTACTCTATGGATCATCAATTTCACTCTGAGGTATTTACCCAAGATAAATGAAAATATATGTTCACAAAAAGAATTTTACATAAATGTCATTAGCAGCTTTATTCATAATACCTCCAAATCATAAAGGAGCACAGATGTCTATCAGCAGGAGAATGACTCATCTGTGCTATGGTTATACAATGGCATGGTACCCACCAGTAAAAAGTAAGAAGCTGTAAATACAAACAGCAACATGGATGAATCCGAAAAATACTTTGTTAATTGAAAGGAACCTTACCCAGAAGAGCATATACCATATGATTCCATTTATGTGAAGTTCTAGAACAAGCCTAATTAATCTCTGGTGGAAGAGAATCAGACGATTTGCCTCCAGGGCTGGGGTAAAAATTAACTGGGAAGGATCATGAAGGAACTTTCTGGGATGAAAGTAATGCTCTAAATCTTGATAGAGTTATGAACACAAGTGCATGCCTTTGTCAAAACTTCCTTAATGTACATTAAGATTTGTGCAATTCATTTTATGTAGTTATTTATATTTTTTATTGTATATAAATTTTATATTAAAAACCATAAATGTATTATGGCTAATAATTGCCTTCTGAACTATTTAAGGGAACCTTAATTGAAGCCTGTAATTTACATTGAATTACATCCAAACACAAAATGAGTTGATGAATGGAAAGAGGGTAAACTACTTGGACAGGTATGTGATAAAGCAATTTTATTAAAATGTTAATGATAATGGGCCTGTATTCCCAGTCACTCAGGAGACTGAGGCAGGAGGACCACTTGAGCCCAGGAGCTGTGGGCTGTAGGGTGCTGTGCTGATCAGGTGTCTGCCCTAAGTTCAGCATCAATATGGTGATCTCCTGAGAGCGAGGGGCCACCAGGTTGCCTGAGGAGGGGTGAACTGACCCAGGTCAGAAATAGAGCTGGTGAGAACTCTGGTGCGGATCAGCAGTAGGATCATGCCTGTGAATAGTGAATAGCCACTGCACTCCAGCCATGGCAACATAGCGAGACCCCATGTCTGAAAAAAAAGCTAATGATAGAATCAAGGCAGTAAAATATAGGTATTCACTACAAAATTATTTAAATTTTTCTGTATGTTTCACTTTTCACTGTAAAATTTTGGGAAAATATATAAAACAGCATGTACATATTGATCTTAAAAATATAGGGTGTCATGGAAAAATAAGAAAGAATGAACTATATAAGGTGATATCATATACATGATTAAAATACCTATATACAGATTTAGAGGGAGAAATTCAGGCAAAAGGCTATACAATAAACACATTAGAATGGTGGCCAGTGGGGGAAAGGAATGTGAGTAGGGCCTAGGGGTGACGGTATGAGTGACAGATGGGTGGTGATATAGATGGCCTTGCATGGATTAATGATGGTCATGGGGAGAAAGGGAGTGGGGTAGGTGAGTGCATGAAAAAGCATTAAACTTAGAGGCAAATCTTGGCCCTGCACTTTACTAGCTATGTCATTTGGGACAAGTTGTTTAACATTCTTTAGACCTACTTTTCTCATCCATAAAATGGGGGTTATGATCGTTGCCTCATAGAGTTGTTGTGAGCCTTAAAACTAAATAGTGTCTGGGAGATTCCTAGCACAGCCCTTAATCTTTGGTAGACATTAAGCGGAGGTCTATTTTTCTTCTTTTCTTCTATTCATCTAAATCTTCGATGTCCTTCAAGGGGCTTGACTTCTTTAACTTCAGAACAGCCTATCTTTTTCCTTTGTTTCAAACACTTTTAGCACTTTTAGCCATTCCATTCTATCCCATTTTGTCTCATACATAGAGCTCCTTTAGAAGTATTGATTTGTGTATACCAATCTTGCTCTTCCACTAATCGTTCTACAGGTTATTGAGGACTCAGAGTGTAGCTTTGAGTATCCCTGTGCTCAGTTGTTACCCAGTATTTTCTTGACTCGTAGCAGAGCAGGGACTGTGTCTGTTACTCCCTATCTTTTCGCTGCATGGGGGCTCAGCAAATATTTGATGAGTGAATGAAAGAATAGACATTACCTGTTTTTCACTGCTTTTTAACTCAGTACTGTCTAATAAACACACTGATTTATCATTGCTTTTACCCATCCCTCATATACTGCCAGACTTGCTGAACTTATCCAAACAGATGGAATAGTGTGAACCCAACCCTGATCTGCTGCAGGGTGTGGCTCCAGAAACACACTGGACTCAAAGACAGGGAACTTCTCTTTACTGTGGGTGCTCTTTCAGCTATTCTGTGAAACTATGGATAACATTTTAGAGCTGGAAGTGATCTTTGATTTTATATAACCAAACCCTTGAATGCTAAAAGTTAGATGAAAAGGATTTGTATGTTCAAAGCCAGTTGGGATTAGTCAGAGAGATTGCCTTCATGGAGGAGGTAAATATTAAGCAGAGTTTATTGATGGGGAAAGATGTGGGTTGTCTAAAGAGAGGATGGAACATTCCAAGGGTGTAGAGTGACATGAGCTGGGGATTGGAGATGGCAGCAGATATGTGTGGAGGGGAGCCCACACAGGGAGGGCGTTGGCTGTGTATCAGGATTATCACATTACATAAAGGGGACAAGATGGCGGGTGGATGAGTTGGAAGCCATCACCACTCCCTCTCTGCTCTGTCCTTGGCAACACCCCTCTCTTATCCTTGATTTTTGTCCTGACCTCCTTATCCTTTTATCTGGGCCAAAGACATGGCTCAAACCCTGATTTTAAAATGAAACCCAAATGACACATTTGGAACCCTACATTTCAGCCTGGAAATATTGGTTTTGCATTGTGTTTGGCATACATAGCAGCCAGCTGACATGACCCAAACCCTGGGAGGGACCATTGGCACTGCCTCGGCCTGATATTTCCATGTCTTCAAATCAATCCAAGCTACTCATTAGGCAGCCTCATTTCGTCAAGCAATCTGCTGCATGCGGGACCATCCTGGGATCACCACAGTCTTCCCTTTGGTCCATTTCATCATTCCCTCTCCATTCTTGCCTTCACCACATTTCTGGATCATGAAGGATAGCTGCAGGAAACCAGGCTCCTTACTTTCTCTCTAGGAGGGTCAGATACCCAGCATTTGTGCCCTTTCTTCCCCATATGGGGTTGTTATTCTATTTTCCTAACCCAGATCACCCCCTCTGACTCACTAAGTGTGTCAGGGATTTATTTAAGTCTTCCTTTAGCTAACAAACGTCAGGATGCATTTATATTTAAAATAAGAATGTGTAATGTGTTCTTAAAAACCTTAAAAGCAAAAGTGGCCAGGAACAGTCATTATTTTTTGCTCTAAAGGATACCAATGAACAGTTTCTTCAGGTAAATACTGTCTTTCCAGGAGAGATTGCTTCTTTCTTTCCTAGGGATTTTTAGCCTGTCCTTGTTTTCCCTTTCTCTAATTATTAAAAAAAAGAAAAGAGGAATGTAGCTGTCCCAGTAACTACTTTTCTGGATTCCAGGGCTCCTGGAATATGTGCAGTCAAAGGCAGGTGATCTGTGAAAGACTTCAGAATTAAACAAGGAAAGGGTACAGTTCAGGGTTTCAGGGATTCTATTTAATGGACAACAGCATTTCTTCATTTAACATTGCTTCACAATTTATGCAATGAAAATAACTCTGGAGAAATCTAAGCTGTTATTTCCCTTGCTCTTTGAATTTGGATTTTCCAGTATTCCGTCTTCAGTCTTAATGATGCAGATTATTGTAATTTGTCACTTCTTATGATACATATAGTAAATCCTGGATTCAGACAGAGGTCTCTGACCCTATCCTATCTTGAATGGAAACTACTTTTCTTATTTTATTTCTCAGTAGCCACTATCTGATTATGCTTCTTTAAGGTTAAAAAAATACATAAACCACCAACAGAATAATTTGAATCATGTAGATTCTGTGCAGATGCCCAGCAGTGGGAGACAATAGGCCATCCTGCATCCTGAAGGGATGATGGACAAAGCCTCTGCCTCACACAGCTCACTAAGGACTGGTTTTCAAGGCTGACAAGGCAGAAGCCATTTCGTTCTTTGCATTTCTTTACGGCCAACGTGCCGATACATTTGCTGAGCTATGTAGACAGGTTCTCTAGCACCAACAGCTTTTATTCCTGCTTCTACCCTGTTGTAAACCTAGAAACAAATATTTAGCTGGCTGTGGAGTGCCATCCACATGAGTGCTCTCCCTCTGGGGGTCTGCTGCACACACAGCGCCTGGCTGGTCCTTTCACGTCGCACAGGACATATAATATATTTACGTCTCTTGTAACCATAGAAACCTGTTGTGTCGGAGAAGACTTTATGATTTTGCTGCTCTCCAGAAAGAGATGAATAAAGCCACAGGGCAACCTGCCACCTCTTGTTTAGTTACTTTGTGATCATTTAGCAATTAAGACTGCAGAACATATTTACTATAATTTTCACATCTGTAGACATTTTATAAAGTATTGAATATACATAAGGAAATAAAACACTCGAGACATTATTTCAGAAGCCCCATAGCCAACACAATTTTTTTGTATTACCTACACAATTTGTACTTCATTAATTATTATTGAAAATGGCTGGTCTTTTTTTCTGTGGTAGCATTTCCTTTAGTATCCTTGGCATAAGGAATACATAAATTTTGTTATGCTGGCTATACAATAGGGCTGTTAGAAAAAACATCAGTTTGGGAGTTGAGAAGATGTATTAACTATAAAGCCCAGTTTAAATCTGGGCTCTTCCAGTTACTGGCTGGGCTTCCTGGGGCAAGTGACTGAATCTTGCGGAGCTTTGTGGGGCTTTTAACAAAAATCTACGAAATAGGAATAATAGTAGGATCTACCTTGATGGGTCATTGTGAGGAAATTTAGGAAATGCCTGGCACATGATAAAGGGTCACTATATGGCACTGCTGTCATTGCTTATTCTTAACTTTTATGTCTTTTGATCAAGTACAGAATGCACCACATTCTGATGCCAGCAAAAGCTTGTTTTGTTCCGCACATATATGGTACTTTATACTTGTTAAAGACTTAACAAATATTTATTAATTATAAAACCCCCAAGGGAACTGGAAATACAAATTCCATCTCTTTTCCAATTAATTCTGCACCTTTCTATTTGGCAAATACATGTGTTTCAGGGCTTTTAATACAGCAAGGGACCCCCTTGGCTCTTTTGTCTGTGCCTTGGATTTTTTAAAGGAATTATCCAGGATGTCATGGAAGCTCCAAAGTAACTGCTAGATGACTTGGGCGACCCCTGCTGGCTGGCTGCAAAATCAGAAGTGCCCACCAAGCCAAAAGCCATACACCTCACCCTTAGGCCCCATATAAATTCGCTGTAGACTGTGTGGACGATGGGTGGTAGGGTATAATCATGGCTTCGAAGCCATGGAGTTTACTCTTACTGTTATTATTTTCTTTATTATTGTTATTTAAATGGAAGGATTAGAATGCAGGGGACGTTTCCCACTAGCTAATAACCATTTAAGTTGTGTTTGGGGGCTTTCATGACGTGACAACAGCTTTTCAAAATCTCGGGCTGTTAAACCCCCTACTGGGTTAATGTGGCAGAAAAAGACAGGAACGACATCAGCCAGCAGCTTTCTGTACAGTGCTCTATCTCGAGCATCTGGTAGAGAGAAGGGGAAACAGATCCTTGTAGAAATCCAATTAGAGAGAGAAGGAAATATTCTTTGCTGAGAGAAAGAGAAAGAGAAAACAGGCTCTATCCCAGAGGTAAAAGACTTTGATATTAACAAAGGAAATCCTATATTACTTTGACTTGTTTCAGAAAACTGATGTTTCTGAATATCCTCTCAGAAAACAAATACTGCAGGCAAACAGGAAACTATTTTCACCCAAAGTTCAATTTAGACAATAACAAATATGACTGTTCAAAAAACATCAGAGATGGGGGATTGCAAAGGCTTTCCGTGATTCCTGCCAGGAGCCTGGGAGTCACACTCTCCCTCTGACTTGTTCAGTTTTAGGTGGTTTTACAAAAGATCTAGGGAATAGGGAATAATTTTAAAAGTCACTTCTAGCTTTTAAGGACCACATCCCATATGAAAAATAACTTCCCTACCCCCGGTTGTTGCCTAGCATTTGGTTACACCCTGACTTTCTCTATTAAGTGGTCTCTTATCGAGACCAAATAGACTCAGTTTGATAGCTCTTGGTGACACTATTTGTATAGAAATTTAAAATGTGTGCAATTTACCTAAATTTAGAGGATTATAAATAAAGCTACCACACACCCCCTCCAGTTTGCCTCATTAAGGAGATCATGTTGTATTAGAATATGCATTTTCATTATGACATATTGGGGTTTGTTGTATTTATAACAACTCTGAGGGGGGCATTCGCAAAGCATTATGTGGAGGTCTAGCTGTAGGATTCCCATTAGAAGCGGCACAGTATGAGTTTTGCTATAATATTCTCATTATCCTAAACCCTCATCTCTTTTTCATTTGTTAAAGGGGTCATTTGGCTTTTTAATATAACTTGTATTAGTGCATGTGTAGGAAACAAAAATCTTTAAACACTGACTCAGGCAGGTCTCTCTAACAGCTGGTAAAATGTATGCCCATACTCCCCACACTCTGCCATCGTGCATCTCAAACCCCTTGATGTATAAATGCTCCTAAATAACATGTAGCATGTACGTAATATATGCAAATGTTCTTTCCAGAGACCTTCTTGGCTCTTAGTGAACAAGGGAAATGGACCTCATGGTGATCTTTGAAGACCATTTTCAGTTATAATAGCCTGTGTTTTCTACAAGAACACAGAATCAAATGAAATTTAAAAGAATGCATAGCATATGGGAGCTGATGCTGCTAAAGAGGGCTGTGCTAATGGAAATGCCTCTGTGAACTTTGAGCTTCTCAGCCCCTGATTGCCTTTAGAAAATGTGTCCCTGGATTAGGCAGCTTCTGAGCCCTTAGAGGCTGGGATGGTGACAGGGGAATGAACAGGCCTGATTCAAGCTCACCTGGCTCCGGGGCCTACTTCTGCTGCTTATTACCTGTGGGACCCTGGATAAGTGCCTGAGCTCCTCTGAGTCTCCCTTTAGGGATCTTTAACAAAGATAAGATCTACCTCCCAGCTGTACCCTTATAGCTGTCCCAGCTATAAGGATTCATGGTAATATGCAAGTAGGACCATGACACTCAGTAATTGACTTCAGCTGTCATTAATAATGTGTCTCAACTCTGTTGCCCTTTAGGTTTAGAACTGGAGAGCCCTACCAGATCAGAATGGGTACTTTGTTTCAGAGGCCCAGTGGAAGGGCCCAGAGATACTCACCTGATAGAATGCTTTTCCCCACAGGCCCTTGCTCCTACACACACTCTTCACGAACATACACCCATACACAGCTCTCATGTGCCAAGCCCACTGCACCCCCTCACACACCAGTGTGCTTGCACACACCCCTCACACACACTCATCTTGTGCCCTTACCACACTGTAGACACCCCACCTTCACAGCTGCATATGCTTACCACCTCACATTATGTGTATGTGCTCACACACCCCATGATTAAGTTCAGTGGGGCCATCATGACCCCTTATACAGTCCCCAACCAGCTGGGGGAAGGGAAGGAGTAGCCAGGTGCCATGGATTTCGGACCAGCCTCCTAGAGCACTAGTCCTCTGCTGCTCCAGAAACCTGACCCCAAACCACCCCTGCTAAAATAAAATTTAAAAAATTTTAAATTCCTTTCTGTAACAGTTCGTCTTCTCTCTGGTCGCCTCACAGGAAGAAAGTTTAAGGTTCTAAAAAGGAAATGGAAGAAAGGCATTTTACAGTTGCTGCAAAGCCACTGTTTACTTAAAGGTGCCGATTTTATTTTTCCAGTGACTGACTTGGTTCTCCTTGGGAGGGGATAGAAGTTAACCTGTATGGTGGGATTTAAAACCATTTCGCAGCTGTTCTGAAGGTGGTGTGCTGCTCCTGTGGCACATCTCCCAGGTGCAGGCGATGAGGTCAAGGAGGCCTTCAGGAGTCCTTATACGGCCACCCAGCCTGTGCTGAGCTCTGCTGTAGCCAAGGCCTGATGCTAGCCCTTATAAGGATCAGAGACTTGAGACAGGGTCCGTGCCTCCACACCTGTCCATGCAATCAGGGGCAAAGATGGGCAGACTGAAGGCTCCTTATGGTCTGGATCTTAAGGAGTTATTCACCTAGTAGGTGCTGCTGGAGGTGCACAGAGAAGGGAGAGCTCCCTTTTGGCCACAGGTGTTCAGGGGAAGCTTTCTAGAGGGGAAGGCATTTGAGCTTGTCTTGGAGGGAGAGGCTTAATTTTCACATGCATGGCAGGTCAGGGTTGATGGAGAAGGGAGAGTCTAGGTCAAGAGAATGGCCTAGGCAAGGCAGGGAGGTGGCCCACTGCAAGGTGTGTTTGTGGAATGGAGAGTGCTTGGTTCAGATGGAGCAGGCTTGTCTCAGGCAGTGATGGGAGATAAGATTTGAAAGCTAGACTGGTGTTAGATGACAGCAGTATTCACACCAGACTCTGCACTGTCCTCTAGGTGGTGGACAGCATATGTGGACTCAGGCAGTTAAGGCCTAATCGATGTGCTAGTTCTTGGAAGATTAATTTGAAAGAATTTATGTCTTTTATCTTAATGCCACGTCTGTGGTTTTGCTTTAGCTGTTTCTTAGCCCCACCCCGACCCAGATATCCTACACTGCCATCCTAACTTGCTCCAATCCTGGCTCATTCTTTCGTCTTAATTATTGCTGCCTCTGAGAGGACATAAAGGGTCTCCCTGAACTAGGTGGCACATCTCCCACCCCAAAGCTCTGTGACTCTCTGCATTAGACACTTGCTAGCTTCTGGCTTGTGCTAGAGGCATGTTTGTCTGCATTCTGCTCCTGTCCAGGGCTGAGAACTTCTGAGGGCACAGACTCTGACACTTGGTGGGATCTCTTATAGCATCTTGCACTTTACAGGGCCTCCAGGATATGTGGGTGAATGAGTACATTCCATTCTGGACACTTTAGCTTCCTCACCTTCACTTCTCAGAGGCCAGGAACCCCATTATGCATGGATTTACCCAAGCAGAAAAAAACCTCCTTACCCAAGCAGAAAAAAACCTCCTAGGTTGACAAGAATGGCTACGTGCCCCAGAGTCCTATTGCACAGGATGGTGGCTCTGAGTGCAGGGCCTCATTTTGAGGAGTGGAAAGGAGCAGGGCAGTTCTCTCCACAACTTTGAGCAACAGGCTTATTCCAGGAAAGGATCCAGGAAGAGGACAAGGTTGCCTCCCTTCCTTCATGCCTACCAGCAATATGATTTCCTGGACCAGAAGAAAAAACTGAGCCCAGGATATACTCTTGTTATCAACTAAGTTATGAGGCCACTGAAATCCCTCTTCCTCTTCACTTGAATATGGTCATATGCAGCAGCCAGGGTTTGTTCCATTGTTGCCAAGGAGAAGAGAGCATCACACTCACCTGGGCCTGCTTTGGGCTGGAAGCCTGCTGAGAGTAATGGGACAGGCCCACCTCCTCTGCCACCCACTTGATGCTATGGCAAGGGGATAGAGGGAGACGGGATCATTCTTGCTTGGATACATGGCTTTGCGAACTTTGGGCCTGTTAGATGGGTAGAGTGGAACCTTGCTTTTTGTGGGCGCTTTAGAGGGGCCCTGCGGCTTGCTGGACCCAGGTAGGTGCCTTTCTAGTCCTCCACTTTTCTTCTCAGCCCTTGGCGTCTGGCTGTGCACCTTCTATGGCCTCTCCAGGTGACTTTACAGGACAGAACTCAAGATGAGCTTTGCCTGCTCTTTCACATTTGGTCCCCAGGAAGCACTCTTGTATCCCTGACCCCAGTGAACTCTAGCAGCATAGGCTATCCCCTCCCTAGCCTCACCCTCCTGGCAGGGCAGAAGCAGGATGGGACAGTGAGACTCCACTCAGCAAGGGTCAGGCTTCAGTTCTGCATGTCTCTCCCCTGACTTCAGGGTGCACATTTCCAAGCTCTCTGAGTGGTATCCCCTGTGAGGTGCCATGACAACACCTCCTGTGAGGCTTGAGGTGGAACATGGTGCCCCCTCACTCCTCTCCGAAAGGGGCTGGGATGGGGACTCACTGTATGGTGGTAACTCTCTCCAAAGAAATCACCAGTTTCCTCATTCCCTTCTCTCTGGCCGTCTCTGACCACTGATCTAGGTGGAGACCCAAAAGTCCTGAGACAGGTTCTCAAAGCCATTTCCTATGTGCATCTGGACATGGGGAGGTGAGGCAGAGTACCTGTATCTGATATTTATTGCATTGACACCTCCGTTAAAGAGGTGCACACACACATACAAACACACATGCACGTATATCCACACATACAACAATCATGCAGCCTGTGTATATATTGCTGTGTGTATAGCCTATGTGTACAGGTAGCCTGTGTATATATTGCTGTGTGTGTAGCCTATGTTTACAGGCAGCCTGTGTATATATTGCTGTGTGTATATCCTATGTGTACAGGCATCCTATGTATATATTGCCATGTATATAGCATATGTATACAGGCAGCCTATGTACACAGTTGTAGTAGTGCTCACTTTGTGGGAGGAGAGAGGGGCTTTTACTTTTTTGCTTGGTTACCTTTAGAATCAATTTTAAATAGTCATGTACCACATAATGACGTTTTGGTCAACAATGTCATACACAATGGTGATCCTAAGAGATTACACTACCATATTATACTGTACCTTTTCTATGTTTAGATACACAAATACTTAACATTGTGTTACAGTTGCCTATGGTATTCAGTACAATAACATGCTCTAAAGGTTTGTAGCCTAGGAGAAATAGGCTGGTAGCTTAGGTGTGTAGTAGGCTGTCTCAGCTAGGTTTGTGCACCTGCACTCTCTGATGCTCACACAGTGATGAAATTGCCTAATGATGTGTTTCTCAGAACATGTTCCTGTTATTAAATGGCATGTGACTGTATTTGCCACAAGTATATTTTACTTTCAGAATTAAAAGAAAGTAGATGAAGTTACTACACTATTTTTTCTAGCCTATGGCATTTTCACTAAGGACAACACACATTGCTACTAAATATTGGTACAGCTAAAAATTTCATTAAGTACTTTTAATAACAACTTTCATTTGTATAGTCTGCCTTTTACAAAGAACTTTCATGTATGCTCTTGCCTGGGTCTCAAAACAGTTCTTTATAGTTGGGATGACTTTCTTTTCGTTTTTGAGACAGAGCCTTGCTCTGTCGCCCAGGCTGAAGTACAGTGGTGCCTTCTCGGCTCACTGCAACTTCCAGCTCCGCCTCCTGCATTCAAGTGATTCTCCTGCCTTAGCCTCCAGAGTAACTGGGATCACAGGCATGCACCACCACACCCGGCTAATTTTTGTATTTTTAGTAGAGACAAGGTTTCACCATGTTGGCCAGGCTGGTCTTGAACTCCTGACCTCAAGTGATCTGCCTGCCTTGGCCTCCCAAAGTGCTGGGATTACAGGCATGAGTCACTGCACCTGGCTGGGATGACTCTTTATTGGATATATCTGTATATGTGAGTCTGCATGTGTCTAATTCTTAGGTAAAACACATTCACAGAATTCAAAAAAGAAAAATGTCCATTGAGTTTACTGAGCACCTAGCAGGTGCCAGGTTCTATGTGATAGGTGCTATATACACTGACATTATTTCATTAATCCTATTATTATCTCTATTTTACCCATGAAGAAGAAAGGTTTGCTTCCCCTGAGTGCCATAGGTGATGTCCAGAAGGAATGTATCCTAGACTCCAGGCCTTGGGCTCTTTCTACTACAGGTTGAATCCCAAATTCAAAAATCCAAAATGCTCCAGAATCCAAAACTTTCACAGCGTCAACATGATGCTCAGAGGAAATGCTCATTGGAGCATGTCAGATTTCAGGTTTTTGAATTTGGGATGCTCAGCTGGTAAATATTCCAAAATCCAAAAAGATCAAAAATTCAAAATGCTTCTGGTCCCAAGCATTTCAGATAAGGATACTCAACCTGTGCTAGACAGCATTCATATTGGTTGAGTTGAGCCTTATCGATGTGATTAAACCTAATTGGTGGGGGAGAGGGTTTGAGAGCCACATCATCAGGGGAAAACTCCATTGCTAACACTTTCTCGGCAAAGATTTCAAAAATAAGACAACAAGTAATGGGGCCTTCCAATCGATTACAGTCATTGTGTATTCATACACACAGGCTATTGAGCTAACGGAAGTGAAACCTATTTATGGATTTGATCACTGTGTTTACTGAAAAAAGAAAAGCTAGGGGAAAACCTGTATTTCTCCTTTAACAAAGAAAAGCTAGGGGAAAACCTGTATTTCTACTTTAACACTTAAGTATAGACTAGATAATTCCAGGCCATGAGATAAAAAGGATGTGTACAAAAAATGCTTCTGAGTTAAAAATGCACAATTGTTCTGGATCCCAGAGGCCAGAAGGCTTTGTTGTTTTAAGAAAATTCAACCAAACACCACATGTTCTCACTCATAGGTGGGAATTGAACAATGAGAACACATGGACACAGGAAGGGGAACATCACATACCGGGGACTGTTGTGGGTTGGGGGGAGCGGGGAGGGATAGCATTAGGAGATATACCTAATGATAAATGACGAGTTAATGGGTGCAGCACACCAACATGGCACATGTATACATATGTAACAAACCTGCACATTGTGCACATGTACTCTAAAACCTTTAAAGTATAATAATAATAGAAAAAAAAGAAAAGAAAATGCTCTTAAGAAAGCATTTTGGAAGAGGACTTTTATCAGTTTAGCAAAGCACACAGAATTCATTGATTGTTCATAGGTGTGTTTTGTGTTCATGTGTGTATAGATTCTCGGCAGGTTAATGTATCGTTTGCCTTCCGACCAACAGAAGGTTTGTTCTATACATTACAGCTGTTAGATAATAGTATAAATTACAGACTTGAGAGGATACAGAGAAAAGCAATTTCTAAAGTGATGTACAAGAAGAGAAAGGAATTAAATCTAGCCTCATTCAAATATAAGCATTTCTAGAGAGACCAGTGAATGTATGATAGTGACTGACCTTCTGATGAGAAACTGTTCTTAGCTCCTGGCAGTGTCAACAGCAAATGCTGGAAGGGCCCCCACTGCTAGCCCCTACAGTGGGTTTGAACCAGTGGATCTGACTTCAGAGACGGTGCTGGCGGTACCACATTTTCTCTGGCATGATATTGGGCCCACTGGGAGGAATTTTCTGAGAAGAATGGCTTTCACTTGTCTCTGCCCTCATGGGTGGTTCTAGCACATCTTGCTCTGGTGTGCAGCTCATACTCTCTCTACCCACTGACTCTCCAACGTGCCCATAAGTTTGAATGATGCCAGAGCAATTAGAGAGCTGTGGCTTTGGGCAGTAAGGACACACAGGTCCCTGAGGACACATCTCCGCCCTGCCCATCCTCTCCCCCAACAGCAATCCTCCCCAAACCTTGCTTAATCCAAAGAGGGGGATTTCTAATAAGGTTATATGGGTGAGGAGTCCCATGAAATCCAAGGGCAAACTTGGAACACTAAAGGAAAGCTGTGGGAACCCCTGGGCTGTGGGAGGCAGTCTGGTTCTCATCACTGCTCAGCTGCTTCATTTGGCACCTCCCGCTGCAGACCTCCAGTTTGCAGCTGGAGGTGCAAACTGCTCTCTGCTCCTAATCCCAGAGTGGGAAAATAGCCACCTTGGATGGCTCCTGTGCTCACCCACAGCCTATAGAACTAGCCACAGAAGTTACATTCAGCTCCCCTGAATTCCAGTGCACAAATTTTGGGGAAAGGAATCTGACAGGCCAAGCTTGGGGCAGTAATACACGTCTGATACAATCACCAGTGCAGGAAGGATGGTCACCATATGTGACCCTGTGAATCAGGGAGGCAATATCTTTTCTTTTTTTTTTTTTTTTTTTTTTTTTTTGAGATGGAGTCTTACTCTGTTATGCAGGCTGGAGTGCAGTGGCGTGATCTTGGCTCACTGCAACCTCTGCCTCCCGGGTTCAAGCAGTTCTCTGCCTCAGCCTCCCGAGTAGCTGGGATTACAGGTGCCCACCACCATGCCTGGCTAATTTTTGTATTTTTAGTAGAGACAGGGTTTTGCCATTTTGGCCAGGCTGGTCTTGAACTCCTGACCTCGTGATCCACCTGCCTTGGCCTCCCAAAGTGTTGGAATTACAGGCATGAGCCACCGTGCCTGGCCCAGGGAGGCAGTTTCTAGAAGTAGAATGTTTATGGTCAGAGCTCGCTCCAAAGCTGTCTACTACACTGCCCCTTCTCCTCATCCCCAACGTGTAGCCTGTATTCCTGATTTAAAGACTCACATCGCTTCTCTGTTTCTTGGGTTCTTCTCCTATGTGAGGCAGCCCATAGAGTAGGATGTCTCCCAGCCTTTCTTTGCTATCCCTAAAAGGAAGCCCAGGCTCTTTTCTTTTTTTTTTTTTAATTTAAGTTCTAGGGTACATGTGCACAACGTGCAGGTTTGTTACATAGGTATACAACCCTGTTGGTTTGCTGCACCCATCAACTCATCATTTACATTAGGTATTTCTCCTAATGCTCTCCCTCCTCCAGTCCCCCACCCCCTGACAAGCCCCAGTGTATGATGTTCCCTGCCCTGTGTCCATGTGTTCTCATTATTCAACTCCAACCTATGAGTGAAAATGTGTGGTGTTTGGTTTTTTTGTCCTTGCGATAGTTTGCTTAGAATGATGGTTCCAGCTTCATCCAAGTCCCTGCAAAGGTTATGAACTCATCCTTTTTTTATGTCTGCATAGTATTCCATGGTGTATATGTGCCACATTTTCTTAATCCAGTCTATCATTGTTGGACATTAGGGTTGGTTCCAAGTTTTTGCTACTGTGAATAGTGCTGCAATAAAAATACGTGTGCATGTGTCTTTATAGTAGCATGATTTATAATCCCTTGGGTATATACCCAGTAATGGGATGGCTGGGTCAAACGGTATTTCTAGTTCTAGATCCTTGAGGAATCGCCACACTGTCTTCCACAATGGTTGAACTAATTTACACTCCCACCAACAGTGTAAAAGCATTCCTATTTCTCCACATCCCCTCCAGCACCTGTTGTTTCCTGACTTTTTAATGATTGCCATTCTAACTGGCATAAGATGGTATCTCATTGTGGTTTTGATTTGCATTTTTCTAATGACCAGTGATGATGAGCATTTTTTCATATGTCTGTTGGCTGTATAAATGTTTTCTTTTAAGAAGTGTCTGTTCATATCTTTTGCCCACTTTTCGATGGGGTTTTTTTTTTCTTGTAAATTTGTTTGAGTTCTTTGTAGATTCTGGATATTAGCCCTTTGTCACATGTGTAGATTGCAAAGATTTTCTCCCATTCTGTAGGTTACCTGTTCACTCTGATGATAGTTTCTTTTGCTGTGCAGAAGCTCTTTAGTTTAATTAGATCCCATTTGTCAATTTTGGCTTTTGTTGCCATTGCTTTTGGTGTTTTAGGCATGAAGTCTTTGCCCATGCCTCTGTCCTGAATGGTATTGCCTAGGTTTTCTTCTAGGGTTTTTATGGTTTTAGGTCTAACATTTAAGTCTTAAATCCATCTGGAGTTAATTTTTGTATACGGTGTAAGGAAGGGATCCAGTTTCAGCTTTCTACATATGGCTAGCCAGTTTTCCCAGCACCATTTATTAAATAGGGAATCCTTTCCCCATTTCTTGTTTTTGTCAGGTTTGCCAAAGATCAGATGGTTGTAGATATGTGGTGTTATTTCTGAGGCTTCTGTTCTGTTCCATTGGTCTATATATCTGTTTTGGTACCAGCACCATGCTGTTTTGGTTACTGTAGCCTTGCAGTATAGTTTGAAGTCAGGTAGCTTGATGCCTCCAGCTTTGTTCTTTTTGCTTAGGATTGTCTTGGCAATGCAGGCTCTTCTTTGGTTCCATATGAACTTTAAAGTAGTTTTTTCCAATTCTGTGAAGAAAGTCATTGGTAGCTTGATGGGGATAGCATTGAATCTATAAACTACCTTGGGCAGTATGGCCATTTTCATGATATTGATTCTTCCTATCCATGAGCATGGAATGTTCTTCCATTTGTTTGTGCCCTCTTTTATTTTGTTGACCAGTAGTTTGTAGTTTTCCTTGAAGAGGTCGTTCACATCCCTTGTAGGTTGGATTTCTAGGTATTTTATTCTCTTTGTAGTAATTGTGAATGGGGGTTCACTCAAGATTTGGCTGTTTGTCTATTATTGGTGTAGAGGAATGCTTGTGTTTTTTGCACATGGATTTTGTATCCTAAGACTTTGCTGAAGTTGCTTATCAGCTTAAGGAAATTTTGGGCTGAGACGATGGGGTTTTCTAAATATACAATCATGTCATCTGCAAACAGAGACAATTTGACTTCCTCTTTTCCTAATTGAATACCCTTTATTTCTTTCTCTTCCCTGATTGCCCCAGCCAGAACTTCCAACACTATGTTGAATAGGAGTGGTGACAGAGGGCATCCTTTTCTTGTACCGGTTTTCAAAGGGAATGCTTACAGTTTTTGCCCATTCGGTATGGTATTGGCTGTGGGTTTGTGGTAAATAGCTCTTATTATTTTGATATACATTCCATCAATACCTAGTTTATTGAGAGTTTTTAGCATGAAGGGCTGTTGAATTTTGTCAAAGGCCTTTCATGCATCTATTGAGGTAATCGTAGTTTTTGTCATTGGTTCTATTTATGTAATAGATTACATTTATTGATTTGCCTACATTGAACCAGCCCTGCATCCCAGGGATGAAGACGACTTGATCGTGGTGGATAAGCTTTTTTATGTGCTGCTGGATTCGGTTTGCCAGTATTTTATTGAGGATTTTCGCACTGATGTTCATCAGGGATATTGGCCTAAAATTCTCTTTTTTTGTTGTGTCTCTGCCAGGCTTTGGTATCAGGATGATGCTAGCCTCATAAAATGAGTTAGGGAGGATTCCCTCTTTTTCTATTGATTGGAATAGTTTCAGACTGAATGGTACCAGCTCCTCTTTGTACTGCTGGTAGAATTTGGCTGTGAATCTGTCTGGTCCTGGACTTTTTTTGTTTGGTAGGCTATGGGTTATTTCCTCAATTTCAGAACCTGTTATTGGTCTATTCAGGGATTCAACTTCTTCCTGGTTTAGTCTTGGGAGAGTGTATGTGTCCAGGAATTTATCCATTTCTTCTAGATTTTCTAGTTTATTTGCATAGAGGTGTTTATAGTATTCTCTGATGGTAGTTTGTATTTCTGTGGGATCCAGTGGTGATATCCCTTTTATCATTTTTTATCATGTCTATTTGATTCTTCTCTCTTTTCTTCTTTATTAGTCTTGCTAGCAGTCTATCAATTTTGTTGATCTTTTAAAAAAGGCTCCTGGATTCATTGATTTTTTTGAAGGGTTTTTTGTGTCTCTGTCTCCTTCAGTTCTGCTCTGATCTTAGTTATTTCTTGCCTTCTGCTAGCTTTTGAATTTGTTTGCTCTTCCTTCTCTAGTTCTTTTTTTTATACTTTAAGTTTTAGGGTACATGTGCACAACGTGCAGGTTTGTTACATATGTATACATGTGCCATGTTGGTGTGCTGCACCCATTAACTCGTCATTTATATTAGGTATATCTCCTAATGCCATCCCTCCCACCTCCCCCCACCCAACAACAGACCCCGGGTTGTGATGTTCCCCTTCCTGTGTCCAAGTGTTCTCATTGTTCAATTCCCACCTATGAGTGAGAACATGCCGTGTTTGGTTTTTTGTCCTTGCTATAGTTTGCTGAGAATGATGGTTTCCAGCTTCATCCATGTCCCTACAAAGGACATGAACTCATCCTTTTTTATGGCTGCATAGTATTCCATGGTGTATATGTGCCACATTTTCTTAATCCAGTCTATCATTGTTGGACATTTGGGTTGGTTCCAAGTGTTTGCTATTGTGAGTAGTGCCGCAATAAACATACGTGTGCATGTGTCTTCATAGCAGCATGTTTTATAATCCTTTGGGTATATACCCAGTAATGGGATGGCTGGGTCAAATGGTATTTCTAGTTCTAGAACCCTGAGGAATCGCCACACTGACTTCCACAATGGTTGAACTAGTTTACAGTCCTACCAACAGTGTAAAGGTGTTCCTATATCTCCACATCCTGTCCAGCACCTGTTGTTTCCTGACTTTTTGATGATCGCCATTCTAACTGGTGTGAGATGGTATCTCATTGTGGTTTTGATTTGCATTTCTCTGATGGCCAGTGATGTTGAGCATTTTTTCATGTGTCTGTTGGCTACATAAATGTCTTCTTTGGAGAAATGTCTGTTCATATGCTTTGCCCACTTTTTGATGGGGTTGTTTGTTATTTTCTTGTAAATTTGTTTGAGTTCTTTGCAGATTCTGGATATTAGCCCTTTGTCAGATGAGTAGATTGCAAAAATTTTCTCCCATTCTGTAGGTTGTCTGTTCACTCTGACGGTAGTTTCTTTTGCTGTGCAGAAGCTCTTTAGTTTAATTAGATCCCATTTGTCAATTTTGGCTTTTGTTGCCATTGCTTTTGGTGTTTTAGACATGAAGTCCTTGGCCATGCCTATGTCCTGAATGGTATTGCCTAGGTTTTCTTCTAGGGTTTTTATGGTTTTCGGTCTAACATTTAAGTCTTTAATCCATCTTGAATTAATTTTTGTATAAGGTGTAAGGAAGGGATCCAGTTTCAGCTTTCTACATATGGCTAGCCAGTTTTCCCAGCACCATTTATTAAATAGGGAATCCTTTCCCCATTGCTTGTCTTTGTCAGGTTTGTCAAAGATCAGATAGTTGTAGATGTGTAGCATTATTTCTGAGGGCTCTGTTCTGTTCCATTGGTCTATATCTCTGTTTTGGTACCAGTACCATGCTGTTTTGGTTACTGTAGCCTTGTAGTATAGTTTGAAGTCAGGTAGCTTGATGCCTCCAGCTTTGTTCTTTTGGCTTAGGATTGACTTGCCAATGTGGGCTCTTTTTTGGTTGCTTATGAACTTTAAAGAAGTTTTCTCCAATTCTGTGAAGAAAGTCATTGGTAGCTTGATGGGGATGGCCTTGAATCTATAAATTACCTTGGGCAGTATGGCCATTTTCACGATATTGATTCTTCCTGTCCATGAGCATGGAATGTTCTTCCATTTGTTTGTATCCTCTTTTATTTCATTGAGCAGTGGTTTCTAGTTCTCCTTGAAGAGGTCCTTCACATCCCTTGTAAGTTGTTTTCCTAGGTATTTTATTCTCTTTGAAGCAATCGCGAATGGGAGTTCACTCATGATTTGGCTCTCTGTTTGTCTGTTTTTGGTGTATAGGAAGGCTTGTGATTTTTACACATTGATTTTGTATCCTGAGACTTTCCTGAAGTTGCTTATCAGCTTAAGGAGATTTTGGGCTGAGACGATGGGGTTTTCTAGATATACAATCATGTCATCTGCAAACAGGGACACTTTGACTTCCTCTTTTCCTAATTGAATGCCCTTTATTTCCTTCTCCTGCCTGATTGCCCTGGCCAGAACTTCCAACACTATGTTGAATAGGAGTGGTGAGAGAGGGCATCCCTGTCTTGTGCCAGTTTTCAAAGGGAATGCTTCCAGTTTTTGGCCATTCAGTATGATATTGGCTGTGGGTTTGTCATAAATAGCTCTTATTATTTTGAGATACATCCCATCAGTACCTAATTTATTGAGAGTTTTTAGCATGAAGGGTTGTTGAATTTTGCCAAAGGCCTTTTCTGCATCTATTGAGATAATCATGTGGTTTTTGTCATTGGTTCTGTTTATATGCTGGATTACGTTTATTGATTTTCGTATGTTGAACCAGCCTTACATCCCAGGGATGAAGCCTACTTGATCATGTTGGATAAGCTTTTTGATGTGTTGCTGGATTCGGTTTGCCAGTATTTTATTGAGGATTTTTGCGTCGATGGTCGTCAGGGATATTGGCCTAAAATTCTCTTTTTTTGTTGTGTCTCTGCCAGGCTTTGGTATCAGGATGATGCTGGCCTCATAAAATGAGTTAGGGAGGATTCCCTCTTTTTCTATTGATTGGAATAGTTTCAGAAGGAATGGTACCAGCTCCTCCTTATGCCTCTGGTAGAATTCGGCTGTGAATCCATCTGGTCCTGGACTTTTTTTGGTTGGTAAGCTATTAATTATTGCCTCAATTTCAGAGCCTATTGGTCTATTCAGAGATTCAACTTCTTCCTAGTTTAGTCTTGGGAGGGTGTATGTGTCGAGGAATTTATCCATTTCTTCTAGATTTTCTAGTTTATTTGCGTAGAGGTGTTTATAGTATTCTCTGATGGTAGTTTGTATTTCTGTGGGATCCAGTGGTGATATCCCCTTTATCATTTTTTATTGCGTCTATTTGATTCTTCTCTCTTTTCTTCTTTATTAGTCTTGCTAGCGGTCTGTCAATTTTGTTGATCCTTCCAAAAAACCAGCTCCTGGATTCCTTGATTTTTTAAAGGGTTTTTTATGTCTCTATCTCCTTCAGTTCTGCTCTGATCTTAGTTACTTCTTGCCTTCTGCTAGTTTTTGAACGTGTTTGCTCTTGCTTCTCTAGTTCTTTCAATTGTGATGTTAGGGTGTCAATTTTAGATCTCTCCTGCTTTCTCTTGTGGGCATTTAGTGCTATAAATTTCCCTCTACACACTGCTTTAAATGTGTCCCAGAGATTATGGTATGTTGTGTCTTTGTTCTCATTGGTTTCAAAGAACGTCTTTATTTCTGCCTTCATTTTGTTACGTACCCAGTAATCATTCAGGAGCAGGTTGTTCAGTTTCCATGTAGTTGTCCGGTTTTGAGTGAGTTTCTTAATCCTGAGTTCTAATGTGATTGCACTGTGGTGTGAGAGACAGTTTGTTGTGATTTCTGTTCTTTTACATTTGCTGAGGAGTGTTTTACTAACGATTTTGTAGTAAATCAATTTTATTTTATTTTATTATTCAATTTTAGAATAAGTCCGATGTGATGCTGAGAAGAATGTACATTCTGTTGATTTGGGGTGGAGAGTTCTGTAGATGTCTATTAGGTCCACTTGGTCCAGAGCTGAGTTCATGTCCTGGATATCCTTGTTAACCTTCTGTCTCGTTGATCTGTCTAATATCGACAGAGGGGTGTTAAAGTCTCCCATTATTATTGACAGTGGGAGTCTAAGTCTCTTTGTAGGTCTCTAAGGACTTGCTGTGTGAATCTGGATGCTCCTGTATTGGGTGCATATATATTTAGGAGAGTCAGCTCTTCTTGTTGACTTGATCCCTTTAACCATTTATGTAGTGGCCTTCTTTGTCTCTTTTGATCTTTGTTGGTTTAAAGTCTGTTTTATCAGAGACTAAGATTGCAACCCCTGCTGTTTTTCTTTAGCCCAGGCTCTTTTCGTCTTAAAAGTTTACTAATTGTCAGTAAGAAAAAATAGACAGGAACTGGTAAGTAAGTCACACGGGAAAGTTTCAAAGGTCTCAGAAATCTAGAGTTCCCAAAGTCTCATGTCTTCATTTTCTGGCACTCTTGCTAAGTGGCTACTGGGAAAAATGGGTGGGCCTTTTCAGGTATTGGCAGACCGGCCCATGCAAAACCTAGTAAGTGCCCATGGTATTGTCATCTGTGCACCTTTTCAGATCCCCAGGATACCCTCTGCTTCCTGGTTGTAGAATCCGCAACATAGGGTGCTGGCACAGTTAGACCTGGCCTTTCAGAATCAGAAGGCACAAAATGATTATAGGCAGTGGCTGCAAATTCACTAACGCTTGCTTTCTGAAGTTTTACCAACTGCAAAAAGATCCTTGCTTTGAAAGAAGGAGCGTTTTGCTGCCTTTGATCTGTTTCCACTGGGCACGGGGCCAGCGGTGTAGGAGCTATCTCACTGCCCTGTGCACAGGAAACTGAAGATGGAGTTTCTCGCCTGTCGTTTTCAGCTTCAGGGTTGCAATTGGTTGGTCTTTGGCAAATAACTGGTTATCAGTGCACAAGAAGCCTGGAGGGGGGTGGGGAATGGAGACACAGTGAGTTAGTAAAAGGATGTTGAGACATAAATAAAAGTGTGCCTTGTGGAGCTTCAGTTGCAACTGTCAGGGGAATGGCAGGGAGCAAGCGTGTTCTTGGAGAGATCAGGTGGCCATGCTTGCAAATGAAAATCCTATCTGGAGCCTCTTGCCAAGCCCTGTCCCCAAGAACAGGATGAGCTCTGGCACAGCTCCAAGGTGCTTGATTCATGAGCCATTTCCATCTCTCTGGGGAAAGCTGCATATGAACAGCATTTTGGAGCCTGCCTCTGGTGACGGCATGATTTATATTCCCCAGAGCAGGCAGGATCTGGGCTTGTCACAGGATCCCTGGAACAGATGCTGGCAGGGCAGGTGGGTACCATGAAGCAGCTACTGCCTGCCTCTGGACTGCTCCCTCTCTCCAGCTCCCCTCTCAGCCCTCGCCAGGAGGTATACCTTGCTGCCCTCTGCTTAGGCCACCTTGTACTGACTTTGACCTTTTGCCCTCACTGTTCTTCATGACCGTAATAATCCAGACCTCAGCCTTCTACCTAACTCCAGACAGAAGACTAGGGCAGGGTCCAGCCAGGACTCTGGCTGATGGGCAAGTGCCAAGTTAGGCCCCTGGAACAAGAACAGAGTCCTCTTTTACCCTCCAGAGTCCAGGAGTAGAAAGGGCCCATGAAGGATGTCTGAGCCAGAATCTTCAGGTCCAGAGAGCCACGAGGGAAGGAGAAATCGATCGTGTGGCCAAGTCTGGAGGGCAAGAGAGGTAGGCAGGGCCAAGGGTCCAGAGCTGGGTAGACAGGAGTGGAACGTAAGCAGACTGGGAAGAAGACAGGCGGAATCTTAGCTTTTGGTGCCTCCCTAGCTTGCCAGTCCTGAGCAGCTGGTGTGCCAGGAGTGCCCTCCTTTTCCACTCTTCCTGCCTTGCCACCCAGCTCATGGGCCCTGTCTCCCTCGAGTTATCCTCTGCTGAGCTATGACCACCAGTTTTGTCTGCAAAGCCAATGTGTCTCTATTGTTTCTTCTCCGTTTCAGATCATGGCCATCAGAGTAGTGGCTAAAATCAGGCCATGAGACTAAATGCTTTAGGGGCTCTTTCTGCACAGCCACTATTTGTTTATTCACATTCTCATATTTCATTCCCTTCTCCTCTCTTTCTTTTCTTGCTGTCTCCCCTGCTCATCCTGTAATGATTGTCCATTCAGTCTTTCTATATACATACATGTACTACTATGTAATAATTTATTTTTCATGTTGCAGAGATTAGTGTGCATATCTAGCAGCTTCTTAGGGCGGAAGTGTTCCTCCTTTGAGTAATCCCAGCCCCAGCTGAGTGTCTGGGATGTACTGGTTGCACACTGAGTTTTTGAGGGTTGGGCAGCCTAATGACCACATGAATGAGTGAGGGGCACCAAAGCTTATCTTACTTTCCTGACTTCCTCCCAGGATTTGGGAATAGTAGGATTTATTTTGTTTTTTAAATTAACATACAGTATGTATCAGTCAGTATCAAAACAAGAATAAGAAACCACACAATAATTTGAACAGAGATAGTTTAAGATAAAGAATTGTTAACTCTAGTAGAGATTGGAGTAAAAGGGATTGGCTAGTAAGAAGGGAGAACTAAAGGATACTAGTCATACCAGATAGTAAGAGCCTTGAAGGCAGCTACAATGTGACCCTCATCTGTTTAGCCCCTGTAGTTCTTACACATGGGTCCTACCCAGTAATCATTGTTGAAGCAATGTGAATTGAATCAGGGCCTATGGTGACCAGATGTGCCATCTCTAGAAAGTCACTCAGAGAAATGGGTGCAGGAGAGTGAGTGTGCTGTGAGGATTGGTGGCAAGGCACTAGGGACTCCTACTATATAGATATGAGGCTTGTTTTGTAAATGGGAGATTCCTTTATCTGTGACATCGCCTGCTTGTTGTTCCCTTCGGTGTTAATACTTTGAAGGGTCAGGAAATAGGAAACAACCCCATTAAGCAGGAGATACTGAGGGCTCAGTCTGTGGCTGACAGTAAGAACAGAACTGCAAGATAATGGAGGCTGATACCGGTCCCAGGCAATTCTTCTCCCCTTTGCAAAGGCTGAATGATAAGCCGATTTCTCAGCTCCAAGCAGGCAGTTGCATTCAGATGATAAATGTGTCCCTGGACAGAGGAGCTTGTTGAGTAATATTTACCAGGGTCTCTGTGAAGGGCCTTCAGCTCCCAAAGGAGCCTTTCAAGCCTTCACCTGCCTGCCTGTTCAGCTGACATCCATGAGGCAGTGAGAGGAATAAAAGCTCTCCAGCATGATGGGAGCTTGGTGATTTGTTTCGATGCTAGAAGTTTCCTGGTTTCTCCTAATTCCTGTATTCAGCCCCTGCCTGTTGAAGTCAAACCCCAGGAGAGAAGCATAGAGTCTGTGAGAAGCTTAGAGCCTTTTAGGGGGAGGGGGAGGGAGGTCAGTGAGTGCCACAGATCTGAGCTGGACTCAGACCCAGCTCTACCACCTAGTACTCTTTAGCCCAGTTCCTTGGCTTCTCCAAACCTCTGTCACCTTAGATATAAGGTAGAGATAATAAGAGCTACCTCACAGAGTTGTCATAGAGATAAAATTAAATCTGTGTAAAAATACTTTGCACATTATAAAATTCTCTCCAGCATAGGTCATTCATTCATTCAGCAATTCCCCGTTGCATACCTGCTGCATGCCAGGTACTGCGCTGTGTTTAAAGAGCCATTTCCAGACTATGAAGGCTGGGGAGAAAAGCAGGCTAATAGCCAGGACTTTACCAGTCATCAATGTGGTTCTGAGATAATTACTAGATGTTTTTATCTGGGTTTTCCAGAGAAACAGAACCAATAAAAGAGATATATATATACAAACACACACATATACACACACACACACACACACACACACACTATATATATATATATATTTTATATATATATATTTTATATATATATATTTTATATATATATATTTTATATATATATATTTTATATATATATATATATATACACACACTAAGTAGATATAAATAGGATGTGCTTGTATATTTATTTATTTATTTTTATAAAGAGATAAAGGAAACTTATTATAAGGAATTGGTTCATGTGGTTGTGGAGGCTGAGAAGCCCCAGGATCTGCCACAGCAAGCTGCAGACCCAGGAAAGCCAGTAGGGTAAGTTTCAGTTCAAGTCCAAGCCTGAAGGCAAAAGATTGATGCCTTAGGTTGGTGACAGTGCAGAAAGAGCAAATTTTCTCTTTCTCTACTTTTTTGCTCTATCCAGGCCTTCAATGGATAAGCAGATGAGGCCCACTCACACTGGGGAGGGCAGTCTACTTTACTCAGTCTGCGAGCTTAAATGGTAATCTCATCTAGAAATACCCTCACAAACACATCCCAAATAATGTTTAACCAAATATCTGGGCACCCTGCAGCCCAGTCACGTTGACATAAATTTAGCCATCACACCATGGTTGGTGTTCACATAGAGCATTCAAGTTTGCATAGCAGCTTTACCTGCCATGTCTCATTTGGCCCCCAGAATGAGGGGCTTATTTCCCTTCTCTGTCACAGGTGTCGCCAGCTTGGCCATTTGAAGTGGGTCATGTTTGTCCTAAACCCAAATCTGTATGCACCAAGCCTTATTCTTCTCAGCGACAGGAGGTCTGCCCCTTTCCAGAGTCCCACCTGCCTAGCACATGAGGGGCTTGCGACTCTGTCTGCTGCCTGCAGTGCCCTGGTGCCCTCCACTTCTTCACACCGGTCCTTAGTAGGAAGGTCTGAAAGTAGTTTTCCTGTGGGCTTAGAGTTATCTGGGGGCGAGGTATCAGTAAGCATCTCCACAAAGTCTGAATGTGGTCCTGATGCCTAGGATAGGTGAGGGCTCAACATAGAGATGTGCCTTTGTGAGCCTCAGTTGGTTGGGAGGCATGGTGTGGCATGGAGGAGGATGGCTGCAGGCTGGCGGCACTCCCACAGACACATTTGCCCTGGCCTGGCTGTCCGTGTGTCATCAGGGCACACAGTGCATGGCTTTTACATTTAATAAGCCTTTTGCCATTTTAATCATGCTGATGAATCAAGGTACTCCTGGGTATTTCTGTTTACTTAAAACACATTGTGGGATGTTCTGTTAAAGTCTGTCATAGGGGAAATATGAATTTATTAATTCAAAAATGGTCACCTCCTCATGCTGAGCTTGGAAAATGGGCCAAATCAGCGGCAGTTCTCAAGTTTGCGTTTCCAGCGGTGCCTGCCCTGCTAGCATTGCAACCACTTGTCAGCATGTTTGTCTCCTCATCTGGAAAATGCCGTTTTAGGCTGCATGTCCCCCTTGCCTAGGACAGTACCCAACACAATGTAGGTATTTAGTTACTGTTTCTGGAATGGACTGGACTGCAGCTTGTGCAGGGAGGACTGCCTCACAGCTGCACTTGCCTCAGCTGTACGCTGGGAAGAGTGCCTGACCAGCCCATCACAGACAGCACCTCATCTAGTCTGTCATACATAAGCTAGGTGCTGGGAATACAGTTCTTATTCAGACACAGCTGCTGCCTGTAGAGAGTTCACAGCAGAGTCGGGGGTGACAGCCCATAAACAACCAACCAGAGTTCATCTTGAGAAGCAGTGGACAAAAGAAGTTCAGGAAGAGGGCCTCAGGGACACTGAGGAGGGAGTGGGGTGATGCTGTCATCTGGAGACAACGGTACTAGAGGTTCGTTTGGTGACAGAATGGCATAGGACCTCAGAGCTGACTTCCATAGCTCAGCGCTTCCTTTCTCTGATTGGCTTTTTCTGCAATTTTTCCTGCAGGGCCTGTGCCAGCAGTGAGACAGAGAGTGAAGCGGGAGACATCATGGACCAGCAATTTGAAGAGATGAACAACAAACTCAACTCGGTCACTGACCCCACTGGCTTTCTGCGGATGGTTCGCCGCAATAACCTGTTTAACAGGTGAGTGTGGGGCGCTTTCCCCAGGCCCAGTGCAGGGCAGGGTGCTCTGAGCACAGATAATATGCTTTCAGTGGATGCTCCTTCCAGCTGGTTAGGCTTCTGGCTCGTGTCATGCATTTGCAGCAGCAAGCATGATGCTTTCACAGCCCCATGCCCGTCAGGGCCTCTGCTTCACAGCAGCATCTCCAGCTCAAGCGAGAAAACAGTGACAGGCTTGATGTGACAATCCTCATTTGGCTGGGATAGGAGTCCCAGGGGATAGTTGGCTGCTTCTTCACATAGCCTCAGAGCTGACTTTCCAAACATCAGGCAGAAGCCAGAGCAACTTCACATACTTCTTTGCCAGCTTCTGCAGGTAACTCCTGGGCCAGGTACCTGCACTGACTTCCTGGCCTGAGATTCGGGGAGGTCAGGGAGAGTGAGAATGCTAGTGCTGTTGGAGGGAGAAACTGGGCCTAGGAATGCACTCATCCAGACCCAGGCTCACCCGTCTGTGCCAAGACCTCAGTTCCCTGTCACTTGACCAAATAGGCCTTAATGGCTTTAAGATGAATCGAGTTTGAAATTTCCAAGCCAGCACACCCCTTCATCTTTTTCTTAGGAGTGACACCTGAGCTGGGTCCGGATAAACAGGGCAGGCGGTTGGGGTTGAGGGACACCTGTCCCACTGTTGTTTGGTTGCCTGGCAACAACCTAGGAGTACATTTTGATAGACCTCTTTGGAAAGATATCACAGACTCCCTAGGTCCCTGCCACAGCCTGAAGGCCTGCCTTTAAAGGGCAGCTGGTTGACCCTAGAACACAGGCAGGAAGTGACTGTGCACTGGGTGGGAGGCAGCCTCTGCTTGGCAGCCCTGCTGTGCAGGGCATTGTGCGCCCTGTCTGTTCCTACTCCAGGCCCTGGTTTCCTCTCATTATTGTGCTGTCAGGGTGACAAATGTGTGTTGACTTTCCCAGGGCTGAGTTGAGTGGGAAGGGAGCCAAGGGCAGGGGATGTAGGAGCTGGCAGCCTGGTTGTAAGGAGGCCAAAACTTCAAGCTAGTTCACCCTTAGTTCCTTCTTCCCAGCCACCTTCACAGGTGTCCCTCATGGCTTTTGGTTTCATGTAGGGATGCAACCAGGTTTGCGGAGGCCTGGGATTGGGCCTGGACACATGTTCTTGCTCTGCCAACTTCTCAGCCAGTGAAGGCAGGTGACACTTACCTCCACCAGGTGATGCAGGCTGTGGTGATAAACTAGAGTGTGAAGAGCTCAGAGTGCAGCCTCTGGCCTTGCCACTCACAAGCTGTAGGACACTAGGGAGGCAGTTTCACCTCTGTCAGCCTCAGTCTCGTCATCTGTGAAATGGGGATGGCTTCTTACCCTGCAGGGTTCCTGTAATGTGGGAATAAAGGAGCCAATGTATAAATAACACACTGACCGACTTAATGTGTGGAAGGCACTGAACAACTGGTGGGTTTCTGTTGTTTGGAGTAAAGTGGGAAGAATAGTGCTAAACTTAAATTCTTAACATGGGTGGAGAAACTTTGGAAGGGATGAGACGTCTGTGTGCCTATGCAGCAGCTGTTGGCCATCTTGGGTTGTAGCCTCCCTCATCCTTCTTCCCTTCCTACCTCAAGTCCTTCACAGGAGAGAGCTGCCAAAGCAGACAGTCAGGCATCCATGGTGACCTGGTTGCAGGCACTCCAGCAGTCAGGAACCAGTTCCCCCAGGACCTCAGCACTATGGAAGAAAAGGGTCAAGCCAGGTATATCTAGGGCCCTAGCTTATTAACCCTAGGCTTGGGGTGCTGTGCACTTTGAATGGTGGAGTGCTCATTTTGGAAAGATGGTTTCTGTCCTGAGCAGCCCTGCAATAGCTCCAGTGAGCACAATGCTGTAGATTAATTTGTTGGTTCACTTATACAACACAATCTCCGCCCCCAGCCAGGCTGAGTATTGTGCCCAGCCCTGGGGACTGAGTGGGGAGCAGCAAGGCCCACAGCCCCGGAGCTTGCACCCAGCTCCCTTGGCAAGGCCTGACCCAATCCAGTCCCACCCTCAGAAAAGCAAAGAAATTGAAGGGGTCTCTGCAGACTCTTCCAACCCCGACCCTTTGGATGAGGGAAATAGCCGGCGTTCTTCTCGCTTCAATGTGGTAAGCCCTTAAGGCCCAGGAAAGTTTGCAACACTGCGTGTTCTCTGGCGCCTCTCTCACAAGCCAGGAAGGGGGGTTCTGGCCTTCATCCACAAGAGAGTGGAGCTACAGCTGAGGGAACCACAGAGGCAAAGGTATCCTTGCTAGAACAGTGCAAACTTCCCTGGCACTTTCAGTGCAGCCTCATGTCTTATAGCTGAGCACACATAGGCCAGAGAGGAGGGAGATCTGCCCATGAACAGGTGCCAAAACATGCCTCGCAGCTTCCCTGCCAGCCTGTCCCTGCCCTGCTGTGGGGTCCCAGGCCTCCCTCTCTGTCCCATGTATGGCCAGGGATCTGGGCTAAGAGTGCACTGGCTTGTGACTGAACAGAGCGGCTAGAAGTGGCTTTTCTGCAGATTGCTGATAGTGGCTAGCGTTTGCAGAGTCCTTGTAGCCTGGAGCCAACAGAGGTGATATGGAAGCAACCATGTGTGTAGGGCCTTGTGTACTGGAGCAGTAAGGGCTTCCCTCTCCGGGGGCTCTCCAGCTCAGTGATTTTATGGATTCCTTGGCCCCTTTGTTCCTTGGTGGTTTGCTGGACTGATTTGGCAATGAGGCCTCTGTAGCTAATGCGAGTCAAGTGAGACTTGGCTTTAGGTTTTTCTCCCTTGCCACTTCAGGAATTGCTCTTTGTTCTGCTGTCATTTTTGAGGTCTCGGCAATCACTATTTTTCTTCTTGCCTATTGGCAGAAAACACATGTGCATTTTGAACCCAGGGTAGGCACTGCTATTGAATGAAAAACAAAGACCCTTCTCTTGGCCAGCACCCTGACCTTGGTGTGAGCCCCAGAGGGCAGAGCAGCAGCCCTACCCTTTGGGAGTGACGCGGAGGACTGGTAGGCCAGCACATGCATGTAAGTGTCTGTGTGTGTGTCAGGGGAGGTTCTGTGGGAATGTATGTATGTATTTGTATGTGCAGGGTTGTATTTGTGTGTGTGTGTTTGTGTGTGGTATGTATATATGATATGTGTGTATGTGACTGGACCTGGGTCAGTCAGCAGATCACATTTGCTGTAGAAAAGACGAAGAAGAACAGGACAGGCTTTTGACTGCATCCTGGATCCTGGACTACAGGGACTGCGTTGGTATTAAGTAAGGTGCACCCATCCAGAGTCATTTAGGGCCAGTATCCCAGAGAAGTTTCCTGACTTCTGTAAGCCACCATTGGCGCAACAAGCATCCTAGGTCTTTAATTTTCCACTTTATATCTGTGTGTGACACAATGTGGAGAGGGACTTTCTTATTGTCCAGAGAGCAGTGACTAGAGCCAAAACAGAGGACAAAGAAGTAAGTCTTCTTTTTCTGAAGAGAGGTGCACAACAGGGCCAGAGCCCACCCTCAGGTCTCTGCAACTTCCCTCTAGTGCCCTGCTAGACAACTTCCCTCTAGTGCCCTGTGAGAGACACTTCTGGTCTCTCACAGAAGACTGGATAAGGAATCAGCAAGAGAGAACCTCAGCTTGGTTGGGGGTCCTTCCAGAGAATCACCAGCAAAAACTGGGGTCCTGCTACATGGGGAAAGAGGCCTCTCCATCCCATGGGCCCAGCCTCCATGACTATAGAACAGGGAGAAAAGAAAGTAGGGAGGATGCTAGGTGGGAGTGGGCCGGCCACAGTGCTCAGCGTGCCCACATTTAACGTGGCACGGGTGTGTGTGTGTGTCCTGCTGGGTGGGTCACATGGGCCCAGCACCTTACTGGTTCCCCACCCAGGAGGCTGTCTGCTGGGCAGGGACCTCAACCGCATGTTATGGAGTGTGCAGCCAGTGGCAGAGTGGAGGGGTTCTGGGAGAGCCAGAGCTGCTGCCACGTTGAGGGGTGCAGAGGAAACCCTGCAGAGCTTTTCCCTGCCCCCTTCCCCCTCTGCCCTCAACACCTGAGGGTCAGGCCCTGAAAGTGGAGAGGCAGTAGTGCTCCCAGAGCCTGCCCTGCCCTCCAAATCCACGCGTGAAAGCCTGGCCTACAGTGGAGGTGGGAGGGAATGCAGTGACTGTAATACACAGGAGGACTTCCTAAAGGTGCGGGGAAGAAAGTGTCAGCAGGACAGTGGAGAGCAGTGACTGGAGAGGAGAGCCATCTCCACAAGGCCAGCCTGGCCGGTAAGCTGAGACCTGGCACACACGTGTCCTGCTGTGTGTGCGTCTGCATGGATGTGTGGTTGTAGTTCTTTTTTTGTTTAGAGACAGAGTCACACTCTGTCACCCAGGCTGGGTTATAGTGGTGCCGTCATAACTAACTGCAGCCTCAAACTCCTGGGCTCAAGTGATCCTCCTGCCTCAGCCTCCTGAGTAACAGGGACCACAGGTGCACACCACCTCACCCAGCTAATTTTTTTAAATTATTTTTTTGTAGCAACAGGGTCTTGCTTTGTGGCCCAGGCTGGCTCAAGTGATCCTCTCATCTTGGCCTCCCAAAATGCTGGGATCCTTGTGAGTCTCCGTACCTGGCCAGGCTGTGGTTTTTTATGAACGTACATGTGGGCCACCCTGCTTTAGGGCTGTACGGAGGCGTGCTGCAGCAGTGCTGCAAAAGCCCAGTGTAGGCCGGCCATCTGCTGATCACTATCTTCCTAGGTCTAGGCCTTTGTCTGTGGTGAGGCACACAGTGCAGAGGAGAAATCTTGGGCTCTGGGGCCAGCCAGACCTTGATTTGAAACCTGGCTCTGCCCTTTGTTAAGGTGACCTTGAGCTTTTTACGTTTGCTTACCGATGGAGTAGTTACTAGGATGCAATAAGGTTAATGATGACGAGATCAATCCTGCTGTGTAGTAAGTAGTTTCTTTCTCTCCCCACCTTGAGTCTGAGGTTTCTACGGCACCAAAGGCTCTTTTCTGAGGGGTGAATCAACCACTCAAAAGATCCAAAAGATCAAATCTCCACCAAGAAACTGATAGATTGATGCTTCTTCCTGCTACAACCTCTCTCAGGGCCACTGGAAACACCTTGAATAAATGCAGAGTGATGACCCAATCTGCCGTCAGCTACAGCTATAGCCCTGGCTTTGAACCCCCAAGATTGCATACCCAGCTTTCTGGCTGGGGTCCTGCATCTCTTTCCCCTGCTCCTTGTTGGTGCCTCTTTGGCTTCTGGCCCCAATAAGGAGCTGAGTGTTCTCTCCATCTCTGACCTCCAGGTCATCTGTGCCACATTAAATGTGGGCATGTAGAGCATGCCATGGCTGCCATCCACCCATACTCACCTCACTGTGACTATTCTGGGCAAGGATCTTCCCTGCCAACAGCTGTTGCAGCTGCTGGTTCCAGTCACCAGGCTTTGGGCAGGAGCCCCTGTCCTGTCCCTGCCTATCTTGATGCCTATCAACAGCCTCAAACGGTTGCTCGTGCTCAGCAAGGTGAATTGCCCCAAGCCAAGTCTGCCCACTTGTCAGTGGCAGAGATGAAATCTGCCCCTCACTGGATGTGACTTTGTCCCTCACACTGATCCCATTACCACCCACCTGGGACAGGCTGATGGTCATCGCTGTCCCCCCTCTGGCTGGGGCGCAGTTTTGTTTGTGTCCCTCTCTTGACAGGAGTCACAGGAGTTCCAGTGGGGTTGGGTGGAAGTGTGGAGCTTGGCATCTGAGTACTTCACAGTCCCACCTTGCCATTCTTCCCATTTCCTGTTCCATTTTCCCCCCACCCTCTGTCCTAACCCAGAGGAACCCCAGACCTGCCCATTCACATCTCAGGGTCTTCACTTGGGCATGGGGACATGGCCAAAGAGGGCTTTCCCCTGAGGCACTGTCTCAAACACAGCATCTTTCACAAATCCATCTTGGATTGCCCCTACTGGAAACATTTCTGCCTTCTCTAAAACTTCCTGGTGCTTTATCTGCGGGTAGGGAGCCACAACCATGCACCTTGCATTTGTCACCTGTGTCCATGCCCTCTCCCCTCCCAGGCTGTGCACTCGCCTGAGGCTCAGTCACTTCTGATTTATCTCTGTATCCCCAAGGAGCCTAGCAGGGTGCTGTGTGTTAAGTAGGTACAGGCACAGAAGGGAGGGAGGGAGGGAGGGAATTAAGTAACTATAACAACAATAACAAAGATGATAATGACAGCAGTGCGCGTCTGCTGATTACTTCCTAGCACTCAGCACTGTGCTAAGTGCTTTACATGTGTTATCTTAGTTAATCCCTGCAGCAACCATGAGGGGTACTATGATGACACCGAGGCTTAGAGAGGTTAAGTTAGTTGCCCAGGGTCTCACAGCTAGAAAATGACAGAGCCAGCATTAGGAGCCAGGTCTGCCAGACTCCAAAGACAGTGCTCCGGCCCCACAGGCCCTCATCCATCTAACTCCCTTGCCAGGTGATCACCCATCTTTTGCCTGAATTCCTCCCATGACAGGGAGCTTACTACCTCCTGAGGCAGCATATTCTGTCTTCAGACAACTCTGACTAATCCAGCTCTGGAAGTTCTCTGTGAACAAGTGAATTCGACCCCACAGGTTTGTTTTCAGGGACAGGCTTGGACCCACAAATTGAAAGTGGAAAGTCCTTTGGAAGGGGGTTTTGCTGTATTGCTGGACATGCATCAGCTGGGCAGGCTGCCATACACCAGGTTGTCTTTTCTTCTCTCCATCCCTGAGCACTTGAGAAGCCCACCCCAATGACTGCCTGGCTCGGGCCTTTGTTCTGATCTCTGAATGGGGTCAGCAGGAAAAGCCTGTGCAAGGCTGGCCTGGGCATCAGGTTCTTTTAAGGTGAGCATCTCCAGGCTTGGCCCTAGAGCCTCATACTTGTTACAGTAAAGAGGAGATGGCCACAGCACAATGCCCAGAGTGGGCAGAGGCCGGGCACCACCAACTGCTGCCGTGGCTCCTGCAGGAGGGCAGGTGCAGACCCTCTTGGTGGAGGCATGTGCCATAACCCTTAGCCCAGGCAGGGAACCTACCATGGACCCAGCATGCCCAGGAGAGTCCAAGAGCAAGGGGAGAGAAGCCACATGCGGCTCCAGATTCATTCCTGGGCTTGAGAGGAGCCAGGCACCACCGTAAGAGCCAGGGTCCCTGCCTGTACCTGCCCAGCCTTGTGGCTCTTCTCTGGAAGAGCAGCCAGGCACATGGCAATTAAGGAGGGGAACAGGTAGAAGCGCCCGCAGCTTATTGCATAAGTACTTAAAATGCAGTGTTCACCAGGTTCACCTCCCAGAGGAGACAACCTTTTGTGTGAGGATGTTCGTGGAGGGAAGTCACTGAATGGTTTCAGAATCCTGTTTTTTAATTGAATTGAGGCATCTCTGGTTACTTAAATATAATGTATTTGCCAATTAATTTTTCCATTGACGTCTTAAAACTCAGGTTCAGATCTCAGGCCAGCTACCTCAGAAGATGCAGCTCAGTTGAGAGCCCCAGAGGGGATTTAGGAGCATCCTGGTTAGGGCTCAGTTGAGGGAGGAAGGAACCAAAGGATTTTCCAGGTAGCTCGATCCCAGCAGAGCAGGAGCTACACTGACAATCTGCCAGGTGCAGTCCTCGCCTGTGAGGCAGGAAGCTGCAGCCCAGAGGGGTTGAGGGGCTCACCTGAGTGAGTGTGAGCAGGTGAGCAAGTGAGGGGCAGAGGCAGGATTCCCCCCAGGGCAGCCTGACCGCAGAGCAGCACAGAGGGCATGGCAGGTGAATATGCGCAATAAAGACATCCTGAGAAGGTGAGGACCATGTGTCTGATCAGAAGAGAAATGACGGGCTGAGAAATGGCAGCCACACCTTGAATGAGCTGCCACCACCGAGGACCCTCCCTGACCCCTGTAGAACTCTGACCTGGGGACAGGGTCTTCACAGATGGCCCCTGGACTGGTGCTCTGTGCAGTGTCTGCCTTTCTGGGATAGAGGGCACAGGCCAGATGAGGCAGATGAGGGTTCAGGGCCTGATGCCATACAGCACCAGGCCTTCGGCTCCCCAGAGAGCAGAGGGCTCCCCCTCAGGCCACAGGCTTTCTGCTGCCTGACTGCATGGAGTGGTGGGGCCTTGCCCCTGATGTTGCTGCCTTAGAGGAGATGTTTAACCTTGCATCTTTGTTTACTCATTAGTCACAGTGAATGGGGCTGAGGGCTGGAAGAGGATGCGAGTGGTGTACTCACATCACAGCCCAGAAGATGGCGGGGGCCCACCTGGCCCTGAGATTCCATGTCCGTACTCTAGAAGATGCCCCATATCAGTTTAGTTCCCTTCTCACCCCTCCCTTCCAGCCATCCTAAAGATGTCATGGCCAGATGTGCCCTGGGGTGAGCATTCCTGGCCCTATATCTAGACAGACCATGAAGGAACCAAGTGCCTGGTGAGGAATTGAGCCCCAGAGGAGCAGGAGGGCGGGACACAGGGAAGAGGCAGAAAGGAAGACACTCCCAGAGGCCTCGTTCTGCCACCTGTGTTCAAGCGTTAAGATCAGACGCACACATGTGAGCACACATGTACACAGCTGCTATCGGGCCTTGCTTGGTCCTCATCAAATTGTGAACTCCACGAGGGCAAGGACCAAATCTCCCTGTTCACTGAATTCCCCCCCTGCAGCTCACCCAGGGCCACCAAGGAGGCACTTAGCCCATGTTGAATGGGTGAATGAGCACCACCTTTCTCTTTGGTGCCGTGAGGAGCAAAGCCTTCCCTCAGGTCGCCCCTTCATGCGTTCCTCAGGTGGTACCCTTCCTAGCTGCCCCTCCCCAGGCAGTCTCACAGCGCTGGCCCCACGGTAGTGGCTGCCTCTGGGTTGATGTGTGTGGAGCAGACAGCCCCAGCCAGCCAGTGAGGTTCTTCGAGATTGCACTAAGCTCTAGCATGCTTGTTCCCTCCTCCCAGCCATCTGGTCAGCCCTACTGCAGAGACAGTAGGGCCAGAATCTCAGGGCTAGGTGGGCCCCCACCATCCTGGTCATCTTCAGGCTTGAGCCAGAGCCCTTTTCTTAGCCTTGGCTGAGGGAGAGTCAAGCCCCTGTTTCTTCATCTGCTGACCCCACGTAGACGCTTCTCTGCCAAGGAGGCAGTGCTGTGTTCTTCACGTGGGAGACCTGATTCCTCAATGCCAGACTGCTGCAGAAATGCTGCCTTGGAAGCCAGGTGAGGGGTGACAGAGCAGAGTGGGTTGAGGTGAGAGCCTGCCTCGCAGAAGGCAGGGCGGGCAGACTCCACAGGGAGGTCTGTCGGGTCCTAGCTGCCTGAAGGAGCTTGTTTGGCCCAAGCAGAGTGGGTGCGTGCATTTCACTCTCCACCTCAGAGTGTGAGAGCCTGAGAAAGCTCTGTGTGTGTGCGTGTGTGTGTGTGTGTGTGTGTGTTGGGGGAGGGGGACTTGCCCAGGCTGCTGTCTGCACCATGAATTAACTTCACTCTTTAAGCTGAGTGTGGATGGGAAGCCAGGGAGCAGCTGCACACAGGCTCATCCTCGCTCGCAGGCACTGCTGCAGCACAGACTGCCCAAAGGAGTGTGAGCAGTGCGCTGGCTTCCTCCTGCCTCAGGAATAGAGCCCTTCATCCTCCCTGAAGGGAAGATTCATGAGCAGCGAGGGAAGATTCACGAGCCCAGCCCAGCTGGCATTTGTCATCATTCCAGAGACATGAGCCACGCCCCTGACCCCTCTGCCCCTTGGCTGCTCTTCGCAGACCCTCTGTGGCCTCACCTCTCTCTGCATGCATGCTGGGCCCTCTCCTTTTCCCGCCACCACACAGACTGTGTGCTTTGGAGAAAATGAAAATGTTCCCGAAGTAGGTTAATAAACATCATCTGAAGAATAAACCAATAAAGACAGAGTGAGGTGAGAAGATCCTCTGCTGAGAGCTAGGCTGTCAGTCCAACTGGGTCCCGGCAGCCATGGGACAGACTGTGAGAAAAGTGAGCCAGTGCCACCTGCTGGAGCCCCGGGGTGGTGCAGCTGTGAAGCCCGGAGCCGCAGCCCCCAGGAGGGGCCACCCACCATCACACCACCTTTAGGGACACAGCGGCTGGGAGGGCACAGCAAAAGCCCCTATCCTGCCAAGTGGGAGGCCTGATGCCCTACCAGCCTGGTGGCTTTGTGCAGGTCTCTTGCTCTCTCTGGTCCTTGGTTCCTCATCTGAAGAGGAGGAGTAACCTCACAGGCCCTGAGCCGGTGAGGCCGCCGTGGCAGGCCTGGCTGTGCCGGCAGAGGGGTGCATGTGTGTTCTACTCTGGGCTGTCTTCATTCCTAAATGGGCAGCATGGCCCCTGCCACGGCTCACGCTCCTGCCATGTGGGAAGCATGTTTCCACCCCTTTCAAAGCTCCCATTCTAGCAAGCGAAAAGCACTGTTCTCTAGAGCCCAGAGAGCTGAGGCAAAGAGAAGTCAGCCAGGGCGAAAGGCCTGTGGAGATCAGAGCAATACTATATACACTCTAAAGTGCTGCCTTGAGGAGCCCCCGGCCCTCTGTGGCCGTTCTTCTACAAAGCAGTGAAGGACTAGATTGTCGTGACAGTGTAGGAAGGTGGACGGCAGAGAGCAGGTCATCCCTCACACTCCAGTGCACACCTGTTAGCCGCTGTGAGCATTCTGCCGCCTGGGGCTCAGAGCCTGGGGTGCCTGCTGCCAGCCAGCTGTGACTCAGAGGCCCAAAACCACGCCACCACAAGGACATGTATCAGTAGTGCCAACTCTCCTGGGCAGATTACACCACCAGAAAGCTGAGCCTGCACCTAACTGTCCCATGCCTGATGCCCACACAGAGGAGACACAGGAAGGGCTGAGGTTCAGCAGAGGGGTTGAGGGCTTGCCTACATAGAGGAGATTTTTCATTTTCTAAAACTAGAAGTTCCAGTTGGATTGATCATCAGTAAAAAAAAAATTTTTTAAAAACCCTAGAAGAGGCCCTACAAGAACTTTAGCCCAACCCTTTATTTTACCAGCAAGGAAAAGAGGGAAGTGACATTCCTTGCCAGAGTCACAGCTCTTTGGTGACATGTCTAGGCAAACTGGTGGTCCACTCCCAGCTGTGAACAGTAAGGCTCAGGGCTAAGGAGCTGACTGCTTTGCTGTTTTGATCTGTTGGGAATATATCTTTATGCAGATCTCTAGGCAGAGGTATCCCAGTAAGACAGTTGCAATTGGTTGCTTTAACTGTTGCAGTGAGAACAGAAACTGCATGTGAAAGGGAGCTCACCCTTACCAGCTTCCAGCAGTCTGCACAAGGCAGCAGCAGCACTAATGATGGTGGAGGCAAGGAAACCTTGGGTCCGCCCATACAACCAGGGAGGGGCTGTATCCTGCCACATCCTGTCCTCTGAGTCCCAGCTTGACACCCTCCCACCATGCGCACCTCTGGCGGAGGGCTCCCAGGGTTCAAGGGACCCTCAGTAGCTCTTGGCCTTGGTTTCCTGCCTGCCATCCCCCTGACCCCTGACTCCCATTCCCTGCCCCTGAGCCTATCAGTCCCAGGGCAGTTCCCCAGTGGGGACCAGCCACATGTGGCTGCTGTCAAGGTGGACCAGGGCCACTAGCATGGAGAAACCAGAGGCAGCTGCTGCGTGAAGAGCTACTAAGGAAGAGGCGTGGGCAGGAAGGCAGCACTGGGCCCAGCAGATGCAGGACTGCGAAGGCTGCTGCTGCGGGGCTGGGCGGCTAGCCACAGATGCCTCCTGCTCAGGGAGAAAGTCTTGATGGATTTACTTTGACCTCAAATCACGGTTGCAGGTTGGTTGGTTTTTTGGTTTGTTGTTTCATAATTACCAACTATTTCTAGGCTTTTGTTTTTATTTTGAAAAGGATCTCTCTAGGGACAGGTTCCCCGCCCCCCCCCCCGCGCGCGCACACACGCGCGCACACACATACACACACACACACACACACACACACACACACACTGAATAGCAGCACAGATCAGAGGAGTATTCTCAAAGGACCGCCTGCCTGAATGCAAGGGGCCCCGTGGCCAGGTCCTGCTGGGCCCACCCAGACTGGGCTGGCTAGGGTCAGTGCCCAGGAACTGTTGCTCCAGAAATAGTTGGTCTGTGAGCTGCCAGGTTGCAAGAAGGGCCAGGGTGGGAGGCTGAGAGCCAGTGCTTGATGTGGCATCTAGGGGGGCAGAGGCCAGCAAGTGCTGATGGGGCACAGGTGGGCTTGGCGGCCTGGAGAGAGCAGGACAAGGTCAAGTTCCAGGCAGGGGGTGCTCAGCTGAGACTCAGAGGCAGAGCCTTCATTGGAGCTTGGGTGCCCTGGCCACCCCATTAATCGCTGGTTCTTGAAGAATCTGCACTGTGTTAGCCCTGGGGATGGGGGGAATGTTCTCAGGGGAGGGGTGTTGACACAGGTGGCCTCCTTATGCTCATCCCCTAGGAAACAACTGGTAGCCTGGGGAGAGGAACTTCTTGATCAGGCAAGCCTGGTTGTTTAAAGAGGTAAGAGGTACTGCTTCTCCCCATAGATAACCCCAGATCCTCTGCCCAGTGCCCAGGCCCATCTGGCCCACTTTCTTCTTCGGCCTGCATCCCCAGCCCTCTGTCCGCATGACTCCTCACACTCACTGCCCCAAGTACCCCAGTCTCTATTTCCCTATGTTGTTCCTCTGTTGGAATGACCTCCTCCACTTTGTCCAGGCAGGGTGCCACCAAGTCATCCCTTGTAGCCCAGATCAAATGGTGCTGTCCCAAAGAGCCTTTCCTCAGCTCAGCCCGACCAGCAGTGGGAGTCAGGGACTTATCCCCGGTGCTGCCCCACCTCCACTGGGACCCAGGACAAAGGCCCATGGCCTGGGTGGCACCCATGGTGCCTGGCACATCACGGGCAGTGACATATGTGGGATGGGTTAGCGCCACCGGGCCCCTTAGATGCCTCTGGCACTCATGGCATTTTCAATAAAAAGATGCCACCGCCGTTAGCACTTGGGCCCTGGAATCCACAGCCTGGTCTCTGCCCTCCTGCCCCAGGCCTGTCTCTAGCTCACGTGCCCAAGCCTTGTCTGGCTTTCCACGTGCTGCAGCCATCCTCTCCAGGCCCCACACTCCCTGCCCCTAGATGACACTGCCCCTGATTGCAGGGCATGAAGCAGTGCCCAAGGCTGGGATTCGAGCTCAGCAGGTCTGCCCACCACTTCTTCCAGACATTTTCCTCTTTTGAATTGCTGGCCGGCATCAGACTCCAGCCTTTCCCTGGCACTTCCTTGTGTAGTTCAGCATTGCCAGTAGGGGTACCCTGCCCAGACCTCCAGGGACTGCCCAACCTGACATCTTGTGCTCCTCAGGGAGGGGTCAGATGGGCCGGGTGTTTGGTTCTGATTTGTTGGAGTAAGTAGCCAAGCTTTGGAGCAGCTGAAGGAACTCCTGGGTCTCCCTGGACAGCTGGGGCTGTCCTGAGAACTCCCTAGAGCTGGGGTCTCTTTCTCTAGTAGGAGCCTTTTTAGTTCAAAGCCGAAGGGCCTTGAGGTTTGTGAAGTGTCCCCATCAGTCATCTTGAGGACCTTGGGCCACAGCACTGTCTGGGGGCATGGCACTCCCCCTGGTCACCCCCAGCTGGACTGATCAGACTGAGGCACCTCAAGTTGGGGGTACATGAGCCCATAGTCCAGGCCATCATCTAGATTGTGAAACTTGAGGTACATAGGAAGAGGGCACCTAGTGCTCCTGCTGCTGCCCATCTGCTGTCTGGATGGCAGCCTAGGCTCTTCGGGGCCATGCTGCCTGTCTGCTGAGAACACGTGTGTGTGGTAACCAACAGTGCCGTGACAGACACCGCGCGTCATGCCAAAGCGTCTCCTCGGGAGAGCAATTTGGTAATCTCTCCTTGAGGGGAGAATTGCTCTTTGCAGTGTATTCTGTGGAATTAAGTGAGCCTCTGAGTGTCACTCCGGGGTTATCTGTGCTTCACTGGCTCTGAATGCAAAGACATGCTGCAGCCCTCGTCACTTGTAATTACACGTTTCCAGAGTGAGTGAGGCCAGGGAGCGGATGTGAGTGGGCTCCCTGGCCCTCCAAGTCCTGCTGCTCTGCTTTTCTCTCACAGGCACCAGGCTGGGGGCTGAGGGTGCTGAGAGCTTGGCTTGGCATGACCCTAGAATTTAGGTCAAGTGGTGCATTGCCAAGATCACTGGGAGGAGTGGGAGAGAGCTAGGGGTAGAAACCTTACCTGGAAAACACATCACTGAATCTTTCAAATAATTTATTTTGATGTCACAGCTCCTGGTCTGGACCAGCAGAGAGGAGCAGCCTTCTGTGCTTTTCTTCGGCAACAATCTAGTTGCTGTCACTGCCAGTAGCCAGAGTACCTACTGAACCTCAGCAGTGTATCTGGTTTACGGCATGGTCTTTGCCCTTAAGAGTCCTAGAGTATGTAGCAGAAACTCTTAAACTATGAACAGTGTCTAAATCGAGGTTAAGAGATCACTGATGGTGGGGTGTGGTGTCTCACGTCTGTAATCCCAACACTTTAGGAGGCCAAGGTGGGAGGATTGCTTGAGCCCAGGAGTTCAAGACCAGCCTGGGTAACACAGTGAGACCCCATCTCTACAAAAAAAAATTTACAAATTAGCTAGGTGTTGTGGTACATAACTGTGGACCCAACTCCTCAGGAGGCTGAGGCAGGAGGAGCACTTGGGCCCAGGAGGTTGAGGCTGCAGTGAGCTATGTTTGCACCACTGCACTCCAGCCTGGGTCACAGAGCAACAATTTGTCTTTTTTTTTTTTTTTTTTTTTTTAAAGCTATCTCCTACAGGAAGGATGATACCTTGTCTGTTTAAAAAAAAAATCACTGTCTGTCCAGTAATCAGGCACAGAATGTCACTGATGGCTGTGCTGCGGCCACAGTGGCCAGGCCACAGGGCAGGTGCTGAGAGGATGCACGTGGGCAGCCTTGTTGCTGCATTGGAAATGGACTCATTTCCCCTTCCTGTATCTCTTCTGCTCACTTGTGCATTTTGTCCTCTGTAGGTTCCCAGAGACTATACCAGTGCCTGGCAGACAGCCAGTGCTTGGGGAAAATTTTCCAAATGAATGAGTGAATGAATGAATCAGTGAATGCTCTCATCCCATGTTGGAAGTATGAAGCTTGGGGTCCTTGGGGTTGAAAATGCTTCTGTATTAATAAAACTATGCCTGGAAACATTGGAACAGAAATTTAAAAGCGAAACAAAACTATACAGCCATACTCAAACCGACCCACTCTGCAGCTGCTGCCTGGTCATAGCATCTTCCCAATGAGGCCATGGGGCCAGGGGTTTCTACTGCCTTGCCACAGAGCCCGTGCTGGGGCTCAGGTGGGTGCTCAGCAGTTGCTCTGAGCCCAAGGTGGGGGCCAACATGCTCTTTGTCCTGTTTGCAGCCCCCTTGGTACCTTAATTGGCATTGGGGCACTGTCCTCATCAGCTTGGTGGCTGTCGCTGATTCCTAATGGTCCTCACGTTTGCCTGCACACAATTGCTCCACACAGGATGTAATTAAATCCTTTGAACAGCACTTAGGGACATTTGATTATGTAGAAAAACTCCATAGAAATGTAAGCTGTTGTGTGCAGCTGGTTTACCCTGCGGTTTCTGACAGTGCTCACTGTAGTGTGAAAATTACCTGAAAGGGAAGAGAAGGGAACGGAGCTGGGAGGGAGGCTGGCGGGGTTGCTGCTGTGAAGCCTCAGCCTGCCTTCCATACAGGGGCATGGCTTGGAGGGCCAGGGTGAGTCTTTGCCTGTCTGAGTGGCCCTGATTGATCCCTCGGCCCTTCCCTCCCCAGGAGCTGCCAGAGCATGACGAGCCTGTTCAGTAACACTGTGTCACCGACCCAGGACGGGACCTCCTCTCTTCCCAGGAGGCAGAGCTCGTTTGCCAAGCCCCCGCTCCGTGCCCTGTATGACCTGCTCATCGCGCCCATGGAAGGGGTAAGCACCTCCTGGGGGCACAAGGCTCCTCCGCATCAGAACACATCGCTTACCAGTCAGCGCCCACATGTATCCCTCTTAGACACCAAAATGGGCTCCCGAGACAACCGGAGGCTTTCCAGAACACAAGTCCGCTCTGTCCAGCTTCTCAGTGAGCATTTGAAAAATAAGGTGGAGCACAGACTTGGTTGGTTGGTTGGTAGTGGATGAGGCCTTGAGCTTTAAGTTGCAAATCTGGGTTCAAGCCCTAGCTCTGCTCCCTACAAGCCGGGTACATTCAGCCTCAGTGACCTCATGTACAAAATGAAATGATGCTCCCTTCCCAGCCTGCCCAACAGAGTGATGGTGCGGCTCAGGGAGGCGCAGGTGCACCTCTAAGCAGTTGTCAGTAGGGGCCGTGCATCAGTGTGAGGACGAGGCTGCCCTTTCCCACCTAGCAGATGCCTCGGGGATGTGGCCGTGGATGTGCCCTTTCCCACCTAGCAGACGCCTCGGGGATGTGGCCGTGGCTGTGCCCTTCCCAGAGGGCTTCTTTGCACCTTGCGCCCACACCCTACTGGGAATGAATGCTTCCCCACCTCCCCACCTCTCATCCTAGAATCTTGTCTGAGCAACTTCGAGCCAGGGCTATGCTTTCTGGTGAGATGGAGTCTCAGAGAATCAATTCCCACCTCCCTCTTGCCCTCAGCCTCAGATATTGTTGGGAATCACTGACTCCACCATAGAGTCTAACGTTAAAGACACCCTTGCATAATCTGCCACAGACAGGTTTTCTGTGGTGTGTATTCACCTGCCCTGGTCTTTGCACATCACTTTTTAATTCAAACACAGCCCTCTGACTGAGCAGAGAGTGCTGGAGGGCTCAGGATCTTCGCAAATCCCAACGGTGAGCCCATCAGATGCCTTTGCGTAGACTGTTAGGAAAGCCCAGGGAGCCTGCAGCAGGCGAGCAGGCTGCTGTTAGCCAGGCTGCATGGCCCCTTCTTCCCAGCAGTCTGCAGCCAGGTGGGAGATTTGTCTCACAGCTGTTGGAGTGGCCTTCAGCAGCTCTCTCTTCTGCTCCAGCCAAATGACGGAGGAGAAATGTATCCCCGGGAAACCACATCTGCACAATGATTTCTTTGTCCCCAGAAAATGCCTATACCTTCCCTGCCTGGCCTTCCAAGGATGTGTCTTGCCTAATATTTGTCAGGAGGCTGCGCTACCTGCCAGTGCCCTCTGGATGTTCTCTGGCTTGGGGACAGGGTGTGGTGGAAAGCACAGAGCCTTTGGGAACCAGCAGAGCTGGATTTGCATCTGGCACTGCCCTTTTCTGGCTGGGTGACAATGGCAAAGCTGCTTCCCCTCCTGGAGTATCTGTTTCCTCATTAGAAAATGAGGATGATAACACCCAATGCAACAGGTTAGAGCAGGTTAGACAAATGTGTAAAGCACCTGGCCAAGCACAGTGGCTCTTGACTGTAATCCCAGCACTTTGGGAGGCCGAGCCGGGCAGATCACTTGAGCCCAGGAGTTCGAGACTAGCCTGGGCAACATAGTGAGACCTCGTCTCTACAAAAAATACAAAAATTAGCCAGGCATGATGGTGCACAACTGTAGTCCCAGCTACTCGGGAGGCTGAGGTAGGAGGATCGCTTAAGCCTGGGAGATCGAGGTTGCAATGAGCCATGATCGTACCACTGCACTCCAGCCTAGGTGACAGAACTGAACCATATCTCAAAAAAAACATACAGGTGCATAAAGCCCCTGAGGCAGCAGCAGCAGTGAATGTGTGCCTGGCGAGCAGTGGCTTCTTGTGCCCAGATACCTCTTCCGAGTGCCGGGTCACTGCCACTGTCCCTCCAAGCCTTCCCTGTGCTCCTGGGCCTCCCGGATCCGATCACATCCTTGCATGCACATTCTTGCAGTCCTTGCACGTGCTCGGTTGTCCTTCCCTTCTTAGGATTATGACCCTCTCCTGCGTCCTCCTTTTAATGAGATGACCAAAACTGCAGAGAATTCTCCAGCTTAAAGCTTCTGAGATACCATCATCACTTACCCTGATTTATGTGCCATACCTTGGAGGAAGAAATATAAACCTAGCTCCTTTGCTTTTCCAAGTTTTCTTTACTGCTACTGACTGTCATGCAAACCATTTCAGTGACTTACTACCAGCCTTCCCTCCTGCTCGCCCTGAGGCCTGCATTTCCCAGGGATCCCCGCTCCTCTGAAGGTTATTTGGACTCTCCATTCTTTACCCACTTGGGCCTTCTGAGGCCTTTGCCTGTCTCCCTTTGCATTTCTCCTTTTGCATTCAGGTCCCCAGATTACTTGTTCCATTAATGTTGCATTGGTGTTTGGGGACCGGGAGGGGAGCAGAGGGCAAAGATGGAGACTGGCTGTGACTGCCGCTTCTGCCCCCATGAGGCTCAGGTCATCTGGCGCTGGCAGGCTCCTCTCATCTCTCTGGCCCAGCTGAGGTGTCACCTCCTCTTTGAAACCTTCCTTGCCTCTTCTCCTTACCTTCCTGGATCCCTTCATTCCCCTCCCCACCACTGGGCCCCTTGCATACCTGGATGTTTTTTATGGTACCTGAGACAATCAGCCCTCCATATCCATGGGTTCCTCATCTATGGATTCAACCATGGATTGAAAAAATACATATATATTTTTAAGACAGAGTCTTGCTCTGTCCCCAGGCTTGAATGCAGTGGCAGTGATCATAGCTCACTGCAGCCTCGACCTCCCAGGCTCAAGCACTCCCCTGACCTCAGCCTCCTGAATAGCTGGGACTACAGGTGTGCACCACCACACCCAGCTAATTTTTATATTTTTTGTAGGGACAGGGTTTCACCATGTTGCCCAGGCTAGTTTCAAACTCCTGGGCTCAGGCAATCCATCTGCTTTGGCTTCCCAAAGTGTTGGCATTACGGGCGTGAACCACCATGCCCAGCGAAAATATATATTTTTTAATTCCCCGAAGTTATGAAAAGCCAAACTTGAATTTGCTACATGCTGACTACTACACTGAGTCCATGTGAATGAAGTGACATGTAGGCCTTCTGTTAGGTAATCTAGATTATAAATAATCTACAGATGATTTAAAGTATACAGGAGGTTGTATGAAGGTTAATGGAAACACCATGTCATTTTATACCAAGGACTTAAGCATCTGAGGATTTTGGTATCTGAGGGGTGTCCTGGAATAATCCCCCAGGGATACAGAGAGGCAGCTGTGCCTGATTGGACTCAGGACTTAGCTCTGTGCTTGCTGCCCACTCTACAGTCCCTGAAGGCAAGGACTGCCCCTCATCTCTGTGTCCCCAGCAGCTGTTACAAGGCCTGGTACACGTTGGCGGTCAGTAAAGTTTCTGGAATGGTATGGGGTCCAAAGCAGCATTGCATTTTGGGTCTAGTTTGGCACAGAAAGCAGAAGAGCCAACTTAGAAATCAGCCAATAGGCTTTTCATGGCCGCTCTTGGGTTGAACCTGGGGGCTCTCCCAAGAGGATGAAGCAGAAGGAAGGGGCTGGGCCTGTTCCCGAGGAGCTTTGAATCTAGTGAGCCCCCTGCCTCTGCCAGCCAGCACAGTGATTTCAGGGTGGGGGCATGCTCCAGTCGACATGCCTGCAGGCCCCACCCCTGAGCATGGTTTCACTGGCCGAGGTGTCCACGCTGAGCCAGTTGAAGGCAGTGACTATTGTGGCGGCTCTGTACTTGAGGCAGAAATCGGCTTGGTGGAGGCCAGGAAGAGGTGGAGGGCAGGAGGTGGCCCTGCCTTGACCCATCCCAGTGCTTCCCCAGCGCCACAGGTCATCCTGGAAAGGGATCCTCTGAATGTATAAAAGTTGTGCCATGTGTTTTAGAGTTTTTCTCCCTGCAGACTTTCCCGTGACTTAAAGAATATGCTATCAGGATTAGTGGTAGCTGGCTTCAGGACAACCTAGTTTTCCTGTAGGGGTGCTAGGAAGGGGGAAGGTTATGGACTTAAGCCTCAAGCAAGTTAGAACAATGATCAGAATAATGCCTTTATACACTGGGAAAAGCAAAAAGCACTGTCACCAGCATTTCAAAAAATGACATGCTGCTAGCAGCACCCTGTGCTTCTGCTGCCCTTCAGAGCTGGTTGTGTGGAGAATGTGAAGGGGCCCCTGAACCCGCCCACAGGCTGCAGTCCTATCTTGAGGTGAGGCATGCAGTTGGAAAGCACATCCTTAGTTCCTGATATCTACAAATACAATCTTTTGTGAGTCAGGTATTTGAACACAGGGGAAGGAGTTTGGCTGCTTTAAATGAGACAGAGTGAAACCTTTTTAAAGGTATTAAAGTAAATCATCAGAGCAAGCACTGTTCCTTGGCTAACTAAAATGATCCATTGTGTATCAGTAAAAACACTTAACTGAAAAGTTGGAGTCTAATTAGGAGTCCTCTCCATCCCCAGTTTTATCCATTCATTCAACAGATATTTACTGACTTGTGCCAGGCACACACTGTCCTAAACCTGGGGAAGACAGGTGAAAATCTGGGCCAGGGGCCTGTGTTCTCATGTCTGGTCACTCACAGACTGCTAATGGTGGTGATGGAGGCCAGCACCCGAGGCCGGTGGGCCATGCCGAATTGTGGCAGGTCAGCCTCAGTGACCCCGTCATCTCGGGAGGGTTTGGCACCCGTCACCTGCGCTGCCCAGGTGGAGGGGAAGGCCTGGATCATTCTCCTGCTTCTGGCTGCAAGCACCCACGCACTGCTCCAGAGGCCACAAGAGGGCGATATAACACCGCTAGCCGGCTCCAGAGCTGCCGCTGTCAGCTGCCAAGCCAGACCCTTCTCCACATTTTCAGTGAGAATGCACATCAAAGCCAAAAGTCCAAGACTGTGAATCACTGACACTTCAAGACTAAAACGATTAGCCTCTTCACATGGGGCATATAATTATTTGAACAACTGCCTTTGTTTAGCCGCAGTCCTATTGCTAAGGGACTAGGTCAGACAGTATGAAAAGTGGAACAGAATAATATTTTACCATAGGCCTTACACCAGTATGTGATTTAATTTGGCCTAAGGGAAACACTGTCGTGGCTCTTTCCTGGAACCACGCTGTCCTTTGCTGTCAGGATGGGGTGAGCATGTCCGCTTATCTTTGAGGAGGGCCCGGTTGCATTTGCACATGAGCCATCATCAAACATTAAGTCAGATCCTGTGTAGTCCCCAAAGGAGAAAATGTCACTAAAGAAAAGTTGCAAGTGTTTAGCATGAAAGGGACTACTGGGACCTGTTTGTGTCTGTGGTATTAGTTTTTAATCAAATTAGAGTGAAGGATAGTAACCCATGTCTCTGACCTGGACTTCCCTGCTTCTTGCCCTGGACTGATCTGGGCCAGTCCTGTCCCCACCACCCCAAGGCACAAGGCTGCCTCCGAGTTCTCTCCAGCGTCCCTCCCTCAGCAGCAAACTTGTGGCAGGGCTCTGCAGGGCTGCTGTAGGCAAAGCCACTCGTCCACTCAGATCCCAAATCACCCCTCAGTTTTCAGTTGGGCCCTTCGTCCAGAGCCAGCAGCTGCTATAATCAAGGAACCAGATTTAAGGAATACCTTACGTTTGGTCAAGTTACTCTTCAAAGGTCCAGATTTGGGGATCTTTCAGGATCCTTGGAGTTTAGACTTGCTCTAGTTATAGAGTCTCTGTTATCCTTACTTTTATTTCCCTTTATTTAAATTCCCTGTTTCCTGTATTTAAATTTAAAAACCAAGGTTCTAGGACAGGTAGCAAGAGCAAATGACTTTGATCAGAAAGAAAAGTACATCTCATTCACCTCAGCTTGTGATTCATGAAGTGTGGAGTCACCTGTTTAAAATCCTAGAAACTTATTCAAAACTTGTTTATGTCTGTTAGGCTGTTGAACTGCTTTCCAAGCACTGGAGCTCAGGGATTTCACCTAAGACTTCTCATCTAAGAGTGAAAGCAGGGGTCTAGCTCTGCCGAGGGCTCGGCCATGAGAGTGGCTTGGCCTTGGTTGGGTCATGACTGTAATCACTGCCCTGGGGGAAAGGACTCCCTTGTGTTTTGTAAAATACCCCTTGCAAAATCAGGTAGCAGGATAAGTCGGCCTCTCCTAGAACAGATGCAACAGGAATGAGACTGACCACGTGGCTGCCTGTTTTCTAAATAGATTGGGAGGCTTGGGTATAGCCAGGGAATTTTTGTCCTTAGAAACAATCAGACCTAGATTCCAGTATGAGGTAGAGGATGAGGCCTGTGAGACTGGCAGCCCCACCACCAGGCTGTCTAATTGATTTCTGATTGAGACATCTGTAGTGATATTCAAATGAGGACAGACATCACCCAAGGACAACAAGCATTTTCACAACTGATTAGGAGGAGGAAAAATGGAGGCAATTACTTGCAAACTGTCTGTATGACTAAAACCAGTGGTGGCAGCACCCAGGATAACCAGCAAGATCTCACGTGGTAAGTGGCATTCTCACCTGGATGGCTGCTGTTACATGAGTGTCATCTGCGTGCTGGCTCTATTCTAGCTGGTGTTCAACAAGCAGACATCTTAGCCTTACCCTGGCAGGTTCCAGGCAGGTCAGGGTCTTCTGCCACTAGGGGTGGAGGGATCATTTTTACCAGGTCAGCCAAGATAGAGAGAGAGGCTCCCCTCCGCCCCTCCAACCCTGCCCACTGCACAGAGGCTCCTGCAGCTTGAACAGTCCCTTCAAGCTGATTTGGCTGAAGTTGGACCCTGGGTTTCAGGCAGGCCCTTCTGGCTCTTGCTGGCCATTGGTCACGTTTCTCCAATACCTTCTTAGGTACTTCAGGCAAACCAGTGGGCGGTTGTTTGGCCAAAGCATACAGTTGAATGGGTTGAATGTTCGCTTTTCCATTTCTGGCTGAAATACAGTATCTACAGTCTTGGTGGGCTTCAGTTATGGTTGAGGGTGATTTCCAGGAGGTGTGTGATCTTTGCCAAAACTGTATGTATCCACCCATCATGACAGGATTTCCCAGCAGCATCACAGAAAGGGTTCCTCTACCTTAAACAGTTCTGTTTGATAAATTTATTCCATCAAAAATATCAGTCAGGAAAAAATGTGAAGCCCTATACACAGTTCTGGGGTATCTGGATACCCTGAAGCCCTTTGCCTCTGGAATCCTTATTGTAGACAGTAAAGTCCATTTCATCCCAAGTCTAATCAGTCTGAAAGCTCATGGACCCAGGCATTTTCTTTCCCTCCCCCATGGTGATCAGAGATTTTCATTCCTCTGGCCTGTGATACTGTGAATCCCTGAGAGGCCTGCCGTGTCTGCCAGTAAAAAGGAAACTCCCCGGTGCCCCGCGGAGGTCACCTGCAGATCCTCTAACCTTGGCGATACGCAAGGAGCGCATCTTTCTTAAACTCCAGATTAGGACATGATCAACATAACATTTGCTATGAGTGCTTTCTGAAGAGCTCGACCTGTACTCAACCAGGGCATATGCAGAAGGTCCCGCTGACCGAAACGGCAATCCAATCAGAATTCACCACCCAAAGACACATTCGGGATCCATTGGGGGTTGCCTGGGAGAACTCTGGGCTTGGAAACTGGACTTCAGGGTAACTGCTTGGTGGTGGCTCAGTAAGTAGGTGTGGAGGATAGCGATGGTGACGTGAAGATGAGGTGAGGGGGATGTGACGACCTCTGTCTCTCATAGTCTCTGGGTTAAAATTCGGAGCTGGATGTTCCAGAGAAGCCATTTGTCTCTTTTAGCCACATGAATGTTTGTAAACGCCAGAGAGAAAGGGAATGAGTAATACTGGAAAAATGATTATGGGCCAGGAGAAAAGAATAGTATAAATAATAGGGGCAGTATCACTTTATTCCAAGCACTGAAGACAGTTGTAAATTCGCATTTGACCAATATGTCTGGAGTGCACACCAGTGCCAGGCATGGGGCTAGATGCTTTACCCACTGTGCAGCTACCTTGGCCTCATAGGCCTGTGAGGAATGGATGTTAGCGCTGTCCTGTGGGTTTGGAAACCAAGGTGCAGAGAGGTTAGTGTCTTGTTGGAGTGTGCAGAGCTCCTACCCCCAACCCTACTGGTTTTTCACCCCTCGCCTCCCATCTAGCAATTCCAGATGCTGGGAGCACCCTGACTTGGCAGGCTGACCCAGACTCCGTGACAGGGCCTCCCCTCAGACCCCCTATTCTTTCCCCAGCATGCAGCATCCCTTCCTGGGCCACTGCACACGGCTTTTCATCCTCTGGGTCCATCTGGAGACAGAAACCACACCGTAGACTAACCACGGATGTTTAGTATTGAGAACTATTACCCATGATAGGCAAATAACTGTAAGATATAGGGAAGCTGTGTGGTTCTCTAGGGCTGAGGGAGTGTACCTAGTAAAGAATGAACATGGGAGGAGGTGTGATTCAGCCCACAGGACACAGAGATATGTCCACTGTTTGGCCAGGCCAGAGCCAGTCTGGAGTTGCTGGCAAGCGCTAGCCCCCTGAGTGTGGGCAGGAGAGCAGCCATCAGCTTCCAGCGGTGATAGGTGCCAGGGAGTCCAGGGACCTGCAGAGGCAGGAGGCCTTGGGAGTGAGGGAAGATTATCACCAGGCCGAGACTGCAAGGTGGCAACGGGACAGCGCTCTGGGCCCGTGGCTGGGCAGGCCCCTCTGGATGTCCTCACCCACCACTGACCCAGGCCAGCAGGAGGGCTCCTGCCTCCTCAGTGCCCCTTAGTGCACTCCACTGACACAGCTCAGCACCCTGCATATCGTGGGAGAAACAGCCAAAGGAATGCAGCCTATCTTGGAGCGGATAGTGACAAGGGCTTCAGGACCTGAGAGGCAGTAAACTGACAACAGCTGCACAAAGCCACCTCCAGTGCACTCACTGCCCACCCTGTCAGAAGGAACAACCCTCTCCTTGTACAAAGACTGCACCTTCACGGAACCCCTGTCATCACCGTGCCCCAGGGCAGCCCCACAGTGCTGTGCATGGTGGCCTGCCTGCCCAGCACTGTGTCTTTCCCCTTTTCCCTCACCTGGCCTGGAACACCGTAAGTTCTCAAGCATCATTTGCTGCCTGGACTCACATTGCCACAGTCAGGGTCACAGCCCCTTGGTGAGAGCGCAGGGCGGCACCCCTGGGGAAGAGACAGATTCTAGTGCACCTGGCCCTGTCATCTTCTGCTTTCAGAAATCCCATTACTAGAAACTGCAGAGGTCAGAACATCTGAGTCTTTGATGGAATCTGTTGGAGACTCTGGTAGTTGCTGCTGTAAGGCTGGTGCGTGAGCCACTTTATTGTTCAACCCTAAGCCTTAAGAGGCCAGCAGACACCCTTTCTGAGGCTGACAGGCCCAGGTGCTGAATAGTGTTTCCTTGAATGTCTCTCCTTTGTAGTCTGACTGATGATATGTAAGCTGAATAGAGATATCGCTTGCTTTCCCCTTTTCAAGTTCACGTTGGATTATAACTAATCTTTCAGTGCAAGGACAGCACACATACACCAGAGTCAGAGCTGACAAGTTTCCTGGGCATTATCTCTAACATGTCCAATCAGTTTCCCCCTTTGAACGGCAGCTGTCAGCCTGCTGTTCTACCCGTCTCCCCACAAGCCCACACATTTCAGAGAACAGCTGCGACTGTCACCTGCCTCATTTCACAGAGTTTGGACAGGGGTCCCATTTGGGGACCTTCACCCAGGGTTGTATGCATGAGCCAAGCTTGGTACCAGCTCCTAGGCATGATGCAGGGAGGACCCAGACCTCCAAATTGGGATATGAGGTTCAGAGAACAGCCTCCCTATCTCCCAGCCTGGACTTCAGACTTCTCCTCACCTGCTAAGGTCACTCTCACTGAGTCCCAGCAAGTCTCCTTGTCTCTTCTCTTGGTGGGCATGCCCTGGTCTGAATTACTCTTGGGTACAGCCCCCTCTCCCGCAGGCAGGCAGGCTGCCTCTCAATGCTTTGCAGGGCTCAGCTTGAGAAGGCATGGCGGGTCCTGACAGCCAACAAGAACCACACTTTCTTGCCTGATCTTCAGCGCCCCCACAGTCTGGCTCCCATGTCCCTCTTTAGCCTTGTGCTCACCTGGCAACAGCATCTGCCCAGGCCTTCCCCAACCCTCACGGACCCTCCTGGGTGGGCCCAGCGTCAGCCTGGGTAGGCTTTCCCCGTTCTGGGGCTGCCATGCTGCCATGAAGGTGTTACATTTGACAATACTGAGTTTCACTCAGCAATGGCCTCTTGTGTGCATTTTAGTTTTCTAAGTACATCATCATAAGTCTGCAAGCAAGGACCATATCCTAAATTTATCTGACTTCCCTACGGTCCCCAGTAGGCACATGACGGACACCACTCAGTGGCTGATGGGAAAGTCGAGGCCCAGCTTGGGAGACTTCTGACAATAGGGCCACAGGAGATGCCCCCCACCCCTGGTGGAGTGTTGGAGCAGACAGACAAGCTGCCTTCAAGGACATGCATTCTCTGATCATTAGGCTTGTGCCGCAGATGAGGTTTCGTGGGCAGAGTTAGCAGAGTTCTACGAAGATGGGCTGCCAGTGAATGTTTGCTCTGCGTGGATTCCAGCCTCACTTCTCCATTTTTCAGCTTGCCAAGCTTCCCTCCGGTTCACACAGTTAGGTGCTGTCATGACCAGGGACTTGTCTATGAGTGGCGTGTGTCCTGGTGAAGGCAGTAGCCTGTGGGATGATATCTGACAGAAACTTACTGTGGTTTGGGCTTAGGCAGCAGGAGCCCAGGGAGGACCTGCAGGCCTGGGGCTGGGGCTGGGGCTGGCATCTTGTCACAGCAAAGCCCTGCGACTCTGGAACAGTGGAAGTGGGTCCAGTTTTGCACATGGCAGGTGGCTCAAGCCCCACACTACCCATTCTCAGGCAGCACAGTTCCCACTGAGCAGCAGGTGGTCATCACTGTCACAGCTGCTGACCCTGTCAGCAGGGTCAGGGCAGCATCAGCTGTGCCACTGCGGCTGGTTCGAGGTTCACTGGCACACCTCCACGGTGTGGTGGCACTGCCCTCCAGAGCAGCCCCCTGAGCCACCTTTACCTATGGAGCCGGCCAGGGAGCTCAGGTGTGGCCCATGGCAGGCCATGGGGCCCAGGTGCCCTACAACTCTTTCTCCTCCCTGTGCTAACCCAGAGCTCATCCATAGACAGTGTCGGGGTCACTGTGACACACCCCTACTTCTTCCTGCCTAGGTTGCACAATTGAACAGTGATTAATTTACCTCCTCTTGGGAAATACTGTAGCTCTTTTTTTGTTGTTGTTTTTGAGACACAGTCTCGCTCTGTCCCCCAGGCTGGAGTACACTGGTATAATCTTGGCCCACTACAATCTTCACCTCCTGGGTTCAAGCGATTCTCCTGCCTCAGCCTCCTGAGTAGTTGGGACTACAGGTGCATGCCACCACACCCGGTTATTTTGGATTTTTAGTAGAGATGCAGTTTCACCATGTTGCACTCCTGACCTCAGATAATCCTCCCGCCTTGGGCTCCCAAAGTGCTGGGATTACAGGTGTGAGCCACTGGTGCCTGGCCCATGCTGTAGCTCTTACAGCAAACAAATGAAAAACAAATTGGCCTAATACTTTTTATTTCTGCTTTCGCTAGATGGAGCTAGAAATTTTTTTTAAAGGAAAGAAAAAAAAAAACCATATGGGTTTACAGAGACTGAACATCCCGCCAGGCATGTGTCACTTTGGGTTAGCCTAGTGCTCTGCCACTCTCAGTCAAGTGCCCACGGCAGCACATCAGACGGGTCAAGCGAGCACATTTGCTTCCCCAGGCACAAGCGAGTGGCACCCTGGTGGGTGTCCGCTTGTCAGCCACTCCTCAGCAGATGGGGTTGGGGGGCAGGCCAGCCCCACCCCTGGCACCCAGTGTTGCGCAGGCCCTGTGGACCTGGGACCTTCTTGGCAGGCTCTGGGCTGCAGCAGCAGCTTCCACGCCACCTCTTTGTTCACCGCAGTCTGTGTGGACCCAGCTTCCAGGATTGTTGCCTGCTGCTCTCATTAAGATGCCCGCGCCCTTAGCCTTGTTCTGCAATGAACAGGAATGAGGCTGTGTCCGCTGTGGCCCTGTGCACACCCTGCCTCGAGTCCTCATGCTCGGCCTTTCAAGAGGGATGGGAGTCATCCATGCATTGGGTCCCCTGACATCCCCAGAGGGAACAAGTGGGGACGGCACCTCCCAAGCCCAGAGCCAAGGGGCCACTCTTTCTCAGAGGAGGTCACGGAAGATCCTAGAACCCAGCCCATCCCCTTCTACAGGGGCTGTCATGCCAGCCCCCAGACCTCCCGTCCTCACTGTGATTTTCTAGCCTCTTGTCCATTGAAATGGAAAACAGATCTTGTTTTGAGAGGGGCCATTCCCACCCCTTCTCAGGGTGCCTGTGCGGTACAGACCGGTCTCCAACCCACTTCAGGTTCTTGTGAACTTCAAGAAACTGTCCTCTAACCTTCTCAGGACTGTGAGGCAGATGGATGCTGCCAGGCCAGCCCTTGCCAGTCCACAAGCGAGCATGCCAGTTGGTGCCGCTCCTGCAGGGCTGCAACTCGGCCCATGCCCCATGGCGCCCCACACCCCCACAGGCCTCACCTGCTCGTGCTTGTGTCATCCAGGCTAGGGCTCAGGGTTGTCCTGGTGCCTGAAACCCCTGCCTGCTGGGCCACCCATGTCAGCCTCTCCGTGCTTGCTCCATAGGGCCTGATGCACTCCAGCGGCCCCGTGGGCCGGCACCGGCAGCTCATCCTGGTTCTGGAGGGGGAGCTCTACCTCATTCCTTTCGCCCTCCTGAAGGGAAGCTCCTCCAATGAGTACCTCTACGAGCGCTTCGGCCTCCTTGCTGTCCCTTCCATCCGCTCCCTCAGCGTGCAGTCCAAGGTAAGGCTCACACACATGGTGGGGGGCCGGGGGCTTGTTTTCGGGTCACGAGGCACCGTCTATCTGGTCGGACTGGGCTGTGTTACGAAGGCATAGCTGTGATCTCCTCAAAAGTGTTGATTTTATGATTTGCACGCAGGTAGCGTGACTTTAGAGTAGGTCTGTCCAAAAGTGGGGCACGGCCCTCATGACCCCTGGCCATTCTTTGCTGCCTTGGGAAGCCACAGTTTGTGTCATGTCTAAGTTTCTTTGCTGTGACATCAGGGTACGGAGCTGCTCTGAGGTACACAGCAAGGCTTGAGGCCTGGCTGAGCACCTGAGGGGGCTGGTCACCCACCATCCACACGATGCCCAGTGGGCAGAGCACAGCCACCCAATTCATCTGGCCCTTGAGCTGACTGCTGGCTGGGCCCCAGGCAGGGAGGGCAGACAAGCAAGAGTGGAGTTGAGTAGAAAACAGCCCGACAGGCCAGTGGAACTGAAAACAAGTCAGGTGGCTTTAAGGGGACAGTCAAGGACTCAGGTCTCATTCAGCAAGAATAATCAATTTGGAAAAAAACGCCCAAAAATCAATAGAGTAACAGTGGGCCACCCTGAGTCATGGGTCTCACCCCACAGCCACCCTTGGCCCTGCCCACCTGATTAGAAACTTTTGAAACAAGCTTTAATCTTCTTCCCCTTCTCCAAACTCTCAGAGACCCCAAAATCCTGGCTTCCCTCTGACCCCTCCACAGTCCCACAGGGCTCCGCACCCGCCTGGCACTCCACTTGCAGCATCCCTGCCTGCGCGGCTGCAGGACTGTCTTTACCACAAGGGCCTGCATTGCTCCATCCTCCAACTCCGGATGTCCTTGAGCTGCCAGCTGCTCTCAGAGCCCTCAGACCCCTCAGACCCCATCTGCCCTAATACCCCACAGCAGGCGGGACAGGTCTTACCCAGATGGGCCTCTTTATGGTGGCGGAAAGCATAGGCGGGGTTAGGACCCGAGGCTGGGCCCTGTGCATGGGTGGCCCCCACAGGACCTGTCTTGGCTGCTTTGATGACTTGCTCATTGGCGTGGCCTAAGTGGGGTCAGTTTCTGCCTGACAGGCTTTTGTAGATCTGAATTTTGACCATTTTTGTGGCTGGATAATACTTTTCTTATGAAGCAAAGAATCAGTTCAAAGTGAAAGAAGTTATTTTCTCTAGGTCTCTCAAGTTTCCATAGCTGATTCTGAATCCCAGATAGGAAGCGAGCTGGCCTTCTCGACGCTCCTGCCACCCAGCGGCCCACCGTGCCGGCTGATAGCAGCACTCTGGGTATCAGATGCCTCCACCTTCAGAAAGCTTTTATTTTGATGACAGCAGCCAGTTAGCTGTTTGTAGCTTAACCAGAAACCTGGAAAAGGCCATCTCCTGACAGGCACCTGGTGTTTCTCTTACCCAGAGTTTAAGGCATCACCAAGCAGAGGCACCAAAAAATTATTTTGAAATAACTTCATACTTAATGTTTCCCAAAAAGTACCAAAAGTCATCATAGGGGAAACTCAGGCAGACATTATTGGGCTTCTTTATGCTGATTTTCTCATTCAGTGATACTTTTTACTTTGCAGCATATAAGGTGGAAGGGAACTAGAATCTTGTCAGTATGTAGAGCTTCTTAAAGGACTTAAGTTTAGCCCTGTCTCCCCAAGATTGGCTTGCTTGTTTGCACCATTTAAACAAAATCACTTTTCAAAGCCCCTGACTTATCAGGAGTGGGTTTCCTCTTATTTAGGAGCCACACATGAAGGTCTGTGGGGATGAGGATTGTGGAGCAGGCTGGCTGTCCTGGGTTCCACGGCCTCTGTCCACTCTGTCATATCAAGGCCTCCTCCCCCAATCCTCTCAGGACCCCTACCATCCAGTCCTGATGGTTTCCAAGGGCTCATCACAGCAGGCATGATTCTCAGTAAGTTAGGCACCTGTGTCAAAAAGATGTTGAAAAATAAGAGTGAATGTGGTGACTGGGGAAACAGGTGGATTCAAGCTCAACCAGCAGAGAGCTGGCCGTCCCTGTGCTCGGCCGACCACTGCCGGGCAGCCTGGCTGTTCTGTCTGACGGGTGGTCTGCTTTGTCCCCTCCCCTCCTAGTCTCACTTACGGAAGAACCCGCCCACATACTCCAGCTCCACATCCATGGCGGCTGTCATCGGCAACCCCAAGCTACCATCGGCCGTGATGGACAGGTGGCTGTGGGGGCCCATGCCATCGGCCGAGGAAGAGGCCTACATGGTGTCCGAGCTGCTGGGCTGCCAGCCCCTAGTGGGCAGTGTGGCCACCAAGGAGAGGGTCATGAGTGCCCTGACCCAGGCTGAATGCGTCCACTTTGCCACCCACATCTCCTGGAAGCTGTCGGCCTTGGTCCTCACGCCCAGCATGGACGGCAACCCTGCCAGCAGCAAGAGCTCCTTCGGCCACCCCTACACGATCCCTGAGTCCTTGCGGGTGCAGGACGATGCCAGTGATGGGGAGAGCATCTCGGACTGCCCGCCCCTGCAGGAGCTGCTGCTTACTGCCGCCGACGTCCTGGACCTGCAGCTGCCTGTGAAGCTGGTGGTGCTTGGCTCCTCCCAGGAGTCCAACAGCAAAGTCACAGCCGACGGGGTCATCGCGCTGACAAGGGCCTTCCTGGCTGCCGGCGCTCAGTGTGTCCTCGTGTCTCTGTGGCCTGTGCCAGTGGCTGCTTCTAAGATGTTCATCCATGCCTTCTACTCATCCCTGCTGAACGGCCTGAAAGCCAGCGCCGCCCTGGGGGAGGCCATGAAGGTGGTGCAGAGCAGCAAGGCCTTCTCGCACCCCTCCAACTGGGCAGGTGGGAGTTCGGCTGGCTGCGGGTGCCTGTCAAGGCCTGGGGCTCAGTCCTCACAGCCCCCCGACTTTATTCTGCCAGTGGGGTTGGGGAGGGGAGGGCAGGGCAAGGCCAGCCACAGAAGACTCAGGGAGAGAGCCTGTGTGCTGAGTCTTGCTTCTGCCAAATGAGTTTTTCCTACTATTAAGATCATCTTTGGACCAGGGAGCAACAGAACCATTTGCCATGAGTGTATGAATGTGAAACTCCTCCTGATGTCAGTGTACACTGGATGACCCATTCCATGGCACCCTCATTTAACCCATGACTGTAGAAAGGAGTGTGTGGTAGAAAGACTTAGGATGGATCTACTCCATGTCCTGGCTGTGTGGCCTGAGATAGGTTACTTACCCTCTCTGAAGCTGTGTTCTCAGGGGTAACAAGGGGATGATGGTGGTGCGATGACACCACCCGGTCCACATTTGACAGGATCTGTAAGGAGTGCACTGAATATCTTGTGAAGCTTCAAGCCCTGCATGTTCTAGAATACATGCTCTTAGTGGACCTGCCCAGAGGGTCTAGGGAGTAAAGAGAGAATGTTTCTGTGACATCTGGTCACAGGGGAGATGGGAAGGCAGGCACCCCTCCTGAATACAGAGCTGCCCCTCAGCTCCAGGCAACAACCTGCTTCCCCTGGGGTCCCACTCAGAGGACTCTGCTTTGCAGGAAACCCTGCCAGGCCAAGACTCACAGAGTACAAACCAAACCCTGGGCCTGTTCCCTCAGTGGCCTCTCGGCCAGCCGGGACTGTTTTACCAACATACCTCATGATGTGTCAGCCTGTGGTCTTCTCTCAGCATTGGCCCCTGAAACTCCCCAGGGTGTTACAAAAATCTAGAGCAAAGCAAAAGTCCCACCCATGGGTAACATCGGCCACAACCGCAAAGCAGAGTGTCTGAAAGTGTCTCAAACTTTGGGAAACAGAGGAACACCAAAAATCCTATTTTCTTAGCATAAATCCAGTTGACACATCCTGATATTGCTGGTGTCATTTTCCAAAGGTGGGTCAGTCCCTCTGCCAGGTCCTGTCAACACAGCTGCAGGGGTGGCTGCCTGGCAGCCCCAGGTGCTGGTGCCAGGCAGATGGGTCATGCTGTTGAAAGATGAAAACATTTTGCTTACTTTACAAACACAACTGTAGTATTTTTCACAGAGCTATTCAAAAAACAAAATAGAATTGTTCCTGTTTCTTCATATGGCTGAAAAGAAGCATTTAGTTGGTCCGACAGGCATATACCCTGCCCTGCCTAGTCACCTCACGGCCGTCCCTTGGTTCTGCCAGGCGAAGCATGCACAAGCAGGCACGGAGGGCTGCTCACCTGCCTCTCCTCCTGCGCTTAGGAGACGCAGAAAGTAGAGGTGACCCCTGTGGTTTCCATTATTGTCCTCATCACACAAGTCCTGTGCAACCTGCTCCTGGCAGTCAGAAGGGGCTTTGGGCCCCACAGCATCCCACAAAACCTACTGCAGGGCTTGTGGGGACCTGGCCCCTTTCCTGTCTCTGCAGGTCTGCCCAGTGTGCTTACGGGCATGGCATTTTGAAAAGGATCTTTGTTTGTTTAGTTTTGTTGATAGATAAGTCACAACTTTGTTCTGGATGAAACCATTTTTAGTGATGCTCTCTTGTTACCTTTAAAAACAGCTCATTATCTTAGAAAACCCTTTCCCTACATGATCTGGGGGCAGGTTGGTCCTAAAGTTGCCTGTGGGCTTGAGAACCTGCTCCCCCAGGCCCTGTTTCGGAAGGGAGTGTGGAAAGGAACGGTGGGATGCGGTGCTCCTCAGCCCAGTTGGTCTTTCCCAGCCGAACTTGGTTTGCTGGTTTAGAACTGGAGGAGTAGCCGCTCCCCACCTCCCCATGGCCCCCATGGCAAGGAGGAGATGAGCACACCTCCCCTCCCCTGACGTGTTCCCCCCTAAAGGCCTAAGGATAGACAAAGATGAATTTCAGAGAAAACAAGGCAGGTTTTCCTACTGCACTTCCCTCGGCTCCTTTCTGCAAAATAGCAGGCCCCACTAACCTGAACAGCTGAACAATATTGATTCTTAAAAGGAAGGGGACAAAAGGGTGCCACATCACCATCCAGTGAGTCAGATGCCCCAGGCCAGCCTGTGAGCTGCTCCCCTGCCAGGCCCTGCTCTTTCTGCTGGGTTAACCTCGAGGCGTAAGTGAGCCCTGGAAGCCGGGGTGGGGCTGGGGGTCTCCAGCTGCCCTGCTGAGGTGCCCTCCTTTGCTTTCTGCAGGGTTCATGCTCATCGGGAGTGACGTTAAGCTGAACAGCCCCTCATCACTCATCGGCCAGGCCCTCACAGAGATCCTGCAGCACCCGGAGCGTGCGCGGGACGCCCTGCGAGTGCTGCTGCACCTGGTAAGGGGGTCGGGCACCCTGCACTCAACGAGAGCTGGCAGTGCTGTGAGAGAAGGGGAAGGCAAGGGTTTCCCTACACGGGGATGTGAGCAGTTGGAGAGGACACCGTGATTGGGGCCGTGTCCAGGATGGCACTGACCGGCTTCCACAGACGTCCCTGGGATAAGCCTGCTGGGAGACCCATGTCCCAGCAAAGCGTGATGCACAAAGTGGGCAGTATCCCCAGGGTGCTTCTGCAGACGTCCCCGGGATGAGCCCGCTGGCCTGAGGGGTGGGCATGGTGTGTGGTGCCATACAGGTGGCTGTAGCAGTACTCGCCAGGACCCTGGGGGAAGGGCAGCCGACGACAGTGACCCACAACCTAGCAGCTTCCAGGCCATGTGGCTTTGGGCAAGTCACTTTGGCTCTCCGAGCCTCAGTGTTCTCATCTGGAAGGGGTGATAAAAGTTGAACAGTTCAAGGTTATCGTGAGGATTTGAGAAAATGTGAGTACTTGGCGCAGAGTCCTATTTTACCACCAGATGATACCAGTCTGCCCCTGAGTCCAAGTCTGATCATGCCCTTGATCAGCCTGCCCCAACATCTGTGGAGCCCAGGTGAGAGCACAAATGGAGGGCCCACAGCTACATGTGTAAAGTTATCAACTGAGTCAAGAAGCAGTGACATCAAACTTGTTTCATCCTTCTACCTCGGGAACAACCTGGAAGGCCGTTTCAAATCATTTAGAGTGCTGTGCCAGAAAGACCAGCCCTGGCCCACCCCACATCTTCCTAGCCCAGTGCCAGCCTGGGGCCCATGCAGCGTGGGTGAACAGTTATGCCACAGCCAAGCTCCTTCCAAATCTGCCACGGACCCCAGGGCCTCCTTGCAGGCTGGTTGCTGCACAGCCTAGCTCCATCCATGGTTAAGATGGAGGACCGGGGGCAGCGTCGATGCAGCCTGGGAGTGAGCATGTCTCCTGGGCCATGCAAACTTCTTGCCCGTGGGTTGGGCCTGAACAGGGCCCTCTAGAACCCTGGCACCTGGGCCTGGGCATGGTAGCTCTACATGCACTTCTGAGGATAGAGTCACACATATTTCTGAAGCTTAGGGTCTCCTCAGGCCTGAAAGTAGTCAGTATGTGAACACTGTGACCAGCAAGCCCCCAGCGTGCCCCCAGTTGGCTCGAGGAGGCCAACACCCAGGGTGCTGGGAGGCCCTCTCCACTGTTACCCTGTATCTGGAAACTGTCTGGAGCCTTTCAGTTCTCGGGTCCCGTCACCCCCGAAGTCCCTCCGTCCTTGCTGCCACTACACACTGCTTTTTTGGGGAAATGGAACTGCCTTCTCTACCCATTAGTCACCTCCTCCCAGGCCAGGCCTCTCAGCTGCCCCTACATGGCCTTGAGGCCCCTCAGGCCCACTTAAGGGTTTCCTCTTTTTCCTTGGTATTATCTTCTGGGGTGGGTGTGGGGGCCATGGGTCAAGTTCCCCAGCCCCTACCTTCTAACTCCTCCTGGATACTCCTTGACCCAGTGGGCAGTGTGCCTTGGAGGCCCCCCGCTCCTGAGGGACAGCCAGGGCTGATCGTCTGTCCTCCCAGGCAGGCTTGTTTCCTCCTGGCTGGTGTGAGTACACACTTCCTCCTGTCTGGGATGCCTGAGCTCCGGCATCCCAGTGTTTACTGTAAAAAAAAAAAAAAAAAACCTCAGGTGACATCTTGGACCACTCATGCCCCTCCGGTGAGGGCACATGTGCCTCATAGGGCACCCAACATCCCAGAGTGGACAGGGGTTTCCACTAGAGAGAGGCCCAGGGAGGCCTGATGAAAGCTGTTTGCACTACTGTTTTTGGGTGTGTTTTTAGGGGGTGGGGTGTAGAGCTGGGGTCTCGCTATGTTGCTCTGGCTTGTCTTGAACTCCTGGACTCAAGTGATCTGCCCGTCTTGGCCTCCCAAAGTGTTAGGATTACAGGCGTGAGCCACCACGCCTCTCAGCTGCCGCCACTTAGCCTTGAGGCCCTGTACTACTGTTAAAACACTCACTCATGTAGTTCATGCAGCAGTGACTTGGGTGACTTCAGCGTAGAAGTGCCAGGCACCTGTTCAGGCCCTGGATGACATGAGGGCACTTCCCGGTGGAGGGAGGTATAGGCTCCAGAAGCCAGTGCGGAGGGACCAAGGCTGAGTGGGAAGAATGGGGAAGAAGGGCATTGCCAGCCAAGACCCCATGATGGGGCTGGGCTGTGGGCAGTGAGGGGGTTCCTGAAGGGCCTGAGGGTTTATCCTAGTGGGCAGGAGCCATTACATGGTTGAGGCAGGCCCCTGACCTGTGTGTTCAGACACATTGCTTTACTGTCTGCGGAGAGTGTGGAAGGGGTTGGTTTAGGGGAGGGACAGAATCCTTCTGTTGTACCAGCCCTCGAGGGCTCTGATGGTAAAATCCTTCCCTTCTGTGCCCTCCCTTGCAAGATGCCTAGTCAGTGCCCCAGTGTCACATCCTCAGGCCTGGCCACGTGGGCTATGTGGGGTTGCAGCAGTCAGCCTGGCTTCACCCTGGGGCTTTGTGTACCCTCAAAGCCATGCGGATGGAAACCAGGGCTGGCCTGGGTCTCTGACTCACCCCCAATTCCCCCTCAGGTGGAGAAATCCCTGCAGCGCATCCAGAATGGGCAGCGCAATGCCATGTACACATCCCAGCAGAGTGTGGAGAACAAAGTGGGCGGCATCCCTGGCTGGCAGGCCCTCCTCACCGCTGTGGGCTTCCGGCTGGACCCCCCAACCAGTGGCCTGCCAGCGGCTGTCTTCTTCCCAACCTCCGACCCGGGCGACCGGCTCCAGCAGTGCAGCAGCACACTCCAGTCCCTGCTGGGTGAGCTGTGGGTGTAGGGCTGGGGCAACAGGCCTGGCTGACAGCAGGTGGAACAGTTGGTGGCCTTGGGCCCCGCATTCATGAGGATGCTGGATCTCCCAGCTAGGAGCAGGAGGGTGTCCTGAGAAATGGCAGGGGGTCCCAGATACAAGCATCTCCACACCTGGAGGAAACAAGTGCCATTTACCTGCTGTTTCCATCTGTGATGGCAGGCATCTGCGCCCCACTGGCGCTGCCCCTTCCCGGGATGATGGGAGGTCGTGCCGGCAGACACTGGCCACTACTGCCATTGTCATCAGCAGCTGTGGCCCCGATGAAGCTGTGCGGCCAACCCCAGGGTGAAGCTGGGTGCTTGACTAGGGGTGGTGCTGCCTGGGTCCTGGGAGTGTGGCCACGCCTAGAGGACTGCGGCAGGGTCAGGACTCAACCCACTTCCACCCACCTTCCTGGGAGACCACGCTGTCCTTTTCCAAGGCACACACAGACACACATGTCTAGCTGTGCTGAGCTTCTGAAAAATGCCACCGATGCCAAGGATTTAGGGTTCTTTCCCCTGGGAAGGTGGCAGGCTTTTGGGTGCAGAGGCCCTTCTGAATAACTTCTACCCTTTTTTCTTGGTTTAGGTCTGCCCAATCCTGCCCTCCAAGCCCTTTGCAAACTCATCACTGCCTCCGAGACGGGCGAGCAGCTCATCAGCCGGGTAAGTCGAGCCTGGAGGGCTGAGCCAGGGCCTGAGGCCCATGCTGATTTGGAAAGGCAGAGCAACTTGGCCCTAAATAGGAACCTGTAAGTGAATGCAGTCTCACCGCCTTTGTGATTCAAAGGAGAAGGTGAGGGCCGGGAGTAAGAGAATAGCCCTGCCTGGCAAGTGCTGTTTACCTGCTGTTTCCATCTGCGATGCCAAGGCATCCGTGCCAGCGGCACTGCCCCTTACCGGCATGATGGGAGGTCGTACCAGCAGACACTGGCTGCTATTGGCATTGTCATGGGCAGCTGTGGCCCTGATGAAGCTGTGCGGCCAACCCCAGGGTGAAGCTGGGTGCTTGACTCAGAGGGGCACAGAGGGGCAGGTTTGCATAGTGTTCTCATATGTGCTGAGCATCCAGGGCCTTCAGAGGATGCTTATGGGGCCCCTGTCACCTGTGGTCTCAGGGCATTTCCTGAAATCTCCACTCGGTGGTCTCCTGAACCTTGTCCTCCTCACCACCCACTTTTTCAGCTGATTGACGAGTGTTACAGCCACCCTCCCCAAGCCACCAGGTGTGGGGCCAGCCCACCAGGATGGCTGCAGGTGTTCCCACGCTTCTTTGATCAAAGTACTTAACCATGCCTGAAACAAGATAGTCACCAAGGCAAAGCAGTGAACCCAGGAGCAACTCTCATGCAAGACACTGCTTAGCAGATGTGCTTTCTTTTAGGAAAATACAGATCTAGTTCAGGAGTTCGGCGGGTTCCAGTTCTTAGCATCATGTAGGTCCTTTGCAGCTTGGCCTGGGAGCTTCTCAGTACCCATGCTGCACCACTGCGTTCTGGCCAGTGAGGGTCTGGACCAAGCCCCTGGGGGGACAGCTGTGGGAGCACTTCTGGAGGCTGGAGCAGCCCTTGAAGAGCACAGAGTTGCTTTTCTGGCCATTTTGGAGTGTAACAATTTGAAAAAGTAATATATGTTGTTATTAGAGATATTTGCCAGCAAATTTCACTGAAGTGGAAATATTTCTATGGAGAAATAAAGCTGCTCCATCTACTATTAGCCTCTGAAACACACTGAGTGCTACCTAGGGCTGTTTCCACCTGGATTTGGAACTTAGAACCAACAGTGACCTGTCCCCTTGGCTGAGTCCCTGCTCATTTTGTAATAAGTGTATTAACGCCTGCTCGTTGAATAGCATCAGGAAGACACTTCCAGAACACTGCATATTAAAGCATCCTGAACCCAGGCGGTCTAGAGGTCTGTGTTCTACAAAATCTGAAAGCCAAAATTATACTCCATTTGCAAGGCTGTGCTGAGAGGCCAAAAAGCCAGTTGCTTAATTTCTTGCTTTTGATGGGAGCACAGGGACTTTCTGCCTGATACGCTGTTGGGCCCTAGGGACATGTCCCGAGGCTGCCCCCAGTGGTGGCAGCTGGTGGACCTTTCCTGGCTCACTCAGGAACCAGGGACTTTGGTTTCCTGAGCTGGCTACAAACGCCCGCTGTGCTCTTTCCCTCCCGAGCCTCTACTGGCTGGGAAGGGAGGCCTGGCTGATGCTGCCCCTGAGCCCCTGGATCCGCACGCGGCTGGCCTGGGTGTGGCTGTCCGTTCTCCTGTGTGTCCCCTGCTGACTCTTGCTCCTCTCCCCTCCCAGTCAGAGCCGCGGGCCTGGTGTGGCGCTTCCTAAACAGTGATCAGCTCATGTTGCATAACAGCCTGTGCTTGAGTCTAAACTCTCTTCTTTCTCTCTTTCTTTCTTTTTCTTATAATCTGCTGGCCGAAGGCTGTTAAAAATATGGTTGGAATGGTGAGTACTACTTTAAGTAGCAACTGTTGTCAGGTGAGCCCCTCAACCCACCCACCCCCGAGTTCCCCTGGGCAGGCTCTGAGCTCGGGGTGCACGTGCTGTCAAACGGAGCCACACGGGCTGCGGCGCCCCCGCGGGTGCGCACTGCTGCTGGACTGGCGGCCCGTCCCCTTCTCTGCTCTGCCTCCCCTCTTCCTGCTCCGCCCTTCTTGCGTCCTTGATTTGACCTCCTGAGGTCCACCAGACAGCAGGGGCAGAACCAGCTTTCAGTGAGTGTCACTCTGTGAACCCACACACAGACCCCTGAGGAGAGGCCACAGACCCTGAAATCTGAAAGGAAATGGACACTTGAGTGGGTAATTCCTCGAGCTGTGAGGCTCTAAGATGTAACCGGGTTCCACTTCGCCATCCACCTCAAGGTCCTAAAGATGACTTAAGAAAGTGGGAGGTGGCCGGTCCCCTAACTCACCCCTTCTACTCTCCATGGCCTCTCCTGTGAGGCTCTCCCACGCCTGAGGGAAGACACAAGGCTGGAAGCAGAACCCGGCCCCGGCCCCAGGAGGCCACACAGCCTCTTGCCCCAATGCCCCATGAGCTTCCCACAGAGAGGACAGCAGGACAGTAGGTATGAATGCACCTGAAAAAGAATCTCAAATGCTACACTCATGAGAGGGTCATTAGCGATGCCAGTGACAGGTGACATAAGAATAATGGGTCGAGTCTTGAGGTGGGCTGGAGGGGAAGGAGACACAGGGTGCTCACGCTGTCCCCCCTTCCTCAGCTCCACCAGGTGCTGGTTCAGCTCCAGGCTGGCGAGAAGGAGCAGGACTTGGCATCAGCTCCCATTCAGGTCTCCATCAGCGTCCAGCTGTGGCGGCTCCCGGGATGCCACGAGTTCCTGGCAGCTCTAGGTAGGCAGAGAATCCTTGACTTAAATGGGTTCTTGAATTCCATCTTTTAAATCTCTGTTTTTCCTCCTGGTTTCTGTTGGGCAAAGTATCTCAGTGTCTTCTTAAAATATTATCTTAAAACAGTTAACTCAGGCTGGGTACAGTGGCTCACGCATGTAATCCTAGCACTTTGGGAGGCTGAGGGGGAGGAACACTTGAAGCCAGGTGTTTGAGTCCAGCCTGGGCAACACAGGGAGACCCCATCTCTACAAAAATTAAAAAAAATTAGCCGGGCATGGTGGTGCATGCCTGTAGTCTCAGTTACTCAGGAGGACTGAGGCAGAGGATCTCTCTTTTTCTTCCAAAAAAAAATTAACTTAGATTCCAGTGGTTTAGCAGGATTCCCAAATGGTACAAATGGCTTTGTGCCATTTCCTCTGCACTGTGATTTCATCTCTGTCATTTGTGCCCATTACCTTAACATGAACCTGCTAGACTCTAGTATTATTGGAGGTCAAGTGTTATTAGGAGCTAAAGAAAACTAAAATTAGAGTCATAAGATGATAATGGTTTCAGTGTTGTCCTCTGTCAACGGGTACTCAAAACTGGCAGGAAAACAGTACTATTGAAACCACCTCTGAGAGACCATGGGTACCTAGGACTGCACATAGCAGGGGCCTCAGTCAGTGCAGGACACTCGATTTCCCTTTTTTACCATTTGTAACGTGCAGGTGTGACTCCTGACATATTGCTGTGTACCTGTAATGGTGCATCTGTTGATAGAACACAAGAGGCTGTGAGCCACTCCCCTCCTGCCCCACTTAGGGGCCCAGTGACTGGCTCGGGAACCATTCACTCCACAGGTTTCTTTTGAACACCTGTTATGTGTCAGGCAATGTTCCAGGCACTGGAGATGCAGCAGTGAGCAAAAGACTAAATTCCTACCATCCTAGAGCTTGCACTCTACTGGGAGAACACGAACAAACCTAATACAGTGTCTAAGGGACGCCTTAGGAAGCCAGGGAGCACCATGGCAGGCAGAAGCAGATGGGTGGGAGCAGGGCCAGGACAGGCCCACAGAGACTGGGATGTTTGCAGGAGAAAGTGCCAGGCCGAGGGAACAGCCACGGAGGGGTCGGGGCGGGGTAGGGGGCAGGGCAGATCTGTGGGCTGTGATGCCAGGGAAGGCCTTTGGATTTTAAACTGAGAGAAGTGGACACCCTTGAGAAGATGGCACTGTCTGACCTCACTGTTACATGGATGAGCTGTCAGACATGGCCCGACAGAGAATCCTTAAAAATGCTTCTTTCCTGCCGGGTGCGGTGGCTCACTCCTGTAATCCCAGCACTTTGGGAGGCTGAGGTGGGTGGATCACCTGAGGTTGGGAGTTTGAGACCAGCCTGACCAACGTGGAGAAACCCCGTCTCTACTAAAAATACAAAAATTAGCCAGGCATGGAGGCGCATGCCTGTAGTCCCAGCTACTCAGGAGGCTGAGGCAGGAGAATCATTTGAACCCAGGAGGCGGAGGTTGCTGTGAGCCGAGATCGCGCCACTGTACTCCAGCCTGGGCGACAAGAGCAAAAAGCTCTGTCTCAAAAAAAAAAAAAAAAAAAAAGCAAGCTTCTTCTCGCTCGGGGTCCCACTGTCTAACCTGTTTTGTGGGTGACCTTCCCCGACCACCTCAGCTCAAGGCTGGCTCCTTGTGTTTTCAGACACGTCGTGTATTGTGAAGGTAAAGTGGGGAGCTACAGTGCCTCACAGGGGTTCTGAATCCCCTTGGATTAGAAGCTTGGCATCCTTTACAGGTTGCATTACTTGGTTTTTTATTTTTTTTTAACTTTTTTTGTAGAGATTGGGTTTCACCATTTTGCCCAAGATGGTCTTTTTAAACTCCTGGGTTCAAGCAACCCTCCCACACAGCCTCCCAAAGTGCTGGGATTCAGGTGTGAGCCACTGCTCCTGGCCTACATGCTTTTCTTCTGTGGGTTTAAAGCATCATTTTCCTGGTGTAAACATAGTAAATTTCTATGTAGGCAGCAGCAGATGGACGCTAGACTGAGAAGGGCTGGGTTCCCATCCGGGATGCTTCTCTTGTCACTTCTGTGAGAAGCCATAGGGCAAGCCTTGGGGGGCACTGCCACGAGTGAGTCAGCAAGAGGAAGCCACAACCACAACCTTTTTTTTTTTGGAGACAGGGTCTTACTCTATTACCCAGGCTGGGGTGCTGGAATGCAGTGGCGCGAGCTCAGCTCACTGCAATCTCCACCTCCCAAGTAGCTGGGACTTGAGGCATGCACCACCCACGCCCAGCTAATTTTTGTATTTTTTGTAGACACAGGGGTTCGCCATGTTACCCAGGCTGTTCTCCAGCTCCTGAGCTCAAGTGATCTGCCTGCCTCAGCCTCCCAAAGTGTTGGGATTATAGGCGTGAGCCACCGCACCTGGCCAAGACCTTGCTTTATAAAGGAAAAGCTCTCTTCCTCATGGAGCCTGAGGCTCCCTTTGGTGTGGGGGTGGTGGAGCCAGGCTTCCTCCCCTGCACACTCCCTGCTTTTGAGGTCCCTTTGCCAGATACATCAAGAATAGTACAGAAGGAAACCCAAAAACTCTTAACACAGGCTGTCTCTGGTGTTGGGATTATGGGGGACTTTAGTTGATGTTCCAGTTATTCTCTGTATTTTCCAAGAGCCACTGATACTCAAGGGGCGAGTCGGTCTGCATGCATTTGCAAGCTTTATGGCCTTTTGACATACAGCTCGGGGAGGAGAGTGGTGTCCGGTAGGCCTGTCATCTGGAGAGAGGTGGCTGGCTCGCTCCCAGGGCTCCAAGGCTCCAAGAAATGCCCCCTTTCCAGTCCTCAGCAATAAGCACACACCTTCACAACCCAGCATGGGCTGTCAGAGATGGAGAGGACTCAGTTCTGAGCAACCCCATTTAAATCATTTTGGTAAAAGTAGAGGTTTCTAATGGAAGCATTACATTGATACTATTCATTATTGGTTTTTAATGCTGAGTTCTCTGATTATGTCTTCCTGTTGCTTTCAGGGGCTGTTTACTTTCAAATTCAGAGGAAAATGTCCCATAGTGACCAGAATGCTCCTCTAGTGAACCTAATTCCTAAGGGAATGATAGTCTCCAGATCCCCGAATACAAGTCAAAAGGCTGGCTGCCTAGATAGAGAGACGGAGGGGTTTCTCCTTTGGTGAATGTGCTGTTGCTGAGTCACGACACATAGCATGCTGACAGTAACATCGTGTACTATGGGCCCCCTTACTTTAACACTGTGAGGTCAGAGGAGAGGGTGTGGCATCGTAGGTACCCAGCACTTTGCAGTGTTGTCAGGGGAGTTCAGTGATCTACCCAGTGCTCTCAATGCAGGGACCAGGGATTCTGAGTGAAGATTTTCAATGCTGAAGACTCTTCAGGCCCTAAATTCTTGCTTTGTGGTCCCTGTCTGTATTAGTCTGTTCTTACATTGGTATAAAGATACCATTCGAGACTGGGTAATTTATAAAGAAAGGAAGTTTAATTGACTCACAGTTCTGCATTGCTAGGGAGGCCTCAGGAAACTTACAATCATGGCGGAAGGCGAAGGAGAAGCAGGCACCTTCTTCACAAGGTGGCAGGAGAGACAGCACAGGAGAAATGCCAGACACTTATCAAACAACCAGATCTCGTGAGAACTCCCTCACTATCATGCGAACCAATCCAATCACCTCCCACCAGGTCCCTCCCTCGACATCCAGGGATTACAACTTGAGATGAGATTTGAGTGGGGACACAGAGCCAAACCATATCATCTGTGGCCATAGCATCTGCACTTGGCTTCTCCCCAGGGAGACATACTTGCAGGTGTCCCTGTAATGTCTCTTAATGTGTCTAAGTACCACGTCCACAGTTTGTTAGCCAGCCTCTTGCTCAGGAAGCTCCATGCCCTGTGTTACACCTGCTCTGAGTCTCATTAGAATCCTTAGAATTAGGGAGCAGCACCCCTGGGCTTTGGCAGAGGCAGAGAAGTCACTGCAGATCCCCCATTGTCAGCGATCATTTCAAAGCCCACGGGGGCAGACACTGAACATGCATGAAGGCATTGTCTTTGCCCTTGAGAAACTTCACCTCACCATGCACCAGCTTTAAATACTGCTGTCAATGCTGAATGGAGTGGCCAGTTTTTGTCCTGGACAGTCTTTATATAGACTGTACTTCTGTGAAAAAAAAATGGAAAAGAAAACATGTGAGTGAGCCTTACTGAGTTCTGGTCCATAGTGCTTTCCGTGAAGGGACAGAGGAGAGCCAGGCAGTGAGAGCCACACACACGCCAAATGGGGGCTGCGTAGAGTGGATGTTCTGGGTGGGGCAGCCCGACCCCTCTGCCACATGACCAACCTCTGTGCAGACATGGGGAAGCCCCAGGCCCAAATGCTTGCTGAAGGGCCTTGCAGGCATTCCATGAAGTTGCACAAGGAGCCCTATAGCGCTCATGTTCAAGATCTGGAATCTTCCCGAAGGAAGCAGATGCTTATATTCTTTGTTCCTCTAGGTTTTGATCTCTGTGAAGTTGGTCAGGAGGAAGTAATCCTGAAAACCGGGAAGCAAGCTAATCGACGGACTGTGCACTTCGCGCTCCAGTCCCTGCTGTCTCTGTTTGGTAAGAGCCTGCCCTCAGACCAGTTCTCCACCAGGGCCTGCCATGCTCTCCCTGGGGGCCGACACCAGCACATACATTTTGGGAAGCAGAAGAAAAGTGAATCAACATTTTTTGTGTATGTTTGTTAGGGAACAGTTAGGGACTATTCAGGAGCAGGAAACAAAAACTCCCTGCTCTCATGGAACTTGCAATGTATGAGGTGCTGGCACGTGCTCAAGCAGGGCAAGGGACTGGAAGTGAGAGGGTGGTGGCAGAGCAGACGGGAACGCGGCGACAGGTGTGCCTGTCCTCTGTGGGGCCACAGGGCCTGACCGGAGCGGACACTCAGGTCATGTGGGCCTGGGAGATTTCCAGGCCCTGGGGACACACCCAGCCCGACTGATGTTCTTAAGGGCCAAGCTGGCTACAGTGGGAAGAGCAAATGCTGGCTTGGAAGGTGGTTATGGTTTGCAGGTGGAACCAACGGAGTCTGCTGAAGGTCATGACAGATGGGTCAAAGTGGTATCCTGTTTTTTATTTGGAAGAACTGCCAAAATGGGATTGCCCTCTGCTGAGGTCAGGAAAGTGGCAGGAGGAATGGGCTTGAGTTCCATCTGGGACACATTCGGTTTGGGGATATCCATTAGGCATCCATGCAGGCAGCTGGTACGTGAGTTTGGAGTTCAGGGGAGAGGTTGGCATGGAGACAGAAACATGCATGGCATCACCCGGGGTGCATGCGGGTCGGAGGGGAAGAGGATTGTGTCCTGTGGGCATTCCAGGGTTCAGAGTGACAAGGATGAGGAGGGGCCTGTGGAGGAGGGGGTGGTGAGGGCAGGGTGTGTCTCTCTCACTGCAGAACTGAGCAATGGACTCTGGATTTGGCAGTGTGGACCTCATTGGTGACCTTTATAAGAATGATAGGGACTAAAACCTGAATGGACTAAGTTGAGAGAATGGGGGAGAGGCAGTGTGGAGAGCGAGTGTCGGTGATGCCAGAGGGACTTGCTGGGATGGAGCTGGAAAGGAGGGCAGGAGATGTCACAGACTGCTCACATGCCCCAGCTGAGCAAAGGGCCCCCACCCCAGGAGCACGGCCAGCCCTGCTCAGAGGAAGGCGGATACAGGGTCATGCTGCTTACCCTGACCCCGCATGTGACAGGGAGCAGAGTGGAGATGGGCCATGGTGGGTCTGGGGTGGGTGTGGCTGTGAGCTCTCCTAGAATGATTTTGTCCCTATGTTAGATTTACTTTTTCTAACAGGACCATGTTTTTGAGGATTGTAAGATTAATATGAGTAGCTCTTGCATAATTCTTTGCTAGCTTCTATGCATATAAAGATGTCGTAAATTTTGAAAGAAAAATCAAAACCATATAGAATTCTAACTGTCCTTGGGGCCCTTGTGTTTTGTGCTTAGATTCTACTGAGCTACCCAAGCGCCTCAGCCTTGACAGCTCCTCCTCCCTCGAGTCTCTTGCTTCTGCTCAGTCTGTTTCCAACGCCCTGCCCTTGGGTTACCAGCAACCCCCCTTCTCTCCCACCGGTGCGGACAGCATCGCCTCAGATGCCATCTCTGTGTACAGTCTGAGCTCCATTGCCTCCTCAATGAGCTTTGTCTCCAAACCCGAGGGTGGATCAGAGGGTGGAGGCCCCGGAGGACGGCAGGACCATGACCGGTCCAAGAACGCTTACCTGCAGAGATCCACCCTGCCTAGGAGCCAGCTGCCTCCCCAGACCCGCCCTGCAGGCAACAAAGATGAAGAAGAATATGAAGGGTTTTCTATCATCAGTAACGAGCCCTTGGCGACCTACCAAGAAAACCGAAACACATGCTTCTCACCAGACCACAAACAACCCCAACCTGGGACAGCCGGAGGCATGAGAGTCTCGGTGAGCTCCAAAGGGAGCATCAGCACTCCAAATTCTCCAGTGAAAATGACTCTGATTCCCAGCCCCAACTCACCCTTCCAAAAGGTGGGAAAACTAGCAAGCTCAGATACAGGAGAATCAGACCAGTCTAGCACAGAAACGGACAGTACCGTGAAATCCCAAGAAGAAAGCAACCCAAAACTGGATCCACAAGAGTTAGCCCAGAAAATTCTGGAGGAGACACAGAGTCATCTCATTGCGGTGGAGCGTCTTCAGAGGAGCGGCGGCCAGGTGAGCAAGAGTAATAACCCTGAAGACGGCGTTCAGGCGCCCAGCAGCACTGCTGTCTTCAGAGCGTCAGAAACCAGTGCGTTCAGCAGGCCTGTTCTCTCCCATCAGAAGAGTCAGCCATCACCAGTCACTGTTAAACCAAAGCCCCCAGCCAGGAGCTCCTCCCTGCCCAAGGTGAGTTCCGGATATAGCAGCCCCACCACCTCAGAGATGTCCATCAAAGACAGCCCGAGCCAGCACAGTGGCCGGCCATCGCCCGGCTGCGACTCACAGACTTCCCAGCTGGACCAGCCTCTCTTTAAACTGAAGTACCCCAGCTCTCCTTACAGCGCTCACATTTCCAAATCACCAAGGAACATGTCCCCAAGCTCCGGCCACCAGTCTCCTGCTGGCAGTGCACCCTCCCCAGCTCTCTCCTACTCCTCAGCTGGATCTGCTCGCTCAAGTCCAGCAGACGCTCCCGACATAGACAAACTGAAAATGGCAGCCATTGATGAAAAGGTGCAGGCTGTCCATAACCTGAAGATGTTCTGGCAGAGCACACCCCAGCATTCCACAGGGCCAATGAAGATCTTCCGGGGGGCTCCTGGCACGATGACTTCCAAAAGGGATGTCCTCAGTCTGTTGAATTTGTCACCACGGCACAATAAGAAGGAGGAGGGAGTGGATAAGCTTGAACTGAAGGAGCTGTCCCTGCAGCAGCATGACGGAGCTCCACCGAAAGCCCCTCCCAACGGACACTGGCGCACCGAGACCACCTCGCTGGGCTCACTGCCGCTGCCCGCCGGCCCTCCCGCCACAGCCCCCGCGCGCCCTTTGAGGCTTCCTTCTGGAAATGGCTACAAGTTCCTGTCTCCAGGAAGATTTTTCCCTTCTTCCAAATGCTAAAGCATCTTTTATACCCACTGACTCTGAGCAGCCTGCAGATGGGGGCCTGGCGTTTGCTTCAGCCCTTCCCTGAGTGCAGTCCCCCCACAGCCACCAGCACCCTCATGATGCTGTGCTCTGCAGGCGAGGGGCACCACCACGTCCAAAGGCTGCCACACACACTGGTGGCTTTTCTGGGCCACATTCACCAAAAGCCAGGACTTCTGTGGGGCTGGTACAGGAGGCTCATGGAATTTCCTACACACTTCACCAAATGTTTGTTTACCTTTGAACTCCCTGCTTCTCATCTTTGATATGATTCTTCACCAGGATTTTGTACAAAAATGATCATGGTTCTGGGGTGGGGAGAGGAAAGGGAGCACATATTTTGCTAAGAGGTATATATGCAGTACCTTTTATACACAGAAATACAAATAGAGCTTTTTCTAAGGCTTTCGGTTGCTGGTTGGGGGTGGGATATATGAAATTTCAGTTGAATTCTACAGGAAAGTGTTATATTAGCCAAAAACAGAAAAATGGTTTTTAAAATGCCAATGATTTGTAATTAAATTGTAGCAATTTTGGTCTCATGATAGTGTAATATCTCAGCAACAATGCAATAATTCACATTGAAACAGCGCTTCCATTCTGAACTCTGCTCTGCAAATGTCTTTTGGGTCCCGCTGTCAACCAAACTTGAATTTTCTTAAAAAAAAAATTATGTAACTCTTATCCAGGCATTTTAGAACTATGCAATTGTGATTTAAAATGCAACTTTGTGCTTTTAAAACATTATTGACCTTTTTTGTATATGGATAAACAACTTGGTTTTATTATCAATAGTACTTTGCATTTATAGCTATTATTTTTAAAAGCTCAAAAAGTTTTTTAAAATGTCAAATTTTGAATAGTCATCAATAAGTAATTATCAAGTTTGGAAGGAAAGGTTGAAATGACTCCGTTTCCTTATAAGCAAAAAAAAAAAAAAAAAAAAAAAAAAAAAAAAAAAAATTTCCATGGCTAACTAGATTTAACCAGAATCCCGCCTTCCAGGCTCCTGTTCCCTTTTATTAGCTGCTGAATTTTATTCCCTTTTCCCAACTCCAGGTCCCTCAGTTGTCTTATATCTAAATCCTTTGCCAGGTCCCCACAATCCCAGCACCTGCCTCTGTGAGCTGCCCCCAGGCCCTCACCTTGGCCCTGGCCAGCCTCCTGTGCTCCTGCTGTCTGAAGGACTGGCCCCTCCCCCACTGCTGAAGCCACACGTACAGATCCTAAGCAACAGGGCCTTTTGCTGGGACGTATGCCTGGATTATGGCCAACCGGGAAGAGAGAGATGTATCTTAAAAAGTGGAGGTGGACTTCTCCTACAGCTCTGACGGTAACTTAAATTGTTGCCAGCTTGAGGCAAGACAAGGGAATCATCTAGTTAGGGGTAACCATTAATTTATTTTATAAAGAAAGGAAATGCTGAAAGTCGTATTAGTACTGAGTTTAGTTGGAGAATTTAGATAAGTAAGTATCTTTTAGGTAATTCTAAAATTAAAATCCTACCCACCTCACTACAGGGTTCCTCATGAAGGTGGGCGGCCACCTGGCCTGGGCCACCAGCAGCACATGGAGCAGACCTGAGGGGCCTGGCAGGGGGCACTGACCTCAGGATCCCCAGGTGGGGGTTTTAACCATGGGTGGGATCTCAGCTTCTGCGCATACACTGACAATCTCACCTGTTCCTCAGTGTACTCCTCTGAAAAGAAGAAAGGATAATATTTATCCAATCTGTGTTCTCCTGAGCTCCATCCTAGGGGTTTTTAATTTAACCAACAGCCATGTTGACAAAAGCCAACAATAAGCATGTCTTATTCTAGCCCTGATCCCAACACTGAAAGCGAAGTACTTTATAAAGAAGCCAGCAATTATGAGGGTTTCTTTATGTTAGTAGGGGAAAAAATGGTAATAAAAGTACCAGTGTAGCAAGTGAAGACCAAATTTATAGCACTGTGCATTAGATAGCAAAATCAGGTTCTTAACAATGAAAAGTAAACCTCAAGTTTCTAAATCCATATGCAGATGGTTAGGCTGTCCCTCTCTTAGCAAATCTCTCAGCCTCCTTCTTTCCCAAGTGCCAAGGATCCCTGGAGTAAAGCTCTGGGGTCTGTGCTCTCTTTCTGTGAGGGGAAGGCTGCGGCCCTATTTGCCCCTCTCTAGCAAACACCCCCACCACCCTGCCGCTTCCTGTGGTTATTGAGCCAGCTAGGAGTTACTCATGGACTCTAACCTGGTTTTAGTCCCATGTACATCGTTGTTTTAGGTTTCATACTGAAGAGCCAATGGTTTATGTGGTTTTATTCTGTCTTAAATATAAGTTTCAAGGAAGGGAAAACAAAAGTGATAAAATGATAGAACAGTCTAGAGGCCACTGTAAAGTCACCGCCACTTTACGTGTATGTCAGTCTTGGTGTTCTTGTATGAGTAAAATGGATGTAAAATCATAAAATCACAGTGAATGTTTCAGGCTACACTGGAAAAAGTATGCACTTAGAATTAAAGGAAATTGTATAATTCACCAAGATTTCTTTGTGTAGATCAGGGGTTGGCAACTATGACCCACAGGCTAAGACTGGTCAGCGGTCTGGTTTTTCACAGCCATGAGCTAAGTTACCTTTTTAAAGGGTTATATAAGTAATTACATCATATTTTTGATTTTGCCTTTGGCCCACACCACATAAAATATTCAATACCTGGCCTTTTTTTTTTTTTTTGAGACAGAGTCTCGCTCTGTCACCCAGGATAGAGTGCACTGGTGCGATTTTGGCTCACTGCAACCTCTTCCTCCTGGGTTCAAGCAATTCTCCCTGCCTCAGCCTCTAAGTAGCTGGGACTACAGGCACCCACTACCATGCCTTGCTAATTTTTGTATTTTTAATAGAGATGGGGTTTCACCATGTTGGCCAGGCTGGTCTCGAACTCCTGACCTCAGGGGATCCGCCCGCCTTGGCCTCCCAAACTGCTGGGATTACAGGTGAGCCACTGCGCCCAGCCAATACCTGGCCTTTTAAGAAGTTTGCTGACTCCTGGTATGGATGACAGAAAATGGAATAACGTTTTGTTTCTCCAGTCTAGGAAAAGCAAGTCAGGTAGTGGATAGACTGACTGGCGTCCGGGGAGCCCAGGGTATGTGAGGGCCACGTGGATGGAAGCAAATGCCTCCTGCATAGCCCTTGGCTCTTTGTCCCACTTGGGAGGAGTCCATGGATGTAATATTTACAAAACAATTTTTTCCTTACCATTTGCAGAAAGCATTGCATATATTTCCTTTTAGCTCAGGAAACTGGCATGCCCCACCCTCTGCTACTCCATCAGATGTAAATACAATGACTATAAGCCGTACAACTCCCCTCTCTTAGAAACCTCAGCAGGACCACAGAGCAAGGGAGTCAAAGCTTTCTTAATTCTCTCCAGTAAATGACTCAACTAATTTGATTTTTTTAATTAAGTCAAAATATCAAGAGAAAAATTGCTACTAAAACTTACATTTTGATCCACACTGATGTGCAACACAAAATGAAAGTTTTCACCTCCATTCCATTTTTTAAAAATTCACGGTCCACACTGAAACTTGCTGGGTTTTAGCAGGAGACAAAGGTGTCACCCACGCTGTCCTCATCCTGCTCTCTCTGTCCCAGTGACGCTCCAGCATATGATCACTGCAGCCGGTCCCTGGCCCGTGCCGATTCTGCCACCTCCCAGCCACACACATTTGCAGACCCACAAGAAGAACTGTAGCCTTGATAATTTCAGTTCAGGCTGGAAAAATGCCATGCAATAATCTGGTTTGCTTTCAGTAAGTAGGCAACAAGTGAAAACTGTATAATTTTCATCACCTATTCTGCTGTTCTATCTAAAATGAGTGTACCTGTGGTTTGTGAACTGGGCCCTTGTTTGTGCCAGATCCTTCAAAGATGTTCCCTGTCAGGACACCTGTGGCCCTGCCCCTCCTCAGACACCTTCCCACTGGCATTCACGTTCCTTATATGCAGTGTTAGCCATCTTTGGCCTACGTGGACTTTTTTTGTAAATTACACCATTTCCAGACATTAAACTTTTTATATTATGAAATTTACCATGTAAAAAGAACTTCATATTTTTATTGAGATTGCTAAGGCACTTGGCCTTCCTCCTTTGTGATTTTCAGTGTCTATTAAAGCATGAGTTCCCTCAGTTTTAAGTGCTGTATCTGGATCACTTTCTCTACTCTTTCCACACTGTCTAGGTTTCTTTGCAGTACATGGAGTGGGCCGTGTGTCATTACTGAGCACGTATCTCTCTAGTTTTAACCCCACCTCTACACCATAGCCTCACATCCGCCAAGCAGAGAGCACGACCATGCATGCAGCAGAGCTGTCCCGCACGTCTCTGGTCTGGGGGCACTGTCGGTGGGGGGGTAATTTAGACGCTACTCATAGTTGGAGGGCCAGAAAGTTCGACAGTTGAATACGTATTTCGACAAACAGAAACAGAGTTCATCACCACCAGATCCCTATATCATCTAACAAAACTTCCAAGGTAGTATTTCAGAAAGAAGGAAGATAATTCTATATGCAAAAGTGTGAGAAGCATGAAGGAATAGTAAAGAATTGGGTAAATATGCATAAATGAACACAAATATTGCCTTTATAAAAAGAGTAATGTTTCATTCGGCTAACAAAAAATACTAGACAATAATATGTAAAACATGGGAGTTAAAGTGCTATAAGTTTAGGAACAAATTGTATATTATTTTTAGAGTAAGTTAAATATATGTAGTTACACACACACACATTGAAGTAGAGGGTTATACTTCCAAACTAGTCAGTGGAAGAGAAACAGATTCATTTTGTAAAACCCTGGTTGATGTAAAGGAATAGAAAAAGGAAGGAACAACAAAAACCATCTAAAAGGCAGGACAAATATAAGATGAAATTAATTGTACATTTTCAAATAACTAAAAGTATAATTGGATTGTTTGTAACACAAAGGATAAATGCTTGAGGGGATGGACACCCCATTCTCCATGATGTGATTATTACGAATTGCACGCCTGGATCAAAACATCTCACGTGCCCCATAAATATATACATCTACTATGTTCCCACAAAAATTAAAATTAAAAAATAAGACAAAAGAAAAATATCAGTAATCATTATAAATGTAAGTGAACTAAACAATTAAGCAGTAGATTAACAGATGATGGCAATAAGCCACATGCTCTTTAAAAGGCTATATGCTATTTGAAAAGAAAACCACCAAAGCATAAGGGCCCCCCCAAATGGCTGATAGTAAAAGGACTGGCAAACTAGATATTAAAGTAAGGGGCACTAATAAAAACAAAGATCCACTTCCTAATGATAAACTTGGCAAAAAGGCAAAATTCTAAATTTGTATGCAGCTAACTACATAGCCTCCAAATTCATGAAGAAAATTGGCAGAACTACAAGTTTGAAAAAACATCATCATGGGAAGTTTTAAGCCACTACTCTTTTGATAGATCAGCAGACGAAAAGTTAGAAAGCATGTGGTAGGTTTAAACAATTATGTGAACAGGCTTCTGAAATGCGGTTAAGGAGAACCCAGTCTCAGATAGTGAATCCACGGTCTTCACCTGCACACATGGAATATTTCATGAAAATAGACCATGCACAGGCCACATAGCAAGTCTCAGCAAATATCGAAGAATTACTACCACATAATCAGAGCACAATACAATTAAGTCAGGCAACAATAACAAGAGGATAACTAAAAAGTAGCCAATCACTTAGACATTTTAAAATGGACCACATAGCATATGACCCATGGAAGAACTCAAAATAGAAATGGGAAAATACAACATATCAAAACAGGTGGATGCCTCCAGATTTACCTTAGGAATATCTGAGTTTTTCTTTTATTAAGGACAGTGGTGTTTCTTATTTATTCTATACTCGCCTATAATTTGCAATTATCACTTTCACCCAATAAAATAAAATTACAATTATTTTCATTTCTGCTTACATGCTATTTTCAGAAAATGTATACATTATGTTATAAAGAAAATTAATAATTCCATAAAACTAGTGGAATACAACATATTAAAGAAAAATTTATAGCCCTAAATGTTTATATTCAAGGGTAATATTTATGTAACTGCAAGAGCCCCAAGCGACGAAGAAGGACACTGGTACTGTGAGACTGGAGTACTGAGGTATGTTAGGAAAAAACAAAAACTACTTACTGAGCTAGGTGACCAATTCAAGAAGTTAGAAAAAGAATAATATACCCAGAGAGAAAATAAAAGAGGGAATAAGAAAGGTCAGAAATAAAAGAAGACAATATAGAAGGTTAAGAAGGGCAAAGTTTGCCAAAAAGACAAATACACTGATTTCTGGGAATGGTAATCGTGTGTGTGCATGTGTGTGGGCGTGCGTGTGTGTGAGTCAGAGAGGGAAAGGGAAGGAAAATAGGCTATCTAAAGACGCAGCTGAGATCAAAGAATAAGAAAACGCTACAAACGATTTTATGCCACTATATATGAAAATACAAAATAACGCCTTTCAGGGTCCAGGTGCATACATGCAGTGGAGGTATCTAGAAATGCTGGGAATGAGGGCTCTCACACGCGGGAGTGGTACTGTCGTGCGGGAGGCAAGGCGGTGGAATTAGCGTCAGGAGCGGTATGTGGGCGACTTCAACCGCAAAGCACTGTGACTTACAACTCTAACTGTTTATATATCTGAACTACTTCATAATAAATTTAAGAACAAGTGAAAAATATTATTAGCAATTATACAATAATTAGATTACACAAACTTTTAGAAAAAGACATTAAAAGTTTTGAAAAAAGATAAAATGCCAAAATTGATGTAAGAAGGAAAAGAAACTTAAACTACAATGGTAATCACAACTCTTTGCCCTTACCCAACTCTCCAAAAAATAACAGGCCCAGGCGGTTTTACATGTATTTCACCAAACTTTTAGGAGTTTTTTTTCAGCTAATCTCTCTCTTTTCAAAATGAACTGTTTAGAAAATATAAAATGATGTCCAAATCATTTCATGATGCTATCCTTAATTCTGAAACCAGTGAAGAGTATAGGAAAACAACAGGACCATTCCATGTGTGAACCTAGACATAACAATCCTAAAGAAAATATTGGCCATTAAATCTCTGCATTTTATTTTATTATTTATTTACTTTTAGAGATGGGGCTCTCGCTATGTTGCCAAGGCTGACCTCAAACTCCTGGGCTCAAGCAATCCTCTTGCCTCAGCCTCCTAGATCAGCTGAGACCTCAAGCATGCACCACCGCCCCCAGCAAACCTCTGTTATTTTGAAAACTAAGAAAACACAAACTGAAAAGTGGATCTATGTGTTAGTGACTTGGGAGTGTTGGTCTTTGCTAATATACACACAACTGGTATTCCTAAGGGACCAGAGCTCTGACCCTAAACGGATACCTATAAACACATTCGTATGCGGAAAACCTTATAATAAGCATGAAATTCTGGAGAACATTATGACCCTAAGAACTGGGGTGGATGAGTTCTATGGTTTACACTATAATTATACAAGAGGCAAAATCTATTATCTTCCCATTATAAGAAAATAAAATTTGTATGTCAATGTAAAGGGAATTCCAAGTGGTTCTACCATTTCTTAAGACACAGTATAAGAGCTATACCCTGCTACTGGTGTTAAAGTAGACTTTTACTTTAGTATAATACAATAATCTACAGACTACATCTAAGTATGAAAGGTTAATGAGACATAATGCAAGGATTTATGAGCACAATAGTGTGGGCCCCAATACTTCAGGAAATCCAATTTATATTCCCTGTTACTGCTAAAGAATTTGCATATTCCATTGTAGAATACATATTTTGTTGGACACGTCCTTTGAAGGAGAGAATGGCCCTTAATGAAGATTTGATTCTGTGCTTCAGGATCTCAGTTGACAGCTAATACGAAAGATGGTTACAAGTAGGACTGCTCTTAGCTATTGCAGCTACTTTTAGGATTCTAATGCTTGATTTATAGTCACTTTGTTGTGTTGCTTTTAACCTCAGATATTCTGGACAGGGGCCGCAGCTTGGTACCTTCCTCTATTTAAAGCTTTTCTTTAACTTTCCCAATGAGCATGCAGGCTTACAGCCTCTAATACTCCTAAATAATGGCAAACAGCAGGGAACTGACAGGCTAATGCTGCATCCACTCCAGCAAATGAGGCCAAACATCTGGAGCCAAACACATTAAAGGGACACATTGGCATTAAGGAAACATTTTGCTTCTCAAATGAATTTCATCCAATCTCAAGATATTTATTAAATTTGTAGCAATTATGCATTTGGGCTTCAGGGAATAATAATATTCTTAAGTATATAAATATTGTCAATATATTTACTTAAAATAAAAAGTTTTAAACTTTAAATCCCAGGAGCAGAACTGAAAGTCTATACTTTTAGTTAATTAAGACAGGTAAAGGGATTTGAATTCTGATTTGCCTGGCAGCATTTTGCCAACAGTCTAATTTTTTTTTCCTATACAGATCTTCTTGAAGTATAGCCATTTTCATTCTAAACCAAAAATGCAAAAGTAAAATCAAATTAACATGTGGTCAAAATGAAAAAGGCAGTTCTTATCTGTAATTTCAAAAGTGATTCATTCCACAAATATTTGCTCAGAGTTTATGATAAGTAGAATGCAGCCAATAAAAAATAAGCAGAAAGTTAAAACAGGTGTTAGAAAATCCATAAAACAGGCCAAGCACAATGGCTCACACCTTAATCTTAGCACTTTGGGAGGCCAAAACGAGGGAATTGCTTGAGCCCAGGAGTTTGAGACCAGCCTGGGCAACATGGTGAAACCCTGTCTCTACAAAAAATACAAAAATAAGCCAGGCATGGTAGCCTGTTCCTGTAGTCCCAGCTACTCGGGAGGCTTTTAGGTGGGAGGATCACTAGAGCCTGGGAGGTTAAGGCTGCAGTGAGCCATGATCATGCCACCACACCCCAGCCTGGGTGACAGAGCAAGACCCTGTTTCCAAAAAAAAAAAAGAGAAAAGCAAGTCCATAAAATACAGCTTATGCACTTCACTTACATGCCATTGTCTTCGTGATACAATTTAAACACCTTGATGAATGAAAACACAACCACTGTGCCCCTACCCACCCACTCACCACCCCTCCCCAGAACTGCCTCGGCCCAGCCTAGGGAGTTGTGAACCCAGGCAGTTGTGTTTCCTACTGGAGGACTCTACTCTCCCAGCTGCAGCTGACTAGGCAAGAGCAGGAAACAGACTGCATGGCCCAGCCAACCCCGGGACACGTCAGAAAAACGCCTGTGAACTGGCCAACCAGATTCCTTTTCTCATGAATTCAATCCAGAACATCTTGACAAGATCCAGTATTTGCAGCTGAAGCAAGACCCAAAGGCTGGTGATGTAAACTGAGGTCAGTGGGCCATCATGACCACGTGCAGCCCAGAGTGACAGAGGCGCAAAAGCCATGCGTAAGCAGAGAGAGGAGAAGCGAAGAGGAAGACAGGACAGATGCAAAGACACTAGGAGAGAGACCAAAAAAGTCTCCAAAGTAGCCAAGTTCCAGGCCATGCTAGTTTCAGGATTAGCTACTTCCAAGTTAGGGTAACTTACATGGCAGTCTTTTTTTTTTCTTTTGTAATTTAATGGCCTTAGTTGTGGATGTTTGAATCTATGGCATAAATAGAAGCAAGTTAGAAATGGGGTAGGGAGGAAGGCTGTAGAGTCAGGCAAACTGAGACAGAAATGACAGCAAAGGAAGAAGAGCTATACATAGGTCATAAAAGGGCACACAAAACATGAAGGTCTGGGGCCTTATAATGAAGGCCACTACAGTACTGTACAGTCTTGGACAGTATGACATGAAATAAATAGAGAAGTCCCATGTCCCTTCTTACCAGCTTATGCTCTGCCATCCCATCTATTATTGTAGGCAGAGCCTCTGGGCCCCTCTCCATGGCCAACATGTCCACTAGCCCAGACCCACTCACTCACCCTTGCCTATTGCAGAACAGTGCTTTAATAATTCTCCTCTCTCTCTCCTGCATTGTCAGGCTTTCCCTCTCAGATGAATCATTCCTATCAGCACATAAATACGCTATAGCTGTCCAACTCAGTACTATATCCCCATCCAGTTAACACTCCATTTCTCTGTTCTCCTTTCAGTACAAAGCTCCCAACTGGTCTATACTTGGTGTCTCCAATTCCACTCTTCCCCCTCTTTCTTGAACTACCCCCTCAAATCAGGTTTTTGGCCCCACATAAGACCAATAGCTACATCCATGGTGCAAAATCTAGTGGTTAATTCTTAGTTCTTTGTAATGCAGTACAAAGGGTACAGCATCACCTAAGGTAGTCTTGAAATACAAGTTTAATCTGGATCTAAGTAAGCATACATATATATGCTTATATATATATATAACTGTTATATATATAACTGTTTTTTATATATATAACTGTTATATATATATATAACATATATATATATAACTTCCAATTTTCTATAAATACAGGGATTATTTTAATGAGTTACACAACAACATAAGAGAACAGTGAAGCAAATCCAGAAGGTGGGGCCACCCCACCACTCCACACAGTGCTTTTCAATAGAACTATCTGCAATAATGAAAATTTGTGCTGTGCAATACAGTAGCCACTAGGTACATGTGGCTGCTGAGCAACTAAAACGAGGTTAGTGTGATCAAGGAAAATTTTAATGTTAATTTACATGGATATGGCCATATGTGCCTAATGGCCACTGTTATGAACAACACAATAAGACCACTGACCTGATTGCTTCAACACATCAATGTCATAAAGAAATAAAGGATATTTACTGTTCAAGAGTAAAAAAATGAAGAGACATCACATCCAATAGTAAATGCAATTTTTTTATATACTAACAATAAATACTGGAAAATAAAATGTAAACCAATTCTGTTTACCATTGCATCAATAATCATAAAAGAATTGATTAAAAATATAAACTGTACACTTAAAATGGGAGCATTTGTAAATTACTATGTAAATTATACCTCAAAGTTGATAAAATATATATAATAAATTTAATAAAAGAGATGCAAGATTTCTACTTTGAAAACTATAAAATGGTGCTGAGAAAAATTAAAGACATACATAAACAGAGAGATATACAATGTTCATGGATAGAACACTCAATATTGTTAAGCTGCTAGTTCTTCCCAAATTGATTTATAGATTCAACACAATTGCAATCAAAATATTAGCAGGAAAAATCTTAGCAGATTTTTCACTAGAAACTGACAAGTTAAATCAAATTATTCAGAAATGCAAAGAATCTAGAAAAGTCAAAACAAACTTGCAAAAGAGAATGACTTCAAGACTTACTCTAAAGCTATGGTATGTAAAAGCTATGTGGTTCTGGCATATAATCAAATATTTCAGAGGACAGAATAAGGTTCAGAGTATATGGAGAGAACGGAGTCCAAACATACAGTCAATCATTTTCAATAGAGGGTTCCAGGGCAATTCAACAAAGAAGGAATATTTTCAACAAATAGCACTAAAATAACAACATATCATTTAGAAAAAGATAAACCTTAACAATTACCTCAAATAATACTCAAAAATGTATTCAAGGTGGATCATAAACCTAGATGTAAAAGCTGAAACTATAAAGCTTCAGGCAGGGAAATATGTCTTTGACCTTGAGTCAGGCAAAGATTTCTTGAGACATGAAATGCACTAACCATGAAATAATTTAATAAATGGGAATTTATCAAAATTAAAACTGCCTTCTCTTCAAAAGATATCATTAAGAAAATGAAAAGGAAACCACAGCTTAGAAGACAAAATGTGTGCTACATTTTTGTGATACCTTTACCTGACAGAAGACTTGTATCTGGAATATATATAAAACTCCTGTAACAATAAAACATCAAAAAATAAAGGCAAAAGATTTGAACAAAAACTTCACGGAGGAAGATATACAAATGATCAACAAGCACTGAAAATGTGCTCAGACTCATTAGTTATCAGGGAATACAAATTAAAACTACAATAAAAAAACACTTCACACCTTGAGAATGGCTACATTAAAAACACTGACCATATCAAATGTTGATGAGTATATAGAGCTACTAGAATTCACACATATTGTTAGTGGGAGTGTTAAATGATGCAACCATTTTGGAAAACAGCTGGATAGTTTCTTATAAAATTGAACATACACCCACTCTATCGCCCAATCAAATTCTATACCTAAGTATTCACTCAAGAGAAATGAAAAAAGATGTCCACAAAGAGACTCATCTAAGAATGTTCATAGTTGCCTTATCCATAGCAGCCACAACTGGAAAAAAACAAAATGCCTATTATCAGGTAAATGGATAAACAAATTTTGGTATAGTCGTACAGTGGAATACTCAACAACAAAAAGGAATGAACTGATATATCCACCAAGATGAGTGAATATAAAACACTGTATGTTGAGCAAAATAAGTAAAAAACAAGAGTTCATACGTTTCTATTTATACAGAGTCCTAGAATAATCGAAACCTACTTACGATGACAGAAATCTTTCAAAAGAGTGGTTGCCTCTAGTAGGAAATGGGGATTGACTGGAAAGGAGCATGAAGGAACATTCTAAGGTGATGACTGTGTTCTAGATCTTAACTCGAGTGTTGATTACATGGGTGCAGGCATTTGTCAAAACTCACTAAACTGTACCCCTAATATTTTTGCATTTTATTATGCATAAATGAATTAAAAGCCTCAGCAGTGTTTTGTTTTTGGTAGAAATTAACAAGCTGATTCTAAATGTATATGGAAATGCAGAAGGGCCAAGTATATCCAAGGCAGTCAGTCTAGAAGAACAACAAGGCTGGAGAAGTTACATTGCCAGAAACTAAGCTCTAGTACAAAGCTATGAGAATTAAGAGAGTAGAACTGGTGCGAGGATAAAAAGACAGATGAATGAAACACGACAGGAAGTTCTGAAGCAGACCCATGCATATGTGGTCACCTGACCTATGACAAAGATGACAGCGCTGTCTAGTGGGGAAAGAATACACTTTGCAATAAATGGAGCTTGGTTAACTGAATATGCATTTTTTAAAATTAATATTTACCTCTATATCATACCATACATAAAAAATCAATTCTTGCCAGGCGCGGTGGCTCACATCTAATCCCAGCACTTTGGGAGGTCGAGGCGGGCAGATAACAAAGTCAAGAGATTGAGACCATCCTGGCCAACATGGTAAAACCCTGTCTCTACTAAAAATACAAAAATTAGCCAGGCGTGGTGGTGGGTGCCTGTAGTCCCAGCTACTTGGGAGGCTGAGGCAGGAGAATCAATTGAACCCGGGAGATGGAGTTTGCAGTGAGCCCAGATAGCACCGCAGCACTCCAGCCTGGGCAACAGAGCGAGACTCCATCTCAAAAAAAAAAAATCAATTCTTGGTGTATTGTATATCTAAATATAAAAGATAAGGTGAAAAGGCAGAAAAATCTAGGAAAACTGTTTAGAAAAAAACATGAGACTACCTACCATCACAACTTTAAGGTAGCAAACATTTCTTAAATGGGACATAAAAAGTGATAAATATAAAGAAAATATTTGAGAAAATGGACTATCGACTATCGTGTAAGTTAATGACAGTGTATTTACACAACAAAATACTTTATGGCAATGTGTAACAACCTGAATGAATACCTCAAATAAAGTGTTGGCTGGCCTAGGTACCTGGGACAGCTGAGTTTTTTGGAGATTTTTCTGTGGTGTCTCCATCTTCCCATCTCTCAGAAAGTCAGAAGCAAACCTGAGAAGTAGCCGTTACTTTGCTGTGTCTTCCCCTTCCTGCCCATGGTTTGGCCACACTGAGTCCAGTCTTGCTTGACATACTTAGAGAGGTTTGTTTTCCTGACTAGACCCTGGCTGATTCCAAAGTTATGGTAAATAAGATAATGTGGTAATTATTAGCCCAGGAAATCAGGCTAATAGCTCAGAATTAGACCCACAAGTGTATGTATGTAAAGTTGGTATTTGCAGATCAGTGGGAAAAATATGGCTATTCAATAAATAATGTGGAGAACCATTTCATAAGAAATATTCATTTCAAAAGAAGAAAAACTGGATCTCTACTTCTTACCATATATAAAAAGTTGAATGAAAGCCTTAAATATGAAAAATAAAACTTATGAGCTTTATAGAATATTGTTATAATTTCAAAGTAAGATTTCTTAAATAGACACACAAACCATAAATAAGATGAACTTCTGTTCATCAAAAGGCACTTCCTCTACTCCTTCCCAAAACATTCAGAACAAAGCCCTTAGGTGGCTGTGAGCAAGGCAGGCGGCCGAGTTGTGGGGGAGCTGTGGCGGCCTGGGAGGGATGATAGAGGCTGGCCAGGGTGAGGAGGGCATCCTTTGGGGGTGGGGAAGGCGATGCAGGATGTCAGAGCACAGGCAAGGTGAGAAGAATGCCCATGTGGAGGAGTGACAGTGGCCCACACCCGTGTGTGGTGTGGGAGCCTGAGTGGGGTGACGGAGGGTCCCCACAGGGCAGTGGTGGTGGCAATGGGGATGCATTACACACAGGGGACTGCTCAAATACACAAATCTATAATGCATCATGGGAGTGAGGCTTCTCACTGTTGGAGTCATTACAAATGTTGAGAACTAGAATGAACCCTATGTGGTGTGTATTAGAATTGGAAATACTGATATAAGCTTATGGTTTGCATCAATCAATCAATCAATCTAGACATACAGATATGTTCCCTAGCTCTGACAGGGAGAGCCTGGCAGCAGCAACGCCCCAATAGTAAGAAAGCACCCAATACCCAGAACTCGGCTTCTAAAAACCGTTCTCCACTAAACGGAACCAGGGCTCCTTGGAAAAATGACTGGTTTCAGGCAGAGCTGGAACACCTTGCATATCAGAAGGTAAAGAAGTACTCAAAGAATGACTGGGCCATGTCAAAAGGGCACAGGTGACAATTTGAAGGGGCTCCCACTGGCCAAATCAGGTACAATTTGAGTATCAAAAAAAATAATGTTAGTAACAAATTATAACCCATCGAATAAAGTAGGAAACTGGGTCCATAGTGACGAATGAATCGAAGGTTGGGTGAGGAACAGGATAGTGTCCATCTGGGGGAATTATATTTGGTTCTTTGAACCCTATTTCCATGGTTCCTGTCCTGCTCCTCCGCCTCCTAGAACACATGATATGTATTTATAATTGCCTTTCTAATGCCAAGGTCTCCATCATCTGTGCCGTTTCGGTCAGTTTCTAATGCATTTTTCTCCTCCTTAAGGCTCATATGTTCCTACTTTTTTGCAACTCTAGCAATTATTGACTAGATGCTGGGCACGGTGAGTTTTAAATTGTAGGGTACAGGGTTTTTGATCTTTTGTATTCTTTTAAATATTTCTGTGCTTTGTTCTAGGACATGGCTAAGTTCCAGTTTGATCTTGCAGGGCTTGCTTGTAAGCTTAGCTAGGTGGGACCAGCTGGTGCAGCCTTTAGCCCGGGCTAAGCCAGCCCCTGCACTGAGATGAGCCGTTCTGGGAACCCTGTCTAATGCCACACATCGTGAGATTTCTCCACTCCGGCTGTTGGGAACATGAACTATTCCCATCCCTTTGTGTTCCACAGATTGTCCTGCCTGCACCTCTACCGCGGCTCTTTGTCTGGCCTCAGGTGGTCTCCTCACTCGCCTGCTGAAGCCCCAGGAGGGTCCTCTGCACTGCCTTCTCCTCTCTGGTCTTTGTCCTGTTAATTCTTGCCACCTTGACCTCCCTAAATCCTCAACCTCAACACAACTGCAAGCTCAGTCTCGGTCTCCCTCCCAGCGCTGAGGCCTGAACACTCCAGGGGGTAAGCGGGGAACTTCCTGGGGCTCACTCACCTCATTCACTTTCCCTGCTCAGGGCACCACAGCTGGCGGTGCCCAGCCTCCAGTGTCTGCAAACTGCTGTGTCCTATACCTCAGTAGATTTTTTGTTACTGTTTAAGACATAGGATAAGTCTGGTCCCTGTAATTCCCTCCTGGCTGGAAGTGGATGTGAAAAATGGGATTTTACATTGTTTCAACGTGCCTCTCCAGAAAATACTTATCAATTACAGAGAGAAAAAGAGTAACTTTACATAGGAGCCTGGCAGATGGCATTTTAATGAAGTGACTAAAATAAACATAATCAGAAATGGGATAAATTGGAATCATGTGCCAATTTTATAATAAAGGTCCTTCCTGGATACACTGAGAAGATGGCAGCTTTACTGGTGATATTTCTGCTAAAGATGTATAACCTGAATCTAATCATAAGGAAATATCAAACTCAGATTGAAAGACATCCTGAAACATGACTTACCTGTGAACTGGGGACACACTTTGGAAAGTAACTGATAACTATGGAAGATGTTTATACCCTATGACTCATCAGTTCAACTCCTAAGTACACAGTCTAGAGAAAAGCATACATATGCACAAGAGACCTACTGGAATGTCCGTGATGGTATCATTTACTCTAGCAAAATGTTAAAATCAAGTTAAATACCAAGAAGAGAATGACAAAATGTACAGCGGTGAAAATGGATGAACTAGAACCACACATCCCCACAAGGATAAATCCACTCAACAATGATCAGTAAAAAGAATCTATTACAGATTATGCATGAGAAGGGTAACAGCACATTTACATAAAGGGTGGGTCTGGGGGACAGAAGGCAATCTGGGAGGACTATACCAACAGTTTCTATTGTATTTATAATGTTTTATTTCCTAGAGTAGATGGTAGACACATGGGTTTTCATTGTTATTCTCTGTACCTTTACGTCTGAAATACTTTGGTTAAAAAATGCTAAGTATCGGCTGGGCGCGGTGGCTCACGCCTGTAATCCCAGCACTTTGGGACACCAAGGCGGGCGGATCACGAGGTCAGGAGATCGAAATCATCCTGGCTAACACAGTGAAACCCGGTCTCTACTAAAAATACAAAAAAATTAGCTGGGCATGGTGATGGGTGCCTGTAGTCCCAGCTACTCGGGAGGCTGAGGCAGGAGAATGGCGTGACCCCAGGAGGCGGAGCTTGCAGTGAGCTGAGATCGTGCCACTGCACTCCAGCCTGAACGACAAAGCAAGACTCCGTCTCAAAAAAAAAAAAAAAAAAAAATGCGAATTACCTGTGCTGAAAATTTTCCATCCAAAATGGTTAAAATAAAAACTTTGCTAAAATAGCTTTGTTTTAGCACACCATTGGTTTTCTGAGAAACGTGCCCGTAAGGAGGTCCTATGAAGGTAATGTCAGGTAAACTTTCATTGTATTCACAAATAATTTTTCCAAACATTTGGCTAATTCTGACAGTGTAGCAAGGCTGTCAGTTTTGTCTGGGACTAGGTGCAGTGGCTCATGCCTGTAACCCTAGCACTTTGGGAGGCTAAGGCAGGCAAGTGGCTTGAGCTCAGGAGTTTGAGACCAGCCTGGGCAACATGGTGAAACTCCATCTCTACAAAAATTACAGGAATTCACCAGGCATGGTGGTATGCACCTGTAGTACCAGCTACTCAGTAGGCTGAGGTAGGAGGACCAATTGAGCCTAGGAGGTTGTTGAGGCTGCAGTGAGCCATAATCATGCCACTGCATTCCAGCCTGGGCAACAGAGCAAGATACCCTGTCTCAAGAAAATAAAAATAAAAATTTGTCTGGAACCTGACCAAGTTGATTAATCCAGTTTGAGTAACTGATGAAGTTTTTTTTTTTTTCTTTTTTTCAGATAGAGTCTTGCTCTATGGCCCAGGCTGGAGTACAGTGGTGTGATCTCGGCTCACTGCAACTTCTGCCTCCCAGATTCCAGTGATTTTCATGCCTTAGCCCCCAGGGTAGCTGGGATTACAGGTGTGCGCCACCATGTCCGGCCAATTTTTGTACTTTTAGTAGAGACGGGGTTTCGCCTCGTTGGCCAGGCTGGTCTCAAACTCCTGGCCTCAAGTGATCTGCCTGCTTCGGCCTCCCAAAGTGTTGGAATTACAGGCATAAGCTACCGCACCTGGCCTGATGACGCTTTCATCATCCTGAAAGACTGGGTGGTATAACCCTATCGACCAGCCTTGGCTGGTAATAAGTACACAGGCTATTTGCCATGGAGTTGTAGACAGCTATATACAGCCAACTGCATCAAAGAAAATTAGCTCACCAACCTTATTGTATTTCTAACCTTGAGAAGTGAAAATTTCCTTTAGGCTGACTATGGAGGCTAAAGAATGGTTACTTTGACTTTAATCTTTAAAACTCAGTAAAAGTGGTGAAGTGCACAGGGCTCTAAAATGCCTCAACTGATCAAGTAGACACAGACTTTCCTGAGGTCATGCCCATGCCCAGCCCTCTGAATCCTGACACTTACACAGTTGCAAATGTGACTTTTCAAACTTTTAGAATTCACAGAAGAATGCTGCAGTTCCTAGAGAAGGATGTGTTTTTGGTACATCTTCCTGACCACAAAAGAACCTCTGGCATTTCGCATACTATTTTTGAAGAGTAAATGCAAACAATGGCTTTATTTTCTTTGAAAACTTGTAACCAAATAATAATAATTATTTCTTTTTGAGATGCAGTCTTGCACTGTTGCCCAGGTTGGAGTGTAATGGCGCAATCTCGGCTCACTGCAACCTCCGCCTCCCGGGCTCAAGCAATTCTCCTGCCTCAGCCTCACTGGTAGCTGGGATTACAGACACCTGCCACCATGCCTGGCTAATTTTTGTATTTTCAGTAGAGACAGGGTTTCACCATGTTGGCCAGGCTGGTCTCAAATTCCCGACCTGAGGTGATCTGCCCGCCTTGGCCTCCCAAAGTGCTGGGATTACAGGTGTGAGCCACTGCGCCTAGCCTCAAAGAATTATTTTAAAAGAAAATTCACATGCAACAGGACTTGCATAATGCTTTTCATAAGTCATGAAAGAAACCTATTTTTATTTGTAAATTCAGATATTTTTGTTACACTAATACATGCAGAAATAGATATACATATATGTTCTTCAACTTCTATAAAGGTTTTAAGGAGCTCAAAATAAAAGCACAGCATAAAACTCATAAAAACAAAAATAAAATGAGTCAAGTATTGAAAGGGCAAAGGAAGACAGTAACTGAGTTACTTACACTAGGGTTTTTTTATCAGACTGTGTTCCATTATCAAACACACAGCTGCTCCCCCAGCGTGCATCCAAGGCACCCCTGAGGAGGGATGATGTTGGCGGCAGAGCGTGGCACTCTTCTTGCTGGCGAGCTCTGAGTCCACACCAGCCACAAGTGGCATCCATTCTCTGTGCTCAGAGACTCGGCCTGGGGCCCACACCCTGCTCTGTCTACACAATAGAGGCTTCCAGCAGCTGTCCCAGACATCAAGGAACTGTCAACTGACTCCTCCCACACAAAGGACCAGAGCCCTTAATGTTGCTCTGTTACTATTTTTAATCATTATTATTATTTTTTAACTACTAAGGCGGCTTTGGGATGACTTCAAGAAAACACATCTGGATTGTCTCCAAAAATCTTGAGACCACAAACCAGGGACTAAGTTCTTGTGAAGAAGACTTCCCGCAGCCAAATCCTGCTGGTGCCAGCAGTGCCCTGAGTCCTGGACATTTGTCACGAGCCCAAGGTTCAGGAGGTTACTAACATTTCCCAATTACTGCTTTCTGGATTTTGTTTTAGCTTTTTCTCTTCTCCCTTGCTGTGCTCTGAACTCCAGGAGGAGGATTTTATGTTTATTGGAGAATGAACTGATCAAGGGAAATGGTGGAACTGAGAAGGCTTTCTGTTAACATGACTCATAAACTTTAATGGTTTATTACCCTGAAAGACATCCAATTACCACGGTTCTAATATCTTGCTAATCTTGTATTAAAAAGTTTTTTTAAAGGGCTAAATGCCAATAAATAGTATCCGTACTTTCCATTTTCTGAAAATGAAGCTGAACTATATATCTCACATAGAAAGGTAGTTTTTTTAATTCATCAGGATTTGAATATGGTTAACAGATAAATATTTCCTTACTTCTATTTTCCAAATAAGCTTAGAATCCCTTTCAGAGAATATCACAGAATAGTTTGCAGACAAGAACATTCAGTGTGACTTACAGAAAGATCCAGACTATTCCTGGTTCCCTAACTTGAGATTTGCTGGCCTAGTTTCCACAGTTCATATAAAGCAGACACTTTATACCTGACTTGATAAATTTTCCTCAATTGATCATGAAAAGGAGATAGCACTATCCTTCAAAACAATATTTACTCCTTTTGTGAATCAAATTATATTCATAAATGCTTACATAAACAAAACTAACCAAATCAAAATGACGTTACCTTAAGTCTTATTTTTATCAACTCTCTAATTCTAATAAAGTAATTATGCCTGAAAATTGACAGTGGAAAATGAAAACTGACAATTTTTAAATAACACTTCTCTAGAACAATCAAGCACAAAGTAGTGGTAGGATCTGTCATATCTACATATGTAGAGGTTGGATTTATCATAACTGAATGAAAGAAATTTGGCATATCCCTCAGTTTTTCCTAAATGTAAAGAATGAGAGCTGAATTTTACAATAATCTCTAGGTTTGTTTTTTTAACATAGTGCACTGGCCCACGAATTGGCAACCCCTACAAACACCTAAAAGAAAATTGTTTCTTATTTTGAAAAAGAGATTGTTTTTAAACGTACAGAGTTTTGAATTACAAATATCCAGACTCCTTAAAATAGAGAAACAAAAACAAACATTTTCGGGGCAGGAAAACTCTCACTGAGCCGCTATCTTATCAAACTAGAGGTCATGTAACTGGGTTTAATTTTCCACTAAAGGGTGAACTTTGAATAGAGAAAAATAGGTTTTTGTATATGCTCTTTTTCAGGATTAACTCTATTTTAAAAATTTTCTATTTATACACAGTACATAAACATACAGAGAAGAAAGAAAATCACTTGAAATCCCACCCCACCCAGAGAAAGCTACTTTTAACATTTGCTGAGTATTTTTCCAGGCATTGTTTTTTACTGTGGTGAATTTTTAAATAATTAAGTGTAAAATTCAGTGGCATTAAGTGCACACAGTGTAATGCAACCATTACCACCACAAATTTCCAGAATTTTTTCATCATCCCAAAGAGAATCTCTGTGCCTATTTGTTATGGGTTAAAGTGCATCCCACACACAAAAAGGTATGTTTAAGTCCTAACTCCTAGTACCTCAGGATCTTAAAACAGAGTCTTTGCAGATGCAGTCACATGGAGATCAGCAGGTAGGCCCTAATCTGATCTGATTCGTGTCGTCATAAGGAAAGTTGGACGCGGACACAGACGCAGACATACTCAGAGGGAAGACACACAGGGAGAACCCCGCGGGAAGATGGAGGATTACAGTGATGCATCTGCAAGTCAGATTTTTGGCATTTGCACCCAAGATTACCTGCCAACTACCAGAAGTGAGGAAGAGGCAAAGAGAATTCCCCTGCAGGTTTCAGAGGACCATGGCCCTTTTGTCACCTTGATTTTGGATCTCTACTCTCCAGAACTGTGAGACAATAAATCTCTAGATTTTAAATCACCCATTTGTGGTGCTTTGTTATGGCAGGCCCAGGAAATGAACACACCATGAAACAATTACTCCCTCAATGGCCCCTGGTAACTTGTAGTCTGCTTTCTGTCTCTATGAATTTGCCTATTCCACGTCCTCATAGAAGCGTAATTATACAGTATTTGTCCACTGTGGCTTATTCCGCTAGCGTAATGTTCTCAAGGTTCTTCCAAGTTGCAGCATTTATCAGAATGTTATTTCTTTTTATGAATAATATTCCACTGTATAATGTATAGATCACATTTTATTTACCCATTCATCTGTTGATGGACATCTGGACTACTTCCACCTTTGGCTATTATGAATAACGCTGCTATGAACATTGGTGTAAAAGTATCTGAGTCTCTTCTTTCAGTCATTTTGGGTATATACCAAAGAGTGGAATTGCTGGGTATGAAGTTTAATTTGCTACTTTTTTCTTTTATGAATTGTGCTTTGGGGTCCTCTCTCAGGAATCACTGCCTTACAGAAAGCTGAAAAACTTTCTCCTATTTTTTCTTCTTGAAGTTGTATAGTTTTAGCTCTTACATTTAGGCCTATGAATAATCCTTTTGAAACTTATTTTAGTGCATGGTGCCAAGTAAGGGTCTAAGTTCTCTTTTCTTTCCTTTTCCTTCCTTCCTTTGCATATGGATATCAAATTGTTTTACCACCATCTGTTGGAAAGACCAGCTTTTCCCCTTTGAATTACCTCGTCAGATTTGTAAAGAGAAAAATCACGTGCTTCCAGCCAACGTGGAGTAACAGTGACCACATTTACTGTCTTGCCTGAACTCAGAGAACACACAAAATACATGGAACGACAGTTTTCAAGACCTGAGGTATATCAGGCAACAAAGGTCAGTAACCCTGAGAGATGGGAAACATGTGAAGTGAGCTCTCCAACTGCCCTAGCTTACTGCCTGGATAGTTTCCAAGACCTGGCACAGGAGGGAAACCTTTTGGAGTCCAGAGGATTCCCGGAGTTGAGGAGACAGAGCTGAATGAGAGTGTGAGGGGGACTAAGTGACTTATATGAAGGGCAGAATGCCAGAGAGGAGGGAGCTGCCCGGAGAGAGACCTTGAGAGGTCAGCAGAGTCACTCGTGATCTATACATGTACATGAGGAAACTACCCGAGGCCTGGGGAAGAACCACCTGAAAGGATTAGATGTCACAGCACTCACACAAGGGCAAGAAAAGTGCCTGTTCCCACCAGCAGCCAGACTCATGTTCCATGAGGCACTGGGTGAAGTAAACAACAGTCTTGCCTCAGTAGTGGGCAGTAATTAGCCCAAGGCTGACAAAAGCTCAGTCCTGCCGAACAGATCTCAAAAACAAGACCCAAAAGAATGAAACTGTTTCCAAGTATTTTACATGTGTCCCAGAACAAGCTCAAGAATGTGTTAGGAATACAAAAATATCTAGCACCCAAAAAGGTAAAATTCACTATGTATAACATCCAACAAAAAGCAATCAGGCATGCAAAGAAACATGAAATCATGACCTATGATGAGGAGAAAATCATCCTGTCTTGTTCCCAATCTTAGGGGCAAAGCATTCAGTCTTTCACCATTAAGTATCATGCTGGCTTCAGGGTTTTTGAAGATGCCTCTATTATGTTAAGGCAATTCCCTTCTATTTCTAGTTTGCTAATAATTTTTATCAAACATGAAAGTTAGATTTTGTCAAACGAGGCTGGGCGCGATTGCTCACGCCTGTAATCCCAGCACTGTGGGAGGCCCAAGTGGGCAGATCATGGGGTCAGGAGATGGAGACCAGCCTAGCTAACATGGTAAAACCCCATCTCTACTAAAAATACAAAAAATTGGCCGGGCGTGGTGGCAGGTGCCTGTAATCCCAGCTACTCGGGAGGCTGAGGCAGGAGAATCGCTTGAATCCAGAAGATGGAGATTGCCATGAGCTGAGATTGCGCCACTGCACTCCAGCCTGGGCGACAAAGCGAGATTCCGTCTCAAAAAAAAAAAAAAAGAAAAGATTTTCTCAAATGATTTTTCTGTATCTAATATGGTCACTTTTTTTAATTAATAGAGCAACTCATGCAAATTGATTTTTTAATAATAGCTCTATTGAGATATGATTTTTTTTTTTTTTTGGAGACAGAGTCTCGCTCTGTTGCCCAGGCTGGAGTACAGTGGGGTGATCTCAGCTCACTACAATCTCCGCCTCCTGGGTTCAAGTGATTCTCCTATCTCAGCCTCCTGAGCAGCTGGGATTATAGGCATGCACCACCACAACCAGCTACTTTTTTGTATTTTTAGTAGAGATGGAGTTTCACCATGTTGGCCAAGCTGGTCTCGAACTCCTGGCCTCAAGTGATCCGCCCACCTCAGCCTCCCAAAGTGCTGGAATTACAGGTGTGAGCCACTGCACTTGGCCAGGATTATTACAATTCAAGGTGAGATTTAAGTGGGGACACAGCCAAACCATATTGGATCCTTTGCCCATATTTTATTTGGGTTATTATTGAGTTATGGGAGTTTAAGTATTAAAAATACAAATCCCTTATCAAACGTAAATCTTTCCTCCCACTCTGTAGGTTGTCTTTTCATTTTCTTGATGGATTATTTTGAAGCAAAGGAGTTTTTAATTAGATAAAGTCCAATTCGGTTTTTCTTCTGTTGCTTGTGCTTTTGGTATCATATCTCAGAAACCAACATTGTGACCACCAGGTCACAGTGATTTATGCCTACATTTTAAGAGTTTTATAGTTTTGGCTAACATCGTCTGTAATCCATTTTTAGTTAATTTTTGAATATGGTGTGAGGTAGGGTGCCCAAATTCATTCTTCTGCATCCTTGTTTTGGCACCCATTTTGAAAATCAACTGACTATAGATATATGGGTTTATTTCTGGATTCTCAATTGAACTCCATTGGTCCATATGTCTATCTTTATGCCAGTATCACCCTGTCTTCCTTACTATAACTTTGTAGTAAGCTTTGAAATCAGGATGTGTGAGACCCCCAAGGTTCTTTCTCAACATTGTTTCGGCTATTCTGGGCCCTTTGAATTTCCATGTGAATTTTAAGAATAGCTTGTCAATTTGTGAAAAGAAGCCAGCTGCAATTCTGCTATTGAATCTTAGATCAATTTACAGAGTACTGTCATCTCAATAATGAATCTTCTGATCCATGAACGTAGAATGTCTTTCCATTCATTTAGGTTTCATTTCTTTGTACTTTTGCAAATTTTTATAATACAATGGTGGAGCAAAACACATTTACTTCTGGTACCTTAGTGGTTTCTTCTGCTTTTTAAAAATTAAACCTGGGCCAGGCACAGTGGCTTATGCCTGTAATCCCAGCACTTTGGGAGGCTGAGGCGGGCAGATCACGAGGTCAGGAGATTGAGACCATCCTGGCTAACATGGTGAAACCCCGTCTCTACTAAAAATACAAAAAATTAGCCGGGCGTGGTGGCAGGCGCCTGTAGTCCCAGCTACTTGGGAGGCTGAGGCGGGAGAATGGTGTGAACCCAGGAGGCAGAGCTTGCAGTGAGCCGAGATCGTGCCACTGCACTCCAGCCTGGGTGACAGAGCAAGACTCTGTCTCCAAAAAAAAAAAAAAAAAAAAATTAAACCTGTTCTTGCCACACAGTTTTGAGTACTGCAGTTTTATAGTACATTCTAATATCTTATAGGACAAGTCTTCATGCTGCTGCTTCAAGATTTTGAAGGTTCTTTTTTTTTTTTTTTTTTTTTTTGAGATGGAGTCTCACTCTGTCACCCAGACTGGGGTGTAGTGGCACCATCTCGGCTCACTACAACCTCCTCTGCCTCCTGGGTTCAAGCAACTCCCTGCCTCAGCCTCCCGAGTAGCTGGGATTACAGGCACCTGCCAGCAGGCCCAGGTAATTTTTGTATTTTTAGTAGAGACGAGGTTTCACCATCTTGGCCAGGCTCATCTTAAACTCCTGACCTCATGATCCACCCGCCTTGGCCTCCCAAAGTGGTGGGATTACAGGCATAAGCCACCGTGCCTGGCCAGTTCTTCCTTCTTAATGAACTTCAAAATAAATGTGTTAAGCTAAAAATCCTATTTAATTTTTTAAAATTTCAATTTTTTTTTTTTTGAGACAGAGTCTCGCCTTGTCACCTAAGCTGAAGTGCAATGGTACAATATGGCTCACTGCAGCCTCAACTCCCCCACTTATAAGCGATCCTCCCACCTCAGCCTCCTGTGTAGCTGGGACTACAGGTGTGCACTACCATATCCAACTAATTTTTTAATTTTTTTTTGTAGAGATAGGGTCTCACTACGTTTCCCAGGCTGGTCTCAAACTCCTGGGCTTCAGCAATCTTCCCACTTTGGCCTCGAAATAAACTCTTAAACTTCCAAATAGTCCTGTTTTTATTTTTGTTGGAATTGCATTAAGTATAAATGTTATTTAAGGAAAGTTTGATGATACTGCCTTCTTATTCAAGTATGTCTCTCCAATTTATTCAAATGTTTCTCATTTCCTTTATTAAAATTTTATGTTTTTCAAATAGATCCTTGTATATTTCTTATTAAATGTATTCCTAGATATTTTATAGTTTTGTTGTTATTTAAAAGGGATATTTTCCCCATTGTATTTTCTAAACTGATATTTCTAGCATACAGAAAAACTAATTAAAATATTTGCTTATATTTGGCTATATTCTTGCTTTTTCTATTCATTTGGATTTTCAAAATACCCATAAAATATTTGTGTTTAATCTGTTGCAATATGACCTAAGCAAGTGGTGAGATAAAGCATAGAAGGAGACAATATGCTGAGTAGGAGGTTAAAAACTGTATCATAATGTCAGGCCAACACTTAAGAGTGTTTATGAAAATAACCTTTGCTCCACGAGAATGTATGAGAGACTCAGAGAAGTAAATAACTGTGGTCAAAGAGGGGCATATTGCTGAAAGCAATTTAGTGAATATAATTGTGAATGGTTTTACAGATACTGTGACATTATAAACTAATGCTGCAGTAATTAATGTTATTTTGAGTATTTTAATTTTCAAATGCAAAGCCAAAATTCTAGTATTGAAAGTTTACAGCATGCTATGCTCTTGTTTGGGAAGAAAATATAAATTCTCCTGATGCTAATATACACATCTAAGGTAGTTTTATTTTAAAAAATAAGCTTCCAGGTCAGGCACGGTGGCTCACGCCTATAGTCCTAGCACTTTGGGAAGCCAAGGTGGGCAAATCGCCTGAGGTGAGGAGTTTGAGACCAGCCTGGCCAACATGGTGAAACCTCATCTCTACTAAAAATACAAAACAATTAGCCGGGCATGATGGTATGCGCCTATAGTCCCAGCTACTTGGGAGGCTGAGGCAAGAGAATCACTTGAATCCAGGAGGTGGAGGTTGCAGTGAGCCGAGATCGTGCCACTGTACTCTAGCCTGGGCAACAGAGTGAGACTCTGTCTCAAATAATAATAATAATAAGCTTCTGGATAGTACTGAGTTTTGTTTTGGAAGGTTTTATTGTTGCTGAACTAGATAGGGTGACTCTAAAGTTCATTTGGAAACACAAAATGTAGAAATATCTATAAAAACTCTCAAGGGGAAAAATAACTATAACAGGGGGATTAGTCATACCAAACAGTAAAAGCCTCAATTAAGAAAGCTGGTACTAGCACGTAATAGGCAGACCAATGAAATGAAAGAATAGAAACAGATTCTGATAAACAGAAAGTTAATATAGGGTAAAGATGGTATATCAAATCACTATTCTAGGATTTGGACAACTCACTACTTTAGAACAATAATAAAGGTGGATCTATATCTTACACTATACATCAAAATCTATTCCATATGAACCAAGAGTTCAATGTAAAAATAAAATAATAAAGACACTAGAAGGAAATGGAGCAAAGTTCTTTAATAACTTTAGGCTGGGAATGGCCTTTTTAACTGACCTCAAAATCCACAAACCATACAAGAAAAGATATTTAACATAAGAAAAATAAAAATAGGCTGGGTACAGTGGTACGTGCCTGTAATCTCAGCACTTTGGGAGGCCGAGGAAGGAGGATCCCCTGAGCCCAGGAGTTCGTGACCAACCTGGGCAACACGGTGAGACCTCATCTCTACAAAAAAATTAAAAAATTAGCTGGGTCTGGTAGCGTACACCTGTAGTTACAGCTACTTGGGAGGCTGAAGTGGGAGGATGGCTTGAGCCTGGGAGGTGGAGGTTCCAACAAGCTATGATCGTGTCACTGCACTCCAGCTTACACAACAGAGTGAGACCCTAACTCAAAAGAAAAAATACAGAAAAATAAAACACTCAACGATAACAAATGACAAAGTGGGAAAAATATTTGCAACTCATATCGCAAAGGACAAATCTTCCTAGTATATAGAACTGACCAAAGGTTAAAACTAAAATAAGATTTTGGTCAAAATCTAAAATCTTGATAAGATGTTGGCAATGCTGAGGGGAAATAGGCATTCTCAGACATCACCGGTTAACAGTGTAAATGGCTACAAACCCTGTTGATGGCAATCTGTCAATACCCTTCAAAATTACACATGTACCTTCCATTTTACTAGGCAATACTAATTCTTAGAATGTATCCTATAGATGTAGTATACATACACGAGATAATAAACATAATGATTCTGCCTTGCAGCATCGTTTGTAATAGAAAAAAAGTAAACAATCTTATATCCACTATAAGGTTAGTTACATAAAAAATTATGCACTCAGTGAAATATACTCTAGACCGTTAATTTTAAAAAAATCTTAACTCCCTACTGCCCTGAAAGAAAACCCACAGAGAGGCTGATTTTCATGTACTGATATGTAAAAATCTCTCAGATATCAGAAGTGAAGGAAACAAATCATGGAATGGTGTGTAGAGCAGGCATCTGCGTAAAAGGGGGAAGGGGAAGAATGTTCACTTCTACTTGCATGTATATGCATTAAACAAAATCTTGATAGCATACTCAACAACAATAGTAGTCTCTTTTGTGGGATGAGGTAGGACATAGACAGCAATAGAAGTAGGATAGACTAGAAAAAGAATAGATAGGCCAATGGATAAATGCATCTGTAATTTTGTTAGATATTGTGAAATTCCTCTAGATAAAGACTGTGACATTTTGCACATAAGCAAACTCAAAACACAACTGACAAAGTGGGAAAAATATTTGCCACTAATATCAAAAGGGACAGACCTCCCTAACAGATGTATATCTACCAGTAATGTATGATAGAGCCTCTTTCTCCACTGCATCTCCAACAGTGCCGTGAACTTTTCAATTTTTGCTAAGCTATATGTAAGAAATATCATAGTGTGGCTTTTGACTGTTTTAAAATTTAGGTTTATTTCCAATCAAACAGTGATAGAAAGAAAAAACTCGGGTTTACTGAGGTATAATTTACATACAATACATTCACCTTTTTGGGGTGTATAGTCCAACGAGTTTCAGTAAACACATATTCAAGTAACCACCACCACAGCCAAGACACAGAACATGTTCAGCAACCCATTTGCCTCATGTCCTGTCTCACTATTTCTGGTCCCTGTCAACCACTGATTTCTGGCCTATTGCCTTTTTCAGAATGTCATCTTTCACATAACATTATATTGGCATCAGCAATTGCTGAGTAGTATTTCACTGCATGATATCATAGTGTAGCTTTAATTTGAACTTCCTTATGAGTGGGATTGAGCAATTTTTCATATGTTCGAATGCCATTTGTCTCTTTCTGTGAACTGAATGTTCAAGTTTCTGAGTTTTTATCCTCACATTGTGAGAGCTCCTTGTATGTTACTGCACGTTACTGAGATTAAGAGTATTGTATGTTATTGTATGTTACTGAGATTATCTTCTTGTGACACAAATAAGTCAGGCACAGAAAGACAAATGGCAAATGCTTTACGTTTACTCCTTAAAGTATTTGGATACAAATGTTCTTTAATGTTTGTGTAGTCACATTAACCTTTTCTTTAATGTGTTAGATTGAGTCAGAGTTAGAAAGGCTTTTGATCTGGGCAATGGGTTTTTAGATAGGACCTCAAAAGCACAGGCAACAAAAGCAAAAATAAACAAGTGGGGTTACATTAAACTAAATAACTTCTGCACAGCAAATGAAACAATCAGCAGAGTGAAGAGACAAGCTATACGAGAAAACGTGTGCAAACCATACATCTGACAAGGAGTTAATATCAAAAAGTATATAAAGAACTCAATAGCAAGAAAACAACCCAATTTAAAAATGGGCAAAAGGCCAGGCACAGTGACTCACATTCATGCCTGTAATCCTAGCACTTTGGGAAGTTGAGATGAGAGGACTGATTGAGCCAGGAGTTCAACAACAGCATGGGCAACATAGCAAGACTACAAAACATTTTTTAAAAAGCCAGGCCTGGTACAGACCTGTGGTCCCAGCTACTTGGGAGCCTGAGGCAGGAGGATTACTTGAGCCTGGGAGGTTTAGGTTGCAGTGAGCTGTGATCACACCACTGCGCTCCAGCCCAAGTGACAGAGAGAGATCCTGTCTTTTAAAAAAATGGGCAAAGGACCTGAATAAAAAACATTTCTCAAAAGAAGACATACAAATGGCTAACAGGTATATTAAAAAATGCTCAGCATTATTAATCATCAGGGAAAAACAAATTAAAACTGCAATGAGCCATTACCTCACACCTGTTAGAATGGCTATTACTTAAAAGATGAACAATAAGTGCTGGAGAGGATGTGGAGAAAGGGGAACCCTTGCATACTGCTGGCAGGAATGTAAATTAGTACAGCCTTTATGGAAAACAGTACAGAGGTTCCACAAAAAAATTAAAAATGGAGCTACCATATGATCTAGCAATCCTATTACTGGGTATACATCCCAAGGAAGTGAAATCAGTATGTCAAAGAGTCATCTGCACTCCCATGCTCATTGTATCACTATTCACAACAGCCAAGATACGGAATCAACCTAAGTGTCTATCAATAGACAAAAATGGATAGAGAAAATGTGGTATATATACACAAAAGAATATTATTCAGCCATTTATGTGACAACGTCAGTGGAATAAGCTAGGCAGAAAAAGACAAATACTGCATGATATTACCAATATGTGGAATTAAAAAAAGTTAAACTCATAAAAGCAGAGAGTAAGATTATCAGGGGCTGGAGGTGTGGACTGGGGAGATGCTGGTCAAGTGATACAAAATTTCAGTTAGAAAGAATAAATTCAAGAGATCTAGTGTGCAACATGCTGAATGTAGTTAATAACAATGTATACTTGAATATTGCTAAAAGAGATTTTAAGTGTTCCCACCGCAAATAAATGATATGTGTTTTTTTAAGGTTTTTGACACTCCTTGGCTATAAAGGATTCTCCCATTTTTTTCCTTCTAGTTCTTATATGGTTTCATTTTTTATATTATCTCTCTGACCTCCTTGAATTTATTTTGGCATACAATATGAGGTTTACGTTCAATCTTTTTTCAAATTGCTATTCAGTGATCTCAATACTACTTATTAAAAGTCCATTTTCCTCCAGTGATTTGAGATGGCCATATCTATATGCCAAATTTCCATTAGTATGTGGTTAATTTTTGGAATTTCTATTCCGTTTTGTTGATTTGTCTGTAATGTGACATTACTCTCTTCTAGTTGTGGAGGCTTTTATAGTATGTCTTAACATCTGCTAGGGCTAGCCACACTTCACCCATTATTGTTGTTTTTCAGTGATTTCTTGGTTATTCTTCCTTATTTATACATGCCTTTATAATTAAGCTTTCTATCTCCTGGAAAAAAAAGGTGGTATTTTTACTGGGACTATGTTTATTTTTTAACATGGGGAGAAAATGACATTTTTTGTGGTAACGAAACATCCTTTTCAAGAACACTATCTTTCCATTTGTTCAAGTCTACATTTATGTATTTTTCAGGAATGGTACAAGGTTATTTTTATATAACTTTAAAGTACGTGCATTAACTCCATTCCTAGGTATTTCCTTCTATTAGTATTAAAAATGATAATTTATTTATTTAGTACTTAACTTACATACTTATCATTTATTTTTGGTGAGTAAAATCTACTATTTTAGCAATATTCAAGTATACATTGTTTTAAACTACAGCTACCATGTTGTACAACAGAGCTCTTGAGTTTATTCTAACTGAAATTGTATCTTCTAGGTACTCACTATATATACATGTAGGTTATAGATTTTTGTGTATTCATTTGAAGAAAACATACTTTCAATTGCACAATCTATAGTAGTTTGATCTCAAACTAGGTTAAAAATTGTTGGATTCAAAAGCATTTTACATTTCAGTTCAAAGCAAATTTAGAGATTTGGTCTTATTCTCTGTAGAAAGTATTCATATCACAAAATTCAGTCACACTAACTACATTCTATTAATAATTTTAGGAAGAGGCAAAGGCTAAAATAAACCTAAATGATAAAACTAGAAATTTTTTCTTCAAGGTGATCTTTTGAGGTTAAAATTAATGTAGGATAGAGGAGAACCTTTACATCAGTATCTGGAAAAAGAACTTTAGAAGCAAGCATGTTAATACTGTCACTTTGAAAATACATGAAAGGGACTTAAAATTAGTGGAAAAGAGCACTCAATGTTTCTTATATATGACTAAGCTACTAATAAGGATATGTGAATTAAGATCTGTCTTAAGGTAAACTGATGCGGGAAGCTTAAAGGTTATACAATCAACCTCAAAACATTTTCATCTATTAATATTAGTCTTGCTATAGACCAGTCACAGAAATAAAGACGTAGAAATCCAATGGAAAATATTAAAACACGTGAAAGGATAAAGAATACATGTCATAAGTTCATTGTTCATGTATACAATAGCAACACCTTTACTATGTATCCAGTTTTGTAAAATAGAACATATTTTCATTGGCTATGATTTTGTATAACCAATGACAAAAGATTACATAGTTTTTTCCTCTTCCCCCACCCTGTTTTTTGTTTAACGTAGTAGCTGTGCTATCAAGGTACACTGGTGTTGCAATACAGGCTTAATGATTATTTATTGACTGCCTCCTAACCACTTTGCGTAACTTAATGACAAATCTTTCAAATTTTTGACACTGTTTCAAAATAGCATATATCCTGGAACCTCTCAGTGCTACTCCTTAAGCTTATGAGAAGTGAATGTTAAGAAAAACTAGCAGAGAAACCAGAAAACTTTATTTATTATGAATGGCAAGGAAAGAACTTAAAAGTCACTGTACTACTCCAGTTTGCCAAAATATTCCCTCTAGCACCAAGTCTTATCTCTAACAGATAATATGTGAGAAGACTCTACACAAGTGAAAACAGAAAATGCAATTACATTTTATTGCAAGAAATTTGGAAAACGTATTTTTAACAAAGTTAGCTATTCAAAAGTGTTACCTTAGGCTGTCTCTTAATAGCTCCTTTTCACAAGTGTGAAATTTAATGAAGGCAACAGCATTTACAAGCAAGACCAAAATGGTATCTTAATTACTAGATGCATTTTCTTAGGCAACAAGAGATTAAATGGAAAGAGAAATTAGTTTTACAAATAGCATCATACATCTTTATGTTACACCCCCCTCCATCAAGTCACAGATGGTTATGTATTTTGAACTTCCTAATATTGTAGGCAATTTTCTTTTCCTTGGGCACACCCAAATCCATCACTACTCTAAACTATATATTATTTTAAAATCATTTACAAGGACTAAAGCTGTTTATCATAAATGATTTAACATTTACTGACCACATGAAATGGGCTTTTCTGGTATTCAGCTCTACATGGATATGAAACCTAAGACTTGTTGAAACGTACTGGCACTCTATATTTGCAGTGTTTGCATCACACAGTTTGGAGGAATACCTTGACTTGATCTAACTAACTCTAATACAGGGTTCCTGATCCAGTTACTACAGCCAAATCTAACAGCCAAAGCCCGGGGTAGTCATGGCTAATGTTACTGCTACCTGTCATGTAATTCACATGTTCAAATAGGGACCTGTGAGGACCACTGTCCTCATATGAGTATCTATAAAACTGCATGCATCAAAAAGAACCAAGTGACTTTGCTTCTAATCGTGGCTGAGTAGCCACTATCAGAATAATAATTCCACAAATAACAACTATAAACCCTTAATGAAATAGGAAAACAAAAAACGAAAAACAAAAACCAAAACTACCTAAAGGCACTGGAGAGCAATCAAAGGAGGAAGATTTTGCAGGAGAGGGGGCGGAGTCGAGCACTGGAATAAATTCCATTTTCTTCTTTGGGCAGACTCCAATCCATGCCATGCATAGATGTTAAAACTCAGTTTTAAAATCCATAGTTTGACTTTCTTGTCCCAGAGGACAGATTTCAGGGCAAACACAGTAGCTAGTTAGGAGGAAAATGCTATTAAGGTAAGAGTCAGAGTGGAGTATTCCCAAATTGTATTTGTAAACACTGAAGGGCTGTCTCCAAGTAGCCTAGGTAAGGCTAAATGAACTGAACTAAAGTTTCAGCTGCTGCCTACCATAGAGGAAATAAGAGGTTCCAGTTCCTCCAACCTAATGACTTAATTTTTTTTTTGAGACAGAGTTTCGCTCTTGTTGCCCAGGCTGGAGTGCAATGGCGCCATCTCGGCTCACCACAACCTCTGCCTCCCAGGTTCAAGCAACCCTCCTTCGTCAGCCTTTCAAGTAGCTGGGATTACAGGTATGTGCCACCATGCCCGGCTAATTTTGTGTTTTTAGTAGAGACGGCTGGTCTCGAACTCACGATCTCAGGTGATCCACCCACCTCGGCCTCACAAAGTGTTGGGATTACAGGCGTGAGCCACCATGCCCTGCCGACTTAATTTTTTTAAAACGGAAAAGTATCAGTACTCTTAGGAAGAAGATAACACAATCTAAAGTCTTTACAATGCTTCATTCAGAGTATCTAGGATACAATCCAAAAGTATGCCACATAAATAGATAACAGGGAAGTGTGAGCCATGCTCAAGAAACTTTGAATGGATACTTACCCTGGGAGGACCCCAGATGTTGAAATTAACATACAAGGAATTTAAGCAGCTAATACAACTATGTTCAAGGACATAAAAGAGAACATACTTATGAGGAAGGAAAAGATTTAAAAATCTCAGCAGAGAAATATGCACTATATAAAAAGACTAAATGGACATTTCAGATTAGAGAATTATAATATCTGAATAAAAAACCACTGGGTTGGTTTAGTGCAGTTTGAAGATAGACAATATGTGAACAAGAAGAGAGAGCAATAGAAATTAGCCAACTTCAGAAAGAAAAAAATACATCAAAAGATGAACAGAGCCTCAGGGACTTGATGCAACTATAAACAAAACAAAAACAAAAACAAAAAGTGTCACAAATCTGGAGTTCCAGAAAGAGAAGAGAAAGGGCAGTAGAAAAAAATATTTGAAGAAATGAATAATGGCCAAAAACTGACTGAGAATGGTGAACAACATAAACTTGTAAGCTCAGTGAACCCCAAGAAAGATAAATATAAAGAAAACTTTGCCTGGGCACATCATATGCCTGGACCAAGGTGATAAAGCAAGAATTAAAGAGAACAATCCTTAAAGCAGCTGGAGGAAACACACACACACACACACACACACACACACACACACACACACACACACACACACGCTCTCTCTCTCTAACATACGGGGAAGAATGGATGATTCAAAATGTCTTCAGATTTTTATCAGAAACAATAAAAGCCAGAAGACAATGAAACATCTTTAAAGTTCTATGGGAATTTAAAAAATTAAACCAGAATTTTACATCCAGTAAAAATATTCTCCAAGAGTTAAGGTAAAATAAAGATATTTTCAAATAAAAGAAAACCAAGAAAATTTATTGTCAGTAGACCTGCATTACAAGAAATGTTAAAGGAGGCTGGGCGCAGTGGCTCACCGCTGTAATCCCAGCACTTTGGGAGGCCGAGGCAGGTGGATCACGAGGTCAAGAGATCGAGACCATCCTCACCAACATGGTGAAACCCCATCTCTGCTAAAAATACAAAAATTAGCTGGGTGTGGTGGCATGCGCCTGTAGTCCCAGCTACTTGGGAGGCTGAGGCTGGAGAATCGCTTGAACCTGGGAGGTGGAGGTTGCAGTGAGCCAAGATCATGTCACTGCACTCCAGCCTGGTGACTGAGCGAGACCCTGTCTCAAAAATAAAAAAAAAAAAAAAAAGAGAAATGCTAAATGAAGGTCTTTAAGCAGAAAGCAGAGGATACTAGATAGAAACACAGAACTTCACAAAGAAATGAAGAGGACAATAAATGGTAAATACAAGGATAAATATAAAACATTATTACTTCCCACTAATTTCATTAGCATACTTATGACTATAAAAGCAAAAGTTATAACATTGTATAATGGGGGTTGAGCACATTTCTAGGTCTATTATTCCATTAAGGACAGGGGAATGGAATAAATGGGCCTGTATGGCTAAAAGTTTCTTATATTTCATGTGCTGTGATACATACATCTTAAGTCTAAGTAGATTATGAATAAGTTCATACATCTTAATTCCTAGAGCAACCACTTTAAAAAACACAGAAGAATAACAAGCAGAAACAGAAAAGCAGAAGAACAAAAAACAAAGGAGATAAACAATGATGACCAAAAAAGCAACTAAATAAAACTGTACCAATAATTCCATAAACTGTTAGTGGACTAAACACTCCAAAAGGCGGATATTTGTCAGAATCAATTTTTATTTTTAAAAAAGGCTGGGCATGGTGGCTCATGCCCGTAATCCCAATACTTTGGGAGACCTAGATGGGAGGATTGCTTGAGGCCAGGAGTTTGAGACCAGCCTGGGCAGCATAGTGAGACTCCATCTTTACAAAAAAAAAAAAAGTAAAAAGTAAAAATACTAGCTGGATGTGGTGGCTTGTGCCTGTAGTCCCAGCTATTCAAGAGGCTGAGGTGGGAGGATTGCTTGAGACCAGGAGTGGGAGGCTTATAGTGAGCTATATAACTGTGCCACTGCATTCCAGCCTGGGTGACACAGACTCCAACTCAAAAAAAAAAAAAAAAAAAAGAAAGACCCTATCCATCAAGATGATGTCTGTGAGAGATGCTCTTTAAATAAGGACAGGATGTAAATGAACAGAAAGGTTACTATTCAAAAGAACAAAAGTGTGAACGAGATGAATGAAGTAGCTATATTAAAATCAGATAATGAAGACCTCAGACAAAAAATGTTACCAGAGATAAAAACATTTCATAACAGGTTCAATGCATGAGGAAGATGTAGCAATCATAAATGTGTATATTGTAATAACAATTGGAAATTGAAATAAAATATCACTTACGATAGCATCCAAAATCATAAAATGCTAGGAACAAATATGTTTCAGACCTTTATAATAAAAAGTATAAAACACTGCCAAGAGATATCAAAGAAGACTTGACAATTGGAGATATGTTAGTGGATCGGAAATCTCAATATTGTGAAGAGGTCAATTCCCCCCAAATTAATTAACAGATTCAATGCAATCCCACTCAAAAGTCCAGCAGGATTGTTTTGTGGAAATTAACAAGCTCTAAAATGTATATAAAAATGGACAGCCAAATAATTTTGAAAAATAACCAAAAGAGAGGACTGATTTCAAGACTTATTATAAACTCTCCCCCTACCACCCCCTGCCAACCCCAGAGGGTCTCGCTCTGTCGCCCAGGCTGAAGTGCAGTGACAGGATCATGGTTCACTGCAGCTTTGACCTCCCAGGCTCAAGCAATCCTCCCATCTCAGCCTCCGGAGTACCTGGGATCACAGGTGTGTGCCATCACACCCAGCTAATCATTTTATTTTTCACAGAGATAGGGTCTCCCTACGTTGCCCAGGCTGGTCTTGAGCTCCTGGGCTTAAGCAATCATCATGCCTCGGGCTCCCAAAGTGCTGAGATTACAGGCCTGAGTGACTGCACCTGGCCAAGACTTACTATAAACTTAGAGTAAGCAAAGCTGTCTTCTTGGTTTAAGAATATATATATATATTCCACTAAACAACTGAATATGCCTATACAAAACAAAATGACCACATCCTTTACCTCAGATCACAGATAAAAATTAACTTGAAAGGGATTGAAGATCTAAATAAAACAAGTAAACTACAAAACTTCTAGAAGAAAACGTAAGAGAAAAATCCTTGCAACTCTGAGGTAGGAAAAGATTTCTTAGAAGACAAAAGACATGAACTATAACTAGATCTAATAAGATCTAAAAAACTGATAAACTGGAATTAATCAAAACTAAATTTTTTTCTTTAAAAAACACCATTAAGTAAACATATATCTAACAATAAACTCATATCCAGAATATATATATATATATATATTTTTTTTTTTTTTGAGACGGAGTCTTGCTCCGTAACCCAGGCTGGAGTGCAGTGGCACAATCTCGGCTCACTGCAAGCTCTGCTTCCCGGATTCATGCCATTCTCCTGCCTCAGCCTCCCCAGTAGCTGGGACTACAGGCGCCCGCCACTACACCCGGCTAATTTTTTGTGTTTTTAGTAGAGACGGTGTTTCACCGCGTTAGCCAGGATAGTCTCGATCTCCTGACCTCGTGATCCGCCCGCCTCGGCCTCCCAAAGTGCTGGGATTACAGGCATGAGCCACCGCGCCTAGCCTCCAGAATATATTTTTTAAAAAAACTCTTATAGCTCAATTCAAGAAGACAAATAACCCAATTTTAAAAATGAGAGATTTGCACATATGAAGATATATGAATGGCCAACAAGCACATTAGTCATCAGAGAAATTTAAATTAAAACCACAATGAGATACCATTACCCATCAAGCAAAATGGTTAAAGCTGGTAAGATTGAGAGCAGCAAAGTTGATGAGTTTTTATGGAGTAAACAGAACTCTCATACATTTCTAGTAGGAGCATAAAATGACACAACCACTTTTGAAAACTATTTGGCAGTTTCTTATTACCAGCAATTTCATATCTAGGTATATACAAGAGAAATGAGCACAAATGCCAATAAAAGACAAATAGCACGATTTGTAATAGTCAAAAACTGGAAACAACTCAAATGACTTTTATTTTTATTTTTTTGAGACAGGGTCTTGCTCTGTTGCCCAGGCTGGAGTGCACTGGTACAAACATAGCTCACTGCAGACTTGACCTCCTGGGCTCAAGCAATCCTTCTGCTTCAGCCTCCTGAGTAGCTGGGACTACAGAGGCATGCCACCACACCTGGCTAATTTTTAAATTTTTTGTAGAGATGAGTTCTCGCCATGTTGTCCAAGCAGGTCTCAAACTCCTGGGCTCAAGCAATCCGCCAGCCTAGGCCTCCGAAAGTGATGGGATAACACTTTACTGTTAAAAGTCATCTAAGGCCTGACACAGTGGCTCACACCTGTAATCCCAGCACTTTGGGAGGCTGAGGTGGGTGGGATTACCTGAAGTCAGGAGTTTGAGACCAGCCTGGCCAACATTTCAAACCCCGTCTCTACTAAAAATACAAAAAAGCTAGCCGGGCATGGTGGTGTGCACGTTATCCCAACTATTCGGGCAGCTAAGGCAGGAGAATGCCTTGAACTCGGGAGGAGGAGGTTGCAGTGAGCCAAGATCGTGCCACTGCACTCCAGCCTGCGTGACGGAGCAAGACTCCATCTCAAAAAAAAAAAAAAAAAAAAAAAAAGCCAAGCGTGGTGGCGGCTCATGCCTGTAATCCCAACACTTTGGGAGGCCGAGGCAGGTGGATCACCTGAGGTCAGGAGTTCAAGATCAGCCTGACCAACATGGAGAAACTCCGTCACTACTAAAAATACAAAAAAGCTAGCCGGGCATGGTGGTGTGCACGTTATCCCAGCTACTCGGGCAGCTAAGGCAGGAGAATGCCTTGAACTCGGGAGGAGGAGGTTGCAGTGAGCCAAGATCGTGCCACCGCACTCCAGCCTGCGTGACGGAGCAAGACTCCATCTCAAAAAAAAAAAAAAAGCGAAGCGTGGTGGCGGCTCATGCCTGTAATCCCAACACTTTGGGAGGCCGAGGCAGGTGGATCACCTGAGGTCAGGAGTTCAAGATCAGCCTGACCAACATGGAGAAACTCCGTCACTACTAAAAATACAAAATTAGCCAGGCGGGTGGTGCATGCCTATAATCCCAGCTACTCGGGAGGCTGAGGCAGGAGAATTGCTTGAATCTGGGAGGCAGAGGTTGCGGTGAGCCGAGATCACGCCATTGCACTGCAGTCTGGGCAACAAGAACGAAACTCCCTCTTGGAAAGAAAAAAAAAAAAGAAGTCATTTGAGGTCAGGCCACCACGCCTCATGGTGATAGTACCACATGGAATAGTAGTATATTCCAATAATGGGATGCTCGATAGCGATGAGAATGAATAAACTATTGCAGATGAATCTCATGTAGTGCTGAGCAGAAAAAAGCCAGTTGTTAAATGTTTACCTTAACATTCCATTTATGTAAGAGTGTAAAATAAGGAAAAACCAATCTACCATGTAATAAGATAAAACACTGATTAACTTTGGGTGGTAAATACTGGGAAGGCCTAAAAGAAGTAGATCTGGGGTTCTGATAATGCTTTATTTATTTATCGAGGTATGATTACATGAGTGCTTTTACTATTGGAAATGTACCAAGCATATAATTTTTGTGCTTTTCTGTATGCATGTTATATTTCTGTAAAAACTAGAGAGAGAAGATTGTATTGCCTACAAAGGACTAGGTATTAGATTATTTCAATGAGAGCCAGAAGACAGGACAACGGTATCTTAAACATGCCAAGAGAAAACAAATCTCAACTTAGAATTCTGTATCAAAGCACTTTTGTAAGAATAAGGACAAAATAGAGACATTTTCAGACAAAAAGATCCCATAATTTACCACCAAAAGCCTTTGGTGCAAACTCAAAAGTTTAAACCCATTAAACTTTTGAATACAAATTTCAAATAAAATTAACTAAGATGTAAGGGCTGAGATGTAAAAGGGAATGGTAAGCAAATCTAAATATTTATTGTATAAAACAGAAAATAAATGTCTAATTTGTTGTATGATACAACATCTCTGATACAGAGATGCCTGATTTCTAAGAGAAAAACAGGATGGGGCCAATATATAGTCCAGTATATTGTTCAAATTGTTGTTCAAGGTTAGAGCATTCTAAGGTCTTTGCATTGTTCATGAGGAGGGTAAAAATAATGTTTTTTAGACTAAGCATGCATGTGGTCAGGTGTGGTGGCTCATGCCTGTAATCTTACTGCTTTGGGAAGCCAAGGAGGGAGAACTGCTTGAAGCCAGGAGTTTAAGACCAGACAGGGCAACATAGAGAGATCCCATCTCTAAAAAATAAAATAAAAATAAAAAATTAGCCAGGCATGGTGGTGCATGCCTATAGTCCCAGCTACTCAGGAGGCCACTGCACTTCAACCTGGGTGACAAACAGATACCCCAACTCTAAAAATTACAAAAAGAAGGCCAGGTGTGGTGGCTTTAGTCTGTAATCCCAGCGCTTTGGGAGGCTGAGATGGGAGTATCACTTGAGGTCAGCAGTTTGAGACCAGCCTAGGTAACATAGTGAGACCCCATCTCAACAAAAATTTGTAGGCCGGATGTGGGGGCTCATGCCTGTAATTCCAGCACTTTGGGAGGCTGAGGTAGGCAAATTACTTAAGCTCAGGAGTTTGAGACCAGCCTGGGCAACATGTCAAACCCCATCTCTATGAAAAACAAAACAAACCAAAAAAAATGAAAAATTAGCTGGGCATGGTGGTGCCCGACTGTAGTCCTGGCTACGAGGGAAGCTGAAGTGGGAGGATCACCTGAGCCCAGGAGGTTGAGGCTGCAGTGAGCCATGATTGTGCCACTGCACTCCAGCCTGGGTGACAGAGTGAGACCCTGTCTCAAAAAAAAAAAAAAAAAAAAAGGAAAGGAGAGGAAAAGAAAGAGAGAGAGAAAGAGAAAGAAAGAGAGAAAGACAGACAGACTGGCTGGCTGCTAAAACTAGTATAATAATTGAAAAAAATACACAAAAGCATATGAATTCTAACAAAATAGATAAGCAAAACTGAGTAAGTGGGGTGGGGGAAGAACTCTTAAACCAAAAAGATAACACGGGGGAACAAAAGGAATATGTGGAGTGAATATAAACTTGTATTACATTTCTACAATTTCTACAATACTGCATGTATTAATTGTAGAAATAAGCCCACAATAAATGAAAGACAATCAATTAAAAGAATATCAGAATGTATTAAAAAAGCCTAGAAAGTCAATGTTAACCATACAATCTGCCTATAACCTGTTAACAGGAGCCACACTTAGAACATAAGGTAAAGTTGAAAGTTAGTAATACCTATAGAAGAAATTATATGATGTTTTGAATTTGCGTTAAAATACCCCCCAGAAGAAATAAACTAGGAGGGAGAATAAATGAGAATGCCAAATTCATACCTGTTAAAGATAGATGATGGACACACGGGAATTCATTACACTCTTCTAGTTTTGCATATGGTAACATTGTTTTTATAATAAACGAGTTTAAAAAGGCGAAGAAAAAAGATATCCCAGGAGAATTCTGACCCAAAATAACTTGGTACAGCTCCCTGAATATCAGACATAAGACAAAAACATATCTTGAGAGGCATGGCATCTAAGATCAATTAACCTGAAACATATGAAAGTTCTACTTTTTACACACTAATAGCACAGTCTTGAAAATATATGGCAAAAAAATAGAACAAGAATAAAAACCACATGAGTCACTGTACTGAGAAATTTTAACACATCTCTTTCAGTTACTGTTGTATCAAGTATATACACACACAAAATCACTAAGAAGGTAGAGTATTCAAACACAATAAACTTGACCTAGCAGTTATAGATGGAGTACTGCATTCAAAAATGAGAGAAAACAGATTTTTTCAAAAATAGGAATATTTATAAAAATATCACAGAGAACCTGGAAAAAATTGATATATGTCAAGTTAGTATATTATGTCAGAGGATAGACTGTTCAATAAGTAGTGCTAAGACTATTTGTTATATGTGTGGGGGAAAAAACACAAAAAGTAAATCCAGATAAAGACCCAAATATAAAATGTGAAACTTAAAACTTTTAGAATATGGAATATCTTTATGACCTCAGGACAGAGACATGTGTTACTTTTGTTTGCTTTTGAGAGTCTTGCTCTGTCACCCAGGCTGGAGTGCAGTGGCGTGATCTCGGCTCACTGCACCCTCTGCCTCCTGGGTTCAAATGACTCTTGGGCCTCAGCCTCCCAAGTAGCTGGGATTACAGGCACGCACCATGATGCCTGGCTAATTTTTATATTTTTAGTAGAGATGGGGTTTCGCCATTTTGGCCAGGGAGGTCTCAAACTCCTGGCCTCAAGCAATCTGCCTGCCTTGGCCTCCCAAAGTACTGGGATTACAGGTGTGAGCCACCACGCCCAGCCAGGGACATGTATTAATTTTGAAATGATAGCTTAATCTAAAATAATTCAGGATTGTGAAACTTGCAGGAGGGGGAAGGAAATGGGAGAGAGAGATGCAATCAGGTAGGTAAGCATGGGGGCTTCACTTTTACTGGAAATGTTTTATTTCTTAGCTATAATGCATACAGATGTTCATTATATTAGTCTTTTACCTCTTATGTCAGAAGTACTTCCTCCTCCCCACCCCCAAAACAGGGTCTTGCTCTGTCACCTGGCCTGGAGTGCAGTGGTGCGATCATTGCTCACTGCAGTCTCCTACTCCTGGGCAAACGTGACCCTCCTGCCTCAACCTCTTCAGTAGCTGGATTACAGGTGTGTGCTACCATGACCAGCTAATTTTATTCTTATTTTTTGTAGAGACAGGGTCTCACTATGTTGGCCAGGCTGGCCTTGAAGTCCTGGCTTCAAGCAACTCTTCCACCGTGGCCTCCCAAAGTGTTGGAATTACAGGCATGAGCCACTGTGTGGGGCCAGAATTCTTAAATGTGAATAAAAAGAGACAGAACAAACACTCATCTCTACTACTGCAATATATGACAACAGTTCATTCATGAGATTAAGGATTAGGGTGAAATGGATTAGATGGTATCCATGCAAACAGAAAAGAAAGGTATATGAGAAACTCAACAAAGAAAATCCTAGTTAGAGGGAAGAGGAAGTGGGAGTAATTAACATCTCTTCAGATATGGAAAATACACCAGACATGGTGGCTCACACCTCTAATCCTAGCACTTTGGGAGGCCGAGGCCGGCAGATCACCTAAGGCCAGGAGTTTGAGACTGGCCTGGCCAACATGGTGAAACCCCATCTCTACTAAAAACACAAAAATTAGCTTGGTGTGGTGGCACACATCTGTAGTCTCAGCTACCTGGGAGGCTGAGGCAGGAGAATCGCTTGAACCTGGGATTCAGTGACCCTGTTGCAGTGACCCTGTCTCCAAAAAAAAAAATAAATAAATAAAAAGATATGGAACATAAGACAATGAGTAGAAAACTAGCTTTTGTATGGTGCCTATATATGCTATATGTGCGGTTTTTTTTTTTTTTTTTGAGACAAGGTCTCACTCTGTCACCCAGGCTGGAGTGCAGTGGCATTATCTAGGCTCACTGCAATCTCTGCCTCCCGGGTTCAAGCAATTTCTCGTGCCTCAGCCTCCCAAGTAGCTGGGACTACAGGCATGTGCCACCACACCTGGCTAATTTTGTTTGCATTTTTTAGTAGAGATGGGGTTTCACCATGTTGACTAGGCTAGTCTCAAACTCCTGCCCTCAAGTGATCCACCCGCCTTGGCCTCCCAAGGTAATGGGAATATGCTTTAAATAATTTAATCTTTAAAGTATATATTATTACTATATCAAAGATAGGTCTCAGATACTATAAATGGTGCAGCCAGTTTTCCTGGCTCCAAAGCCAATATTCTTCCCAGTACTGTGTAACATGTGGGTATTAATAGACATAGCCAAGAGGGGGAGCTGGTACAGATGCATATATGAGGATGATCACCAGTCTTTAAAAGATGTGTACATACAACAAAAATGACATGGTCTTTGAGTCCAGTCCAGGTAAGCCTGACCTAGATCTAGCCACAGAAGCAGCATCAACCATACAGCCACAAGATCACGGAGGTTATTCATCTCAGCATAGTCCTCCAGGAAAAATAAAAATAAAAAACCATCTCAAGCTTCTATTCTCTAAGCATCACTTGTCCCTCTTTGTAAAGTACTACCTGAATCTCACAATACTGCCACATTCTACCATAAAATATGAGATGTGGAAAATTCAACATCCATTTCAAAAATAAATAAAAATTTCCTTCAACACATACTGAGTGATCTGCATCCTTTGTGGATTAAAGTGTCATCAGCACCTAGAATACACGAGGGCTTCTATAAATGTTTCCTGAATGAAAAAAAGAAAACCTAAATGCATGGATGTAAAACATTACAGCTGATCTCTCTGCCTTCACTCCAGCTTGCTAAGATCCCTCAGGCTATTTATTCTAAGTGGCACTGCTCTTCCAAGTTGGGAAAACCTAAAGCGATTATTTCCTACACCCTTTACAGCTTTAAAACTTCTATGATTTTAAGTTAGTATGTCTCAAAGCACACAAATAAATAATTTAGCTACAAAAATTCTGGTCCTTTAAATTATGGAAAATAATGAAGCTGAGCGTTTATAGAATTTTGTGGAAGAGAACTGTAAGGAGGATGGGGAATGGAGAAATCCAAGATTGTGGTTCTTTAGAAGGGACTAGGATTCTCAGTGTTGGGGAAAGAAGGTGAAGATATAAAAGAGGTTGAGTAAAAAACTATGAGGTCTTAGACTTCAGTTAGAAGTCAGTATAAAGTCATAAGGTACTTCATCTTTAAAAAGGCTATTTTTGTATACTTTATAATTTTTATGCTTAGTCTATTTGTACATAATACCTATTTATAACAAAATATGTTAAGTCACATATTTAGATGATACATAAATTTTATAGTTGACTCTTAGACAACTCTAGGAATAGGGGTGCCAGCCCCTGTGCAGTCAAAAATCCATTTGTTAATATTACTTTTGACTCTCTGCAAACTTAGCTATTAACAGCCTACTGCTGACCAGAATCCTTACTGATAACTAACATATATTTTACTGTATTCTTATGCTGTATTATGTACTGTATTCTTACAATAAAGTTAGGCACAGAAAATATTAGTAATGTATTTACTGATACCATGTTTATGTCACAAAATGAAGTATATGTCTGAAATGGTGGGCAACTACAGTTGCAGAGCTCAATCTACAGTACACATCAAGCAATACACCTTTTTCTTATAATGTCATGACTTTTTCCTGCTTCTTGGGAACCCTTCCAGCATCACTAGTGGTACTTTGCAATGTGTTACTCAAAGTTTACAGTATTACACCAAATACAATAAAAAAAATACTAGAGAACCACAAGGCATAACTTTTTACTATGATATGCAATTTACCGGGACACACTGCTCACATGGAGATGATTAGCATTACATTTTAAAGATACAACACTTGAGCTCACACCAATAAAGATAAGAGGTAGCTACAAAATTGTTACAGTAGCACAGTATGTACTACAGCTAACTTTAGGCAGTTATGATTTATTACTGCATCTTTGTTTACATTTCTCTCAACTGCAAATGGCATCATGTATGATCTGTGTTTGTGTGTATAAATTTCAATACATGTTAGCTTTCTATGATAGATTTGTGTATATCTTATGGCAGTAATGATACAATGGACTAATATCCACATTTTATGCATTATGACGTACTAAACTTCTTAATTTTTTCAATATTTCTAGACTACACAGTCTGCAAGTTTTTTTTTTTTTTGAGACGGAGTTTTGCTCTGTTGCCCAGGCTGGAGTGCAGTGGTGTGATCTCGGCTCACTGCAAGCTCCGCCTCCCAGGTTCACGCCATTCTCCTGCCTCAGCCTCCCAAGTAGCTGGGACCACAGGCGTGTGCCACCACACCTAATTTTTTTGTATTTTTAGTAGAGATGGGGTTTCACCATGTTAGCCAGGATGGTCTCGATCTCCTGACCTCGTGATCCACCTGCCTCGGCCCCCCAGAGTGCTGGGATTACAGGCGTGAGCCACCACGCCCGGCCAAGTGTTTTTTTTTTTTAAATCATTGTGAATCTCCAAAAAATTTTCCAATATATTTATTGAAAAAAAATCCATGTATAAGTGGATCTGTGCAGTTCAAATCCATGTTGCTCAAGGGTCAACTGTATGCACATAATACATTAAGTGTTCCTGTCATATTTATATAATCGATATCCCTATGCATTATCTATATATTTAAGTGTACAAAATTTTTTCGCCCTAGCAACTAAAAAGGCCAAAAAACGATTACAAATCCAGAAGCCATGACTTACCTTACATAAGACTGTGCTCTTGAAGTACTATTTGCCAGTAAAAGAAACCCAACTTTCTTGGTAAAATGGCTGATTCCAGTCTGGAACGGCAGAAAATATATGAGATAAGCTTTTGTGCTAGATCTTGTTATACCAATGAAGCTGTCAAAGACTACTTACCAGGAACACATCAGCAGGATTCAGGAGACAATTTGAAGGGATTCAACTGGCCAAAGATAGAACATTCTGAGCAATAAGAGCAGTAAGTGAAATTGACATCGGTATTTCAGATTTGTTTAAGTCCACATTAAGAAACAGTAACTGATCACCTTTTGAGGATAACAGGAAACATTTGCATTTGAGAACTGGTAAATAATGGGACAAAAATCAAGGGTCTATTCTGCCTTTCTTATATAAATTGCACTAGTAAATGACCAGCTTCTCTTTGCAGAAATATTCCAGCCAATAAATTAAGAAATGATTAGGAATGTCACCATTTTCCAGTCCATAATAAATTAATGGAGCTAAGGATTTAGCAGTAATGGTTGCTATCACCACAAAGAGACAATATATATGTGTTGTTCTTTTTTTAATTTTCCCATTGTCTTGGCTATATATATGTGTTTTCACAGAACACATTACCACCTAAGAAGTAAGTTTACCAAAAATATTCCAACTGGACCTAGTCAAGCCTGTAGATGTGTATTAGTCTGTTTTCAGGATGCTGATAAGGACATACCTGACACTGGGCAATTTACAAAACAAAGAGGTTTAATGGACTTACAACTCCACATGGCTGGGGAGGCCTCACAATCATGGCGGAAAGCGAAAGGGACTTCTTACATGGTGGCGGCAAGAGAAGAGAGCTCATGTAGGGTAACTCCCCCTTATAAAACCATTGTATCTCATGAGACTCACTATCAGGAGAACAGCACGAGAAAGACCTACCCCCATGATTCAATTATCTCCCACCAGGTCCCTCCCACAACACGTGGGAATTTAAGATGAGATTTTAGTTGGGACACAGCCAAACCATAATAAGATCTAACAGCAGCAAAATCCAGAGTGCAGAGAATTCTATCAAACAATTCAATTTCCTCAACAAGTTGTATGGTAGGTGGGAGAGTGGGGTGAAAGAACAGGTTTACATGTAGGTTAAAAGAAACAAAAAAGAAACTATAGAGTTTAGGAGCTACACAGTAGGGTGATCAAAAGCATGAAGGAAGTGATTCCCATGAAAGTCAAGAAGGCAGTTACTTTTTGAGACAGAGTCTCACTCTGCCACCCAGGCTGGAGTGCAGTGGCCGCCATCACTGCTTACTGCAGCCTGGACCTCCTGGGCTCAAGCCATCCTCCTGTCTCAGGTGCCTGATACTACAGGCATATGCCACCACACCCAGATAATTTTTTTTTATTTTTTTGTAGAGATGGGGTCCCACTATGTTGCCCAGGCTAGTCTTGAACTTCTGGGCTCAAGTGATCCTCCCTCTTTGGCCTCCCAAAGTTCCGGGATTACAGACATGAGCTACCATGCCTGGCTAGGCAGTTACTTTTAGAGAAGAGGGAATTGTGACTAGAACAGAGTACATGAAGGACTTATGGAAAGACTGGCAAAGGTCTATTTCTTGACCTGGTGGAGGTAACAACTATTGATCTCCCTACAGTAACTAATTTGTTTTATGTAACTTTTTTGTATTTGTACAGTAAGAAAATATTTTAAATGGTCAATTTTCAAGGCATGATAAATCTAAGTATTGGCAGCTAGCCTGCAAATGTGACAAAATGCCTGGCTAATGCACCTAGGTCACAATAAGCAAACAGAATGTAGAGGAGGGTTCAGCCCGTAAAAGGAAAGAAAGTTTCGTTATCAGGAAATCGAAACTTAAGCAGGGAAAGGGACGGGATATAACCTTATAAGGGGGATAATGAAACTTAGGCAACGTCTTGGAAGATTGTAACCCCATAGTACTCAACCAATGCAGAACTCGTGGAGGGACTTGTGTGCTAGGAGATAAATTACCTGTTGTGACTTCCCTGGATGTACCTGCTCAGACACCCGACCTTGCAAGATCGTTATTAAAGTCTCACTTTCGCTGTTCTTCGTGCCTCTAAGTCCATTCTTCGGGTTTGGATGGGTGAGTGTGTTTCTTACAGTACTATATCATACAACCAAAAGGTTTTAAGCAATGTTTGAAAATACGATGTTGAAGAGTTTGGGGAAATGGGTACTCTCATACATTGTGTGTGGAAGTGTATACTGGTACAGTTTAAAGGAAAACTAGACAAAATATGTAAAAACTGCAATATGTTAAACTTACCCTTTAACAATTCCACTTTCAGAAATTTCTCTTATAGTTACACTTATACATTACATGAAATGATCTATGTAAACGAGTATTTACTGCAGGACTCTGATAATAGCAACTATTGAATATAGCCTAAGTGGGTACCAACAGGAGACAATTTAAATCACACTGCATATACACAACAGAATGCCCAGAAATACACTCTTGCCTGTATGGTCAAATAATTTTTATCTAATACCATTCAATGAGGAAAAGACAGAATTTTCAACAAATGGCATTGGGAAAACTGGATATCCACAGGTGAAAAATGAAGCTGGATCCTTACCTAATACCCTATACAAAAATTAAGTTAAAATGAGACAGGCACCATGACTCATGCCTATAATTCCAGTGCTTTGGGAGGCTGACATGGGAGAATTGCTTGAGGCCAGGAGTTCAAGGCAATACTGGGCAATACAAGATCCTGGCTCTACAAAAAGCAAACAAAACAAACAAAACAACAACAAAAACAATTAACTGGGTATAGTGGCAAACGCCTGTAGTCCCAAATACAGTCCCAGCTATTTTGGAGGCTGAGGCAAGAGGATCACTTTAGTCCAGGAGTTCAAATTACAGTGAGCTATAATTGCACCACTATACTCCAGCCTGGGTGACAGGGTGAGACCCCATCTCTTAAAAAAAAACAAACAAAACGGCCAGGTGTGGTGGCTCACGCTTGTAATCCCAGCACTTTGGGAGGCTGAGGCGGGTGGATCACGAGGTCAGGAGATCAATACCATCCCGGCTAACATGGTGAAACCCCGTCTCTCCTAAAAATAAAAAAAAATTAGCCAGGCATGGTGGCACACACTTGTAGTCCCAGCTACTCGGGAGGCTGAGCCAGGAGAATTGCTTGAACCTGGGAGGCGGAGGTTGCAGTGAGCCAAGATTGCGCCACTGCACTCCAGCCTGGGTGACAGAGCAAGACTCCGTCTCAAAAAAAAAACAAAAACAAACAAAAAAACAAACAAAACCTGAAATGTATAATTGCCTACATGTGTGACGACGCTGGATTTGGCAATAACTTATTGGATATGATGCCAAAGGCACAGGCAATGAAACAAAAAAGAAACATACTGGATTTTATAAAATTTAAAAACTACAATACAGTAAAAATGCAACAGAATGGCAGAAAATATTTATAATATATCTGATAAGGGAACAATATCCAGAATAGAGAATTCCACAATTAAAAAAAAAACTTGACTAAAAATGGGCAAAGGTCTTGAATGCACATTTCTCCAAAGATAAGCAAATGGCCAAAAAGCAATGAAAAGATGCTCAATATCACTGTTCATTTCAGAAATGCAAATCAAAACTATGAGAGATGCTACCTCACAACCACTGGTATGGCTACTATCAAAAAAACAGAAATAAGTGTTGGCAAGGATGTGGAGTAATCCATACCCCCATCATGCTGGTGGGAATGTAAAATGGCAACAGCCACTGGGGAAAACAGTACGGCAATTCCTCAAAAAATTAAAAATAGAATTACCTTATGATTCAGCAATTCTCCTTCCAGATATATACCCCAAAATTGAAATCAGGGTCTCAGAGAGATATTTGTGCACCCATGTTTATGGCAGCATTATTTGTAATTGGTAATATGTGGAAGCAGGCTAAGTGTCCATCCACGTGTGAGTGGATAAGCAAAATGTGGTATATTCACACAATGGAATCGTACTCAAACTTAGAAAGGAAAGATATTCTGCAAAACACTACAAAATGGGTGACCCTTGAGGACATCATGCTAAGTGAAATGAGCCAGTCACAAAAAGACAAATGCTGTGATTCTACTTATAATGGGGAATTATTGTTAATGGGCACAAAATTTGTTTTACAAGATGAAAAGAATTCTGGAGATGGATGGTAACAGTTGCACAATATGATGAATGTATTTAAAACCACTGAATTGTACACTTAAAAATCACTAAGATGATAAGTTATATGTTATGTGTATTTTACCACAATAAAAAGAAGGGCAGGGGGATAAAGCTGCCTTTACATATCAATACAGCATGCTCTTGGTGCTGAACTGTGCTGGGTTAGTAAAGTTAAGCTTGGAACTGTTTTCCAGAATCCCCTTCCTTGTATGGCTCTGAGTAAGATTTGGCCAAGAGGAATTTGCACAAGATTTTAGAAGGCAGGAACAATGCAACAGACGTGACTCAATGAAGATTTCAGGATTAGGATAGTGATGGACACTCACAAAGGTATGTGGAAAGCTTTAGGTTGTCCCCACTCTCCTCCATTTCACATCCCGCTCTTCCTGAAAGCATACTATCCTTTCTGCAATCTCACCTCAGCAGCTGGATGTGACTGTTTCCCAGATTTCCCTAACAAGCTCTGACTTGTTCACCACACTAATCCTTCAGAAAGCCTGGTTAGTGACTCCTCTCATTCTCCACCTTTCCCTTCTGGACCTTCATTTCTTCAGCAACTCCAACTGAGTAAAGGCCAATTCATTTGATGAATGCCATATGTCTTAACACACATAGTAGCTCCACTTCTCTGACTGAACCTTGTCTCATACATTCCTCAAGATCAAGAAAAACTGCAGGATGCAGAATAGCGTGTATACTGCAATTCATGTTCTTTTTTTTTTTAAAGAGGGACAAAGAAAATAAATATATTTGCTTATATATGCAAAATCTCCAGGACAAAAAAACTGGTAATATTGGTTTCTGGAGGTGTCGAGATAGGAATGGAAGAGGGGTATCACTGTATACATTCCTTTATACAATTTGAATTATGAAATGTGATTGTCTTATCTACTCAAAAATAAGTGCTTTAAGAAGACTTCTCAAATAAAATTAGTGATATATCTTACATAGGCCATCTTCATTTTAAGCCAGCTAATAAGCCATTCATCTATTATTTGAAATTAAAATCAGTACTATTCATAAATCTGTCTCAGCTTCATCATTTTAATTTCCTGAACTATTGAGCAAACCTATCCTAACATCACAGCTGACCAATGGAAAAAAAAAATAACATAAATGATGACTGGCTAAGGTTTATTCTGAAAATCCAAGGATGGCTCAACATCAGAAAATCTAGTCATGGAATAGATTACACGAACAGAACAAAGCAGAACATGATTATTTCAACACAGAAAAGCATTTCACAAAATTCAATACTGAACAATGACAAAAACTCAAACTAGGAAGAAAACAGCCTTAATCTAATAAAGGGCAGCTACCAAAAACCTGTAGCAAACATACTTAGATTCTGGAAGCATCTTAAAGTCAAGATCAAGATAAGTATGCCAGTCCAGTCCAGCATGGTGGCTCTTACCTATATTCCCAGCACTCTCGGATACCAAGGAGGGAGGATCACTTGAGGCCAGGAGTTTGACCAACCTGGGCAACACAGTGAGACCCCATGTAATAAAAAAAAAAGTTTTAAAATTAGCCAGGTGGGGTGGTACATGCCTGTAGTCCCAGCTACTCGGGAGGCTGAAGTGGGAGGATCCCTTGAGTCCAGGAATTTGAGGCTGGAGTGAGCTACCATCACGCCACTGCACTCTAGCCTAGGTGAAAAAGGGAGATCCTGTCTCTTAAAAAAAATAAATGCCTACTTTTATATGTTCTGCTTGAAACTATACTGGAGGTCATGGTCAATTTAGGAAGGCAGTATAGCAAAGTGGTTAAAAACTCAGGCTCTGGTACCAGACTGGCTGGGTTCACATTCCAGCTAGTTGACTAAATTTGGGTTAATTAGCTGTCTCTCACTTTGCTTAACTGTAAAATAGATAGTAGTACCTACATCATGTGTTTGCTTACAAGATTAAATGTATTAAATCATGCAAAGCACTTAGAATACCCAGCATAAAGTAAATATTGAACAAATGTTAGCAAGAGAATAGAAAATACTATTTTCTCAGTTTTATTTTAAAAATTTTTGAAAGATAGGGTCTCGCTATATTGCCCAGGCTGGTCTCAAACTCCTGGCCTCAAGTGATCCTCCCGCCTTGGCCTCCCAAAATGCTGGGACTACAGGCATGAGAAATTGTACCTGGTTGATAACTGACTTTTTTTCTTTTCTTTTTTTTTGAGACAGAGTCTTACTTCTTTGCCCAGGCTGGAGTGCAATGACATGATCTTGGCTCACTGCAACCTCCACCTCCCGGGTTCAAGCAATTCTCCTGCCACAGCCTCCCCAGTAGCTGGGATTACAGCCATGTGCCACCATGCCTGACTAATTTTTGTATTTTTAGTAGAGACGGGGCTTCACCCTGTTGGCCAGGTTGGTCTCGAACTCCTGACCTCAAGTGATCCACCTGCCTCGGCCTCCCAAAGTGCTGGGCTTACAGGCGTGAGCCACTGTGCTCGGCCAATAACTGACTGTTTTAAAGCAAAATAATGATGTTTTGTGAGATTGTAAAAACAAGAAGAGAGATGAAAGTATACTCTTGTTTCTTACATTTTATGTGAAACAGTTTAATTCCATTTAACCCTTTTCCCATTTGCCCCAAGAATACTTGCTGGCAGCACTTGTAGCTACAGAGTTTACCGTGAGATACCTTTGCCACAAAATATCTCACTTTTATAATTATTGTTGCATTGCTCTAGTAATATTGACTCCCGAAACAAAAGACATCATTCTATTTATAGCATTCTGTTTTTAGTAGTGGTATTTCCATTTATAAAATATAGTAATTCTCAATCACTGAAAATGTCAAATCCTAGAATACATAGCATTCCTATGAGTGATGTTAACATTGTTCTTGAACAGTTGTTGGCCAAAAATTTGATAAATCCAATTTTTCTGAAATAGATGATTCTAATGATTCACACAATTCTGATGTTAGTTCTATTTAGAAATAACTCCAAGAACAGTTTTTATATTTTATTTTCACATTGGAAATCAGATTTGCTTCATCCTCAAAAAGCATGTTTATGTAAAATTAAATGAGTGCTGGCAGTGAGCTGCACCTTTTTTTTTTTTTCTAAGAAAAGGGTTAATGGTAGACTGTGGTAAGTTACAGATACATCTTATAAGCTCTACAGTAAACATAAAAAAATTGGTAGATTTAACCCAACCATTTTATAACTATATTAAATATAAATGGCCTAACATTCTACTTAAAAGGTCCAGTATCAGACTGGATTAAAAAGCAAGGTCCAACTATATGTTGTGTACAAATTACTATCACTACAATGACAAAAAGGTTAAAAGGAATAACAAGATACCTACTACGCAAACACAAATCATAAGAAAGCTGAAACTCTACATTAATATCAGGCAAAATAGGCTTCAGAACAAGGAATATTATCAAGGATAAAGGGAAGTATGCCACAACTATAATGAGGATAATTCATCAAGAAAACATAAAAGTCCTACAGGTGTAGGGATCTACTAACAAAACCTCAAAATACACAAAGCAAGAACAAACTAGATTATAAGTTTCAATAAATTTGAAATGATTAAAATCATACAGGGTATATTCTTGGACTGTAAGCAAATTAAACTGAAACTTTAAAATGTGGAGAATATTGAAATATTTGGTAATTAATATACTTCCAAATAGTCCAAAGTTAAAAAAAAATTAGAAAATACTTTGAACTGAATGACAATGAAAACATAAAAATATAAATGCAGCTAAACCAGAACTTAGAGATGAATTTATATGTTTAAATGCTTATATTTGAGAAGAAAGTCTAAAAGCAATGATATGGGCTTCTATCTTAAAGCTAAAAATAGAAAAAATTAAACCAAAACTAACTAGGCAGAGGTAAGTAATAAAAGGTAAAAATCAATCAAACTGAAAATAAGTAGAGAAAAATCAAAGAACGGGGTAAAAACATCTATCCAATTGGTAAACTTTCTCTACATGGGCTGGTGGGAAAAAAAAGATCAATAAACTGATTTCACCACTTACAGCAACAGTATTAGAGTTCTTAACCAGTGCCATAAAGGAAAAGAATAAAAATCATAAAGATTGGAAAAAAACATGAAACTGTCTTTACTCAGAGACTGTTATATAGAAAATCTTATAAAACACACAAAACCACTCTTGTAACAAGTAAGTCCAGCAAGGGGAATAAACAAGAATCAAGTCTATCTTTACATATTATCAATACTTGAGGAATTTTTAAAAATTACAATTTTTTTTAAAAAACCACAAAATACTTAAGGATAAAGCAAAATATTTGCAAAGCCTATACCCTGTAAGCTACAAAATGCTGCCAAGAGCTGAGAAACATTGAAGATCTAAATAAATGAAGAGATATACCATTTATAAAGATTCAATATTAAGATGTCAATTCTTCCCAATTGTTCTATAGATTGAATGAAAAGTCCCATAAAAATTCCACCAGGGTTCTTTTTTAAACAAATTAATGAAATGAAATCCTAGAAGAGCCAAAACAATTTTGAAAATGTAGAAACTGGAGGAAATAAACCACCCGATTTCAAGACTTACTATATAGCTATAGTAATCAAAGCAGTGTGGTATTACATAAACATATTGACCAATGGAACAGAACACTCTCCTGAAACAGACCCGCATACACACAGTCAACTGATTTTCAACAAATGAGTAAAGGAAATGTCTTTTTAATAATGGGGGCTACAATTGGATATACATATGCAAAAAAAAAAATCAAACTTGATTCTTACCTCACATATACACCAAAACTTATTTGAAATGGCTCACAGACCTAAATGTAAGAGCCAAAACTTTAAAACTTGCAGAAGAAAACATAGTAAAATAAGAATCTTTGTGCCTCTGGCTTAGGCAAAGATTTCTCAGGAAGTACACAGAAAGCATGAACCATAAAACAAAATGAGAAACTAGACTTCATCAGAACTTAAAATTTCTGCTGTTTGAAATATACCACCAAGATGAAAAGGCAAGCAGCTGACTGGGAGGAAATACTCATAACACAAACATCTGAGAAAGGACTTATATGTAGGATATTCAAATAACTCTTCCAACTCAAAAACAGAAAAAGAACAATTTGAAAATGGGCAAGAGTTGAATAGTTACTTGACAAAACATGTACAAATGACCAATAAGTACATGAAAAAGTGCTCAACATCATTAGTTTTCAGAGAACTGCAAATTTAACTACAATGAGATACCACATTTCCACTAGAGTGGCTAAAATGTGTTGATGAGGATGTGGAGTAACTGGACTCTCATGCATTGCTGCTGGGAATGCAAAATGGTACCACCACTTTGTAAATTGTTGGCCACTTCTCCCAAACATACACTTACCTTATAATCCAACAGAAATGAAAACATATATCCACAGGAAGACTTCTATACATCTAGTCATGGCAACTTTATCATGACCAAAAACTGTATAGCACTGAAAAATCCATCACTAGGTAAACGGATAAAAAATTTCTGGTATATCCACACAAAGGAATACCACTGAGCAATGAAAAGGTCTGAATGACACACATTCAGGAATCTCAGAACCATTATGCTAGAAGATACAAAAAGGACTATATGATAAATGATATGAAACTCTACAGAAGTCTGAGTATACCTTTAACAAAACCCTACAGCTGTACACTTCAAATAGGTGCATTTTATATGTAAGTTATAGCTTGGTAAAGTTAACATTTTCTGCATATTAGAGGACATAAGATTTCTCCTCTTTAAAATAGGGACAATAATATCTACATCATATGTTGTTGTGATGCGTAAATGAGTTAGGATTAATTCATATGAAACACTTAAGGCTTGTCTGGCATATAATAAAAAAATGTTAGCAGGATAACTACACAACAAAGTCACTATAACCAGTGGTTCTCAACTTAGGGCAATTGTGCCCCCCAGGAGAAACTAGGCAATGTCTGGAAACACTGCTGACTGTCATGACTGGAGGGGTACTACCGGCACCTGGCCAATAGAGGCCAGGGATGTTGCTGAACATCCCTACAAGGCATAGAACAGCCTACACAGCAAAGAATAATCTGACCCAAAATGTCAATACAACAGAGGTTCAGAAACCCATTTATTAAAGAAAATAAGTGACAGAACAATCCACAGATGGAAAAGAAATATTCCAAGTGCATATAATCAACATGGAATTCAAATCCAGAATGTGTAGGTGTGTGTGTGTGTTGGTGGTGGTGCAAAAGTAATTGCATTTTTGGACCATTAATTTTAAATCATTATAACTAGGCTCAAACACATCTTTATTAATCAAAATAGGAACCATTACAATCAACACTTTTTTGCCAACGAGAAATAAATTTGTTTATTCCTGCAGCATAAACATCCATGCTTCTGGATTCAACAAACTCTTGGAAAGCATTTTTCTGCATCCTGCTGGTGTGGAAGCATTTCACCTGCAAAAAGCTGTCAAGATGCTTCAAGAAGTGAAGCATCCAATGGCTGGCCACTGTGTTCCTCATATTCAAGGCTCTAGTCTGCTTTGCAAAACTTCTTGAATCACAGCTGCCCTGTATGTTCGTTAGTAGTTCCTGGGCCAAATGCGCTGTTCATGTTTCAAGTTATCTCTGCTGCGTTATGACCCATTTTGAACTCAAATAAGAAAACCACTTGAAGTTGCTTTTTGTCTAATATCATTTCCATAGTCTAAAATAAATATAAACAGCAAGTAATAAGTCATTAGCAAAAAAAAAAAAAACAAAGTGAGAAATGCCCATTAAAATGATGTATAACATAACCACATTTAAGAAGGTTTAAGAGGGTATTCCAGTATCAAATGACAAATTTCAACGATGCAAAAACCTCAATTACTTTTGCACCATCCTAATATACCCTACAAATCAAAAAGAAAAGAACAAGACCAACAGGAAAAAGAAGGAAGAATGAGACTAAGACCAGAAAACAAAACATCCTCAACCTGCAAGGAATGCAAAGTGAACACAAGATAAGAGTTTTAAAACCAATAAACTGACAAAAAATAAAAATTCTGACAATATTACATGTTGGTGATGACACAGAAGAACAAGAATCTGTATTATACACAACAGACAAAAGGTAATGATGGCCAATATGTATACACGCATGAATGCACATATACGTTCTTATGCAAGTATTAGAGTAACAAATAATGAATAAACATAGTGGTTACTCTATAGACTGATATCTTCAATTACTGTTCCTGCTTTTTGTAAGCTTTTAAATGGTTCCCATTCACTGAACACTTATGTATCCAGTAAAGTAGATAACATAGGTGCTTTATATACTTCATATTTGTTAGTCCTTAAATCTGTTGCAGATATTAATAGTCCTCTTTTTTCAGATGTGTAAAACTGAGTTTCAGTGTAAACTGAATCTCTGAGAGATTAAGTCATTTTCTCAAGGTTCAGAACAGTAAGTGGCAGAGTAAGTGCAGGATTGAGGCTAGGGTCTTTCTACTCCAAAGCCTAACCCTGTCCGTCCCAGAGTGATACAATATTATAACCTACGCCCTGATATTTAACAAAATTAAAGCATTCTTGGGAATACTTCTAGTTTTCATAGAAAGATCCTCAATCAAGATCATTCTGGAATGTGCAGAAGATAAAAAGAAATGGGATGGCAAAACGCAGAGAAAGCAAGGCAAATGAAAGCTACAAACCTCTCCCTTAGATAAATGTACACATGAGCCGGGAGCGGTGGCTCACACCTGTAACCCCAGCACTTCGGGAGGCCAAGGCGGCTGGATTACCTGAGGTCGGGCGTTCAAGATCAGCCTGACCAACATGGTGAAACCTCGCCTCCACCAAATACAAAAGAAATTTAGCCGGGCGTGATGGCAGGTGCCTGTAATCCCAGTTACTCGGGAGGCTGAGGCAGGAGAACAGCTTGAACTCGGGAGGCGGAGGTTGCAGTAAGCCGAGATCGTGCCATTGCACTCCAGCCTGGGCAACAAGAGCAAAACTCCAGTCTCAAAAAAAAAAAAAAAAAAAGAAAGAAAAAAGAAAAAACAGGGCCGGGCGCGGTGGCTCACACCTGTAATTCCAGCACTTTGGGAGGCCAAGGCAGGCGGATCACGAGGTCAGGAGATTGAGACCATCCTGGCTAACATGGTGAAACCCCGTCTCTACTAAAAACACAAAAAATTAGCCGGGCATGGTGGCGGGCACCTGTAGTCCCAGCTACTCGGGAGGCTGAGGCAGGAGAATGGTGTGAACCCAGGAGGCGGAGCTTGCAGTGAGCTGAGGTGGTGCCACTGCACTCCAGGCTGGGCAACAGAGCGAAACTCCATCTCAAAAAAAAGTAAGAAAAATAAATGTACACGGTACACAGACATGAAATTATGTATATAATTTCAGTGGTTCACAAATTCCCTGGGAGCCCCACCAACAGGCTGTTCTTCAGATTCCAGGTTAAGAACAGCTACTTTAGGGGCTAAATTCAATTATAATATTTAAGTGACCAAATTTCTTTGACCAGAGTTATGCTATCAGCTAGTGCATAAGCATTTCACACACACTGCTCGCGTTCAGAAATCTTTGTTTGCCTCAGTAAAATTTACCATCATTCTTACTGTAATGAGCTCTTTGCTCTAGAAGTACATACAAGGGAAGTAATGAGATTGGTAGACATATGACACTGGTAGAATTAGTTTGAACATCTGTGTAAAGGCTACCTTTGAGAGTTCGAAGATAGAACAAGGAACATCACACTAAAAGAAAAAAAAAGAGGTTGGCTCCTTTTTGTATCTATAGACAATTACTGGTAAAACTTACAACCCACTTCATACACTATTTGCAAAACTGCACCATACGGTTCAACATCTTCAGCTGTCATACCAGAAAATGTCACACGACAGGGACGTTAATCCATTAGTCTATTTTTTTCACTTGTATTTGTCTTTTTCTTTATATGTCCTTCTTTCTCATTTTGGGCGTTGGTTCATGTCTTTCCTATTCTCTAGTTCCACTCATAATTCTTTCATTCTGCCATTTTTATCCTGTAAATAGATGTAATGTAGGATTATTTTATTATATAGATTTCATGTTTTCCAGCAACCTAATCTTTCCGTCAATAAATACATCTAAACCGGTTACTTTATCTATCCTTGTTTCTCAATTGAGTATTTTAATATGAATCTTTTGATTGTGACAAAGATACACTCCCAACCAAACTTTAGTCAAGCCTAGGCTTATCTGTGCAACAGTTAAAAAATCTAGTTTTAACAAGAACCTCCCCAATCCTTGGTATCTGTTCTTCATCCTCCACCATTCCCCAGATGATGTCTGATCACGTCTTCAGCAAGAATTATGTTAGGTTACTTAAGCCAGAATCTCCCTGATGTATATCCTCTTAATAATTTTCCATCCACTGATCGCCCTACCCCTAACTATCTTGCTCCTTGGCTATAAATTCTTACTTGCCCATGCTATGTTCAGAGTTGAGCCCAATCTCTTTCCCCCACTACAAAATCCCATTACAGTGGTCCGTATACTTATTTCGAAGGTCCTGAATAAAGTCTGCCTTACTATACTTGAACAAGTATCATCATCAAATAATTTTTTTAAACAATAGGAAAGCGAGGCACCGTCTATATTGTATACGGGTTTGGAGGTATGCTCCATCCAGCATACTGTCTCGTTTATTTCGCAAACATCTGAGTACTATCTATGAGAAGAATTGTGTTATGCAGACAAAAGAACTAGTGAACACTTGTGGGAGACTTCAAAAATTAGAGAAATTACGTAAAATGTCCTCATGTTTCTTAATGATAAAGCATGTCAACCATAAATTTATCTGCAACGTTTAAAAAGTTATATTTTTCAACAAGCATAACATGTGGGGAGAGATTATAACATACAATGACTCCATACCACATAAATTTGGCAATTAATTTTAATATTGCCTCCTTAGACTTTAAAGAACACTCCCTAAGCATACAGATTTATAGTACTCAATCTCTTAATTTTTCTAAATATCTTCTAGAATTTGACTTTAGTCTCCTTTCCATAATTGAGAATAATTATTTGTCATAAAGATGGTCTGCACGCCCCAACTTCACTTTCATCTAGGAAATTAGTGAAATAAATGGACCAGACCTTGAAGTTTTTAAAATCTGGACTTGAAACCTGGCTCTGCAAACAAGCTAGTACAAGTCACTTAACATAGCTCCCTGAATCTCATTTTATTCCCCCTCCTAAAACATGCTAAAATACATCTCATAATGTTCTAAGGGTGAAATGAGATAAAATATCTCCATTACTTAGCACAGTACTTGGCATAAAATCCAATGTCCAATCAACAAAGCGGATTCTAAGCTTCTCAACTCTTGCAAGAAAGAGCGTGTATTTCCTTAAATCTCTGCCCTCACAATAACTAGCACTAGTCACACATAAGAGAAACTCGGTGACTCCAGGGACTGCCTTAGGAGAAAGTTTCTGGAAGTTCTGACATTCCAGAAACTTTCTCCTAAGGCAGTCCCTGGGAGTCACTGAGTCAGTCCATTTCCGTTATTTTTTTGGAGGCAGCCCTAACTCCACAGATGTATTCCACTATCAGATACACCAGATGTTTATACAAAAATGTTTTCGTGATATTTTAATCGTCTTAATAGCCTTTCAACAGGTTCTCATGGTTCTTAGAAGACAAATTCTTTACTATGGCCTAGTAATCCAGTTGGTCCCAGCTCATTTCCCACCCTCACTTAGGATGTTCTGGCCACATCTGCCCTCTAGCTGATCCTTGAACACCCTAGGCTTACTCCATCCTCGGGTCATATTTCCCTCCAACTGGAATGCCCCTCTCACATCCTAACAGGCTAGGCTCAAACACCGCCTCCTAAGACAGCCCTTGTCTTGAGTCCTCTGCTTCTCCCAGTACTCCACTGTATTCATAGCATAGCACTTCCCCACCACCCCAAATTCTCCCTGCTTTCTTTCCAAGTGAGTTGTCTCCTCTAGACTGTGAGCTTCTTGAGAACAGGGACTGTGTCTGCTTCTAGATGCATCCCCACTGCCTAGAACCGTGTCTGACACAGAGCAAGCCAGCGACCTCCGGGCTGCGGCTTTGAGGCCCACGGCGCTTTCGGTGTAACTGCGCGAACCAACTCCTGAACAGCCCGCTTTCCTGGGTCTCGAGGCCAAGGGCCTCTTTTCTCCCAGAGGGCCTCCGTCGGGAGTGCTGGCCGCTCATCCTGCCGAGTCACAGGTGAGGTTTAGGATTCTCCGCCGCGGTGGACCTCCACGAGACCGCGAAGCAGGTGAACGTCCTCCCGCGGAACCTGAGCTGCCAAGGGCTGGGGAGGGGAACAGAAGCTGGCGTCGGCTGCCTCCAGAACCTGTCAGGAGTCTTTTATGTGGACTATGGAGGTGAGGTGTCGGTCAAGGAGGTGGGCCCTGACTCGGAGCAGTGAGAGAGAGCAGAAAACCAGTCACCGCAAAACGGCTTCCAAAGAACCAACTGGAAAACTCACCGGAAAGCGTAGGCTGCCCAGACGCCCCGAGGGACCAAAGCTGAAGGGAGGAGCCCTCGTAAGCAGACAAGAGTGCGCGCGTCGAGCTTGCGCAGCCGCAGTAGAAGCCGCACGCTCTTCGGCAGGCTGCGCAACCGCAGTGGAGGCCTCGTGTGCCCGGGGTGGGGCACGAAACTGGGCGGAGCTAGGCCCCCTCGCGCGCTGACGCGACTGGTCGCGGCGGAAGGGTGTAAGCACGCAGGCGCGATGGTGGCTCGGGGGGGCAGGGAGGCGGGGCCGCGCAGGCGCTGTGAGAGGCGGTAGCGGCGGCGGCGGCGGTGGTATCGGCGGCAGCTGTGAGGGGGTTCCGGGAAGATGGTGCTGATCAAGGAATTGTGAGTGGGTCTGTGGGCGCGAGCGAGGCCGTGGGACGGCAGTGATGGGAGATTTGTTGATGGAGAAGTGGTAGGATATTCCTAAATCGGAGTCAGCCCTGTGTCAGCCCCTCCCTGCGGGCGCCCCCTCCCTCCCCCGGCCCCTTCGAAGCCCCTCAGCGAGTGCGCCCCTCGGCCCTCCAGGCATTGCCGTGGTAACACGCCCTCTCCCTTCCCCGGGGCGAAGGCGGCTGGGTCCCGGCCCGAGCGCATGGCTCGGGAAGGCGCGGCCGGGAGTTTCCGCTGGGACCCGCCTTCTCCCCAACCCCCCACCCCCAGGCTGGGTCTGGGCCCACCCCCAGGCCCGCCGGTGGGAAGGAGCCGCAGTCCGAGGGTGGGAGAGACACGTTGGTTCTGACTGTGATTTGTCGTCCGGGGTGGAGTCCCCTGGTAACCAGCGGGAGATGGGCTTGCCGGTTGAAGGCAGCCCTCGTGTCAGGACTCGCGGTGGGACGCTGGCGCCTTGAAGTTCGTGGTGGAGCCGGGATTCCGGAAAGCCTCCGCTCTCCTGGGCAGCTCCGCTGACTTGACGGGAGAGCCTTTTCTCTTTTTGGTTTCCGCATGTTTTAAGATGAGGTGACATCCCGGGCCCCACCTACTTTCTTAGAAGTTAACACGTGCTCTGTCAAATGGAGGGATTTCGAGGTGCATCCGACTGGCCAAGTGATTTTGTTGAAAAGTCACGGCTTTTCCTACTGGCAAGGACTGTAAACATTACGGAAATCTGCTTGCCTCTGAATGTTCGTCTGTCACAGCTGGTTCGTGTCGTCAGCATCCTTTGGGCAGCTAGGGAGGTCGAGTATGGCCCATTCGTTGGTTTTCAAATTCTTCATTTTAAATTCTTAGAAATATTTTTGGCTTAATTTAGCTTTTTTCAGACACCTTATTTTTAGTGTTCTTAAACCTCCTTTAAAAAGTCACTGATGCACTTCTCTGAGACTTAATACCTCCCAAAGACTCCCTGTCTCACCCAGAATAAAAGTCAAAGCCTCTGCAACAGCTACAAGGCTTTACACTTTTTTTTCCTGCCCTGATCTCATTTACTACCTTTTCCTTGCCCATTCCATCTTCGCAAGCTTCCTTGCTGTTCCTCTGCTACTCTAGAATAAGTTCAGTTCAAGACCTTTCCACCTGCTTTTGTTCCCTTTGCTTGAAGTGTTCTTCCCTTGGCACACTAACTCACCTTCTTCCAGGTCTTTGCTCAGACGTCACCTTCTCAGGGAATCCCTTTCTGAAGACCTAATTGTAGTTCCCACTATTTGGGGTGGTATTTGTCTTCCCTGCTTTATCGGTCTCCATAGTACTTATCACCATCCAACATGCCAATACAATTTATTATTATTATTTTTCTCCTACTAGTTGTGTTCTCTTTTTACATGTAAGGGCCATGAGTTTGTTTTGCTCACTCTCATATCCCCAGTTTTTAGAATAGTCCCTCGCATGTAATAGGTGCTCAGTAAATATTTGTTAATGAATTGATGAAAAATGATAACTTTGGTCAGTGACAGGGATTTTGAGAAGAGACATTTTGCCTTTTTTTGGTAGAGTGAAAATTCTCAATTAAAGCTTATTTATAGTACTGAATATTGGGTTTATATAAAACTTTTCTTCCAAGTCGTTTATACAGTGTATCAAACAAGTGTTCATTACTCTGACTTCTAGATGATGTGGGTAGATGGGTGGCAGACACTAAAACAAATGGAGAAAATAAGAAGGAAATTGACTTGGACCAAGTTACACAGCAAGTGAGTTGCAGAACTGATTTTAAATAGATCCAGTCATTTTTCTTTCATTGGAGTATTTCCTCCCTCCAAAAGTGTTACAGACACACAGTATTCAGTAGATCCCTTTGACAGTATGTGAGTAGTATGAAGCTAACTCTTGGAAAGCAGTTCCTATTGGGAATTTGCGCACTGTGCTTTTTGCAAACATTTGCTTTCATTATGAAGATTTAAATGTACCCAGATAATGAATGTTGACACGTGCCCAAAGTCTAATTATTTTTCCCAAAGAGTTATAAATTAAGTTTCTTGATGTTAACTCTTCATGTGTATCTCCCCTAGATTTTTTTTCCTCCTAGACTTTTTGAAGGTAGAAGCTGTTTCTTAAGTAATGTCGGTATCTAGCACAGCATCTAGGCCTAACATGCTCTAAAGAATTCAGTGTTGTTCAATGAAAAATTGATACTTCTTACTCTCAAGTCAACTTTCTAAAATTCTTGTTGGTTAGGAGCAATGAATAGCTTATTCCTATGTGAAGATATTGGTAACTAAAATACTTTGGCAAATGTTTGTTGTCTTATAAAATTCTTTTTTATTTTTATGTTTTTTTTTTGAGGCGGAGTCTCTGTTGCCCAGGCTGGAGTGCAGTGGCATGATCTCTGCTCACTGCAACCTCCGCCTCCCAGGTTCAAGCGATTTTCCTGCCTCAGCCTCCCAAGTAGCTGGGACTACAGGCGCACGCCACCATGACCGGCTAAATTTTTTGTATTTTTAGTAGAGACAGGGTTTCACCCTGCTGGCCAGGCTGGTCTGGAACTCATGACCTCAGGTGATCCGCCCACTAAGTGCTGGGATTACAGGTGTGAGTCACCGCACCTGGCCCTCTATTTATTTTTTTATAAGAATTAAAATGTTAGAAATGACTTTCGAGGTGGGCTGTTTCCCTTCAAGTTATTATTTAAGCAGTAGATGAAGTTACCATTAATGTAAAGTCCTGGTTTTAAAGAACTAGTTACTGATTCCATTTGGAAATTATTTTTATGAGGATTTTCAGACATTTGAACATTTTCAACTGGCACTGAAAGTTGAATACTGCTTTTAGAATAACAACAGAAAATCAAAGCCTGTATGTTCCTTTTCCCTTTTACTTGTTAAGCAAATCTTGAAGAAGTTACTTGACTCATTGTTCTGAATGTCTTAATCAGTCACTTTAATTTTTTGAAAGAATTTCCTTGAAAGTGTTCTTAAATAAAAATAGGGATCTTCCTGTTAGTGAGTGTAAAATTACTCAGCAGTGATTCTTTGGTTTTGTGAAACTTAAGGGAAGACTAACTCTTCTTTCTCTATCCCTTCCTTCCATTCCCTCTGCAGTCCATCATCTTGGTTCAGGCCTTTGTGACAGTTCTTGCCTAGCCTCCCAAAAGATAGCTTTCCCCACTTCTCCTGCTTGTCAGTGTTTTCAACCACCTGCAGATGACTTCTTCAGGTCAGCAGTAGTTGTCACTTACCTCTTGGACCAACCTTTTGGGATTCCTTATTGCCTGATGAATTTAATGGATTTCTTACCATAGTATTCCAGGTCCTGATAATCTGCTCCCAACCTATAGCTTTCTAGTCTTCCTCTCCCTCATTTTATGCTCTGGGACAGTGAGCAAGTTAGTGTATACTGAGAAGAGAAATGATTCGGAATTTTTAGGTATAGAAGGACTTACAAAAAGTTTATTCTTGATGGAGAGTAGAAATTAGTGACCATTGTGGATTTGAGAGTGTTCATTGTTTTTGAATCACCGTTACCAGAAAGACAAAGAGTGGCGAGTAACTCAGTAGTCAAAGGGGAGGGAGTAACAGACTTGTGCATGTTGGAGATTGAGGTAATGTGAACATTCAGACATAGATGTTTGAGGAGAGTAGGGAGAAAGGAGTAGATGGAAAGTGTAGCTGGAATGCAAACTAGATATAATCTGGGTTTTATTACTCTCTTCATACTTACGAATAAGAAAGACTATTAAAAAAGAATGCCTAGGCCAAAAAGATTGTCACTAATACAAACAATAAGCTAAATGACTCTTACTGCAAGAAAAAAAGAAAAAGAAATTATAAGCTGAAAAGAAATTGGAATGAGGAAAACTATTGAAAATTTTCCATAAAATGACAGATAAGATTAGGAAAGTATGAGAAGGATCGTATACCCCCATCCCACAAAAAAGGAAGTTGCTGTCTTGGAACCAACTATAATTATGAGACCATTGATATACAGGGATGTTCTTGGTTTTCAGGATTTATGGTGGAAATAAATTAAGGACTCTCCTTATAAAATCTAGAGATAAGATGCAATATTTTGATAAAACAATATACCATGATACTGTTTTGGATTTTATCTTTTAAGACTGCTTGCAATGGAGCTATAATGACATCTTTTTGGTATATACAATAAGAAACTCTTGGACAGGATGAAACACATGTCAACCTTATATTGTATATATGCTGGAAGGGATTATTATAAGGTTCAAGTAGTTTCCATAGTAAAATTTTTCTTACTAATTCTACACGACTCCTTATTTTTCTCTTAGTAAACTTGAGGAATAATTGAATAGTGGGGGAACAGTTTCTGGAAGCGTTTATTCAATGAGATTCAAGACACGTATTCTGTAAGAAGCATCATAAAAACAAAATGCACAGTATATAGGTGGAGAATGAAACCATACTAAAAATTTAGTCAGGGCAACCTGACCAGACAATCTGCAAATAATACGTTCTGTACCCTGCAATTTTCAATGTTGAGTTTTCTCTTTTTTCTTTACTCACAAGAATCTCTGCAGCTGCTGTTTGGGGTCCTGGGAACACTAAATGCAAATGATCATTGAGACCCAGGAATGATAGTTTTAGTTCCCCAATTATGGTGTAGGCATTGCAAAGACCCTCTTCCATAAATGACACCCTTGTATTTTTTTGATTTAAGAGACCTGTCTCTGTTATCATTGGATTTAAGGTAAAACCTCTTCAGAGATCTGTGTTTAAAGCTATTTCATATGTAATATATATATTTTTTCTTTTGTCTTTTTAGCCGTGTGGTTTTGCCATGTTCTGTTCAGGAGGTGAGTTTTTCTTGCTTCTGCATCATTTTATTGGTATATGTACTGTACTTTGATATGTTACTCTAAACTCACATTTTCGTAGTATTGATTTACCTTTTCATTCCACCTTATGTGACAAAATTAATTATATGAATGATAATTGCAAAGAATTGCAAAATGAATTAAATGAATGATAATGAATTTCTTGCTACACTGCCTTGTTTTGGAAGAGTCTAAAGAATGTAGTTTAACCTCCTGTCTAGTGCAGGAATTCTTTCTCCAACATCCCAGAGAAATGAGGCTCCAGCCTCAACTTAAGTACTTTAAGGTTAAGTAGCTTGCTGCTTAGAGAAGCAGCCTACTTTACTGTTGGACATTTTAAACATTTGTGTTTGAACCAAAATCTGCTTTTCCTATAATGCTTGACTCTTGTTTACAGTTTATCCCATTTGAGCAATGGGAAATAAGCCTGTTCTGTCTTGTAGTGGTTAATCCTTCAGGTTTTCTGATGGCAGCTCTCCCCTCCAGCCAACCCCATCCCCCACAAGCACTTTTATTTCATCTTAGAAAGTCTCAAGGTTAAACATTCCCAGCACATTCACTTGGCTTAATACAGCATGATATGTGGACTTGCTACCAGCTGGTCCTGTTACTATATGTGTTGTAATTGTTGATCTGAACTGAAAACAGTATTCCAGACATGGTATGAACAGCACACAACTGTAAGAGCTTATTGTTTTCCTCAGTCTGGACATGATACAGAAATATATCACCTATTCAGAACTTGCATGTCCTGCAGTTATAGCCATGTGTATTGTAGACAAGAATGAAGATAAGAGCAGAAACAGCTTCTGAGAAATCAAGATATATATAGCAAAACCCATAAAACCCTCTAGGCTCTTCTGTAACTTGCACACAGTTCCCATTTGCTCAGTTATCTGGTTTTCCTAGAGCTGACAGTAGATTAGAAGCAGTGACTTGGAAGTGGGACAAAACAAACTGATAACCTAAGAAGTGACAGCTGACAGAAGACAGAAAGAAATGCAGGAAGTGAAAAAGAGTAGCTGTCTGGCACTGTTTAGTGTAGACTTGAACACAGTTGTTTATATCTCAGGAGGATTCACTGTATTAAAACACTCCAGAGAAGCTAGGCACCCTGTTCTCTATTTGCACAATTGATTGTTTGAAGTTGAATGTGGAAATTGACACTTGTTTCTGTTAGACTTTTTCTTTTGATTTCAGCTGGTTGAATCAGCTTGTCGAAATCTTTTTGAGTCTTGGTATTGTCACTGAAAATACTGTTCTCGGCTTTTTGTTATACTCCCCCCCCCACCTTTTTTTTTTTTTTTTTTTTGGAGATGGAGTCTTGCTCTATCGCCCAGGCTGGAGTACAGTATTGCGATCTCAGCTCTCTGCAACCTCCGCCTCCTGGGTTCAAGCAATTCTCCGTGCCTCAGCCTCCCTAGTAGCTGGGATTACAGGCACCCGCCACCGCACCTGGCTAATTTTTGTATATTTATTAGAGACCGGGTTTCACCATATTGGTCAGGCTGGTCTCGAACTCCTGACCTCAAGTGATCCACCTGCCTCAGCCTCCCAAAGCCTTGGGATTACAAGCATGAGCCACTGTGCCAGGCCTGTATGCACATTTTTAAAACATGCCTTCTGTGTCTATTTCTTATTCTTTTTTTTTTTAATTTTTTATTCTTAAAAAAGGAGAATGAGAGAAAACTAAGTAGCATGCCATGAAATGTCAGTCCATTAACGTTTTTTTGGATACAGTTCATTTGAATATTGTTATTGTGTGTTCCTGACCAAAATGAAATTTATCTTTTGACCTAGACTCATTTTAGTCCTGTTTTAGAATATGATAGTGTTTAAAAGTACATGTTGAAGGTATTTAAGGATTGTGGCATTATTAGACTAACCCTAGTGTTGTATCATGGAAAGCCAAAAGGAGAAATGCAGTCCTGTCTGCAGGCCCTACAGAAATTTATTTTGGGAGCATTTAAGAAATATGTTTGGTTTCAACTTCCCAAACACTTCCAAATTGAGTAAGAGTGTGTGTGTGGGTGTGTTTTTAAATTTAACTAATAGGCAAGATAGCATCATATCTCCATGTGATTTGTAGATATGAATGTTTACTGAGCTTAAACTACCTGTTGTTTTGGTCCCTCACATAAAATGTTAATTTTGAAATTACAAGTTCTTAGAGGTAGATTTTTGTAGTTTTTCTTTGAAAATATGCTTATAAAGAAGAAATACACTTCTTCAAGCTGTTTTCATTAGAAGGAAGAAATTTAGCCAAATTTGAAGTGATGGAAGATAGTGCCACAGTTGGGTCACTGTAACAAATTAGAACACGAGAACTTTTTCCAACATTTGTTGGAACTAGCGACTCCAGATTGGCGTAGAAAATACAGTTGACTTACAGGTATTGATGGAGGCCTCTGAGATTTCTGATTCACGTTAAATGAAATAGAAGCTACTGTCAGCAATTTCCTACCTTTTATGGTAATATGTATACATTCATATTACTTTAAAAACAGTTTCTGTTTGTTCTCTTTACTTGAGGACTCACAATGAACCATTTCTGATCTTGGGCCCCCAATACTGTTTCTGGTTAGCTGAAGAAGGACCAAATTGAGTGTATCATAAATAAGTCATAAGTTAAAAATGACCCCAGAAGTCTACTAAGATTTGGACTATCTATTATGTTTCTTTGGATCTCCAGGCTTTTGTTATTACAGTTTACATCCCTCCCCTTTATCATTAAGAGCAATATGCTGGTTGCTCAGCTTTAGTTGGCAAAGTGCCAGTTGTATTTCTGCCATACCTTTCTTGGAATTTTGTGAAGTTAAATGAGAAATAATAGAGGTGAAAATGCTTTGTAAAGTACAAATATATATTGTTCAAAAGTTAAACCAAGTTTCGAGACATTTTCTTGATAAATGGGTAGTGTAAAGGCACCAGAGTATTTGTAACTGGCAAATTTTTTGAATAATGAAAGTTTATAAAATACAGGTTTTTAAAACTGTATAATAATCTGTGGTTTGTCTTCCTAAACGTATTAATTTCTAATTTGAGTTGTGTTTTCATATTGAACACAGTTGTGCTGAATGGTTTGGATATGCTTTTCTATATCATCTATATTATTAAGATTTTAGCATACTAAATTTCTGCAGTTACTACTGACTTACTCAGTTTCTGTATTCTTTGAAATTTCAGTATCAGGTTGGGCAGCTTTACTCTGTTGCAGAAGCTAGTAAGAATGAGACTGGTGGTGGAGAAGGAATTGAAGTCTTAAAGAATGAACCTTATGAGAAGGATGGAGAAAAGGGACAGTATACGCACAAAATTTATCACCTAAAGAGGTAAGCGGTGTTCACATTTGACGCCTTGTAACTACCTGGCTTACTTATGATGCATGTAACTAGCTAACTTAACTAGTAGATGTGAAGTACATTTTTAATTTCAGTTTGATAATATATTGCATTTTAATTCTTTGGCAGAACCTCCTCCTTTATTTGTAAATTAGAAAAGGATTATATCTGCTTATAACAAAAATTCAGATAAAAACTTAGTCCCTGCTCCTTGCCATCAAATATTTGTAACACAGAGAGAAACACTAGAAGCAGCTTAGAGTTTATCTTTCTAGATCATTTTCTGTATATATTCAAAGGAATTTTTAAAACATAGCGATGTATTACTTGTATCAATTTTAGTTTTCTACAACAAATGGACCATATGAATGGTTTTGCAGTTTGCTTTATTTCTGATGAACATCTTCCATATTGTTATTTAATATCTGTGTGATTCTTTTTAAAGCTAAGTAAAATTTCTTCTGGACATAGTATAGTTTACTTAACCATTCCCTACGTTGTAAGTCCATTTAGGTATTTTAGAATTTTCTAGTTTTTGTCTGTTATAAATAATGTTTCTGGCCAGGTGTGGTGGCTCACATCTGTAATCTCAGCACTTTGGGAGACAGAGGCAGGAGGATTGCTTAAGCCTAGGAGTTCGACACCAGCCTGGGCAACACAAGGAGACCCCATCTCTAGTACAACAACAACAACAGCAAAAAAATTGGCCAGGCGCGGTGGCTCACGCTTGTAATCCCAGCACTTTGGGAGGCTGAGGCGGGCAGATTACGAGGTCAAGAGATCGAGACCACCCTGGTCAGCATGGTGAAACCCTGTCTCTACTAAAAATACAAAAATTAGCCTGGGTGTGGTGGCGCACGCCTATAGTCCCAGCTACTTGGGAGGCTGAGGCAGCAGGATCTTTTGAACCGAGGAGGTGGAGGTTGCAGTGAGCCGAGATCACACCACTGCACTCCAGCCTGGTGACAGAGCGAGACTCCGTCTCAAAAAAAAAAAAAAAAAAAGAAATTAGTGGGGCATGGTGGTGTACGCTTATGGTCCCAGCTACTTGGGATGCTGAGGTGGGAGGATCACTTGGACCCAGGAGTTAGAGGTTGCAGTGGGCTGTGATCACTGCACTTCAGCCTGGGCGAAAGAACAAGATGGACGCTGTCTCAAAAAATAAACTTTTATGAACATGGTTGTACATGTGTCTATATGCCTTAGGTTACTGTTCCTAAGAGAAGTTATAAAATGAGAAATTAATAAAAGGATTGCTGGGAGGACATGCACCTTTTAAATTTTGATATTACTGCCAAAATTGCCCTTCAAGAGTTTGATAGTATTTTTCCATATTTTTCTTTTTAATTTTTGCTAATTTCGTAGACAAAAGATAGTCTCTTGTTAAAATTTGTATTTCTTTATTAGTGAGGTTGAATGTCTTTTTATGTTAATTGACCATTTGAATTTCTTGTATGACTTTTGACTCTTCATATGCTTTCTTCATTGTTTCTTTTCTCTTTGGTTTGTTGAAGTTTTTTTGCACATTCCCTTAAGTTTGGCAGTCTAATCTGTATCTTTGGCATAAATATTTTAAAACAAAAAATGCTGGCCAAGTGTGGTGGCTCAGGCCTATAATCCCAGAACTTGGGAGGCTGAGGTGGGAGTATTGCTTGAGCTCAGGAGTTTGAGACCAGTCGGGGCAATATAGTGGGACCTCATCTCCACAAAAAGAAGAAACAAGCCAAAAAAAAAAAAAAAAAAAAAAGTACTACCAGTATTTATCTAAGGGCAGAAGACCAGTAATGGCTTTTAAGAGTCCATTTTGTCATTGTCTCCCTAGTTAATTACAGGTGGGGGATCTTTTGCCTCTATTCTCTTCATATTGAAATGAATCATACTCATGTTTTGTGGAACTCCTTAAAGTTGTAGCTGTCATGATCAGATTTTTTTTATATTTCCTCAGCTTAACTCTGCTACTTGATTTACAGTGACCCATAACCTACTCATCCTTGGTTTATAGTGACACATAATCTTATCTCTTTATAGAACCTTAAATTTTATCATTATTTTCGCTTAGAATACAGCATTTCTTTGCTTCTGTTGCTGGTTTGACTTAAGAAATAAGGCAGTAACTCTGATCAATCAATTATCCATAAGGAAGGTCTTTTCATGGTTTCTATTAATTTGTTAGTACCCTAAGTATATCTGAAAAATATGTCTATTGAGAGAAGATTTTGGCATTCCAGATGGTATAGTCTATATATATTTAAAGTTTTGAATTTGCTTATATATACTCAGCTTTCTTTTTCTAGCATTTTTGCATTTACCTGTTAATTGAAGTATACCCCACCACATATAAAAGTTCCTCTTAAAGACACTGGACTCTTCCTGGGGGTTCTAAAATAAGCCAAAAAGTTTGATGTATAAAATTTTTTATTGGCCTCTGATGTTCTGTTTAGATCACTATCCTATAAGTAAATAAATTTGAAATAGATTCAAAATGTCCTCTGGTTGAAATCTAAGAGTTGGAATGTTGAGGAAGTGTTTGATACATTCTTGCATGGAAAAGAACAGTTTGAAATAATGTGTAATACATAATACATTACATGTGTTTTGAAAAAAATCAGAAAAAAAAAAAGCCTAAAAGAGGTACATTAAGATGTTGAGAATATTTATCACCTGGTAGTGGGATATGGGTGATTTAAAAAATCCCACTTAAATCACCCATATCCCACTACCAGGTGATAAATATTCTCTTCTGTATTTTCATTTTTATGAGAAAGAAAAGGAATGTTAAATATGATTTTTGAAACAGTTGATTTAGGTAACACTCCAGTCATGAATAAGGAGTCTCGTAAGTTGAAGAGGGCTAGATAAATATGGTTAGTGCAAGAGATATTCTTATTCCGGAGAGGTTATTTGGGGATGAGGTTCAGAATTCCTCTCAGGCTTTCAGTGGTTAAATAAAAGAAGATTTTGGCTCTCGGTGGCCAACCTTCCAGCACATTTGGGCTTCTAGAACAACTTCTCCATTCCTAGGAGGAGCGGAGTACCCTGTGGTTTTACCCTCTCATGCACTCATTTACTTGTCATTGCAATCCTGAGAAATAGACAATATTCATATTGTACCTAAGACACTAAGGCACGTATTTACCCAAGGTCACAGCTAATAAGTGACAGAATGGTGACAGAGACCTAGGTGCTCTGATTTCAAATCCCACACCCACATCAAGTCCCAGATGCCTGATGAATACAAGGCACTCCCATGAGAAGGGAGAGAGGGGATCTGCTGGGATGGCGAGGGTTGATTCCCATAGAAGGTTGGCCTTATCACACAAAGATGGCAGCTGTGGGCAAAAGCACAGAGAGGAATGAGACAGGAAAGGGAAAAAGGCAAGAGGGTGGCAGTAATGAGTCTCAGGCAGCATGGGAAATAATGACTATTCTGACAGTAGTGAGGAACAAAAACCTAACCAATAATAAATAAACTGGGCAAAACAGGGCCCATTTGCTGTCCTCTGGAGGAGGGAATGGCTATGGGGCAGTCAGATGTCCACAATGACAAATTTCTCAGTGTCAACATTGAAAGCACATCAGCCACAGGATAACTATATTATGGAAGGGCAAAGAATCATTTAGTAGTAAGTGCTGAGGCCTTCACTGTTCTGCAGGAAAGACCTCCATCCCAAGGCAAGCCTAAAGGTGCAGCCCCATGAGACTCACAGTTTTCTTTAGGGCATCATCTCAGCATGCTGAAGACATACCCATAGTCCCTAGCTAGTTTTAGAGCTCTCCCTGAGGAAGTTAAATTTGTGTCTAGTAATATGTTTGCTTTTTCAACAACATTTACTCCATAAATTATCCTAAGCTGGGTGCACCGTCACTATATAACATCAATAAAACTACAAACTTGACTAAGGCCACCAAGGCCTTATTTTACTTTTGAGATACTTGAAATTCTGAGATCTACTTTAGCCAGTATAACTCAAGTCTCTGGATTCCCTGACCTGTATGCTTTCCCATTTCAGCAAAACACTTCTTGGTAGCATATATACACTTAATCTCAACCAGAAGGTTGAGAAACAGTCTTTGTGAATATTGACAAAATCTGAAAGTTGGTTACTCATTGCACGGGACATTTGAAATGTCTGGTTTCCTTGAATCTCAGGTGATACATCATCTCATGGGATAATGAGATTTTGTCCATATTTTGTTTGATAACTTAGAGTGAGTGTTTGCCCATGGTAATTCTGAACAGATCTAGTACTTATGTATTTTTACTGTGTGCTGGTCACTGGGTTATTGGAAGTGTTTTAGGTGGGAGTTTATTCATTCCTCACAGCAACTTTTTATAGTGAGGAAACTGAGGTCCAGAAAGGTTTAACTTACCACATGTCTCACTGCTATTTGGTAGCAGAGATAGGACTTGAACACAGACCAACTCCAGAACCTGCCCTCTTAACCACTTTGCTCAACTAACCACTTTGCTCTACGTCTGAATCCTGTGGAAGAGTTATTTTCCATTTCCTGAAGTTAACTCCTTGGGAGTTTAGAGAAAAATTCTTCCAAAACCACAGGTTTCACCATCTCTTACTTTCTCTGAAGTCTTTAACGTCTAAAGTCTTCTTCCAAAATAAAGCTAAACTTAACAAGGTATTTAAGATTCCCAATTGTATAAGTCCATCCAGAACAAAAACCCTTGGCTGTAAGCAATCCAGTCTCTGCTGTCTTCCTAACATAAACTGTTCAGCCCACCCTGAGCGTTTTTTTCAGCCCCTTATGCTGGGGCCTCTCATAACCTGCTTGGTTTTCTGAGTACACCTCAGAACTATCCTATGCAGAGGCATTCCATGGCTGATTTTATTCACTTCGATCCCTCTTCCCTAAATCCATCATATTTGTCATTTCGACTCATTTTGATACCTAGTCATATATTTCCATATGTGCATGTTTGTCTTGTTGTATCCTGTTTTCCACTAAAGTTTGTTTCTTTGATAATAACTTAGTAGTAGATGGCAGTGAAAGAGGAAGGAATTTACTGGGCAGAGAATTTTGGAGCAAGACAAAGAAATGTGTTGTAACTTTCAGATGGTATTTCAGAGAAAAGCTTGTAGCTCTCCTGAGACCTCACTGTACGAACACACTGACCAGTCCTTTTTGCTAGTTTATTTGCTCACCCTTCTTGAGGAAAGTCAGCTTTATTATTTCTTATTCTGCGTAAGTGTTACACTTTCGCCATCTTCAGTCAGTCCTGATTGATGGGGAATTTATAAAGCTTTGCCAACTCCAGAACCACCTTGTTTCCCAAAGGTCGAAACAGAAGAGGTTTTTATTGAAAAATAGTTATTTTAAAATTTCATGTGGTTCCAAGGTAAGAGTTCATTTTTGTAAGCAAAAGGAGTCATTTGCCAGGAACTTAAATTATGTTTAAAAATGAGGAATTTAAATCACTTGAAAATGAAAGGATTGATTGTAACATACTTCTTCACATTCAGAGAGCATCTTGCACATGTAAGAAATTAATAGGCTGGGTGTGGTGGCTTGCCTGGAATCCCAGCACTTTGGGAGGCCAAGGCGGGTGGATTATTTGAAGTCAGGAGTTCGAAACCAGCCTGGCCAACATGGTGAAACCCCGTCTCTACTAAAAATACAAAAAATTTAGCGGAATGTGGTGGCAGGCACCTGTAATCCCAGCTACTTGGGAGGCTGAGGCAGGAGGATTGCTTGAACCTGGGAGGTGGAGGTTGCAGTGAGCCAAGATAATGATTGTACTCCAGCCTGGGAGACAAGAGTGAGACTCCGTCTCAAACAAAAAAAGTAAAGGAAAAATTTATAAATATCAGCCAAACATAATTTGTTCTTGAGTCAAGAATTAGCCATCATAGACACATGTTATTTGTCATTATATGTAGTTTAGTCCTAAAGTTTTCACAGTTCAGAGTTTTCCAAATCAAGAGTGATCCTGTTTCTGAAAAATATCAGAAGTATTTTCTGAAATATATTGTTTCCTCTTGATGGTGTATCTCATTTTTCATTTATTATTCCCCTTTTATTGTGTGAAAAATACTTTTCTCTTTGTTTTTTGTAATTCTCCAGGACTTTAGAGTCTCTTGTCTCCCAGAAGTTAGGCAGTTTGTGTCTGGTTATTTTATTCCCTTCCCACAAACTGGGGTTGTAAATCATTTCTGTAATTTCCCTCCTCTTGTATCTTCTTTTCTTTCTTTCTTCCATCTCCATCATTACTGTTAATCAATCAAAGTTACCTTCTCTCTCTTAGACTTGCCTCCTGGCTGATATTTTGCCATCCATTCTTTTTCTGACTTTAAAATTAATTGAGATATAATTTATATGCCATAAAATTCATTCTTTTAAAATGCACACTTCAGTAGTTTTTGGTATATTCACAGAGTTGGGCAACTGCCATTGTTACTTAATTTCAGAACATTTTCAACAATCCAGAAAGAAATCTCGTATTCATTAGCAGTCACTGACTATTACCCACTCCTCCCAGTGCCTGGCAACCACTGATCTACTTTCTGTCTCTGTAGATATACTGTGGATATTTTATATAAATGGAATCATGTAATATGTGGCCTTCCGTGATTGACTTCTTTCACTTAGCGTGTTTTCAAGGCTTGTCTGTGTTAAAGCATGTATCACTACTGCTTTGATTGCTGAGTAATATTCCATTGTATAGGCCTGCCACATTTTGTTTATCCATTCATCAGTTGTTGAACATTTGGGTTGTTTTCACTTTTGGCTGTTACAAGTAATGCTGCTGTTAACATTTGTGCATACTTTTTTGTGTGTGTGTGAACATGTTTTCAGTTCTCTTGGAGATATATATTGCTGTGAGTGAAATTGGCTGGGTCATATGATCACTCTGTGTTTAACCTTTTGAGGAACTGTCAATCAGCTTCCCGAAACAACTACACCACTTTATAATGTTATCAGCAGTGTATGAAGGTTCCAGTTTCTCCACATCCTCATTATCTTTTTTATTACAAGCATTCTAGTGTGTGTGAAGTGGTATCTCATTGTGGTTTTGGTTTTGATTTGCATTTTCTTGGTGATTAATGATGTTAACATCTTTTCAAGTGCTTTTTGGTCATTTGTATATCTTCTTTGTTTGAAGAAATATCTGTTCAAATCTTGTACCCCCACTTTCTTTTTAGTTTTTTTTTTTTTTTTTTTTGGGAGACAGGGTCTCACTATGTCATCTAGGCTGGACTGCAGTTGCTTGATGATAGCTCACTGTAGCCTTGAACTCCTGGGCTCAAGCAATCCCCCCACCTCAGCCTCTCGAGTAGCTGGGACCATAGGTGTGCACCACTGTGCTCTGCTAATTTTTTTTTTTGTAGAGGTGGGGGGTCTCCCTGTATTGCCCAGGCTGGTCTCCAACTCCTGGTGCTTAAGCTATCCTCCTGCTTCAGCCTCCCAAAGTACTGGGATTACAGGTGTGAGCCACTGGCCTTGGCTGCCCATTCTTTTTTTTTTTTTTTTTTGAGACAGTTTCACTCTTGTTGCCCAGGCTAGAGTGCAATGGCGTGATCTCGGCTCACCACAACCTCCGCCTTCCGGGTTCAAGAGCTTCTCCTGCCTCAACCTCCCGAGTAGCTGGTATTACAGGCATGCACCACCACGCCTGGCTAATTTTGTATTTTTAGTAGAGACGGGGTTTCTCCATGTTGGTCAGGCTGGTCTCGAACTCCTGACCTCAGGTGATCTACCCTCCTCGGCCTCCTAAAGTGCTGGGATTATAGGCCTGAGCCACCATGCCTGGCCTCTGGCTGCCCATTTTGAAATTGAGTTTTCTTTGTTAAGTTGTCTTATTTATATATTCCGGGTACTAGTTCCTTATCATAGAGGTGATTTGCAGATTTTTCCCCCATTCTGTGAGTTATCTTTTCACTTTCTTGATAGTGTCTTTTGAAGCTTAAAAAGTTTTTAATTTTGGTGTTTGCCTATAGTCCCAGCTACCTAAGAGGCTGAGGTGGGAGGATTGCTTGAGGCCAGGATTTCAAGACCAGCCCGGGCAATATAGCAAAACATACTGCGACCCCATCTTTACAAAAAAATTTAAAAATTAGCCCAGTCACAGTACAGCGTACCTGTTTGTCATAGCTACTCAGGAGACGAGGTGGGAGAATCGCTTGAGCCCAGAAGTTAGAGGTGGCAGTGATCTATGATTACACCACTGTTCTCCAGCCTAGTGACACAGCAAGACCCTGTCTCTTAAAAAACCAAAGAAAAAAATAGTTTATGATTTTGATGAAGTCCAATTTATTTTTTCTTTTTGTAGTTTATGCTTTTGGTGTCATCAAAGAAATCATTGCCCAATCCAAGATCATAAAGATTTACATCTGTATTTTCTTATAAGAATTTTATAGTTTTAGTTTTTATTTAAGTCTTTATCCATTTTGAGTTAATTTTTGCAATTAACTCAATAATTGCATCCATTCTTTCCCACTCCAATTAATTTTTCACACAAAGCCAGAATGGTCGTAAAACTGAAATCAGGTTGTGCCATTCCCCTTTTTAAAGCTTTCAGTGGCTTCCCATCATCCAAAGAATAAAATCTAAACTCTGTGACGTATAAGGTGGGGCCCATGTGGTCTTTCTGCCCTCTCTCCATGTTTGGTCACTGCAGTCTAGCCATGCTGGAGGCCTAAGAGTGGCTCAAGCACGTTAAGTCTTTTGCTGTCTTAGGACCTGTAGTCATGCTGTTCCCTCTGCTTGCTGTTCTGTTCCCTGCCTCCGTACCCTTGGATCACTGCTGTAATATTATTTCCTCAGAGAGGCCTTCCCGAATACCCTTGCTCCACTTACTGATTGCCCAGTACCCTGTTCTTTAATTTCACTGCACTGCTTGTTAAGTAATTCTCTTTGTATTTTGTTGTTTACTAATCTGTTTTCTGCCTCCATCCCTGGAAATAAGTTCTGAGTAGGAGTCGTCCCTGCGTACTCACCATTATTTACACAGCCCCTGGCCTGGCGCAGTGGACACAGGAAATATTTGAGTGGATGAATGAATGAGGTACCCAGTATTTTATGTATGTAGGTATATATATATTTATTATTATTATTTTTGAGACACAGTCTCACTGTGTCCCCAGGCTGAAGTACAGTGGTGTGATCTTGGCTCACTGCAGCGTCCACCTCCCTGAGTCAAGCGACTCTCCTGCCTCAGCCTCCCAAGTGGCTGGGATTGTAGGCACCCGCCACCATGTCCAGCTAATTTTTGTGTTTTTAGTAGACACAGGGTTTCATCATGTTGGCCAGGCTGGTCTCGAACTCCCAACCTCAGGTGATCCTCCCACCTTGACCTCTGGCAAAGTGCTTGGATTACAGGTGTGAGCCACCGCACCTGGCCCTTTCTTTTCTTTTCTTGCCTTCTCAGCTGAGCTTTTCCTGACTAGTGAAGAGAAGGCATCACAGTGTATTTAGGGGATATTTCAGTTGATTGTAAAATGAAAGATTAATTGGTTTATTTATGGTAAATTAATCTGGTCTTCAAATTCTTCCCTATATTTTTCTGTGTTTTGATGTTCATCTGCAGTGGGAAGGAGAAGGGTGGGAAAAGTTGTCTTGCTTGTGTGGTTTACAGATAGACATAATAATTTCCAGGGAAAAGTGCATGGTATTATTTATCTCAGGAATAGGATTAAAAAAGGAATGTGCCTAGATCAGGCGTTCAGTGTACCTTATGGTCATATTTTACCCTGAAGTTAAATAGTCTTAAAGTACTATTCAGAGTGGGAGAAGCGGTATGTATTCCTGAAGAGTCTTCATGGTCCTGGGCATTGTGCTATGGGTAACTCTTAACTCTTCACTCTTAAGCAGCTGAAATCTAGCCATGTTTACCTTGAGGTAAGTGAACGCTGTTCCGAGTATTGGTTTATCATGAGGGAGCACCATTTTGTGAATAGTTTGGGAGGACAACTGAAGGATTGTCTTTTTTGCATGTTTGTTTTTGAAGGCCTATCTCCCATTTTGTTAATTCAGTTAATAATTGTTCCTTTTCTGAGGCTCTCTAAGCTTCCAAAACAGGAATCTGCTACATTTTACTAAAGGGCCTTACTATTGTTCATTCAGTTAATAATTGTTCTTTTCGGAGGCTAAGCTTCCAAATGAGGAATCTGCTGCATTTTACTAAAGTGCCTTGCTAAGTGGTAACTGTGGTGGCAAAATGATGTATATGCTCTCAATTATATATACCTGGCACACTTGAACTACCATGTTAGGAATATATTAAGGTTGCCATTAATAAAAATTTCTAACCTTTGAAGTAGAATTGAAATTTAATTTTATTTACTCCATGTGCACATTTTCCTCGTTTAGTCAGTTACTTAGATTCATTGAGGAGAGATGTATTTGATAATGTTCTCACGTTAAACATAAAAAAAAAGTAAATTTGAAATCTAGCTTATAGATTTGGACTTTATTAACTCAGTCAAAACATAAAATGAATTGCTGGAATTCACATGGTGGGAAAAGTATCTTAGAAATAAGATAGTAGGCATTTGGGAGCGAGATAAAGAAATATTAAAATTTTCATGTAGATTTGGCTCATGTTGGCCTTTAATGATAAATGCCAATTTCCTTCTATTTGAGTCAGCAAATTTTAGAACATTTTATGAATATTAAGGTTCTTCACATATCAGGCACTATAGGAATAAATGGATAGTTAAAATATGTGTCTGAGTTAATACAGAATTGTTTCTCCTGCCTTTTTGTTTTTTCTTTCTTTTTTTTTTTTTATTTTTTATTTTAAAGACAGAGTCTTGCTATGTCACCCATGCTGGAGTGAAATGGCATGATCTCAGCTCACTGCACCCTCCACCTCCCAGGTTCAAGCAATTCAGCCTCAGTGTCCCGAGTAGCTGGGATTGCAGGCACCCACCACCATGCCCGGCTAATTTTTTGTATTTTTAGTAGAGATGGGTTTTGCCATGTTGGCCAGGCTGGTCTCGAACTCCTGACCTCAGGTGATCCACCCACCTCTGCCTCCCAAAGTGCTGGGATTAGAGGCGTGAGCCACCACGCCTGGCCTCTCCTGCTTTTTCTAAGTTGACCAGCTGAACCATTGATAGATCTGTTTGTCATACTCTCAGATGAATAGGTAGTCTTGTAGCTTGGCTTAAAAAATTATCCTCATGTGTTCCATTGTACCCTGATTAGACCTCACCCACACTTAAAGGGATTTTGGTTCTAGTTCTTTAGCAATGGGATAAATTTTTTGGACAGCTAGATACTCTTTGACTTTTAAAGTGATGTTATTTTCAGTTATCCTGGCTTGGTGTTTCTGAAGTTTGAATGAATTGTTCCACCATTTGAAAAGAAGTGATCAGGCCGGGCGCGGTGGCTCACGCCTGTAATACCAGCACTTTGGGAGGCCAAGGCGGGCGGATCACGAGGTCAGGAGATGAAGACCACCCTGGCTAACACGGTGAAACCCTGTCTCTACTAAAAATACAAAAAAATTAGCCGGGCCTAGTGGCGGGCGCCTGTACCCCCAGCTATTCGGGAGCCTGAGGCAGGAGAATGGCGTGAACCCAAAGTGGAGCTTGCAGTGAGCCGAGATCCTGCCACTGCACTTCAGCCTGGGCAACAGAGTGAGACTCCGTCTCAAAAAAGAAAAAAGAAATAAGTGAACAAAGAATTAGCTCCTTTCATTTTTAAGGATGTGAAGACATTAAGGAAGATTTAAATGAAGAAAGGCATATGAAAATACCCAGCTCCGTATCAACTTATAATTAAAAAGCAGTAACTACCATTTTTTGAGCTCATTGTACTGTGCAATGTGCTAAACACATTCCAGTATTTGATTTAATTCTCTTAATAACCCTGCAGAGCAGGTAATAGGAATTCCATTCAACACATGAGGAATTTCAGAGAAGCCAAGTAGCAGGCCTAAGGTCACACAGCTTCCAAATGGTGATGTTGGGATTTGAATTCGATCTGTGTGAAAAGTCTGTGCAAGCAAAACTACTCTTTACAGTAGGCTCCAGTCACTATATCAGTCACTTCATTTGCATTTATTTGAAGACTGTTAAGACTGATTTTCCCATTTGTTTGTTAACAAATAACATTTTCTATTTGTAATGGGCCTGTGGATGACTTTTGCCCCTTTATATGTTGGGATTGTTTCTGATTATCATATGCTTGCACAAGCTTCTCATATATTAATCATGTATTGAACCTTTCTCTTCCTCTGAATATACTTAAGGCAGCAAGTGACATTCATCTCCCATACCTACAAAATTTTATACTTGGATATGCTTTAATTTCTCATTTTCTGCATGGGTCCTTTACATTGTCATTTTTCTTCAGGTCTGTTCTATAAAATGTATTCAGACTTTTATTCAGAGATATCTCCTTATTCTGGGGCTTTTTGCATTAAGAAACAGTATAATGTCATCTAACTCTTAAGAACTACATTGTATTAATGTGCAGATTGAATAGCTGTTAACTCTTAGGTTTTACATTGGGGTAGTAGATCAGAAGTTCTTAAGAAATAATTGCTTCTATTTAAAAAAAAAAAAACCACACACACACACACAAAACCTTTTATACAGTTAATTTTTTTTTTCCTTGTGAGACAAGGTCTTGCTCTTTTGCCCAGGCTAGAGTGCAGTGGTGTGATCTCAGCTTGCTGCAACCTCTATCTCCCAGGTTCAAGTGATCCTCCCACCTGAGCCTCCTGAATAGTTGGGGCTACAGGCATGTGCCACCATGCCTGGCTAGTTTTATATTTTTTGTAGAGACAGGGTTTCACCATGTTGTCCAGGCTAGTCTCAAACTCCTGGGCTCAAGTGATCCTCCTGCCTCAGCCTCTCAAAATGCTAGGATTACAGGCATGAGCCACCATACCCAGCTAAATATTCTTAATCATTTTTATTTAAAATGTAAAAAATTATGTGTTCATTTCTACTGGATTACTTTAGGATTGAAATAAACTAGTTCATCAGACTTAGAACCTGGTCACCTTTGATTGCCATACTCTTTCAAGCAGTTGGATAGATACCAAGAAAGAATTGATGGTGCTGTTAAATATATCCAGTATCTCTCTTCTCCCAGCAAAGTGCCTGCATTCGTGAGGATGATTGCTCCCGAGGGCTCCTTGGTGTTTCATGAGAAAGCCTGGAATGCGTACCCCTACTGTAGAACAAGTAAGCTTGGCCCCCAGCAGCCATTGCACCCCTCCACCCTGAGAATGAGAGGGATTCCCAGTACCAGTGTCTTTGAGAAGGTTTACACTGAGCAAGGTCTTCCTTGGGTTCTTGGATAGTCACTGCTAGAATGATGGCAGAGGAAGGGCTGCATTGGGTTCCTCCCCCTAGAACTTTGTGACAGGCATAAGTTCATTCCCACATGGCAGCCACTTTGGGGTCCTAGCTGACTATGCTGGCTCCAGGGGTAAGCCAAAAGAAAGGTCGTTTACACTCAGAAGGGTGTTTTGGTGTGTTTCAACAGTATTTTACTTAAATTGCTACATAATAGAGGAGGAATAGGACAGACTTCTGAAACAGCATCCTATCATTTGCTAAATTGACCTTATAAATAATGTTTTGCTTTTGTGACATTATTATTCTTTTTAGCATTATTTTTAAAATTAGATTATTGTTCATATTTTATTTGTACTCCATAATCTAATGTACTGTATAGTGTCACTTGTGTGGAAACTGTTTTGCAGACATAAATTACTAAATAAATGTTCTGTTTTCAGATAGTTTAGTCTTTGTGACATTAAGTATTGGGACAGATTGTTTTGACTCCAATTAATATTCTGAAATTTTTCTCCTTTCATTACCTACCTCTCCATTATGCCTCAGTTGTAACGGTGAGTAAAACTATTTTTGTGTCTCATACTTTCTTTATCTTTAAACTTTGTTTTACACAGTAATTATTTTCAACCATTCTTTGCTAACTGCACCTCGCTGCATGGTTCCTTCCTGTGTCCCACCAACCAGCCGCCACACTCTACCACATGTTCCCAGTGTTCATGGGCCCTTTCCACCCTTGTCTCAAAATCTCCCTATTGATTTTATTTTGCTTTTGTTACTCCCTTCAAACGCCATATTTGTTTATCAGACCTCACAGCTTCTTTATTAGCCCGATATGCCACGTGGCAAGTAGAATTGTTTAAATTATTTAAAAGCATGTAGCATTTGGTTTGCCTGACAAGTCTATAAAAATCGGTAGCCAATGATTCTTTGTCACTTGAGTATCAGTCTCCTTGTAGAGTCAAAGCATGGATGCCTATACTGGGAAAAGCTCCCTCAGACGTGGGCACCAAGGAACAGGTAGAAGATCACTGTCATTTTCCTGTTGTGTTTTCTGCAGAATGAATATATGAAAGATGATTTCTTCATTAAAATCGAAACATGGCACAAACCAGACTTGGGAACATTAGAAAATGTAAGTTTCAACTCTGCACTTTTAGTACAAAAGTCCCTGGAAACGAGAATTCTATATGTAGTTCACTTTGTCATCATCAAAGTAATGTCACCTGTGTATCTGACCGCACCAAGCTGTGTCAAATTGAGATGAGGCGGGCAAGCAGCCAGAAACCAAATAGGCTTTCCCTATCAGTCCGCTTGCCTTGACACTTTGGTAAAGTTGCTGTTTTGATCAGCAACTCTCTTTATCCGAGACAAGGAGAGCATGAATAAACAAAATTCACAGATAATCCCCAGCCCAATTTTAGCCATTAGTTTTGCTAATTAGATTGCTTTTATATCTGAGTGTTTGTCAGAGCTGCTCTGCATAGCAGGATTGATTGCTTTAATTTTTACCTCTTGTCTGCTTTGCAAGGGTATGGGCTCATGTTAGAGAAATGGCCAAAAGGCAGGAGGGATAAAGTACTTGAATAACTTACAAAAATGTTGAAAAGCTGTTGACTTATATAAGTTGGTTCACATTTATCTCTTTAAGATTCAAGAACATCTTTGAGTTAGGACTTAAAAAAATGTAATCATTAACTTTTGGTAAGGTTTGTCGTGGAACTTGGGAAGTCCTGTTGTATAGGTTGATGCCCTTGGTCTAGGAGTTCTCAAAAGTGTGGTCTTTGGATGGGCCAGCAGCAGCACAGTATCTGAGGACTTGTTTGAAATGCAAATACTCTGACCTCACCCAAGAACTACCGAACCAGAATCTCTAGGGGTGGGACTCAGCAGTTTCTGTTTTCTGATGCACATTCATTCCAGGAGAGTAGGTTAATGATTGTGGCAAATTCTGTTTTTACTGTTCTATTACGGTGCTCTTACGTTATTGATGCCAGTTAATAGAACTTTGAATTTTAATATGTAGTATTTTACTTGAGTTTTCTTTCAAGTGATCATTTGACATTTTATGTTGTTTTTCTTTTTGTTTTTTTTTTTGAGACAGAGTCTTACTTTGTTGCCCAGGCTGGGGTGCAATCACGTGCTGTCTGCTCAGTGCAACCTCTGCCTCCTGGGTTCAAGCAATTCTCCTGCCTCAGCCTCCCAAGTAGCTGGGACTGCAGGCATGCACCACCATGCCTGGCTAACTTTTGTATTTTCAGTAGAGATGGAGTTTCACCATGTTGGCCAGGCTGGTCTTGAACTCCTGACCTCAGGTAATCTGCCTGCCTCAGCCTCCCAAAGTGCTAGGATTACAGGTGTGAGCCACTGCACCCAGCCTTTATGTTGTTTTTCTTAGTAATCCTCTATAATTTATAATCTAGATAAGATTATTTGGTGTGCATTAATCTGTATGACTTAATCTGATATTTTCAGCTTTTAAATGGGCATATCTTTGGCAGTTTTCAAACAATTCCTAATTAGTTCACAGATGGCATTTCAGAAATAAATGATTGATCAACATGCAGTAGAGAGGAGTTGGCATCATACTGAAACTGAATAGCTTTAGGATAATCAAATTTTGGAGAGATTTTAGACCATACAGTGCATCATTTGAATTCTACTTGTAATGTCACCTTATGTTTGTATAGGACTTTGTTGGTTACAAAGGTTACAAGTACTTTGTTGTGTATCATTTGGATTAAGCATAGGTCTCGTATATTTAGTTACATAAATCATCTGTGAGGACTGTCAGAAGATAATATTGACAGGTTTCTATTCATTTGGCAGCATCCTCATTCTCTCCTTCCTTATTATTTGGGGTTATAAGTGGTAATAAAAGACTTTTAGATCCTGCAAAATGTCAGACAGCTAATATAATGAAATAATAATTTGGGTCTTTTAATTCCCTATAATGTCCCCTGAGAGACTCAAGATAAAGATTATATGTGTAAGCATAATAGAATAATCTACAGTTTGTTTTGTTTCTTTTCTCTTTGTCATTGGTAGGTACATGGTTTAGATCCAAACACATGGAAAACTGTTGAAATTGTCCATATAGATATTGCAGATAGAAGTCAAGTTGAACCAGCAGTAAGTATTACTCAATGACATTTAATCTGTTCCCTTTTACAGTTAAAAATTATTTTCTACTATCACATTTGGGATTAAGTTAAAAAAATTATTTCCTTTCTTTCTTGTATGGCCTACATTTCTATGCCGAAGTGAGCTTGGAGTGAAGTCTAGTACGTCTGTGCAGCAAAGAGACCAGAGTAAGAGAGAAGGCGATTTGTTTTCTGTGTAGATTTTGGCTTTGTGCAAGTGATCCCTTTAAGAAATCCCAGTATACCTGGGAAATGTAGGTTGTTTTCATTGAAAAACAAAAAACACATTGTTTACAAAATAATTCTCCCTCCAGCTAGGTCCCTTTTACTTTTCAAATGTGATTAAGAAAGCAAAAATTTAATTTGCATACAAGTATTTAGTAACTCAGCTACAGTTGTTATTTGTGGAAAATGGTTGGTGTAGAGTATCTTTTTAAAAATGTTCTTTTAGATTCCAGAAGTAGGTGTAGAGTATTTTAATTTAATAGTTGTTTAGCTTTCTATTTTGAATCCTATTAAGATGTAAATATTTCTACTCCTGGCTTTTGACTTAATAAAAAAATTTCTTTTTCACAAGTAAAGATGCTTATTCCTCATGCCAGATTAAGACTCAAGATAAAGATTATATATGTAAGCATAATAGAATAATCTTAGGCTGGACACAGTGGCTTCCACTTGTAATCCCAACACTTTGGAAGGCCAAGGAGGGAGGATTGCTTGAGCACAGGAGCTTGAGACCAGCCTGGACAACATAGTGAGATCCTGTCTCTAAAAAGAAAAAAACGATTAGCTGGGCATGGTGGCATGTGCCTGTAATTCCAGCTACATGAGGAGGCTTAGACAGGAGGATTACTTGAGTCCAGAAATTTGAGGTTGCAGTGAGCCGTGATCGTACCACTGCACCCCAGCCAGGGTGACAGAGCGAGATCCTAGCTCAAAAAAAAAAAAAAAAAAAAAAAAAGGCTAGACATGGTGGCTCAAGCCTGTAATCCCAGCACTTTGGGAGGCTGAGGCAGGAAGATCACGAGGTCAGGAGATCGAGACCATCCTGGCTAACATGGTGAAACCCCTTCTCTACTAAAAATACAAAAAATTAGCCGGTATGGTGGTGGGCGCCTATAGTCCCAGCTACTCGGGAGGCTGAGGCAGGAGAGTGGCATGAGCCCGGGAGGCGGAGCTTGCAGTGAGCCGAGATCGCGCCACTGCACTCCAGCCTGGACAACAGAGCGAGACTCCGTCTCAAAAAAAAAAAAAAAGGAAAAAACAGACCCCTGTCTCATCTTGCCAAAGTTTATGAATATTAATGTGGTTCTTACTTTATAGTGTGCTAAGTGCTGCTTTGGTTTTACACAGCATGTGTAAATACAAGCACTGGTCCTCTTCCTCTAATCTAGAGAGCTAAAGCTTTGGAATAAGAGTGGTACCCTTTGTTTTGTCGTGGTCAAGCACGGTATGTTCAGTAGGCGTCCCTTTCCATTTCTATTTTTGGTGCTTATTCCCTGAACTTGAGCAGTGTTGTAAGTGAAACAGAAATAAGTCAAACGCTAAATGTCTGGTTTTGCTGTTGAAATTTAAAGGTAAACTTGCCTGAACAAAGGTCCCCGACCTTTTCTCAGATGTCACTGGGGTTGAGACTGCCAGCAGTGACCCAGTGCCAGGCTGGGCCAACTCTGCTAGGGCCCCCTTCCTGCTTAGAAGTGTGAGCACTGATAAGGGACTTTTGTTCTAGAAGTTCTTAAATTTTAGTTTTGCTGTGATTCGAAGTTGTTTCAATTTTAGGGATATTTCCACCTTTGACATTATATAGGGAGTTTTTCAATCTGTAGAAATGAAATGATATATCTGTTATGCCCTTTTATTTCTCTTGGTATTGTTTACAGCTAAGATTTACTATATGTGAAAGAATGATGGGAAGAGAAGTAATTGGGAGTAATGAGTGAGTTAGTTAATGACTAGGTCAGGACAGCTTACAAGCCTGGAGCTGCCCATCACTAAAATACCAAGCAGCAGTATGCCACACCAGGATCGGGTGCCCTGGGGAAGGCATTCCCATTATGTTGTTGGTGTTTGAAAATGCTATAATGACCAAACAAAATGGCTCGACTGACTCAGACTTATGGTCCATAGGTTTGCAGTCTACGTTGTTCACCAGCAGAGTACAAGATACCTTTGGTTTTGCTGGAGGCATAAAAATTCTTTGTTCCTGTCCTCAGGCGAAAATGGGCAGTGTTTACAGGCATGAATGCTGGTGGAAAGAGCAGAGTAAGGGCAGATTGCACAAGAACCGTGGAGGCCCTGGTTCCCATCACCTCCACCTCAGCACAGACTTCAGAGAGGAGAGGAGGCACTGGATGCATGACAGCAGCACTTGAGATAGGTGCTCCAGGTGGAAGGCACTGCACATGCAAAGGCTGAGTAGGTAGTTCTCTGTGTGAAAATGGTGATGTTTGGGGTGGATAGCTAGTGAAAAAGACTGGATTGAGCCCAAGTGAGGAGGATCTGTGTTGTGAGGTATGGAGCTTTGACTAAAAACATACATTCTAAAACTAGGTGGGCTTCAGATTTCCATTCTGAGGCTCTGCCACCTACTGGCTATTTAATCTTGGACAAGTTGGTTAGCCTCTCTTTGCCTGTATTATCTTGTGTAAAATGAGAGTAATTATAAGATTAAATGTGAGCACTTAAGAGTATATTAGTCTGTTTCATACTGCTGTAAAGATACTACCCATGACTGGGTAATTTATAATGGAAAGAGGTTTAATTCACTCACAGTTCTGCATGGCTGGGGAGGCCTTGGGAAACTTACAGTCATGGTGGAAGGGGAATCAGGCACGTTTTACATGGCGGCAGGAGAGAGAGGAGGAGGAAGGAGGAACTCCTAAACAGATCTTGTGAGAACTCACTCACCGTCACCAGAACAACATGGGGGAAGCTGCCCCCATGGTCCAGTCACCTCCCTTCCTTGACACATGGGGATCACAGGTCCCTCCCTTGACATGTGTTAATTACAATTTGAGATGAGATTTGGGTGGTAACACAGAGCCAGATCTTATCATACAGCCAGTGTGTAGTTCAGTAAATGCTAGCTGTAATTATCATTATTATTAGCTCCAGTTGTACAAGAGTTCCAAGAGTCTGTGTTCACACCAAGCATTGTCTGGGGACTAAACACAACCTGCGTATATGTGGCTTTTTGATGTTCATAGCTCCTAATTTCCCATTACGTTTTAGAGATTAGTAAGATATAAATTTATTTTAAAGTTTATTGAATTTGCAGGAACTATTTTTTATTGGGATAAAATACACATAATCTAAATTTTACCCTTTTAGCCATTTTTAAATGTATAATTCAGTGGCATTTGGTACATTAACAGGGTCCTGCAACCATCACCACTGTTTAGCTGCAAAACGTTTTCATCACCCCAAGAGGACACCCTGTACTCATGAACAGTCGTTCCCTGATTCTCCTTCCCCCTAACCTCTGGCAACTGCTAACCTGTTTTCTGTCTTTTGGGATTTGCCTATTCTGGATATTTCATATAAATAGAATCACGCAACGCACAGCCTCCTGTGGCTGGCTTCTTTCTTATACTTCGCATTGATTTACAAGATTCATCTTCGTAGTGTGTGTCAGTACTTCATTCCTTTCTATGGCTGAATAATATTCCAGTGTATGGATAGACCACATTTTGTTCATGCATTCATCTGTTTTTTGTTTTGTTTTGTTTTTGAGACAGAGTCTCGCTCTGTCGCCCAGGCTGGAGTGCAGTGGCGCGATCTCGGCTCACTGCAAGCTCCGCCTCCGGGGTTCACACCATTCTCCTGCCTCAGCCTCCCGAGTAGCTGGGACTACAGGTGCCCACCACCATGCCCAGCTAATTTTTTGTATTTTTAGTAGAGACAGGGTTTCGCCATGTTAGCCAGGATGGTCTCGATCTCCTGACCTTGTGATCCTCCTGCTTCAGCCTCCCAAAGTGCTGGGATTACAGGCATGAGCCACCGCGCCCAGCTTCATACGTTCATCTGTTGATGGACATTTGGGTTTTTTCTACCTCTTGGCTGTTGTGACTAGTGCTGCTGTAGACCTTTGTGTCACAGGAGCTTTTCGTCTAATGTGCTGTCTTGGGGGATAATTAAAGAACTGTTACGTAAGGATTATCAGACCTTTTGATGTAAAAAAAAAAAATAATTCCAGTATGCATATTTCTCTGTTACAAAAAGAAAGAGAAGAACTTTTTGGTGGCAAAGTTGCCCTTGACAGTTTTTAAGCCTGGAGCAGAGCATTGAGCTTCCAGGGTTGGGATGGAGGGTGTGGGGGTGGGCGGTGTTGAAGGCAGGTATGGGTGGTGGCAGGAGAGCTAGGACCAGACCCCCATTTCAGGGAGGAGGTGACTGTGAAATCTAGTGGTGCAGGGACCCTGGGTCTGCTCTTTTCTTCTGCACATCCTTGTCTGTCCACTTTCACAGGCATTGACAGCTGCCCCTACACTCTAACCCTTTAATTTCCGCCCCATTGTTTGGGCCTTGACTAGTTAGTGTTTTAGGATTAGCTTCTGTCCCAAACACCTGGACCACCTGAAGGTCACTACTTCTTACCAGATCCAATTTGGTTTTCTGTTAAGTTAATTAGTTCATTTCATTCTGCCCTTTTAGGTAATTTTGTCACTCGAATATTCTAGTCTACAGTGTAGAGAAAAGGCACAACACCTTTGCTATTCTAAAACGGTAATGTCATAGCAGTCAATAGTACTGAATGCCTGTGCAGTGTGTACCAGTGCTGTGCATGCAGCACTGTGGTAGCTGTCGAGGATTTGTATAGCACCTACAAGAGACTTACAGTCTTAGCAAGAGAAGCCCAGTACAATGAAGTAGTTAACAAGTGGCAGAGGCTTACAGCGTGGTCCAAAGTGCTGTAGGATTTCAGAGAAGAGAACAGATGATCTGTAAGAATGCAAAGCTGAAAAGGCTGAAGGAAAGACTCCTGACATGAGGATGTGTAGAGTTTTGATGAGTGGAACAGTCATTACACTTTTTCCTCTTACACTCGTTGCTCTGACACATTATACGTTTATTTCTTCATTTTTCTCTCTCCCTTCCAAGTAGAAATTAAACCTGAGAGGGAAGAGTCTTTGCAACCTTAGCCCATGTCTCCCCAGATCCTATAACACTGTCTGAAATGTAGTGGGTACTCAGTGAATTCCTGTTAATAAATGAATCATAGGCAAGCAGAATAGAAATGAAGGTACAGGTGTACCATCTGACATTGAATTGGAGTAGTTTTTCGAGCTGAAGGGAACCTTAGCTACCTAGGCCTCCTTGCATTTAGACTGTGCTTCACATAATCCTAAGAGTTTCTTGCCCCCTCCTCCCTCAGGTTATCAGGATGGAGCAACTAGAATAAGGGGCTGAGTTCCTTCCTGTTCCCTCTCCCAGCGCAGTTGTGCTTGCTTGTCGTTAGTCTTGACTGTAAGATTTACTTTGAACACACAGTTCTGCAGCTACAGAAATTTTGGTTTCAGGGCTAACCTCCTGAGGCCCAGGTAAGCTAGTATTTCTCATGATCACTTAGCTAATGCCTAAAGTGGAAATCCCAATTCTCAGATCACTGACTGATTCTTCCCTAGCTCAGGCCTTGCCAGGGCAGTCACTCTTCGAGCTGCCACTTGAGCATTCTCTTCCTCTCCTCACACTGCTGTGCCACGGACCATACCCTATGCTTTCCTGTTCCAACACACTACTTGTTCTCACCTCCTTTCTGGGACTCCTTTCTCTGTCCAAAGTTGACATGTCCTTCAGGATCTAGGTAGGTCGGAGCTTGCCTCCTCCAGGGAGATTTCTTTCAAGTTGAAATCAGTCTTCCTCTCTGCTGAATTTCAGAAGCTTTTGCTCATTTCATTGGTGTGTTTTGTTCTCTTTGTTTAGCAACCTGTTCCCTTTTTACAGAGTAGGCCCTTCATAAATATCGGTCAGATGAACCTGATGAGCTTGAGAATAATGATGAAACTAAACACTATGAGCCAAGAGTTTGTACTGGAATACAAAATCAATTTGATGTCCTTTTGATAACACCTGGGTTGGCAAGGGATGAGGAAGCAGGCACTCCCATACATTGTCTGTGGGAATGTAAATTAGTGGAACTGTTGCTAGTCTAGCAGAATTACAAGTGTACATAGCCTGTTGACCCAGCAAAATTCTGCTTCTAGGAATTAACTCTACCCACTGTAAAGTGACAGGTGTATAAACCTAGGATCAGAAGTCTAAGTGTTTCTTTATCAATCGGGAACTGATTAAAATCATTGTGGCACACTCATGTGATGGAGTTCAGTGCAATCATTAAAAGGGAGTGAGCTCTATTTGTACTGATGGAGAATCCTTTTCAAGACAACCTGGAGGGAGAAAGACAAAGAAGTATGTATAATATGCTTCCATTTGTTATATTAAAAGGGAGAAAAATAGTTTGCTTAGTTATGTATGGACTATCAAGAAGAATGCATAAGATGCCATTAATAGTGATTTCCCTTAGGACAGGAATGGGATGGAAGAGTTGAGGTCTGACAGAGATGTGTGCAGTGGATCAGGGGATAAACTCCTCTCACCAACTGTATGGTTTCTGTTGCTGCATAAGAGATCACTACATATTTAGTGGCTGGGTAATGTGACCTGATTAGTTTGATTAATTAAGGGAATGGCCTCCCATTACCTTTGCCACAGTCTGTGGCTTAGAAGCAGGTTAGCGGTTCTGCTTGCACTTAACGGGAGGGAATTACATGAGGGTGACTTATGGCAGGGAGGGGTTTACTTTAGGATGCATCTGCCATACCAGCAGTCAATGTTTAGTGCCTAAAACTTGCTCTTTAAGGATTGGAGTGACACTAGAATCGAGAGCTTAGTAACTATGAATAGGCCAGTAAGTGGGTGTGGGATTGAGTGGGGGTGGGGCTGCACCCCATGGATTGGGTCGCCTGTTAGACCTGGGGAGGTGGGGTGGGTGGGGATATTGGAGCAGAATCTCCTTCCTAGATTTGCTGAGTCTGTCTTGTTCCGGGGACCAGAGGACAGCTTGTGGAGGCTCAGGTTGGATGGTTGAATGGCCAGATCCAGATCCTACCCCTTCAGTCAGCCCCAGCTCTTACCCTGCAGCTCAGCTGGGAGCCTGACTCTCTTGCTTTGTAAACAGGGAATGATCCCCTTTCACAAGACCACCATCATGTCTGGGCCTGTACTAGGAGGCTGTAGCTAGAACCTGCGTTTTTCTCAACACTATTTTTATGACCAAAGGGCAGCACCTTCTGAATGGGAGATCGTGTGACTACTGGGAATTCATGTTCCTCTAATGCGCCTGTGTTTAGTGGTAACACCTCACATGTAGAATCTGGTTACCTATGCAGTTGTGAATATCCAGAAGTCAGGTAAATCACTGTCTATAGTCTTACCCAATTTAAAATTTCATGATTTGACCTTTTCTCCCTTAAATGAATGTGTTGGTGGTGATTTGGAAAAAGAAAATTAGGAAGACCTTCTGAAGGTATAGTGATCCTCAAAGTTTGTACTTGTGGCACCTTGACTCCTGGAGATTTTTGTCTCAGTCTGATTTAATCAGTGATTTTTCATTCTGTATTTAATGACTTCTGGTTTTTCTTGAGTGAGCTAATTAAAAAAAAAGTTAAATGGTTGAGTTTCTTTCATATTACTTGCTTTTAAAAAGAAAGAAAACAGCTGCATTATTAAATTTGAGTGAAGTCCTCAGAGTCAGGACAAACATGAAATAGTTGGGAGTGCAAGAAACCAAGAATTTGAAACTCCACCTGGTGGGGGCTTTCTGTCACTGCAGGTGAATGTAATACAAATGCAGCCCCAAATATTTTAATTCAGAGTGATTGTTGATTACTCTTAAGATTTAACTCTCTCAGCTAGGTTGTCAGGTGGCTTGTATACCACTCTTGTAGATTTGCTGTCTTTGGTAGTGTTTATGAACTATACTTCACCATGCAGAGAAGAGATGGGATTTGACTCATGGCATAACTGAATACTTGAGTGGATGCTTTGACATGTTTACATAATTGGAGGGTGACATCATCACAATAACTCTAGGAACAAGGATTTGTTTTAAAAATCTGTCAGTGTGACCTAGGGTCACAGAGTAGTTTGCTACAAAAATCATATGTATTTAAATATATGGGTCATTAAGACTTTTTGTTGATGACTTGTGGGAAGTCTGTATATGACTATTGCTTTAGCCACTGTTCTCTGTAATTTTCTAGAAGCTACATCACTTCCTGATGAAAGAAGCCAAGTAGTCTGGGATTTCTGCATAATGTCCTCACTTAGTATCTTTTGTCCCTTCAGAATGTACCTACCATAGGAAACGGATTTCCTGTTTCAAGAGAAAGTGACATTGTAGTGAAGTGTTATTAAGTTGTTATATCCTTTAAGAGGGAAGCGTCCTTCTGCTGGTCATCCCAGTGGTCACAGAGTACACCATGCTCCAGCAGGACACACCTCACGCCCTCTCCATCCTCAGAGCCCCTTGTTTTAAACCCAGGCATCACTTCTAAAAGTCTTCCTCAGTAAGCTAGATGCCTCTTGGCGGTCAGGATTGTACTGTACTCATCATTTCTGTTTCCAGGACCTAGCAAGATGCTGGATGCATGGCGTGGCATAAGCTCTTCCATAAAGGTTTGGTAGATCAGAGAGAATTTGCAAATGTTTTTTCTGTCTAGTATTATAAAAAAGAAGAAGAAAAGGCTTTTTGGAGGAGTTGAAGTTTTTATTGTTCAAATAGTAAATGAAAAAATAAAATCTACTTTAATTCCTTCTTTAGTAATTCTGGATAAGATATATATTATATGCCTTAAATTCTAAAAATTTTGGCCAGACACAGTGGCTCATGCCTGCAATTCCAGCATTTTGAGAGGCTGAGGCAGGAGGATTGCTTGAGTTCAGGAGTTCGAGGCTGCAGTGAGCTATGATCATGCCACTGTACTCCAGCCTGGGCAACAGAGACTGTCTGAAGAAAATAAAATTTCTGAGTGTTGTTTCTAAATGAGCAAATACCTTTTTGGTCAGATTAAAAAGTGTTTTGGTTAGATCAAATTGTAGTAAGAACCAGGAGTATCCAGCATAAAACACCACAGTGTAAGTTTTAAAGTTTTTTAATTTCTAAAGTTGTCACTGATACACAACCACAGTAAAAAGTTTAGGATTCCTTAAATGTCCTGATGAAATGCACATGCATATCTTCAGCACATTTCCAAAATATACACAAATGAGTCAGTTGACATCTGCTTCTGCTTTTTTTTTTTTTTTTTTTTTTTTTTTTTTTTTTTTTTTTAGGTATAAATTTGAATCTGGCTCTTTTTAATCATCTCCAGCACTTTGTCTAAGTAGCTTTCCATGATTTATATACAAAAGTCACTTCCCGGGAGAGGAAGACTCTTTAAAGTGTAAGCTGAAGTATACACACGATTAACATCAGAGAGACCTTCGTTTTTGGAAGTAATTTGAAAGAAAATGAGCATGGTTTAGAAAAAAAAAAAGAAATTGGAACCACATTTTTAGATATTTATGTATAACAAGAAAGGATTGTATCAGCCTTCCTCTATAGTACATACTATGTGACTTTATTTGTATAATTTTCAAGGTACTTTTTAAGTAGAAACAATGTTTAATCCAAAATTTTAAGGCTTACATACCTAAAAGTGATGCACCTTAACATCTGAGTGTTTTTTACATGTTAATAATAAGGAAATAATGATATAAAAGCATTAAATTGAGAGATGTAGTTTAAAAATCGGGATCCATTTAATATTGAAATGAATCAAATTTAAAGAGAGAATGAAATTTTTCCCCTCGTCTTTCAGCATGTTTGAGTGTAATGCTTCAGTTCATGGTGAAATTTTTCCTAAATGAGATGGTTCAAGATCAAGCATTAGCATTGTGTGACCACAGTGCCAAGACCATGGCTTTTCAGCATCACCAAGGATGATGTTCTTGAAAGGAAGAGACACAAGCTAGAAACTCGTGTGCCATATTCGTTTTGGGTCACAGAATGTGCAGGGTATGCCCTGATTGATAGGGAACTTCCCTGCAGAGTAGGAGGGGTCCCTGTTTTGTGGGCTACGCAGTAAGTTTGTTGTGCTCCTAAGATAAAGCTCAGATTTCATTCATATCACGTTCATCTTTTTGTCCTTTTTAACTTCACACTAGTTGTTACTCTCATGTGCCTCTTCCTTACCTGCCCATGAATATAATTTCCACTGTCATATTTACCCAAAATCTCCATCCTTTTTTCTGGTACCTTTCCTCATTTGCAGATGTCCCCCCCAGGGGGTAATGGGGACACAATTACGGGCTTCGAGTGCTGCAGCCCTCCTGCCTGCCCCAGGCAGCCAGCCTTCCCTCCCTACACTGTGTGGTCCCTGGGTTGTTGCTGCTGTTGAGACTCTGGACCAGTCTGCAACATCTCTTTCCAGCAGAAACACTTCGTGCAAGCAGCTTTTTCAGCACCAGCTTCTGCAGCAAAGCTGTGGGTCCACTCACTAGTCACATTTTTTTTCTTAATACCCCAGAGGACACAGGCACTCCCAAGTGGGAGCATGAGGCTGCTGATAATCAGCTCAGCCTCCTTTGCAACACCTGAATCACCTCTGCTGAGTCCAGCTCACTCACACCTCCCCCGTCCTGTCCCCAGTTTGGTCTCCTTTGGAGACCATGGTCATTAGGCAGGTCTGTACATGCATGACTTCCAGTTGTGGGTTGGGTCTGTCCACTAGTCCAGTTCTCTGAAGATTGCCTGGAAGTTAAGAGGTGGTTCTTTTTAGAGCCCCTGAGGGTCGCTGGGGAGCATTTTTAGCTAACTTCAGAGCTTGCCTGTCAAAGCCTTTATTAGGACTCAAGCCAAAACCCTGAGTCCCTTTGCATTCAAGTGTGGTCTGCCCGCAGGCAGCTTATTAGAAATGCAAATTTGTTGCCCCTTCCCTGTTTAGAATCTTTGGAGTAGGGCTCAGGGCTCTTTCTGGCCCTCCAGGCCATTCCTGCGCATGCCCACCTTTGAGAAGCTGCATTCTAGTATACATTATTAATGGTGAAGATTGTAGCATAGGCACCCTTCTAGGATTTTGGAAGCAGAAGGAATCTCAGTTGGAGGCCATGGTCCAACAATATTCCCCTCAACCTTTATTTTTACTGTTAAAAGAATTTGTAGCCCAGGGAACTGCTGTAACTCCCCAGCCATGTAAGCAGTGGAAGGGGAGCCAGGACTCTAATGCAGAGCTCCTGACTTTATTTTTGTCATTCGAGAACAACTTTTTGCTGTATGATGTTTCTTCCTTTGCAATATGTTGATTAAGAGCATTCTTAATTTATTTGAAGGAAACAGGCAGCAGCTGTTCTTCCATCCCTCTTCCCTAGTCCCCTGAAACCCCAGTTTTTATCAGTAGTAGTCTTGGTCAGCTCCTCCCACAACTGCTGAACTCTGATGTATTTTGAAGTTCGCATATGTGCAATAGAGTAAAAGGATTGGACACCCAAAGATGTGTTTTGGTGTGGGTACTTACAGGGAACACCACTCATACATTTTCTCATTTGTTCATTTAATAAACATTTATTGGAACTTACTGTTTGTTTTGTGTTACTGTGGATAAATCTTTCTCCAGTTAAAGGAACAATTGTATCTGTCTAAAGAGAGTGAGTTTCTTAATCGCGGACATGCTGAAGTGTGTATAAGTGACTTACAAGTTCCAACTGTTGGTTGTGTAGTATGTGAGTGCTCCTTCACCAGAGGGTTATTTTTCCTTACAGCTGATACAGACCAGTGCTGGGCACCAGGCTGCAGCCATAGTCAAAGTTCAAAGACTAATCGGAGCCACGAGTTTTGGAGTTTTGCAGTTTACTAAATGAACAGACATTTTAATTGCTTGTCAAAGGACTATAATGGGATTGTTGGGCTTATCTAAACTGTTTCTGAGCAGCTTTGTAGAAGTCTCAGGTTAATCTTTTTAAGGATTGTGATGTCAAAGAAACTGAATTGGTCTTTAAAGTTTGTACTTTTTGCTTGTTCTTTATTTGGTGAGTATGTCTTGGTAGTAAGAACAGTGTCCTGTTTTAGTTGAGGGCAGGAATATACTAAGCCAGTACCTGTTTTTTGAAATTTCAGTTGCCTTTGGGAATGAACATAAATGATTTGCTTTTCCATACATTTAGTTCTTTTCATTTCGAACATACCATTCCATTTTTTGAGTTTTTTTAGTGAGCAATCTGACACTTCTTAATTGTTTTAAACCATGGGTGTATATTGTTTAAAAAAAAGGTATTTTGCTCTTTTTAAACATATTATTTTCTAAAAGTTGGCAAACTGATGAAACTTGGTTTAATTTATTTGGATTGAATCTTAGGGGCATGTAAGTTTTGGTCACACCTTAAGCAGTGCTTGTCTCTTGTGCTCTCAGAAGGATTTGGTGTATCTTTTCTTTTGATCATACATTCTCTGAGACAATGCCCAGATGTTACATACTTGTGTAGATAGTCTTGGTAACACATGCTTTACTAAACTTCGTCATTGCACTCTCTAAATAATCTTTATAATATTAAAACTTTTTTCTTTTCAAAATGAAAAAGAATGATGGAACATGACCAGAAAAAGTTAAATATTGGTTGAAGCCATGTGAAGTTGTTAGTATTTGTAAGCTTTTGAGCTACAGAAATGACGTTTTCTTATGGGTCAACCTAATATATCCTCCAAATTAATTTTTGGTAGATGATACCCTAAATGGTCAGCAGTCCTTTTGGTTCTCTCTCACAGCTTTCAAGAAGCTCCTGTGTTTTAGATGTTACATTTGTTCCAACTGCTGCTGCTTATTTCCTAAGAAGGGCTTTCTGCTTCTTGGAGCTGTGCAGTGGCTACCCGGCTCTTTAGACCTGAAAAGAGCTTTTGTTTATTAGAAGTCTGTGGCTGAGATCCAGCCAGTCCTAGCCGGGCCTATGGTTGCCAAATGCTGCTTTGGTTGTTTTCTTCAGCATGAGCAGAGACACACTTGATCTCAGTAGAGTACCATGTCTTTTTGCTGTTAAAATGAACCTAGACGTTCATTTCTGTCTTAAAAATGTGTTACTTATCACTAGGGTGTGTGATCCAAAAACTCTTTATTATGTGTGCATAATAAAAACATGAGAATTGTGACCCAGCTCCTAACTCAAGATGAATGCATGTGATAGTAGCTTTCCTGAACTTAGGGAGAAAGCACCTCAAATACACGTTTTGTGGTAGCAGTGATTTTGCTTATGCTTAAGAAATTTCTGTTTGCCAAACGCCTGTCTCATCTTGCCTTTACTGTGAAACAGACTGTTGTCAAGGTCTTTTGTAGTAAGTTAGAGATTTTTCCCCCATCTTCAAAGAAGATATAAATAAATGTAGGCATGTTTTCTATTAAAAAGAAATGTGAAAATGTTTCCTACATTATTCCACTGCCTTACATGGTCACACACTTTCAGATCATTTCCAGTAGTAGATTTAGAGAATGTCCACTATATTCGAAGGCATGGTTGGATAGTGCCCTCTTGTGGGAAAACAACATATTGCTTATGTCGTGCTTGCTTAAACATTAGCAAGGATTTTAAAATTTTATTAACTGGGTGCAGTGGCTCACGCCTGTAATCCCAGCAGTTTGGGAGGCTGAGGCAGGCAGATCACCTAAGTTGGGAGTTCGAGACCAGCCTGACCAACATGGAGAAACCCCCTCTCTACTAAAAATACAAAATTAGCTGGGCATGGTGGCATGTGCCTGTAATCCCAGCTACTCGGGAAGCTGAGGCAGAAGAATCGCTTGAACCTGGGAGGCGGAGGTTGTAGTGAGCCGAGATCGTGCCATTGCACTGTAGCCTGGGCAACAAGAGCGAAACTCCATCTCAAAAAAAAAAAAATCGGTGTGTACAAGCATGTTTTGTACAAAATGCTTTTTCACTAGAAACCATTATTAATTTAAGGTTTATTCCTAATTTCTTCCATGTTTTAAAAGTAAAAAGGCGGGGAGGGTAATGGAGGTGATGGGGGTGTGAATAGGATTTGCTCTAGTTCCTTGGGTGGGGGATAAAATTCTCTGAGAGTCAGAAAATGTTTTTGAGCAGCTCATGGCAGATATTTGTAAAGAAATAAGCATAAACAGCTCCAAGTCAAGTTTTTACAGTGCATTTCTTATAAAAGCCCCTTTTCAGCCATGTAAACTCTTTTTTAAGGAAGGCTCCCTAGGCTGAGAGGGAGCAAGCGTCCCTTCAGGTACTTGAGTCTAATCAAATGGTAGAATGTAAATCACATTTTTTCAATAAAGGATCATGGTTGGCTTTGGTGTCAGACAGGGCAGCATCTGAGTCCTGGCTCTTCTGCTCAGTGATGGTGGACTCTGGCAAAGAATTTCACTTCCCTGCCCCTAGTGGTGGTGATAGTCCAGTACCTTTATTTCAAGTTTTTGAGCATTAACTGGGAGAATGTGGGGGCCTGACACATAAGTGTGTGCTTCAAAATGGTAGCAGGAATGATGTTGCTTATTGGATTTTGTTCTTACTTTAAAAAAATGTTTAATTTTTTTCATATTTTAACTTTTTCATGTTGAATATTTGTTAACTTAATGCTAATGGACTAAATGGAATCTTGGGACTTAGAAGCTAAAGGCCAAATCATGGACTAACATTCAGAGTGAGAGAGGGCTCACTCTGAATTTTTACTAGGGTGTTTTCCCCCATTTCAGTTTAAGGAAATTGATATAATATGTTCAGTGATTTACTGTCATTTAAGGAAACATGCCTTTTTGTAAATAAAACTTTTCTAAATGTATCACTTACATTTCAGGTATATGCAGTATAATTTTAAAATATGTAATGTTTAACAAACACCTTTATGGAATTAACTTGTTAAAACTCATTTCATTGGTAGTAGAGTTTGAAATATCTTCATTTTTAAGTGTTATAATATATAAACATATACTAGTAATAAATACAATATTACAATAATAAATATATTCTATATTTGTGCATGAACTGCCCAAAGCAGGAACCCACCTCCCCCTGAGGAGAGTGCTGGGGTGTAGCCCATGGGCAGCTGCTTAAGGCAGCTCACTAGCCCCAGTAGCTCTGGGCTATACAGGAATCTCAAGAGCTTGCTCCATTGGGCCTCACTTTCTCATCTTATCCTGGAGCACAGCTATTTGGTTTCCTTGCTGTGTTGTAGGATATGGAGTGTATCACATAGCCATCTGTTTGTAACCTTTTCTTGGGGCTGAAATTCTGATTTCTTTCTCTTTCTCTATTAATTTGTATCCTTCCAAAGGCTTTAGGAGTCTGCCTCCATAAACATGACAGTGTTGGGGATAAGGATAAGATCAGAAAGAATGGAATGAACGATTAGTTTAGTTGTGCTCTAGCCTAGCAGTGCTCCCACCACCCACATGCCAGGCTCACCCCCACCATCTCAGGACTCTATGGAGGGTCTCTTTGAGATCAGAAAGATTACCAAAAAAAAAAAGTGTTATGTTCAGGGGTGTAGATTTGACTGCATTTCTCAGTTCTCAATACAGTTGTTTAAAATTCAGCTTTTAGGATTCATTGGTGGAAAGCCAGTAAGGTTTAATGAGAGGACTGAATTATAGAATATTTTTTAATGCAGTTTTGTCCCTCTGAGGTACATTCAGTAACAGAAACTAGGCCAACAAGTTATTGACAATTAGTGGTCCTTTGGGAATCTGCTTTAATGAATAGATAAGAATGATTTGTAATTAGCATAATAATTATATGCAAATGAATGCTTCTGAATTGCTCTAAAACACTTCTGAACTGTTTAAACAGCCCTCCTGAGATCTTGTTACTCTATTAATTTGTGTAGCAAATCTTTTTTTCATAGATCATGCAAAGATAAACTTCAGCCCAGCCCCTGTCTGAATGATTATGTATTCCAAGGTAGTAGGACCTGAATTAATGAGATTTACTTATACTATATTAATGGTACTCTGTGGGAACCTGAAAGGTTGAGGAGTCACTGGGGAGATGTAATTAAAAATAGAAAAGAAAGCTGCTTATTTGAAAATAACTGTTGAAATCAGTTTCTTAAACAAGTTAGTAAATGTTATTTCTCTTTACACCTCTGTTATTTGCTTTTGCAAAATTTAATGTAAACTTTTTTTTAATGGGCTTACTTACTCTTTGGAGTCTCGCTTGAATTTTGTCAGCTTGAGTTAGTTATTCGTTTGGCATTAGGGTCAACAGTGATAGGATCCAGGAACTCATTTAGGTGCCACAATACTGGAAAATTCAGGGCAGTGCTAATAAATGATGTTTGTTATTTATCTTCATATTTAATTCAGCTTTATTCCCCATCCTGGGCTTTATTTTTAGGATGTGATTAGAGGAAATAAGCCTTGCTAAGTTGAACTGCAATACCCATGCATTTAAAACTTAATGATTATCTTTGAGCTATTTTAATAGACACCTAATTAATCATTGTATGCTAAAGGAAAGCATTTTATATAACAGGCTGCAGGATCCTAATGTCTCTCTCAAGCTTTTATGTTTGCCCAGTAAAACACCCCCTCTCCACAGGATAGAAAATAGGGGTTGATCTTTTATAAGCAGGTGCCAAGGAGTTGCTAATGCTTGTGGTTTGGGTCCTCTTTTCCTTAGTTTACACTTAGCCTCACCTCTAGTAACCCATGCATGGTTATTTAAGCAGTTTCTGGTGTCTGGAGCTCATCTCAATTTTTCCACAAGCTGTCAAGAAACTCCTACCAGCCTGCCCCCCACCTCCTACTCACTTCCCCATTCATAATTAGGAGTTAAATCTGGGCTCAGGGACATTTAGTTTGGCTCAGCACAGACAGATTTTGTACTTTCATTTTTGGGGGCAGCCACTGTACTCAAAGATTCATGAAACTAATATTCTTTGTATTCGAAATGAATCCGGTTTCTATTGAGAGTTTCTGTTGAGATCTGTAGTAACAGATGTACACCCAAGAAGTAGCACAACTTTTGTATTCCAGTGACAGAAAACAGTTATTTATAAGAAATTAATGAGTGTATTCTGTGGCTCCAGTGTGGAGACTCAGTAATCCATTTATTTACCATATTATATTTTGTTTTGTTCTCCGAAGGCTATCCTGCCTTTTTTTCTTAAATAAGAGTTTTCAATTAAATAGAGTTGTATTAACACTAATCCGAATATACCTTATGCTGATACTATTGTATTTTTTCTTTGTTCAGGCACTATTATTGGTGGAGCAAGTAGTGTCTAGGGATATTACACCTAACTTGATAATGATGGTTTTACTAAGCCCTTATTCTGGCCAGGCCTCTGGGCATTATACAGATAATTAAAATTGAATCATAAAAAATTTTAAACACAGTGCACTTTAGCAATAAGATTTTTCTACTTTTAAACATGATTTTAAAACCCATTTTAAAAATGCATTTCCTTGGCCTGGTGAATTTGCTCTCTTTTTTCCCCAAGGATTACAGAAAGTGCATAGCAAATTCAGCCTTCAGAATACCCAGGAGCTGAAGACTCAAGTAGGCTACAGCTGTCTTCACCCACAGTATTCTAAAAGAACTAATGAGATGAGAAGTCTGCAGCTGGTGGCAAGCACAATAAACCATGAGCCAAGGGCTTCTCTTCATCAGAGCCTCCCCTTTCCCCATGGGATCCCAAAGGAGACAGAATACTAACAAAGCCAGCAGGCTGTCTCATTCCACACTATTGCTCATTTGCAGCTATAATTGGTAGCTGAGGTTGCATTCTGTATGCTGAAACTGTCATACATGAAGGAATATATTTGTTCATTGTGATACGGATATAAATTGGCCAGTTTTCAGATACAGCAAGACCAAACTAGATACCCAATAGTGAAAATGTAGCAAAGAAAATACTGTTCAAAAAATTAGGTGTTTGTTGTGGAAATACAAAACTGAGGTTGTTAAAAAGCTACTTCCTGCTTCTTAATATCTTGCAACTTAATTCAGCTGATTAAACATTTACGTATTCTTCATATTCAAACTAACGTAAAACAGAAATTCCTGGGTCTTGACAAGATTCATTATTCTCATCTTTCAAGGTTAAAGTGCTATTGTTAATAATTGGGTTTTGTTACGTTTTCAATATAATATCTTTAATATTTTCTGCTTTGTATTCAAGAGGAGAAAAAGCAGAGAGGGGAAGACTTCATTTCATACATACATATGTATATGTGTATGATATTTTACATACACACAGTTGTACTTCATAGGAAAATCCACTTTGATATCTCTAGTGCTGCGGCTTCTTGGTATTTTTGAAATGTGGTTTGATTGTCTGGCATTTGTTGACACCTTTTGCCATCATCCTGTGAGGTGTACCAGAATGTGCCCAGGACTGAGGCTAAGGAGGATTGAGTTGAAGTGCTGGGGTAGGTGAGCCCTACCACTTCCTCGTCAGACTGTGGTTTTAGCATCTGTCAAATGAAGGAGCTTGGGTGGTCTTTAAGGTTCACTTTACTTCTATGATTCTGTGAATCCATAGTTCACATTTTTCTCCTGTTAAACATGATTTTAAAATTCATTTTAAAAGTGTGTTTCCTTTGCTGCTTTTGTTTGGTTTTGATTCTGACAGTAATTGTCTCCATTCTCTGTTGGCAGTTAACAGGTACTTCCTGGGGTTTGAGTTACCTGTTCTTTGCTTGCTTCTTTCTTTATCCCAACTAGACTGATTCTTTAGGAGCCAGAACTGTGTTAGTTCTCTTTTACTTTATCTGTTTCCTTGAATTACCTCTTACTAATAACGTCTGGTGTGCTACCTTCTATATGGTGGCTGTTCAATAACTAGATTTTGATTGAGGGAAATGATGCTGAAAGTGATTATTTGATACAATGTTAAATACTTTCAATGTTTGAAAAAGAAAATGAGCTTGCTTTTAGGTTTTAATTCCAAGCCTCTGACCAGAAGAAAATGTTTTATGGTGTTACAGGTTTATTTATGTTAATAGAGTAGCTTATTTCTCATTGTGAATCCAGGTCTTGAAACCACCTGTACACACAGTTGATTCTTTTGTCAATCAGAAGTGGAGTTATTCATTTTTAGGATGCAGTTCAAAATTGTAGTTTAAGAATTCACACTTGCTGACAGTAACTGATCTTTCTGCTGCTTTGCCCAGACATAGGAAGTAAGTCCAGTTGTCCAGCTCCTTGCAGACTGTCCATCCCAGTTTGTCGTTCCTGGGTAATGCTGATGCCTGTGGCTATGCCACATTGCATATTGTAAAGCATTAAGACCCAGTATAGCCAGACCTATTTGCTGTTTAATACTTTGAGCTTATTGTTGGTCCTTTTTGTAGACAACCTTTAGAGAGGCTTCAAGTTCTGGGTCACATATTTACAGACTTATCTTTCTTTAAAGTTTTGTTTTCTCTCTGAACTGAACATTTTTCCTTCCTCACATAATTTGTAACTTTCTCTTTAGGAATTACTAACATGGCATATGCACTTACTGAGTAACTGTTGAGTTTTGAGTGGCTGCTTCTCAACGTGTTTTGTTGTTGTTGTTGTTGTTTGATTTGTGGAAAGTTCGTATTATACTGTGGAGCATGTTCAGTTCTTGCTTTTGCTCATACTGCCCTTATCTCTAGAACAGTGATTTTTAGTTAAGGTTTCATATCTGACTCATCTGGGCATTTTTCACTAAGTATGGGGTCTCTTCACGAATTCTGTGAAGGACCCCAGAGTCAGAAAGTCTGCTCAAGAAGGAAAGGACTCTCCCTGCTGTCTCTTTCTTTGCAGTGTTTTAAACTGACCAACCGACCACGGTCAAGTTATTGTTGCAAGTCTCTCTTATTGTTATTAATCTGGGCTCTAGCTCTTCAAAAGTAATTTTATCTTTTTTTCTGGAGAGAGAGAGAGTGTGTGTTTGTGTAATGACAAGAGAACTTTTGTAAAGCAGATAGATTTTAAAAGATTTTCTTTTTTCATTTCCTCCGTTCTGTCAGGAAAAAGATATACTAAGGGAAACAGAATTTACACACACTAGAACCCTGAATAAAACCTTCATTTTAGAGCCTTTCCCCTGTGGTATATAACTGAGGCAGTCCCGTGACACCCCTCCTTCGCCTCCTTTGACAGTGAGGGGATGACGTGAGTGCAGTCCTTCTATGAGGAAGACAAGCCATGTGTATCCCAGGGCTCTCGAACAAGGGTTTGGAGAAGCCAGTCAAGAAACTGAGATGTCCACCACAGACCCAGCTGTAGGAAGAGGTTGGGGGTGCTGCAGAATCGATAGTTCTGATTTTGTTCCCAGCCACAGTAGTTGCTCTGGCCAGCATTAACAGTCCAGTGTCATCATCTACCTGTAGTGTCAAAACTGGGATGGGTATGTTTTATTCTTTGAATGTGATTATCCATATATCAAAATGCTTAAATTATTTAAAAAACTGTTGAAAGATTTGTTATTGGAGACAGCTGTCCAGTAACCAGTCAGAATGGATTGCTAGTCCAGGACTTTTATTATTTCTTATTATGTAGTTATTTAGCCCAAGGTAAAAGTTTAAAGCAAAGGAAACCAAACTGAAAACAGTGTCTTAAAGAAGCATTTTTCTACTTTTACGCAAAAGCACAGTGAGTCTAATTGATTTCTGTCCTGTGTTTTGGTAGCTGCGAAGAGCTATTCTGGCACGGTTAAAGAATATTCTCTGGTTTTCTTCTCTGCCTCTGACTTTGTTTTGCTTTGCAGGACTACAAAGCTGATGAAGACCCAGCATTATTCCAGTCAGTCAAGACCAAGAGAGGCCCTTTGGGACCCAACTGGAAGGTACTGGATGCTGACCTTTCTGACAGGCAGAGTCTTGGCAACAGAACACTTGACAGGTCCTGAGTCTTGAAGAGCTGGTGACGTTTAAGTGAAAAATAGAAATGGCACAAAAATAGTTTTATTTGCGATAAGGACTTACAGCCAGTTGCAGTTGGCCAGCAAATCTGTGCTGCATTAACAAACAGAACAGAGCCAGACTGTCACTTTCAGCATAATGCAGCTCCAATAACTCTTAAAAGAGACAAGTGATTTAGTCTTTGGGGATTCTAATGTTCTCTTTTGAGACCTGAAGCAGTATAAAAATCCATTTTAAATGAAGGTTTATAGTTTAAATTTAGTCTTATTAAAAACTGAACAAGCTCCCTTCACCCAAGCTCATATTCCTGGACTTTTAATAGTTATATTTTTGGAAAGCAGGACACGAGTGAGCAATTTTTGTGGCAAGCAGTTTTTGTTTTTGTTTTGTTTTTGAGACAGAGTTTCACTCTTGTTGCCCAGGCTGGGGTGCAGTGGTGCAATCTGGGCTCACTGCAGCCTCTGCCTCCTGGGTTGAAGTGATTGTCCTGCCTCAGCCTCCCGGGTAACTGGGATTACAGGCATGCGCCACCATGCCTGGCTAATTTTGTATTTTTAGTGGAGACGGGGTTTCTCCATGTTGGTCAGGCTGGTCTCGAACTCCCGACCTCAGGTGATCCACCCGCCCTGGCCTCCCAAAGTGTTGGGATTACAGGCATGAGCCACTGCGCCCAGCCAGTAGTTGTTTTTAAATAAAGTGCACACCCTTACTTTATTCATGGAAGTAAGGTAATGTCAAGGTAATAATTTAAATTGCTATAGAAATATAATGCATTTTAAAGACATCTACTAAACTAAATGACAGATCCTTAAAGAAGTCTTAATGTGTTATTGGCAAGTTACTACAGCTAATTTGACAAGAGAAGAGCATAAAAACTTAAACATGCCCAGAGCAGATTTTCCACTCCCAGGGTCTTACTTGGTAACCAGTCTGTCTGTGCTGAAGCCAGTTACAGGTCATCGATAAGTGATGTCTAGGTACTAGTTGCATGCAGATAAGAGGATTACTGTTACAGCCCCACAGAGAACTCATTGAGTGGTTCTCCCTGGGTGTTAGACTGTTTTGTGGACTGTCTTGTGCATCAACTAAAAGGAAAAATGAATTTGACTTTGGTTTATAAGAAATGATTCATAACTATATTATTTTCACATTTGTTCTCTGGGTAGAGTTTAGTTCAGAATTCTCCCAGTTTTAATACTTAGCATGTTAGGCCAATCTTGCATTATTACAAAGAACCTGAGAATGGGTATTATATATAAAGAGGCTTGGGCCAGGTGCAGTGGCTCACGCCTGTAATCCCAGTACTTTGGGAGGCTGAGGTGGGTGGATCACTTGAGGTCAGGAGTTCAATACCAGCCTGGGCAACATGTTGAAACCCCATCTCTACTAAAAATCCAAAAATTAGCTGGGCACGATGGTGCTTGCGTGTAATCCCAGCTACTCAGGAGGCTGAGGCAGGAGAATCACTTGAACCCGGGAGGTAGAGGTTGCAGTGAGCTAAGATTGCACCATTGCACTCCAACCTGGGCGACAGAGTGAGACTCCGTCCCAAAAAAAAAAAAAAAAAAAAAAAAAAAAAACCAGGCTTAATTGGCTCACGGTTCTGCACACTGTATAGGAAGCATAGTGCTGGTATCTGCTTTTGGGGAGGCTTCAGAAAGCTTACAGTCATGGTAGGCAAAGGAGAAGCAGGCGTCTCACATGGTGGAAGTGGGGCAGGGGAAGTGTGCCATGCACTTTTATACAGCCAGATCTCGTGTGAACTCAGAGTGAGAGCTCACTTATCACCAAGGGGATGGCCCAAGCTATTCATGAAGGATCTGCAGTCATGATGCAAACACCTGTTAGAGGCTTTACCTCTAACATTAGGGATTGCATTTCAACATTGGGGATTACATTTCAGCATGAGATTTGAGCAGGGACAAATTCCCAATCTATATTACCCAGAAAGTGATATATACCACTTATAAATTAACAAATTCAGCCTGCTTGATGTAAATTTGCTTTAATGGATTTAGTGTCCCCAGCCTTTTCCAGATTTCTAGCTTCAGACTTTAGAACTCAATCTTAGTTGGAGGAGAAGCCCTTTGAGATTTCACACTGGTCTTCTAAACAAGGACACCATGCCAGAGAGCAGCCCAGATGGTGGCTACCTCCACTGGTGCTGTAACTTCTAAAAAAGTACATCTTGTTCCAGTGAGTAGTAGCTCTAGCTGACAATACTTTTACAGGGAGTAAAGGGGCATGAGGTTGAGACCCAGAGGTGAATTAAATATTGTATTTTCTTGAAATTATTAGCTTTTCAAGTATAAACATTAAAAGACAATGCTACATTATGTGGTGGGCTTTATGTTTGGGCTCAGATCCTTCCTATAGGAACTCCTGATTTTATAACAGGCAGCAAAAGTAGTTTGATACTATGACTTGTACTGATTTCTAACTTTTTAGGAACTTGGAATATATACCATGTCTGGCCTGATTTGTAACTGATATTGCTTTGTCTTTTATTATTGACTAATGATTGAAATTCTAGAATAGGTTTAGTTCTTAGAAATAATGTGAATTTTGTATTTCTGCAGATTGCAGAACTGCAGTTTTTTTCCATTTTCCCCCCTGTGTTAAACAGTAACTTATTAGGCTGATAGGGTGCTGGTTGTTTCTGCCCATTTGCCTGTTGATTGTTCATTTTATCCAGATGATGGTGTATCCAGCTACTCTTATAAATTCAGCTACTGCCTGACTGAATTTCTGTGAATTACTGTGATCTCAGAAATAACTAGTGCAGTCAAGAATAACTGATAATAATTAAGCCATCCACTTGCTGCTGTGGAGGGAAATAAAGCGTAAGAAGATAGCTGATAATATGGCATACAGGAAAATAGGAACCTTTGGACTTGATCTTACCAGTGTCTTCTGTAAACATGTTCAGCAGGCCCTCTTTGCCAATTACTGTCCTGGTGGAGGCACTGAGGGTAGCACTGGGGAACGATAATAGTTGGAAATTTTTATACTTCTGAAATGCAAGGAAGAAATAGGGAACAAACATGATAATTATGGCTGAAAGGAAGAAGAAATCTTATTGTGGACCCACTTAACCAGGGTAGTGTTGAAGAATGTTCTTATAGAAGAGCTGCCTGGTAGTTCCACAGTCTCTCTCTCAAAAGGCCTCTGTGAACCATCCCACACATACCCTTCAGCAGAAACCTGCCTTACCAGTACAGATTCCAAAGTCTATTCAAAGCTAAATGCAAATCCTATGATTTCTTTGAAACTTTTCCTTACTTGTCTGATGGTGGTATTTTCCCTCTGAATTATTGCAGTATTTACTTCCTGTCTGCACCAGACTGACTAGGGGTAAAGAAACTTTTCCTTGGTACCAGGTACTATACAAGGTTACATTTAATCTTTACAACCTTCCTGTGGTGTAAGTTCAGCTGCTTTATTTTATATAGTTGAGAAACTTGGGCAGAGAAACACATGTAATAGTTGTAGGAGAAACAGCAGAATGTCTGCCATTTCTGGAACACCTGATTCGGTGGTAGTTACAGCAGTGTGTAAGGTATGGAGATGTAGCAGATTTTAACTCTTAATCCAGTGACTCCTAGATCACCGTTCTGTACCTTTTATGCCCTGTTGCATCATTGGCAATTGTGTGATGCCCTATTCATGGTATTTGCCAGAATTTGATAATTTCTGTTACACTAGTGGTACGTTTTCAATGGTCAGGGAATCTGTAAGTGTCGGAGGCACTAAGGGAGATCCATTAAAAAGCCACTGGGAATCTACACAAGTTATAACTTAACCCTCACTCTGAGCCTTGATTTCCACATCTCCAAAATGGAAATGATTTTAGTAACTACCTCAGAAGGTAGTTGTAAAGACTGAGTGAAATAATGTTAAGTTCCCAGCACAGAAGAAGTGCACAATCAATGTTAACCGTTATTGTTATAATGCTTTTGTCTTTCGTCTCTTGGGGTTGCTGAGATCTATAAATGTGCCCCTGTATTTATGATGCGTAATTCTTATCTGTCTAGTATTCAGAGTTCCCCTCATTCTAGAATGTGTTCCCCTCATTCTGGTATCTAGGGATTGTTAAACACATCCGGGTTCACGTGTCTTTACCCCTCGTGGTTATATATGTTTAATGAGTGATTTTATTTGGTCATGCATAAAGCAGAGAGCCACACAGTTTAGAGAGGATTCACTAGCAGGGGATGATGAGGTTGCTAAGGAATATATTTTCATATTTTCCACATTTGTTAAGAGTACAGACAATTTTTTTAGCCTATGATGTGATACATATCTTTTATTTTTAAAAAACTACAAACCCAGAGATGCAGGCCTCAGTTGTATATTTATTTTCCCTCTGAAGAAAGAATTTTTAAAATCTGAGTGCAGAAATTATATTTTTGTTACTTAGGGTTCGGCACTTGATGAAGTGACTGTGTGCATAGTAATAGGAAAGCGATTTATAACCTGATTAAGATTTTTGCTTCAAGGCAGAATTGTGCATTTCTGATGGATGTTAATGTCTTGTTTCTCTATAGCACTGTGTGCACGTGTGTTTGTGTGTGTGTGTGTGTGTACCTGTTTCCATTTGTTTTTAGCTTTTCAGTTTCCCTTCCTGATTTGGGTGAGGAATTGTTATTTTAACAGATTGAAACACTACCTTTGACGATTATGGTTTCATTTTTATCCCATGGCAAGGCCTCATTTCTTCCTTCATTTAAGCCAGACACCTCTTGAAGATTTAAGCTTCTGTGTCTACAAATACATGATAGTTAATAATTAGGCCTCTAAAGGTCTTTGTAAGAGGCTTTGTCAAAGCGTCTCTTCCTTATAGGGCTTGATGTGTCTCGGAAGTCTCAGCCAGAGCTCTGAACTTTGGAATATATAAGGGGATCAGGTCAAATAAATAAGTTGATCCAGAAATTATGGTGGTTTTTAAATTATCTTTATGTACATGTTCTTTCTCATCATAAAGGCATGCCCCATTTGTCTTCTGTGTTAACTCTAGCCTGAGCAAATGCTCCAGCAGTCCGAGCTTGGCCTTTCAGTTTTTCATACTGTTTAGCTGCTCAGTCAGCTTTAGACTCATTCTAGAACAGCCGTAGAGGCCATTCTGGATCCTTCATGCCAGTGGAGGGAAACCATATTTCTGCATTATAGAGATGTTAATTTGTTTACTGCCATGCTACCAAGATTTCTTTCTTTGTCTACCCCATGTCTGTGAAAAGATGTTGGTACCCTTGGTGTCAGTGACCTAAGATAATGAAACTGCAAAATTTTTTTGGCCAGGGATAGGAGGAGTAGAAGTGAGTGATGAGGGAGAAGTTGAAATTCAGGTGTGGAAATCTCTTTTGAGATAGAGAGTGGCAGGAAAGCCACCCAGAGACTCAAGTGGCTTATGAGCAGTGTTTTTTACTTGTTAGCCGCCCTAGTAGAAACACTGGGAGGTGCTCTCTTGTTTCTTAGCCTCGACTTGTCTGTGAGGTCCAGGGAGGATACGAAGCATTTGAAAACATGTTCCCTCCCTGTAATCTCACATTTGAAACCCCATAGTGGGTGGCATAAAGAGGCTTAGTAATTAGTTTCTGGTTAGACCACATTTTGGATTATGTATAATAAAGCAGACCTTCAAGCATGGCTGATTTTTTTTTAATATCTAGTTTGATGACTACATTTTTTATTTGATTTTTAAAATAAATATATAGCACATAGTATGTACTAATTATATTAACTCCTACAGAAGATACCAAAAAAAAGCTGTTCCATGTCTTTAAGAAGCTAAGTGCCCAAAGAGTGAAACTGATTAATTCTAACCTTATCTTGGCTATGGAATGTCTCTGTTCTCAGACAGAGTTGAAGGATTCAGGCACAGACGAATGAATGTCTTATTCAGGTTCAAGAAGTAATTTGGCAGTGTGAGCTTCTTGCAGATTCTTCCAGACACTTCCAGAAACAAAGTTTTCTTCATGAGTTTCATTTGAAGGTGAACTTGGGGTTTTACTTGAAAATAGTGTCACTCCTGGAGTAATCACCCACAAGCATGAAGCATTTAACATAGTCCTCTTTAGTAAAATGGGTGTGAGCCATACAAAAAATTAAGTTTGGAGGAACATGGAAAATGTGACTGATTATCCTCTCACAGGCAGTAAGCTTTCCTGTCTGGATCTTATTTCGCCTTTTTGTGAAATTAGATTAACCTACAATTAGTTCAGTCTTTTTAAACTCACATTTAATCTCATGTTTACTTCTTCCATTTAATATTTTCCATTTACCCCACCAGATGGGACTTCCCCACCTTTGAATGCCACTAGAGTCTTGCCGATGACCTTCTCATGGCTCCCAGTGTGTCTTGGGTCAGGGTGGTGGTTTATGTATTCCCCCTGTCTTCCTTCCCCCCACCTCCTCCATCTCCTGTTGTTCACACTGAATTTTAAACGGTAGGCTTTGTGTCTGACTTACCTTGATATGGGTCAGTGCCAAGCAGGGAGGTTTGCTCATAGTAGGGGCTTGTAAGTATTTGCTAGATTCAAGTTAACTACCTTAAACCAAATAAAAATCAAATATTGGACTTCCCATGTATTTACAGAAATATAATGTCCAATTTAGGTCTGTCCAAATGGCTACTAAAATAAATGGTTACCTAAATAAAGTTTAGGTTACCTAAATAGAGAGAATAGCTGAGTTGGGGAATGGGGTTCTGCTTGAAATTTCAGTACATAGACGTCACATATATTTCGTAATCTTGTGTTGATATTTACTGATGCACACACACTGGCAGCACTCCCAGCAGTGCATTTATTTTTAACTTTCTTGGTGAAATCTGGGTTGGAAACTTAACATCACAGAATCAGCAGCTGAAATTAAGCATTCACATTGCCTAAAATTGAAAAATGAAAATATGAAGACAGTTATGAGCCTTACAGAAACTGCTGTGTCTTTGCAAAGCGTTAACTCTGGTTCAGTGTAGCACATACCTATTCCATCTTCATCCCAACACAGTTTTAAATAGGAAAAAGTATGTGTAAACTTGACAAGTCTCATGAAACTGAAGGGACTGTATTTTTAGAAAATACATTTCCAGAATGCCTTTGGATTCTTTTTAAAAAATGTTAAATCTCTTTTACGTTTGTTTATATTTGTTTGTCACAGATTCGAGAAACTAGTTCTTGTGGATAACATGTACTGATTGCTCACTCCTCCAGTTAAACACACTGTGTTTTGTTTAGTTACATTGTGTGCCTCTAGTATACATTACTCCCCCTAAGACCTCATCCACATACCTTAGAGTAACCTAATATGTGTTGTTAAATTAAAAACATGACTCAGGCTTGGGAGTTTCATTTACAGTTAGAAACATGAAATGTAAGGAATTCAGTGAATATACAAACTATTTAAATACAATTTTGGAAACATTTCACAACTAGTGCTTACTGTATTACAGATGAAATTTAAATTACGTAGCAATGAGTCATAATTTGAGGTTCTTGTTAGCCCATGACGTTCATCTTGTAGAACTTTTGATTGTTCTCTTTGTAATCAACCATTCTTTACCTTTTTAAGTTGTCCTTTTAAATTTTCATGCTTTATGTAAAACTCAATTTATTAGCAAAATCATTTTATTTACTCGCAGATTAGCAAAGAGTTAACTGTTTTGCCTTAGAGGAGGAAAATGTTAGGTTTGGGCTGGATTGGAGTTATGTGTCAAAGATCTTAATTCAGATTTTGGTTTTATTTGCTTTGGGGTTGTTTTTTAGCCAATGAAGAAGAAAGAATCAGAAAACATTTTTTTAAAACTTTTATTTTAGGTTTGGGGGTACATGTGAAGGTTTGTTATGTAGGTAAACACATGTCACGGGGATTTGTTGTACATAGTATTTCTCACCGCCCGCCCCTCCCCTGCCCATACCCAATAGTTATCTTTTTTGTTCCTCTCCTTCCTTTCACCCTCCGCGCAACATTTGTATTTTTTTAAAGCCAGAGAGGAAGCTTTGCCTTGCCACAGGCTGTGAACCTCTTGAGAGCTAGGCAGAGACGCTGGAACTTCTTTGGGTCCTGTGGATTCTAGAACATTGCTCTGAGAGTGGGGTCCCAAATATTTGCCCCATTGAGATTTTTCACATTTTAAAGGTTACACATTTCTTCACTAGCATGTTGCTGATAACCTAGAAGAGTTGATCATTTTATTTTGCATGTATACCTTGTGATTGCTTTCAAGAAAAATTAAATATGGGATGGACTAAAGTTACGTATTAAAGATCTTAATTCAGCTTTTAACTTGATTTTGTTTAGCTTTGTTTAGATTTAATTTATTAAACATCAGAAAAAAGAAGCCAAAAGCCAGATTGTTTATAGTGAAAGAAGAATGAAGACTTGAAATAGTACCCAGATAATTTAGGGTAAAGTTGGTCTTTGTCCGAAAATACTCTGCTGAGGGCAAAAAAACTTCTTTAGAGTCAATTTGTTTTTCAGTGTATTAGGTTTTTTTAAATTTTTAAATGATAACTTTGAAAATAATTGTACACAAAAGAAAAAAATTAGTTGTAGTCTCATTTAATTACTATTATTTGGTATATTTTCTGATTCCTGTAGTTTATTTTGTTAGGAATGTTTGTACCATACATAGATACCTATTTATATTAATTCTCCTTTTTTTCTCCCACATTGTTAACTGTTATTTGAATTTTTTTCTTTTTTTTTCTTTTTTTTGAGAGTTTTTTTTTGAGTTTTGCTGTTGTTGCCCAGGCTGGAGTGCAATGGCACGAACTCAGCTCACTGCAACCTCTGCCTCCTGGGTGCAAACAATTCTCATGCCTCAGCCTTCCAAGTAACTGGGATTATAGGCACCCGCCACCATGACCAGCTAATTTTTGTATCTTTAGTAGAGACGGGGTTTCACCATGTTGGCCAGGCTGATTTAGAACTCCTGACATCAGGTGATCCACCTGCCTCGGCCTCCCAAAGTACTGGGTTTACAGGTGTGAACCACTGTACCGCTGGAAAAAAATGTTTTTTAATGGCTGTATGCATAATAGCCCATCGTATGGAAGGCCTATGAAGTATTTCACCTGTCTCCTGTAGTGGGTATTTCAGTTAATAATTAATAAGTCCAGATTTTTGCTGTTAACAGATAAATCTGTGGTATCATTTCTTTACTTGATTAATAGGATATGTTTCTAAAAGTGGAATTACCAGGTTACAGGGTACAGGGTAGGATATGAACAGCTTTTAAGACTTTTTATTACCTAGTGTCAGATTTCACTCCAGAGAGAAGATACCAAAAGGATTCTTTTAGGTTAATGTACGACATTCAGACATTTTCACTATTTTCTGTGCCATCATAAGTATGGAGACTTTCAAAGCCATATTCTTAACTTAATCAGTACTTTAAATAACTGTAGCTCACATTTAACAGATGACTCCCACAAATCATTTTGAGAATTGTATGAGAACTTTTAGATATCATGTATACATTAATAATAATAATGATTGAAAAAAATGTATATAGCTTGTGTGTTCTCAACTTTCTTCTGGTAATGTTTATGTTTTTAGGCAGCAGGCTGTTTAGTTGTTTGTTTTTTAGTTGGGTACGTGTTCTTCTCTGAAGGGTTTTTAAAAAAATAATTACTTGTAAATTGGATGGAAAACAAAAATCAGATTGGGACTGAATATACATTTTAGATCTGGAAAGATATCTTAGGGAACTGGTTCCTTTTTGTCCCGTGGCTTATAGTTTCTAAAATGAATTTTATAGAACAATGCCACTTTATGAATTACCAGTATTAATTGATTTGAGTTGCTTGCCAGAGTCACTAGAAAGAATGTGAGAAATAAACTTGGTTGATTGTTGAAGTCACGTATGTGTACTCTGTTCTTGGAGCTCAAGTTTAGTGTAGGCATATTTGTATTACATTTAGCTTACTCCTTTAATTAGAACCATGCTTCATCCCACTGTTTTTATAAAATTGCTGGAGAATTCTGAAGCATCAGTGTTCTAGGTACACCCAAGATTTTCATTTAGTAGAAAGTGTCCAATGATTTGAAGTTGTAAAAGAAAGCTTTCAGGAGCTCATAATTAATAGGACCTTCTAATGTTCAATCTGGAAAGTATCTTAGAGTTCATCAGCAGTTTGGTGGGGTACTCAGTCATAGAGGAAATTCACTATGGGTGGGTGACAGGCAGGGGAATATTTCCTGAAGCCCAGGCATATTACAGAATAAAACACAAAATTGTAGGAAGTTTTAGGACAAGTCATTGGATGTCAAGGATATGTAATGTTTACCACCTACAGCCCTAGACCAATCCTGGCCCTCAAGGACCTTAGTTCGCTCACCCCTGCTTTTAGTTTTTCCTCAGTGGAGAATGAAAAGTCCTGATAGAGTCTAGTTTTCCTGTTACAGAGGGAGAAATGAGGCCCAGAGAGAGGTTAAGGATCCTGACCTTTGTTAAACAGGAAGTTTAACAAAGTAGCACTCCTAGTCTAGTGCTACTGTTTGGCAGCTATATCTCACAATTAAGTGCCATATTCTACATATACCCAAGTTGTATTGCATATGAGGATTTTCAGTGACATTCATTGGATTAGGAAGTACTTCAGCATTGGCTCATTGTTTATTGATCAAATGATCTGTGAAAGACCAACTTTGTTGTCATTTCAATAAAGCTGGGCACTTAGAAGCTAGCTGTGTCTTATGGAAGGCTTGTTGACTGCTTCTGCATCCAGGAGCCCAGCTTAAGTGCCAGGGGCCTGCAGAGCAAGGGGAGTAGTATGTAAATATTTGATTTTAGCCCAAGCCAGCATCCACAACAGGAGGATGTTTCCGGGGTGAGAATATTGACACCAAGGGCAGCATTATTTACATAATTATCCTCTTCTCTATTAGCTACATTTATGTCCCCTGACAGCACCTAGCACAGAGTAAAGGGTAAATGGTACCCACTTCATACCTGCTGAATTATATTACTAAAATATGGGTTTGTATGTGTGTATACATATACACATACACATACATCCTGAATTTTCACATTGGTACTCTGTTTTAAGGGGGAAACGTCATGGAAAAATAGAGCTAAGCTAGCCAAGATATTTTGTTAACAGAGCTCACCTGCAAGAGAACAGTTTACTATAATATTTTTATTTAACTGCTTACTGGTGTTACCTCGTTGATGTAGCCCATGTATCAGGTTATTCTTCAGAAGATGAAATGTTACTACAGAACAAATATCTTGAGAAAAGTTGATCAATCATGTAGGACTCTATAGAACATTCAGTCGCATTAATAATACCAAGATAATAATTTTTCATATAGTATATCCCTAGAATTAACTTAAAACTGGGCCATGGTAGATAATGGGGAAAAATGTAGTCTGGTGCTTCAGTCATATAAAGGAAAAATAATCTTGAGGTTTAGAATAAGACTTAGAAATTAATCATTTTTTGAATGTATGTGGCCGATTTGAGAATCTTTGCTCACACGCAGCTTTTTGAAAGTGGGATGAGTTGAAGCTGGTAAGTTGAAGCTGACAAGCAGTGGTGGCAGCACCCAGTGGGACTGATCACTGGATCAGTGGTGAAGTCTGGGCACCACCGTGTGAAGACAGGGACAGTGGTGAAGAGGGAAGAGCCCGTGGGAGAGGCAGCTTTGGCCTTTGACTCAGTGATTTAGTTTTTATAAAAGGGGTCCCCGTCGTGTTGCAGTGACTTTCTTCTCTTATGAGGCAATTTGTTCAAAACTGTCTTGCAGATTCAAAAGTGGTCAATACAACGTTTATTAAAGAACAAGGGAAAGAGAGAACTAATGTGTATTAAGCCCTTCAGTCTCACCTACTAAGCACCTACTACACTGCCTTACTCAGTCCGCACAACCTCACAACAGTCCTAAGATGATGTCCCTTTTTTTTCTTTTAATCATCTTGTAAGCACACCAACACTGGGGCTTCAAGTTTACAGAATGGCTCTTTTCCCCAGACCATACTTGCAGTCTGCCTCTGCTGTCTGTGGTGCTTTGATATGTGCCTTCTGTAGTAGACCGAGCCCCTGAGGACAGGACCATGCCTGTGTTTGCTCACTGCTGTGAACCTGTTCCAGGCTTTTCTGGGTCAGCTCAGAAGTATCTTGGTCTTCTGCACACATCACCTTGGAAGTGGACCTGTATATTTAAGTCACTGATGTATGCTGCAAGCTCCTGGTTCACACCCACTCACTCCTTCCTGAAAATAAACATGCTAGTATATTGAACTCACTAAGTAAGGCAAAGCCTTAGTAAGACTCACAGAAATCATCAATAATAACATAGGTTGCAGTGCCCCACCTCCCACCCCAGTTTATTTATGTCTTTATTATTATTATTTTTTGAGATGGAGTCTTGCCCTGTAGCCCAGGCTGGAGGGCAATGATGTGACCTCAGCTCACTGCAACCTCTGCCTCCCTAGTAGCTGGGATTACAGGCTCCCACCACCACCCCCAGCAAATTTTTGTAATTTTTTAGTAGAGACGGGATTTCACCATGTTGGCCAGGCTGGTCTCGAACTCCTGACCTCAAGTGATCTGCCCACCTCGGCCTCCCAAAGTGCTGGGATTACAGGTGTGAGCCACTGTGCCCAGCCTTTTTTTTTTTTTTTTTTTTTTTTCCAGAAATGGGGTCTTGCTATCTTACCCAGGCTGGTCTCCAACTCCTGGCCTCAGGTGATCCTCCCACTTCAGCCTCCCAAAGCTCTGGGATTACAGGCATGAGCCAGTGTACCCAGCATCTCTTGGCTCTTTAAAAAAATAGTTTATTTTCCCTTGTTTACCAGAACAAGTCTTGATTTGATTCCTGACTACACTATTTAAACTGTGAGGTGTAGTCATTTGTGGAAATTGAAGTCTGTATGTATAGGATTTACCTCCAAATATTTGGTAATTACAGATTATTTTTGCTGTTGCATCACTTTTCATATCTCCCTTCTATTGAAAATACCTCAGTTAATAAACAGTGCAGCTCCACTTGCCAATATCTGAAGATACAGAAGAAGGCTGAACTTCCTTGTCATTTTTTATTGTGCCTCACCACATCCACAGTGGGAGTGCGGTAATGGTGTTATGAGAACCCTTATGTATTAAAGACACTATTGGTTTGATGTGAATAGAATTTGGTATTTAATATGAAATCTGAATAGTGTTATTTGAGGCAGAGCAACATACCTATTAAACTTTAGAGCTAGGAAGTAACTTGGTCTGTGGAAGGAGGGTTTACAGCAGGGGAATACTGCGGCTTTTGCTAAAATGATTTCAAATTTTCAAATATCTGAATTAAACACATGAGATTGTAATTTTCTTCATGTATGTCTATGATGTCGTTATACAACAGTCAATTTTAATGAAAACATAAATATTTAAGTCATAATTTCTCCTTTTCAATTTTTCTCATCTAGAAGGAGCTGGCAAACAGCCCTGACTGTCCCCAGATGTGTGCCTATAAGCTGGTGACCATCAAATTCAAGTGGTGGGGACTGCAAAGCAAAGTAGAAAACTTCATTCAAAAGGTAAAATCTGCTCAAAATGTGGTGACTTAGATTTAGGATGAGATCGGAGCTAGCTATTAATGGGATATCTTCTCTGTTATTACTTTTTTTCCTCCTTTATGATATGAAAATTATTGTCCCTACATAATTCATTTCAGCCCTTCTTTATACCTCAAAGCAGCAAAGACAGATGGCAGCAGAGGTTTTAAGGGACTTTCTTTGGAGACAAGCACAGCAGCTTTTTGTTCAAAGTGCTTACCTTATGGTTTGCCCAGCGCTTCTGTAGAGAACCCTTTCCCCATACAGCACGTCCCCAAGAGGACCTGGTGTTCTGATCCTGACTGGAGGGAGAGAGCGGGCCCAGCCTGCTGAAGGACTCCCCTGCCCCATCTCAGCTGGACCCTTCCCCCTACCCTCCATATCTCTCAGAATATGTATGTGTGCCTTGTGCTGTCACAGGGGATGTCTTCTTTAGAGGTCTTTACTGAAAAATGGGCACACTGTGAACTAAGGTACACAATCTGAGGATCCAGATTCTACTTGTTTCTTTTTTATGTCTTCTTTATTAAAGTGAAAGTAACATGGGCAGTTAGATCTAGGAGGAGGGGAGAATTGGAATTTTATAAATGCACACGGTTGTTACTACCTAGGAATGTTGAAACATTTCCTTGGTGTTTACTTTTCCTGTAGGGCGAATATTTATTCTGTTATTATTATAAAGAAGCCCTCATTATATCTCAGATCTCCACAATTAGTTATGTCTGTTTCATCATAACTTTTCTATTTTTAAACTATAGCTGCTGTAGTATTTTATAAGACAAGGATCTCAAAGTGCTGGAAACTTTGATTATTCATGGGCCTGCTTACAGTCAGCATTCTGTAAATATTGGCATTCTTCCTTCCTCTCGGATCATAATCATAGATTAACAATCCAGTTCTGATAAATAGAAGTCACATATGTAATTGATAAAGTCCTTTCTATTCATGGAAGAAGATTTTTAAGTTGAATATTGTCCAGAAGTACTTACTGTTCCATGCACTTTTCTCTCTTCTTGGGAAAGCTGAATAAAACTTAAATAATCCATCAATTGAAACCGCTAATTATATACATGGTTTTTAAATATATTTATAATAGTGGCAGCAACATGTTGTGTAGAAAAATTAAGGGAGAGTTTGTAATGATTCTTAATTTAATAAAAGAACCCAGGACTCTTTTCTTTCAATGCATTATTGTATTCCACCTCATAGTGAATGTTAAGAATGACAATATATAGTTTTATAGCAGAAGAAATCTAGTTGACCTTTGCTCATTGACATTTAGAAAAAGGTAAAAATAAATCAGGCCCAGCAGGAATGTGTTGGATTAGGTCATACACACCGCATTTTTTTAGTTTCTACTAGATCATGACACCTTTGCCTAGGAGATTATTTTTCATTTCACAGGGAAAGTTTTTTTTTGTTTGTTTAATTTTGCTGGACACAATGATAATTAAATGGAATTATGATTTCCACAAATCTACAGAGTAGTCTTTTTGAACCAAATGTGTAAATTTCATGGGTTAATTGGAACATGTAAAGTTAATGTGTCATTAATCTTAGGTTTTTGTCATCTTATGCTACTTTTTTGTTGTTGTTTTAAAAGCAAGAAAAACGGATATTTACAAACTTCCATCGCCAGCTTTTTTGTTGGATTGACAAGTGGATCGATCTCACGATGGAAGACATTAGGAGAATGGAAGACGAGACTCAGAAAGAACTAGAAACAGTAAGACTGGCTGTTCTATGGCAATTCTCTAATTTTCCCTTTTCTAAAACTGTATACATGCTTGGTAAATACAGAGTTAGAATTAGGAAGAGTGTTGTTAAAAATCATTCCCTATTCTACTTATTCTCATCAAAATGGAGTTTCTTAGACACTGCTATTCCTTCACATATTCTGATCTCTCTTTTGTTGAGCATCTTGCGTGAAGGTAGACTAGAGTTTTCTCAGTCTAGAATTGGTTACCTGTTAAATATCTAATGGTTCTGTATTCTTTCTTACACACTAGCTTTAGTTCTGTAGGCTGGTTCCTGGTTCACAGTCGTTTTAGACACTTTGTCAGACTAAGTTGCTTTTGGCTCAGTTTGTATCACAGCAAGCTTAACAAATGTTAACATGATAAGTCCTAGTTCGCTTTTTTTGTAGAAAAGGTAAGGCTAATGGTATTGTTACTAATTCTGGAAATGCCTCCTCTGCTTCCCCCAACTGGCAGTGATCCTTATTTCTTCCTAAGCTTTGGGCAGATTCAGGTGATCCTTGGGCAGGAGGTCAGCATGCCACAGTTCAGTGTTACAGCCCATCCCAGCTGCTCCCCACCACCAGTGGGCAGGGCCGGCAGCCAGTGGGTGTCTTCTCTCTCCTCGGGATGGATTCTTCCCTGGCTTCCTCTTGCATGTGTCTGGTTTTGTTTTTGCCCTGGGCCATGCTTGTCTTCAGTTGGCAGTAAGGCCCCATGGGTGAAACAAACCCAAGGAATGTCCAGGGCCTGCTAGTGGTTTCCATGTGGTCATCTCGAGTCCTGCCAGCAGGTCCAGTTTTGGAAGCCCTGCAGGTGTGAGCGTTTGACAGACGCCTGCGTGTGAGGCAGAAACTCCATTTAATCACAGGAGAATGGCAGCAAATCAGATTCTTTGGCACAAAAGGAAACCTATTTTTCTGGCACATAGCATCGTAAAGAATCTGTTTAAAATTGCTTACTTTTGGTGATTACAGCAGATCTGCTTCTAATTAGTTTTATATAAACCTTCTGAGAGGACTAGGACATATTTTCTTTATAAGGCAATAAAATATTTTAACCTTATCTTATACATAAAGTAAACTATAGGCAGACTCCAACTTATGAATGGATTTTGTTCCAAAAAATTTTAAGTTGATTGTTTGAAATTTGGAACATATTTTCCCATAGAGACAATGTTATAAATTAGGGTTTGGTTTCTAGACTAGCCAGCATAATATGCCTCTTTGACCCCAATTTCTCATACTAATATTAGGACTCTGAGTTCTGGATATAGGGAATAGGGTGATGAGATGGCAAGAGTGGAAGATACCCCCCTCATTCCTTATTTTTAGTCTAGCCACAGGCAAAACACTTAAATAGGCAAGAGCAGATCATGGGCACTTCCTACCTTTCTTTCTAGGCCTCTCTCCCACTTCTGTGTTCCCTTTTTCAAGAGTCAGGTGCCTTTCTCTGACTCTAACAAGCACCCCCCTGGCCCTCGCTACCCTATCCAGTTTTAGTCCCATTTGCCTTGTCTGGTTTCACTCCCTCCAAGTGCCCAAGGCTTCAGGAATACCTGCCAGCTCTGCCTTTGGCTCTTCCAAGCAGCTGGTGGGTGTCCACTGAACATGAAACAGAAGCAGCAAGAGACACCCAAACACGCTAAGCCCATGATGCAGCACTGGCATTTCCTACAAGGATTTACCAACAGCTCAAACCCTTGGGAAAGAGCCCTTCTCTCAGTTTTTAATTTTTATGCTGAAGAACTGTGTGTCACATGGGGAAGAGTAGTTACCATTGACCAGGTGATAAGCCCTATCTGGTTTGGACTCTAAACCCTACCTATCTCTGGACCCCTTGGACAGAACTTGACTGAGATTTCTTCCCCCAGGGAAGTGCTCTTGCTTCTCTAACAAGTCCTCAGCCTCACGATACCTGAACACAGAATGGTCCCAGCCTCAACACGCTGTGACCCTCCGCTGTGGAGCTGGTGACTCTTGCTCTCACCTATGGCAGTGGGCCTGCAGGTGCAGCTGCTGCTCCATGCAGATCAGTTATTTGTGAGTTGGGAATTGCACTCGAGAAGAAGGTGTAAGATAGACAAGTAAAAGCCCAATTCCTTAGTGTCACCATTCTTATACCCACATTGCTGAAACTGATTAACCCCCTCATAAAGCTGGTGGAAAATCTATCATTGGTTCAGAGTGAGGGTACATAGCAGTTGCTTTGTCAAATATCTCAAAAACATTTTAAGACAAATTTCACCATTAAGTGGTGCATCTTAACGTTGAATCCCATTTAAGTTATTTTGCTGTAGGTCATTGGGGAGTGCTTGGTTCCACACACAGAATCAAGATGCTGCTGCTTTGAGTCCTAATGGTGGCTTTGTGAAAGCATCCTCAGAATCTGGGCAGCATCAAGCCTGCAGGCCAAGAATGCCTACCCAGAAAGCACCTGCCTCCTGAAGAGGCATCCCATTTTAGAGTCCTCTTCACACGCAGAAATTTCTTTTTCCTTGAGGTCCTGACCCCTGACACCTGATGATAGATTTTAATGACATTATAATGCTCTTAATTCACAAATATTTTAAGAATTGGATTTCTTTCAAATGGGTTTTGGCCCTGGAGAGAACTAGCATCTTGAGAGGTTAGGCACACGAGGAATGCCCCTGCCTATGATCTGCAGGGAACTGCCCTGGAGTTGAGGCTCAGCAGCTGAAGGAGGACTTTAGGTAAACATTTTACCTGTTTGTTCTTAACTGGCACCTCCGGTTCCGGGGTGGGGGTGAGGATGTGTTGAGTTTTAACGTATTTATTGCATTTGTTTGTTTTCTGTTCATTTCGTTTTTTGTTTTCTCATTGAGTGGTGTCACTTGTCTGGAGGCTATTGTTATGAATGCCTGTCCTTTCTAATACATCTGTGTGCCCTTCATGGTTTGCCATACATTGTTTCTGTGCTTGCCTTTTCTCCCTTTCATTCTCCCTCCTTGCCTTTTCTCCCTTTCATTCTCCCTCCTTTCAGTAAACTTCCTTTAAAGGACTCCACTGAGAGACCCTGTTCTCAGAAGCAGCAAAGAGGTGTGGCCCACACCCTCATGGCTTGCTTGTCTGGCCTAGGGACTATGCAAATATGGACCAGACCCTTGGGGTATTTTCTCACATTATATTGGCAAACAATTTGTTTACCCATTGGCTGTTTTTGATAATTTTTTATCAGTCTGCAGGCTTTTGTTTTTTACAGTTAAGGATAGATAAACCTTTTTTGTGCTAAGAAAAGCCTTTTGCAAGAATGTCTTCAAACCAAGGTTATTTGAGGGGCCACAGAACTTCATTCTTAATGTGGATATGGTTATGAACATCACTTCATAATCTCTTCTAGATCTTTTTTCTCCCCTTGCTTACTAACCCCTATTTAGAGTCTGATTTCAGCAGCTCACAATTTTATTTTACGTTTAGATGCGTAAGAGGGGTTCCGTTCGAGGCACGTCGGCTGCTGATGTCTAGATGAGTCCCCTGTAGGGTCAGAGACAATGTCAAACTGTGTAAGTGAAGACCTGGGTAAAAAGATGTTTCGAAACCTGTACCTTTTTGGTGATGGGCAGTTAACTTGCTGAGCAGAAGCTCTAAGTGTTAAATGTGGTTTTATTTTTAGAATTTAAAAGATAAATATTTTAGAAATTAATAGTGAACACTTATTAATAGTCTTTAAAAATTTTACCTGTGGACCAGGTTGAATTTAGTAATCCTGGGTTAGTTTTTAGTGTTATGGGTTAGAACCCAGCTGCCAGGTGCTGTTACTCATCATGTAGCACATTGTCCTGGAAGCCAGCTGATTTTTCAATACTGAGTTAATTGACCTGGTTCTTTGTAGAACCATTTGTGGTTAGTAAGGAAATATGCAAAATCACTTGAGATCAAATAAAGATCCTCTATCCCATACCATACGAGCCAACCTCAATAATTTATTTTGGCTGCAATATTTTCTGTGCACCAGAAAGTCTTCCTTGATATTTCGTCTTCAGTTGTTACAGTTAGCTTTACTCTGCGTAAATGCACTTTAGTTTTAATTTATGGTGTGAACCATTTTTGTGGTCTTATTTCTCTAACACATTATATGCCCATATAACAAATTTTCCCAGAGATGCAAAAAAAAAAAAATCAAAATCTCCCTCACAAATTGAAACCAGTGTGAGTAAACAAAAATCAACAGTGTGCTGTCATCATTTGTTTATACTGAACTATAATGTTTATTATAAAGAGAACGAGATGTAGCACTCCCCTCCCTCCACTGTGGTTCTTTGCTGCCCCACATGAGCTACCTGCTCTTTAATTTTTGAACATTGGGATGAATGAAATGTTCAGTTGTGAGAAAAGCTAGTTGTGCCAAATAAGAATGAAGTAACTCTTCCAAGATTCCCCCCAAACACTTTTAAATTCCATGTTCATTAAAAAAAAAAAAATTTAAGTTATTGTTACTTTTGTTAAACTCTCCTAAGTTTTTGTGATTTATTTCTGCCTCGACTTTATTTTCCCCTCTGATGAGACAATATATTGTGGCATTAGTAGTAAGACCAAAATCTTTTTGAACAGATGAAAATTGTAAGATGCAGTAGTTGGGGTACATTTTCTGCCAAAAGTTTTGATGCATTTGGAGAGTGTGTGTGACGAGCTGCTAACATTTCCTGTCTCTGTATTTTAACACATTTTGCACTGTCTTTCACTTTTCTTACAGTTACGTAATCAAGGTCAAGTGAGGGGAACAAGCGCAGCCAGTGATGAGTGAAGAAGAATCTGACCAGTATCTTGCAGTGTTGACGTTTCCCAGATGTGTGCTTGTGATGATACACACACATGCACAGGTTCTCAACCACGTGTGTATATATGTATGTGTGCATATGTCTGTAGCTGTATATAAAGCGCATGTAGAGCTACAGATCCAGATACACACACTTGTGTATATATGTACATACAGACATACTGAAGGGATTAGTACAATTTCTCCAAAGTACTGTACCTATCTTCAGCAAGAATGCAAAAGAAAATATTTTCAATATATATACCTGGAACAGATTTTAATAATTATCAGAGTAATACCATTAATGGACAAATTGACTGCAATGTAATACTAGCTGGTATGTTTCATAAATGTCAAGCTGTGGACCAACATATATAGCCTTTTATTATTTTTCTCTTCTTTTAAGTCAGTCTGTTATAAATTTTTTTTTAGTCCCATAAGCAGTAGACTCCCACAGAAAATTTCTTCAAAATTTTTTGGTGTTCCAATGAATCTGGGATGTAAACTCTGAATGTATTTATAACTATTTATTTCTGGATGGTCATTATCTTGTAGCCAAATTTGACAATATAAAGTAAGGAGCAAAGTTACAGGCCAGTTTTTACTTGTTTGCCCTGAGGGAAAAATCCTTTTAAAAAAAATTTCTGGTTTTTATTGGATTTTTGTATTTTAAATTTCAAATATTTTTCTACATCAAACCTAGCAAAAATGGAGATGACGGTTTCTGATTTATAATAAATACTAGACAGTTTTCAGGCTCCTGTTAGACAAACACATTGATGAAGAAATTAGTCTTAATAGGATTGTAGGCTGTGTAGAAAAGTTGGAAATATAGCACTTCATGGAGTCTTGTTTTGAAGATGACAGTTTTCTGTAACTACAGCTTGGAAACTATGCAAATGGTCTAGATTCCTCAGAGCTCACATGATAGGATATAGTTAGTGATGACATTTTGCTCTTCTTGTGGGAACACACACTTCAAGGAGGAGATAGTGACTTTGAGATAGGAACAGTTTAAGATGCAGTGTGAGTCTGGCCTGCGTGCGGTGAGGAGGCCCCGCCAAGAGACTGGTGGACATCTGACTGTGGGATGTGCTCTCAAGTAGGACGTCATCAGGACAGATTCTGAATAGGCATCATGAGAGTGCTGGTCAGAAACGGCTGCCACTTTTTTTAATTTAATTTTATTTTTTATTTAAAGGAAGGAACAATAGCTAGGTAAGATTTTTATCAGCTTTCTCTGTCTGAATCCAGTTTTTCCTCTGTCAGTCCTGGAAGCTTGAATAGAATTATATTGTTGAAGCCTTCAGGTCACAAACTGTCTTTTGTAACCTCCTGTCCCTCCTAAAACACGCCAACCCCTGCAGTCAAATCACATTAGTAATCTGATTTGCTGACAGTCCTGCCCTGCCTGCTCCTCGTTTTCCCACATGTCCTGCATCCCTCCCCCACTGGAGTGATTTCAGTGAATCAGACAAGGAAGGATGTGTAGGATCACTACTGCATTGCAATACCCTGTTATCCTCAGCAACAAAACCCACATTTCATACATCCTTTGTGTACTCAGGATAAAGACTGATGTTTACTCTCTGGGCACTGTTGTAAGATAGGTTTTGTCAGAGCATAATCATTGTCTGCAAAGTGTTTGGTGCGAGGAAGATTATTGCTAATTTTGTGAAATAAAGAGTCTAGCCCTCTCCTTTTAATGAACTTAACTCTCGCTGGCATCTGTAGTATCATTGGGAGCTTAGGCGCACATGGAAATGAGAGCCCGGCGCATGGATTTTAATGTTTTTCTAACAACTGTGGAGATTTGAGGGAATGTGTGGTGAATGTAAAATACCTAGTTTACTTGCCAGTCTCTTGTGTAAATTACAGTAAAACAAAGTAAATGAAATTTAAACAAAAAATAAATTTGATCACAAAATGCCACTTGTGTGCTTGAGTGGTTGTTTCCCTGAGCCATGTCTGGTTTGAAACACCTCAGACCACTACTCTGTTTTTCATGAATTCTGTAATTCGCAGCACTACCAGTCTGGGAAAATTATTTTGTTTTAATTGCAAATTCTTATTCTTGAAATGTACCTGTGCCACACTAAGTGGTTACGTTTGATTTCTTAAGTAATTTTCTGTCTTTAAAAGCTAAGCAGTAAACTAAAGGATTATATATTATTAGTCTCAGTGGTTTTCAGATTTATTTTTAAAGGGGAAAACAGGGAAAACCCATCGTATTTGTAAAGCACTTAGGATTTTGCCGTTTGTTTCTGATTGTTTGAAGATTAGGGCTTTTTGGTGCGTGGTCACCTTTCACCTCTCCTTTTAGGATTTAGTCCTTTCCAGTCTGCTCTTTTTGTGCGTGTCACAACCATATTCTTGTGGTTCTGGCTCATATTGTAGAACTGCTGAACATAAGGAGAGGTAGCCAGCTGTATGGTCGGATTTAATATATAATGTTATATGTTGGGATATCTTAGTGGTTTGTTTTCTGAGGTAAGTTTCTTAGTGTTGTGTTTGAGACATTGTGTTTGCGTTTATGGCGACACTGTCATTCATGCACTTGGCCATCTGAGCGTGGATACAGCGGGCACTCGGGTCTCTCTGCCAAGATGGATGAAAGCAGTGTACATTCCAGTGTGGGAGACAGACATGTGGACAGGTAAATTACAAGGCAGTGTGATAAAGAGTAGAGAGTTGGTTGAGAGAGATCTTAGACACCATCCTCATTGTATAGATGAGAAAGCAAAAGTCACCAAGGCAGCCTGGCAGCTGGGACCCAAGAAGCCTAGGGTGCCAGTCCTTGGGCAGTGCGGGGTTAGGCACACCCAGGGCCCTCCTGGTTCCTGGCTGACTCTTGGACTCTTTGTCTCTAATTGGAGGCCATGATGCCCAGCTGTAAGGTGGTCAGCTTCACTTGAGACACTATATCCTTTAGCACAGCGGGGGTGATTTCTTCCCTCCTGTTTCATTCATTTACCAAATGGCCTCCTAAATGATCTAAAATCACTTGGATCTTTTGTCTTTGTGGACCTAACACCTGGCTTTTAAAGTTTAACTTTCTGTCCCCTCTTCAGCTTGCTAAATTGAAAAGTGTTGCAGCCCAACCTCCACAAATCTTGTCTCAGGAAATAAGAGACATTTGTTAACATTTGTTTTGTACCTCTCAGCAGCTTAGTTGACAAGGGCACCGTGTGGGATTTCCTGTTCTTGCTCATTTGGAAAGAGAATGTTCTTTGTTCTTAGACCCTCAGCTCTCATGTGAGAGCCATAGAATGTTGCGAGGTGGAGTTCTGTGGATACAGAAGGAATGTTTTCAAGTTAGACTTACTGCCAATGTTAGGATTTGGGACTTTGCATGATTGGGAGGGAGAGGGAGTGCTGGAGAACAGGTTAAAAGTTGTCCCGCTGAGCTTGGAGCATCTCCTGCCAACCCGGAGTGCTTCCCAGGAACCCTGCCAGTGTCACTTGGGGTTATGTTTTCTGATTTGGAAACATTAAGCCGTAGCAGGTCTCTTCAGAACTGGTTCTTCAGCCGGATTGCCCTGGAAAGCAGAGATTGCAGCTCTTCTAAAACTGCCTCTCACAGAAGTTCCAAGGCCAGGCTAAATATTGAATGCAGTACTCAGCAGCTGGGACACCTGATGCTTTGGTGGCCATCCCTTTCTTCCATCCAAAAGGGCCCCCACTGGAAGGCATCTGTTGTTTTAAAAATATTTTAGGACTCATTTTTACTTCCCCCACTCCCTCAAGATCACATACACTCCCCAGTGGGGGTTACAGCCTCTTAGGAGGAATCGCTGCTTCATGACTTCCTCAGGCATTTACATTTTTCTCTTCTGTTGACTTAAATCATGAACTAAAATTTATCCCTAGAGGAAAAAAGAATGCTTCCTCCATTCTGGGCTCTTCTCACTGTACCCAGACTATGTCTTCAGGACTCTCATCTCTTGTCAGTTCTGTTGTGCTAGAAAGACTGGTTTGAAAAAATTCAGCTCGTGTAAACCTGTGCCCTCCACCCTGTGGGGAACCCATGTGGGGAGCCTTTGAAAATATCACTTATCAGCTGGGCGCAGTGGCTCATGCCTGTAATCCCAGCACTTTGGGAGGATGAGGTGGGCGGATCATGAGGTCAGGAGTTCAAGACCAGCCTGGCCAACATAGTGAAACCCCGTCTCTACTAAAAATACAAAAAAAAAAAAAAAAAAAAAAACAGCCAGGCATGGTGGCGAGCACCTGTAGTCCCACCTACTTGGGAGGCTGAGGCAGGAGAATCGCTTGAACCCGGGAGGTGGAGGTTGCAGTGAGCCAAGATTGTGCCTCTGCACTCCAGCCTGGGCAACGGAGTGAGACTCTGTCAAAAAAAAAAAAAAAAGAAAATATCACTTATCTACCAGTTGTCTTTCTGTGGCTTGGGTTTGGTGTGCTCTCTGTTCAAAGGACGGGGTAAATTGCTAAGAGAATTCCTGTTCTCTCTTCCTGGAAGATCATTGAGATGACTGCCTTCTCTCCCCTACCCATTCTTCAAAGCTCTGGCGTCAAGTGGCACTTCCTCTAGGAGACCTTAACTTGGAATGACTCCCTCTGCAGCAGTCCACACCCCTCATTTGGCTCATACAGACTACGCTTTGGTTAATAGATGTCATCTTTAGATCTCTGTGTGTTTTGTGTCCCAAAGAGTTTGGGAGCTCCTTAGAGGTAGGCGCCACAGCTGTGCCCCCAAGTAACTTTCCCTGATGGAAACTGACTCTGAAAATGGCTCCTTTTTACCTATAACAGATATCTGCCTTCCCTGTGCCAAGGACCCTTTTGAGTCCTGGGGTTCGAGCAGAGGGATTAATAGCCAAAAAGTCAGGAAGATGTAACTTCTGCCCTCAGAATTGAAGCCTACCAACTAGCAGTGGGAAGTAGTAGTTTTGGTAGCTGATTGTAGAAAATTCGATGAGAACAGAGGAGAGAGCTCCAAGTCTGCATTTCCCTCCTTGCTTTCCAGGCACCTAAACCAGAGGTTTCAGAGACTGCAAACTAAACGAATCTAAAGCAAAACTCTTTTTAGTCCTTCCTCCTTCCCCAAAATGTACTGTCTGCATTTACTATTGGTTAACTGTATCACTGGCTGTGCTGCCCAAGCCAGAAATCCTAACTGGCCCCTAAGTCTAAAAAACGCCCCCAAATGACTGAAATCCTGCCCCTTTTGTATGTCCTGGTCCAATGCAAACTATGCTCTGATGCACCATCCTCTCATCTAGGGTGGGGTCTGAAAAGTTCCTGTAGAAGATTTTAGGCTTTGTGGGCCATATGGTCTACTACAAATTATTCAGCTCTCCCCTCACAATGCAGAAACATCCACAGAAGACACATAAATGAGCACTGTACCTGTTCTAGTAAAACTTTATTTACACAGAGAAATGGCAGGCTGGATTTGACTGGAGAGGCCATGCCTCATTTGCCAAGCCTTGGTTAGGGGATTGTGTGTATAATCAGTCTCTGCCAGAGTTAGCTTTGGTGCTGTGCCCCTTCTGGAACACGTGCATGACTTCCTGAGGCCCAAAAAACTACTGCAGCCAAAGCCAGTGTCCTTCTGCCATTCTTAAAGTGAAGCCAATGAGGCTCATCAGTCTCACTGCCTGTACAGGGTCAGTCACAGGTGGAAGGAATCAAACTGATTTCTCTGCTGCCCTAAACATGCACATTGACCACAGAAATAGCTCTAAGCACCTGATCCCCCACCAATATGCACAGAAAGCTGAAGGGCAGAGCTATGATGGGTTAACAAAAGCAGTTGATGTATGGAATAGAATGAAGATAGGCTGGGCGCAGTGGCTCACACCTGTAATCCCAACACTTTGGGAGGCCGAGGCGGGCAGATCACAAAGTCAGGAGTTGGAGACCAGCTTGACCAACATGATGAAACCCCATCTCTACTAAAAATACAAAAATTAGCCGGGCGTGGTGGCACATACCTGTAATCCCAGCTACTCAGGAGACTGAGGCAGGAGAATGGTGTGAACCCTGGAGGAGGAGGTTGCAGTGAGCCGAGATGGCGCCACTGCATTCCAGCCTGGGCGACAGAGCAAGACTCTGTCTCAAAAAAAGAAAAAAAAAGAAGATAATTCTGATTAAACTCTTCTCAACTGGCATAGTTTCTCTCTACATCTGTTGTCCAGAAAATGCTGTCTGTGGCTGTTAAACTAAATCCTACACTCATAAAAAGGCTCATAGCTATCCTGTACCTTTTCCACGATTGAAATACAACTCCCTATATGAACACCTTACCCTGGGCTTGGGGTCTTGGCTTCTGATGGGATGTGCTAAGTCCAGGCCTTTGCTTAGAAAATGAGCCCAGAGTTTCTGCGAGTCAGTGACACTCCACCTTGGGTTGAATCTGTTTACTTCTTGGATTTCTAGGAAGCAGTAAATCGCCATGACATGCTTCCGCCTTGTTGATCCCTTATATATTCTGACACCACCTGCTAATCAGTCGATAGCAGAATTGCCTTGCACTCCAGACTGAGGGAGGTTCATGAAGTGGAACGAAGGAGTGACCTCCTGTGTTTATTAATGTATGTGCTAAACAAAAGCTTCGCCTCCAGGCATCCCATTGCATGCTGGCTCTCTGCAGCCCAGAATAGTGATGCCAGGTTTTCAGCGCCGTCTCCACTTTCCCATGGCCCGGGGAGTCCCTGAAACAACTTTTCAGCCTACCAAGAGGTGCTGCGAGTGCTCCCCACCCAATGTGTCCTATAGTCTTCTCTCCCAGTGTCATTCTAAGGGAGGTGCTGTGTAGGACGAGAGACTTCTCCCAAGTGAGGCTGGAGGGAGGTTCGGGATCAAGCCCAGAACAGCCATGCATAGACGTCACTCAATCCATTCATTCCCTTAAATCAGAGGTCGGCAAACTTTCTATAAAGGGCTGGATAGTACATATTTTTGGCTTCGTGGGCCATACAGTCTCTGTTGCAACTAAACTACTCAACGCTGCCTTTATAGTGGGAAAATAACCATAGACATTACCTAAATGGGCATGGCTGTTTCAACAGAACTTCACACAAACAGGCAGCAGGCCAGATTTGGCTCAAGGGCCACAGTTTCCCAAACCCCTGCTTTAAGATTCTTTTCATGGTTATTCCTCTTAACATATCAGATTGCAAACAATAATAGCAGTACCAACCAGCACTTAATAGCTAGCACCTACTGTAAGTCAGGTACAGCACATAATTGGCCTCTAATCTTCACAATCACCCTATGAAGTGGGTGCTGTCACTATCCTTTTATGCTTGAGGAATCTGAGGCGCAGATTAATATATTTTGCCCCAGATTTTACTACTAAAAGTGGTGGAGCCAGGGCTGTCATCCAGGGGCCACTTCAGAGGTGCTCATCCTGCTGCCTTGTCTTTGAGAACTGCAAAGCGCCATGCTTGTGGCGTTCAGCAAGGGGCGACCCTAATGACATAAATTCTGTTATGGACACCCTAGGCTCCCAAACACCCCTTAGGAGTAAACTTCCATGGCTGATTCTTCCCAGAGCCAAGAAAACATTTCTTCCTAGACAGTGTTGAGCATCCCCTCAGTCTTGGTGTCAGGAACCCCCATGTTGCATTTTACATCCAACCGAGACACCCTCCTCAGGCAAGGCTTTCTGCCATAACTCCTCATTCCCCCTTCCCACCCCTCATCCTTGGTTTTTGCAATGGTGCTGGGAGGCTTGAGGGTTTCAGGTCTCCTGTATCCATGCCTCCTATTGTAAGCCGCCTCGGAGTACTTGGAGGGCAAGGTTTAATGATAATGAAATGCAGAGACAGGAACTGTGCTGCAGCAGGGTGAGAAATCAGAATACCTGCCCTCCCTCTCCTGCCATGGCCAGGCAGGAAGTCTCCCGGCCTGCCAGCATCCAGAAGGGAGCCTCTGTGGTGGTTTTGTTAGCGTGGGGGGATCGTGGGTAGACGCCTCCCTTACCCCCAGAACTGTCTTCAGTGTTTTACTTGACAAGAGAATCTTACTAAAACTTTTTGTAAGACACAAGGCCTCAAGAACCCTTTCTATATGTGACTGTCCAGCGGTGCCTTCTAACACTGGGGATCAGATTTTTTCGGTTTGGCATCTCATGGCCCATGAGCTCACTCCCCTTCCTCCACACAGTGCGTGCCAGAAAGCCCATGTGGGGGTGGGGGCTGTATTTCAGGATTCCTCCCGGCCTCTTCCAACCTGACAGGCTCAGATTTTCCACTTGTGCGATTGAAGTCAGCTCCTGCATTCCTGCTGGGGAGCTCCCTGCCTCAGGCGGGGGCTTCTCCCACTTGCCCTGCGATTCACTCTCCACGTTGGTCTGCTGTCCCCGCAGGTTATGCCGCAGGGCATCCAGTATCCTTGGGGATGGGGGGGTGGGCAGGAGGGGGACTCTGTGGGTGACTAGGCAGCCAGTCCCAGCCTGGCTCCGGGCCACCAAGAGGAGATGGCCTCTGTCTGCTCAGGCCTTCATGGGAACAGGGAAGAGACCTCTGGCCAAGCAAGGAACAGTGGGATTGCTGTTGATTGGGAAGAGCTTCGTTCCATTACTTGTCAACCTATCTCAAGAATGTGCAGCTCGGTGGTCGTGACTGACGTTGCTGCTGGGGTTTTAGCATCCAACACCTGCATTCCAAGCCCACTGCCTCCACTTACCAAGCAACAGGCCCCCAAGTGGTCGCAGTCCCCCTGAGCCTCAGTGTCCTGCTGGTGGAACTCGAGGTCATTATACCAACACAGAATGTGGCTGTGCGACAGGCCTGGCCACAGTGATGCGTGGAAATCTCTGCAACACTGGGGTTGCCTCTTGGTTGGTCTGTTATTCAGCGAGGGTGACCAGCCATTCTGGTTTGCCCAGGATAGAGGGTTTCCTGGAAGGCTGGACTTTTGCTGCTAAAACCAGTACATTCCTGGGGGAACTGGAACAGTTGGTCACCCTATTGTGAACCCCAAATGTCAGCATTCATTTAAAAACAAATACGAGAGCTGAACCAACATTGTATAGGAAACGGGCAACCTTGTTTTGAAACCTGATGTGTCCCAGACCAACTGCCTAAACCCTCCCACTTGAGTCCTAGCAGGGCACGAAAGTTCCCAGGGTGGGGGTGGGGAACAGGTTATATGGAAGCCGTTATCCCAGGAGGTGCTGGCCAGGAGGTCACCGGCAGTGCTTTCCTCAGGCAGGATGATGGAGAAAGAGTGAATCCCTCCTCTGTGCTGTAGTGCCTCATTCCATCATGACAGCACCCTGGGGAGTGAGGAGTTACTGCCCTCCCATCTCCTTGAGCAGACATAGGTCAGGAAGCTGCTCTCAGGCCGGGCCCATGCCTGTAATATCAACCCTATGAGAGGCTGAGACGGGAGGATCACTTGAGCCTTAGAGTTCGAGACCAGCCTAGGCAACATAGCAAGACCCCCATCTCTACAAAAAAAAAATAATAATAAAACATTAGCTAGGTGTGGTGGTGCACACCTGTAGTCCCAGTTACTCAGGAGGCTGAGGTGGGAGGATAGCTTGAGCCCAGGAGGTTGGGGCTGCAATGAGCCAAGATTACACCCCTGTACTCCAGCCTGGGCAACAGTGAGACCCTGTTTCAAAATAAAAGTAAAAAATTTTTAAAAGCTTCTCTCAGCTGCAAAGAGTCAAGAGCTCCTGTAGCCAAAGATCCCTATCCAAAAGGAAGAGAGAGCATATCATTCCATCTTTGATTTCAGGACACAGACAAACCTCTCTGGGCCCAAGAGGCCCAGCCACCCTCTCCATCTCTGCCTAGCTGTTGCCCCTCACCACCAGGCTGCAGCCAGGATAGCCTTCTTCCAGGTTCTCTGAGACCAAAGCCCACAGTGTGTCCTGTAGGCCCGGAGCCCTTTTCCCTCCTCTTCATCCTTCATCCTCAGCCCCAGGGCCCTGCCCTCCAAGAAGCCTCCCTGGACCTTCCGACTCGACCAGCCTCCCTCCTGGGCACCAAGCTGGGAGCTCCTTAAGGCCAGATCCCAGGAGTGCAGGGCACTGGCCATGGTAGGCTCGAGGCCTGCCCATTGCCTGCCACAGACTAGCCCGTGCTCAACAGACCTGTTTTGAATGAATGGAGTGGAGAAACCCAGAGTTTAACGGCTCTCTTCCTATACCTTTCCCACGGGTCACCAGGCAGCCTCCCTGTGACCATTAACCATTTCCCTGGCCCTGCCTGCAGCATGACCCAGGCCCCACCCAGATAGGAGCCACTGTACCTCAATTCCCTCCCATCCTTTGCGGGGAAATATTTCTGTTTTATGACGAACTCTGCTCCTGATTTCTCTCGCGTTATCTTAATGAATTAACTGGGTCCCCATAGTTCCCCTGGCCCCCCGCAGTTTATGAGCTGTACGGCAATCTCTGCGATCTTACTCAACCCCACACAGTTGTTGTGCTGTTTCCTATTACAGTAATTGGCATAAACTTTATTCTTTTGCAGAGAGATTTTTTGGCCCGCTGAGACTGCATAACCATCTGCCATAAATTGAGACTAGTACGGCTTATTTTGGTGAATGCAAAATTGGATCTCATTCTTTACTCTGTGGCTTGATTCAACTTCCAGATGGTTAATCCACATGAAGTAATAGGAATGCACCACAGCTCTGCTTAGCTGAAGATGGAGACGTAATATTTATTTGCTGATGTGGAGGCCTCTGAACGCTGTCCTGTTGGGATGTCAATATATAACACAGCAGCACAAAAATGTCAGCTTGTTCCACAGGCGCGACAGTGTTCCTCTGAGTTGCCATGGGGAACCCCCGGATGTAATTTTTTTTTTTTTTTGTCTGCCCTTGACCTAATCTCAAGAGGTTTTGTTCTCTCCTGGGCTGTTTCTTATCAGTTATGTCTGCCCGTGTAGCTGGCTTCACATCTGCTTTGACTTTAGTGCCTGTGACATTTTCATTAATACTTTTCCAAGGTTGAGCCTTTATTCCAAATATCCTGCAGCTCACGGAAGCCATAGCTCAGCTGTGCCCAGCTGGGGGCTGCAGGGAAATTTGGCCTGGCAGTATGGGCAAGCTTGGACCTCTCCACTCAGTTAGGCTCATCAAATCCTTTTTAATTTCTACTTCTCCTTGCACTGGCCTGCTGTGCTGGGAATGCTCTGAAGCAGATCTAGGTGAGCAGATCTGGGGTCTTAGACCTCACCAGCACTTTTACTCCGGGGGGCCTTGGCTGCCCCCTCTGCCTGGATTACCCATCCTTTGCCAGCCAGCCTTGCCTGCACAAACTCCTCTGGATTTCAGAGTCTGTCCCAGGGAAGATGAGAACTCAGGGCTTCCTCTCTGTCCTGACCTGGCCCTGCAGATTCCCTGTGTCTGAATCAACTGGAGAGTGTGTTAAAAATAGAGACTCTTGGGTCTAGGGGGCACCAACCACCACACTTTGCCCAGGACTGTCCTGGTCTTAGCACTGAAAGCCCCACCTCCTGTAGAACCCCTTAGATTGGGGGCAAACTGGGACGATGGGTCACCCTAGCTGGACCCACCTACTGATCCAGACTGGCAGAACAAGAACTTCTGAGGGCTCAGGCCTAAAGACCTGCATTTTAATTTGTTCTCATGTGTAATTCTGATGGTGATTCTAAAAGCCGTTCAGCCACAGGTGCCTGCAGGACCCATGCTTTCTCTCTCCAGTGCCTGGCACACAGTGGACTTAGAGGACATTCTTACGATTTTAGTACACAACACCATCATCATGTACTTAACGGTGTTTGTCTCCCTCTGTCCGGGTCCCTTTTCTGTTCTCAGTTCCCAGCCCTGTGCCTGGCTTGCAGTCACCACTCAGAAAAGATTGACTGGAGGAATAATTGGATACAAGCAGATATTCATGGTAGAGAATGGGACACACAATTCTTTGCCACACACTTTTCCAAAGTTCTGGGGTGGACTGTATTAGAAATTAGATCACGGAAATTCTAGTAGGGCAGGCGTCTGATCTAGGCTCTTTTTTCAAAGGAATGAAAACCTTGAAAGTTTCAAGATGGAACAGATAAGGAATTAGACCTAAGAGATTCAAAGACAGAATGGACTAGAACTGTGAATGTTCTGAGATGGAATTGCTCTCTCTTCCTTAAATCGTCATGGGAGCTTCTATTGGCAGAATGAATAAGAAGCTGGACCCCTTGTACCTGATTAACGAAGTTCAACATTCCTGGGTGCTTTCAAATGTTTAAAGTTCGAAGCTCCTCCAGTACAGCTATGCATGAAGGTGGACTCAAGTGTGAGGTCTCCAGGCTGGGCAGTGGGAACTGGGAAATAGGCCAAGCCATGGGGAGGGAGTGGGAACCAGTGTCTGGGTCCAGCAGGATCCCAGTACCGTGATCCTTCACTCAACTTACACAGGGCTCACCCAGGTCCTGACTATCTCCCCATCACTCCAAGTTGCCCTGTTGCCTTGAGCAGCAGATTTTGCCACCTCTGTTCCAGTCTGTGCAGTGAAGATGAAAAGACCCTTCTCTTCTCTTGAGGTGAGGCTTCAAAGTAGGTGCAAACATACAGGATTATTTGAATGGGCTTTATCTTTCCGTGAAACACTGCAGTTGACCCAGGGGCCTAGACCCACACATTCTCTCTTGTTGGCAAGAGAGAATGGAGGTGAGGAATAGAGTCTGCAAATGGAAAAGAAGCCGAGTGATCCCCTTAACAAGGGATCGAACCCACTGGATTTAGTGGCAGTCATCATACTTGTTCAAATGCATGCACTAAAGCTCTAGTGACGGGCTGTGGCAGAGAGCCCTGGGCACCGGTGAGCTGGAGACCTGGCTCAACTCCCTGCTCTCTGACTGGGTCAGATGTGCCTCTCATGCCCACACTGGATGCATCAGTGGATCCCGTTGGCTCTGTTTTCAGAATCTGCCCAGGGTCTGACTCTTCTCGTCTTCCCATCACTTCTGTCCCTTCCACCCTGACCCTGTCCGGCTGCCATCCTCCCTCCCTGGATTGTTGCTCAAGAGCTTTCTAACTGGCCCCTTCCCCTCCCACAGAGGAACCACAGAGATTCTAGCCAGGCGTGGTGGCTCATGCCTGTGATCCCAGCACTCTGGGAGGCCGAGGTGGGAGGATGGCTTGAGCCCGGGAGCTCAAGACCAGCCTGGGCAACAAAGTGAGACCCCATCTCTACAAAAAATTTAAAAATTAGCTGGGCGCAGTGGCGTATGTCTGTGGTTCCAGCTACTTGGGAGGCTGAGGTGGGAGGATTTCTTGAGCCCCAGGAGTTTGAGGCTGCAGCGAAGTATCATTACACCACTGTAATTACATTACTTCAGCCAGGGCAACAGAGCAAGACATTGTCTCAAATAAAAGTGGGGGAGATTCTTCTAAGTATCAAACAGGTCACATCCCTCCTCTGCTCAGAGCTGTCCCATGCAACTCATAGTGAAGTGCAGATTCCTTCCTGTGGCCCTTACAAGTGTCATCCTTTCCCCATCTTCCAGTCCTTCTCCCCACTCCAGCCACACCGGCTGTCCAACACACCAAGCAGGTCCCCTTAGCCTTTGCACTGGCTGTTCCCGCTGCTAACACTCTTCCACCAGATCTCCTCCTCGCAGCTCCCTCCCTTACCTCACATAGGTACCCAAATGCTCCTCTGCAGGGGGCCTCCCTGGACCACTGTTTAGGCCCTGTTCCCATTTCTCATAGCTCTTAATTCTTCACGGCACTTATCTCTACGGGCAGTGTGTGTGTGTGTGCGCGCGTGCGTGTGTGTGTTGCTTGTCTCCCCACTGGACTAGAAGTTCCATGAGAGCCTGGTTTGCACTGTCCTCAGTGGCTGGAACCAGGCTTGGTCCATCCTAGGTGCTCAGTCAGCTTTTGCAAATGAGAAACTCCACCGTCTCTCTTGTGTTAAAATAGGCCAGCAACTCTCAGTGAACCACACAGTAGTTGCAAAGATCACATAAAGCTGAACAGGGCTGTCCAAATGTAATGATGGCCATTAGCGTCTCTCCACCTCAGAGCAGCGATTCTGGAGCATTCTGTGTAATTGGAGCACAATTAAGCATATGGCAGTGTTTCCACTGGGCCGGAGATCTGATTCCGAGCTTTCGCAACACGGTTTCTTTCTTGTTCCCAGTAACATCAAATCCGGATCCACCGTCAGGCGGGCTCTGTGGTCTGGATCACAGGAGAATACTGGGGAAAGAGAATCCTGCTAAAAGGATTTAATCTCAAGACATTGGGCCACATATTCAGGGATGATTTCTTGGATTTTGCAAGCAATGTAAATAACAGCAAGAGGATTCCCGCTGTGTGACGTGAGGTGCATCCTGCCGGGCTGGGACAGGAAGCTGCCCAGGCTGGGCTGCTATGGATGCACCAGGCAGGGGCCCCCGATGCAACTGATGCAACTGGCAGAGCTGCACCCCACTCCTCCCTGTCTCACCCATGCCATACCACCCACTGGCCTCACTCACTCTTCCAGGAGTGCCAGACACTGTGCAAAGCATTCTCTGGGTGGCAAGGGTTTAAAGGCCAATAACAGAGATGAGGATTAAGATGCCAGTTATCACCCAATTCAGTCATGGAGTGAGATTTCTTTCACTTATGTACAAATCATGGCTCCCTGGCTGAACTGTGAGCTTCCTGGGGGTGAAGTCTGCATTTGAAGCAGCCAGCCTGTGGCAACTTGGAAGTCATCTGTGGCATCTCATTTTTATAGATGAGACCATGAAAGGAGGAAGTGAAGCGTCTAGTGGGTCAGGTTTGGAAACAACTTAGATGTTCATCTGTGGGGAAATGGATAGATATAATAACGGATACTGGGTGGGCACAGGGGCTCACGTCTGTAATCCCAGCACTTTGGGAGGCGAAGGCAGGAGGATCGCTTGAGGCCAGGAGTTTGAGACCAGCCTCGGCAACAGAGTGAGACCCCCGTCTTTATAAAAACTAAAAAACAAGATTCTCCAGGTGTGGTAGTGCATCTGTAGTCCCCCCTACTTGGGAGGCTGAAGTGGGAGGATCACTTGAGCCCAGGAGTTCGAGGTTATAGTGAGCTATGATCATGCCACTATACTCCAGCCTGGGCAGCAAAGCAAGAACCTGTCTCTTAAACTTTTTTTTTTTTAAAGGGATATTTGTAAAATGGATTATTATACAGCAATGAAAAGGAGTGAGTTATCACCACACTTACCAGCAAGGATGAATCTTAAAAATTAATATTGACCAAGAAAAGAAAGTTGCAAAGGAGCCACAGTTGGTAATATCATATATGTTCATTTTAAAAACCATTTACCCACGGCAGTTCTTGGATATATACATGTGTGTATATAAAAGGGTGGCAGATAGCCTGGAAGAACAAAACTATGTTGAATACAGGATGGCCCATGTCTGTGGCTATGGGGAGGGGAGTTGACTGGGTTTGAGGGGCTGTCTAGACCAATGATGATATTGAGCCTCTCACAAACAAGTGTCCTTGAGGGAATCAATTCATTCCTGTGTCCCTGCCAATTAAAATAAGTGAGTAAGTTTCCCAGTGTCTCCCAGTCTGCAATGAACACAGCCTGAGCCAGGGGCCCATGACTCCCAATCTGCCTCCCCAATGGGTCTTCAAAAAACACCTGTCCAATTCATGAGACTTCTGCATTCATAAAATCAACATACTAGGAAAGCTTTCTTAGCCAACAAAAAATTCTCTTTTGAATCCTGAATACAAAAGTCTACCCCTGAGTGCATTCTCCCATCTGCCTGGAGATCCTGTGTGTTCTTTGGTTTATGTGAAACATCACTGTGTCTGCTTGTTTTTGCTGTTATGTCTTCTTGTTCTTGCTAAGGGAGGCTGATTCAGCCTTAGCACATCCCCTCCTTCTTAAGAGGCCCCCTTTGTTCTTCCATGATCAAACTTCTTTGGTTTTTTTTTATTTCCTTCTCTCCATCCAATCCCACTTAACTTGAACATCATCTCTGTGCCATGACCTCTGCTGGGTGGGATCCAGATGGCAGTGCAAGATAGTTCTTCCCCTCAAGGGACTTAAAATTCAGTACTCCCCTCCCCCAGGCCTAGCAACAGGGTAAGGCAGGGTCAGCGTGAAGAAACAGGGATCTCCAAAGGGAGGTCTATTCAGAGAAGTAACTTTCTTTCTGTCTTCTCTTTCTTCTCTTTCTCTCTTTCTTTTCCTTCCTTCCTTCCTTCCTTCCTTCCTTCCTTCCTTCCTCTCTTTCTCTTTCCTTCCCTCCATCCTTCCTTCCTTTCTTTCTCTTTCTTTCTTTCTTTCTTTCTTTCTTTCTTTCTTTCTTTCTTTCTTTCTCTTTCTTTCTCTCTTTTTTCTTTCATTCCTTCTTTCTTCTTTCTCTCTTTTTCTTTCTTTCTTTCCTTCTTTCTTCTGTCTCTTTCTCTCTCTCCTTCTTTCTTTTTTTTTTGAGACAGGGTCTCACTCTGTCACGCAGGATGAGTGCAGCAGTGCAGTCACGGCTCACTGCGGCCTCAACCTCATGGGCTCAAGCAATCCTCCCACTTCAGCCTCCCAAGTGCCTGGGACCACAGGCATATGCAACCATGCCGGCTACTTTTTAAATTTTTTAAAAATTAATTTAAAATTTAAAATTAATTTATTGGCCGGGCGCAGTGGCTCACGCCTATAATCCCAGCACTTTGGGAGGCCGAGGCGTGTGGATCACGAGGTCAGGAGATAGAGACCATCCTGACCAACATGGTGAAACTCCGTTTTTACTAAAAATATAAAAATTAGCCGGGCGTGGTGGCGCGTGCCTGTAATCCCAGCTACTCAGGAGGCTGAGGCAGGAGAATTGCTCAAACCAGGGAGTCAGAAGTTGCAGTGAGCCAAGATCGCACCACAGCATTCCAGCCTGGCGACAGAGCGAGACTCCGTCTCAAAAAATATATATATATATAATAATAAATAATGTATTATTATTTTTTTAAAGACACAGGGCCTCACTATGTTGCCCAGGCTGGTCTCAAACTCCCAGATTCAAGCAATCTCTCGCCTTGGCCTCCCAAAGTGCATGCCTGGCCCAGGAGCTTTCATAAAGACCATCAACAACCAGGCCTGTGCGCAGAGGAGGGTGGGCCGAAGCGGGAGGGAAGTGGAAACTGAGTTGATGAGCAATGGTGGAAGGGCCTGGAAAGCAACATTCCGTTTCAGAGAGAGGGGAGCGCTCTGCCTGTCTGCAGCCCTCAAGGATCCAGTCATGCGGGTTTGGGGGAAGGAGGGCCCCAGCTGGAGTCCACACGGGTTGAGACAATTAGGGGGATAATTTGGGCTGAGTCATCTTGGTGGAGGCCGGGACGAGGGTGTTGGGTGGGTGTGGGCCCCATCAGCATAATTGCTCCAGACTTCTGGTTCTCTTTGGCACAGCACTGAAATAAGTTAATCCACCGCTTGAAAAGTGTTGATTCTCCTCCTGTAACTTAGCATGAACAGCAAAGTCTGCCTGAACCTGACACCAGGGTGACCTAGTGAGGGTCCTGTCCCGGGGGCGGGAAGCAGGGATCAAAGGGGGAAAACAGGCCAGTGCTATTCCTGCCCCAAGCCTCAATAACGCCTTAATCTGGAAAATGGGAACAAGACCATATCCCATCAATTCTAAGAAGTGCTTTTCTTCCCTCATTTTAACATCTCTAAAATTGTGATGTGGTTTACAACTGGCAGTGTCTTAGATTTGGTGAACTATGATGATAAGAAGAGAAAAATAGAAGAATAGCTACCAATCGCTACCAAGCACAGAATGCTTACTCTGTGTCAGGCACTGTGTCTGTGAACTTTACAATGTAACCCTCTCATCAACCCTAGGAGACAGGGTTTCATTTTATGGATGGCAAAGCCAGGGTTCCAAGGGGGATTCACATGCTCATACTGGTCACAATCAGTATGTAGGGAATGCAAAATATGCTGAAGCGTTTGCTTTCGTTTTTGTCTTTTTGAGACAGGGTCTGCCTCTGTCATCCAGGCTGGAGTGTAGTGGTGTGATCACAGCTCACTGTTGCCTCAACCCCATGGGATCAAGTGATTTTCCCACCTCAGCCTCCCGAGTAGCTGGGACCACAGGCACGTACCACCATGCTCGGCTAGTTTTGTTTATTGTTTGTAGTCTCATTGTGTTGCCAAGGCTGATCTCAAATTCCTGGGCTCAAGTGATCCTCCCACCTCAGCCTCCAAAGTGTTGATATTACAGGCGTGAGCCACCACACATGGCCCCGTGAGGTGGTGTTGATGCTTATACATGTACATGTAGTTTGAAAAGATTGCATATTTAAGTATTCAGTGTGGTGCCTCACGCATAGTAGGCGTTTGATTGTTCTGCCCTTCCAGGCTGCCTCTTTTCAGATGGTAGCACTGCCAGGCATAGGATGGAGGCTGTAGAAATGTTTGCTGCCTGGCAGACTGGAAGGACGGATGAACTTCCCCTAATCAATGCCCCATTCACATGTCTCGGCTCCCTGCAGGTCATCTGCGGAGAGATAGCCCCTGTGCTCTTGGCCGGGTGACTGGACAGGCTGGCTAGAAGGGCTGGAGAGTTAACACCCCCAGCCCCACCTCAGGAGCAGCCCTCAGCCAGAGAGGGATGGGCACTGGTGGGTAAATACCCCAGCTCCCTCGCCCCTCTGTTGGGGCAGCTGCAGCATAGTGTGCACAGTTTCCCAGAGGTCCCCAGCAGGACTGCGCCCGCTTCCCACAGTGGTCAGCCACTCCCTAATGCATCCTTCGCTGGTTTCCTCCTCTCTCACTTCCCCACTCCCGACCCTACTCCTGGAATTACCTGGCAGACAAGGGGCTCACCCCGAGATCCTTGCCCGAGGGTCTTCTTTTGGGGGAACCCAGACTGAGGCAGTAGTGAAGTGGGGTTCAACCTGATGGCGCCAGCCAAGGTAGTGGCAGGTGTCAAAGGATTGGCTGATGATAAAGGGGACCTACAGGATGAAGAGGGGGGCCAGGCCCTCAGATGACTCACAGAAAGATGCTCCCAGTCACCGGGAGAGTTCTTAGTTCTGTGGCTGGAGATTGTTAAGCCTGGGGATCTGCCGAGGCGGCAGGTCAGTGGCCAGACGAGGAACCGCAGGTGAATTCATCACTCATGTCTGTGTGCAGAGTGGGGCTGGCTTCTGCCCGAGGCCCCGAGAGACACCTCAAAGTTGCTGCAACTGTGGTCCTGGGGAAACAGCGCTGGCTTGCTTGGAGTCAGACCCACCTGGGTTTAGATTCCAGCCCCGCAGCTTCTGGGCTCTGTGGGTCGCATCTCCTTCTGAGCCTCACTTTTCTTGTCTGTGCAAGAGTCTCCACATCACAGGTTGCTGAAAGGACTCGTTGCAATAAGATGTGTAAGTGCTTCGTACAGAGCCGGGCACATGGTAAACCCTCACCACGGAGGCTGGGTGTGCAGGCTGAGAGTCAGTTGCTGGGTTCAGGAACTTTCAATGTCTCTCTGAGTTTCCATTTTCTTTCACCTGTAAAATGGGAAGTGGGGGCAAATATCCTCACCATGAAAGCACTGTAAAGATTTAGAGGTTATGTACAAGAGGCTCAGAGGCAGTGTGCAGTGGCCATGTGGCGATGTTGGAACCACTGGTATGAGGAGTTAATAAAAATGTATTTTATCCCCAACATTCACTATACTCCTGCCACACTGGCCTATTTTGTTCCCACCACAGGGCCTTTGCATGTGCTGTTTCTGCTGCCTGCAAGCCCTCCAGAACCCTGACGTCCAAATGGCATCTCATAACCTTCCTTCCCATTGTTCCAACTATACAGCTTCATGTGCTTGTTGGAGGTGGCCTCTCCCTTTAGCTTGAGCCCCAAGAAGGCAGGGGCCATGGCTTTTTGGTTTGTGAAAGCTTCCCTACCTCTGCATGCAGATTCTAGCATACAATCAATGCCCAATGAATGTTTGTTGAGTGAATGTCTGAATAGGAGGCTTGTGTCTTCAGGAAACTCCTGAACATATGGCTCAAATGTAAAGAATTTTGGGCTGGGGTGGGTGAGGGAAGAGAGTTGTGTTTGTTTCAGCTGTTTAGTCCAGGCTGGAGGAAAGGGGCATGTTTGTGGGGCCTGATGAGCCTGTGTTCGGAGCCCAGCTGTGGCTCTTGCAAGCTCAGCGATGCTGCCCACCTATGGAGCCTCAGGCTCTTCATCTGTAAAACAGGGAGAATAACATGCACCTTAGCGAGTTGTCAGGGAGAGGAGATAAGTATTAGATTGGTGCAAAAGTATTGTGGTTTGATTGGTGCAAAAGTAATCACAGCTGGGCACAGTGGCTTAGGTCTGTAATCCCGGCACTTTGGGAGGCCGAGGCGGGCAGATCACCTGAGGTCGGGAGTTCGAGACCAGCCTGACCAACATGGAGAAACCCTGTCTCTACTAAAAATACAAAATTAGCCGGGTGTGGTGGTGCACGCCTGTAATCCCAGCTACTCGGGAGGCTGAGGCGGGAGAATCGAATCGCTTGAACCCGGGAGGCGGTTTTGGTGAGCCAAGATCGTGCCATTGCACTCCAGCCTGGGCAACAAGAGTGAGACTCCATCTCAAAAAAAAAAGTAATCGCTGTTTCTGTCATTGACAGTAATGGCAAAAACCGCAATTACTTTTGCACCACCTAATACATGGCTCAGCAAAGCCAGCTGTATCTGCAGATAGGTTATGTCTTCTACTTTTCTTCAAAGAAGGGGCTGTTTACCTGGCCTTGATGCTCTAGAATTCTCCACAGACCCCAGAGCCTGGAGCCCAGGGATGTACTGTGGTCATGAGGCCGTCACCTATTGCAAAGTTATAATTGCCAGGTCAGATTTAATAGCATCCTGGAGAGCAGATCGCCACGCCGGGTGGCTCCACACATCACTCTGTTGGCTCGCCTGGCAGGGTTGCCCTGGTGGGTGCAAGGGGTCTTTGTTCCCGAGATTCATGCAAAGGTCAGGCTGTGGTAGCATGAATGTTTCCAGGCAATTCTTGTCTATCGGGGAGGCATCTCTGGCCATGTCTCCTTCTTGGTCTGTGATAGGGAGAATTGAGACCAAGTCTCCAAGTGGGGACAATGAGGGCACAGGGACGGTCATCGAGAAGAAGACAAGGCTCTCGGGGCAAGGGTTTTGCCTTCAGCTCTCAGAAGGGCTGCAGAACTTGCAGGCCCAGGTAGGGGATGACAAACAGGATCATAAAGGGGCTCAGAGTCAACTGCCAGGTTTGTCCCAGCAGCCACTATGTGCAAATGGCTTCAGTTCTCTGGGCGTCAATTTCCTCCTCTCTAAAATGGGAATAATGGTACATAGAAAATGAGGAGATACAATTGTAAATAAGCTTTTTAAAACAGCCTAAGGTGCAGCCACTCTGACCGCACAGCTATTTCCTCTCCTGCTTATTTCCACCCCCTCCTGTCTGTGCACATTCAGCTTACGTGGCTGCAGGCACAATGTGCATTCTGCTTTTCTTAACTTTCTGTTAGATTGCAATTCCTCATGTTTCTACATGCTTCTCAGAGTTCACGTTTTTAATGGTTGCTAGGTTGTCCATTGTGGTGGTGTCTCAGGAGTAACACACACTCTTTCTCTGTCTCTGTCTCTCTGTCTCTCTCTCTCTCTCTCTCTCTCACACACACACACACACACACACACACAGAGAGAAAGAGAGAGAGAGAGAGAGAATCTTTGCCATCTGTGAGGCATTCAGATCACTGCTAGATTTCTACCATGACAGACAACACTAGAATGAACACCTTCCTATTGATTACTTGTTTTTACTGCTTTTGAATTATCTCGTGGGGATAAATTCCAAAGCCAGAGTTCCCTGGATGCTGCTCCATAATTTTGCCATTTGGGGTCAAGAGCGGCATTTCCAGCAGGCTGTTCAACAAAGGGGCAGGCTGCCTTGGGTGGCAGTGAGCCTCCCATGCCCGGAGGTGTGCAAGACAATTGGGGCGGCAATCCATTGATCTGACAACTATTTGTTGGGTCTCACAGTGTACCAGGCAGGGTTAGGGGCTGGGGAAGCTCAAGACTGGTGACTCCCTGGCTCATGCTGTGAGGACCGCACTCCATGCAGCCACGGCTCTGCATGTCTGGATGAATAGTGCCTGGGCAAGGACTATGGTATCCCATGCTTCAGGAACCTCAGCTCCATCAGCCTCTGGCTCTGTCTTCCCCTGGTGACCTTGCAATTCAGAGAGGCCATTGCGTGAGATATGATTGTTCCATTCAATCCTGACTTTAGACCAGAGATTACTCGAGGGTTCTCCCCTTTTAATATTTACCTGTAGAATTTATTCCTCCTGTCTAATTGCTGGGTACTCTGATCAACATTTCCTCATTCCCCCATGCCCCACCCCCAGCCTCTGGTAACCAGTCTCCTACTTTCTGCTTCTGTGAGTTTGACTTTTTTAGATTCCACATATATGTGAGATCACGCCGTACTTATCTTTCTGTGTCTGGCTTATTCACTTAGCATAATGTCCTCTAGGTTCATCCATGTTGTCGCAAACGACAGGGTTTCTGTCTTTTATAATGCTGAATAATATTCCCTTGTGTGTGTATATACATGCATGTAATTTTTGTTTGTCAATTAAATATAAAGGCCAGGTGCGGTGGCTCACACCTGTAATCTCAACACTTCAGGAGGCTGAGGTGGGAGGATTGCTTGAGCCTAGAGTTCAAGACCAGCCTGGGCAACATAGCAAAAAAAATAAAAAATTAGCCAGGTCCGTGGTGACACCCACCTGTGGTCCCAGCTACTCTGCAGGCTGAGGTGGGAAGACTGCTTGAGCTCGGGAGTTTGAGGCTGCCGTGAGCCATGATTGCACCAGTGCACTCCAGCCTGGGTGACAGAGTGAGACCCTAGCTCAATCATTCAATCAATCAAAAGAAATTAATGCATAAAAAAAAATACACACTGGGCACGGTGGCTCACGCCTGTAATCCCAGCATTTTGGGAGGCCGAGGAGGGTGGATCACGAGGTCAGGAGTTCGAGACCAGCCTGATCAACATGGTGAAACCCCGTCTCTACTAAAAATACAAAAATTAGCCAGGCGTGGTGGTGTGTGCCTGTAGTCTGAGTTACTCGGGAAGCTGAGACAGGAGAATCGCTTGAACCTGGGAGGTGGAGGTTGCAGTGAGCTGAGATGGCGCCACTGCACTCCAGCCTGGGCGACAGAACAAGACTTCATCTCAAAAAAAAAAAAAATTGCAGTTATTAAAGATCACAATGGGGCTTTTGAGATAGCAGCTGTGGAAGTTACTTCTTAAGTTTCTGAGAATCGCTGAGCAGCTTCTGTGGTCAGTCCAGGGTGTGTGCAGAAATCCCACCCTGCAGGGGCTCCCATCACAAACTGCTGGCCTTAGTGGTTGTCTGAAGGAAGTTTGAGACCTGATGCCGTTGGGTCGCTGTGTGTCCTTCTGCCACTCACTTCATTGTTCTCTTTCCACTTCAGGCAGGTGGTGATAATCCTTGGGTTCCAGCCCAAGCTGGGGCACTTCGCTCTCTCCCCTACATGGTCCATGATCAAGGTTCCTGGGGACAGACTCCAGATTTTCCTTTGGGGCCCAGCACCCGCTCTCCCATCCCAGACTGCAGATTTGGGATAGGGCTGATCTCACGCCCTAACTCTAGGGGTGGGCCTTGATGCAGACCTGGCCGACAAGATACCACTGTAATTGGCTGGGGGATGGGCCCATCAGAGCCAGCAAGTGCCAGCTCTAAGACTTTGGCTGAAAGTTCTATGCAAGAGGGATTTTCTCTCTGGTGGGGTTGCTAAGCCACAGGAGGCAAGCCTTGAGCTTCCGGAGACTATCTTGTCATCACAGAGGGAGGGCCTGTCTGGAAAGAAGCCAGAACATAGCCAAGACATGGAGAGAGGCTGGTTTCTAAATTGAGCACCTGAATCCAGCCATACCTGAAGCAGGAGTCAATTATATGAGTCAATGAATTTCCATTTGGTGTCAGCCAGTTTGCGCTGGGTTTCTGTCACTCCTGACTATTCTATTGCCTCCACTCATACTCCTGTGCAACATAACTGCTGCATAAGAGCTGGAATCATCTTTCCACAACACAAATTTGACCTTGTCACAACTGTTTAAAGCCGTGCGAGGCTCCCCAGTCCCCTCAGGATAAAGCCTGAACTCCTTAGCCTGGTGTTCAAGCCCCAGATCTGTCAATGGCAGCCTCCTTTCCCACTTTGTCCATCAAGGACATTATATTTAGCTATACACTCCCCTGTCACTACACCTTTGTGCCCTTCCTCATGCTGTTCCCTCAGCTCAAATGCCTGCCCCCATTGAACTTCACCTTCCATGCTCAGTTCCAAGGTAATTTCCAATGGAGCTGGGTTGGGTTTTGCACATTGAAATTACTTGCTCATAGAACTACCAGGAGTGTGCATTATAAATGCAGTTCCCCCCAACTACTGGGCTGGATTCTCTGGGGTGGGGGCCAGGAATGTTTTTTTTTTTTTTTTGAGACAGAGTCTCACTCTGTTGCCCAGGCTGGAGTGCAGTGGCATGATTTTGGCTCACTGCAAAATCTGCATCCTGGGTTCAAACGATTCTCCCACCTCAGCCTCTCGAGTAGCTTTGATTATAGGTGCCCACCACCAGGCCCGGCTAATTTTTGTAGTTTTAGCAGAGACAAGGTTTCACCATGTTGGCCAAGCTGGTCTTGAACTCCTGACCTCAGGTTATCCATCTGCCTCAGCCTCCCAAAGTGCTGGGATTACAGGTGTGAACAACTGTTCCCTGCCGAATCTCTGATTTTAATAAGACCCCTGAGCATCTTCCTGTCTCCCCCACTGCCCCATGTGTTTTCCTCCTCTGAGCCTCATTTGTCTGTAAAATGGATATGAGAAATCTACCTGGAAAGGCAGCTGGGGGGATGAAGTGCGACAATGTATATAAGCCTGTCGAGGGACACTTAATCAGGGCTCCAGAGTGATTATGATGGTCATTAGGGTTATGCTGTCTTGCAGGGCAACTCATTGTCCCCATTTGCCCAGGACAGAGGGGTTTCTTTGAATGTGAGACTTTCAGTTTTGAAACTGGGAAAGGTCTCAGGTGAACCAGGATGAGTTGGTTACCCTGCATCCCCTTCTTTCTTTTCCCTGGGACAAAGATCTTGCTTGCCTGCCCTGACCCCACTGTTCAGTAGGAATCACTAAATCTGGCACCACAACGGAAAGGCAGGGAACTCCAGGAACAAAAGGACCAACCAGTTTTGAAAATACTAAGGACTGGCGTTTTCCTTCCAGCAGTGACGTGGTCTGTATGTTAACCTTGTCCCACGGCACAGGTCACGTTGTGACACTCCACGACCTCTCAGCCCCACCCATGTGCGTGGTGGGGCCAAGAAAGCCATGTTGGCCACAGTCTGGCTTGTGTTTTCTCAGTTCTGGACACTCCAGACTATACATCTGAATATTCCTTTTGGTAGAGTCTAGGAGATTTTATTTATTTATTTTTTTTCTGCACTGAGTTCCTGGATTTATTTTGAGCCGAACGGCTCCTCACCCAAACTCCCCTGCCTCCTTTCAAAACCCAAGGCCACGTCCAACCTCACAGGCCCAAACCACGCTTACATAACCCGCAGTGACACTAAGTGTTTGTGAGGCCTGCTGAAGTGGGGCTGGGGCTGCCTGCTCTGGAGCACAGGGGACATTTTGTCCTGCAAAATGATGCTGTTTGGGGCGTGTGCGTGAGCGCGTGTTTTTCCCCTCCTGAAGTTCAAAAACAACTCCTTTTGCTCAAACTGTCAAAAAAGAGAAGAAGAAGAAAAAAAAGAAGAAGAAAGTCTGCAATAATTTCAGTGTTGGGCCCAGATCAAGAATTGCAAACACTAAGATAATATTTTCCAAAGTTACCAGGCGAGTAGGAGTCGCCGAGTTACGGGAAATTGGAGGCTGACCTGGTGTAACTTCCAGGGGCCCCGTCTCCTGGCTGCTTCCTCAACGGTGGTGGGCTTTTTCCTGTGATCATTACAGCTCACCGTGATCTTGTCCTTACTACATGCCAGGTTCCAGGTGAGACACTTCTCTCCTTTATCATATTTCTTCCTCACAAACGGGTCCTCTTATTATCCCCATTTTGCAGAGGAGAAAAATCAAGTTCAGAGAAATGGAAGACCCTAGTTCAAGGTCAGTGTACTGATTACTGGAGAGTAGCGATTTGAATCGAGGTCAGCCTGACTCCAAAATATAGACCACCACTGCATGATGTCAGATGAAGTACCTACTGTGTGCAGATAGATGCATGTTCAGTTTTCATGGGGCTTTCTTGATGAATATCTAGCCAAGACTCAGCTTCCATACTTCTTTTATATTTTTTATTTTTTGAGATTCAGTGTCCTTCAGTTATCCAGGCTGGAATGCAGTGGTGAAATCATGGCTTACTGCAGTCTCGACCTCCTAGGTTCAAGCAATCCTCCCACCTCAGCTTCCTCAGTAATTGGGACTACAGGCACATGCCACCATGCCTGGCTAATTTTTTTTTTTTTTTTGTAGAGATGGAGTTTCACCATGTTGTCCATGCTGGTCTTGAACTCCTGGGCTCAAGCCATCCACCCACCTTCCAAAGTGGAATTACAGGCATGAACCACGGCACCTGGCCAGCTTCCATACTTCTAGCCAGTCCTCCAAAAGGTGGCATTTGGTGGTTTTTTTTTTTTTTTTTTTTTTTTTTTGATGGAGTCTCACTCTGTCGCCTAGGCTGGAAGTGCAGTGGCATGATCTTGGCTCACTGCAACCTCCACCTCCCAGGTTCAAGCAATTCTCCTGTCTCAGCCTCCCAAGTAGCTGGGACTACAGGCACCCGCCACCATGCCTGGCTAATTTTTATATTTTTAGTAGAGACGGGATTTCACTATGTTGGCCAGGCTGGTCTCGATCTCCTGACCTTGTGATCCACCCGCCTCGGCCTCCCAAAGTGCTGGGATTACAGGCATGAGCCACCACACCCGGCCAGTATTTGGTGTTTTTGGGGTGGGGAGAGTTCTGTTCGAGAGGCTGGCACCTGCAGCCACACTGTGTTTACCAATGGGCCTGTGGTGAATGCTCCTATAACCTGGTTCTCTGATGGAGAAATCTGAGGGATGGGATAATTTCAGTGTTGGCCCCAGATCAAGAATTGCAAACACTTAACTCAGAGCCTGCGTCCATGAAACAGTTCAAAGAGAGAAAGGAGCTGCCAGTTGGCTGAACACCTTCTATATGCATGATGGACCTTATCTGATTTAATCCTTACAAAAACCTCTGAAGCCAGGTGCTGCCATGTATACCCACTGTAGAGCCAGGGAACCTGGACTCTGAGAGGGAATGGGATTGCCCAAGGTCACACAGCTTGGAGACAGTGGAGTGGAGATGGAACCCACATTCACCCGATTCAATCAATGTGTCCCAAATACTCATGCTGCTAGGTGAGGCCTCTGACAATGTGGAGGTGAATGAGACACACTCCTAGTCCTTAAGGTGTCTGGCTGGGGAGATAGGCCAGAGACCTTGCAAAGTGACAGTGCTGGAATGGAGCAGCTTGCGGGTCCGAGGGAGCAGTGAGGGAAGGTTTCTTAGAGGTGGTGATTACACCAAGAAATACCAGCCTAGAAGGTTCATGATGGCAGAGGCTGCATTTATCCTGTTCACCACGGTTGCCCAGCATTGAGACATTGTAGGCACTCAAAATGTATGCGTTGAATCACTGAACAAGTAGGCAAGGTAAGAGAAAGTGGTTGTGGTAGACAGAATAATAGCCACCAAAGATATCCTCCTCCTCATCCCCAGGACCTGTGACTATGTTACCTTACAGGGCAAAAGGGACTTTGCAGATGAGATTAGGGTTAAGGAGTCTTGAGATGGGGAGATTATCCTGGATTATCTGGGTGGGCACAATCTAACCATCTAGGTCCTTAAAAGCAGAGAGCTTTTCCTGACCACGCTGAGAGGGAGGTGTGACTACGGAAGAATGGCTGGAGAGAGGCAACGCTGCTTGGCTTTGAAGATGGAAGGAGAAAGCCAGGAGCTAAGGAATGCAGTAACCTCCAGGATCTGGAAGAGGCAAGAGGACAGGAGCTCCTCTAGAGTCTCTGGAAAGGAGCACAGCCCCAGCACCTCGATTTTAGCCCAGTCTGACCCATGGCTGCCTTCAGACCTCCGGAACTGTCAATTCATAAATTGGTTTTGTTTTAAGCCTTATAAGTTTGTGGTAATTTGTTACAGCAGCATTAGGAAACTAATACAGTGGAAGACAGTTCCAGGCAGAGGGAACAGCATGTGCAAAGGCCTGGAGGTAAGAACATGGCCTGCGCAGCAGAGTGCCAGCAGGGGGCGCCAAGGCTGGTGTGCCTGCTCCTGCTTCCTGCTCTCTCTTAACAAGACACATTGGCAATGAGATAGGTCCAGGTTCACCAACATCAGTAGACATCTGAAGGCTCCCCGTCCCCCTCCATGTGCACACCCAGGGGGCGTCCTCTGGAAAGCCAGCTAGGGAAGCCACATTGGCAGGTCACACTGGGAGAAGAACCCCTGCTCATCTCTGGCCTGCCTTCTTTCCAGGGATTTTATGAGACAACGCGGGGTAGGGCCCTTTGGGAAAGGGAGGAAAGCTTGACCAATGGAAGGGATGTTTAGCTGTCAGAATGGAGCCCAAGGGTTCTGAGTTAGGCCGTTCTTGCATTGCTATAAAGAAATACCTGGCTGGGTGTGGTGGCTCACACCTGTAATCCTAGCACTTTGGGAGGCCAAAGTGGGCAGATCACTTGAGGCCAGGAGTTTGAGACCAGCCTGGGAAACATGGCAAAACCCTGTCTCTACAAAGAAATACAAAAAATTAGCTGGTGTGGTGGTACACATCTGTAGTCCCAGCTACTCAGGAGGCTGAGGTGGGAGGATCACCTGAGCCTGGGAGATGGAGGTTGCAGTAGGCTGAGATGGCACCACTGCATTCCAGGCTGGGTGAAAGAGTGAAACCTCATCTAAAAAAAAAAGAAATCCCTAAAACTAGGTGATTTACAAGAAAATAGGTTTAATTGTCTCACAGTTATACAGGCTATATAGCAAACATAGATAGCTCCAGCATCTGCTTCTGGGGAGGTCTCTGGAAGCTTCCAATCATGGCAGAAGGCCAAGCGGGAACTTGTACCTCCATCACATGATGAGAACAGGAGCAAGAGAGAAGGGTTGGGGAGGTGCCATGCTTTACAACAACCAGCTCTCAAGAGAACTCACTCACTATCGTGAGAACAGCACCAAGCCATGAGGGATCCTCTACTATGACCCAAACACCTCCCACCAGGCCCCATCTCCGACACTGAGGATTACAATTCAACATAAGATTCGAGTGGGGACAGATATCCAAAACTACATCATGCTCTATTCTTATGTGCTCTCATAATCGTGGTACTATTCCTTTACGATTCTAACCTCGTTGTAGCACTTTATGGTGTGCCCTGTAGTCTCCCGCATGAGCCTCCCCTGAGCCTGTGAGGTCTGCAGAGCCAAAGGCAATAGTCCCAGGACACAGAGGATAATAGTGTTCAGAGAGGTGCGCTGACCTGCCTGAGGGTGCCCAGCACGGTGTGCAGAGATCAACTGGGGGACCTGTGTCTTCTGATGATTTCTTTCCTGCTCCCACACCACCTCTTGAGAGGTGAGTGACATGCAGTTTTTAAAAACTGTACATAACATAAAATTATCATTTTAACTATTTTTTTTTTTTTAGACAGAGTCTCGCTTTGTCACCCAGGCTGGAGTGCAGTGGCACAATCTTGGCTTACTGCAACCTCCGCTTCCCAGGTTCAAGCAATCCTTCTGCCTCAGCCTCCAGAGTAGTTGAGACCACAGGCATGTGCACCACCATGCCTGGCTCATTTTGGTATTTTTAAGTAGAGATGGGGTTTTATTGTGTTGGCCAGGCTGGTCTCAAACTTCTGACCTCAAGTGATCTGCCCTCCTCAGCCTCCCAAAGTTCTGGGATTACAGGCATGAGCCACTGTGCCCTGTCATTTTAACCATTTTAAATGGTACAATTCAGTGGCATTAAGTACATTCACAGTGTTATGCAAACAGGACTTCTAAATAGTTCCAGGGCATCTTCACACCAAAAAACAAAAACAAAAAAAAAAAAACCCTCCATATCCATTAAGCGGTCAGTACCTATTCCCCTGCCCAACCCACCCCCAGGCCCTGACAACCACTCATTTACTTTCTGTGTTTCTGGATGTGCCTAATCTGGACACTTCCTATAAATAGCATCATATAACCAATGACTTTTTGTGTCTGGCTTCTTTCACTTAGCACAGTGTTGTCAAGTTTCATCCATGACATAGCATGCATCAAGACTTCATTCCTTTTCATGGCTGAATAATATTCTGTTGCATAGATACATGTACCACATTTTTTTCATTCATTCATCAGCTGATGGACATTTAGATGGTGTCCACCTTTTGCCTATTATGAATAATGCTGCTATAAACAGGTGTGCTCAAGTTTTGTTTGAAGACCTGTTTTCAGTTCTTTTGGGTTTATTATACCTAGGAGTGGAATTGCTGGGGCCTATGGGTAATTCTAAGTTTAACTTATTGATAAACCTGAATTAACTTTTAACTTGCCCTTGGTCACAGTTTGTGAAAATTAAGATAGAGCTGGCGTTTCTGACTTGAGCCTGAGTTCATTGCCACAGTGCTCTCCTGGTTCTGAGGGGTACGGAACTGCCTGCCCAGGTTAGGCCCCCACACAGCTCTGAAGAGTCATCACTGTCACTTATTAAAAACTGAAGTTTATGGCACAGTCTGGGACTAATGGAGTTGCCCAGAGGAGGTGAGAATAGTAGGTGGACCAGCCTCGGCAACATGGTGAAACTGTCTCTACAAAAAATACAAAAATTAGGGCCGGGCTCAGTGAATCATACCTGTAATCCCAGCACTCTGGGAGGCGGAGGTGGGTGGGTCACCTGAGGTCAGGAGTTCGTGACCAGCCTGGCCAACATGGTGAAACCCCGTCCCTACTAAAAAATACCTTAAAAGGCTGGGCGCAGTGGCTTATGCCTCTAATCTCAGCATTCTGGGAGGCCGAGGTGGGCGGATCACGAGGTCAAGAGATTGAGACCAGTGTGGCCAACATAGTGAAACCCTGTCTCTACTGAAAATACAAAATTTAGCCAGGTGTGGTAGCATGCGCCTGTAGTCACAGGTGTGTGGGAGGCTGAGACAGGACAATCACTTGAACCCGGGAGGCAGAGGTTGCAGTGAGCCGAGACCACCCCATTGCACTCCAGCCTGGGTGACAGAGTGAGACTCCATCTCAAAAACAAACAAACAAACAAAAATTAAAACAAAAAACAAAAAACAAAAAAAATTAGCCAGGTGTGGTGGCCACCTATAATCCCAGCTATTCAGGAGGCTGAGGCAGGAGAATCACTTGAACCCAGGAGGTGGAGGTTGCAGTGAGCCAAGATTGTGCCACTGCACTCCAGCCTGGGTGACAGAGTGAGACTCCATCTCAAAATAAATAAATAAAATAATAATAAATTTAAAAAATACAAAAATTAGCTGGGTGTGTTGATGTGTGCCTATAGTCCCAGCTACTCGAGAGGCTGAGGTGGGAGGATTGGTGGAGCTTGGGACGTTGAGGCTGCAGTGAGCCATGATTGTGACCACTGCACTCAGCCCAGGTAACAGAGAAGTAGGTGGAGAGATGTGTTGGAGGAGGCCTTCTTGTGTGAACTTGAAGGAACAGGATGTGAGGGGACCAGGTGCCCGTCGGATGCCCTCCTGGGTGCCTGATGGGACAGAGTTCAGAGGTGAGGATGTGTTCCGTGCCTGTGGCCATCAACAGCATGAAGAGGGCACAGGGGCTGTGTGGAGGATCCAACAAACCTTGTTCAAGGCCAGCTGTGACGTGCGCCAACACTTCCCTAGACCCCAGATTTTCCATCTGTAGAATGGGACTGCTCATCTGAATCTCTCTAAGTGCCGAGGTTTGGCGGTCACATGCACAAATGCACAAGTGGGCCGGCGTCTGGCCTTGCAGACTCCATAAATGGCTGCTGGCATTGTTGTTACGATGAGTGTTAGGGTTATTTGGCCTCGGAAACTTCCCTGCCCAGGTCCAGGGCCCAAGCTGGCTCTGAGGAATCTTGCTCTCGATAAGAAAGCAGGAGGGCAGATTCCATTTAAATGATCACCCCCAGTTTGAAACATGTCCTTAAACAATTTCTGAACTGTTTCACAGTGTGAGTTCACCCGCACTGCTAATATCTTCAGGGATTTAAAAAACATATTTGCAACAAAGAGGCCTTTGTCTGCTGGCCCGGGCAGGCTGGCAGGGATGTTACACGAAACCAGATCGGCAGACGTTGGCCACAAACCTGCCGCATTGTGTCCCAGTGGCGACAGTGGTGATGGTGGGCTGGATTAAATCGGGCCTTTTGTCCTGGAGGGAATTGCCACCAGCCACATGACATGGGGTGGTGGGGGTGGGGGAGGAAGGCTTAACTCTGCAGGTCCGGAGTCTGGCAACCCCCCTTCCCTAATATTTCCCAGCCTTGGTGATCTCATCACAGTAGCCTGGAGAGGGGGCACTAGCACCGTCCTCAATTTCCAGACGTGGAGCAGGGAGCAGGGGATGGACTGAGTCAAGGTCACCCAGCACATGAGTGGCACTGTTAGGATTTGAGTTTGGATCTGAATGTAAGCCCTGTGCTCCCCTGTGGGACCAGGCATTGGGTTTCAGGTCCAATTATTCTGCAAACATATGTTGAGTATCTATCACGTGTCACCCCTCTGCAGGCACTGGGGATCCAGTAATGAATAAAGTGAAGACATGGGTTCATTCATTCATTCATTCACTCATTCATTCATCCAATATTGGTTGAGGTGAGTAGGAGAACTGATAGAGAAGCTGTCCAGCAGGTACCACACCGTGTAATCCACCTGCCTCACGCATGCTGTATCACACAGACCCAGGGCTCAGAAAGATGACCAGGTTTCTAGCTTTTTTTCCTGTCTTTTTCTCAGTGCGCAGGGCCATGCCAGGCACATAGTAGGTGCTCCAAAAAAAAAAAAAAAAAAAAGATATTTACACGCAGGTCCACAGCAGCATTATTCACAATAGGCAAAAGGTGGTTCGAGACCATCCTGGCTAACACGGTGAAACCCTGTCTCTACTAAAAATACAAAAAATTAGCCAGGCGTGGTGGCAGGCACCTGTAGTCTCAGCTACTCAGGAGGCTGAGGCAGGAGAATGGTGTGAACCTGGGAGGCGGAGCTTGCAGTGAGCCGAGATTGTGCCACTGCACTCCAGCCTGGATGACAGAGCGAGATTCCGTCTCAAAAAAAAAGGTAGAAACTACCCAAATGTCCATTGATGTGGATAAACAGAACATGGTATATCCATACAATGGAGTATTATTCAGCCCTAAAAAGGAATGAAATACCGAGACATGCTGCAACATGGATGGACCTTGGAAACATTCTGCTAAGTGAAAGCAGCCAGCCACAAAAGGCCACATAGTTACATGGTTCCATTTATATGAAGTGTCTAGAATAGGCAACTCCATAGAGACAGAGAGTGGATTGGTGGTTGCCTGGGGCTGGGGGAGGGGTGAATGGGGAGTGACTGCTTAATGGGTGTAGGGTTTCCTTTTGGGGTGATTAAAATGTTTGGAACTAGATCGAAGTGGTGGTTGTACAACATTGTGAAGGCACTAATTGCTGCTGAATTGTTCACTTTTATTTAGCATTCAATTTTATTTAGATTTATTTAGTTTATTTTTGTTTATTTCTTTTTTGAGACAGAGCCTCTGTCACCCAGGCTGGAGTGCAATTGTGTGATCTCAGCTCACTGCAACCTCCTCCTTCTGGGTCCAAGCGATTCTCCTGCCTCAACCTTCTGAGTAGCTGAGATTACAGGTGTGCACCACCACGCCTGGGTAATTTTTTTGTATTTAGTAGAGATGGGGTTTCACCATGTTGGCCAGGCTGGTCTCAAATTCGTGACCTCGAATGATCTGCCCACCTCTGTCTCCCAAAGTGCTGGGATTACAGGCAAAAGCCACCATGCGCGGCTGAATTGTTCACTTTTAAATGGTCAATTTTACATCCTGTGAGTTTCGCTTCCGTAAAACAAACAAACAAACAAACAAACAAAAAACCATGACTTGAAGGCCGAGGTGGGAGGACAGCTTGAGCCCAGGAATTTCAGACCAGCCTGGGCAATATAATGAGACCTCATCTCTGCAAAATTTTTTTTTAAAAATTAGCTGGGCATGGTGGCGTGTGGCTGTAGTCTGGCCACTTGAGAGGCTGAGGTGGGAGGATCGCTTGAGCCTGGCAGGGTGAGGCTGCAGTGAGCTGTGATTGCACCATTGTGCTCTAGCCTGGGTGACAGGGCAAGACTCTGTCTCTAAAAAAAATAAATTAGAAAACCCAAAATGTGACTTTTCACAGTGACTCCAGGGATAGGATTTCAGCTGTTCCCTCTTACAGATGAGGAAGTAAAGGCTCCAAGAGGGTGCTGGCCTTGCTGAGTGCCGGGATGGACCATGATCCTCTGGCAGTCTGGGCCTGTCTTCTGCAGACCCCTCTGCAGCAGCCTTGACATTGCGCTGTGCGCTTCTGTCAAACCCTCTGCAGGCTTCCCCCAGCGGCCCAAGGTCAAGGTGAGTATGGGGTTCTGTCAGGAATTTGTCTTAGCAGTGAGGACCCCAGCGTCTCCAGAAGGGAGCTTGTCAAACCAACTTGAAGGGCCTGGTGTTCCTGAGACGTATTTCCATCAGGCAGGTGAGCCAGGCTCTTCGGCCGCCTTCGTATACGCCTGTAACTGCCAGGAGACACTCAAATGCCTGTGCCAGAGGATCCACATTTCTCTGGGCATCCCAGGCCCCGTGGAGACAGGTCTGTAGCTAAGACGTTCAGAGAGGGCATGGCCCCTTCTCGCTGTTCAAACCCAGGCCTTTTCTATGCGAGTGTAGAGGTGACCCCATGCTCTAGTCACCTCCAGTGCAAAATTAGATTCTGCTGAACTTCGAGTACTTCTTGGGTAGTTGTCTTTGGTTGGAGGAGTCATGCCTGATATTTCTTCTGGGGGTTGGAAGAAGATGGTTTTGATTTTCTGAGACTAAAGGATCTCACAATTGGAGGTCAGGAGGTGGGTTCCAGCCTCAGTGGGGAGTTGTTTCTAGCTTGCTTTGTGATCCTGGGAAGCCTTCTCGACTCTGAACTTCATCTTCCTTATGGTGCTTTGTTCTGGCCAGAGTATTAGAGGGATCCAGGAAGGAGAATGTGGTCTCAGCTTGTTCTTTCAACCCATGCCACATACTATAGAAATATGATTGTCACCACCCAGAGCTGGACCTCATCTTCTTCGGGCAAAACTATAATTGCATGTGGATTTTTTTTTTTTTAGACAGGGTCTCTGCTGGAGTGCCGTGGCATAATCATAGCTCACTGCAGCCTCAGCCTCCTGGGCTCAAGTGATCCTCCCATCTAAGCCTCCTGAGTAGCTGAGGAGCTGGGAGCATGGGTGCATACCACCACACCTAGATATATATATATATATATTTTTTTTTTTTTTTTGAGACAGAGTCTCGCTCTGTAGACTAGGCTGAGTGCAGTGGCGTCATCTTGGCTCACTGCAACCTCCGCCTCTTGGGTTCAAGCAATTCTCCTGCCTTAGCCTCCTGAGTAGCTGGGATTACAGGCGCCTGCCACCATGCCTGGCTAATTTTTTTTTGCATTTTCAGTAGAGACAGGGTTTCACCATGTTGGCCAGGCTGGTCATGAACCCCTGACCTCAGGTGATCTGCCTGCCTCGGCCTCCCAAAGTGCTGGCCCCAGCCACGATATATATTTTTTTATTAAAAAAATTTTTTTTTGTAGACATGAAGTCTCACCATGTTGCTTAGGCTGGTCTCAAACTCCTGGGCTCAAGTGATCCTCCCACCTCAGCCTCTTGAGTAGCGGGGATTGTTACAGGTGCACCACTGTGCCTGGCTAATTTTTATTTTTGGTAAAGAAGAGGTGGTACATGCCTGTAATCCCAACAACTGGGGAGGCTGAGGCAAGAGAATTGGTTGAACCCAGGAGGCAGAGGTTGCAGTGAGCCAAGATCGTGCCACTGCACTCCAGCCTGGGTGACAGAGCGAGACTCCATCTCAGGAAAAAAAAAAGAAAGAAAAGAAAAAGAATCAAGGTGTGCTGAGTTGACTAGTTTACCCTGAAAACTCACATCCACTTGGACCCTGTGAATGCGACCCTTTTTTGATAATAGAGCCTTTATAGATGCAATCACATTAAAATGTGGTCATATTGGATTAGGGTGGGACATAAATCCAATATGACTGGCGCCCTTAGAAGAAGAGGAAGATTTGAATACAGGGACACACAGGAGGACACCACATGAAGACAAAGGCAGGGATTGGAAGGATGCCTCCACAAGTTCAGGAAAGTCAAAGGTTACTGGGAGCCACCAGAAGCTGGAAGAGGTGCGGAAAAGCTCTCCCCTAGAGCCCAGGAGAGAGCAAGCTTCTGCTCCCACCTTGATTGCAGAAGTCTGGTCTCCAGGACTGAGAAAATAAAGTTTTGTTGTTTTAAGCCACCAAGCAGGAGGTCACTACCCGTCCTGTTTCAGCTGCTCAAAGATGATTTTTTTCTATGTGACATAGTGTTGAGACTGATGGAAAGAGAATGGCTTAGAGAAAAGAAGGAAGGAAGGAGGGAGGGAGGAAGTGAGGAAGAGAAGGAAGAGAAGGAAGAAAGAGAGGGAAGGAAGGGAGGGAGGGAAGGGAAGGAAAAGGGGGAGAAAGAGAAAAGGAAGAAAGGAAGAAGGGAAAAAAGGAGGGAGGAAGGGAGGGAAGGAGGGAAAGAGAGAGGAAGGAAGGAGGAAAGGAAAGAAAAAAGGATCAGAAGAGGGAGGAGGGAGGGAAAGAAGGAAGGAAGGGAAGGAAGGGAAGGAAAAGAGGAGAAAGAAAAAGAAAGGAAGGAAGGAAGGAGGGAAAGGAGGAAGGAAGAAAGAAAGAAAGAAAGGAGGGAGAGAGGAAAAGCAGGATGTATGAAATATCGCAATCCGCTCTTGAGAGGGTTAGCTCCGGGAGGGGTGGGGCCTTGTCAATTCCATTCACTGATGTCTCTCCAGAGCCTAGAACTGAGCTAAGCAAAGCAGGGCCCACAGTAGATGCTACCTGCGTATTTACTGAATGGATGGATGAATGAACGGAGGTCACTTCTCCTTAATCTTCAGAGGCTTCCTTTGGTCAACAAGTCCTGAAAACCTGGCCCTGCCACCACCCTGAGCTTCTCTGATTGCCCTCAGCTCCTGAACTTTCCACACTCCTTTCTGCCTCAGGACCTTTGCATGCCATTCTCTGCCTTTAACACCACTTCTCTGTTTTTCTGTTTTTTCCCTTAGTTAATTTCTATTTGTTCACCCCAGTGCCCTAGTTTTAGTCAGACTCTTTCATTGAAGGCACTTACTGTCTTTTTCCCTTTAAGGACCTTAGGGGCTTGATCTCTTTGTCATTTTATACTGGTGGTGAGCATGTCACGTTCATACCTGTCTCCTCTGGACTGTGAGTCCATAGGAGGCTGAGACCACGCCTGCTTTAACCCATTATCATATTCCTGGTGCCTGGCACATAGTAGGTGCTCAGTTAAAGTCTGTTGAAATAAATTGTCATTTGCAGCAGTCCTAACCTTAGCTCTTCCTCTCTGGGAGCCTCAATTTCCCCAATGGCAAGGGCTTACTAGAACCCAGTTTGCATGGTTCCTGGGAAGTCACTTCATGCTTAGCCCAGGGGTGGTCTGGATGTGTAGTTAGGGCTGTGTGAGACCTTCCCCTCCCAAGGGGAGGAAGGGCTGGCAGGGATCCTTCTGGTTCTTTCCTTCAGGGGGTGTTGTGAATGCAGGTGCTGGGTTGCCTGGGGCCATGCAGGGCTGTGTGCTCCTGCCTCCCCTCCAACTCCACTGGGTTTGCTGCCCTTCTCCAACCTGCACCCATCCCCCACACCTGCCTCTTCTCTGCATCTTCCTGCCTCTTGGCCAGTGAGTGTATCTAGGTCATGTATGACCTTTTTCTTCCATGCAAACTAGAGTGAGGACCAGTTCTCCCATCCCAGCCTGCCAAACAGGAAACCAGGAGCCATCTGGGGCTCTTCCCTGTTGGCATGCTGTTCCACTGCCTAGAATGCCTTCCCTGCTTCTCCTGCAACTCTATTGGGGTGTCACCTCCTCGAGGAAGCTGGCCCTGACTCCCTTCCTCTCCAGGGTCTCCTCTCAGCTCCTGCAGGCCTAGAACTTCCCTCACACAGGCTTTCAGAATCTGCCCTGTGTTTATCGCCCCAGACTGAGCAGGGCTGGCCTGGCACACAGTAGGGCTCATGAAGCCTTTGCGGGGTGAGGAAGAACTTCACTCCTCTCAAGTCCTGGGTGCTGTGACCACACAGCCTCACAGGACAACGGGAGGCAGCAAAGAGGCCAGGCTCAGAGTCAGACAGAACTTTCGGGCCTCAGTCTTCCTGTCTATAAAATGGGTGCTGTGAGGATTCAAGAAGAGAAAGATCCGTAAAGATCAAGATACAGGACCCACTGTCCTGCTCACCTTTGAATTTCCACGGGTTTCACTGTGCCTGGCACATAGTAAGTGCTCAGTAAATAGTTTTTATAATTGAGGCAACAATTTTATGAAAATTACTGCCCAGCACATAGTAGGTGCTCAAGACATTTATTGCATGGATTAGTCAATATCTATAAAGCACTTAGCCTGGCATATAGACAGTGCTTAATAAATGACTATGGTTAATATTATTGTGTGTGTGTGTGTGTGTGTGTGTGTGTGTGTGTGTTTATTTTATTTTATTTTTTTCTGAGATAGAGTCTTGCTCTGTTGCCCAGGCTGGAGTGCAGTGGTACAATCTCAGCTCACTATAACCTCTGCCTCCTGGGTTCAAGCGATTCTTGTGCCTCAGCTTCCTGAGTAGCTGGGATTACAGGCACCTGCCACCACGCCGGGCTAATTTTTGTATTTTTAGCAGAGATAAGGTTTCACCATGTTGGCCAGGCTGGTTTTGAACTCCTGACCTCAAGTGATCTGCCCGCCTTAGCCTCCCAAAGTACTGGGATTACAGGCGTGCACGATGGCACTGTGCCAAATATTACTGTTATTATTATTATTTTGAGACAGAGTCTCACTCTGTCACCCAGGCTGGAGTGCAGTGGTGTGATCTCGGCTCACTGCAACCTCCGCCTCCTGGGTTCATGCCATTCTCCTGTGTCAGCCTCCCGAGTAGCTGGGACTACAGGTGCCCACCACCACGCCCAGCTAATTTTTTATATTTTTAGTAGAGACAGGGTTTCACCGTGTTAGCCTGGCTGGTCTCGATCTCCTGACCTCGTGATCCACCCGCCTCGGCCTCCCAAAGTGCTGGGATTACAGGTGTGAGCCACTGCACCTGGCCTACTGTTCTTATTAAAGGAAATGGAGGCCCTGAGAGGAGAAGTGACCTGCCCCAGCTCACATAGCTGGGGCTTGAAATCAGGGTGAATCCAAATCTGGGACCGCTGGACTTCATCTGCATCTTGATCATTTCTGGAAAATACTGAGTACTTACTATATGTCAGGCACTGAGCCTGGCACCTTGGGAGCACAAAGAAAAATGAGACACAGCCCCTGCCCCTGGTGAGCTTGTAGTCCAGTTTTGGCAATAAACAGGTAAGCGTGAGGTTAGACTACAAGGAGAAGCTTGCGGTGCATTATAAGTCAGCAGCACGAAGGGGCCTGGGTGCAGAGAGGAGAGGATGTCACCCTGCCCGAGGTCATCAGGCTTCTGAGGCACCGTGACTCCTGAGCACAGTGTTTTTAAGAATTAGTGGGCCTTAGGCTGGGCGCGGTGGCTCACGCCTGTAATCCCAGCACTTTGGGAGGCTGAGGTGGGTGGATCACGAAGTCAGGAGTTCGAGACCAGCGTGGCCAACATGGTGAAACCCTGTCTCTACTAAAGATACAAAAACTTAGCCGGGCATGGTGATGCACACCTGTAATCCCAGCTACTCGGAAAGCTGAGGCAGGAGAATTGTGTGAACCCAGGAGGTGGAGGTTGCAGTGAGCCGAGATAGTGCCATTGCACTCCAGCCTGGGCAACAGGGTGAGGCTCCATCTCAAAAAAAAAAAAAAAAAAGAATTAGTGGGTCTTGGGCTGTGTGTGGTGGCTCACGCTTATAATCCCAGCACTTTGGGAGGCCAAGGCGGGCAGATCACCTGAGGTCAGGAATTTGAGACCAGTGTGGCCAACATGGCAAAACCCCGTCTCTACTAAAAATACAAAAATTAGCTGGATGTGGTGGCAGGTGCCTGTAATCCCAGCTACTTGGGAGGCTGAGGCAGGAGAATCACTTGAGCCCAGGCAGCAGAGGGTGCAGTGAGCCAGGATTGCACCAGTGTCCTCCAGCCTGGACAACAGAGCGAGACTCCGTCTTAAAAAAAAAAAAAAATTAGTGGGTCTTGATTCAAAGAAGTTGGAAATATATTTTTCACAAATGCAGTAATTCACACATAATGAAACAAAAGTTTCACTAGATAATTGTTGTAATATAAGGTGTACTTACTTGTATAGCTTACGTTTTGTTTTTATTGTGGTAAAATATACATAACATAAAATGTATCACTTTACCCATCTTTAAGTGCTCAGTACAGTAGCATTAAGTACCACCACATTGTTGTGTAGCCATTACTGCTATTCATCCACAGAACTTTTTCATCATCCCAAACAGAAACTGCACCCATGAAACACTAACTCCCTATTCCGCGATACCCCGTCCCCTGGTAAACTTTAATTCTACTTTCTGTTTCTATGAGTCTTCTTCTAGTTACTTCACGTTAGTGGAATCACCCACTGTCTTTTTGTGTCTGGATTCTTTCTTTCTTTCTTTCTTTTTTTAGATGGAGTTTCACTCTTGTGGCCCAGGCTGGAGTGCAATGGTGCGATCTCGGCTCACCACAACCTCTGCCTCCTGTGTTCAAGTGATTCTCCTGCCTCAGCCTCCTGAGTAGCTGGGATTACAGGTACGCACCACCACGCCCAGCTAATTTTGTATTTTTAGTAGAGATGGGGTTTCTCCATGTTGGTCACGCTGGTCTCGAAGTCCCAACCTTAGGTGATCCACCCACCTCAGCCTCCCAAAGTGCTAGGATTACAGGCATGAGCCACCGTGCCTGGCCTGGATTATTTCATTTGGCATAATGTCTTCAATGTTCATCCATGTTGTAGCATGAGTCAGAATTTCATTTCTTTCTTTTTTTCTTTTTTCTTTTTTTTGAGACAGGGTATTGCTCTGTTACCCAGGCTGGAGTTCAGTGATATGATCATAGCTACTGCAGCCTCAACTCCCTGGGCTTGAGACATCCTCCCACCTCAGCCTCCTGAGTAGCTGGGACCACAGGCATGTGCTACCATGTCTGGCTATATTTTTAATTCTTTTGTAGAGACAGGGTCTCCCTATGTTGCCCAGGCTGGTCTCAAATATCTGGGCTTAAGCGATCCTCCTGCCTCAGCCTCCCAAAGTGCTGGGATTACAAGACTGTGCCTGTCTAGAATTTCATTTCTTTTTGTGGCTGATGAGTATTCCATTGTATGTGTATACCACACTCCCTAAATGGCTTTTTAATCTATAAATTGGTCACAATCTGCAGTTTGAAAAGTACCAAGTAGGGCCTTGCAGGATGAATAGGAGTTCATAAGACTGGACTGCAAGGGCCCTTCACTCCTTCATTCGGAAAATGAATGAAATGCAAACAGAAGTGGCCAAAACCAGGAAGAACCCCTGCTGGTTGGGTGCTCCTGATGGAGTGGGGTGGACTGAGATTCATTAAGGATCCCAGAAGATAACACTGCTGGATGTTGCGCTACCCAGACCTTGGGGGTAAGAGAGCATTCCAGTGCCGGGATTATCTGGTAGGAGTTGCCGGGGGCGGCGGGGGGCATTTCCCTGAGGATGTGGCGGCTGAGCTGAGGTGTGGCTGTGCCTTCACTGAGCAAAAAGCCCTCCAGCCATGGGCACAACCCCTGCCAGGGCCTGTGATGGGAGAAGGTGAGAAGGGCACAGTAGGGGCCAGTGCAGCTCTGGTGGAGGGACTGGGCCAGGCATGGCAAGGTCACCCGGGCTGGGCATGCAGGGCCTTGCACACTGCAGTGAGGAATTTGATCTTTATTCTCAAAAGATAGATCCACTGAATGTTCTAAGGATATGAGTGAAGGGCTGTCTGTGACCTGACTTTATCAGGTTTAGAGCCCAGCTGCTGCCCAGGTCTGGAGAGCGGTGGCCAGGGCCAGGAAGGGAGGGATAAAATGGGCAGAGATTTCAACAGACCTGGGAGTGGGCTGAATCAGTGTGGGCACTTTGTGCATGTGTGTGTGCATGTGGACACAGGTGTGCATGAGTGCATGTACGTGTGTGTGCACACCCAGCAAGCATTCAAGTTAGGGGAGCGTCCCCAGGCCTCCCTCTCTCCACCTGAGCCAAGAAGGTGCAGCAGACACACTGATGACCAGGGTGACTCCATGCCTGGTGATACTCCCCTCCTCCAGGCCTGACCTCTGGAACATCACTGGGTCCCGGTGCCTCCTGCTCCCGCTCTCTCCCAGCTCCCTGTGATTTAAGAGGCATTTTCCTTTTGGGTGATATAGATTCCAAAACGCTGCATCCATCTCCTGGGCTTGGTGAGGCCGGCCTGTCTGAGTTATAGCAGATTGCTTTCTGCTCAGGGAAGGGGGGCGGAGGGCACTGGTTTGCTCTTAACGCTCTCTGGGCTCGGAACATTTGAGCAAACATTCCTGGCCGCTTTGGAAGTTTGGAAACCCAGATGAGCTCATCGGAGCCAGAGGTGGGGGCAGCTGGCGCCTGCAGCCTGCCTGGAGCTCACCAGGTGGCCGGGTGGCAAATGTCGGAGGCTGGCGGCTAAGCCTCAGCTGGGGTGGAGGTGGCCAAGAGAGGGTGGGGCCTGCACAGCTGGGGCCTGGCCCAGAGAACCCGGGGTGAGTCCTCTCTCTACTCAGCGCTCCTTTTCCTTGCTGGCAGGGCCTTGGCGTGACAAGGCCTCCGGACCGGACCGGAGCCAGGAGTCTCAGGACCATGCAGCCAGGGTCTGAGGGGAGACCAAAGAGAGCAGGCACCTCATCAATTCAGGGCTGCCCCGCAGGGAGCCACCCGCCCTGCAGGGGCCTGGCTCCATGTAGTAGCTGCCGTTTATTGAGTGTTAACTACGTGCTAAATGCTCTGTGCTTGTTCACCCCCCTGACAACTCCAGAGAAGATTATCCTCCTCATTTGACAAATGGGGAAACTGAGGCTCAAGGAGGTAAAGGGACTATGTGCAGTCGAGCCTGAGGCCGACCCTGTTCACCTCCAGACTGCACTGCCTTCCTGCTATGCACACAACAACAATTAAAGGAAGAGCTGGTAACACTGTCACAGGGCGAATGGTGATGATTTGTGAACGTTTCCAAGAATCTGATCAAATAAGCACATTACTCACTGCCTCTGGGCTCTGTTTCCTAGTTGGGTGGGAAGGGCCATTCAAAGCCCATCAGCCCCATTGTCGTCCACTTTACAATCCCTTAGACAGTGTGACTGATGGTGGGGGTGGGAGGTGGGGTGTCTGAGGGTTCCCTGGGGGTTCCGTTCGTTTCCTTCCTGAGCCCTTTGGGCAATAAGTGTGGGATCTTCTTTTGGAGGAACTCTCCCCAAGCTCCTTCTCAAAGTGGTGTCCTGCCTCTAGGTTCCCGTCCATAAAATGGGCACACATCTATTCCTGCAGTACAATTGGTGCGAGAATTAGAAATAACCTATGGAAAGGAGTCCATCTTATGGTGAGTGCTCAGAGATGGGAGGCTGCTTTCCTCCTATCCTGGATCTCTGGAGGATGTCAGCAAGGCACCCCCCATTTCTTACACTGGAGCACACTTCCAGGGAGCCTTAGAGAGGAGGTGCCTCTACTCGCCTCCCAGGGATGGCGTGTGACTGCTGTGCTTAACCTACACCATTTCATTCCGTCTTCACGTATGTCCTTTGCTGTAGGTACTGCTGGAAACTGATTTTACAGATGAGGAAACTGAGGCACAGAGAAGGGAATGATGCACTCAAGGTCACAGATCTCAGATCTGTGTGATGCTCTAAACCACCCCAGCACACCCCTCTGTAAGGAAAGTGAAGAGGAATGGGGCGCTGTAGAGCAAACAGGGACGCACCTGCCACATGCCGGCTGCCGTCGCTGCTGACACATGGAGGAGCTTGGCTGCAGACTCCAGCTGCACACAGGGCTCCTTCCTGGAAGATAAGCTCAGCCTGGGTCTTGGCATTGGGGGTGGTTCCTTCCAGCACTTGCTCTTTACCTCAGTGGAGACAGGGCATGCAGCCATGGGTGTCTGAGAGGGTGGGGGACAGGAGATGCAGGTGACAATCGACAGTGTGATTTGAAAGGTGTCGGCTAATGACTGGTCCATCCAAAGTTTTCCCATCATAGATGCTTATTTTGTTCTGTTTATGAGGCTGGCTTTCCAGCGAGGTTCTCGGTGGTAATGAGCCCACATTGCTGATGGCCGCAGGGAGGGAAAATGAAGAGGTGGGGAGGGAGGGGCTTGTGAGCATGCTAAATAGGTTTGTTGAATAACCTGCTGAACTTTTGCATTTTCTGACTAATTGTGTGGTATGTGACGCTTTATGAGTGATGGCTGTTTTTTTTATTCCTCCTTTTTTTGCTGAATAGGGACTTTTTCAAGGGGAGGCTAACTGGGCCCTGGAGTCGCTGGGGCCTCCGTTCCAGCCTGTGGGGCTGGTTTGAGTTATTTTGGGAGCAGGGCCTGGGTTCAGCATACTTCACTTAGAGAATGGAAAATAGAAGCTCATAGCTGGATGCCGTCTGGGGAAGAGAAACCCACGTAGATGGAGACATTGGCAGGATGGCTCTAGGACCCTACGGATCCGAGTATGAAACCAGGCCCTGCCATGCAGTCGCGATGTGGCTTTGAACACGTCGTTCTTGTACCAATCAGAGCCTCCATTCCAGAGGATAATGGAGATGCTTACTTCCTAGGGTTGCTTTCTGGATTCAGTGAGGTCTAAGAGAGTTTCTGTGTTCAGAAAAGGGGAGGTTTGTAGCATCGTTCCAATTCATGCTTTCAAGCAAGGGTCTCATTTCTGATCCTCCATGTCACAAGCTAAGCGTGTTGCTGTGCGGTTGAGATACTGGCTCTGGCTCTGAGCTAGACTCATGAAAATGGAGCATTCCCCGGGAAGGTTGGGTTGTCCAGGAGATCTGGAGACTAGCGGCAAGCTATGGAGCCTCAGCCCCATGTGTCTGGTACCTGGGAAGTTGAAATGCCCTATAGTGGCCACAGCTCTTCTCCTGCACAGGTAGCCCTGCCAGGCCAAGTGCGCTGGGGATACTTCTTGTTCCAGGTATCTTTTGAGGGGAAATTCAGTAGTTCCCTACACTGAAACCTTGTGATCAGACCCCAGAGACCTCAGGGGAGCAGCGAAGTAAAACAATAGAGAAAGCAGGGACCCCTCTTTAGGGCTGGGACTCTCCAGGGGCTTAGACCCAGGGCCAGGCATCAGAACTGTGGGCAAGGCGTCCTCTTTCCAGATGGTAGCCCTGGGTTTGAGAAAGGGAGAATCTTTGTGACTGATACGTGGGCTAATGGTGAAGTTAGGCTAGGCCTGGTTTGAGTTCTGGCTCTGACTCTTACTTGCCGTGTGACCTAGGGCAAGCTCCTTCACCTCTCTGTGCCTCAGTTTTCACTTTTATAAAATGGAAAAAGAATAGAACCTACCTCACAGGGTAGCTATGTAATATACTAACACTATAAAATATACTGTACATATATAATTTATATAAGTTATATAGTGGGGACTGGGTGCTTTCTCACACTTTTGCCTCCCTCACACGCTTGGAGACAGGTCGGGGGTGGTGATACTGGGCTTTGAACCTAGGAGATCTGGCTCTCATTTAGAAATGCCCCTAAACCTACCCCAACTGAGAAATGGGCAGGAGGTCCTGCTCCGCAGAGAGCAGCATCTATAATCACCGAACCAAGAGGGGACTCTTGTCTGTGCACGGGCCTGAGATGGAAGAGGCAGCAGGCACGGTCCTGCTCTGTGCTGGCTGCTTGGGTACAGACCTGAGACTTCCCCTATCCCAAGCCCTGTTTCCAAGGAAACTAGGTAAAGATGGCTCCTGGGGCCACAGTGAAGGCAAAGAAAGGGAGACCCTCAGGTCTCCAGGGATATTTAAAACTCACCTTGGACAATGTCTCTTGGTCTTGCTTTAAACCTTTCCATAGCTCCCCAGAACAATGTCCAAACTTTCCCACCCGGCCTTGAGGTCCTCCTGATCCTGCCCCTTCCTCATACTGCTCTAAACTCACTTCTGCTTGAGCCTTCCTGCACCCCGTCTAACATGATTACTCCTCTTGGAAAGTCCTGTGACCCTATTTGGTTGTCAAACTCCTATTCTACTTTCAAAACCCAACATTGGGAATCCTTCTCTATTATCCCTCCTTCCCGGCAGTTATTTTGTCCCTTACAGGTGTGTAATGTAGTCCTTTCACATCAAATAGTAGGTTTCCTTTGATCTGGCTTGAAGGCTGGGACTGTGTCTGCTACATTTTTTCTTGAGTTCCTAGACCAGGCCCTGGCATATTATAAGCATTTGGTATGTACATAATGAACAGATCGAGGAGAGACCCCAAAAGACAGACATTGTGTGTAGCAAGATAGACGAGGTGCTGTTGCTTGGCAAACAGCAGACTATAGCTCCATGAGGGTCTCATATCTTCTGACTCTAGTCATCTGCCCTCTCCTCTGTCCTGGTCATAGCTGGGGCTTCCTGGGATTGTGGTTCTGTTCTGCATCTCCCCGCATCCAAACACAGAAGAAATAATCATGGTCATAAGAGGGGCTGCCATTTAAAGAATGTCTGTCCTGTGCCGTGCTCTGTTCCACTCTGAAAGCATTGTCTCCAGTCCCTATGCTGTATATCAACTGGCCTTCATGTCTCTTTCCAACAGGGGAAACTGAGGTTCAGAGAAAAAAGTATTTTGCTTAAGGTCACGCAGCTCATAAGTGGTGAAGACAAGACTTGAATCTGAATCTGTAATGCCCAAATCCTTGACCTTTCCACCACTGGCCCACTGGAGAGGCCTGTTCTGCTGACCCCAGGTGTCCGGAGAAGTAGCTTCCCCTCCAGTCCTTCTAGGAACACTGCCTGCAAGAAGGGCTTGAGCTTCTGTGGTCCCGGTGAGTTTCCAAGCTCCAAAGGATACGGGGGTTAGAGGAAGAAGGCTAAGGATATTGCTGTGTGTGTGTGTGTGTGTGTGTGTGTGTGTGTGTTTGTACTAGTTTCTCATGTTTGTGTGGGTGAGGGAGACACTGAGAATAATATGAATCATAATTTTGATAATATTTGGTAATAATCACAGTGGTAATAAAGGTTGCTAACACTTGTTGGCACTTACCATGTCCCCTGCACTGTGCTAAGTGTTTTACCTGAACGATCACATTCAGGTAGAGCAGGCCGTGGTTAAGAGACAGGCGTCAGTGTCAGGGAGATTAGAATCTCAGCTCTGCCATTGTTTGACTTTGGGAAAGTCCCTTGACTTTCTCGATCTCCTCATCTGTAGAATGGGTTCTGAGTCCCCACTTCATGGCGTTGCCGTGAGGATGACCATGGGTATAATGCACAAAGCACCAGCCTGACACGGAAGGAGCCTTCCATGTCCTGAAGCCAGTGGGCAGACTCATCCACTATGGGGAGGGGTGTGTGTGTGTGTGTGTGTGTGTGTGTGCTGACATCCCCACACTATGGAGGGGTGTGTGTGTGAGTACATGGATGCTGACATCCACACACTATGGAGGGGTGTGTGTGTGTGTGTGTGCTGACATAGCCACACGCTATGGAGGTGTATATGTGTGTGTGTGTGTGTGTGCTGACATAGCCACACACTATGGAGGTGTATGTGTGTGTGTGTGTGTGTGTGCTGACATCCACACACTATGGAGGTGTACGTGTGTGTGAGTGTGTTGACAGCTACACACTATGGAGATGTATGTGTGAGTGTGTGTATAAGTACATGGATGCTGACATCCACATACTATGGCGGGGTGTGTATGTGCTAACATAGCCACACGCTATGGAGGTGTATATGTGTGTGTGTGCTGACATCCACACACTATGGAGGGGTGTGTGTGTGTGTGTGAGTACGTGTATGCTGATATTGCTCTGTGTGTGCATGTGAGTGCATGTGTTTGCTGACACAGCCACACACTATGGAGGTAAGTGTGTACATGTGTCTGTGCTGGTGGTGTTGGGGGCCAACGGGGCAGGCACGAAGGCTGTGTGTCTCCTGGGTGACGGGTATTGGGTGTGGGTTGCTTTGTGTTTCTATAGAGTGAGAGTTCACTGGTGGGCTGCAGGCTGAGGCTCCTGGGCTAGCTGAGGTGTGCCAGGCTCTCCATATCAGCGGTGAGTGTTCTGGGGGCCATCCCAGGCAGTTCCCCACTTGTCACCAGCTTAAAACATCCCTCTCCAGCTCTGGGGCCCCATCCAGCTGTGTCTCCTCCTTCCCTTGCCCAGAGGGCCTCCTCTGGCCGTTGCCAGCACACTCAGTGCCCCCGGAGGGGGACCTGGGGAGGGAGGAGGATGGAGAAAGCCCTGGCGGGTGGAGGGCCCTGAGGCTCCTACTGCTCCCGGCTCTGCGCCTGCGGGGACTTTGAATTCATCTGAGCGCTAGGGGGCAATGTGTCTGTTCCAAAGAAACACTGCGGGACCTTGCGGGCGAAAGCACACACAGGCACACGCAGGGGTGCCCACACTGTGGAGGCGCACACGCCGGCGCATACACGGGCACAGATGGGCACAGGCTGTGAGGCACACGCCCTCACACTCGCAGAAAAAACAGATACACTGGAGCAGAGATACAGGCATGCAAGGGGTGAGGCAGCTGCACACACACAGGTACAAACGCAGTGGCTCACACACACAGAAATGCGGGGTTGGGGGACAGACAGAGAACATGCACCAAGACCCCCAAAGATCCATGCACGAACGCCGACGCAGGCATGGACAGAAACACACGCAGATGCCCCGCCACCCGCATACAAGCAAAGGCACAAAATGCAGACGTGTGCCACACACCCGCACAACATTTGCAGTGTTAAAGAAAGGTGACCGAGACACACATCCTGAACAGAAACTTCACCAGGTCCAAACACTCCCTTCTTTCAGCCACTCACACACCTTGTGGAGCTAACTCTTGGAAACAGCCCCAGAAAAATACTCCCACACCCCCCCTCCCTGGAGCACACGGAATTATTCCACAGGAAACCTGCCCAGGTGTGCTGGAGACCCCCACCCAGCCCTGTGTGAAGTCATGCCTCAGCTCTGCAGACGCCCCCATCCGGGTCTCCCCAGACGACAGGCCTGTGAGCCATTCTTCCCACTCTCCTGGCCCACCCCCAGGCTCCAGACAGGTCCCCACTTTTCCCTATTTCCTCCAGACACAGAAACACAGGCGGCTCATAGGTGCCTCAGGAGACACCCATAGTCGAGAGCAGACTGAGTGTGTGACCCAGTATCTTGGACTATGCCCAGGCCTTTGCCCATGTGGGGGCCTCTTCCTCACAACCAGGTTTTCCTATTGCCTCCCGCTTTTTGTCCAGGAGGTTCAAGATCCCCCCTGCTCTGTCTCGGGAGCCCCAGAGCCCCAGGGTCCTAGGCCCCGGGGCGGGCGGGGGGGGGGTGTCACTGGAGGGCCTACCCAAGCCTTTATTTCTTTGTGCCTAAATCAGCAAAGCCTCAGTCTTTTCTCTGGCTCTCACTTCCCTGTCACTTTGCTAAGTAATAATTTCCATGTCCAATTCCATTTCTTTTCTAGTTCTGAAACCTCTAAGCTATCAGCAAGAGGATAGTTCACATGAAAACTAATTACACAAAATCAATATTTAATCACAGACCAACAACCTGATCCTGCAGAAAAATCCTTTAAAAACTCCACCGCCCTGTACAAATACTTATTCCCTATGCTTATTTATGGACCCCATTTTTGATGGGGGTAATTTTCATTTTTAATTTCAAAAAAGAAAAAATATATATGTCTGTAAACTTCCACAACAGGAAGGCCCCGGGAAAGGTCTTGGATCTGAGCTTGCTCTGGCTGAGTTTTAAAGTTGTTGTTTTTTCTTGTTTGTTTATTTTTAATTAAAATTTTTTTTGGGCGGGGGGCAATTTCTTAGGAATTCTGCCGCTACCCCAAAGTTGAGCCCATTTCCCCCCACCCCCGGCATGTCGGTTCTGGCATACTTAGCACTGCCTTCCTAGCCGCAACTCAGGGGAGCAATGAATCTGCGCGTACGACATGGTAACTTTTTAACTCCTGCCCGCGACGGTGGAGTGCTTAATCTAAGGTTTTTAAATAAAAAGGGCTCAGGGGTTGGTTTTATTATAACGTTTATTTCATTTCAGATTTCATGCGTAATTTAGCAAACGCTAGACAGACTCGGGCGATAAACACTTTCTTTTGTGGGGGGGGAAAGGCATTTTCATACACCACGCTTAATTTTATTTAGATTTAATAGCGATATCAGGGGCACTTCAAAGAAAGTTCTTTTTTCGCCCTTCTCCTAAGAATGCGAATCTGCTAGCAAAATCGCCTCGTGCTATTTTATGGCAAGGAAAATTAAAGGCCTTCTCCCCCCTCCTTCCCTACACACACTTTAGGGAGGAACACACACACACACACACACGCATGCACAAACACACGCACGCAGGCGCGAGCACACGCACACAGGCGCACAGAATAAACACCTCTATCCTCCATCACCTCTAACTTCCAACTTCTAATTGCAAGATAGATTTCAGCCTCTGTGGGGATCAGGACGATCTAAACATTTTAACTAAGATTATTGGGATAAATATTTCATAAAGAGCAGGGCAGATATTAAATTACTCCTATTGATTTTAGTATCACAGCCCAATTCCATTCCTCGGCCTCTTCAGTTTAATTGATCTCTTAAGGAGGCCAACTTCGCACCCGCAGAGGGTCTGGGTCTTGGACCGGGTGGCCCAGGGCAAGGTGTGCGGCCCGGCGGGTGCGCCCTCTTCGTGCGTGTCTTCTCGGGGTTCCCAGCCGCCTCGCAAGTCGCTCCGGTTACTGGGCTCAACCGATGTGCTCCCCCATAAAGTGGCTGAGTGACTGTGACTCCTTGGAGCCCACGCCGGCCGGTGAGAACCGGGAACCCCAGGCAGTGGGGAAGGGGAACAATTGTGAACGCCCTAGTGACGGAGGAGTGAGCAAGCGCCCAGGTCTCTCGAGGAGAACCCTAACTTCGAGGTTCCCCGTCTGCTTTACCCTCCAAGAAAATCCCAGGGCCGGCTAACTTGGGCGCCGCTAGCGGAGAACGGAGTGTTCACCCCGGAGCCGAAGTGCAGTAGACACTTAGCGACTTTCCGTGGCGAGTCTAGGGTCTTTGCCTGGCGACCTCATTGTCTGAGCGCCCCGTACCGCTCACCGCCCACCTCCCCGCCCCCTGCCCACCCGGTGGGTCTCGCTCCAGTTGGGGGTGGGGAGTTGGGAACAGTGTGAATGGGAAGGGGGTGAACAAAGCCAAGCTCCCGCCATTCTCCTCCGCCTGCACCCTCTCCAGCTCGATGCGCCCGGAGGCCGGGGCGCGCCCCCAGCGCACTGACGCCGGACCCCGAGGAGAGGCGGGCGCAGGGGACCCCAGAGCTGGGGTAGTGCGGGTTCGTGGCGGGGGCTTCGGCAGCCAGGACCCCGGACCACCTTAAGAGCGAGCCCCGCCCCGAGCCCGGAACTTGGGCGGCGCTGATTGGTGCAAATGTAATGGCTGAAATTGATTGCTGAAATGCAAAACTTGTTGCTGCTTCTCCCGGCGCTGGGCGAGAGGCAGACACAGAGAGGGGAGCCGAGACCCTCGGAACGCCCCACGCAGAGCCCCCCCGCTAGTCGGGAGAGGGGTGCGCAGACCCCCCAGAGCTGCCCCCGCGCCCCCCTCCCCCCATTCCGGGCTCTGAGAGCGCAGCGGGAACGCCTTAGCCTGCTCGCCCGGCGTGGCCCCCCGACCCGCGTACGCCCCCCTCCCTCAGGTCCGAGAGGGACTCGCGAAGCACCTCAGCGCGGAGGCAGGGAACCGGAGCCTTGGAGCGACCCAACCCCTCGTCTCGCTGCCCTCCCGCGCCTGCAACGGTGCGCGGAGACTCCGGCGAACTCAGACACCCAACGGCGGAGAACAGAAGCGGCAGGCGGCGGACGTGGCCGCGAAGCTGCGCGCCGAACGCAGCGCACCCGCTGCCGAGCAGAGGAGCCGCGCCTTTCCCCGACCCTCGGCTCCAGCCCCCGGCGCCTGCCGCCTCGCAGCCCCTCTGCGTCCTCGGCTCGGGGGCCGGCACCGGCGATGCCGAGCGGAGCCTCCAGTCCTCCGACCCGCTGAAGAAGCAGCAGCCGCTCGCCCGGAGCCTACGGGGATTGTGCGAGCGGATCGTGCTCGGTGGAGGCTCGGGCTGCGGGGCGCGGGGACTCCGGGGGGCGGGGGGAGGGACCGCTCTGTCGGTGCCCGGCGCCAGCCGCGGCTTTGAAGGGTCTCCCTCCCCTGCCCTTAGCAGCTCTGCCACGGACTCCGGGAGGCTGCGGGCGGCGTCCTGAGGGCTCCCCAGCAGACCCAATCGGACTTGAGAAGGTGATCGCTCTGCTCTCCCAACCCCCTTCCCTCCCCATTCCCCCCACTTAACTTTTTGTCTCCGTTCATCCGCGGCTTCGTCCCCTCCCCGCAGACCCACCCGCGGCTGTGACAACCGCCCGGGGCATGGGCCCCCCAACACGGCTCCTAGAGGCCCCGCGGCCTCGCAAGATGTGAGAGGCCCTCCCCGGGCAGAATCGGAGCTTCAGGAGAGGAGCTAATACCCCGCCCCCCGTCCCTCACATCAGGCGGGGTGGAGGTGCGCGCTGAGCCCCCGCGGTGCTGAGCGTCCCGGAGCGCCCAATCCTGGGCTGGAACGAGTAGCTGGCCGGAGGCGCGCCGCGGAGAGCCGGCTGTCATGCCCTATTGATCCCCCTCTGCCCCCCGCCAAGTATGTTTGGGCTGGACCAATTCGAGCCCCAGGTCAACAGCAGGAACGCTGGCCAGGGCGAGAGGAACTTTAACGAGACCGGACTGAGCATGAACACCCACTTTAAGGCCCCGGCTTTCCACACTGGGGGGCCCCCTGGCCCTGTGGATCCTGCTATGAGCGCGCTGGGCGAACCCCCGATCTTGGGCATGAACATGGAGCCCTACGGCTTCCACGCGCGCGGCCACTCGGAGTTGCACGCAGGGGGGCTGCAAGCGCAGCCTGTGCACGGCTTCTTTGGCGGCCAGCAGCCTCACCACGGCCACCCGGGAAGTCATCATCCCCACCAGCATCACCCCCACTTTGGGGGCAACTTCGGTGGCCCGGACCCCGGGGCCTCGTGCCTGCACGGGGGTCGCCTGCTCGGCTACGGCGGCGCAGCCGGAGGCCTGGGCAGCCAGCCGCCCTTCGCCGAGGGCTATGAGCACATGGCGGAGAGCCAGGGGCCTGAGAGCTTCGGCCCGCAGCGACCGGGGAACCTCCCGGACTTCCACAGTTCAGGTGCCTCCAGCCACGCCGTGCCGGCCCCATGCCTGCCGCTGGACCAGAGCCCTAACCGAGCCGCCTCCTTCCACGGCCTGCCGTCCTCCAGCGGCTCCGATTCCCACAGTCTGGAGCCACGGAGGGTGACGAACCAAGGAGCCGTCGACTCGCTGGAATACAATTACCCGGGCGAGGCGCCCTCGGGACATTTTGACATGTTTTCGCCCTCTGACTCCGAAGGGCAGCTGCCTCATTATGCAGCGGGTCGCCAGGTTCCTGGGGGCGCTTTCCCGGGCGCCTCGGCCATGCCCAGAGCTGCGGGCATGGTGGGCTTGTCCAAAATGCACGCCCAGCCACCGCAGCAGCAGCCCCAGCAGCAGCAGCAGCCCCAGCAGCAGCAGCAGCAGCATGGTGTGTTCTTTGAGAGGTTCAGTGGGGCCAGAAAGATGCCTGTGGGTCTGGAGCCCTCAGTGGGCTCCAGGCACCCGTTAATGCAGCCTCCCCAGCAGGCCCCGCCACCCCCTCAGCAGCAGCCCCCGCAGCAGCCGCCACAGCAGCAGCCGCCGCCGCCACCCGGGCTTCTAGTCCGACAAAATTCGTGCCCGCCTGCGCTCCCTCGGCCCCAGCAGGGCGAGGCGGGCACGCCCAGCGGCGGCCTGCAGGACGGAGGCCCCATGCTGCCCAGCCAGCACGCGCAATTCGAGTATCCCATCCACCGGCTGGAGAACCGGAGCATGCACCCTTATTCCGAGCCTGTTTTCAGCATGCAGCATCCTCCTCCGCAGCAGGCGCCCAACCAGCGGCTGCAGCATTTCGACGCGCCCCCCTACATGAACGTGGCCAAGAGGCCGCGCTTCGACTTTCCGGGCAGCGCGGGAGTGGACCGCTGCGCTTCGTGGAACGGCAGCATGCACAACGGCGCTCTGGATAATCACCTCTCCCCTTCCGCCTACCCAGGCCTACCCGGCGAGTTCACACCGCCTGTGCCCGACAGCTTCCCTTCGGGGCCGCCCCTGCAGCATCCGGCCCCGGACCACCAGTCCCTGCAACAGCAGCAGCAGCAGCAGCAGCAGCAGCAACAGCAGCAGCAGCAGCAGCAACAGCAACAGCAACAGCAGCAGCAGCAGCAGCGCCAAAACGCGGCCCTCATGATTAAGCAGATGGCGTCGCGGAATCAGCAGCAGCGGCTGCGCCAGCCCAACCTGGCTCAGCTAGGCCACCCCGGGGACGTGGGCCAGGGCGGCCTGGTGCATGGCGGCCCGGTGGGCGGCTTGGCCCAGCCGAACTTTGAGCGCGAAGGCGGCAGCACGGGCGCCGGGCGTCTGGGCACCTTCGAGCAGCAGGCGCCGCACTTGGCGCAAGAGAGCGCGTGGTTCTCAGGTCCGCATCCGCCGCCCGGAGACCTGCTGCCCCGTAGGATGGGCGGCTCGGGTCTGCCCGCTGACTGTGGCCCGCACGACCCCAGCCTGGCGCCCCCTCCTCCGCCTGGTGGCTCGGGGGTGCTGTTCCGGGGCCCTCTGCAGGAGCCGATGAGGATGCCCGGAGAGGGCCACGTGCCCGCGCTGCCTTCACCGGGCCTGCAGTTCGGGGGCAGTCTGGGAGGCCTGGGTCAGCTGCAGTCGCCCGGGGCGGGCGTGGGGCTCCCCAGCGCTGCTTCGGAGCGCCGGCCCCCGCCGCCGGACTTTGCTACGTCTGCGCTCGGGGGCCAGCCGGGCTTTCCGTTTGGTGCAGCCGGCCGGCAGTCCACGCCGCACAGCGGTCCAGGCGTGAACTCGCCCCCCAGCGCGGGAGGGGGCGGTGGCAGCTCTGGTGGCGGCGGTGGCGGGGGTGCCTACCCGCCGCAGCCTGATTTCCAGCCCAGCCAGCGCACCTCGGCCAGTAAATTGGGCGCGCTCTCGCTGGGCTCCTTCAACAAGCCCAGCTCCAAGGACAACCTGTTCGGCCAGAGCTGCCTGGCTGCGCTCTCCACCGCTTGCCAGAACATGATCGCCAGCCTCGGGGCCCCCAACCTCAACGTGACCTTCAACAAGAAGAACCCGCCAGAGGGCAAGAGGAAACTGAGCCAGAACGAGACCGACGGCGCGGCAGTGGCCGGCAACCCGGGCTCGGATTACTTCCCAGGAGGGACTGCTCCTGGGGCCCCAGGACCCGGAGGCCCGTCCGGGACCAGTAGCAGCGGCTCCAAAGCCTCGGGGCCGCCCAACCCTCCAGCCCAGGGGGACGGCACCAGCCTCTCCCCCAACTACACCCTGGAATCCACGTCGGGGAATGACGGCAAGCCGGTCTCCGGGGGCGGCGGCCGGGGACGGGGTCGCAGAAAAAGGGACAGTGGTCACGTGAGCCCTGGCACCTTCTTTGACAAGTACTCGGCGGCTCCGGACAGCGGGGGCGCACCTGGGGTGAGCCCAGGGCAGCAGCAAGCGTCAGGCGCAGCCGTCGGGGGAAGCTCCGCAGGCGAGACGCGCGGGGCACCGACGCCCCACGAAAAGGCGCTCACGTCGCCATCCTGGGGGAAGGGGGCTGAGTTGCTCCTGGGGGATCAGCCGGACCTCATTGGGTCCCTGGACGGCGGGGCCAAGTCGGACAGTAGTTCGCCAAACGTGGGTGAGTTCGCCTCGGACGAGGTGAGCACGAGCTACGCCAATGAGGACGAGGTGTCGTCCAGCTCTGACAACCCCCAGGCACTAGTTAAAGCGAGCAGGAGTCCCCTGGTGACCGGCTCGCCCAAACTCCCTCCCCGTGGGGTAGGCGCCGGGGAACACGGACCGAAGGCGCCCCCGCCCGCCCTCGGCCTGGGCATCATGTCTAACTCTACCTCGACCCCTGACAGCTACGGCGGCGGTGGGGGCCCGGGCCATCCGGGCACTCCGGGCCTGGAGCAGGTCCGCACCCCGACGAGCAGCAGCGGCGCCCCGCCACCCGACGAGATCCACCCCCTGGAGATCCTTCAGGCGCAGATCCAGCTACAGAGGCAGCAGTTCAGCATCTCCGAGGACCAGCCTCTGGGGCTGAAGGGTGGCAAGAAGGGTGAGTGCGCCGTCGGGGCCTCAGGGGCGCAGAATGGCGACAGCGAGCTGGGCAGCTGCTGCTCCGAGGCGGTCAAGAGCGCCATGAGCACCATTGACCTGGACTCGCTGATGGCAGAGCACAGCGCTGCCTGGTACATGCCCGCTGACAAGGCCCTGGTGGACAGCGCGGACGACGACAAGACGTTGGCGCCCTGGGAGAAGGCCAAACCCCAGAACCCCAACAGCAAAGAAGGTATATGCACACTCGTTTTCCTCTCACTTCCCGGGTGACCCGCCCCATCCCCAGGGCAGGACTTAGCCTTCGCCTTTTGGGGTCCTTTGAGGTTTGGAGGGCACAAACCCTCCTAATCCCCAACTAGGAGCTGGTTATCCCACCTTTGCTTACACCAAGGGCTGTGAGGACAGACCCCCCCACACACACTGCCCCCAAGCCCCCCACATGTTACCAGGTAGATTCTAGTGCCACAGGGTGGCAAAAACTTAGATGGCAGCCCTTTGGGAATCTTGTAGAGTACCCCGCCCAGCCGCCCCCACACCCCCAGTTTTAGCTGAATTGCCCCTTCCCTTTCACACTAAGACCCCTCCCCACCCTCAACATTGAGGCTGGCTCCACTTTTTAGCAGCTGTGTGCCGCCTTCCCTGGCAGGACACCTGGGAAGTTGTGTTAACGCCTCCCACCTTTTCCTAGTTAGTCAGCCTCTAGCGCTAGTTCTTTTAGGTGCCAGCATTTTTAGGAAAAAAAAGTTACCAGCCCTGGTGTCGGCAGCATCACTCAGAGGCAACGCCTAATTTGACATTTGTTCCTAATGAATAGCTATTTTGTCTCTTCTTAACTATCAGAGTTTCATTGAAAAACGGGAGACCTGTGGGGGTTGCAGGAGGCAGGGAACCTTTTCAGGGCGCATCCCCTTGACATTTGGTGGGGTTGGGGAGGGGGAGTGCTGGGGTGGGGTCGGCTTGGACATCATTTGTGTATGGGGATATGGATATATACTCTTAAGACACAAAGGATCCGTGTTTGTCAATATCTCGCTTGGCTTTGGTGACAGATGTCCTGTCCCAGCTTTCGTTTGCATTCTAAGCACCCCCTCCCCACCAGGCCTGGAGGCCTTTAAGGTGGGAGGGGTGGGGTTAGTAAATGGGCTGCCATTCCAGTTAAAGTAATAACAGTTCTTTTTAACCTAAGGATGACTGGGTTGCCGTAGATATTTATTTTATCTGAATGGAGGTTTAAAATGTCTGTATATAAAGTGCGTGTGTGTGTGTGTGTGTATATATATAGGTGTATATATAGGTATGTGTGTCTATATATGTATCTATATATATCTAATGGCTTCTTAAAATCAGGTAACATCATTTCTTTCTTTCTATGTCTTTCTTTTAAACTATAGTTGAATTCCCTTGGTTTCCCTAGACAGACTATCACCATGGAACCAGTGGCTGGCATTTTAACCTTGTTTTTGAAAATGTGTCCCCCCCCAGTGCAATTCTTGCCCTCTTTTACAGTTCTTTCCTCCTCTGCCTTCGTTTCCCTCATCCTCCCCACATCCTGCCATGTCTTGACCCTGGATTTAAGGTGAGGGTAGGTTTTAGGAGAATGGCATGGGGGCTGGGGGAGGCAAGAGGAGAGGAAGCGAGAGTGGGCTGGGAGTTGGGTGGTTCAGAACTTGGGGCTTTCAAGGCGCGCATCCCGGGTAGCTTTCCCGCTTAGGTTTTCTAATTCATGAATGCGGCCTCTCTGCTTTTTCTCTTTGTTCCGCGGTTACTGCCCAGCCCAGGACGCCCGGGACGCACTCTCTCATTTGAAGCCGGGTGTTTAGCATGCACAGCAGACGCTGCGGCCAGCATCAGCATTCTCCAGGCTTCTCCCAGGCAAGGCCATAAATTGGTTAGTTTGGGACCCTCAGCTTCTTCTCCCTTTTTTCCCCCCCTTTTTAAAATCGAGTTGGACACAGCCTCCTGCTTGCTCCCCCCACCCCTTTATTTTCTTGTACACGACATCTCGATCTGGCCCGATCGATAGCTGGTTAGCACAAATCTCAGCCCCTGTCACTTCTACCTGGCCTGGCCTGGCCTAGCCGCCCCTCCCCCTTCCCCTTCTCATCCTCCCCTCCCACTCCTAGTAATTAAGAACATATTGGCCAAAATGAGGTGAGAAAAGTTAAAAAAAAAAAAAACAACAACCCTGATTTAAAGAATCCATTTAAGAAAAACAGTAGCACTTCATCTTCAAGTCTTTTAAAGGGCCTTCATAGACTAGGTGGACAGGTATAGGGTCATTTTAATGAGATTTTTAGAAGTTGTCTCTCCCCATCCCCTTTCCAGTCCTTCCTTTAGAGATGAAGATGCAGGCTGTGAATGAAGAAATGTCACCAAAGAAATGTTTTGTTTGTGTCATCATCACAGTCAGATGAATGAAAATATTTTTTAGAAACAGATGCTAGTCACTTTAGGGTTGATTTCTCCTGTAAGCTAAAGGAAGCCCTCCCCTGCATGCGGGGCGACAGGGACTTCCATCAGGGACCAGCAGGGCTGGCTGTCTTATAAGCACCAGCAGGGACACCCACTTGACCTCCTTTGTTTTCTACTCTGTGGTGTGGGAAGGACAGTTTCCTCGATAAAGCAGCGAATTGAGGTCACTCGAAGCTTCTGTAGCCTTGGGGTTGCTAGTTAAGGCTTTATAAGGTATCTGCATCTGAATCCTGCTCCCTTACTGGTAGTAAATAAGGATGATTAAACTTTTCATTATGATAACACCCTGTAGTTCCATCTGCACACGTTGTATAAATAGGTACACAGAGCTTTCTACAGGCCCCTGAGTCCCCTCACTGAAAATCAGAGTGAAGTGTGCCACTTCGAAATAGAGACAGAAAAAAAAATCATAGCAAAATGTTCTGCTTTTCCTTTAAAAACATGCTCATGGTCCCATTAGCCTTGAGCAGTGGTGTCCAATGGCTTTGAATGGACCTTCTCTAGGTACCAGCCCCAGCATTTTTTTTTCTACTCCCCTTGCAGGCAAAGCCCATTTTTGTAATGATATTTTATTTTGTCACGCCGTAAAACATGCCAGTACTAATGTGATTAAATATTAACACCGTTTCTGAAATTCTTCGCTCCAATGACAAAATACTAGTCGGTATTTAACAAAATGATCCGTGCTCGGATTGGAGGGAACGAATAAGTCTTCAGAACTGTACAAGGCGTGCAGCCACTGGGACGTGCCCAGATTGTCTTATGGGCTTGAGATGTCCTTTGGAGGGGAGGGAACTTGACTGGCAAGTTGTCGTTCTCGCAAAGTCTAGGCCAACATCACATGGGATGATGATTTTTTTAAACCAGGAAATCTAGCTAGTCTCTCCAAATCATGCTTCTCTTGACTTCTTAATCAACCCACCCAACAACTTTTATATAATGCAACTTTACCTCTGAGCATGAGGCTCTATTTGTACAAAGTTGTGGTGGGGGAAGGGTGAGATTGTGGAAAGGAAAAAAACAAAAAACAAAAAACAAAACCCAGCCTGAGTTTGGGCCTATTCAAACATCAATTAAATTGGTGAGAATTATATGGATTTAAAAAGAGTTTGCAAAATCATCCGCCTATCTTTGTAACACACTATAGAAATGATCCCTGAAAGTATAGTCTTCATCCACCTATCTTTGTAATAGGTGTGTGGCTACGGAAGAATTTCAACACAGAGAGGAGAGATAATGATAGATTATAGATAATGCATATTAAGTTGGAAAAAGTACGTTTTCTCCCCTCCTGCCCCTTACAATTTTCAAAAGTTGAATTAACCGTATTCTGTAATACGTTTATCTTTGCCAAACCTCCTTTCCCCTGGTAGCTCTATCTTGAAACCCAGGGCAGTCTTGAAGTACTCTTTCACATACATTGAAATGGGAGCAGTCTCGGTACACACTCTGCAAGCAATCCTGCCCTTTTTGGAAGTATGATATTTTTACAGTGATGCCAGAGAAATTTTTGGAATTTCATGCTTCTCTCAGTGTTGCAGTCAGAACACAGTAACAGCACTGAGCAATCCTAGGCAGGCAAGATTTGAACATGGAATTTCTTTAGACATAGGGCAGACTTGGGGCGGGGGGGCAGGTAGGTCCTAGCCTCAGAGCAAAGCACTGTTTTCCTGAGAGAATTTTTAAGGCTCATTTGAACTTGTTTGGGGGAAGGCAAAGAGCTTTGCAATCCTGTTTCCCTGTGAAATTACCCAGCACGAGTTGTATGCCTTCATGTGACTTTTGCGCCTCCGGAAGATGTAACCCAAAACTTCGCAGGTGTTAATAAGGGATAATGTAAACAGATAGGGCCCCCTTTGTGCAGCTGACGTTTGGGCCTCCCTGCTCCCTGGATATCCCAGGACATCAAACTACTGTTCTTTGGTGCTTGTTTAATATTTCATGGCTGTAATAAACCTGTCTACTTTGCCCGCCTCCTGACATAAAACCCCAACCTAACACACATCTGCAATCATACATTTCTACTAAATATTAATAAAGGACAAGGATGTTTTAAGGGGCTGAAAGCTGGCAGTGTTGAACTTGTCATGGTTTTCTACCACTGGGTTTTCTGGCTGTTTTGATTTTAAATAGCCATTGCTTTCTAATATGCAAAATATATTTATATATTCATATATATATATATATATATATATATATATATATGCAATTTTTATAGATTGAAGGGCTTTCCTCAAGTATAGCTTTCTTTAATATAAATTCATTTAGATTTCTTGTGAGGCCCCTTCAGACCGGAAATAAGGAACTATTGAAATGTACTTCTAGTTTATTGAGGTTTCTAGGAAAGGAGTGAGAGTTAGTTAATCTAATTTCTCTTTCTAGCAAGGAAATTCTATGATTCCTGATATGATTTTGTTTGCCTGACAGAGGTATTTAAATTTCCACAAAGAATCTTAATAGGTTTTGAAAATGCGGCTACTCTTGCCAAGAAGTTACTTGATACCCTGTGCTGATATAAAATATACATTTTTAATAAATAGTCCGGCAGGACCAGGTGAAATTAGAGGAGGAAAATTCTTCCCACTGTGGAAGGGCCAACTTGAGTGGGTCACTGGGATTTCACAGGATCTCCTAAACTCACTTTATGCTGGAAAATGTAGCAGAATCACTTGTGACCCGTTTCTCTCCACCTGAATGACAATGACGTCGGATTGTGTTCTTTGCCCAGGGAGTGATCAGCTTTGCCGAAAGCATTTAGGAGAGATAAACACTCTTGGTAAGGAATACTGTATTTACCTCTGTTTGGTTATTTTTAGAGATTAAAAGGCTGTAGCTTTATATAATAGGATCAAATGTCTGGGGAGTGTGTGGGAGCAAGCAGGCCTCCCAAGCACACCGCAACATAAAAACACCAAATCCTCTCATGCCAGAGCGGTCCTCTGTTTGTCGGAGGGGGTGGGGGGCTGCAACCAGTGGTTTCACCTTCTGTCCTTTTCTCACTACCCGCTGCTTGTTCCACCCAGTTCTCTGGTCTGGAGGGGCCAGGATCGCCCAACCTCATCATTTTGACTCAAGTCAGGATTTTGACTTGCCGACGATGTGTTTGTTTTAGGATGGTGTCTATATTTAGGCGCGTCTTGGGTGGACAGATTTGAGTGTGGGATTTGATCGCTCTTGGTGGAGATGTTGATGTATACATGAGTGCGTGATTGAGAAGAGGGACATTTGGAGGAAATTTTTCAAGCCTCCTCGCCTTCTCACACACACTGGAGCCAAATGAAGTGGTCTGGGGGCCAGCTCGAAAGAGCACAGCTGAGGTGGGTGGAAGCTCTGGGTCTGTATCTCAGGGGAGCAAAGCAGGGCCCCATGCAGTTCAGTGTGTGAAGAAGCCCCCCTCTCTCCCCCTCGCCCCATCCCAGCATCCGCATATATACATATGCATGGCCGAGTGTATTTCCATCCAATCTGGAGTCACTCCTCCAGTTTACCCTTAATCTGCTTTCTGAAGGCGAGCGGGGAAAGGAGCTCACCCTTCAGTCTCAATGGCCTTAGCTGACAGGTTCTGATTCTGTAAAGGACTGAATGAGCGTGAGTCCTAAAAATAGAGGGAGGATTTTGAAGATCCTAATTACGAAATCTCAGCCTCCCGGGCCTCCTGGGCTGTGGGTGACTTTGATCTGGAGTATTTCAGTAGCAGACGCACGTCGCCCCTCGCTGGGTTTTGTGCGTGAGCGTACGTGGAGGTGTCTCTCTGGCTGAGTTCAGCTAACACCAGTTTCCTGCCAGGAGAGGAATCTTTGAATCAGTGCCCCCTCCCCTTCTTTACTCCCCCCCCACCTACCCCCACCAGTTGTGGGAAGCGGACGCTGCTTCTCATTTATGGAAATTCCTAGCCTTTATTGTAATCTTTTTGTACCAACGACGTGGCGGAGACGACACTGGGCTTTCAAATTAGTCATGGTCCTGCCTGCAGGGACCCTCTGTGTCCTGATGCAGAACAGCTCAGCCACAGTCCCCAGCTCAGAGCCACCCAGGGCCCCGAGAAACTGTGAACAGGCCTCAAAAGGAGAGATGGTTCTGGGATCCTGGCACATTGTGCCCGATGGGTCACCCCGCACGAAGGTGGCCCTGGTCATTTCCTGCCATCTTCCGATGACAGGACAGCATGCAGCCTCACCTGGGTGATCAGCCGCTTTGCAGAGCGTGGGTGAGATGATACCCTGCCAAGTGTGCGCTTCAGGGGGCAAAACCTCCAAACTTATTTTGTGACCAGGATTGAGAAGCAGAGTTAAGTTTCATTTACTTGTGTGGGGAGGGACTTTTGAAAGGCATCATGTTCTCGGGATGTAATTATTATAGGATGCTGAGACCCGCTTTGTGTGCCGGCCTTCATTTTAATCAGCAGCCTCCGAGGTTTGAGCAGCCAGTGAAGTATCTGCTCCCAACCCGGTGTTTGCCCAAAAGGGCACAGAGGGGAGAAATGGCCACGGGTTTCTCCCAGTCTTGAAATCCAAGGGGTTGAAACTGGGTTCCCGATAGCTTCCAGTTTGGGCCTGACAAGACCATATTGGACTGGCACCCTAGGTACCTCCTGAGTCAGGACTTGTCCTAGCCACAGCATCCCAAATTGTCATTCTCTCTAGGCTGAGAAAGCTGGTGGGATTTCATAATCACCACTTCCTTGAGAAGCCGGAGCAGAGAGAACTTTATAGTGATTGCATGCGTATCTTTTCACGATTTACGCATCATCGTAGGGACCCAAATGCCCTTTAAACATAAGGCAACTGAATCTAGCAGTTTGGAGGTCTTAGAGCATTTGTAATAACATGCTGGCTCTCTGTGAATGTCCCAGAAGGAACATCTTCCATGGAATGGACTTGTCCAAAAAGGGAGAAAAAATTCCCCAATAAACATCCCCATATAAACTCACATTGTTGAGGGAAATCACGTTTTCGTGTTCTCATCTTGAAAGCTCTGAGTCCAGCGAACTCACCTTGCCCTACTTCCCCTGGAGTTTATAGGATCAACTATGTGCCCAGAAGCTTCCATCTTATTCCCATCTTTGATCTCTCTGTGGAAAATCTTGGACTCCCCCAAAATGTTTGCTCCTAGGATTTTGCTCCTTCTGTCTATCTCGGTTTCTTGGGCTACAGTTTGACTTACCTATGCTGGTATTTGGTTTGGGAGATGCAAGGTGTGTTGGGAAATAGTTTAGGGAAACAGGGAGACCCCTTGGCGGAGGCGTATTTGGGACCCATTGCTATAGAAGATCTTTGGAAAGTTGGGGACTTCAAAGATACCCACAAGAGAACCAGGTCTTGTTTTTATCCTGCATGTCTCAAAAACAATCTGCATAGTTACTCAGAAGTATATGGCCATGGTCATGTCTTTGGAGGAAACGTGGACTAACTTTGGTGCTGAGGCACCCTTGCAGCTTTGTTTTTCCTGCTCGCTCTTCGAGCAGCCTGACTCATGAGAACTAAGTGGCCCGTTGATGCATTCAATTGTGAGGATTTAAAAGTAGTTTTTTTCTTCTCAGTGCTGAGAAGAATTTAAAGAGTTTTGGGCATGATGGTTTTGTTTGATCTCAACACTTGGGACAAAAATTTCCCTGGAGTGACACCGTCTGGGGGGGTCTTTCTGATGCCACTCGTTTTGCGTGGTATGACTAGGAGAAATCTCTCTGCGTCAAAGTTGAGGGCCCCAGTGTGCCTGGTCTGGTTTTCTTGGTCCTATTTGGGAACTCCTGGAACGTGAGATGACAGTTAATAAGTGAACCCCTCCACGCATGCGCACATGCGTACACACGTGCGTGCACACACACACGCGTGCACACACACACACATAACTTCTTGCTCATCCAGTCATTCAGGGAAGGATGAGATGTCAAAAAAAAAAAAAAAGATATGACCCTTTTCAGTTACTGTGAAGCAGTGTTTTCAGACGCCCTTGGATCTTGGAACACAAGCATTGTTGAGTGATTGGCAGCGACCACCAGGAGTAAAATACTTCTGAGGGACCATCTTATGATCAGAGAAGGGGTGGGGAAGTCGGCAGAAAACCTAGCCTGCTTTGAAATCCCCAAAGCTCAGTCTTCCAGAGAAAGCAGGGGTTGGTTGAGAATTTGCTGAGAAGTTAGTGGGTTCTTCCTGGTCCCTGTGTGCTGTTTGAAAGCGTCCTTGCAAGTTTTAGGGCCCCGATCCTGATGTGGACACTGTAGGTCCTCATTTCCAAATAAATCAGAAGGCAGAGAGAGAAGCACCTCCAGTGAGGAAGACTAGATGGAAATTGGGGTGCGGCGTATTTTCTCAGGATAGGGGCATGGCAGAGGGACGGATGGGGCAGGGAGAAATGCGTCAACATGAGTTGAAGTGTCGTTTACTGACTCTTGGGGTTCGCGAGTGGAAAATAATTTATAAATGTGGAATTCATTTATAACAACATCACCTGGGCTAGGCTGAGGGTGTATGAATTACTTGGCGGCTGGTGTCGGCCGTCACAAAGGACAGAAGGTTCTTGCCCAAGCTTTCCCTGTGGGGCTCGGGGCTCCCACATCGCTGCACATGCATGGGGGAGGTAGATCCGGAGGACCCAGCCTGAGACTGGATGACCGCATTGTGGGTCTGTTAGCAGTCAGGACCCGTTTCTGTTGAGTTAGTGGCCGAGGCAGGCTCAAGGGGATGAAGACCCAGATGGGCCCTGGGTAGGTCAGGACCCAGACGTGCCTGTGGCCAATTCCTGCAGAGGAGCTGGTCCCTTGAGGCCCAGATCCTTCCATAAAAGAGGGATGATGGGGGTGGGAAAAGGGAGTGACCTTTCCCCTGGTGATCCTGTAAGGTGGCCACTAAGGCTTCCCTCCTAGCAAGACCCTCAGGGATGATCTTGGCTTTCACAGACCTTGTAGGCAGGTCCCAATGCCTTGAAATGCAAGTGTGCCCCATGATGCCCTCCCACACAATATATATATTTTTCCTTTCTCTGAATGGTAGGCAAAAAGGGGACCAAAGTAAGTGACAAATCCAGCAAGAGGAAGATTTCCCTGACTTGAGATAAGCCAAGTGTGGAAAGGAGCTGGAGAAATTAAGAGTCTCTTCTTTCCTCCCTTCCAGGAGACCCCAGGTCCAGCCTTCAGAAGCCCTTAATGCTTTTGCAGTGAGACCTAATTGACTAAAAACAAATTGGCCATTTTCATCCCCTGCAATGTAACTTTTGGCGATTGTTTAGTATTTGAAGGAAGGGAGGCTGCAGATCAAAATTTGGCTTTTTAGAACAGGAGCAATTTCACGATCCTTATGCCATGACTATTTCTAAATTGTCTGGGCAGAAAGCTTTGAATGCCTTTTGCCGGGCTTTGCTTGCGTGCACACACGCACGTGCACGTGCACACATACCACACAGGCCTGAGAAGTCTTAATAAGAAATGAATAAATAATTTTCTCCCCCAAGAAGAAGCTCATGCAAAGTTTTGGCCTCGTTCAGTTTGAAGTAGACGCGTATTGATCTCCATGCGGTCAATTTTTGCCGAATTTGTAATCCTGTTAGGCCTCCGGGAAAGGCATGATTAATTTACTTGTACATTTCACTATTTTGGGTCAGTTTAGTTAATAAGCATTTATTTTGTGCTCAGCGCCTGTGAAGCATTTTGCTGGGATTAGAAGTGTGTGTGTGTGTGTGTGTGTGCGCACGGGCATTAATGGGCCCGGATTGCCTGGCATAGAATAATGGCCACCAGTAGTCTAGGTTCCCACCACCTCCTCAGGACAGGAAGAGGAGGCGAGTGGCGCCTTTCACCATCACTCGTCCAGGAGGAGGGAGAAAAAGCCCAGTCGTTGAGCAAACCCAGCCTCCCAGAACCTTGGAGACGGCCAAAGAACACGGGCTTCCTTCTGGTGCCTTGGTTCTCCGACCCTGAGAGTTTCCCAGCATTAATTCTTAATTGACTGGGAGTTGAGCACTCGTGTGGGCCAGAGGTCTCTGCACATGGGTGGACAGTTGGGAATCTTCAACCTCTTTGCAGTACCTTTTATGCTGCTTCCTTGACACATGGTGGTGGTGGTGGTAGGAGGATGTGTGTGTGTGTGTGTGTGTGTGTTTAACTTTTAAGAAATGCATCGTTTGACTTCCAAAGAAGGAAGAAAAAGTATGCATAAGTCTCGGAAGCTGAGAAAAGGAATAACAAAGCAAAACAGCCCTCAGCTTTGGCCTTTCCTAACACTGAGTCTGTAAAGGGGAGCATGTGTCATTTTGATGGTGCGAGCACTTCAGCCTGGCTTCTTTGGGGGGCCCCCCTCTTCCTCTCTGGGCTCCCCACAGCCTTCCTGTCTCTCTGCCTTCAGAAGATGGGCTAAAATTCCACTCAAAAAACAACCATCAAAATGCCAGGGTTCGGCCATAACAGTTTTTGAGAAATGGTGTTTTCGGCACCCCCCACCATTTGCTTAATTCCTCGCTCATCTCGTCGGTTCCCACCAAGGCCTTGCCTTTGCAGAGTGAGGGCCAGACGGAGTCTTTGCGGCGCTGAGCCAGCCTGAAATGAACTGAAGGCGCTGAGGAAACAGGCATTTGGAGAGATGAGGATACAATTTCTTTTTTTATGTGGGCCCGTTAAAGTCTAATGGACATTGGTGTCTGGCCTTAAATTTGGAGAGGGTCTTTATCTAACCCTTAAAACTGGAGTCGTTTCCGGTAATTACGACACCCCAGGCAAGACCACTAAATCTTCCAGAGGCTTGTCTGGATGGCCGTGGTGGGGCTGGGAGGGGCCATGGGGGGGGGGCACACCTGTTACCTGTATCAGCTATAATTATGACATTTCTAGACTCCTGGTTTTAAAGGAAGAATTTATGGGCTAGGTAAAGCCGGAAGAGAGCAGCCAGAGGCGTTCTGGCTTATGGCAGCGAAGTTGCAAGAGCCCCCACGCTCGGTGCCCATCACGGCCCCTGCATTTCCTTAATGAACTAATTTAGTTCCCCAACATTTGGTATTAAGTAAGTAGTTATTTTGGGAATCGAAGAGAGAAAGAGCTGGAAGACTTTAAAAAAACTTTTTGGAAAAAAGAAAAAGTATTGCATTTTTAAGTTTGAGACGTCTTGGCGTCCAGGCGTAAGATGTGGGGGAGGACTCCTTTGGTGCGACGTGGCCGGACGTGGAGAAGCGGCCGGCCCCATCCCTGCCTGTGTTTTTGCTTCTCGACAGAGGGGGTTTTTCCGTTGTTAGGAACGGCGGAGGCCACAACACCCAGACTCCGAGCAGTTTGTTTGGAAGTATTGTTTAGATTATTCTCGCTTTTCAAATTGAGACAAACTTGGTTTAATGGGAAAATAGCAGTATTACTATCTTGGTGTGTTTGCTTTAGCGTTTAAAAATAGTTTGTTTTCATATCCCAAATTTCATCCTTTCCTTGTTTGCTTGTTTGATGGAAACCCGTGTGTGTGTGTGTGTGTGTGTGTGTGTGTGTGTGTGTGTGGCGGATGCCAGCACGCACATCTATATAGATGCCGGCGATCAAATAGTTGCAATCGTCCAACCAAAAAACGATTGCAATTTTACATCTGGCTAAAGGGACTCATACCATTTGTTTTTAACTTAAACCATCTTGTCCCTTCCTTCGGCATCAGCACACCACTCCCCAACTCCCCCCGACCCACAACCCAGCAGTATTTATTTCTTCCTTAAAAAAAGGAATGCCGGCCTGTTCGCTAAGGTCCCTGTTGGAATAGATTTTCAGAGGTTATGTATTAAATGTGTTTGAGGGCGATTTCAGCCCTCAGCCTGGTTGTCCCAGTACTAATGGTAGCAGGGCCTATTACAGACAGGCAAAGAATATTGTAAATGGCTTATGCAGAAAAACCATTTAGATAAAAATGCAATTTTCCCCTCTGCATAGAGTGCTAAGAATTAATAGCACATTCTTTCTAAATGGGTATTTTTATATTATATTTTCCCCCTAATGAAATTCTTTCCCCAAACAAGAGCATGTTTCATTTTAAACTTTAGAGTAAAATTGATCTGTTTTTAAGCCTGCAAAAACTGGTGTCCTAGTTCTCAGCAGGCCCCTACCTTCCCTCCTCTGCGTCTGAGATTTTTGACATTAGATTGTGTAGCGGATGGTAATGGCGGTTGTGTTTTTTGACAGTCCATCCACATTGAGGCTGAAATAGAGAGAAAGGCTGGGTTTGCCCACATTTTGGGTGGATATGGGGGTGTTTGGCGGTTTCAACAAACAGAGAAACTGGTCCTGAAATCTGAGCCGTGTGCACTCAGGCCTGGCCTGGCCTGGGAGGAGGCTCAGTTCCCTGCTCCCTGGGAGTGCCTGTGATCCCCTAGGTGCATCCCCTGCTCCTGGCTTCTGTATGACTGCAGGGGAGATCCAGGGTCCCCAGTCCTGCTCCCCTTTATACGACTTCTGGGAAAGGGGCTGCTTCCAGCTCCCGAGTACCCTCTGAGGGGCAGTTCTCAGGGGCCGGCTCTCTGCCAAGGCCTCTGTGGCCATTTTGGGAGGAATGGAAATTCAGAACTTCTTAGAAGGCTGACTTCAGGCAGACCAGCAGGAGCCTGCGGCGGCATCATCGTGGAAAGTCTTTGAGAGCTTGTTGCACTGGCCGCCATGGGCCAGTGTCTGCTGACCCAGTTTTCCCTGCCTGGGTGTGTGTACGTGGAGATATTCGGACTCGCCTTGGCAGCTTAGACGTCCAGACTTGACAGTGATAGACCCTGTGACATTGTAGTAGGTGAACATCTAAAACACAAGCTTGTGGTTTTTCACTATCAATATGGCACTGATGTGAAAGTTTAGGTAGAATTCTAGAATGGGAAAGACCTTCTCCTGTTTTTTGTGCCCCTCCCCTACAACATTTTCCAGTTGAGATAACGAAAGCCCAGAGAGGGCAGGCAACTTGGCCAAGGTCACACAGCACAGGCGCAGAGCCAGGACAGGACTATAGTTGACCTTTGGCCTTGGGCTTCCCTTCCTGCCCCTTAATGCCCTCACCTGAGAGCTAGGATTTGATTTTATCTGGCTAAGCCTCGTGCAGACCAGAACTGGGTCTTAAACTAGAGGTTTCCAAGCCTTTTTAAAAAGCACCATGACAGGGCCGGGCACGGTGTCTCAGGCCTGTAATCCCAGCACTTTGGGAAGCTGAGGCAAGTGGATCACCTGAGGTCAGGAGTTCGAGACCAGCATGGCCAACATGGTAAAATCCCATCTCTACTAAAAATACAAAAATGAGTGGGGTGTGGTGGGTGTCTGTAATCCCAGCTACTCAGGAGGCTGAGGCAGGAGAATTGCTTGAACTCTGGAGGTGGAGGTTGCAGTGAGCCAAGATCACACCACTGCACTCCAGCCTGGGCAACAGAGCAAGACTCTGTCTCAAGAAAAAAAAAAAAAAAAGCAGCACGACGTACATCCCCTGGTTGGTGGTTGGTGATGGCAACCCTTGTTCCCTTCCTCTTGTGGAGGTGGACATCGTGCAGGAGAGAATTCTTGACCTTGGGGAAGCCGCAGTAGCACCATAGCCTGTCAGATGGTTGCTGTGGGTTTCAGCCCTGGCGTTTTGATTCTTCCGAGCTGGGTGATCTCAGACAAGCCACTTCACTGCTCCCAGCTTTCTTTCCTCATAGATAAAATTGACAAGAGGAAAAAAAAAGTGTGTACCTCACAGAAATATTGTGAGGACCAAATAGTATGTTTTAGCTAGCATTATAATTATGTGACTAAGGGCACAGGCTTTGAAGCCAGACTACCTGGGTTCAAACCCCAGCAATTCCAGTTCCTGGCTGTGTGTCCTTGGGCAGGTTACTTAATCTTTCTGTTCCTTCATTTCCTCATCGGTGAAAGAGAATAATAATAGTTCCCGCCTCATGGGGCTAGAAGGATTCAGCAAGTTAATATATATATGAGTTGATACTCAGAAGCCTGCTTAACACAGAGAAAGTACTATATGCCAGCACCAGATTTTACTGAGCACTGACTATATACCAGGTGGTTCGTATATAGGGCATCAGTGAACCTAGGAAGTGCATGGTGGCATTGTCGCTATTGTTTGTCCCATCTTAGGGATGAAGAAATGAAAGGCACAGATTGGCTTGCAAGTGGTGCCGGCTGGAGGGGAAACGATGCCAGGCTGTACTTCAGGCACTTAGCCCCGGGCCTGGCACTGGGGACTTGCTCAGTAAATGTCACAATGTCATAGGGCGGGGCCGGGCTGGGACCCACTGCCCCTGCGTCAGCAATTTCAGGCCTCACTATTGGGCCGGTGTGGGGCCGGGGAAGGGAGGGGAGGATTATATGTGCAGACCTTCTCCTTGTTCGGGGCATTCAGACCCTGTGGTCTGGTCACAGCCTGCCACCATCGGGCACGTGTTCCTAGCAGTGGGATGGTAGCGCCAAGGTATTTTTTACCACCCGACAGCTCTCCCTGTGCCCCCCAAGGAATAGTTCCCTGATATGTGTGAGTAATGGTCAGCCTTCTTGTGGAGGGAATCCATGAGATGAGCTGGTCCGCGGCCCCTGATCATTTTGCCAGGAGCCCGAGTCAACCATAAACAGTCTGGGAGCCAGCAATAGAAAAATTAAACCCCTGCGTCTGGCAACTCAGGTGGGGCCTCAGGAACCTGGCAGGCTCGGGCTGAACAGAGATAGCAAGAGCAAGAGAGAGAGAGAGAGAGAGCTTGAGAGTGAATGAGCGTCCCTGCCCCAGGAGATAGTGGGAGGGTTTAGGAGGCAGACAAGCCTGGGATCGAATCCTGGCTCTGCCACTCGTGTGCTGTGTGACTCTGGGCAGGTGATTCACCTCTCTGAGCCTCAGTTTCCTCACCTGTTACATAGGTATAATTCTTGGGACCCTCTCAGAGGGTTGCTGTGGGGCCTGAGCATCTGGACAGGTTGGTGAGAGCATGGGCTTTGGTGTCAGCCAGAAGGTAGCTATTCTGTTCCCATGTGGGACTCTTGGACATGTCCAGTTCCTCTCTGGGCCTCAGTGTCCCTGGCTACAAACTGGGAAGAGTAACACCCTTCCCACAGGGTAGTGGGAATGCTCTTCACCCTGGGGCAATATTGCCCCCCCCAGGGCATACTTGGCAATGTCTAGAGAGATCTTTGGTTGTCGTGGCTGCAGGGAGGAAGAATGCTATGGGTCCCTGATGGGTGGAGGCCAGGGATGCTGTTCAATGTCCTACAATGCACAGGACAGGCCTCACTACTCTCCTTTCCAGGCCCAAATGTGAATAGCGCTAAGATTGAGAAACTCTGAACTACAGTGAGTGATTGAGGTTAGGTTCAAAATAATACTCAGGGCTGGGCATGGTAGCTCATGCTTGTAATCCCAGCACTTTGGGAGGCCAAGGCTGCTGGATCACTTGAGCCCAGGAGTTCGAGACCAGCCTGGGCAACAAGTGAGACCCTGTCTCTACAAAAAACACAAAAAATTAGCTGGCCATGGTGGCGCACACCTGTAGTCCCAGCTACCTGGGAGGCTGAGGTGGGAGGATCATCTGAGCTTGGGAGGTTGAGGCTGCAGTCAGTTGTGATCACGCCACTGCACTCCTGCCTGGGCAACAAAGTGAGACCTTGTCTCAAAGAAAAAAAAAATACTCAAAACTTTCTAGGCAGTATAGTCTATATTCAAGAGGGCTGGCATATTTATTCATTCAACAAACACTCCCAAGCACTTAACCACATGGCGATGCTGTTCTAAGTGGTGGGATGCAGTGGGGAGAAAGACAAATGCCCTGCCTTCATGGAGTTTACATTCTAGGGGAGGGGCCAGAATGACAGACAACAAAGAAGAACGCAGAGAATTAGAAGAGGGGATGTGCGTGAGAGTTCCTAGTCTGGGCCACCAGGAAGGTCTCTGAGAGGCAGTGACAGTGAAGTAGAATCCCTGAGTGATGACGAGGAGCCAGCCACTAGTGTTCTGGTGATTCTACTTTTAAACACCTGGCTCTCTGGGGTAGGGGGAGAGAAAAATAAATGCTCTGATATGCAGCATCTGCTGATTCCCGTGGTGTAAATACTCCTAATTTCAAGCCACCAAAGTGATGTCAGCTGTCAGCCGGATTGCAAAATTCCTGAATATTTAACAATGGGCTCCGGCACCCTGGAGCCAGCTGTATCAAGCTCTGCAGGAAGTGGGTTGGGCAAGGGGACAGTGAGGGCAGGTCCTAAGGCAGGACGGGGAGTGGGCCTATTTTAGGAAAAAGGCATTGCTGGTGAGAGGGGAGAGACAGTTCAGGCAGGCAGGGGCCCGACTGCTCGGGGCTTGTAGGCACGGTCAGATTAGCAGTTTGGAGTCCATTCTAAAGTGTGGCCGGGAGCCAGGGGAGGGTGTGGAGCACAGACAGGCTGGGATCTGACGGCACATAGTAGATGTGCATTGAACGGTGCTTCATCTGAGCCCAAGGTGTCTGAGAAAATGTCTGTTTCCCTTCCCTATGTTCTGGCCCTTTCTGAGATGGCAGAAACTTTCCTTCTGGTTTGGAGCCCCTGGGCCATAGGTTAGGGCAAGTTAGGCTGTCCCCTAGGACAGGGTGCTGGGGTCCTAAGGTAAGGGTTCAGCCTACCACAGGTGGGAGGGCATGGGGCATGTCAGTGGCTCCCTGAGCTGGGCAGGCCACAATTTATGTCCTGGTCCAGGGAGACTCTGTTTCCTCCTTCCCCCAGGCATTGTTCTCCAGGCCTTGCAGAGGTCACCCCGACAGGAAGGCACAGGCCCAGCTGGGGCCAGCCCGAGGAGGTGTGGAGGCCTGGGCCCCTGGGTGACCCAGGCCTGGCGTTCACTTTCTGGCAGCTTTTCTTTTGCATTCCTGCCCAACTCCCTGAGTGGCAAAGGAATCCTAACAAGCTACAGTTATTAAACACCCATCATGCCAAGCCCCATTTTACAGATGAGAAAACTGAGTCCCAGAGAGGCCAAGTGACCTGCCCAGGGGTGCAGTGTGGATTCATATCCAGGCCTTTCTGAGCCCGTGCTTAGAACCACTTATGGGCACGGAGATGAGGAGCTGTATTTCCTACCAACAGATGCTGGAGATAAAAACCAACTCTGTGTCTTGCCTCCTCATGGCCGTCACCAGGTCATGCCGTTGGCTGTTTAGGTCTTCCCATTTGTTCCCCACAGGTGACGGGACAGTGGTTCGAACCCCTAGCCTGGGGGCCGGGATGTGATTGGGGCAAGGCCGTGCTGCCTCACTGATCCTCAGTCAGCTATTCTATCCAGTGGCTCAATTCTGGCATCTCCTAGGACCCCAGTGAGGAGGAAGCGCCTGCCGGTATAGCTGGTACCTGCTGAGTGCCAGGGAGCACAGGTGCTTTGTTGCAGGAGTGCATCCTATCCTGGTCCCAGGCCTAGGGGGTGAGGACCCCATCCAGAGACAGCATTCATCATGGTCACCCTGGCACCCTGCTGCCTTTGGCCCCTGAGGTGTAGGAGGGGTGATGAGGATTTCCTGCAGAGGGACCGGGATGGACCCAGATGGGGCTGGTTCGGGGTCAGGGATCTTCACCCCCATCTCTGCAGGGGTGGGTAGGGAAGGAAGGGATGCCCCTGTATGGGAATTCCTTGTCCCAGCCCCGCCCACCTCATTTCTTCCTCCCTTATCCTTGAGAACACTGGTCTTAGCCAGCTTCTGCTTTCGTAGGTTGCATTTGCCTGGGCCGCTGTGGTCTGGGCTTCAGCCACTGTCCTACCCGAGTGAGGCTTGTTACAGACATCAGGGCCCACCTGACTGTGGTGGGCTACACGAGGATGCTCACATTTCCTCCATTAGTCACCTGATGGCTAGGCATTGGAGTCAGATTTTACGTCCCAGACCTCGGGGAGGAGGACAGTGCAGGAAGCCAGGCCTGTGGCCTTCCACTGGACTGATCTCCTTACTGCCCCGGGCCTCAGTTTCCTCATCTGTCTTTTGGGTTAAACGGGGTCGTGGCGAGGATTAAGACAGATAATGAAAAGCACTCCGCCCAGCGTCTGGCACATTGCAGACGTCACTAAGCCTTGGCATAAATACAGATGCTTCTCCTCCTGCACAGGAAGCATCGGGAACCTGTGAGGGGAGGGGGATGACACGTTGCATGAAGTGGAGAGGAGTGGGCGTCCCCCTGTGGGATGGCTCATTCTCCAGTGGGCAGTGAGAGATTTGCCTGCGGAATTTAGGAGGGTGGTCTTGGGTGCCGTTCAGGAAAGAGAAAGTGGCCGCGGCAGCTGGCAGAAATTCCCTCAACGGCTAGATGTGTTACAACGCCAACCAGTGAGAAAATGAATCTGAGACAAAAATTGTGCATTTTCTGGAACTCCTTAGAGTTTTAAATACCCTGGCCCCATATACCCACTTCTTAGATTCCCTGTTTGTGTAGGGCTGGAAAAATCAGTCCCTCGTTAGTGTTGGGAAACTCCTCAAAATCACGGCAACAATGCTAATAATATTTAAGAGCGCATTAATCACACCTTCTACTCTGCATATATATGGTGACGGGTTCTCCACGGGCAGTTACCAGACAAACCATGTGTAGCCCTTAAAAGCTGTGCCTGGTGGGTAGGAATCCCTGGTAGCTGTTCCCACTGCTTTGTCATCAGCCTGGGTCACTGACTCAGGATAAAAATGATGTACCCTGTAGAATTTTTCTTTTCTTTCTTTCTTTTTTTTTTTTGGAGATGCAGTCTCACTTGTGTGGCCCAGGCTGGAGTGCAGTGGCGTGATCTCGGCTCATTGCATCCTCCGCCTTCTGGGTTCAAGCGGTTCTCTTGCCTCAGCCTCCCTGGTAGCTAGCATTACAGGCATGCGCCACCACGCCCAGCTAATATTTTGTGTGTGTGTGTGTGTGTATTTTTAGTAGAGACACGGTTTCACCATGTTGGCCAGGCTGGTCTTGAACTCCTGACCTCAAGTGATCTGCCCACCTTGGCCTTCCAAAGTGCTGGGATTACAGGCATGAGCCACAGTGCTGGGCTGGACTTTTATTTTTTTTTTCTCTCTCTCTTTTTTTTTTTTTTTAGAAACAAGGTCTAGCTCTGTCACTTAGGCTGGAGTGCAGGGGCACCATCATAGCTCACTGCAGCCTCCAACTCCTGGGCTCACGCGATCCTCCCACCTCAGCCTCCAGGGTATCTAGGACTACAGGTGTGTGCCACCACACCTGGCTAATGTTTTATGTTTTCATAGAGATGGGGTCTTGCTGTGTTGCCCAGGCTGCTCTTGAACTCCTGGTCTCAAACGATCCTCCCTCCTCAGCCTCCCAAAGTGCTAGGATTACAGGCGTGAGATGCTGCACCCAGCCAGAACTTTTCTTCTTGCTTGCGTCTCTCTCCAAATCCACGCTATGGTGAGCAAACCCATTTGACCGGAGGTTTCATCTCGATTTTGCTTTCGGAAGAAATCTCTTGTGATTGTCTGCCTCAAGTGTTCATTTAGGGTTTAATCAAATAAAGGTGGGGCGGTAAAGGGATTGTAGGGAGCAAAATCCTATTTGTAGAGAGTGGGGAATACCCATGCCCTCCCTTGCGTTTTAAAGACCAAGGCAAAAACTTTTTGCATGCCAGTTCCTGGGGGACAGAAAAATCTCTCAGGCTTTGGTTCCCCAGGTGTTTGCTCTGTCTCCCTCTCCCCCACCGGCTCCCCCTCCTCTCCTTTTTCTTCTCTCCCTTTCATTTCTGGAACAATCGTCCTGGCCAGTTCCTTTGGGCTCTTCCACATTCTTTGCCAAAAACAAAAACCATTCTTAACCCCAGATGACCAGGCCTGCAGTCGTTTTGTCTGGTATGTGGCGTCCGCCCGAGTTGGGGCGGGTGAGGGGGGGCATGTATGCTTCCAATTTATATTCCAGCATGCCAGCTTCAAGGCGAGATGGGGCTAGGGGAGGAAAAAAAAAACCTCAAAAAGTGGGGAGGCCAGAACCACTGAATTTCAAGAGAGGAGAAAGAGGGAGAGGGTGGGGGAAAAACAGCCAAGCCGAGGTGACCGGCAGATTCTAGGTCAGGCCAGGCCCGCCCTTTCAGAGCCACCCCCCAGCCTCCGCCCTTCTTAGCCCTGTGGTAGACTTTGGATTGTGCTCTGTATTCTATTTGATTATTATTATTTTTTAATGAGGTCAGACTGAAAATCCATCTGCCTGGGCCTGCCTGCCTAGGTTTGAAGGCAATTAAACTGGAGACTAACCTCTTAATTAGGGTTTCCCTGTGTAAATCTCATTTGATAAATTCCTTATCAGCCTTGGCTTTAACTACAGCGCGTCCTCGAGACGGGATTGAGCTCCCCCTGGGACCTCTAAGTGAATCCCCCAAGAGAGCCTGCCCCACTGCAAACTCTTCTAGCCAGAGCCTCCCCCAGGAAGAGCCGGGAGAGAGGCCCCTTTCAGGGTTAATTAATCAGAAAATTTAGTGGTGCCCGGTGATTCCGGAGGACTTGTCTGCCACCTTTGAATTCTCCCATCTCCCCTTCTGCCTCCCTTCTAGGTCTTAAAAAATTTTTTTTGGGTGAACTGAACTCCGCTAAAGGAAATTTGCAGCCCCCACTGCTTCCTTGTGGCTCCCCCTCCCTTCTGCCCAACTTGTTTGTCTGTGTGGATGGTTAGATTTTTTTTCCTTCCCTTTTTTAAATGCAAGTGCGGCTGGGAGTAGAAATGTCAGGGGTCAGGCTTCAGGCGGCAGGGAGCAGAGGGGCAGCCTCAGCTGCTGTCGGTGCCATTCCATTCGGGGAGAGAGCGGAGCTGAGCTTAACCCTTTGGGGCCCAGGCCCTGCCTCTGGGTTCAAGGATACTGGGCACTTCTTTCCCCTCTCTTCATTAGAGTCGGAGGGGACTCTGGCACCTGGACTCCTTTTTCAGGATTTTAAGCTACAAATCACATCTGGGGTGGGACAGGGCAGTCATAGCAGCATCACCTAGGAGAGTGTGAAGCGGGAGTTTTGGTTCCATCAGCACGTCCTGAGCACCTGTGGGTGTGTTCCGGACCAGGAGCAAGATGCCACTCATATGCATGTGGTCACACAGGGCAGGCTGGGCCACGGCGGTATGCACTGCTATAACCTCGTCAGCATCCCAGGAGATAGCCCCATTTACAGATGGGGAAAACGAGGCCTCGAAGGGGTGGTGATGTGCTGAGTTCCCCAGCTGCTAATAGGTTGGAGTGGACGCGAGGCCCATCTTTCCCAGTTCTGAACCCTCGATTCCTGCGTACCAAGAACCCCTGGCCACTCCCACCCTCTGGAGTCTGGTCAGAGAAGAAGCCTGACTCACATACAGTGTTTGGATTCCTTCCATCATTCTGTAGCCATCGAAAGGGCGGGGGGCCAGGTTGGAGGGTGGAGCATGTGCCATGTCACCCACAGCACCCTCCAGCCGCTGTGAAGCAGCTACCGCTGTGGACCCATTTTATAGATGAGGAGGGCGAGGTACAGAGAAAGAAGGGACCTGCCTGAGAGCACAGCCGACATATGGCAAAGCCTGATGTATCCCCCATTCTTTCTGCCCACTGGGTCTGACTGCTCCTCAGCATGAGACATCACCAGCCCCTGGAAGCAGGAACAAGAGCACAGAACTGGGGCCTCCCACCTACCGGCTCCCCATCACCTGTGGAGTTGCCCAGGGGCTATGCAAGCTGGATGGTCTGTGATATGGGGGGCTCAGGAGGGGGTATAGCTGGCCTGGGTATTGTCAGGGTGACAGGGGGTCTAGTCTGCCAGTGGCTTAGGTTGGTACCTGGCAGAGCTGCCCCTGGCACACAGGGCCCTTATGGAATTGTCACGACTGTTGCTATGTCTAAGCCTCAGTTTCCTCATCTGTGAAATGAGGATGATGGCAGTGTCAACCCCCTGGGGTTCTGCGGGCACGAAACCCGTTCATGCGCAGAAAGACTCACCAGCAATGACCTGCACCTGGGAAACTTCAGTGCACATTAATTGGTATTATTATCATTTATTCCTAATATTGGAGGAAAAAAATGTAGGTACCAAGGAAGTCTCTGAGGGAAGAAACCCCATGTGATAATCAACACCTCCGTGGATAGCCAGGAGGGTGGGGGTTCCCAGTGGGAGCTGAAAGCAGGAGGCCCTGCCCTAGTCTGACCCGTGGGGTGGACCTCCGACCTGGGGCTGTGTGGCCCTGGGCAAGTTGCTTCACCTCTCTGTGCTCCCTCTGGTGGGGAGGAAATGCCAGCTTCTTCAGTTGGTGGGATGAGCGTGGACCTCAAGTCTTCAGGGCGAGGGGAGGGAGATTTGCTTCATGGCTCTGCCTTTAACTGGGCAGTGGCCTTAGAATCTATCTTGCTGGCCAGGCCTCTGTTGCCCTGTCTGGAATATCCCCGTTCACGACGGTGAAGTATAGAGGAAGCGATCTGCCCAGACGTGTTTTGCATTCTCCCAGAGAGCTCTTTAGACCTCAGGGATTATTATTAGAATAATGGAAAGTGGGATCATTTCTCTGCAGAGTTGGGGGGAATCTGGGCACACGGGAGGTGAAGCATTTGGCAGCTGCAGGTTTGTCCAGGGGGCCGTTTGCTCTGTGTCTGCCCCTGAGCCCCTACCACTGAGAGGGCACCGTGGGGGTGGCGAGAGATACTCATGTACATCAAAGGATCAAGGCCGGGCGCGGTGGCTCACGCCTGTAATCCCAACACTTTGGGAGGCAAGGCAGGTGGATCACCTGAGTTCAGGAGTTTGAGACCAGCCTGTCCAACATGGCGAAACTCAGTCTCTACTAAAAATACAAAAATTAGCTGGGCATGGTGGCGTGTGTCTGTGCCTCAGTATTCGGGAGGCTGAGGCAGGAGAACTGCTTGAACCCGGGAGGCAGAGGTTGCAGTGAGCTGAGATTGTGCCACTGCACTCCAGCCTAGGCAACAGAGCGAGACTCTATCATTCATGAATAAATAAATAAATGGACCAAGATGATGTTTGGGGCCTAGGGTTTGGGTCCTAGCATCCTCTCTTGTTGTATGGCCTTGAGTGAGTCACAATGCTACGTTATGTCTCAGTTTCCTCGGCTATGAAATGGGCATAGGGAGGCGGTGAGGACTAAGTGCGGCGAGCACGTGAGGCCCCAGCCTGGGCTCTGCACGGTGCACTCCCATGACTCGGGCCCAGCTGAGCCTTGAAAGGTTTGGAGTCGCCTGAAGCAGAGCTTGAATTCTCCCCTCGCTGGCCTGCGGCCTCCCTCTCTCCCTCGCTCTGAAACCAAAGCCCAGCATCTGCTTCCCCAGGAGCTGTTTAATATTCTGCCGTGGTAAAATGAACTCATTGGAGCCACCCGAAAACAGCTGAATGAACCCCCTGGCGCCCGGTGGCCTTTCAGAGTGGCTCCAGACCCCCCTTGGGCCTCGGGGAGGCTGGCAACGGTAGCAGCTGTGGAAGAGGGGCCCCCTTTTCTTCTTGGTGTCTCGGGGGAGCCTCTGACCTGCAAATGGGGCTCCTCGGGGGCTGGGTAGGGGATGGGAGTCTGGGGAGGGGCGGCCTGGGCTTCCCGGCCTGTTCGGGGCCTTGTTTGTGCTTCTTGGCTCAGAGGTTCTGTGTATGGGGCCTCCTTGGGGAGGCCGAGAAAGCTAGGCCTTCCCCAAATTCTTCTCCTGATTCTCCCCCACCCCAGCCTCAAACTGGGCCTAGTGCAGGCACTAGGCTGCTAGCCCCCAGCTGCCAGCCACACTGCTTGATTATGATGATGATGATGATGATGATGATGATGATGGCAATGGTGATAGTGACAGCAGCATCCATGGAGCAATTGCTAAGTACCAAACCCTGATGAGTGTGTTGTCTTGCTAGCTTATTGGCGGCTGGAAACCACTGGGAACAGTTTACTATTCTTATTCCCATTTGACAGGTGAGGAAACTGAGGCCCAAAGGGGCGCAGCTGCGTGAGAGATCATGGAGCTAGGAAGTAGCCTAGCAGGGCTTCACCCAGGCTCTCACCAGCACACCACTCTCCTGGTGCCCCACAGACGTCTGCACCTGCAGGGTTGTCTTGGGGTTGGTTAAGTGATGTCAAGCTGTGGAGCACTGCTCAGAGGCATACAGTCGGCACTACTTAAATGCTAGACTCTATCATGACTTGACGACTGTACTTCGTCACACTTGTTGCCTGTTAAGTCCAAGTTTCATGACCGTCTCCCTCCTCCCCACACTCTAACTGCTCTATTTCCACCCCAACTCCCTCGAAAGGCAAATGGTAACGAAGTGCTTCCAGGTAGAAGCCGGATTGATTTCATGTAATTATCCCTGACAAAATTAAATATTACTTGCAATTAGTCTTGGGCAATTTCTCTGCTGAGACACAGCGAGGCAGTGGGGTGAAAAAGGGCTGAGTTGGCCCAGCCCCTGCTGGGCTGAGGGCTGAGTCTGTTGGCAGCTGTGTGTGCTCTGCCCGAGAATGCCCTGTCGCCAGGACTTAAACCCACAGCAGCGATTTCTCCCCAAGACAGGGAGGACTAGGGAGGGCCGGGCAGGAGGACACACATAACAGCCCCTTTCGTCCCTCCTTATTTTATAACCGAGAAGCCTCAGCAAATAGTACTGGGATTGATTTTTCCAGCAGGTGAGTGGCCTGACATGTGTCGGGTCCAACAACCTCTCTGGAAGATTCCAATAATTGATATACGGCGGTGGAACCCAAGGTATAGGATTTCCTCCCCAGGAGTTCAAGCCCCAGCAACACTTCCCACCAGCTGTGGGACCTTGGGCAAATTACCTCCTTTCTCCGAGCCTCAGTTTTTCCAGTCTTTAAAATGGGGGTAACTTTGACTATTGAATGAGTTAACGCAGGAGTTGGCAAACTTTTTCTGTTAAGGGTCAGAGAGTAAATATTTTGGATTCTGCATGCCATAAAGTCTCTACTTAATTACCTATCCCTTTCCCTGTCATGCAAAAGCAGTCACAAACAGTGTGCCAATGGATGGGTGTGGCTGTGTTCTGATAAAACTTTATTTATGGACACTGAAATTTGGATTTCATATAATTTTCATTTGTTATGAAGTATCTTCTTTTGACTTTTTTTCAACCATTAAAAAATGAAAAAAGGCCAGGGTGGCGGCTCACGCTTATAATCCTAGCACTTCGGGAGGCTGAGGTAGGAGGATTGCCTGAGGACAGGAGTTTGAGACCAACCTGGGCAACATAGTGAGACCCCCCTACCAACCTCTATAAAAAATTAGCCAAGCATGGTAGCATGTGCCTGTAGTCCCAGCTACTTGGAAGACTGAGGTGGGAGGATTGCTTGAGCCCAGGAGACAGAGGTTGCATGAGCTATGATCATGCCACTGCCTTCCAGCCTGGATGACAGAGTGAGACCCTATCTCTAAAAAAAAAAAAAAAAAAAAAAAAAAGTTAGGGAAAAAACCCCACCAAAACATTCTTAGCTCATGGGGTTATAGAGTTTTTTTTAACCCTCCAAGATCCAAAAGTCAGATGGTGGGCCAGATTTGGCCACTGGGCTGTAGTTTGCCACCCCCAAGTTGACAGATGAAGTGTGCTTAATGCAGTGCTCAGCACAGGCAAACTGCTCAATAAATGGACCCAATGACTATTATTATTTTCTGGACTCGAAATACCTTTTATGGGCATATTTAAGAGTAAGTTAAAAATGGGCTGGATGTGGTGGCTCCCGCCTGTAATCCCAGCACTTTGGGAGGCTGAGGTGGGAAGAATTGCTTGAGGCCAGAAGTTCAAGACCAGCCTAGGCAACATAGCCAGACCCCATCTCTACTTAAAAAAAAAAAAAGTAGCCAGGCATGGTGGCTCATGCCTATAGTCTCAGCTACTGGGAAGGTTGAGGTGGGGGATTGCTTGGGTCTGGGAGGTTGAGACTAGAGTAAGCTGTGATTGCGCCACTGCTCTCCAGCCAGGGTGACAAGGTGAGAACCTGTCTCTAAAAATAAAATAAAATAAAATAAAATAACCAGGTTTGTACTGTGAAGTTCAGGTGATAATCATTCCTTTTTCAGTTTATGCTTGTATCTGTAAACTCTTCGTGTGTTCTTTGATCAAGTCAGGACTATTACTTCCATTGCAGGGAGACTGAGGCCCAGAGAGGGAAAGTGCCTTGTCCAAAGTCACACAGCTGGGACAAGGCAGAGGTGGATCCTGAATCCACATGATTCTCTGCCCAAGAGGGCCTCAGAGTCCTCTCCAGAAATTTATGTGTTGGAAAATGCACTGGACTGGGAGCCACCTCAGTCCTCTCTTCCCTGAGCCTCAGTGTTTCAACCTGGAAATGGCTGCCTTTCAAACCGCCAACTGTCTATGGACTGTGACTCTGGGGTGACAAGAATCTCTCTCCATCATCCTTTCAGTGGTTCTAAAATCCAGGTTACACCTGATCAGCATTTGCCCTGCCTGGTGGCTGAGGCTTGTGGGAGCTATCTGCTGTGCTGGCCGGAAAGGATTTGGGAGGGAAGGTTGTAAGATGAAGCTTGGACTGTGTTCTCTAGGTTAGGATGAGGACTGTGAAACTGTGCGTGGTCAGTGCTGAACACCCTGGATACTCATTGTCAATATTGGATTATGATTGCCAATTAGTGACTATGTGGCCTTGGGCGAGTCTTACTGAGCCATCGACTCTCCTTTTCCTCATGATCTGGGGGATAGTAATGCATACATTATAGATTGGCATGAGAATAAAGGAAGGTACCAGTGAAAACTGAGACTTGGGGCTGGCCACATAGCAGATGATTAAAAAAAAATTGGCATCCTTGCCGGGCACAGTTGCTCATGCCTGTAATCCCAGCACTTTGGGAGGCTGAGGCTGGTGGATCACGAGGTCAGGAGATCGAGACCATCCTGGGTAACGCGGTGAAACCCCGTCTCTACTAAAAATACCAAAAAAAAATTAACAGGGCGTGGTGGGTGCCTATAGTCCCAGCTACTCGGGAGGCTGAGGCAAGGAGAATGGTGTGAACCCAGGAGGCGGAGCTTGCAGCGAGCCGAGATTGCGCCACTGCACTCCAGCCTGGGTGACAGAGCGAGACTCTGTCTCAAAAAAAAAAAAAAAAAATTGGCATCCTTGATATTATTGCTTCGTTATTATCATCATTCTACTTCATCCTCAGTCACTGCATTTCCAAGCCTCATTTCTGAGGATTGCGAATTTCCACCATCCAGAGTTTTAATGGGGGAAACATGCTGGGAGAGAACAGGAGGCTGGGGGTGTGAATTTTAATCCTGTCCTGGCCTTGACTCATCATCTGACTTCAGGCAATTTACTTTATTTCACTGGGCCTCAGTTTCCCACTCTTTGTGATTGCAATAGGTCAGATTACAGATTCAATATCAAGTGCTAATCTGGATTAGTTTCGGCTACCTGCAGCATTGTGTCAAGAAAGACTCTGAAGGTTCCCTAGGAGGGAGTGCTGCAGTTGATTAGCAATGTCTGCCATGGACTTAAGGTGAAATATGTTTTGGTGGGAGCCCCGCGTGGTTGATAATCCTAGAAAAGATGACCAGCTCCTTTCAGCCCCAAATTTACATCAGTCTATGGAACCTGCCTACTTGAAACTGATAGGGCTTGCCTTTTGTAAGAAAACTAGTTGTCATGGCAGCCACTGATGCAGACTGGGAGAGACTTTGTAGATTATTTTTCTAGATCAGTATTGTCCCATAGAACTTTCTGGAATGATGGAAATGTCCTCCATAGGCCCTGTCCTGTACAGTATCCACTGGCCACACACAGCTGTCAAACACTTGAAATATTGCTAGTCATGAATGAGGAATTTATTTTTAATTAATTAATTAATTATTTTTAGAGACAGAGTCACACTGTGTGGCCCAGGCTGGAGTGCAGTGGCATGATCATAGCCTACTGCAGCCTCAAACTCCTGGGCTCAAGTGATCCTCCTGCCTTGGCCTCCCAAAGTGCTGGGATTATAGGCGTGCAACACCATGCCTGGCCAATTTTCAAATTTTATTTAAAAAATGTGAAAGCTGCACATGGCTAGTGGCTACCATGTTGGACAACCCAACTCTAGACTCATGGAGCTCCTGAGCTTGTAGGAGCTCCCAAGGCATCTACTTGTTACACCCCAGTGTGCATAAAGTCTGGGTGGGTCCTTGGGTAAAAGCCTGTTGCTTGGCAACCGACACCAAGCAGTACTCTCTGTAGCTCTACCCACAGGCAGCTGGAAACCACCTCTGCAGGAGTTTTGCTCAGGTGGGTGAGCTCTGCATAGGAGGGTAAATGCTTTTGTCTTTTGCATTGCATGCCTCCCTGGGGGCCTGGTTCTCCAGGGCTCAGACCCTGTAAGTGGGTGAGACCTGGCTTGAATCAGACTCTCTCCCTAACCCCTGGATGAGTATGCCCATCTCTCACCCTCTGTGACAATCCAGGAAACATGAAGGTGTTTCCAGATGCAGAGTCGGTGGGCCAAAGGGGAAGGCAGGATGATGGGTGTTTGGGAGAGTGGGAGACATGTTTTATTTTTCCTTCCCTCCTTCTCTCCCTTCTTCCCTCCTCCTCTCCTTGTCTGTCTCTCTTTCTGGTGTGGGGAAAAAGTAGAAGATGCTTTGGAAACTGATATGGCTTCATCCTGAGTTGGCTGCTCCCTTGCTGTGTGGTGTTGGGCAAGTCACCCCACGTCTCTGAACCTGTTTCTGCATCCTTTAAAAAGGAATAACAGTCCCTGCCTTTGAAGGGAGGACCCGATGAAGTAATATACATGAAATGCTTAGAATAGTGCCTGGCATGTGGTTCTCTTCCCTGGGAAAAAATTACCCTCCAATTTGCTGATACTGTCTCTCTCTTTCTCTCTTTTTTTTCTTTTTGTCAAAACCCCCCAAACCCTTAACCAACACCTCCACCCACCCAACCTTGCCTGCCCAGAGATGTTGTTGGAGCGGTGGAGGGTAATTTCACCGATTTCCATGCTTGGAATTGACTTAAATCTCATCTCAGAGATTATCCCTGTAGGTCCAGTCTCAGGGCTGGGTGGCATGTTGGTTGGGAAGGTGGCCTTTCTGGGTGATCACACTGGGCAGGAGGAAATTGCTGGCACTTGTCAGCTCATCCCAGGGGACTCCTGCATTTTTGTCTTTATTACAGGCACCTCCATTTCGGGGTTTTTGCACACACCAGTAGGGTCTAAAATAAACAAGAACTCTAACCTTCAAACTTTGAAGGAAGTCTGTTGGCTGGGCTGGGGTTGTGGGAAGTGAGTGGATATAATTCCTTAATCTCTACATGGTTTGTGAGAGGGCGTCGCCCCTCTCAGTAAATTTGGCAAGCCTTCCAATTAAGTCTTGTATTATTGGCACCCAGGAAGCCTTGAAAAGCTCCTTTTCAGGTCTGTCCGGGGGCTCAGGTGATGTGGTGTGAGTCTTTCTCATTTTAGGGACTCTTTAGGGTTTGTTCCTGTTCCCAGGAATTGATGTAGTCAGCACACTGAGGGCCTACTATATGTCAGGTGCTAGGGTCAGAGTGGGAAGTAAATAGGTGATACAAGGCCCCTAGTTTCATGGAACTCATACTCTTGGGGCCATGGCAGAGAGCAGGGCAAGAAGGAAAAGTTTAGCACAATTAGGGTTGGTGTGAGGTGTCACAGTATGAGGGGCACTGGAGCCCACTGAGGGACTTGAAGAGACCTCCTTGATGAAGGAAGATGGAGAAGAGTTAGTCAGGTGAAGAGAGAAAGGAAAGTGGTGGTCCAGGAAGAGGGGAAAAATGACAGGAATAGTGTTGCCTCCCCTTGGTGACAGCGTACTACAAACTCCATGGTGAAGCCTTCGGGACGAGGAGGGGGTCTGGTGCTGGCTTTGGCAGTAGGGCCAAAATCCTCTGATCTAGTCACACTTCTGCCCTTGACTTACCCCTCTGTGGCCTTGGTTTCCCTAATAAATAGCACTTGTCAGCCCAGTCTTCCTAGGTCTGGTTCTGCCATCCTTAGAAGACCACAGGGACAAGGGGCTGTGACTTCTGCCCTTGGAGGAAGAGGCACTGGGTCTTAATCCTGCTTCTCTATACCAGAGACATAGGCCAAATCTGGCAAATCCTTCTGAGAGGTGGGGTATAGGTGTTGCAAAATTTGTCTTGTCTGGAGAAAATTTGACAGAAGGTGAGGCCAGGGTTGACTCAGTCACTTACCCCACTCCCCTGCACCCGCCTCTTCCCACACCTCCTGCTGGAAGGAGTGTGGCAGCCCCCACCTTCCCCTTAAAGACCACACACCACCTTCCTAGGTCAATGCCAGAGATGACACTGGGCGTTGCAGGCCCAGTGAGAGCACGAAGAGCCAAGTCAGTCAGCATCGCTCAATCCTCTCTCCAACCCCCAAGGTGGAGACCAGCGAATATTTTCCAGCAGTCCACAGGATAATTTGAGGTGGGGAACACCCACTTGGGTGGCATCTTTAGGTCACGGAGTCCCGGTCCTGGCAGCTGACACTCTTGCCACTTTCAAAGGGGATGTCAGTTCAGAGAAGGCAAGTGCTGCACCTGAAATCACACAGCCAGCGTCCGGCAGAGCCCAGCTTCAGCTCCCAGAGTTGGGGAGGAGAGCCCAGTCCAGAGGGAAAGCAAGTTGGGGGTTGTTTGCGGCAGGTGCGCTTCTTCCTGGAAAGCCAAAGGCTGGATCTGCCGGGACCCTAGGGTGGTTGCCACTGAGGATGGGTGTGCCGGGCACAGGCACCCCGGGGGCTTAGTTCCCTGTCGTTTTAATGGAAATAATTAACCAGCTCCTTCTAAGCCCAGACCACCTCCTGCTGCTCCCCGTCTCTCTCCACCCCCTTCACCAGGCACACACCAGGGAGCGGGTAAGAAGACACAGCCTCTAGACTCATGTAGACCTGGGTTCAAATCCAGGCTCTGCCATTTTCGCTGCGTGGCCTTGGTTCTCATAGTGCTGTGGAGAGAACCTGGGCCAGACCCGGGTCAGTGCTCCCCCCACTACTGTCCACTCAGTTCCCGCTTGCCCGGCCGGTCACTGTCTGCTTTGCCCATCAGTCTGTCCTTTCAGAGTTGAAGCTGAGCTGCTGTTTGCTGGGCAGGCCATGCAGCCCACACGGGGGTCCTCAGAGGCCTTGCAGGGGTAAGTGCTGGGAGCCCCCGCTCGAGTCTCCCTCCTGCCTGACGTGGCTGACTCATTCGGCTTCAGAAAATCCACCTTTCTCCTTTTTTGTGGCTGTGTTCTGGAATGACTTTTTTTTTTCTAACAGCAACCCTCTGCTCCTAATAATGTTCTATTGATTTTTAAGTAGAAAGACAAAGAGGTTTCTGCTGTAGCCCAAGAGGGAAGATGAGGGCCATAGCAAATGACGAGGACATTTCTGACTCCCTAAAAGTGACAGCACGAATCTTCATAGATCAGGAGCATGGACTGAGCACCTACTGGGTGCCTGGCTTGCAACCTCCTCTTATGCGAACTTGGACAAGTGACATCACCTCTCTGAGCCTCAGGTTCAAGGGTCAGCACACTTTCTCTGCAAAGGGCCCAATCTATAGCAAATATTTTAGGTTTGTGGGTTATATACTGTGATGGTTAATTTTATGTGTTACCTTGACTGGGTCATGAGGTGCCCAGATATTTGTTTAACCATTTCTCTGGAGAACTCTGCCCAATGCTTACAATCTGATGCAACTCTAGGAAAACAGCCATAAACAAAATGTAAACAAATGAGCAAGGCTGTGTTCCAATAAAACTTTATTTACAAAAACAGGGAGTGGGCCAGTTTTGACTTGTGTGCTGTAGTGGGCTGACCCTAGCAGCGTCTTTATCTGAGAAATGGGACTAGGAGAATAGATGCTTCCTCCAGGGTTACATGAGGAATTATTGAGTTTAAAAGAATGAACATGTGATAGGTACTAGCGGTAATTATGTTATTGGTAATATCATATGTCATTCTCCTGGCAGCCCTGCCCGGTAGGTCTAAGATCTCATTTCACAGATGGGGAAACCAAGACACAGACAGATTAAGTGACTTGCCCTCAGCCCTTCTGCTCACTGTTGGATGACCTGGCACGAGTCCCCATTCCTCTCAGGCTTCTGATTCCCTACCTGTAGCCTCAGAGAGGACTTGGTGATGTAATGCACAGAGCATGATGATCACATCCATTGTGCAGAGGGGAAGTAGAGGCACAGGTGGAGCCCCTTGTAGAGGTCACCATCTGAGATGTGGCAGGGCTGGAATGAGGAACTAAGCTGGATTTCTTGGGGCCCCAAGTTAGAGGCATCTGACTTAGAAGCTGCCTTGGGCACCTGGCCAGCCCAGTGAGACCCAAGCTTTCTCAAGGTACCGTTCCCATGGGAGTGGGACTCTTTTCCCTCACCTTGCTTAGAGTTGGAGAATACAAGGGACTTGGTTCTCAATAAGGGGCTATGTTTCTAAGTCAGGTGTTCTACGGCAAGGTTAGATGGATGAGGTGCAAGCCCCTTTATTAATTTTGATGGATTCTCGATGCTCCTTCTCTGCTCAGAAGCCTTCCTTGGCTCCCCATTGCTGGCAGGAACACGGTCTAACTTCTTCCAGGGGTCTCCATGACTGACCTCACTTGAATTTTGCAGCCTCCTCTTCCCTCGTTTCACACCCATCCCTAAATCAGGGTCCCTGGGCCAGTCTCTTGCTTTGGAAGGAGTCACGCCTGGGTTTGGCGTGCTCCTCTCGCCTCCTCTTCCTGCAAAGCTTGCTTAACCCCCTACTTGCACACCGCCTCCTCTGTGAAGTCTTCCAGGATCCCCAGTTCTCCCCTCAGATCTCACAACATGGGCCTGCCTTTTGCTCTGGTGGAGCTCCTGCTCTATTTTGCAGGTTCATGTTTACCGGAATATCTCTCCCATAGGGTGGGAGCTCTGGAAGGTGGTGGAACCTGTGTTGGGTTCACCTCTCTGAGCTCAGTGCCCAGCACATGGCTGCAGGCACACATGTGGCTGTGATCAGCTCATTGCCACGTTGTTAGTGGCCTCACGAGGACTCCCTTCCTCTAGGCTGCCCTAGGCCCAGGCTTGGGGAATTGATAATGGTAGCAGGACTTTGACCGTCGGTTGGGTACCAATTCATCCCCTTCTTTGCAAGGAAGGAATGACCAAACCCATTTTTCAGAGGAGGCAGTGGAGGCATCAAAGTGGCTGATCCAGGGTCACACAACCCAACAGTGGCAGGGATGGATTTCAAACTCAGGCCTCTGTCTCCAAAGTGCGTGACTGTGCACAACTGACCCCTATGCAAAGCCCTTCCCCGGCGATGAAGCAGTGCGTGGGAACTTATGTGGGTAAGCCGGCCCCTTGCCAGCTGTGCTGACCCGACACAGGAAAATACCCCAGAGCTCCTGGCAGACCCATGGATGGGGGGGATGAGGCAGGTGCTCCATAGGACCTCCACCCAAAGTATCAGCACTTTGAAAATGTGTTTTTTTAAAATCCAGACTTGCACTGAACCTCATGTTTCCTCCAATGGGCTGGAAGCAATGAGGCTCTAATTCCAAATAAATGTGAATGTATATTTGTTTTGTTTTGTTTTGTTTTGTTTTTTTGAGATAAGGTCTTGCTCTGTCACCCGGGCCAGAGTGCAATGGCACCATCACAGCTCACTGCAGCCTCGAAATCCCAGTTTCAAGTGATCCTACCAAGTAGCTGAGACCATAGGCACACACCACCATGCTTGGCTAATGTTTTATTTTTTATTTTTATTTTTTGAGACAGCGTCCTGTTATGTTGCCTAGGATGGTCTTGAACTCCTGGGCTCAAGCAATCCTCCTGCCTCGGCTTCCCAAAGTGTTGGAATTACAGTCATGAGCCACCGCACTCGGCCTCTATTTGTTTACTTTTTTTTTTTATTATAGATAAAAATCATTATTTGTTGAATGACTTACCACTTGCCAGGCAGAGTGCTAGGAGTTCAGTGAGGTGTCAGCCCTGGTGTTTAGTTGCTCCAGTTTCTGTGCGAGCATGCTGGGGCTCAGAGAGGTACAGCATCCTGCCCAGGCCACTCAGTATAGGGTCTAACACTATGTGGGTGAATCTTGGGCAAGAAGGCAAGAAAACAGAGAGGGGGAGGGCTGTGCTGGAGACAGGGCTGGAGAGACTCTCAAATATAATAATAGTACTTAATGGTAATACTATTACCAGCATTACCGGTATTACCAGCAAATACTATTATTATATTTGAGAGTCTTTCCAGAATGGCAGCTACTATTTATGGGGTGAAGTCAGCCCCTGGCACTGTGCTAAGCACTTTGCTTGTATTGCCCCCAGGCCTTCCCTCCTATGAGAATGATACTGTCTCCATCCCCATTTCATAGATGAGGAAATTGAGGCTCAGAGGAGTCAATTTCCTCAGAACCGACGGGCTGTGCTTTTGCATAAGCACGCGGGCAACACCACCATCAGGAGGAAGGTGCAGGCTAAGCGACTGGCCCTCAGCCCCCCGGGGCCTGTCACATCTTAGCAGCATACAGGTCAGGAGTGGCCCCAGGGTGTGCAGGGCTGCATCTGTCACAGGTCACTGGCTGCGTGGCCGGAGGTGCCAGGCAGGACAGGGAGCCCAATCAGAGATGCCCAGGCCTGGTGCGAGGAGCCCACTCTGTCCATCCTGCCGTCCGCGGCTGTCATGCACCACCTCATCCCCTCCTTCAGGGCCAGGGACAGTCCCTAGGACTCAGCCTCCCCCCGCATTCCCCGGTCCTGCCCCCAGCTCCTGGCAGCCGGGTTCCGATGATGCCCTTGCAGCCTCTCCTCTGTGGAGCCCTCGGCCAGTTCTCAATCTAAATGACAGCTGCCCTCAGCCAAGTCAACTCAAATTAATTTCCTAAGGCTTCCAGGGGCCTGGCCCAGCCTCTCACCAGACTGCACTGCTGCAGCGGCCGGCGCGAGGCCTCTGCTTCACCCTCGTGGGGCCTGGAACGGGGGGGCCTTGCAGACCCCTCCTGCCCATCATGAGTTGGGGGGCTGTCTTTGCACCTGGCTCTGTGCCCAGGGCAGAAGGGGAATGCAGGCCCTCCCTGCCCCCAGGTGCCCCCATCCCTGCCGTGTGCTGCCTCCTGTCAGATGGGGGAAGGTTGCAGCTGAAACTTTGGTAACATCAGTGGTGAGGGAAGAAACGTTAAGGGGCGGGGGCTGTCCGGTTTTGTCCTCAGCTTCTGTGTCACCCTGGGAAGTTCTCATCCCATCTGTGAGCCTTGGGTTTTTTTTTTTTTCCCCCAAAAAGTGTGTGTGAGAGAGAGAGAGAGAAAGAGAGAGAGAAATAAGAAGAACTAGAGAATAAGAGGGAGGGGGAGAAGGAGAGAGGGAGGGAGATACGGATGGAGGGGCAGAAAGAGGAAGAATAAGAGAGAGGGAGAGAGAGAGGATGGATAATGGACAGAGGGAGGGTGAATAAGAGCAAGACATGAGGGAGAGAGAGAGAGAAAGAGAGAGAGCGAGAACGAGACAGATTGAAAGGAGGAGAATGCTTGCAAGAGAGAAATTGGGGGTGGTGGTGGGGTGGGAGAGGTCGTGCCAGTCACTTTGGCCAATGATGTTTCCCTTTTTCATGCAACTTTGATAAAAACCACACACTGTGACATCAGACGTCTCTGGGTGTGACCTTGGCTCTGCGGATGGCTGGCTGTGTGACCCTGCGCCTGTGGCATCGCCTCCTTGAGGCTCAGTGTCCTCTGCTGTAAAATGGGCTAGTGTGTCGGGCCATCTCTCCCTCTGGGTGTTGGAGTCATTCACTGTGACCGACTGAGCCTGCAGGTCATGTTCACGGTCACGCCCTGGAGCCGACTCGCATAGAGACAGTGGTCTGCTTTCCCTTTTCCTTTTCTCGATTGCCACGGTGACACTATTGATGGAAGTTGTCATTGATGGGAGGGCAGAGAAGGGGCAGGGGACACAGGCATAGGGCTGGGCCAAGGAGTGGCTAGTCCCCTGGGCCTGCCTCGGGCTCTGCGTGGCCCCGGTGGGATGCCTAGAGTGTCACGCAGGCTGTTGGCCACTATCTCTTGGTCCCCATCCTTGGGGTTGTGGGTGTGGTTCCCTGAGCTCAGGTCAAGATGTCTCAGTGGCCTTTGCTTAGGCTCCTGCCCCAGACTCTTGCCTATATCAAATGTAAAATCTTTCTTTCTTTATTTTTTTTAGAGACAGGGTCTTGCTCTGTCACTCTGGCTGGAGTGCAGTGGCATGATCCCAGCTCACTGCAGCCTCAATCTCCTGGGCTCAATAGATCCTCCTGCACCAGCCTCCCAAGCAGCTGGGACTACCAGCATGCACCACCATGTCTGGTTAATTTTTTTTTTTCTTTGAGACGGAGTCTTGCTCTGTGGCCCAGGCTGGAGTGCAATGGTGTGATCTCGGCTCACTGCAAGCTCTGCCTTCTGGGTTCAAGCGATTCTCCTGCCTCAGCCTCCCAAGTAGTTGAGACTACAGGCATGTGCCACTACTCCCGGCTAATTTTTGTATTTTTAGTAGAGATGGGACCATGTTGGCCAGGCTGGTCATGAACTCCTGACCTCAAGTGATCCACCCACCTTGGTCTCACAAAGTTCTGGGATTACAGGTGTGAGCCACCACGCCCAGCCAATGTCTGGTTAATTTAAAAAAATTTTATAGAGACAGTATCAGGCTGGTCTTGAACTCCTGGCCTTAAGCAATCCTCCCACCTGCACCTCCCAAATTGCTGGGATTACACATGTAAGCCACCTTGCCCAGCTCAAATGTGAAATCTGATTGCCCCAGAGGGATAGAAGGGATTTGGGGGGAGGGTTGTATATCTACCCAAACCACTAGTCATTTTAGAGAGGGCCAGTTAGGCCCAGAGAGGGAGAGTGACTTGCCCAGGATCACACAGCAAGCAAGGTGACAGAGCTGAGATGAAAATGTGAGCCATTCATTAAAACACTTAACAAATACTTATCAGGTGCCTACTGTGTGCTAGGAAGCAGGTGGGAGCCACATGGGCATGTCTGCCCTTAGGGTCTCCAGGCCATTGTCACTGGAGGGATTGTTATCCCCTTCTACAGATAGGGAAACTGAGGCTCAGCAAGTGGACCCACCGAAGATCACAGAGCTAGTGAGGGGCAGAGTTGAGATTCAGACCATGGTGGGCTTTGAACTCAGGCCTCCAAGCTCAGAGTTGGGACAACCTCTAAGCTGATGCGTGTCTGGGAGGGTTGGGGTGGGAGCCAACCGTGAAGTTTCAGGTTTGCTGTTTTCCTGCTTGGTTGGTGGCCGTGTAGACCTTCTTTCTGATCCCTGATATCTGGCTGAGATTTGCTGTTCCTGCCCCTGAGCCCAGAGTCTTTGAGTTTCCCAGGCCCCATCTATCTTTCTATAGAAGGGGACGTGGCCCAGGGATCAAGTGTGCACAGGCAGCCAAGGCAGGTCATTCTTGGGGTTGTGGGGCCCCGCAGACGGGTTCTAGTTGGGCTGTGGGGGCCAACTCCACAGGGGTCAAATCCTCCACCTTTCTCAGTGGTAGGTTCTTGGAGACAGGTCTTAGCACTGCAGTCAAAAGCCTGTGACTGAGCACGGTGGCTCATGCCTATAATCCCAACACTTTGGGAGGCCAAGGCAGGTGGATTGCTTGAGCTCACGAGTTCGAGACCAGCTTGGGCAACATGGTGAACTCCCATCTGTATAAAAAAAATACAAGAATTAGCCGGGCGTGGTGGCGCATGCCTGTAGTCCCAGCTACTTGGGAGGCTGAGGTGGGAGTATTGCTTGAGCCTGGGAGGCAGAGGTTGTAGTGAACTGTGATCATGCCACTGCACTCCAACCTGGGTAATAGAGCTAGATCTTGTCTCAAAAAAACAAAAACAAAAACCTGTGACTATACTTTCTATTGGGCAAGGCTCTCTACTCCTGTGACTTCTGTCTGCCCTGATAGCTGGTAGCATTTTCCTGGGTACCTGCCATATGCCAGGCACAATAGAACCTTATCTTCTTCCCATTTCACAGAGAAGAAAGGTGAGGCTCGGAGAGGGAAAGTGACTTGCCCAAGCTTGAGCTGCTGGGAACAATGCCAGGGACCAGGATACAGACCTTGGTCATCTGACTCCAAAGTCCCCCGTGATGTTTTCTGTGTTTGGTGGCCTGTTGGTGAGGGGCCCTGCCCTCAGAACACCCCTCTGCCAGAGCAAGATGTGTGAGCACATCCCTGAAGCCAGCAAGCCTGCAGCTAGCGGTATCATTACCATCATGGTAGCCGGAGCCAGGGGTGCCATCTGCCAGCAGGGAGAGAAGTATGCACATCTCAGAGTAGGGGTGTTAGAGAAACATCGCCATGGGGCTGACAGCCAGGTAGGATGGCAGGAGTCACCTGGGGTGAGGAGGGGCAGGTGCTCTAGGCAGAAAAAACCGCAGCAGCAAAGGTGTGGAGGTGGAAGGATCAGGGCTCTGCTGAGAGAATGTATAGTTGGGGCTTCAGTGCAGGAGAGAGCACTGAGAGATGAGGTCAGAGGCCCGAGAGGGAGTCAGCCTGGGGCATGCAAAGCTGCGAGGCACTGGGGAGCCATGGAAGGTTCAAGCAGGAGAGAGGCCTGCTCTGGTTGGTGCTTCAGGAAACTCCCCCAGCTGACAGGTTTGGAGGGCAGTGTGTAAGCAGAGAGTGAGGCAAGGTGGCAGCTGCAGGCAGGAGATGGTTGGTATGTGGGCCAGGGTGGGGTAGTGGGGCAGGAGAAAAGTGGGCAGACTTTGGAGGCAGCCTCTTCCCTCCTTGGTGCCTGGGCTGACTGTGGGGGATGGGGAGGAGGGAAGAGTGACCTGGAATGCCCGGGGCTTGCTTGGATGCAATGGCCCTGCCCTTCTAAGGAGGTGAGGAACAGAAAAGCTACCAAGGTCTGGGGGTCACAGATAAGTGTGTGGGGGGCCTAAGAGACTCCCAGGCTGTAGCACGAAGGCTCCAAGAAGTGGTGGCTCAGCCCTGTGGCCCACCAGACCTGATTCAGCTTCCAGGCCCAGTCGCCCAGCCCCCCAGTTGAGTGGCAGCTGTCACAGAACCCAATGTCTCCCCGCACCAGGTCCAAATAAAGGAAAAACCAAAATACATTTCCCTTTGTCGGAATCCAGCGAGGGTGAGTTGGGCGAGAGTCATCCGCTATTGTGTGCTGAGGCCCACACTGCTTCTTACATAAGCCCCGAGTTAAAAATATGCCCGGAATTCTCATTCTCAAGCTCTGCCTGGGATTGCACCCTGACCCCCAGCCTCGGCAGCTTCTAGCACCCACAGGGATGAAGAAACTGCCCCATGGCACAACGCTGGCACGTGGCACTTCTAGCTCTGTCTGCCTCCAGTGCCACGAACAGTAAGAGTGCGCCGGGTGCGGTGGCTCACGCCTGTAATCCCAGCACTTTGGGAGGCCAAGGTGGGCAGATCACTTGAGCCCAGGAGTTTGAGACCAGCCTGGGCAACATAGCAAGACCCCATCTCTACAAAAAACAAAAGAAAAACCAGGGGCTGGATTGCAGGCCTGGCTCTGCCCCTGACTCCGTGTGACCTTGATCAGGCTCTGACTCTCTGGACCATCTTTCAGTTCATCTGTAAAGAGCAACAGTAGTACCAGGTTAGGGGATTAGAAGGAAAAATGTGGCCAGGCATGGTGGCTCACCCCTGTAATCCCAGCACTTTGGGAGGCTGAGATGGGAGGATTGCTTGAACCCAGGAATACAAGACTAGGCTTGGCAACATAGTGAGAACCTCATCTCTACAAAATAAATTTTAAAAAATTAGCCGAGTGTGGTAGTGCACACCCATAGTCCCAGCTACTTGGGAGGATGAGGTGGGAGGATTGCTTGAGCCCAGGAGGTTGAGGTTGCAGTGAGCTATGATTGTGCCACTGCACTCCAGCCTGGATGACAGAGCGAGACTCTATCTCTAAAAGAAAAAGAAAAACAACAACAACAAAAGAATGATAAGTGTCAGAGCAGCTACCCTTTTTTTGACAAAGGGCTCACCTTATGCTGAAGGCTTTCCAGCTGTCATCTCACTTAATCCTCCTAGCAGCCTGCAAGGTAGGTTCTCTTACTCCTCCCGTACTAGAGAAGAGGTGAGCACCTAGCCCGGAGTACCCAGGGAGCCCTTGATATGGGCAGTTGTTGGGCTCTGTCCTTCTTCCCGAATACCCCTGGCTTTCCCTCAGGTAGGCAGCGGGGCAGGAGGTGGCTGGGTCAGAAGTCTCCTTCCCTGGGGCTCAGTGGTGGAACCGTGGCTGGGAGAACCACCGAGGCAGCCCTTTGCCTGGCGTGGGAGGTGGCAGCCACCTCCGCCCGGCTCACGACGCCTGAGCACGTGGCTCACCCACATTGGAACCTGGTCCGCGGATTTTAGTGCAGAGCAGGGTGATGACGAGGCCTGTTTTGCTGACTTCAAAGAAAAAAAGAAAACTCGGCCCCCTCTATGGGTGGGTGGCATCTCTAGAAGCAAAATTTAAAATGCAACATCCCCAGGTAAACGTCCCCTCTTTTCCATTCTCCCTTCACCCCAGGCACAGCCTGCAGAAGGGTCACTCAGCCCTCCCCGGGCCCAGCCCTGCAGGTCCCCACTGTCACCTGCAGGCTGGCCAACAACATTGACAGGCTGTACTCATAGCCAGCGTTGGCAGGAGCGCCCCACGTGCTAAGCGTTTTGCATGGATCATTTCACTTAATTCTCCTAACTGCCTCCATCACGGCCGGTCCTATTATTTCCCCCATTTCCTAGAACCGAGGTTCTGAGAGCTGAAGTGATGTACAAAAGTTCCTTGCTCCACGAATGGTGGCCACTATCATTGTTGAACCCTGTAAGAGAAACGGAGTGAGTTGAGTTATTCACGCAATTGCTTTTTTTGGCACCTGCTCCTGGTTCTCTCCTTCCCTTAATGGAACTGACTGTCTCCATTGTGGATGGAGAAGTTTGGAAGACAGAATCCAACGTGGGTCTCGTGATCGCAGCGGGGTGAGCAGGGGGCAGACTGAACCTCTGCAGTATGATGACCAAATGAAGTGCTGTGGTGTTCAGGGCAGGGGTGACGGGGTAGTAGGAAGAGGCCGGAAGATCAGCGAGGATTTGTGCCATGAAGAAAAGCTGAGGAGTGCTTTTGGGAGGAGAAAGAGCAGGGGTGTCTGTCTCAGCTCTGGGCCTTGACCCTGGGCATGGAGTGTGAGGTGGTTCTTTCTGGCCATAGCTGTCCTTAAAAACTGTCCTGCAGTCTTTCCTTGCTGGGCAGGCATGCCCATCAGTCCCCAAGAACCAGAGGCCCCTGCCCTCGGCCCCCTGTGCTGCCTGAATCGGGTGAGGCACACACAGGGTTATCTGTTTTGAGATGATGTTGCCCCAGCCTCTGGGACTGACCCCCCAACATGCACATGGTATTGCCAGTCTCTCGTGAGGTCTCCCATGCTGCTCTTAGCCGGGCTCAGCAGGAATCACCACCCCCAAGTTGCAGATGAGGAAACTGTGGCTCTGCAGACAGGAGCTGCCCAGATACAGGGCATTTGGGATTCCACCCTGGCCTGAGCAGCTGGGAATCCTGGGCTGAGAGGAGAGAGCCACACCACCAGAGCTGGTGACATGGCCGTGGGTGACCCCTGGGTAGCTCCTGCCCCTTAGAGCCTCAGTCTTCTCGTCTGTCAAATGGGGATGAAGGGCGCTTCACAGTCAGTACACTGGACCCAACTGAGGGCCTGGTGTGTGCAGGGTCGGGGGGTGAACAGACCAAACCTGCCCTTCTCCACATGGCCACAGTCTGATGGGGGAGGCTGACAATCAAGTGGAAAACAGAACAGCACTCACTGGGTCCTGTGATGTCTGCCAGTGCTGGGCGCTGAGTGACTCCATGATCTCCGCCAACCCTGGGAGCTTGGCAAGGGGGTGGTTTTATCTCTGGGTCCTGGCGTGGGGGCTGGCGTGCTTACCGCCTCAAGGAGCGGAGACTGAGGGCCTCTCTTGAGCTGGGGCAGGCCATGACTTGAGGCGGCTTCCGTGGGACTGATTTATCGGCAGCGACTCGGCAGCCCTGGGGAGCCGCGGTCTGAGGGCGTGTTAGGTCCCCCTAGCTGGAATGAATCCAGCGGGAGGATGAGTTTGGTCATGCTTGGGTTGTCAAGAACTGAAGAATAATATTCTCTCTTAAAAATATTCCCTGTGGATACCAGACTGGTTGGCTCTCTTTCTCATTCTAGGCGGAGGCTGGGGAATCCTGCACCCATGCTCTGTGACATCTGGCAAGGCTCTCACCCTCTCTGAGCCCAGGGTGGCCCTGCTGGGGTGGGGAGAAGGGGCACCCCCACTGATGGGCTTGCTGGGTGATGGGCTTAGATAATACACAGAAGTGTTCAGTTGTGTGCCTGGGATGCCCTCATTAAATCCACCCCTAATAAGAACAGCAATGGTTTCTGGCGTTAGTGCACGGCACGCTTATGGCTGTAACTTGGGGATGAAAGCGTCTTTCGAAAATTTGGCCATTTGGGTCTGTCTTACCCATCACTTGGCAGACCCAGCTTCCTCTGCCCGGTGTGTTGCTCAGGAATTTTCTTTCACTTTCTGGGTGTTTGCAGCCCCAGAGCAAAGAGTTTATCTCTCCTTTGGCAAGGAGCTTCATCCCTCGGAGTTTGTTTCCTCATCTGTAAAGTGGGCTCAAGCATTGCTACGTTCATTCCTTGAGATAATTTGTGCAAAGTGGGGGAAATAACCCCCTTTCAGATTTTCTCTCTTTCTCTCTCTCTGTGGCAGGTACTACTTCCCTCACCCCACCCCAGTCCAGATCTTGCAGTGCTTGGAATAAAATTCCTTTGGAGATATTAAGCAGGGTAGGGTGGAGGGGTCGCTGGGAACAAGGCAAGCATGGGTTCAAGAGCAAAGGTTGGGGCACTGTGCCTCAGTATTGCCAGAATCCAGGGCCTGCCATGTTCCTAGAAACCCTGCATCTGATGCCTTAAGCTTCCTGGTGTACCTTCTCCCCAGGAAGCCCTGGGTGGGGTATTAACAACATCCAGATTTCACCACTACTAACTAGCTTTGAAACCTTGGATTCAGAACCTCAGTTTCTCCTTCTGTGAAATGGGGCAAAGGCTCCTGTTTCATGGGCAGGAACACGCCCACCTAGCTGGGCCCCAGGAAGTAGTGGGGCTTTAGGGGATTCTAAGTGGCTGCAAAGCCCCCCTCACCCCCGACCCTCCCAGATATGAATGACAGTCCCAGCAGCACTGTTTGGGGGACTGTCTGTGTGCCAGGCCATTACAAGGCCCCAGGGGAGATGACATCATCCCCATTTCACCCATGGGGAAACTGAGGTCCAGAGAGGGAACATGGTAGAGCCTTGGCCACACAGTAGTGGGGCTGTGACTTCAAAGTGACCGTGCTTTGGTCACAAAGAGACACTGTTTCCTGGCCTCACCATCAGCTCCAGGAGGAGGGTGGGGATAGTGTCTGTCCTATTCCATGCTAGATCCATAGGGTTTGTACCATGCCTGGCATATAGAAGGTCCTCAATAAAGGCATGTTAGTTGCATGAATGAGGGAAGGGGCCAAGGAAGTCTCCTTTCTGCCCAGCTCCGGCTCCTCCCAGCATGCAGGTCCCAAAGCTGAGTGTCTCTGGGGCTCCAGGGTGGGGGCCCCAAGCCCAGTTAGTCATGGCCTGTCCTCAGCTGCCTGGGCCCATCCCTCTGGGAGGATTTTCTCTGCAGGCTGTGGCTCAGCTCCTGGGGGAGGCCTCCTGCTTAATCCCAGAGGGCAGGGCGGGCCGGTGACTCCTGCCTGGCACAGGGCCCTTGGCTGGGCTTGCACAGAGGATTGAGGGCAGGCCGGTCATGGAGTTCAGTATCTGGGTGTGCTCCCTCAGCTGGAGCAGAGCCCCCCACCCCCAATTTCAGCTTTTCTCACTACTACTGAGGCAGAAATTCAACATCAGCCCATATTCAAACCCAGCTTTCTGTCCCTTCCAGGCTGTGTGACCTTGGACATACTCTAAAGTCAGAGTCTAGGAAATGAGAATAATGAGACTCTTCATTGACATATGGCAGGTCTCAGGACAGAGCCAGTGGTCATGTGGTAGCCGTAAATGAGAAGTCCTGCAAATTCCCTGCTTTGGTCTAATTTATACTAAGATGTGAATGGTTGTCAGGCTCCTTTCTCCTCAAGCGTGTCTAACACAGACATCCCTGTGATCTGTGGTGCTTTCTGGCATTGTGTGACTCAATGAAAAGAGGGTTCAGGGGAGTTTCACTAAGGGTATGGGAGAGGAATAGACTCCCCCACCCCAGGCACCCAGAGTCCTTTCACGTAGTAGCTGAGAATGGTGCTTTTGTGCTGGTCTGATTGGGGAGCTCAGATTCTCTGTCTCTCCTGCTCTGAACACTTCATCTTCTGTCCTTGTGAGGACAACACTTTACAGTTTATACAAACACCTTGTACATATCAACAGCCTGGTTGACTAGCCATCATAAGGAGGTGCATGAGCCGGGTGGACACTCCCCTTTTCAGAGGAGGGGACTGGCCTCGGGTCCCTTTGCGGAGCTACAACTGGATTCTCTCAGCCATTAGGTTGGAGCTGTGTGACCCCAGGAAAGTTTCTGTGCCTTTCTGGGGCTCAGACTTCTCATCTGTAAAATGGAGTATGAGCAAGCTAAGGCCAGAGCGTAGGAGGGAATGAAAGACACAGGCAGGTGTCCCGAAGGGCTCCTCTTCTCCCATGCCCCCACTCTCAAAGCCACCTCTATGGAGCCTCAGCCCCTGCACACCAATGAGGGGCAGAACCTTCAGAGGTGGGAGAGGGGCTGAAAAGGGAGTGATTGGAAAGCACTGGGGAGCGCTTGGGGATTGGGGAGCACATGGGGCTTGGGGAGCTGTGGGCGTCTAGTCTTTGTGGCTCAGCTGTGCCAAGCTGGGTATCCACAGGCACCTTCTCCATCCTTCCTGCTCCTCTGGAAAGGGTGCTGTGACTCCACACTTTCTCCTGTGTGACTCGGGGCAAGTCATCTTCCCTCTCTGAGTCTCAGTTTTCTTAGCTGTAAAGTAGAGGTGATCATCCTTCCCCCCTGGAGTTGGTATGCAGTCTGGCACATTTTAAGAAAGTTCCCAGCTCGTGGTAGGCCCTAAGCAAATGTCTCTCCAGAGGATGACACACAAACAGGCTGTGTTCTGGACCCAGACAATCCTCCCCTCCACCCTTTCACTGCATGCGGCGAACTCCTACACATCCTTTGATGCCCAGTTTAGATGCCCCTCCTCCAGGAAGCATTCCTGACTTAGATCACGTCCAGTTAATCTTTTGGGAACTCTGGTGCATCAGAGATGGGCAAACTCTGAGTTTATCCTGCCTCACTTTCCTATTTCCCAGTGGGGAAACTGAGGCCCAACAGGGAGGTCTTCCCTTGGCTGAGATCTCACAGATGAATCAGGGGTAACAGCAAGAAGATTCAAAACAACATCTCTAGATCCTCTGGGACCAGCTTTAGCCATGGAAAGAGGGCGTGGACGGTGCCTGTCTTGTATGCCTCTGCCACTTTGGCCCCCATTATGGTGTCCCTCAGAGACGAGTGTGCCACTAATGTCCTCTCTTCCTTCTCTCTCCACAGCCCACGACCTCCCTGCAAACAAGGCCTCAGCATCCCAGCCTGGCAGCCACTTGCAGTGCCTGTCTGTCCACTGCACAGACGACGTGGGTGACGCCAAGGCTCGAGCCTCCGTGCCCACCTGGCGGTCCCTGCATTCTGACATCTCCAACAGATTTGGGACATTCGTGGCTGCCCTAACTTGAATGACAAGAAAGATCCCCTCCTCTACCAGGCCCTTCCTCTCCCCCTGTCTGTTTCCTTCCCCCTCAACCTTACCCCACCCCTCTGTTAATTTGAAAGGGCCACTATTGCTGAGTGGATGAGTTTTTTTTTTTTCTCTAGGTTGGTACCTGCTTAGTGGCATATGGACCGGAAAGGGTTAATTTAAAGGGGGGGAACCTCAAAAGTTTTTTTAAAAAAGAAACTTGTCTGCCACAGTATGTTACCAGTGTTAACCCTTCTGCAGTTAGCAAACTTTTGCTTAAGCCTTTTTCCTCTAGATACTCCCCATGTTTCGGTAATCTTGGCATACATTTTTTAGATGACCTCTTTCCTTGTTTTGTTTTCATGCTGCTGTATGTCCAAGTATTGTTATTTCATAATAAGACAAGAGTTGCTTTCTTTTTTATTCTTTTTCCTTTTCTTACCCCCTCCCCTTTTATTTTCTTTTTGCTTTGTTCACTGCTTATTAAAATGGAAATCCTGGAGAATAGTAGTTCTGGAATATTGCCGGGTGAAAGTCCAATTGTCATCACAATGTTATATATTGACACCCCAGTGTCATCAGTCAGGCAGGAGCCAAACAATGAATGCCCCTCTTAGGTATTCCGCCTGGGATTTTGTTTTGTCTGTTCCCTAAGAAAATATATTTTCATTCCTGCAAACACAGTGCTCAGCCTTCAGTTCCCTTCCACTTGAGTTCTCTCTTCTCCTGCTGGAAGCCGCCCCTCTCTGCGATGGACGTGAGGACGTGTCCAGCTCTGCTCTGTGGGAAGGAGTTGGAATGTTCGACAGCAGTGTTTTCTCTCCTTTTCTGGGCCTCCTCGCAAATGCCCAGGCCCTGCATTTTCACGCTGTGCTAAGCAGCCTTTGGTCTGCATGGGGGATGGTGTGCTCCCAGCCTGCAGTCTTTGGAGCAAGGCTGCTGCCCGTGCCTTGGGTGCTGGAGTTGGAGGAGGCTGTTCTCAGCCCTTTCCCTTTTCTGAAAGCTGTTCCTGGCCGGGCATCCCAGGGAAGAAGGAGGGGACTGCGTGTATCTCCTCCACCTCTCCCATTCCATCCCCAGTCCAGCCTGGGCAACCCCACCCCTGGGAGGGATGAGGCACCCTCTTGCTCAGCCTGCTCAGCCTTCTCTGAGCCTTTGCAGGGATCTGCAGACTCCTGAGGGCTAGAGGACAGAGAAAGAGAATAGAATGAAATGACTTTGATTCCTGCGCCTTTTAGTTTTGAACTCTGGAATTCCTCTGCCCCCTCCCCAACATTTTTTTGGAATCTCACCCTGTTGCAAAACTAGAGCCATGTCCCAAGCATCTCACAAAGGAATAACTGCTCTGAGCAGAGATGAGTGGTGGTTGGCAGGGGCAGGCAACTTTGGGTGCTGCTGATGCCTGCAAAAGCCATTTATGGCTTGTGGTGGGGGGCACATAGATTCCCCGGTGGGTTAGACAGGAAGTAACTGATATCACTTCACCCAAATATATAACCGTGATGGTTATCTATTTAATTTCAGTTTTTGTTAACGAGCGTGTCTTACTAAAACGCTCCACTTTGAGCTCCCCCACCCCCTCCAGGTCCTCAGAGTTTGCAGATCTGGGCTTTCTAAAGCAAGTGACCTGAAGGCTCTGGGCTCACCATACAACACCCACGTTGTTTATTTCAAAGAACTTTTCAGCGAAGGGAGAGGAGCTTTCAGAAAAACCTCACTCTTTCCCCTCCCTTCTCCCCTCTTTCCTTCTGCCGGTCCTTTTGGCTGGGGTCTGAGTCTGCGGTTCTCGCCTGGGCAGTCTTGACGAGGAGCAAACCCCGCCTTCAGAGGGCAGACAAAGCAGGTGGCATGAATTGATCAGCGAGAAAGGTGTGAGCCGAGGCAGTTCCTGCGTTCTGCTACAAAAGGAATGGAAAGGGAAGGGAATTTCCCCCCACCATGGGCTGTGGGAGAGTTGACCGTATTCTGGGCAAGACTCCATGACCCCTCTGATTCTGCAGTGTACAGCTGTTTGAGAGCCTCATCATTTTACTTTTGAAACAGGAATGATTTCTCCTTAATTGCTTAAGGCCGGGGAGCAAAGTGTCTTAACTTCTGTCTTTGACTTTCCCAGCGTTGAGTCATCAACACTTTGCCAATTAGCTCATGGTCCTGGCAACCTCAGAAACCCCTGAAGTTTTAAAAACTTTCTCGCTCCCCACGACCCCAGAATGAAACAGCTTTAAAAATAGCCTTAAGCAAAAGGATGTTATTTCATTAAATTTGGTTTAATGGAAAGAATAAAAGTAAATGAAAAACACACCCTACACACTAGACTCCGAACACTGGTAATCAGTACTGCATAGCAAACTCTTTGGGAAAGAAAACGAAAATGTTATTGCACATGTAAAATATGAAAACTTAACTCTGCTGTGTGTTAGGCAATCCTGTAATCTTTTTTGACTCTTAAAAGAAATTCATTTCTGAAATGCTTGGTTGGAAGACTGTGACAATAGCTCATGAAATTGAGTGTTATTTTTTTCTTTCTTTTTTAAAAAAATATGTAAAGTGCAGTCTTCTGTATTCCTGCATATTGTATATACCTGTATATGTTTTCCTGAGCAGTTAAATAACAATAAATATGACGTTAATGGTGACTGTGGTATATTTGTGGGTGGGGCTCGCTTTCTTTGTTTCCTCCCAACTCTATCCCCTTTTTACATCAGTCTCTTCAGATTCTATGGGACGTAGGGGTGTAGGTTTGGATGCTGTAGTGGGTGTGTCTGTGTGTGTGTGTCTGTGTGTGTGTTGATGTTCTAAGTTGGGTCATTTCAGTATTTCTCAACCTTGGCACTATTGACATTTTGGGCCTGTTAATTCTTTGCTGGAGTGTAAGGGGGGCAACTAGGCATTTGAGGAGGTTGAACGGCATTCCTGGCCTCCACCCACTAGATGCCAAAAAAAAAAAAAAAAAAAAACCTATCTAAACATTGCCCAATGTCTCCTTGGGGGAAAGATCCTTTGGGGGCCAAGAACCCTGTATCTGACTCATGTAGGAGGGAGGGGGCAACGGAAGTGCCCCCCCCAGTGGCTGTGTAGGGTGATGCTTATGCTTCTGGGTTCTAGTGTTCAGTTTCAGATCCTAGTAAGCCTGGGAATCTCCTGCAAGTTATGCAGCTTCTCAGCTCCACCTTTTCCTCATCTTTGAAAGGGGTCTAGCTCGTGGGGTTGTTATCGGAGACAATGCACTGGACACAACATGTAGGAAGGGCTTCATGTGCATAAAGCGTCAGCATCAGCACCATAATCTTACCACAGGGCAGCCGATGGCGGTCTGGAGTCACGCTGTCCTGGGGCGCATGCTGCTTCCTCCCCTTACAGCCATGGACCTTGGGCAAGCGGCTTAACTACAGCCCCCAGTTTTTTTGTTTCTTAAGTGGAGCAAGTAACATCTAGCTGGAAGCTCACTGTGAGCACCAGCCCTGTAAAAGGATCGGTTTGCCTATGGGCCACTCTTTGGGCAGTGGCTTCACTCCGGCATCTGCAGCCTCAGACCTGAGGCCACTGCAGACCATTCCTGTCCTTCCCTTTTGCACCTTTACCTCTCAGTGTTTCTCAAAGCATGGTCCACAGAACCCTGGCCGCAGAAACACCTAAGGGCTCTTGTTAACTCCAGATTTCTGGCCTTGTGCTAGACTACTGAATCAGAACCTCTGAACTTGTATTTTACACCTAATTATAACAGGTGCAGTTACCTTCTTTCACAGCCCACAGCAGATCAGAGGGCTAATGTAGGTGGGCGCCCAATGCCAGGTTGGAGCGGGAAGATGAGTCAGAAATGATGGCGGCAGATTGAGAGCTGCAGCGCGGCCATTCAGTGTGGAGGCAAACAGCTTACACGTGTCTCCAATGACTCTACCCTGGAAAACATCACACTAAGGCAGAGTGTGAACAGAAGCTCCCCAGACTGGCATTAAGCTGGTAAAACGTTTAATTACATCCAGGAAATTCCCCATCTCAGGAGCAAAGAACACATTTAGGAAGATTACCTGCCATAGTTACTTTGTCACTGGGGCTGGAATCCTGAGTGGAAAAACCTCTGCAGTCACTGGGTCTCCGGGAGGTAGGCAGTGCACTCTCTCTGAGCCTCAGTTTTCTTGGCTGTAGAGTGGACAGAAAGAGTGTTATGACCCCACAGAGCTGTCTATGGGAAGACTCCTGAGCACAGTGCCAGGCACAGAGGGGAAACAGGCAGTGCCAGCCCCTTTCTGACACCTGGTGACACCTTTCCATTGGCATTTGGTAGGACACATCTTCCAGACCCTCCAGAGTTAGACATGCTGCTTCCACTTCCTGTGACCCATCTACAGGATAGAATGACCATGGAGGAAATTTGCTTCCCTGGGACTGACTCAGAGACCTGGGTTCCCACCCCTCACTGGTAACCAAAGGACACCATACAGATGCAGGCAATTCAAACCATTTCATTCCAACTCAACACATTTATTCAGCTCCTATTATGTGGCAGAAACGGAGGATCCAGGTAATAAAACTGCCATGAATGGAGAGCCACACTCAGTACTAGGCACTTTACAGACTCATATTATCTCATTTAATTCTCACGGCAACCTCATGCTGGGGCAGATTCATCCCATGTCACAGATGAGGCAATAGGCTCAGGGAGATGAAGTGGACAAGGATGAGCAGTCAAAAAGTGGCTTTGAGTCCAGTTGTGATGGAGATCGTGAATCATCCTGCGGGAAATACGGTATAGACGGCGGAATAGGAGTGGATGGACAAGTACGTTGACAATTAAAAGTGAAGGGAATATGCCCAGTAACCCATGGTGGTACAAGACATGGATGCCACTCAGAGATTCATGAACCCCATGTGGGAGGCTTGGAAAAGGCTTTCTCCAGTAAGGCGTGTCCAGAGAGGGTTTTGAAGGATGAATAGGAGTTCATCCTATTCATCCCAGCACATAAATTGAGCCTAATTTTGTAGTTTTATTGTATTTTTTTCTTTCAACTTTTCAAGTTTTCTTCACATAGGTAATGGAATATTTATCAGAATATAAAGTTTTACAGATGAAGCCTCTATAGTCACCTAAATTTGGAGAAGCTTAAAAAATCTCTTTAACCTTTAAAGGTCTCCTGCTCAGAGTGACAGTGGTATATGATCACGATCAGAACCCAAGGAAGGAGAAAGAAGTGTGAAAGAATGATGAGCATTGGGTATGGGCATTTGGGAGACTTCAGGTTGGTGTGAAATGAACAAATGAGTGAAAGAAGGAACTCTCAGAGGGCCTAAGAACCAAAGGACTATGGCACAGACTGGCACATTGTGGGGATTGCACATGACATTGGGGTACATTTTGGCCCTGGGGAGGACCAGGATAGGGGTCTAGCAGTAGGCTGGCCCACCTTGCTGGTGGGGCCTTTCCATACTGACAGAGAAACACCCATCTCACACCTCAGAAAGACTGCCTTCTTCGTCCTGAGTTGACAGTCTGGGGGAACGAGGGGCAGAAGGCAGCCGAGGACCCTGGCCCAGCTTGGATTAGGAGGGTGGTGGCTCTCCTATTCATCCTTCAAAACCCTACCTGGACAGGTCCCATGCATAGTGCATAGAGTATGAGAGAGGTGCACTATCCATCTGTGGCAGATGGATGTTGAGCAAATTCCATTTTTGCAGCCTCAGAGGGGGCCATGTTATCTGAAGAAAGATTCTGGACGAAATACCACAGGAAATTCAAAGTGTGCCTTGGAGAGACACTGCTTTGGGCCTCCATTTTTCTTTTTTTTTTTTTTGTGAGCAACATGGCTGTTTATTTCACCTGGGTGCAGGCGGGCTGAGTCCAAAAAGAGAGTCAGCGAAGGGAGATAAGGGTGGGGCCGTTTTATAGGATTTGGGTAGGTAAAGGAAAATTACAGTCAAAGGGGGTTTGTTCTCTGGTGGGTAGGAGTGGGGGTCGCAAGGTGCTCAGTGGGCAGGAGTGGGGGTCGCAAGGTGCTCAGTGGGGGTGCTTTTTGAGCCAGGATGAGCCAGGAAAAGGACTTTCACAAGGTAATGTCATCAGTTAAGGCAAGGACCGGCCATTTACACTTCTTTTGTGGTGGAATGTCATCAGTTAAGGTGGGGCAGGGCATATTCACTTCTTTTGTGATTCTTCAGTTACTTCAGGCCATCTGGGCCTATATGTGCAAGTCACAGGGGATGCGATGGCTTGGCTTGGGCTCAGAGGCCTGACATTCCTGCCTTCTTATATTAATAAGAAAAATAAAACAAAATAGTGTTGAAGTGTTGGGGCGGCAAAAATTTTTGGGGGGTGATATGGACAGAGAATGGGCGATGTTTCTCAGGGCTGCTTCAAGCGGGATTAGGGTCGGCGTGGGAACCTTCCACTGTGAGAGTTACCCGAAGCTCGGCGTCCGTGATGGTCTGGGGGCTTCCGAGGCGATCGGGCAGTGTCAGTCTTCAGCCGCTAAGCCGAGAAGATCTGGGAAGGAGTCAGTCAGAGAGCCTTGGGCCAGAGTTCCAGGGCCTCTGGGAGTGGCTGCCAGGTGAGTTAAACAGTCCGATTTTCAGTGGGGTCCCGCACAGATGGGACGCGGCTTAGGAGGAATCCTGGGCTGCAGGCATTCCTTGGCCCAGTGGCCAGATTTCCGGCATAGGTAGCAAGCTCCTGTGGGAGGAGGTTCTGGAGGAACGCCTGGCCGCTGCGGTTCAGGCGTTTGGAAGTTCTTGTGTTGCTGGAGATGTGGCTGGGGTTCGTCTCACAGTGGAGGCAAGGAATTGCAACTTTTTTCTATTATTGTACACCTTGAAGGCGAGGTTAATTAAATCCTGTTGTGGGGTTTGAGGGCCGGAATTTAATTTTTGGAGTTTTAATGTCGGGAGCAGATTGGGTAATAAAATGTATTTTGAGAATAAGATGGCCTTTTGACTTTTTAGGGTCTAGGGCTGTAAAGCGTCTCAGGATTGCTGCCAAACAAGCCATGAACTGGGCTGGATTTTTATATTTGATGAAAAAGAGCCTAAACGCTATCTGATTTGGGATAAAGAAAAAGGAGCATTCACCTTGACTATGCCTTTGGCTCCAGCCACCTTTTTAAGAGTAAATTGCTGGGCAGGTGGGGGAGGGCTAGTCAGGGAACGAAACTGTAAGTCGGACCAGGTGTGAGGAGGGGAGGTGATAAAAAGACTATAGGGTGGAGGAGCGGAGGCTGAGGAAGAATTGGGACCTAGCTCAGCCTGGCGAGGAGCAGGCTGGGGAGGAAGGGAGAGGTCAGATGGGTCTGTAGAAAAGGAAGATTAGAAAGACTCAGCGACGCTTGGGGTTGGTACTGAGGGGACAGGGGGGAGGGAAAGAAGATTTGGGACGAGTTGCACTGGGCACAGAGACTAGGACGGGACTGATGTGTAAAAGAATGCCTGGACGTCAGGCACCTCAGACCGTTTGCCTATTTTACGACAAGAATTATTTAGATCTTGCAGGATGGAAAAATTCAAAGTGCCATTTTCTGGCTATTTGGAACTACTGTCGAGTTTGTATTGGGGTCAAGCGGCATTGCAGAAGAAAATAAGGCATTTAGGTTTTAGGTCAGGTGTGAGTTGAAGAGGTTTTAAGTTTTTGAGAACACAGGCTAAGGGAGAAGAAGGAGGAATGGAAGGTGGAAGCTTACCCATAGTGAAGGAGGCAAGCCCAGAGAAAAGAGTAGAGACACGGAGAAAGGGTGGGGGGTTCTTGCCCTCCAGAAAAGCAGAGAAGGGGTTGGGGCACGGAAATAAGGGATTGGGGCACAGAGATAAGAGGTCAGGGTGTGGAAATAAGGGATTGGAGCACAGAGATAAGAGGTTGGGGTGTAGAAATAAGTGACTGGGGGGGTTCTTGCCCCCTAGGAAAGCAGGACTTGCCGCTAAGGGTGAAGGAGAAGGGGTTGAGGGGTACTTGCCCCTGCCCCCTAGGAAAGCGGGACTTGCCGCTGAGGGTGAAGGAGAAGGGGTTGAGGGGTAGTTGCCCCTGCCCCAGGAAAGTGGGACTTGCCACTAAGGGTGAAGGACCAAGGCAGGCGTCCCTGCGTGGTCTGGCACCCTTGAAACGTGAGTGTATAATCAGAGAGGTGTCCCTGCAATGATTAAACACCAAGGGAAGGCTGCCTTCCCAGTCCGTGACCGGTGCCGGAGTTTTGGGTTCACGGATAAAACATGTCTCTTTTGTCTCTACCAGAAAATGAAAGGAATTGAAATTAAGAGAAGGGAGAGATTGAAGTGTGGCGCCAAGATTGAAAGGAGAAAGAGGTTGAGGGATAGTGAGGGAGGTTGGAGAAGAGAGTACAAAGAGGCCGCTTACTGGATTTGAAATTGGTGAGATGTTTCTTGGGCTGGTCGGTCTGAGGACCTGAGGTCGTAGGTGGATGTTTCTCACGGAGCAAAGAGCAGGAGGACAGGGGATTGATCTCCCAAGGGAGGTCTCCCCCGATCCGAGTCACGGCACCAAATTTCATGCGCGGCACCAAATTTCATGCGCGTCCGTGTGAAGAGACCACCAAACAGGCTTTGTGTGAGCAACATGGCTGTTTATTTCACCTGGGTGCAGGCGGGCTGAGTCCGAAAAGAGAGTCAGCCCCATTTTTCTTTCTCTACAGTAGGGTTGCATCATGGTGGTCCCTGAGGTGACAGGGATCTGGTGGCCCAAGGCCCCAGTGACTTTGGACATCTGTGGCCCTATGCCCTCTACTGCAAGTTATCAGAAGCTTCATTCTGAGATCAAGTTGTTTTTAAGGGATTTAGAAGAATAGAGGGCCCTGGTTAGAGATGGGTCAGTCCTTAGGAGGGAAAGGAGAAAAGAGGGGGCAGGGAAGTAATGACATCACTCCCTCTTGAGGCCTAGGAGACATTTTCATGGGGGTTTGCGTAGGGTTTCTTAAAGTCACTCTGGGTTGGGGTCACCTGGGTTGTGTGTGAAGAGAAGAGGGGGCTTTTGGATGTGGTGGGATGCCGGTGGGCCTCAGATTCCTAGGGTGGATGATGAGCATGTCATAGCCCAGGGTCTGGACTGCAGAGCCTTGCCTCTTTGCACCTCAGCTTACTCATCTGTAAAGTGGAGAGAATGTTCACAGTAATGATCACTTCATAGGGAGCTTGTGAGGCTCAAATGAGGGTTTTGCACAGGTCTTGCTGACCGTAAGTGCTCAGTGACTATCAACCCTTTGTAACTTTAGGAATCATGGATTCCTTTGAGCACCTGCCATATGCTGGGCACTGAAGAGGAGGTGATGCAGGCATATGGTAACAGCCCACTAAATGTCTAGACCTATGCTACCCAACATGGTGACCACTAGCCACATGTGGCTCTTGATTGCTTGAAATGTGGTTGGCCCAAACTGAGATGTTTTGTAAGTATAAAATACATGCCAGCTTTCAAAGATTTAGTAGGAAAAACACAAAAGAATTTAAAGTATCTCATTAATTAAAGTTAAAATTTTGTATATTGATTGCATGTTGAAATAATACTTTGGGTATACTTTTAAAATGCTGATAAAATAATCTCACTTCTTTTTCTTACTTTAAAAATGTGCTGTATTCGTTTTTTTGTTGTTTTTTTTTTTTGTTTTTTGTTTTTTGTTTTTGAGACAGAGTCTAGCTAGCTCTGTTGCCCAGGCTGGAGTCCAGTGGTACGATCTCGGCTCACTGTAACCTCGGTTTCTCAGGTTCAAGCGATTCTCCTGCCTCAGCTTCCTGAGTAGCTGGAACTACAGGTGTGTGCCATCAAGCCTGGTTAATTTTTGTATTTTTAATAGAGACAGGGTTTCACCATGTTGGCCAGACTGGTCTTGAACCCCTGACCTCAAGTGATCTGCCTGCCTTGGCCTCCCAAAGTGCTGAAATTACAGGTGTGAGCCAGTGCACTCAGCATAGTTTTCTATTACTACATCACAAATGCCTGCAAACATAGTGGCTTGAAGCAACATCCATTTATCATCTCCTAGTTTCTGTGTTTTGGGAATCCAGGCCTGACATATTCGGGTTCCCTGCTCTGGGACTCACAAGATGACAATCAGGATGTTGGTGGGCTGTGTTCTCATCTGGAGACTCATCTGGGGAATAGTCCATTTCCAGGCTCATCCAAATTGTTGGCAGAATTACACGGGGGCTGTGTAACTGGGGGCCTTAATTTCTTACTGGCTGATAACTGGGGCTGCTTTCAGCTCCCAGACATCCTCAAAGTTCCCTGTTATGTGGGCCATCGGCTGTTCACAGCATGGCTGCTTGCTTCTTCAAAGCAAGCAGGAGAGTCTCTCACTCTAGCCTGCTAAGACAGACTCTTACATAACATAATGTTATCATGGGAGTGACATCCCATCACCTTTTGACATATAAGGCAACTTAATCAGAGGAGTGACATCCCATCACCTTTGCCATATTCTGTCAGTGAGAAATAAATCACTGATTCCACCCACACTTAAGGTGAGAGGATTACACTAGGACATGACTCATGGGGGGTCATCTTAGGGTGTGTACACCTACACATGTGACTACTCAAAAATTCGAATTGGAGTATGATGCATGTGGCTTTTATTTCTATTGGACAATGCTAGTCTAGAGGCTCTATTAAATTGTGCCTTGAGGATTACTCAGCCTCTGATTGGGCAGGGAGAGCAGAGTGGATAAGAGAATGGACTGCCAGGCTCACGTCTATAATCCCAGCTACTGGGGAGGCTGAGGCAGAAGGATTGCTTGAGGCCAGGAATTCAAGACCAGCCTGGGCAACATAGTGAGATCATGTCTACAAAATATATACCAAAAAAACACAAAAAAATCAGCCAAGTATGGTGGTATCCACCTGTGGTTTCAGCTATTTGGGAGGCTGAGGCAGAAGGATCACTTAAGACCAGGTATTGGAGGCTGCAGTGAACTATGATTGTGTCTCTGCACTTCACTCTGGTCTATAGAGCAAGGCCCCATCTCTATAAAAAATTAAAAAAATAGAATGGGCTTTGGATAACTACTGGGCATCCCTGGGCAAGTTACTGCACCTCTCTGAACCTCAGCTCCCTCAGCTATAAGATGAGCTATAAGGGGTGGTGGCATCTACCCCTTGAAAGATCCAAAGAGGTAATGTTTGTAAAGTCTTTCTTAGGCTAATGCCTAGCACTTAGTAGGTGCTCTATAAATTCCCCAATCTGAAACTTGGCTCTGCTGCTTGTTGCTAGGAGGCTGAAGGACTTCACATCTCAGGGCTTCAGTTTCCCCATCTGTGAAATGAAGAAGTCAAACCACGTGATCTCCTAATGCCGTTAGATGCATTCTAAGTGCTTTGGGCAGGGTGAAGGTGGGTAGGGAGTCCAGCGGGGCTGTGTCCGCAGGCTGCAAAAGAGACAATACTCACCCACAAAAGGGAGCAGGAAAATGTAAAGAGGTCACCTAACCAGGCGACAGCCCCAGCGTACCCCAGTGCCTCATAGGAGGGGATGGGAGAGGAGTCAGGTGAACACTCTGTCCTTAGTGAGCTGGAGGAGGTTCAAGGAAGGAAGCTCATCCCAGTTTATTTTTACAAAGATTAGAAAAGGATAGCAAGACCAGAGTGCAGCATGGATTTTCCTAGCTGTCAAGAGTTTCAGCTGGGAGGACTCCACCATGGGGCCACTATGATTGAGCTGAAGAGGAGACAGAGGGTGTGGTAGATGCCAAGCCTTTGCCTCCAGTCTGACCTCACCTGACCTGGAGGTGATTGGGGGTAAGTATTAAATTCTTCAATTATAAATAGGATAAGACTCTAACTCTGCAATGAAAACACAGCCTGATGAGGTGCTCCAGGAATCTTGGAAGAATCTTTCTTTTCTTCCAAAAATGTATGGAAGAAAAAATGTACATAACATGTACATTAAAATGTATGTAACATAAAATTCACCATTTTAATAATTTCAAGTATATAAGTTGGTGGCTTTTTAGTATATTCACAATGTTGTGCAACCATCATTACTATCCAATTCCAGAACATTCTCATCACCCCAAAAAGAAACCCTGTATCAATTACTAGTCACTACCCATTCTCCTGCCCTTCTCCCAGCCCCATGGCAACCAGAAATCTACTTTTTTTTTTTTTTTTGAGACAGAGTCTTGCTCTGTTCCCCAGGCTGGTGTGCAATGGCATGATCTCAGCTTACTGCAACCTCTGCTTCCCGGGTTCAAGCGATTCTCCTGCCTCAGACTCCCGAGTAGCTGGAATTACAGGCATGTGCCACGACACTCGGCTAATTTTTGCATTTTTAGTAGACATGGGGTTTCTCCATGTTGGTCAGGCTGGTCTCAAACTCCTGACCTCAGGTGATCCATCCAGCTCGGCCTCCCAAAGTGCTGGGATTACAGGCATGAGCCACTGCTCCCAGCCTTCTATTTTCTGTCTCTACGATTTTGCTTATTCTGGACATTTCATATAAATGGAATCATATATGTGGTCTTTCATGTCTGACTTCTTTCACTTAGCATAATGTTTTCAAGGTTCATTTAAGTTGTAGCATGTATCGGTACTTCATCCCTTTTTATGGCTGAATACTACTCCATTATATAGATAGACCACCTTTGTTTAGTCGTTCATTAGTGGATGGACATTTGGATTGTTTCTACCTTTTGGCTATTACAAATAATGTTTTCATGAAGATATACAAGTTTTTGTGTGAACATGTGTTTTCAATTCTCTTGGAGTAGAATTATTAGGTTGCACCATAATTCTATGTTTAACTTTTTCAGGAACTGCCACACTCTTTTCTACAGCACTGCACCATTTTACATGTTGCAAGGATTTTTTCCTTTGTTGATTTAACCCAGAACTACCCTCCTTTTTCACATTTTAACAATGGTTTCATTTATATACAATAAAATGCACAGATCTTGTGTATAATTTGATATCTTTTCAAGAATGTATACACCTGTGTAACCTAAACCACTATTGAGATGATATAACATGACAAGCTCCCTAGAAACTTCTCCATTGCTCCTTCCCACTCAGCCCCTCAATCCCCAAAGCAACCAGTGCTCCAGTTTCTATCACTATTGATCAGTTTTGCCTGTTCTTGGGTCTTGAATGTCATATAAATGGGCATGCACTCTTTCGGGTCTGGTTTCTTTCACTCTGTATAATGCTTTTGAGCTTGTGCATATTAGTTGTAATTTGTTCCCTTTTATTGCTGAGTAGTATTTCACTGTATGGACATACCACAGTCTATCCATTCATCTGTTGATACACATTTGAGCTGTTTTCAGTTTTTGGTTACTACGAATAAAACTACTATGAACATTTGTGTACAAGTCTTTGTGTGGACAAAAACTTTATGGACGTACACCATATGAAAATCGAAATCAAAATTTGTCATATAGTTAAACATCTTTCTGAAATGGGTGAGTTACATAAGAGGTATACATTTCACTTCTTCAGACAATGCCAAGCTGTTTTTCAAAGTGGTTGCACCATTTGCATTCCCAACACCAATGTATGAGAGTTCTAGTTTCTTCTCACATCTTTGCTAACATTTGGTTTTGTCTGTCTTTTAAACTTTAGCCATTCTGGTGTGTGCTATCTCATTGAGGTTATAATTTGTATTTCTCTAATGATATTGAGTATCTTTTCATGTGCTTATTTGCTATCCGTATGTCTTCTTTGGTGAAACTTTCTGTTCAAATCTTTTGCCCAATTTTTTTTTATTACCTTGTGTTTGCCTTTTTATTATTGAGTTGTAAAAGTTTCTTTATCTATCCGTTTGTCTTCTTTGGTGAAACTTTCTGTTCAAATCTTTTGCCCAATTTTTTTTTATTACCTTGTGTTTGCCTTTTTATTATTGAGTTGTAAAAGTTTCTTTATCTATTCTGGATACAAGCACCTTCTCTGTGTTACAAATATTTTCTCCCAGTCTGTGGCTTTTCTTCATGGTGTCTTTCTAAAAGCAAAAGTTTTAAAATTTTACAGTGTTTGTTTTATCAAGTTTCTTTTGTGCCCTCTCTAAGGTCTGTCTTTAGTAGCTTTATGCTTTTAAGTTTAGCTCTTGTGTTTAACTCTATGACACATTTTGACTTAGATTTTCAAATGGTGTGAGGCAAAGGTGATTTTGAAAATATTTCCATATCTAGCTGTCCCAGCACCATGCGTTGAAGAGATTTTTCATTCCCCAGTTGGATTGCTTTGGTGTCCTTGTTGAAAATCATTTGATGGTGTATGTGGGGGTCTGTTTTTGGACTCTCTGTTCTACTCATCTGTTTGTCCCATCCTTTTGCCACGAGTACAGATTTTAAGCTGGGGTTACATTGGAGAATGGATAAGAACCCAGGAGAATGGATAAGAGAGGGAATCTAGAAAAAAGACACTGAACACCTTGAAAACTCGGCAATGTCACCATTGTCTGCTGAAGGTCTCTGGCCTGAGACCTACTCTCTCTACACGATCAACATGTTCACAAGAGTGTTGAAGACCTAGCAGCACTGAGCTGAGACCTTCTCCACGTAGCAAGAGGAAGTCTTGGAAAGACTTGGAAAAGGAGTGACTTCGTCACTGGGAGGCTGGGAATTGCTTAAGACTGCATTTGGGCACCTTGCATGCCACCCTGCTCCAGACTTCCGAGAAATGTCGCTCAATTTCTTCATTTTACACGTGAAGAAACAGAGGCTCAGAGAATCACGCGTCTCGCTCAAGGTCACCAACAAAGCAAGGGCCAGAATGGAATACCCCCCTCCTTGCCTCCTCCCTTGCACTGTGTCTTATCCTGTGGCCTGGCTCCAGGGTAACTGGAGAGGAGAGCAGCTCCACGTAGCACGAACCTTGTTTTGTTCATGTCGGGGTCCGCAGGAGGTGGCACAGGTCCTGGCAACTAGTAGGTCCTCACTAGATATGGGTGGAATGAAAGGGGCCACTGGTGGTTTCCCCTTGCTTCCTCCATGCCCTCTGCCCTCCCCATCTTTGGCTGTTGTTGAGGTTAATGAATGGAGACCTTAGGCTTGGGGCTGGGGACCAGAGCTGATGGCTTAGGCTGACTCTGGCTCATGCGTACGCCTGGGGCCGCTCATGGTTGTGCTCACAAAACTGCACAACAGATCCTGAGTGAATTCTGCTATGAAGACTAATACAGCGGGGAAGGCAATAGAGGGTGACGGGGGATTTCTCAGAGATACTTCCCTGAAGACGGCCAGGGGAAGAGACTGAGGAAGTTGGGGAGTGAGCCACGCAGATATCAGGACAGTGGGAACAGCATGTACAAAGCCCCTGTGGTGGGAGCATCCCTGGCAAATTGGGGCACCATGAACGTGGCCTTGATGATAACGATTCCACTAGGCCCAGAGTTTGCAAAGGTGCAGGATAGGAAGGGCCTTCCAGAATCCAGTCTCCATCCCTTGAACGTCTTACTCTGGTGCATTTGAAAACCCAAGCTGTGCCAGGTGCGGTGGCTCACGCCTGTAATCCCAGCACTTTGGGAGTCCGAGGCAGGTGGATCACCTGACGTCAGGAGTTCAAGACCAGCCTGACAAGCTGGGCGCAGTGGCTCACACCTGTAATCCCAGCACTTTGGGAGGCCGAGGCGGGCGGGTTACCTGAGGTCAGGAGTTCAACACCAGCCTGGCCAACATGGTGAAACCCCATCTCTACTAAAAATACAAAAATTAGCTGGGTGTGGTGGCACTTGCCTGTAATCCCAGCTACTCTGGAGGATGAGGCAGGAGAGTTGCTTGAGTCCAGGAGATGGAGGTTTCAGTGAGCCAAGATTGTGCCACTGCCCTCCAGCCTGGCTGACAGAGCAAGACTCTATCTCAAAAACAAAAAACAAAAAAGAGACCAGCCTGACCACCATGGAGAAACCCCGATTCTACTAAAAATACAAAAAATTAGCGTGGTGTGGTGGCGCATGCCTGTAATCCCAGCTACTCAGGAGGCTGAGGTAGGAGAATAGCTTGAACCCGGGAGGCAGAAGTTGCAGTGAGCTGAGATCACGCCATTGCACTCCAGCCTGGTGACAGAGCAAGACTCCGTCTCAAAAAAAAAAAAAAGAAAAAAAAAGAAAACCCTAGCTGAAGTGTACTGCCAGCTCCATCATTGCCTCATCACTGTCTCCTGGGACCCCAGACTGTCCCCTTGAAGTTGTCTGCCTTGGTCCTGACCTCATCTGCTACCTCATTACCTGGGCCTCATCTATTTCCCGGGTTCTCTGTCTTTATTCAACAAAGCTCATTAGGTGTCAGCCACTCATCTCACTTTATTTTACCAAGTAAGGTGACACAAGGATCTGTGTGTGCAGAAGTGGATGGGCCCGAGGGGACAGTGCTGGGGCCAGGGATGCAGGAAAGGAGACCTTCAGATCCATAAGGGAATGGTCGTGCTGCTTCCCTCACTTGAGCTGGGAGCTCCATGTTATAATGCGTCTGGGGTTTCCACTACCGATCCTGGCTTGCTGGGATGGGGAAGGGAATTGCAAGTGCTGCCTCTGACACGAGCTGCCACTCATGGAGTACATGTCCAGGGACTTCTCATGGAACAACCCCATTTTCCAGGGAAGGAAACAGAGGCTTGGAGATAGGGAGTGATTTGCCTTGGGGGTCACACACAAAACTGATGGAACCCAGGTCCATCCACCTCCCCATCCAAACCTCTGCCTGTTGCTCTGCAGCTGCCAGAAGGCCCTGTCCCGGCAGGGCAGGGTACATGGTGGGGTTTGGACAGATGATGCAAGTAAGCCCGCACTGAGGGTCCCCACCCTAGGCTTCAGTTTCCTCATCTTACAGATGGGCTTAAACTGGCACCCGTCCCAGATACCTCTCAAGGCAAGACTTACCTGAGATTAAGATGAAAAGGGGGATGTTGAAAATGGTAAACTGCAGCTGGGGGTGGGAGGACACTCCTGATCCCCTTAGTTGGTATCAGAACCTATGCAGCTAGAGGTTGTCGATTACCTACCATGCACGAAGTGCTGGTGAGCCGCTCACTGCACAATCAACGCTCAGGCAGCCATGCAAGCAAAGGCCTCACAATCCTTCCTTGTTTGCAGATGGGAAATTGAAGCTTGGGGATGTGCAGTCTTTTGGCCAAGTTTGTCCAGGAGGTGAATGGCTGGCTGGATGTACATTTGGGAAACTCTGAGCTCCAAGCTTGTGGCCTGGCAAGGGAGTCTCTCCTGTTGGCAGCTTTGTAGGGATTTGAGCAAACAGGGATAACCCTGCCCCCACCCAGCAAGGCCCTGTGGTCACCTTGTTTTTTTTACAGGGAGGGAGGACCTAGGAGGGACTGGAGCCTGGGTCTGGCAGTGGGCGTTAATCTTATTATACCAAGGTAGGGTGTCTGGGTAGGAGACAGCTCATCAGCTCTATATCCTGCTAATGATCTGAGTGGCCATTCTCCAAGCCTCAGTTTCCTCACCTGCAAAATGGGGCTGATTTCTGCATATAATGTGGAAATTAACTTAAATGCAGTAAAAAGGCCTTGCACAAGGTCTGCTCTGAGGGAACATTTGGTACTTGTCAGCAGCTGTTGGTGGTAGGATTAACCATTCTGTGCCTCAGTTTTCCTCTTTGCAAAATGGGGGGACTAGTAATTAACAATAATGGGAAACACATGTATGATGCCTGCTACATGCAGAGACCTGATCCAAGCATTGTACATTCACTGATGGGTTATATTCACAGCCTAGGAGCCAGACTGCATTAGGAATTCTATTTTCCAGAAGAAGAAACGGAGACACAGAGAGGTGAAGAGTGTTGACAGAGGTCACCCTGGCAGACAGTGGCAGCTCCCCTCTTGGGGTAATGAGGATTCAATCAGACTGCGGCTAGAGCACGTGCCTCACAGGGCCAGGTCGGGCTAGCTCCAAAGCCTCCACTGGGGGATAAAAATGAGGTTCAGAGAGGCACAGCCACTGGCCTGAGGCCACACAGCCAGTCAAGGGCAGAACACAACCTAACTTGGGTCTTTCAGGGTCCAAGCGGCCAGGTCTTTTTTGCTCTCCCTGCCCTGTTCTGTGTCCCGCATGCAGTAAGTGCTGGATAAATGCCCTGTTCCCACCCCCACCCCAAGCCCCCTATTCCTGCAGGTCCAGGCCAACTCTTTTCCTGTTATTCTGGCTGCTGTTTGCTAGGGAGGCAGGGAGGAGAGGCTGAGACAGAAAGAGGCTCCTGGTTTTCATGGCTCCCTGCTCCTGGGTGGCACAAGGCTGAGATCCTGGGCCCAGAAAGGAGCTCCTGGCAGCCTCCCTCCTATGGCGAGGTGGGAACTCCTGCTTCTCTGGCCTCTCCAGGTCAGGCTGGTGGGGTGGAGGCTGGTGAGCCTTGGGGACTGCTCAAATCAGTTTCAGTGTGTGCTGTGGCTGCAGCCTTTGTCCCCACCATTTCAGCCCCTCCTGAAAGGTTGGAGGAGTCTGACCCCACGGAAATCTCACCCACAGGGCTCATTCTTTCCAACCATGCTACTGGAGCCCCCATTGGGCACCCCAAGCAGCCCCCACCCCTTATGGCTTTGTCCCAGGAAGGGACCTGCAGGAGCTCTGAGCCCTTTGGAGAACAAATGTGGGGAGGGAAGAGGTGGGCAGAGCAACAGACGGGAGCTGATAAGGCAGGAGCCCACAGGGGCTGGGTTCAAATCCTGCTTCTGCCATGCAAACCTGGCTTGAACTCTAGGATCTTGACTCTGGGAGCCTCGATTTACCCATCTGTGAGATGGAGATGACTGGGGGACAGTGAGATAACGTGCACTGTTTTCAGTGGCTGGTTATTACCTCTAACTGTTCTGGTCATGAAGTGTGGGGTTGGATATTGATGATATAGATACAGAGATCATCATGGTGTACTGGAACTCCCTGGGGCCAGCTGTATCTTAAAACTCAGAATCTTGGAGAACCCAGAAAGGTGAGCAAGCCAGGGCTGTAGAGTATGTGCTCTGTGACATCCCCAGGAGGCTGAAATCCAATATGAGAACTCAGTGGAATATTCACATTAGGTTGGGATAAATAAAGACCTTCAGGCATATGAGTTTGAGAAGATCTCTCTGTTTTGAGAGCTGGTTTAGATTTTAGGATTGCACATAATAGAGTGTGAACTTTTACTGCCATCATTCATTCATTCATTCATTCATTCAGCAAATATTTATTGAGCATCTGCTGTGTGCCAGATTCTGTTTCAGGCTTGGGGGATTGATTCACTGGTAGACGGAGCAAAGCCCCTGTCCCATGGGGCTCACGATGGGGAGTGTGGGGCAATGTCTACACCTGTGTCTACGTGGGCCTGGGGGTTTGTGGAAGCATCAAGCCTTGCTACACATGAGGAAGCCAGTGTGGAAGGAGAGCATCTGCCCAGGGTCAGTAGCCAGGATCTGAACCAGTGCTATCCATCCAGAACACTTGTGTTTTCTTAGAATCTTTTCCCCGTGTTGAGTTAAAGGTGGGCATGGGGATGGGATGGTGAAGGGCTCCTGACATGGCCGACTTGAAGATAAGGGAATAGGCCAGGGCGTGAAGGGACCTGCAGCGGGTGCCCACAGCCTGAGTTCTGTGATCCCCAGAGCCTGGCTCCCCCTGGGCTAGAAGAATGCTTTGTGTGACTCCAGAGTATCGGAAGATCCTGGGTTGGAATTCCACTGGACTTTCTGCTCCTTGCGTGGCCTTAGGCAAGCCAGGTGGCTCTGGAGGCCTCAGTTTTGTCAGCTGTATAATGGGCTCCATGGCTCCCACTGAAGGCCTTCCAGAAGGACTGAATTCTCTGATGGGTGTGGAAGGGACCTAGAGCTGCTCAGGCTCCAGAATGAAGTGGCTTTTCTCCCTGGAGCTTGGAGCAGGGATTTCCCCCTTCAGAAAGCATCTGTATCACTCGGGGCTGGGGACATGGGGACACTTAAAAAACCCCAGAGGCCCAGGCCCTTGTCCAGACCCTCTGACTTACCCCACTGGATGTAGACTCTGGAATTAGGTCTTCTAGGCAGGCGGCATATCCCAGGTTGAGAGATTCCCCGACCGCTCAACTGTTCCGTCCTGGAGCCTGATGACCTCTTGTGCTGGGGAGGTGGAGAGGTGGCCAGGCCAGTGTCACATGGGGGTGGGGGATCAAGGGCTGTGAGCTGTGAGCTCAGATGTGGTTGGGCTGGGCTTCTTGCCATTTCAAGGCAGGTTGGCCACATCATTTGCAGGCCTTGGTACGAAATAAAAACACAGGCTTTTTGGATTACATTTGTCATGGGTCACTTTCAGAGGCTGAGGCAGGAGGATCGCTTAAGGGCAGGTGTTCAAGACCAGCCTGGGCAACACAGCAACACTCCATCCCTACAAATAATAGAATAGAAAAATTAGCTGCACGTGGCGGCGTGCACCTGTAGTCCCAGCTACTTGGGAGGTTGAGACAAGAGGATGGCTTGAGGCCAGGAGTGGAGGCTGCAGTGAGCTATGATTGTGCCACATCACTCCAGTCTGGGCGACAAAGTGAGACCTTTTCTCTAAGAAAAACAAATAAAAAATTCCAGGCCCCTTGTTCAAAAAGCAGAGAAAAATGGCATTAAGAAATGTACTAAAATATAAAGACTTTTTCCTTTCTTCCGTAGTCTCTCTCTCTTGCCTTGTCATGGCATTTTTTATTTGCTATTTAATATCCTTCTAAGTAAAGAAAAATTAAACTTTTATAAGTTATTAGCATGAATTTTACCACTCATCTTTATATTATACAATGCCTGTTTTAAGCGCAAATATTAGAGCATTTAACTTGTAAGCGGAATCACTGAAATGACAAAATTCATATTTATAGCTTGCACACACACAGGCATTTCATTATTACCAGAATGGCAGAAACGCTGCTCAAAACTAACTCAACTGTTATTATTATTATTATTACTATTATTATTGTTATTGTTATTTTGAGACATTGCCTTGGTCTGTCACCCCAGCTGGAGTATAGTGGTGCTATCCTAGCTCACTGCCGCCTTAAACTCCTGGGCTCAAGAGATCCTCCTGCCTCAGCCTCCTGAGTAGCTACGACTATGGGCACACGCTACCCTACCTGGGCTAAATTTTTAAATTTTTTGTTCAGGTGGGTGTCTTGCTATGTTGCCCAGACCAGTCTCAAACTCCTGGCCTCAAGTGATCCTCCTGCCTTGACCTCCCAAAGTGCTGGGATTACAGGTGTGAGCCACTGAGCCTGACCAAATCAACTGTTTTTATTTCACTTCTTGCCACATGCATACTGTACTAACACTCTCTACTTTTGGCTTACTGAAGAGTGAGGAAAGGCTGAAAGAAGGAACTGTGGGTTGCTCTGTCTTCCTCTTCCCTTCATTCTTTTCCTGCAGAAGTAAACATGAGTCCTTTAAGTAAACATTGGTCCTTTGTGTGTCTTAGAACATCATTGCCTCTTTCTGCCTTCAGGGTAAGGAAAAGTGCATGGAGAGTGGGGCCTTCTGGGGACGTCACCACTCCCACCTAGTCTTAGACACAGCCGGCTTATGACTGCCCCCGTCACACACTCATGAAGCTGGCCCTGCACCAGGGGTGCTACTTCCCATACAGATGGGGAAACAGACTCAGAAAGGGACAGACTCAGATGAGATCAGAGATGGCCAAACTAGGACCTCCCTGAACCTCAGTTTTCTCCTGATTGGATTGGAAATAAGATTTGCGTCATGGGGAAGGGGTATTGGTGAAGGCAGAGGTGGGGTTAAGCTCATTTCCCCTGCCTTCTACAGTTCAAGCATTTGCTTATTTATTCATTCAACAAACATTAGCTGACCACCACCTCCTGCGTGCTGGGCAAGGCGAACCTGATCCCACTCCTTGAGGAACTTCTAGTTTGGTGGATGGGATTCTCTATTCCTAGCCTAAGTGCACTGATTGGAAACTTTCAGACCCTGAGACAAACGTCAGGACTATGGTTGTCCTGTAAGTGGCCAGAGGGTTGGGCATTAGTGCTAGCGCCTGACTGAAGTGCCATGGAGATGGCTGCAAATTTGCTGGGAGTTTCAACAGCTGGAGAAAGGGCATTTCTGGAAGAGGTTGCAGCCTGGGCAAAGGGCAGCTGAAAGAGTTTCAGCAGAAACTACCAAAGCCTGGAACCTTGAGGACTAGGTGAAGGCAAAGATGGAGGTTTAAGCCAGAGTCTCTCAAAGCATTGCTCAAGGGTCATGTGACTCCAAATTCTATCCCCCCAGTTCTTTGGCCCAGGCCCCCAGCCACGATTTCGACTTGGAACTTGGCTCTCTGCATGAAGCTGAAGGAATTCCTCACAGCCCTGCTGATGGCCTAGATGTCTCAGGTTTCTTTTCTTTCCTTTCCTTTCCTTTCCTTTCCTTTCCTTTCCTTTCCTTTCCTTTCCTTTCCTTTCCTTTTCTTTCTTTCTTTCTTTCTTTCTTTCTTTCTTTCTTTCTTTCTTTCTTTCTTTCTTTCTTTCTTTCTCTCTTTCTCTTTCTTTCTCCTTCCTTACTTCCTTTCTTTCTTCTTTTTCTTTTTTCTTTCTTTCTCTTTTTCTGTTTTTCTTTCTTTTCTTTTCTCTTTTTCTTTTCTTTTTCTTCTTTCTTTCTCTCTTTCTTTCTCTCTCTCTCTTTCTTTCTCTCTCTCTCTCTGTCTCCCTCCCTTTTTCTCTTTCTTTCTTTCTTTCTCTCCACCTCTCTCTCTCTTTCTCTCTTTCCCTCTCTTCCTCTCTCTGTCTCCTTCTTTCTCCCACCCTCCCTCCCTCCCTTCTCTCTCTCTCCTAGCCTGGGGCCTAGAAGTCCCTCTGCTGAATCCCTGCATGAAAATAGCAGCTGCCTTGTTTATCCCACTGACTATATGTCCAGTAGTGTGCCAAGCCCGTGTATCTTTTCTACAAATCCTTACCCAACCCTATTGTTTTAGAGATGAGGAAACAGAGCTCAGGGAGCTGAAGTTACAACCCCAGGATCATTGTGAATGGGGGAGCTGGGCTTAAGTCCACGCCATTTGAAGCTCACCTGTGGGCCCTGAACCTCATGTTTAGGCCCGCATGCTCAAGTTTCCCTGCTCTTTCATTCATCTGCCTCCATTTCATTCATTTTATTCATCTGCCTCCATTACCTTCCCCCCTGCTTATGAACTCCTAAACATCCTTCAGAACCCTGCTCAAATGCCTCTTTGTTTTTTCAAGCACCCAACAAGGAACATTTCATTTCTCCCTCCTACAAATATTTGAGCACCTTCATATTCTAGGCATCGTGGTAGACCCTGGGGAAACACTGATGAATACACTGACTTGTTGCCACCAATTGACAAGGAAACACAAACCAGTACATTGTTATTAATTGTAAAAACAGTTATGAAGGACACGAACTGTGTGCTTTAATAAAGAATGATGGGGTGGGACTACTATGTAGTGGGTGATCAGAGAAGGTCTTTGGAAGAGGAAGGATTTGAGAACTCCTTCCAGGCAGAGGAAGCCAAGTGCAAAGGCCTAGAGGTAGGGAGAGTTTGATGTGTGTGAAGAAACAACAAGTTGGCCAGTGTGACTGGAGCACAAGGAGAAAAGAAAGACTGGTAGGAGGTGGATCAATGAAGCAGGCAAGCCTCCCTTAGCATAGTTCCCTAAGGCACTGAAGTTTAAAGGTATCTGCCTCCTTCCTGGGGCAGAGGGATCAGATCAAATCCTAGTGGTGTCGCCAGGGCAGGGCCTGACACCCAGGAGGTGTGCAGCTGAGATGGCTTGAAGCAGGGTCGGCCAGCAGGTGGTAGACAGCTCCGCCCCCTCCCTCCTTTCTTCCTTTCAAGAAAGAGGCCGGGCCCTTCCCGCATGGCTGGCTCCCCTGGGCCACCCTAAGGAACACCATAAGTCAGCTTGGTGGGGGGTGGACAACAGGGGCGCTGCTGAAGGACCCGGGAGGAGCCAGGGCGGTGCTCTTGTGGGAGTCACGCACCATCTGCAACTTGTTTTCCTGTGTCATTTGCATTTTCTCTGAAATTATTTTTTTAAGGATCCAGCCAAATGCACTGTCACGCAGGCTGCAGATTTAAAAGAGTGTGGGGGGTTGGGGGAGAGCAATAGGCACTGGGTGTGGCCCTTCCTGGCGTCTAGCTTCCCTGAACTCACTCTCCAACCCCCTCCCAGCCAGAGGCCACTGGGGCTGGGCTCTTGTTGTGGAATGGATAAGAGTCGTGAGTCATGCACAACTAGGGCTACAGGGGCATCCCCTGTGCCTGGCTCCATGTTCAGAAAGAGCCATTCAGACTTCACAAGAGTCCTGTGCAAGAGGAAAGCCCATTATCTGCCCTGCTAGGGACACCGAGGCTCAGAGCCTGCTCACAGCAAGCAGAGGGCTGGAACTTCCAGCACACTTGCAGGGTAACTCCTATTCTCACGTTAAGGGTGGACGGATCTGTCAGATGGAATACAGGACTGCCAGATTCACAGGCTATTGTCTCTCTGCTTAGGACAGGAAGGGTTCCCAGAGGTCCTTGAGCACAACCAACTATTGTATAGCCAAGGAAACTAAGTCTTTCAAATAGACGGGAAGGGGTGGGGTCAGGGTTTGAACTAAGAATGTCTGCTTCAGAGAAGGATGAGTTATATAACTTCAGCCATAAAACAGGCACGTCCCCTACAAATGTGGGGCTGGCTCTGCTCAGAGAGGATCGTGGGGGAGGTAGACTTCTGTGTGGAGCCCCTCCCTGGTACATCATGCATGCCAGTGCGTCCTGAAGGGCTGGGTGCATTCCCCTTAGTGGGACGTGAGATAAATAATTTTGAATTCCCCATTGAGACAGCTATTTCCTCCCAATTCCTCTCATGGCATCAGGGAAAGACTCCTGTTGGTGCTGATACCTCTTTTACACCTGTCTCCAACTCATGCTTGTCTCCCTTTTTGACAAAGAAGTCCAGAGCCTTCTACGGGCAATGCTGTCCAGCTAGGATAGAGTGGAGTTTTGTCGAGGAGCCATTTGAGCTGAACCCTGAAAGGTCACTGGGAGCTTGAGAGGCAACTGGGAAGAATATTCTGTGTGGCGGGAACAGCTGGTGTATAGTACTGGAAACATAGGGAAGCGTGGCACATTTTGTAGAAAGGGGAACCACTTGATGTGACTGTAGGTGTGAGTGATAAGGCAGAAAGGGGCACAAGGGGAAAGTCCCCTGATGCCACGTGAAAGCGCCTGGGCTTTACTCTATGGATGATGGAATGGCTTTGAGCAGAAGCAAGGGTTTTGGAGGGAGTGACACTAGAGGCAGCTAGGCAGTTACAGGATTCTATCAGTACTCCAGGCTAAAGATGATGGTGATCTGCAGGAGGACAGTGGTTGTGGTGATGAAGTCATCAGACCTGGCCTAACCACTAAGTTTTGCATAATGGTAATAGTGATGATGATGGTAACCATATGGTGAAGAAAATAGTGATGACGATGGTGGTGATAATGGTGGTGGTGATGGTGATGATTTTAATGATGATGATGGTGATGGTGCTGATGAAGGTGATGATGATGGTGGTAACAATATAATAATAGTACCAACTGACATTTACTTTTGCATTCTTCACCTCAATGTCATTATGAGACCACTTTCCCGTGGGATTGACACCACTTTAATCCCCATTTTTCACATGAGGAAACTGAGGCTTGCCTATGGCCACCTGGCTACAGAGTGGCAGAGTGGGGCTGGGGTGCCAGGTTGGCCTGGCCTGACTTCTGAGCACTGAGCTCTGGACTCCATGCATCCTGTTTCCAGCCAGCAGCTGGGAAGGGCTGTACCCTAGCCTTCCCCTGTGCCCAGGGTGCTGAGATGTCAGGTTTCTCTCTTCCTAGGCCCTTGTCCTGCTCTGACCCTATGGGCTAAGCCTTTGAAGGCTCTGGTTGCACTTTCGGCTGGGGGCTTGTCATCCCCTTCGCATCAGTAGCTGTGCTCTGGTCCCAAGCAGGAGGGAGGGAAACCTTTCCACAGCCCACAGCCCTTTCATGCCAAACCCTGGCCTGAGTGAGATGAGTGTGGAGGAATTTGGTCATGTGGATCTAATTTCTCTTGAAATATGCAGCAAATGGTGCTGGACAAAGGCAGGCTGCATTGGCTGGACCTGAAATATGTAGGTGACTGCTTCTGAGATGTTTGACAACTCCAAGACTCAGCTGAATGGGCCTGCAGTACCGGGCTGTGGCAACTGGTCCGGGAGGGAGCAACTGAATGCCATAGCTCATTCCATATGTGTGCCAAGGACACATGGACAGAGACCAAGATGCAGGGAAATTGGGCCAGGCTGGGTGACGTGCAGAGCAGGGCTGCGTAGGCAAAAGGGACCCTTCCAAATGGCACAGCATCACATAGTGTCAAGAGTGAAGTTTAGAAGTTATTTTTACATTTTCCTACTTCGTGTGACCTGAGTCTCTTGACCTGGCTGAGCCTTAAGGGTTTCTACTGTCAAATGGGGAAAGCAGATTTGGAGGGAATGGAACAGAGCCAAACTGAAGTAGGAGGCAGAACTCAACTCCAGAGGTGGGGCTCAGACACTGGACCAAATTGAAGACTAGCTAAAACAGGGCCAGGATGGAAGCAGCTTTCCACAAGACTCCCCTCACCCACCAGTGTGCCATCTCAGTTTACCATTGCCATGGCAACACCTAGAAGTTATGCCCCTTTCCATGACAACAACCCAACGACTCAGAAGTTACCATCCTTTTCCTAGAAATTTCTGCATAAACTGCTCCTTAATTTGCATGTAATGAGAAGTGGGTATAAATATGACTGTAGGACTGTCTCTGAGCTGCTACTCTGGGCACACTGCCTATGGGGTAGCCCTGCTTTGCAAAGAGCAGTACCTCTGCTGCTGCACACTGACACTTCAATTAAAGCTGCTGTTTACCACCACTGGCTTGTGCTTGAATTCTTTCCTAGGCAAAGGGAAGAACCCTCCCAGGCTAAGCCCAAATTTTGGGGCTCACCTGTTCTGCATCAAAAGCAGGCCTTTTTGTTTCATCTACACAGAATATACCCCCACCAATCCCACAACCGTCCTTTCCTTCCAGGCATCTGTTCTTCCTCTTCTCAATAAGTGCTTCTGCTGGGGGCTGCCAATCATACTATCCCACTCTCTGACTGCTGTGACTGGGCTAAAGATGGTCATGTGACTCTTAGTGGGCCAATCGGAGCTCTTCTCTGGGATTTTTGCCCTTGGGCTGGATGAAGGCAGCCCCTTTTCCTCCATGAAGATGAGTCCTGAGCTGTCTGTGGCTGTGTCCCCCACTCTGTGAAGATAAGGAAAAAAGAAAGTGACCAGTAAAAAGAGAGGCAGATGAAGTCAAAGGCAATGTCTAGATGAGGTTGGCATCCTGGGAGCCTGTCTCACACCTGTCCTTCTCACAGAATTTTTGGTAACAAGAGCTAAGAACAACTCCTGTTTTGCTTAAACTAACTGGATTTGTGTTTCTGTCTCATACAACTAAAACCATATTGATAAATGCAAGCCTTTCCTGGCTTCCAAGGTGCTGTGTGGTTCATTACCCTTGTTGTTCCTCAGAGCCACTCTTGAGATGGGTATTCCTATTTACAGATGTCAATAATCATAATCATGTCAATTTCCCAAGAACTCAATGCTGTGCCAGCTACTGAGCTGAGCTTCTCTTAGAAATTATTATACTGAATCCTACAGTGCCCCTGGAGGTAGTGTTTATTATTTTCTCCATTTTGCAGATACGGGAATAGAGGTGCAGAGGGTCAAGGGGCTTACTCCAGGTCACACAGCTGACAAATGACAGAGCTAGAATTTAAACTCAGGTCCAGTTTTCAACCTCCATGTTACTAGTCTGTGCAGGTGGTATTGATGATGAAGAGCAAAGATTTATTGAGCACCTACAGGGTGGCAATCACTTCAAACATGTTGTCTCTTTTAGTTCTCATGATGGTCCTATGAGGTAGACACTATTTTTATTCCCATTTGGCAGATGAATACGTAGAGGCTTAGGGAGGTTGAGTGACTTACCAAATACCAAGTGGCTAGAAAATGGCAGAGCCACAATGACTGTGTTATTTCAAAGCTGGTGCACAGAAATTCTACTTTGTAGGCTCTGTGGTGTTAAACTGATTGGAAAAGTCCTCAATTTCTCTTTACCCACTCCTTCTCTTATCTATGCCCCTTTATGATGTGGCTTTGCAGCTCCTTCCATCAAAAGATGGAATCTATTCCCCATGTCTTGACTCTGGATGTCTTAATTAGCCCAGGCTGCCAGAACAAAGTACCATAGACTGGGTGGCTTAAATAACAGAAATTTATTTTCTCATAGTTTTGGAGCCTGGAAGTCTGAGATCAGCGTGCCAAGCATGGTTGGATGCTGGTGAGGGATCTCTTCCTAGTTTGCAGACAGCCACCTTCTTACTGTGTCCTCATGTGGTAGAGAGAGGGAGAGATCTCTCTGTTAATTTTCTTATAAGGCCACAGTCTGATTGGATTAGGGCCCCTCCCTTATGACTCTGTTTACCCTTAATCACCTCTTAAAGACCTTGTCTCCAGATATAGTCACATTGGAGGTTAGGGCATCATATATGAATTTTGGAGGGAAGCAATTTAGTCCATAGCACTGGACTTGTGTTAGCCAGTAGAGTGTGGCAGAAATGGCATTGTGCTACCAAGTAGGGCCTAAAGGAAATTTTCAGTTTCTATTCCTTCTCAAAACCTGCATCTGCCATGAAAATAAGCCTGGGGTAACATGATGGAGGATGAGAGCCAAGCTGTCCTAGTTGAGGCCAGCCTTGACCCACCTGGTAGCTGACTGCAGATATAGGAGTGAGCCCAGTCATGACCAGAAGAACAGCCATACTGAGCTCAGCCCAACTGCAGATCAGCAGAATTGTGAGCTAAATATGTTTCTTGTTTTAAGCCAGCAAGTTTTGATATAGTTTGTTGCATAGCAAAATCTAATGGATACAGAGACGTTCTTGTGAGTGAATCCAACTGAGGTTGTTTCTTTTTTTTATTGAGATGGAGTCTCCCTCTGTCGCCAGGCTGGAGTGCAGTGGCGCGATCTCAGTTCACTGCAATCTCCGCCTCCTGGGTTCAAGCAATTCTCCTGCCTCAGCCTCCCAAGTAGCTGGGATTACAGGTGCCCGCCACCATGCCTGGCTGATTTTTGTATTTTTAGTAGAGACGGGGTTTCACCATGTTGGCCAGGATGGTCTCAACCTCTTGACCTCATGATCCACTCGCCTTGGCCTCAGAAGTGCTAGGATTACAGGTGTGAGCCACCATGCCCAGCCCAATCGGGGTTGTTTCTAAGAAATTTTGGGGCATGGAGTCAAGCCAAGGGGAAGTGAGAAGGGGTAGGGGCTTAGGTTGGAAAGCTGGAGAATATATTTTTAATGTATCAAGCTGGGAAAAGGCATTTAGGAAGAGATAGAAATCGAGACAGTATGAGTCTGTATTGATGAGCTCTGAGCAGATAAGCAGGTTGATTGGGCCCTCAGTCCATGGACACTAGATCTCTGCAGGTGGGCTTCTCTGTGGGTCTCCTGTGACCCACTGTGGACTGGGCTGGATGCTTACAACAGCCAGCTTAGGCCTGGCATCTCCTGTGCATTTCCACTGCAGGGAGGCTTGGGACACAGCAGCAAACGTTCTGGTATCAGACCTCCTGAGCTTGCATCCTGGCTCCCACTTTATTGCCAGCTGCCAATCTTCCTTTCTCAGCCTCAGTTTCATCACCTATAAAATGTAGACAAAAATAGTACCTACTTCCCAAAGTGGGGAGAATTCAAGGAGATTCTCTTTGTCAGTGTTGGCTTTCTTATTGTGGCGGGGGGGGTGTTGGGGGGTAGCTGGAGTTCTAGCTCTGGGTCCAAGATCTTGTAATTAACCTCTCTGGAATGGGGGTCACCCGTGCCAGCTCTCAGGATGACTCACATTTCAGGAGAGGTGCAGTTTCCTCCATGGGTTTGGCCCATGGCAGCGTTCTGCATGAGAGCCTCGCCGAGGCAAGCCAGAGGCTCAATAAGGACTCCCCAGGCAACAACTTCCTAATGGGCCATTTGTTTTAGATTGCCAGAGATTCCATGATTGAAATCTCAGCATTGGTTGAATAGAAGCAAACCAAACATGCCTAGATTTTTGCTTTTCAAACTTGATGAAAAAAATGTGTGCTCCTCATTCTGCTGCAGAACACACAAAACCAACCTTCAGTTCTGCCCTTTAGATGCTGGATTTCATGTCCTTTGCACAGTCCTAATATACTCCTGTCAGTTAATATTCTAGGCTGGGCATGGTGGCTAACACCTGTAATCTCAGGATTTTGGGAGGCCAAGGCATGAGGATCACTTCAAGCCATGAGTCCGAGACTAGCCTGGGCAACATAATGAGACCCACCTCTACTAAAAAAAAATTTTTTTTGTTTTTGAGACAGAGTATCGCTCTGTCGCCCAGTCTGGAGTGCAGTGGTGCAATCTTGGCTGACTGCAACCTCCATCTTCCGGGTTCAAGCAATTCTCTGCCTCAGCCTCCTGAGTAGCTGGGATTACAGGCACCCACTACCATGCCCGCCTAATTTTTGTATTTTTTTTTTTAGTAGAGACGAGGTTCCACCATCTTGGCCAGGCTGGTTGTGAACTCCTGACCTCATGATCCACCTGCCTCAGCCTTCCAAAGTGCTGGGATTACAGGTGTAAGTCACCGTGCCCGGACTAAAACATTTTTTAAAAAAAATTAGCCGGGCATGGTGGCATGCAGCTGTGGTCCCAGCTACTCAGGAGGCTGAGGTAGGAGGATGACTTGAGGCTAGCAGTTCGAGACCAACCTGGGAAACATAGGGAGACCCCTGCCTCTACTAAAAATATAGGAAAAAAGATTAGCTGGGTATGGTGGTGCACATCTGTGGTCCCAGCTACTTGGGATGCTGAGATGGCTTGATCCTAGGAGGTTGAGGCTGCAGTGAGCTGTGATTACATCATAGTACTGGGTGACAGCCTGGGTGGTAGAACAAGACTCTGTCTCAAACACCAAACAAAACAAAAACCACACACAAAACATTCTATCTCGCTATAAAAAGGCTTTTCTCTGGTGCCTATTCTCCCTTTCTCAGCTCTGTTTTTGGACCAGGAAGAGGTTAGGCAGCTTGGTAGGCTGATTACAATAACGGTCCCATTTCCCACCCCTCCCTGTGTTCACACCCTTTGCCATGTGACCCTGTAGTGTCCTCCTCTTCTGACTTTGGACTCAGCCATGTGACTTGCTTTGGCCAATGGGATGTTAGCAGCAGGACTCAGAAGTCCTGTTGTGACTGAGCTCGTTTGCTCTTGCCTTCTGCCCTTGCCAAGAGAAGGACATGCCTGGGCTAGCGTGCGGGAGGGTAAGAGGCATGTGGGGGACAGAACCGAGTTACTCAAGTTGTTCCAGCTGAAGCCAGCCTAGACCAACCGACAGCCAGCCAAGCCCCGGACATGACAGCAAATGCAGCCATGACTGGCAGAGCCACCTGGCCAAGCATCCTTGATGTGCAAGCAATAAATAAATGCTTAGCATGGGCACCACTGAGGACATGTCATTATTTTGTCCTGCAGATTTATCGTGACAGAGAGAACAGATAGGGACAGTGGGAGAGAAAGGAGGGAGGAAATGTCTTCCTTAAGCCATTTCTGTGTCTCCTTTGTTGGATGCCACGATGGTGGACCCTGAGACACCTTCTTGTCCACTCCCTGCATCCACCCTTTCAGCCACAGAGAAGGTGTGACATTGGTTTTCTACAGCTGTGCTTAAGTACCTGTAATTAATAGCAAGGATGACTCCAAAGCCCCATCCTAGCCTGCGCACTGCACTCAGAGTAGAGTTTGCAGGAGTTGAGTAATTGTATTGTTTATTGCACTAAATGGAACATTAATCAAACTGCTTGAAGGCACTCAAGCTGTCCCCAAGGGGTGTGTGCTCTGCAGAGTGTCTGGATGGAAAGTAGGTACTCGCTGGACCTGTCTAGTGGACGTGGGAGATTCCAGCTCCAGCTTTCCAGGTACCACCCCCATGCCTCCCATGCCTCTCTGTTCTTCCTGTGTTTTGGGCTCCATTTTACAGATATGGGAGTTGAGGCCCAGAGAGGTCAAATCACTTGCTCAAGATCACCCAGCAAGGGAGGGAGAGGGAGAAAATTTGAAGCCAGGTGCACATGTGTACAGAGCCAGGCTCAAAGCAATGCCCTGGCAGGGTCTCCTGGGTCACCAGGTAGCCCTGTGAGCTGTTTTTCTCAGCTTTGCTGAGTCCTGGGAAGAGAGAGAATGAAGGAGGCAGACAACACTGATGCACAGAGATGACTTGTTTAAAGCAGCAGAAAGACTCCTGAGCATGGGGCCTCAGTAAATCTCCATGAAGTGGTCCTGATCAGGTGCAAAGTGTGGAGGAGGGAGTGGCGTTGATGGGCACAGCTCCAAGAAGTCTTGGGTGACTCTCCATCTCATTCCTTTGCGTGGGGAGGGGGTATCTCTCCTCCCTATTCTTCGTGACAAGGTGGCTATTTTTAAACCCCTCTTTTTGTAGTGTTCATGTCAAAGTCACCACGCAAGGAATACGTCAGGCGTCCTGGGAAGTGACGTTCAGGCAGACAGAGCTGGGTGGAAGCCTCGGGCTGATGTTGGAGCAGCCAGGCATGCAGCCTGGGTGGGGCTTTGATGAGTCACTCCGCTCTTCCTCTCTGCTCCCCGTCACTCTGAGCTGTCTTGCTGGGAGTTTCCTAGGGACAGAGACAGTAAGTCCAGCCAGAACTGACCATTCACTCAGTCTCCTAACCTGAGTCCCAGGTGCCCTCTCTTCACCTCCACTGAGCACCAAGAGCTGATGGTGCTGCCTGCCCCCTGCCACCAGCCTTAGGATGGTGGAACCCTGGCAGTCCAGCCTCCTTCCCACAATCTATTGTCCACACCTTGGCCAGAGTGCTCCTTCAAAAGAACAGATCCAATAGCGCTCTCCCCTGCTCAAAACCCTTCCATGGTTCCACTCCCATTGCCTTCAAAACAAAGTTCTCCACCCTGCGTTCTCTAATCCTGCCTTCCTGCCAGCCTCATCTCATGCCGCTCCCTGCTCATGGGACTCCCTGCCCACTCTCTGCCCTGGCTGCCCTGTACTCCAGGGTTTGGCATGTGGTAGTCCCTCTGTTTAGACCACCCTTCCTCCAACTTCCTTTACCTGGCAGAGTGCTGTTGTTGTTGTTGTTTGTTTGTTTGCTTTTTTGAGATGGAGTCTTGCTCTGTCGCCAGGCTGGAGTGCAGTGGCGCGATCTCGGCTCACTGCAACATCTGCCTCCCGGGTTCAAGTGATTCCCCTGCCTCAGCTTTCCAAGTAGCTGGGACTACAGGCGCACGCCACCATGCTTGTTAATTTTTTGTATTTTAGTAGAGATGCGGTTTCACCACGTTGGCCGGGATGGTCTTGATCTCCTCACCTTGTGATCTCCCTGCCTTGGCCTCCCAAAGTGCTGGGATTACAGGCGTGAGCCACCGTGCCCGGCCAGTGCTGTTTGTTTTAAACATCACTTCCAACAAGAACTGGGAGTTGGGATGAGGGTGGCAGGTATGGAGAAGCCACCTGGGTTGCTGGGATTAACTCAGAGGAGGGACAGTGATACCGTTTGGCTCTGTGTCCTCACCCAAATCTCATGTTGATTTGTAATCCCCAGTGTTAGGGGAGGGACCTGGTGGGCGGTGATTGCAACGTGGGGGCGGATTTTCCCCTTGCTGTTCTCGTGATAGTGAGGGAGTTCTCGTGATAGTGAGGGAGTTCTCGTGATAGTGAGGGAGTTCTCGTGAGATCTGGTGTTAAAAAGTGTGTAGCACTTTCCTCTTTGCTCCCTTGCTCTCCTTCTCCCCATGGTAAAGATGTGCTTGCTTCCCCTTCATCTTCTGCCATGAGCGTAAGTTTCCTGAGGCTTTCCAGCCATGCTTCCTGTACAGCCTGTGGAACTGTGAGTCAATTAAACCTATTTTCTTCATAGATTATGCAGTCTCCGATAGTTCTTTATAGCAGTGTGAGAATGGGCTAACATAGACAGCAATCCAGGAAGCCCATAAAATAAGATGACAGGAGCAGAGTCTAGACCAGGTAGACCAGCCAGACAATGGAGGGGATTTTTCCTTGTTGCCTGTTGACTTGGAGAACAGCGTACCTTGGGATTTTCAAACTTTTTTGGAAACTTGAGTTCCTGAGAGGATCCTGGAGGCAATGGCAGGGTTCAAGTCCCCACTGACTCTGTTTTGACCTCCTTTCACAAATCTCTCCCAGAAGATTTTATTAGGAGGATATGTTTTGCAGCTAAAAAAAAAAAGTTTGAAAAACCCTATGTTTTGAAGTCAGGCTGCATATGTTCACAACCCTGCTCAGCCACAAAGCTGTGTGGCTTTGGGTAAATTACTTAACTTCTCTGAATGACTTAAATTCTTAGTTTCCTAATCTGTAAAATGGAAATAATAATTGCACTGACCTTCCAGTTGTTTTGAAGAATGTGGCAGATTGTGTTTTTCAAAGATGGTCATAACCACATCTCTCATTCCTTATGCCCTTGTAGAATCTCACCATTTTCTCATCAAGAAGTTGAGTGGAAGTTCCCTCTCCTTGAACTTGGGTGGGCATTTGAATTGCCTCAATCAGCAGAGTAGCATGGAGGTGATGCTATGACTTCTGAGGTTAGGTCATGACAATGCCATGCACTTGTGCCTGGTTCTCCTAAGTTACTCCTTCCCAGAACCTGGCTGCCATGTTGTGAGGAAGCCCAAGAAGCCCATGGAGAGGAATGGAGACCCACCCCCATGCCCCCAGTGGATAGCTCCTGCTGAGCTCCCAGCTAACAGCTAAAACCAATTTGCCAATCATGTGAGTGAGCTATTTTGGAGGTGGGTTCTCTGCCCCACAGTTAAGTTGTCTCAGCTGATGCCATGTGGAGCTGAGATGAGCTATCCCGCTGCACCCTGCATAAATTACAGATTATGATTGTTGTTGCTTTAAGGCACCATGTTTTGGGGTAATCTGTAATACAGCAGTAGATTACTGGAACAAGGAATAGGTAAGATAATGCACATGAAGTGCTTAGCACCGGACTAGGTGCATTAGAAGCACTTTTTACACAGGAGAAATTGAGCACAGAGACAGCGATGGTTTGGCCCAAGGTCACACAGCTACTGGACATGTTTTCCCGCTACTGCTTCTGCTTCTTCTCTGCATGGAGGTAGTGAGGATGTGACTGTTGAGTTCTGAGCTGATCCCAGGGCTGGGGGACTAGCTCCTCTCCCCGAAGACTGGCACCCATTGCTGAGAGCAGGGTTTATCAACCAGATCTGGGTATTTCCAGACAAGCTTGCTGCAAGTCACCTCCTCCCTGCCTCTTCCCTCCCAGGCCCTCAATGGCTGCCCCAGGAAGGTGGGGAAAAGTGGTTCGACTGGGCATTGGCAAGTGAAGGGCCCTGGAGGCGGGGAGGGGGCATCTCCTGGCACCAGCCCCTGCTTCCTGTCTGCCTGCAGCTCCTCTTCCCAAGCATGAGTGGCTTTGAGGGAGGATCTGGGTGACTCTTTCCTCTAGGCTTTAATAATACTGTTAATTAAGCAGCCAAGAGAAGAACACGGCTGGCGCCAGCGAGGGGACAATGGTCTGAAAAGGGAACAGAGAGACGCATCAACAGCTTCCCATGCAGGGCTTTCAAAAGAGCAGCTGTGGGGAGCAGGCGGGTGGGGGACAGAAGGGACACCGCCAGAGCCGATCGCAGTGTGGCTGGGCAGGGAGGCGCTGGGATGAGCCCATGCCAGCTGTCCAGCTGTGCTTCTCTCTGGCACCCCCTGCCTTCCCAGCTGGACGAGGGCTTCTCTGGAGCTTCTGGACAGGCTGGATGAAACAGGCAGCCAGAGGGCACCAGCTGGTCCACCCAGACCCCCCATGACACCTTATTTTGCCTCCATTTCCTCATCTACAAAATAGAAGGGTTGAACTAGTTTGCATTTCTTCTTATGTGCTGATCTCAATAGAAGGTGACTACTTGGAACGTTGACTTGAGAATTTAGAAGCCGAATCAATGCTCCACGGAGAAGCATGCTGGGATTGATTTGTGATGTCTGCCACGAATATAAGATTGGCCATTTGGGGCATGAATGCTATTCATGGATTGGATCTCCTAAGGTACATTCATTCAACCAATAAGTAGTTAAAAACCACCTACTAAGTGTAGGTCTTCTCACTCTCATCTAGTTTCCTCATTTATACAATGAGTACCTAGGGAGAAGTAGAGTCATCCCTCAGCATCCAGGGGGAATTTGTGCCAGGATACCACATGGGTATGAAAATCCACAGATGCTCAAGTCCTTTATATACAAAGGGAGTATTATCTGCATATAACCTACGCATATCCTCCCACATACTTTAAATCATTTCTAAACTAGTTATAATACCAATACAATGTAAATGCTATGTGAAGAGTTGTTATACTGTATTGTTTAGGGAATAATGACAAGGAAAAAAGTCATGTTCAGTACAGGCACAACCATCCATTTTATTTTTTCCAAATATTTTCACTCTGGTTTGTTGAGTCCATGGATGTGGAACCCACATATATGGAGGGCCAAGTGTACTTTCTTTTTCTCTGGGCTGTGATCTTTGGAGACAGAACAAATAGGAAGAAATCAGGGCCAAGAGAGAAGAGATATCAGGAGTGCTCAGAAGAAAGTGGTGGTATTTGCATATCGCCTTAAATCGGGTTGGCAAACCACAACCCCCGGGCTAATAAAGTTTGATTGGAATACGGCCACACCCACGTGTTTATGTATGGTCTGTGGTGCAGAGTTGAGTGGTAGGAGGGACAGAGAACTTATGGCTCACAAAGCCTAAAGTAGTTACTGTCTGGCTCTTTACAGGGAACCTTTGCCGACCCTGCTGTATACAATTCAAGGCATTTTCCCAGTCATCCTATCACTTGCTTTTCATGCCAACTCTCTGAGTTTAGCAGGGCAGACATTATGAAGTCCCATTTTCCGAAGAGGAAACTGCACCCCAGCCCCAGAAGGCCAGGCCTTGAACTTGAGCTTCCTATTTCTTTCCCTGGGCCCCCTTCTCCACGCTGCCTTCCATCTGACTCCAAAAGCTGCCAAGCTTTTTGATTTTGCTTCTGAAATCTCTGGCATCAGTCTCAGCCCCCAGTATCACTCACCTGATTGATGCTAACATCCTCCGGGATTTCTCCTTCTAAGCTATCTGATAGTGGCTAGAGAGGTTTTTCTTAAGCCCAAATCTAAATCAGGCCACTCCCTTGCTCAAAGCCCTCCCATAGCTCCCCCATGCTCCACTCCAAAGCCTGAGCTCTTTAGCATGATCTGTAAGGTCCCTGCTGCGCTTGGAGCCTCCCCTCTTCCCTGTGTATTCTGGAGGCATGTTGCTCCTTTGCTCCTCCCAGGAATTTCTCTCCACCCCTTCACACAGGATTTCTCGTTGCTAAGACCTCATTCTTTAAGGCTCAACTCAGTTCATGAGCCTTCTCTGCTCCCTCCCCATGTTCAGCCAGGTTAGTGCCTCCCCTGCCCATACTGACCTGGCCATTTGGGGCGTGAAGGCTATCCATGGATCGGATCTCTGAAGGTCCACTCATTCAACCAATAAGCAGTTAAAAACCACCTACTAAGTGTAGGTCTTCTCCCTCTGATCTAGCTTCCTCATTTATTATTATTCACTAGTGCACAGGCCTAGCATCCAGTAGGCATTCACTAAATGCTCTCACAGCCTTGCTGATGGGAACTTGCCCTCAGCTCTGAAACCCCAGGCCCCACTGTTAGCCTAATGCAGAGAGGTGCCCAGCCCCCGAAGACCCCCGAGGGCTCTCTACTCCTTCCCTCTCTATGGCTGCCCCAGGGCCTGAATGGCTTGAAGCTGTGAATTTGCTAGGCAAGGACCACGACAGCTCTTGGCCTCATTATTTTTGGCATCTGTCTTATTCCTTAAGCATCTTCTGTGGGGAAGAAGAACAGCTTGATAGGAAAATGCTCTGACAGACATTCTACCATTAACACATTTTTCCCATGCCCTGAACGTGCCCCACAATCCTTCAGGAAGCATCTATAATGGACAGAAAAAGGGATGGCAGTAAGGCTACAATGTTTCCAGGGGCAGGGGAATGAAAGAAGGCAGGCACTAACACCACCAAGTACCTATTGTGTGCCATATCCTATTCTGCTAATTATAGCTACCATTTGTATAGCCTTTACTTACGTGCCAGCCACACACACACACACACACACACACACACACACACACACACACACACACACACAAAGCTCAGGACTGGCTTCAGGCATGGCTGGATCTAGGTGCTCCAACAATGTCTGCAGGGCAGGACCTGGTCCCATTTTCCTCTCACAGGCAAGCTCTTTTTACAGAATCCTGAGTAATTCCAGAACTATATTCTCTTGTCAGAACTAAGACAAGAAAAACCTAAAAAAGCTTTTTATTAATAGTTTCAGCACAAGTTCCAGGACTCATTCTCACTGATTGTACTTGGGTCATGTGCATGTTCCTGAGCCAATCACAGGATCAGGAATGGAGCATTTTGATTGGCCAAGCCCAGGTCATGTGCCCTTCCAAGAGCTGGGGACTGGGATAAGGCTCTCTTAAACATCACAGAGAGAGGCCAAGGCAGGAGGATCACTTGAGGTCACGAGTTCCAGACCAGCCTGGCCAACATGGTGAAACCTCGTCTCTACTAAAAAATACAAAAATAAGCCAGGCATGGTGGCACATGCTTGTAATCCCAGGTATTTGGGAGGCTGAGGCAGGAGAATTACTTGAACTCTCTAGGCAGAGGTTGCAGTGAGCTGAGATTGCGCCACTGCACTCCAGCCTTGGCAACAGAACAAAACTCCATCTCAACAAACAAACAAACAAACAAACACAAACAAACAAAAAAAATCGAAAAACAACTAACATCACAGTCCAAGGGAGGTGGGAGAATGACGGATGATCCCTGAGGGAGAATCAGGGTGCTGGACAGGCAGAAACAATTGTCTTTCACAGGGGCCTGCAAATCTCACTTTTATGTTACTAATGAGGACACAGAGTTACAAAAAGGCAAATGGGCTGCCCAGACTCACAAGGCTGATATGTGGCAGAACCTTGATTGGAGCTCAGGACTCCAGGACTGACTTATAAAAGCCCTGGGGAGGCCAGGCACGGTGGCTCCTGCCTGTAATCCCAGCACTTTGGAGGGCTGAAGTGGGAGGGTTGCTTGAAGCTAAGAGTTTGAGACCAGCCTGGGCAACATAGTGAGACCCCATCTCTAAAAAACACCCCAAAAGCCCTAGGGAGCAATAAACTGTCCTTCTTTTCTCTCCCCCATATTTATTGAGCACTAATTATGTGCCAGGTACTATACTTTGGAGATTACAGTGGTGAATACGACAGATGTGATCCCTGCATTGATGGAGCTTAAACTTAAAGAAGTCAGTTTCTGGCCTCCCTTGCTCATTGCTCTACCCTCCACCTGGACAGCCCTTTCCACCCCCACCAGTCTCAGTCCCCAGTGACCTGTGTTCCAATCTTCCCTGTCTCTCTAGGTCTAGTTAGGGTCGTGCCATCCCCTCCAAGCCTGCCTTGCTGGTTGCAGCCAGACCTTCCCTTCCTTGCCTGAGTCCTGCAGCCCCTCTCTCCCATTAGGTTGCCCCTGCTTGCCCCTGAGATGTGCAGAAAAGATGGGGAGGCTGCCCCATCCTCTGAGGTTCTTGTTGGGGGAGGGAGAGGCAGGGAAGAAAGAGGATGGGCCAGACTGGGTTCTAGCAGCTGTCACCGCAGGGGCACACCCACATACACATCACACCCACAAACACACATGCACACATGCATACTCACTCATTTGCTCATTCGCAAGCATTTATTGTGTGCCTACTGTGTGCCGGTTACAATGCCAGTATTAGGGACACAGTGGTGAACAAGAGCAGGTCCTGGCCCTACCCAGTCCCCACTCCCCATTCCCCAACAGGGAGCTCACAGAGTAAGCACACAGTGCTTCAAGAGGGAGACATATAGAGTGATGAGAGTGTATACCAGGAAGGGCTTCCTGGAGGAAGTGGCAGCTGAGATATGAACTAGGTAAAGAGCAGAAGGGACAAGCATTCTAGGCTGGGAGGGAACAGCATGTGTGAAGGGTCTTCGGGGAGAGGAAGCATGGGCTCTGACAGGTTGAATGGAGGTCAGTGTGGCAGCAGCCTGAGAGAGACAGGGTGAGTCAGGACTCAGCTGTGGGGAGGAGGGCGATGGGGCCATGGGAGCCATGGAGGGTTTTAAAGAAGGGAAAGGCAGACGCAGACTTGGGTTTAGAAAGAGACTTCTGGTTGCTGTGCAGAGAAAGGCCTGGGAGTGTGGGTGCAGTTAGAGGGGGCAGCTGTGCCCTCCAGATGGACATGACAGGGGCCAGCAGTAGGGAGACTAGGTCAGGTTAGCAGGTGGCATGATGGGGAGGAGAAGCTGAGAGATTTGAGAGAAATTTCGATGGTAAAGAGGAAGGAGTGCAGATGCCACTGGTATCCGGTGTGGGCAGTGGGATGATACTCTGTACAACCCCTGCCTGGGGCCCCAGATACGGAGAAGGTGCAAGGCGGGGGAAGGTGCCCCTTACACTCTTAATACCTCCTTCAGACCTCCCTCACACCCCCACTCACAACCTCACAGACAACTCAACATAGTCACATGCACAGTCTCACTCACAAATTCATCTTCTTACATTCCCTTACTCACCAGTCCACATAGTCCCTCTATCAGTCAGTGCAGGATGGGTTATGCCATAGTAGCAAACATCCCCCAACACAGCACTGTTCAGCAGTAGAGGTTTCACTCACACCTATGCTATCTTACTCCCCCTGCTCTACCCACTCCCACTTCCCGTCATTCACACCCAGTCCCTGTATCAGTCAGCCTGGGCTGGATTTGGCTGTAGTAACAAGCAGCCCCAAACCTTAGCACCACACAGCAGTAGGGGCTTGTTTCCTGCTCACGCTCTATCCATCGTGGCTGGGTGAGGGCTTTCTTTCACCTCATCTTTCCTCCCAGCACACTGATATGCAGCCTCTCTCTTCTTGTGGTTGTGGAAGAGCAAAGGAGACGGTGAACCAGGAAGGGACTCTTGAAACTCCACCTGAAAGTGACACATGGCATTTTCACATTTTATTGGCTTGAGCAAGTCCCGTGGCCATGTTGGATGTCAAGACAGAGCGATCCTTCTGCATGGAGGGGCAAAGACTATCTATGCCTATGAATACTACAGGCCACTAATGCACCCACGTTTCTTCCCATGGGAACCCCTTCACTAAAACACTCACTGGCAGTCACACCTCTGCTAGTCACACACACATTTTCAGCCACATACTGTTTGTTCACTGTGCATACCCTTGGTGACACATGTATGTACTTGCACTTAACTCATACCCATCCCTCACTCATGAACACACTTTTTCAGAGCAGCTCTGATCCACACACCCTCTTTGTCACTGCTCTACACACCCTCTTTGTCACTGCTCCACACAATCACAGGCACACTTTAATTTTGCACACTTTCCCACACTTAACTTGGTTAACACCTACATCTACCCTGCTAGAGGCTGAAAGTTTGTGTTGCCCCAAAATTCATATGTTGAAACCTAACCCCCAAGGTATTGGTATTAGGAGGGGGGGACATTGGGCGGTGATTTGGTCATGGGTATGGAGCCCTCATGTCATGTATGGCATCAGTGCTTGTCTTAGTCCCGTTTCTCATGTTATCACAGAATACTGGAAACTGGGTAATTTATAAAGAAAAATTTATTTCTCATGGTTCTGGAGGCTAGGAAGTCCAAGAGCATGGTGCTGGCATCTGTTGAGGACATTTGTGCTGCATCAGAACATGGCAGAAGGCATCACATAGCAAGTGAGTACATGAGACCAAGAGAGAGTTGGACAGAACTCATCCTTTTATCATTCCCACCATAATTGACCTATTCCTGTGATAATGGCATTAATCCATTCATGAGGACAGAGCCCTCATAACCTAATCACCTCTTAAGGCCCCATCTCTCAATACCCTTACAATGGCAACTAAGCTTCAATGTGAACTTTGGAGGAGACATTCAAACCATAGTAGCGCTGTTATAAAAGAGGTCCCAGGCCAGGTGTGGTGGCTTATACCTGTAATCAAAACACTTCCGGAGGCCAATGTGGGAGGATTGCTTGAGCTCAAGAGCTTGAGACCAGCCTGGGCAACATAGTGTGACTGTGTCTCTACTAAAAAAAAAAATAAAAGTTAGCTGGATGTGGTGGCACATGCTTGTAGTCCCAGCTACATGGGATTCCATGGGAGGATTGCTTGAGCCTAGGAGCTGGAGGCTGCAGTGAGCCGTGATTGTACCGCTACACTCCAGCCTGGGTGACAGAGCAAGACCCTGTCTCAAAACAATAATCATAAAAAAAGAGGCTCTAGCCCAGGTGCAGTGGCTCATGCCTGTAATCCCAGCACTTTGGGAGGCTGAGACAGGTGGATTACTTGAGGCCAGGAGTTTGAGACCAACCAGGCCAAAAGGGTGAAACCCCGTGTCCACTAAAAATACAAAAAATTAGCCAGTGTGGTGGCACATGCCTGTAATCCCAGCTCCCTGGGAGGCTGAGGCACAAGAGTTGCTTGAATCCGGGAGGTGGAGGTTGCAGTGAGCTGAGATCATACCACTGCACTCTAGCCTGGGCAACAGAGCGACACTTTGTCGCAAAAAAAAAAAAAAATAAAAATAAAAAATAAAAGGCCCTTGAGAGCTTCTTCACCCTTGCCACCATGTGAAGACACTTTGAGAAGGAGGGGCCATCTCTGAACCAGGAAGCCAGCCCCCACCAAACATGGAATCTACCAGAGCTTTGGTCTTGGACTTCCCAGCCTCTAGCACCTTGAGAAGTAAGTTTCTGTTATTTGCAAGCCATCCAGTCTACAGTATTTTGTTATAGCAGATTGATTGGACTCAAACATGCCCACAGTTTCAATAACATGTAGCTTTCAGACACAAAGGTGCGCACTCATCTCTTCAATCATACATCCTTCCAGTCATGCCCCCGCACACACTCACATACAAGCACCTGCAGCCACCTCTTCTGCACATATACACGTGCACACACCTGGCACAAAGACACCTCACATGCACACACAGTAGCACACTTAGAAATCAGGCTCATTTGCTCCCTCCCAAGTGAAAAGGTCTCAGGGTCTTCTGCTCTCTGGGTGTGAACATGCAACTCCATCTGGCTTGAGTGTGCTGGTGCCACACTCCGAAGGCAGGCAGGTGGGTTCGCATGGAGCCTTGCTTGGTGAAAAGTCTCTAAAGCCCCCAACCCCGGCGCCAGGCTTGGTCTCCTTACCTCTCCAGGCGGGCTTGATCTGCAGTGCCTCCGTAATAGGCTGTTCAGGGAGAATCGATCAGCCTCTGTGTACACTGACCACAGAAAACATAATTAACAGTGTTTGGGATCCATTAATTGCACTGGCTAGGAATTCCAAACAATCTAATTTGAAAAGTCACTTAGGAGTGTATCTTTGCCTTGATGGAGCACGGGGTGCCTGAAATAGCTGTAGGGGACCAGCACACCCAGGCCAGGCCCCAGTGGCCTGTCCCTTCGTTAGGGGGAATTTAGGTCACTGAGGCTGTGGGAGGAGAAACTTCCCTCCTCCATAAAGCCCTCCTGGATTGCCACACGGCCCTCTGACAGCCTCTGGAATATCCTCACACCCCGGTTCAGCTCATGGCCTACAGCCTCGCTGGTTTGAGGTTGTTTTATGTGGATTTGTGCAGCCTCTTTTGTGGTCAGAGACCTTGTCTATAATACCCCTTCCCAGAGCCCTGACAGCTATTGTTATCATTATTGTTGTTGTTATTTCCTCATGGCCTCAATCTAGTGCAGGCCTTGAGGGGGTGGGTTTTGTGCGTTTTCCTTCTTTGTGAAATAGGGCTTCATTTGTCCTAAGTGCTCAAAAAGCTCAGGTCTGAGGGAATAAAAGTAAAACCAGTTTGGCTGTCCTGAGGCACTAAGAAAGATTATCACGGAAAATGTTTTGAGCTTCTTAATCTCTGAAATATGAAAATCTAATTTAAAAAAGAAAGAAAGAGAAAAAAGCCTCCGAAAATTGTTTTGGGGTTGCCTTGTGGATGTGTTTGAACCTTAAAACTCCTTCATATTCCGGCTTCTGTCTCATCCCAGAGCCCGAATTTCTGAGAAACCACTGAAGACCTGACCCCAGCGCTTAATTATTTCTCCTTTCCAAGCATCTCTCATGGAAGGCATCTTGGATGAAAAGACCTTTGGCAGCGTGGGTTTTGCAGGGTGAGTAGGAGTTTGACAGGTGGAGAAGGGGGTTGGGAAAGGGACCTTCAGGCAGAAGAAATGGCGCATGTAAAGGTAAGGCAGTGTGAGGGAGCTGAGTGAGATTAAAACAGCATTGCAGATGCAACTTGATATGAAAGTTGGACAGAACCTGAAAGACCTACCTGGAAACTTTAGTCTTTAGTCTTAGGGCACCAGGGAGCCAAGGCAGGGCTTATCAAGAGGGCGATATGATCAGATTTGCATGGTAGGAAGGTCCCTGTGGCTGTAGAGGGAGGTGAGTGGGTCTGGAAGGAGTAAAGACTTAAGTCGAGCAAGGAGCCCTGCAAGAATGCTGTTGTTCTGGTGCGAAGAAGAGGTGAGGGTGGCCTGATTGGGGTGCCAGGAGGGGAGTGGAGAGGACTAGAGGACTTGAGTCCAATTTAGGAAACTTGGTATCAGGCATGGCATGCATTCCGTACCTTCGCCTGCCCTGAGCCACCTATTTATGCCTCTAGGATTTTGCTGCTTCTGTTCTCTCTACTGAAAATGTCCTTTCTTACTGATATGGTTAGGCTCTGTGTCCCTACCCAAATCTCATCTCGAATTGTAATCCCCATAATACCCACATGTCAAGGGAGAGACCAGGTGGGGGTAGTTGAATCGTGGCGACAGTTTCCCCTGGGCTGTTCTCGTGATGGTGAGTGAGTTCTCACGAGATCTGATGGTTTTATAACGGGCTCTTCCCACTTCGCTCAACACTTCTTCCTGATGCTTTGTGAAGAAGGTGCCTTGCTTCCCCTTGGCCTTCTGCCATGATTCTAAGTTTCCTGAGGCCTCCCCAGGCATGCTGAACTGTGAGTCGATTAAACTTCTTTCCTTTATAAATTACCCAGTCTCAGGAAGTTCTTTACAGCAGTGTGAAAACAGATGAATACACTTACTTTGCCTGCCAAGAACGTTCATACTTATTTGCTGGGATCCAGCCCAGGTCTTTTTGTCTGGGAAGCCTCTCTGGTCCACCTTCTCCCTAAGGGCTGGTCGATCTCCTCCCCTTCCCTCTCCCATTACTGTGCATATCCACCTGTTATTGCATCAGTCAGACCACATCGTGACCTTGAGCTGAGGGCCAGGGACTCCTCCTTCTTCAACTTCACACGCAGACACCTGGTGCATGCCTGGCTACCAGTCACTGGCTAGTAAATATGCTGAATGGACAAACGTGTATGAGAACCTCAAGCTGTCTTTCTCAGCTGCCTGCAATCCTACCATCAGTGACACATTTGGGAATGGGCACAGATTGTGCATAGGTGCATATATGAGGGTGTGTTGTGTCTTGGAGCATGCGTTTCCATGAATGTGTGAAGTGAGGTGTGTGTGCACCATGTGTGGTGTCTCTGAGGGGTGGCAGGGACTGTGGGCGCGTGCATGGTCCATGTCGGGGGCTGGATTCACAGTGTGCCAGGCTTGCATGGCTTGTGCCCTGCTGTGGTTGGAATGTTTGTATCACCCTAGAATTTGTACGTTGAAATCTTAACACCCAAGGTGATGGTGTTAGGAGGTGGGTCCTTTGGGAGGTGATTAGGTCATGAGGGTCGATCCCTTGTGAATGGAACTAGTGCCCTTATAAAAGCAGCCCCAGAGGGCTTCCTTGCCTGTTCCACCAGGTGAGGACACAGTGAGAAGTCAGTCTAGGAACCCGGAAGTGGGCCCTCACCTGACTCTCAACCTGCCCAGGTGCCTTGATTTTGGATTTCCAGCCTCCAGAACTGTGAGCAGTGAATTCCTGTGGCTCATAAGCCACTCACTCTGTGGTGTTTTGTTCCAGCACCTCCCATAGACCAAGGCATACTCCATCCTGTGCTCCTGCCAGCGCTTCCCAAGCGTCACTCTGGCCACACGCCCCTGGAGCGGGGGCCTGGTAACGTGCAGGTCTGGATTCAGTGTGGGTTGATGAGTTTCTGCAGTTCTAACCATCTCCTGGATGCTGCTGGCCTGCACACCACACATGGCATTGCCAGGCCACTGGCACCCAGAAAGGGCCTAGGACCCATCACAGCTCACCCAGTGAGGCAGCGCTTGGAGGAAAACCCAGTTCTCTGCCCCCAGCTCAGGAGGCTGCTGTGGTCCTGGGGGCCCTGCGGCTCCCAGGAGTGTCCCCATTCTCTGCCATTCCCTGTTTTACAGGCGCTGTGAGGGTGGTTCCAGCATCAAGGGGTGTTAGCGGGTGGGTTTAATGTGCCCGGGCAATTCTCATGGCTCAGGTGCCAGCGGCCATAATTCACCTACTAAATTGTGGCTATAAATTTCCTCAAAGAGATGGGTCCCCAGGCAGGTGAGTGGGATGATGCTGGTATCATTGAGCAGAGTTCAGTCTTCTGTCCTAATTAAATGGGAGCATGAGATGGTGCGAGGCCTGGTCCCTGCCACACCAGGTGCCTGCTGTTTCACCGGGTCCCCTGGGTTTCTGGGTCTGAGGAGGCAGAGTGGGCACCCCCCATGGTGGTACGGGCAGGGGAGGTGGGCTCCAGTGTGCGCCTGTGTGTCCAGTGAAGGAAACCAGGCTCTGTTCTAAGCATCAATCCTGATACTGCTTGTCGTGGGTTAAATGGTGACCCCAACCCAATCTCCCAGAAAATGTCCCCCAGAAACTGTGAATGTCACTGTTTGGAAAAAACGTCTTTGCAGATGTAAATAAATAAAGGATCTTGAGATGGTATCAACCGGGATTAGGGAGGGCCTGAAGTCCAATGACAGGTGTTCTTGGAGAAGGAGAAGGAGAGGGAGGCCGCAGAAGAGAAGGCCGTGTGGGGATGGAGGCAGAGACTGGAGGGATGCAGCCACCAGCCAAGGAATGCTGGGGGCCACCGGAAGCTGGAAGAGATGAGGAAGGATCCTGCTGAGAGGCTTTGGAGGGAGCATGGCCCTGCTGATACCTTGATTTCAGACTTCCATTTTCTAGAACTGTGAGGGAATGCATTTTTGTTGTTGTCAGCCACTGAGTTTGTGCGAATTTGTTACAACTGCTGCAGGAAAAAAACTGCCACGTGACTCTTGGAGCCTCAGTTTCCTCTTCTAGCATGTGGGGTTCGAGTTGTGCCTTCCACTCAAGCCAGGTGTAGGGCGCGGTTCAGCGATGTCTATAAAGTGCCTGCAATAGCCTGTGATTGGCAGCTGGGATGCTTACAAGACGTGGCTGTGGCTGTGGGTGAGGCCCTGGAAAACAGGGTTGCCGGGCACAGGATGCATTGACTGAGACTGTGCTTGGAAAAGGCTTTTGCGAACTGTGAAGTGAGGGGCTGCTCCTTATGTTGATTGGGCTGTGAACCTGGGAGCCCCCAGCTGCCCCAAGAGAGCCCCTCCAGCCCATCATCCACTTTCCACTTTGCCATTTTTCCTAATTTCACTTCTACCGATGCTCATATTGATTCGGTACTTTTCATGAAACCAACTCATTCTTTCAGCTTAAATGAGCGTATTTAAAAAGGACACTTTATACTGCTAGAGTAAATGAAAAGCACGTTCCACTTGCCCTGAAAAGACGGTGACCTTAAACAAAAGTGCAACGAAAACAAAGCGGAGTGGTCTGTGAAAGTTCAGCCAGGCGCTGCCGTCTGCCGAGGGCTCTCGGCCTGAGGTCTGCTTGGTTTTTGTTAAAAAGGGAGGTAGCAAAAGGGGAGGCGTTGAAGACACATCAGCACCAAACCGAGGTTTTCTTCTTGTTAGTAATCAGGAAAGTGATCAGAGAGGAAACAATGATTTCATTTACAAAATTCTTTTTTTTTTTTTTTTTGAGACAGGGTCTTGCTCTGTCACTCAGGCTGGAGTGCAGTGGTGTGATCATGGCTCACTACAGCCACAAACTCCTGGGTTCAAGCCGTCCTCCTGCCTCAGCCTCCCAAGTAGCTGGCACTACAGGCACACACCACCATAACTGACTAATTTTTAAACTTTTTGTAGATATAGGGTCTCGCTATGTTGCCCAGGCTGGTCTTGAACTCCTGGGCTCAAGCAATCCAACTGCCTCAGCCTCCCAGAGTGCTGGGATATCGGGCATGATCCACCACACCCGGGCATTCATTATGTAATTGTTAATGTTGAGTCCATGTATCCCCCTAAATTAATCTCTCAGGGCACACACCCCACGCTATGGGAAACAATGCTCTGGCCAAGCATTCTTCCCCCACCCCTCCCCCATCCATACTCCTGGAAAACTGGTCTGGAGAGGGGGTTGGATAGACTCATCCAAGGCTGTAAAGTGAGTTGATAGCACAACCGCAACTAGAATTCACATCTTTTCATTCCCAACCCATTGCCCTTTCCACTGTACTAGACTCCCTTGCTGCTTTTTAAAAGAGGCTTTCAGTAATACATTGCTTTTTCCATGTGAGCGAGACTAGTGGTGGGGTGTTAGGCATTATGTGGCAGACACATCACTCCCCATGTGCTACAGTCTCAGAACAGGACCAGCCCCAGTGATCACCCTTCAGAGGTGAGGACGACTGGTTTTAAGGTGAGGCTCTGTGCCTTCTGCTCTTGGAACCTTAGTTGCTTTACTTGTCAAATGGGCACAAACAGCCCATCCTTGAAGGAGTATTGGGAGGCTTGGCAGCGATGAACAGGTAGCACCCACCTGGGGCACTTGACGCAGGCCTGGGCAGGGTGCCCTCCATCGGCAAGGCCCGCAGAGCTCAAGGCCAACTCTGGTGGGCTGGGACCAGGGCTTGGGACTGGGCAACCCGCGTCAGCTATCATGGTGAGCTGTTGGTTTTGTGGATTTTCACATTTTTGAAGTTGGCACAGGAATAGGAAACCCATACCTGTCCAGGTGGGCAGTGATTGGGCCAAAAATATCTCTGGTGGGTTTTTGTGGCTGCAGAGGAATGAGCACTGAGCAGGGTTCAAAGGTAGCATTCTAGGGTTTCAGCTCTGCTCCAGACATGCTGGGCACTTGGCCTCGTCATTTCTCTCTCTTGGGCCTTGCTTTGCTCATCTGTAAAGTGGAGTGACACGTCATCAGACATTCCAGTTCTCACGCACTCACTCATTCAGACCACACTGCTTGAGCCCCTCCTCTGTGCAGAGCAGGGTGCTGGAACACAGATGGAGAATGATAATCCTACAACAAACTCATTACATTAGGTGACATGAGTGGGGAATGTCGGGAGGTCGGGCCAGGTGTGATGGCTCATGCCTGTCATCCCAGCACTTTGGGAGGCTGAGGTGGGTGGATCACTTGACGTCAGGTGTTAGAGACCAGCCTGGCCAACACGGTGAAACCCCGTCTCTACTAAAAATACAAAAATTAGCCGGGCATGGTGGAAGGTGCCTGTAATCCCAGCTACTCAGGAGGCTGAGGTAGGAGAATTACTTGAACCTGGAAGGCAGAGGTTGCAGTGAACTCAGATTGCGCCACTGCACTGCAGCCTGGGCAACAGAGCAAGACCCTGTCTAAAAAAAAAAAAAAAAAAAAGAAAGAAATGTCTGGAGTTCCAACGCAGATGATCCTAGGGAGCTGACCTGGTCTTGCTGCTGGGATAGTACAGGAGCGTGGAGAAGCCTAAGAGAGCCTGGGTCTGAAATCTGGGAATCCCAGGCAGATCCAGAGGACAGTGCCGATCAGATGCCAAGCCAATGGCTGGTTATAAATTCCCCTAAATGGGGAGGGGGAAGAGACAAATGATGTTGGATGGCTGGGAGTGAACGCTGATAATTCTCCAGCCTGCTCCCCACAAACCGCTCTTGAGTTGTTACCCTTTCTTAGGAACAATAACCATTCTCTCAACTTTCAGTGCAATGGGAATAACCCTGTCTCATGTTACTATGTGGAACACAGTGGGCTGGCGAGGTACCAGGGTCTTACAGATGGGACCTCAGTCCCTTCTCTAACCAGATTCCCACCCCGAGGCCCACCGGGGTGCCATCCCGGCTGCTGCACGGGACCCTCTTGGGCGGTGCACAGGGATGTGGCATTCAGTCCCAGAGACTCTCCAAGGGACATCATTCTTCTTGAAATTCTTTTTCAGACCCTCTGTCTACACTGGGGAGAAAGTCTCTCAGCTTGGTGCTGATGTGTGTTTAATGCCTCTCTAGCCCCATGGACCTTCCTTTACAACAAAAAGAGAGAAGGCAGGCCTCGGGCTCAAATTGCCAGGAAAAAAAGCAGTAATGGTTGTCTGAGATTTAGTGACTTTTTTATTTTTTATTTTTGAGACAGGCTCTCACTTTGTCACCCAGGGCTGGAGTGCAGTGACGCGAACACAGCTCACTGCAGCCTCGACCTCTCGGGCTCAAGTGATCCTCCTGTTTCAGCCATTCAAGTAGCTGGGACTACAGGCATATGACACCAAGCCTGGCTAATTTTTGTATTTTTTGTGGAGACGGGGTTTTGCCGTGTTGCCCAGGCTGGTCTCAAACTCCTGAGGTCAGACAATCTGCCCGCCTCGGCCTCCCAAAGTGCTGGGGTTACAGGCGTGAGCCACCATGCCTGGCCTAATGACATCTTTTGTTTGCATTGTGTTTGTTTTAATTTCCTTTTCAGTGATTGTTATACGGCTTTTCCAGTTTTCCATAATGATGCTCTAAAGCTTCCTTGCAAAATAAATTTATTTAAGAGAATCAGTTTGAAGGAAACATAATGTCCAGAAACAGTTTGTTCAGGGGCCACATGGATAGAACAGGACTCAGGAAGGAGAGACTGGAGCTTGGCAACTGCCATCCTGTGGGAGTGGGAGCCGCTGCAGGTCTTGAGCAGGGGAGGGACCACCCGTGGCTGTCTCCCTGGTGATGCTGGGTTCCCAGAATCAGGCCCAGGCCTGTCCTGAGTCCATGAGGCCCCAGGCCCTGAACTTCCATGGTGATGGAGAAATATAGAGAGACAATAAGGCAGTGAACCGTGGCAGAGGGTTTATGAGGCGGCCATGCTCGAACGGTCAAAAGTTAGGGAAAATGTATTTATTACAACACTTTTCATGGGCAAGTTATCATTTTGTCAAACTTTATTAGAGGGACTAATTAATGGGTTGTAAAAAGTACTAGTGCGTGGCCAGAGAAAGAGCTGGTCCCGGGGACATTGGCAGCCCCAGGATTTATGACCCCACTGTTCCCCATTTATTAATGTGGAGAAGGTGCATGGAGTGGGTTATATATGGGCTGGTGCAGAGCCGCCCTCCCTCCCAGGAGGCTGGTGGGCCTGTGAGGGGGTGAAGGCAGAGGTCCTCTAGCCGCTGCCTTCTAGGGAAAGGCAGGTAGAGAGGCAGGTAGAGAGAGGCAGGAGGCCTGGGCTAGGAGGGAGACATCTGGCTGTGTGACCTTGGGTGACATTTTCCTCTCAACCTCAGTGTCCTCATCTGCACCTCAGGGCAGATGTGAGGAGCTAAGAAGGTCTTCAGTGGGAACATGCGATATAAACTGTGAAGTGCTCTGCACTACATAAATTATAAAGTGCTCGGTAGCTGAAGGATGGTGTGGTTATATGGTGTTATACTAGGCAGACAGCATGAATGACATTGAGGGAGCCCTACTGTATGGCAGGAACTGTGCAAATGCTTCTCTTGCTTTATTAACCCTAGTCCATGCTCCTCCTCCAGACCCTTGCCTTCTCATCTCTAGGCATTCAGCTCAGGTGCCTCTTCCTCCAGGGAGCCCTCCTGACTGCCCCCACGTGATGCACAGTGCTCAGTTCGTTTCCTCTGCAGCCCCATGCAATCTTGACTTATTTAGCGACTGGTTCACTTTGCTGTGTATTGTGTTTCCTCCACGTGGTAACAGAGCAGAGACTGTGTTCACCTTGTCCCCTGCTCTCTTCCCAGTGCCTAACACAGTAGGGGCTCAATGCATGTCTGCTAAGTAGATGAGGGAAGGCCTGCGGGCATAAAGACTGGGAGGCAGGATCATGTGGGACACATGCATGGAAGTGAAAGAAAGCCACTTGTTGGGTGGCGACTAGAGCAGGCACTCAATAAATGCAGTCGCCAGGTGGGAGGGTGGATCTGGGCCCATTCCTGACCCTCTCCACACAGCAGGGGGATCAGCTGGGGCTCGATCTTCTAGCACAAGCCCCTTCTGTCCGGGCTGTGAGTTATGGGGCTGGCTGAGCTGGGCTCCCAACCCTCTGACCCTCGGTGGAGACAACATCCCGGAGCTTTGGGTGAGAACCTGTATCGTTATCTGCTGTTTCTCAAAGGCCCACTCAGCTACACGCCTAAATAAAGAGTGTGGATGTTGGGGTGGGGAGGGTGTGCCCAGGCTGAAAATACCCACAGCAGAAATTGACCAAGGTCAGGAAATGGAGAAGACTAGAATGTCCTAGGGACATGGGTTCAAATCCTGGCTCCCCCACTTAGCAGCTGTGAGACCTTGGGCACGTCATTCAACACTCAGCCTCATTTTTCCCATCTGTACAGTGGGGATACTAAGGGTGCACCCCTCACCAGGCTGGTGCGGGGATTTGAGATGACGTCTGGGAAGCTCCTGGCACCAGGAGGTCCTTGGGAACTGGGAGAGCCTCACCCTGTTCTGTCTGAGTCCTGCTAGGGCCGAGGGCAGGAGGCAGGCGCCTCCGTGACTCAGGCTCAGCTTTCACCTGGGCTGAGCCTCGTGACTTCTGTGTGGACAGCTGGCTCCTGGCTGGGAAATGAGTTCTCCTTTTGGTCTCTTGACCGGTGTGGTATGAGGTCAGTGAGTGTTAACCTGGCAGGGACTGCTCCCTCTGCAGGGTCAGGGGGAGGACAGGAGACGAAGGTGGCTTTGAGCCACAAGAAGTGAATGACCCATAGTCTGCACCTCTGCAGCAGGGGACTGATGCACACTGGTTGTCATCCTCACTCCCCCCAGGTCGGGGCTGGCACTGTTCTGCCCACCCCTGGGACTGCTATGAGGGGCAGCTTCTGTGCGGAGCTTCACAGGCCTTGCTCATTCCCTCCTCCCCACAATGCTAGGAGGTTGGCATGATAATCCCATTATCCAGTTGACGAAACTGAGTCTCCGAAGCTTACGTTACGTAACTCCACAGGACCGTCTGGTACCAGGAACTGGCCAAATGTGAAGGTGTAAAACACAAAGTTCACACCCTGAAGAACCTTCTAGTCCAGTCGGGGAGATGGACCCAGAATGTCAGATTAAGGTGAGAGACAGACTCAGGACCAGAGGCGCTTCCTGGAGGAAGGGATATTTTAGCTGGGTATTGCGCATGAATTTACCCAGCACAGAAAGAGGAAACAGCATGTGCACAGGTGCAGAGGCTGAAAAGGGACTGCTGGCTGGTCTGATGGGGCTGGAATAAAGAGGGGAAGTTGGGATATGGAAGGATGTGAGTCAGACAAAGTCAGTGGGTACAAGTCCATGAAAAGCCCTGGAGGACAGGCCAAGGAGTTTGGCTGAGAGGAGAAATCTGATGGAAAAGGCTGCCTGCTATAGCTACACCATTGACTCGTTTGTCAATAAGATGCTTCCAGAATGAGTGCACCAGTCTTCACTATTTATGACAGCTCCAACTCTTCCCCAGCTCTGTGGGCAGATCTTCTGACTCTTGGTGAGAAGGTGGCCTGGTAGCAACTCACATGCCTGAGTCTGGGGGTGCAGATGGAGGAAGAACAGGAATCCCCAAGATTCCCGAGTCAGTGGACATCAACAGATGGCTAGAAACCCTTCCCTGGGAGGCTGCTAATTTTTTTTTTCTTTGAGACAGATTCTTGCTGTCTCCCAGGCTGGAGTGCAGTGGTGCAATCTCGGCTCACTGCAAGCTCCACCTCCCGGGTTCACGCCATTCTCCTGCCTCAGCCTCCCGAGTAGCTGGGACTACAGGCATCCGCCCCCATGCCCGGCTAATTTTTTGTATTTTTAGTAGAGACGGGGTTTCACCATGTTAGCCAGGATGGTCTCGATCTCCTGACCTCGTGATCTGCCTACCTCGGCCTCCCAAAGTGCTGGGATTACAGGGGCGAGCTACTGCGCCTGGCCTGGCCTTTTTTTTTTTTTTTTTAAACAGAGTCTTCTACTGTCACCCAGGCTGGAGTATAGTGGCACAATCACAGCTCACTGCAGGCTCAAACTCCTGAACTCAAGAGGTCCTCCCATCTCAGCCTCCTGAGTAGCTAGGACTATTAGATACACACCACCACACCTGGCTATTTTTTATTTTTATAGAGATAGGGTCTTGCAATGTTGCTCAGGCCAGTCTTGAAGTCGTAGCTTCAAGTGATCCTCCTGCCTCAGCCTGTAAATTTTGATCACCCACTCCTTGTGGCCAACTGAACTTCATACCAGCATGGCATGTACAGAGCAGGTTTGGTTAATAGCAAGGATCACCTCATGAAATAATCTGGAAAGAAGGGAAGTGCAACGCCAAACTGGCCCAAAGAAAGATGATGCATTTACTAGAATGCACGAACTCTCCTTGGGAGTATAAAAGAGAACCAGGACAGGGCAGAACAGGGTGCTTCCACCCAGACAGTGACCAAGGGCTCAGTGTGATGGCTGCGGATCCTTTGCTACACCTTGTTGTGGTTCTTGCTACTATCTCTAAGTTGTTTAACTTTGTTTTTGAGTGATTTAATCCCTTTCAGAGGGCGGCCAAGGATTCTAGTTTTTGAGACTGAGCCAGGAACATTCAAAGGTTGCAAGCAGCTGCCTGTAGAAAGGGGAGGCATGGTTATTAGGGGGAAAAGGCCAGATGCCCATGGATGCCAGACAAGGATACACCCGTTTTGGGCACCTTGGAGGGGCACAAATTGGGGGAGGCTACTATTGTGCTAGAAATTTTCTCTGGGTGTCCTGTTTTCTGTCTCTCTCTCTTTCTTTCCCTCCCTCCCTCCCTTCCTCTCTTTCCTTCCTTCCTTTCCTTCCTTCCTTCTTTCCCTCCCTCCCATTTCTTTTTTTCCTTCCTTCCTTCCTTCCTTCCTTTCTTTCTTTCTTTCTTTCTTTCTTTCTTTCTTTCTTTCTTTCTTTCTTTCTTTCTTTCTTTCTATCTTTCTTTCTTTCTTTCTTTTTCTTTCTTTCTTTCTTTTTCTCTCTCTCTTCCTTCCTTCCTTCCTTCCTTCTTTCCTTTCTTCTTTTCTTTTCTTCTCTCCCTCCCTTCCCCTCTCTCTTCCCTTCCCTTCCTTCTCTCTCCCCTTCCCTTCCCTCTCTCTCCCCTTCCCTCTCCCTCTCCCTCTCCCTTCCCTTCCCTTTCTTTCTTGACAGGGTCTCACTCCATCACCCAGGCTGGAATGCAGTGGCTCAATCAACACACCACAGCCTCGGCCTCCCTGGGCTCAGGTAATTATCTCACCGTAGCCTCTCGAGTAGCTGGGACTACAGGCACGCACCAACACACCTGGCTAATTTTTGTATTTTTTGTAGAGGCGGGGTTTCACCTTGTTGCCCAGGCTGGTGTTGAACTTCTCCTGGGTTCAGGTGATCCACCTGTCTCAGCCTCCAAAAGCCTGTTGTCTTTAGAATCAAGCCCAACCTTGTCAGCAATCTGCCAGACTCTGAGGGACTGCCCTGCCCGCCTCTTTCTCCTCTTCCTGTTTCCCTCCTGTCCACTCTGCTATGCCCTGTCTTCCTCTTCCTCACAAATGAAGGGTCCCTGTCTATTTTGTTTTTTGCCCAACCCTGGAGGCCTAGGACAGTGCCTGGCACACAGTAAGTGCTCATTAGATGGGTGCAGATTGGATGAGTGACCTCTTGCAGGTGAACACATCTCATTGAATCATGACAGCTGCCCTGTGGGAAGGCTGAGACAGGCCAGTTCCTGCCAAGGAGGGACAGCCGGGAGGGGCATTTGGAACCTGTCTATTGGTCTCTTCCACCTTGGCTCATGGGACTTCTCTGAAGCTACATGATGGACTAAGTCTTGGGCCTTCTGCCCCAAATCCAGAACCTGGGGTCCCTGTCTCCATCTCTTTATTCAGAAATTTGCTTCCCAGTAGGATCTTGTGGCCAGGATGGAGAGAGTTCTTTCCAGGTATTTTGCAGTATTGATGGGTGATAAGACGAGGGTACCCAGTGCTGACTTGGCACCCTAGGATCTAGGAGTGGGTTGTTGGTGGGGGGGTGTTGTCCCTTGTCCAGCCATCCCAGCTCCTTTGCGTTCCCTCCCCATCTCTTCTTTTCTCCTTCTACAGAAGTCTAGGAATCCTCTTGGCACTTGACCTTGGGCCTCTGAGATCCCAGCTATGACCAGGTATGGTGAGGGCATGGGGTGAGCCTCCAAGCTTCTCAGGCTTAGAGCCAAGGAGGAAAAAGCTGTACATGTCAGCAAGCATTGGCCACCTACTGTATACCAGGCGTCGGGGCATGGAGAGAAACAGACAGGATTCCTGCTCCAGATGCAACACTCTGAAGTGTCAGAGACACCCAAAAACACCCGAAGTGTCAATGGAGATGAAAAGGGGAACTCAGGTTGGGCAGTCCTAGAAGGAGAAAAGAAAAGACCCCAGAGAGATCCTGCTTGGGGCAAATCTTGAAAGATAAACCATTGTTTTAGAGATAGATAAAAGGAATTCCAGGCAGAACGCATGGCCGAGACAAAGGCATGAAGGTGGAAAACCACCTGATTCCACTAAGAGGCTTCCCTTAGAGTGTCAGATGAACCAGTGGCAGGGTCAGGCTCTTTCTTTTTTAATTTAATTTTATTTTTTTGAGGTGGAGTCTTGCTCTTGTCACCCACGCTGGAGTGCAATGGCATGATCTCAGCTCACTGCAACCTCTGCCTCCTGGGTTCAAGCAATTCTCCTGCCTCAGCTTCCCGAGTAGCTGGGATTACAGGTGTGCACCACCACACCTAGCTAATTCTTGTATTTTTAGTAGAGACAGGGTTTCACCATGTTGGCCAGGCTGGTCTCGAACTCCTGACCTCAGGCGATCCACCCACCTCGCCTCTCAAAGTGCTGGGATTACAGGTGTGAGCCACCGCACCCAGCAAGTCAGGCTCTTTCTAGGGGCACTTCAGGAAGACTATCTGCAGAGATCAAGAAGCCTGATCTCTACCTGCGGGTGCTGGTTGCTGGGGGGCACATTTAATCCACTTAGGGAAACAAACTCTTCACCAGTATTCTGGTGCCTCCTTTCTCTGCATGCAAATGGATGCCACTAATGGCAGTAGAAATCTGGGCTCCATTAAAGCAGCACCCACTCCCACCACTAATTTGGAAGCCCCTTTGGCAGTATGAGTGCCTGTGCATCTTCCAGAAGATGTTCTGTTTTCTTTAAAGAGCTGAATTATTCAGTCAGCAACTCAACAAATATTTATCCAGTGTGTTCAGCATGCCAGGCCCTGTGCCAGGACCTGGAGACACCATCCTGTCCTCGAGGGGCTGCCGTACCCGTTGGGGAGATGCAGAGGTACAGCTGTGCTGGGTGCAGTGTAGAATAAAACCCTTTCTGAAGGGTCTTGGTTTGGGTTGCTCAGAGGTGAGGACTCAAAGGCAAGTGGTTTGTTTGAGAAATGATTCCAGGAAGTGCTTGAAGGGGGATGGGGCAGTGAGACAGGGAGAGGGAGGCAGCTAATACAGGGAGTGTGGGTCGAGCCAGTTACCATGATGGGCAGCTGGAGTTCAAGCCTGTAGGACTTCAGGGAGACCATGTAGAATATACTCCTCAGAGGTGTGTGCCCTGTGAGGAGAGGGAGCTGAGGTATTGATACACTATCTTCCCAGAGCCATTAGTTCTTAGCACTTCCAGTGTGCCTTTTGCAGTTCCAGAAACGCAATCCTGGCCGGGCACGGTGGCTCACGCCTGTAATCCCAGCACTTTGGGAGGCCGAGGCAGGAGGATCGCCTGAGGTCAGGAGTTTGAGACCAGCCTGGCCAACACGGCAAAACCCCATCTCTACTAAAAATACAAAAATTAGCCGGGTGTGGTGGTACATGCCTGTAATCCCAGCTACTTAGGAGGCTGAGGCAGGAGAATCACTTGAACCCAGGAGGCAGAGGTTGCAGTGAGCTGAGATCATGCAACTGCACTCCAGCCTGGGCGACAGAGCAAGTCTCCGTCTCAAAAAACAAAAAACAAAACAAAACACGAAAACAGAAATGCAATCCTGGAGCTGGTGTTTGGACTTCCTGGATAATACAGAGATGGTCAGGTATGAGGAACACAGGTCGGGTACTGTATTAGTTTCCTGTGGCTGTTGCAAGAAATTTTCACCGATTTAGTGTCTTTAAACAACATACATTTACCATCTTACAATTCTGGAGGTCAGAAGTGCTAAAATCGAGGTGTTAGCAGGGCTGTGTTCCATCCAGAGGCTCTAGGGGGAGGAAAATCCATTTCCTTGCCTTTTCTAGCTTTTACAGGCCACTCACATTCCTAGCTTGTGACACTTTCCTCCATGTTAAAAATCAGCATTGTAGCATCTTCCAGTCTCTCTGTTTCTGTCATTACATCACCTTCTCTGACTCTAATCCTCCTGCCTTCCTCTTACAAGGACTCTTGTGATGACATTGGCCCACCAAGATAATCCAGGATAACCGCTGCCCTCCCACCCCCAATCTGAAGGTCATTAATTTAATCACATTTGCAAAGTTCCTATTGCCAGGTAAAGTAACATATTCACAGGTTCTGAGGATTAGGATATGGATGTCTCTGGGAGGCCATTATTCTGTCTACCACAGAGATCTTCAGCATCTGCTTTAGGTGGGTGCAGAGAGCCTGTCCAAGGGCAAGGACATCACTATTAAATGTGAAAGACGAAAAAGAGTTTCTCTGTGCAAGAAAAGTGACCAGACAGAGGATGTGTCTTCTCCGTGCAGACTTGGTGGCCTGAGCTGGTGTATGTGAGGCCTGATGAGAGGCCAGTGTAAATGGAGCAGAGTGAGGGCATGGGCACAGAGGGCAGGGAAGTGGAGGGTGATGACCTGAGACCCATCAGTGAGACTGCATCCCCCAGCACTTGTTGGCTGTGGAAGGATCTCAGAGTTTTTACTATTTTGAGATGGAGTCTCGCTCTGTCACCCAGGCCAGAGTGCAGTGGTGTGATCTTGGCTCACTGCAACCTCTGCCTCCTGGGTTCAAGGAGACCATGCCCAGCTAATTTTTGTATTTTTAGTAGAGATGGGGTTTCACGACGTTGGCCAGGCTTGCCTTGAACTCCTGACCTCAGGGGATCCAACTACCTTGGCCTCCCAAAGTGCTGGGATTACAGGCGTGAGCCACCATGCCTGGCCAGTCTCAGAGTTTATTCTGAGTGAAAGGGAACCTGTCACAGCATTCCAAGCAGGGCAGTAATCTGATTTGTATTTTGGGGCTCTCACTCTGGCTGCTGCCTGGAGGATGGGTTAGTGGGGTGAGCATGAGAGGCAGGATGACCATGTCCTGAGCCTGGCATGAGATGTGTTCGGGACAGAAGAGGGGGCTGGGGATGGACAAATGTAATGAGACTTGAAGAATACTGAAGAGGTAGAAGCAATGAGATTGTCGATAGATTGGTGCCCAAAGAGGAATTAAAATTGGAACTTCCTTCTGTCGGAGGAAATTGAGTGGCACCAACCTCAATCATGGATTTTAGACAAAGTGGCAGATTACTATACATGAATGCATGCTTGGCAAATGGGAAGGACCCCAGCTCTTTCCTGTGAAGCATCACCAGACTCATTGGCCACAGCCCGTAGTTGGTGTACGGTGAGGTAGGAGGGTGATCTTGGAGGTAGGGGCTGAGGCTTGTAGCCAATTTTTCTCCTTTCCTCTCTCCCTCCTTCCTTCCATTCTTTCTTTTCAGTTCAAATATTTTTTATTTTACACTTGTTCTTAGCCAAAAGGCCGATAAGTGATTCTCTGATTTTAAAACTGAAAGAAGAAAGCATTATAATCTCATTACTCTAAGAAACTTCAAACTGCCTTAGATGTGTATTAAGTAAAAAGCCAGACTTGCTTTACTTCATTCCTGCATTACCACTTTCCAAAGACAACCACTGCTAACAGTTCCTCATGTGACCTTACAGGCATTTTCATGGTGTTTGCTTTCTCATGGGTTTTATAATTTGGGATTGCAAGCTTATCTTATGGCATTATCTGTGGGAATCTTGAATGTCATGGTTGAGGGTGTCTGGTGGAGCATTTGTTTCTGCCTTGCTTGCCATAATATCATCACCCCTGGTCTGGCTTTTACGTTTTTCTCAGTTTGGGCGTTCCCATCTGTGCATGTAGTTCAAATTTAAACACCAAATTCCCATGATCACAGGTCCATAGTTATACAGTCTTAGGGGAGTTTGTTTTTTTCCTGAGCCCAAGCCAAGACAGACAAAATTCCTTGTTGCTGTCCTTTGCTGCCATACAATTTTTCCCTTACTTCATTATTTATTTGAGAATATTGCCTTTTGGGGACCCTGATTTTAGGTAGCAGTCTCAGTTCCAGCACTCCACCTTTGGAGGGCTCCAGGCTTTGCCTCCTGTCCCCATATGGCTGTTAAAACTCTATCCCCTCAATTCCCAGAAGTCTCTTATATGCCTTGCACCTCCAAATCTCCCCCATTTCAAAGAAATGGAACTCTCCTGTCAATCATTCTCCTTGTGTGTTGGGGAAGCAGTGTCATTTAATGGTTAGTGGTGGCTTTCAGACTTCCTGAGTTTGAATCCCAGGCTTACCACTCACTAAAGAAGTGACCCTGGGCACTCATTACTAAATTTTTCTGAGCCTCAGTTTCCTCATCTATAAATTGGGAATGACAATATTTTCTACCTCATAGGAGTCTTACAAGGGCTAAATAAGGCAATGAATTTGACTACCTAAAATAGTGTGTATTAATCCCTCAATAAATGTTGACAATTGTAATAAAACTATGTCCTTATGTTTTTACACAAATGGGTTCACAGGAGGCTCACTGTTCTGCACCACCCTTTTTCTGTAGATTGGCCTGCATCAGCCCAAATGGTTCCATGTTCTTCTTTTTAATGGCTGCATAGTACTCCTTTGCATGGATGCACCACAGTTCATTTAACCAGAGTCCTGTTGGCAGGCATTTCAGATGTTTGCAATTTTTCTGTGAGACCAACACCACTGTGATCAGCATCCTGGTAAGTCCATCTTCATCATTCACTCATTCCATTTTGCCTCCAGATCAAGTCCACGGAGTGAGATTGCTGGATGAAAATGAAGCCTTGTTTAGAGACCATTTCCCTCCATCTTCATTTCTTTAGTCCCTTTCCTGAATGACACCCAGGGGATGTGGTGGCTGGAGGGAAATGCACAGCAAAGGATTCAAAAGTGGTGTGCATGAACATCTCCCCCCATTTTCTGTTTTTTTTTTTTTTTTTTCCTAGAGTGAAAGATACCTTGATTAGACAGTAATTAAGAGTGTTTTGGACAGCACAAGGCACTAATAGCCTCCCAGGTGCTTAATAAGTGTCAAGACTGCCAAGAGAAAAATTTATTTAGCATTATAACAGACTCTATGGATGCCAAATTTGCCTTCAGCCATGGCGCTGTAACACTGGGGAATGGGAACAGGGTCAGAGCTTTAGTGCCCATTGGAAAGGGCAACCAAGGCAGCAATGTGGGTAGGTCAAGAGCACTAGATGGGACCCAGACAAATCTGGGTTCTAAGCCAATCACTGCCACTTACTAGTTCCAGGAGCATGGCCAAGTTATGGACCTTCTCTGAGCTTCATTGTCATCACTTATAGATCAAGGCTTGAAATATCTAACCTATCAGGTTCTGGGAGGCCATGGGTGCAGTCATTAAGAATGTGAACTCTGTTTGGGAGGACAAGGCAGGTGGATCACTTGAGGCCAGGAGTTTGAGATCAGCCTGGCCAACATGGTGAAACCCCATCTCAACTAAAAATATAAAAATTAGCCAGGCATGGTGGCGCACACCCATAGTCCCAGCTATTCGGGAGGCTGAGGCAGGAGAATCACTTGAACTCGGGAGGTAGAGGTTGCAGTGAGCCAAGATCACACCACTGCACTCCAGCCTGGGTGACAGAGTGAGATTCTGTCTCAAAAAAAAAAAAAAAAACAGTAAACTCTGGGTTCTGGTCCAGCCACTTCTACTCATTAGCTGAGGACCCTGGGCAGGATTCCAAATGTTTTTGAGTGTTAGTTTTCTCATCTGTAATGTGGCTATAATAATAATCCTATAAGCCCACCTTATAGAATTGTGGTTAAGACAAGAAAATGTATGCAAAAGACTTAGCCCAGTGCTTGGCCCAAATTAAATGCTCAAAAGATCAGTACCTCACATTGGTGTTAGAAATTTGCTGAGTGTTAAATGAGATAATGCATATACAACTGAAAAAAAGGTATAATGTATATGTGATAGTTAAGGAAGGCAATGCCAGCTGCTGTAACAGATGCAATTGTCACTTCAGTGGTTTAACACAGTATAAGTTTATTTCTCACTAATGTTACAACCCACTGCTGGCATTTCTGGTTGGGCAATCTGCCTCCATGCGGTGACTCAGGCACTCAGGCTCCTTCTATCTTGTGGCTCTACCATTTTCAACACTTACTTTGAACTCTGTTCCATTCAGCAGGCAGGTGGGGAAAGAGAGACCGAGGAGACATACCTGCTTGTTAATCATTTCAGCCCTGAAGTGATGCACATCACTTTTTCTCACAGTCTTTTGGTCAGAGTTAGTCACATGGCCCTACCTAGATGCAAAGGAACCTGGGAAATGTAGTCCATGCATGATCAACTGCTGCCCAAGAAAAACTCTGGAAGGAAAGCAAGAATCCGTGGTGGTCACCTCTACTTAGTCCAGCACCCTCATTTCCAAGGGGTGACCTGGAAATGACTCAAGAGTTGGGTAGTGACCCAAGAGTGGGTTGGAGCTGGGGGTGTGTACAGGGTATGTCTCCTTTCCTTGAGCCAGGGGCGATGTTGGTGCTGGAGGCTGCATCATTCCCTAGACCAAGTTAGTCCAACCTGGTGCCTGCAGGTCGCGTGCAGCCCAGGATGGCTTTGAATGAGGCCCAACACAAATTTGTAAACTTTCTTAAAATATTATGAGTTTTTTTTTGCAAATTTTTTTTTTTAGCTCATCAGCCATCATTAGTGTTAGTGTATTTTATGTGTGGCTCGAGACAATTTTTTTCTTTTAATGTGGCCCAGGGAGCCAAAAAATGGGACGGCCCTGCCCTAGACAGAGGGTAACGACAATGATTCCCGTTGGAGCACTGGACACAGAGCAATGATTCCCGTTGGAGTGCCGGACACAGAGCAATGATTCCCGTTGGAGCACTGGACACAGAGCACTCCGTCCCTGTGATCACATCTAACCCCTAAATAGCCCCAACAGGGCATTTTCATTATTACCATCACTCATGTCATGCACAGGTGAGGAAACTGAGGCACAGCATGGCTCCATGCCTTGCCTAAGTTCTCACAGCAAGGCAGGAGCAGACCCAGGCCTTGAACTCAGATCTCAAGGTGAACACGGTCCTCTTGGAGGCCAGGGTCACACCAGAGGGTCCCACATGCAGGGACGGGGTAAAGGATTCTCCACTTGCCCCAGCAAATTTTCAGACACCAAGGCCTGTGGGACAAGGCCTGGCTGCTGTGAGGCTGAATAAGCAAACCAGTGGAAGAACAAAGAAGAATGGTTCTTTCTGGAACCTCTAGTTTGTTCTTTGAGCACATTAAATATGCCCCTGTAACCTTGCTGACTCTCTTCATTGGCTCTGTAAACCCTCAGTGGCTGTCGCGGGCATTTTTTGTACACACTGTATTTAACACAGAGCCAGATGCACCAAAGGGCTCAGCATATATTTGTTGAATAAAAGAAAGAAAGCCTCAAGGGAAAATTTATCTAAATTACAACGATTTTTCCATTTGTGCGTGCAGTTGTGGACTGTGGAGGTTGACAGAGCTCCTATGAAGTACTAGGCCCAACTTGGAGTCTTCTCATAGCCCTGGGAGGCAGGTCCCACTGATATCTCTGGTTAATAGACAGGGAAACGGAGGCACTCCCCTGTGGCTCTGCATTGGTCGAGCCGGCCTGATTCTTTGTCCCTCCCACTGTCTGCTGCCTGGCACTGCCTCTGAGTCACAAGAGGCTGAAAGTGACCTCTGGGCGTCTATAATTAGGCCCTGCCTGACGTCAGGGCAGACGGATTTTCTGGCTTGGCCAACGTCGGCCTATCGTTCACTGCGTGCCAGGCACTGAGTTAAGTCCATTACATGCATTCCCTGACACTTGCAGCAACCCCACTAGGCCCCCATTCTCCAAGGAGAAAACTGAGGCCCAGGAGGGTCATGCCCTGGCCTGAGGTTACTCAGCTGGGAGGAGGTTGAGGCTGGATTTGAGCATAGACCTCTGCAGCTCCGGTAGCCACCAGGCTCTGTCAGTGATCAGTGGTAGCTGTATATTTCTAGATCAAGGGAAGGTTTCAACTGAGCCAGCAGGACAGAGGTGTGCTGAGGCTTGGTGGGCACTGGCCATTCTCACCTCTGACCACTGGCTTCCTAGCTTACTCTGCTCCTTTTTCCTCTTTCTCTAATTTTTTCCCACCTCCTGGCCTTTGCACATGGCTTTGCCTTTGCCTTTGCCTGAAATGCCCTTCACCCATATCCTCCTGTGTCCAGCTCCTTCTTATCTATCAGGTTTCTGTGTAATTGTCACCTCCTCCAGGAAGTCTTCCCTGACCACACCTGCTTCCAGTCTGTTGAGTTATTTTCTTCTTTGAACTGATCTCCAGGTGAAATGATCTCTACCTGTTTATTGCTTGTTTCTTCAACTAGATGTGAACTACATGAGGGCAGACTGTGTCTCTCTTGTTCCTTATGTCTCCAGCCTCGGGGACTCAGCTTAGCACAAAGTAGTTGTCCTAAAAATAGTCGTTAAGTGAGTGACTAACTGAAGGTGAGGGCTTCCCGGGGCAAGAAGCCACCAGGTTGGATGAACAGGTGAACATCTATGGGGACAGAGCCTCAGGTTGCCTGTATGCCCCAGAGCGGGATCTCCGCCAGATGTAGGGGGTCAAGGAGTAGGATCCCGCCTCTTGGAGAGGGAGTCTGGGCTCTGTGCAACAGGGCACTGAGGACAGCCAGTCCAGGTCTGGGACAGTGTGGCCTCTCTTTTTGACATGGGGACATCAGACACTGGTGGCTCCTGGGTCAGAGCCAGTTCTGGATTGTGGCCTGGGTGTCCTGATAAGCCAACAGCCTTTGTCAGGCCGAGCTCCAGGGACCTGCCTGGTGGAGCAGGAAGGACTTGAAGGTGGGGTTGCCGGAAGGTGAGAGACAGGTGTGACCTGGGGTAGGGAAAGAGGGATGTTTGTCATGACTTGGCCTGGCTGCCTTCTTTCCCAAGGCCTGGCGTCTCCATCACGCAAGCTTGTTGAAGGAATGAATGAAGGTATCATCCTAGACAGACCCCAAACAAACAGGAGATGCTCAATCTGGTTCAGCGTGCTTCCTAAGAGTTAATGCTTCTTATTCTTATAACAACCCACGAGTTGGGTCCTATCATTATCCCCATTTTTACAGAGGAGAAAACTGAGGCACAGAGAAATGAAGAGATTTCCCCAAATTCACACAGCTGGGGCTGGGATTTGAACCTGGCCTTCTGGCTCCACAGCGTGATGCCTTTAACTGTCCACTGTACTGCTTGTTTTGGGCTAAAAGCCAAGACTAAAAGGCAGTGGTGTGTACACTTTTGAAACGGAGCCGAAGCTTTCCATGAGTGAATTCTTATTGCTCAGAAACCCTACGTGCAAAATACAGGCCATGGGAGCCTCCCTGACTGAAGTGGGAATTAGGGTTGCGAGACCGCCACACTCATTCATTCCCACATACCCCATCCCCGTCGTGTACCCTCTTCCCACGGGTTCTGCCTCCTACTTTTCTCAAGAATTTTCACATTCCTAAAAGCAGGAAACAGACAGAGTTGACCTTTCCATTGCTGTTGTTGCTAAACTCTTTCTCGGCCCCTAGAACTCTTATAAAGGATACCAATCTGGGGAAGGGGTTTATGAATGAGAGCCCCCTGCCCAGCATCCTCCCTCTTTGGAGGCCTCTGAAACCCCATTAGGGTCCCATGGGGTAAGGATGCGCTCAGGGATCCTGCAGGATTCGAACTTTCCAGGCATTGTATCTCCCTAAGACAATCTAAGATTTCTAAAGATATTTTTTCTTTTCATGGAGACATAATTTATATACAGTAATATATATATACACAATTTATATACAGCACAAATATTACATGTTACACCCATGAAACCATCACTGAAATCAAGATATGAAGCATTTTCAGAACACTGGCTCTACAGAAAAAGTGTGCTGAGCCCTGTTCTGAGGCAGCCCTATTCTCTAGAACTTTCTATGACAGTGGAGCTGTTCTGGGCCTGCGGTGTCCAATGAGGGAGCCATGAGCCACACACGGCCATGGAGTATTTGAAACTTGGCTCATTTGACTGAGGAATTTTATTTATTAGTATTATTTTTTGAGACAGAGTCTCACTCTGTCACCCAGGCTGGAGTGCAGCGGCGCAATCTCAGCTCACTGCAACCTCCACCTCCCAGGTTCTAAGTGATTCTCCTGCTTCAGCCTTTGGAGTAGCTGGGATTACAGGCATGCACCATCACGCCCGGCTAATTTTGTATTTTTAGTAGAGGTGGGGTTTCACGATGTTGGCCAAGCTGGTCTCGAACTCCTGACTTCAGGTGATCCACCCGCCTCAGCCTCCCAAAGTACTAAGATTACAGGCGTGAGCCACTGTGCCCGGCCTATTTTATTATTTTTATTCTTTTTATTTTTGAGACAGGGTCTTGCTCTGTCATCCAGGCTAGAGTGCAGTGGTACAATCATGGCTCACTGCAGCCTCAATCTCCTGGGCTCAGGCGATCCTCCCACCTCTGCCTCCTGAGGAGCTGAGACTATAGGCACAAATCAGCATGCCTGGCTAATTTTTAAAAATCTTTTTAATTAAAAAAAAAATTTGGCTGGGCATGGTGGCTCACGGCTGTAATCCCAGCACTTTGGGAGGCCAAAGCGGGTGGATCACCTGAGGTCAGGAGTTCGAGATCAGCCTGACCAACATGGAGAAACCTCATCTCTACTAAAAATACAAAATTAGCCAGGTGTGGTGGCACATGCCTGTAATCCCAGCTACCTGGGAGGCTGAGGCAGGAGAATCGTCTGAACCTGGGAGGCAGGGGTTTCAGTGAGCCAAGATTGCGCCATTGCATTCCAGCCTGGGCAACAAGAGCAAAACTCCGTCTCAAAAAAAAAAATTTTTTTTTCTTTTTGTAGAGATGGGGTCTCAATGTGTTGCCCAGGCTGGTCTCGAACTATTGAGCTCAAGCCCTGCTCCCACCTTGGCCTCCCAAAGTGCTGGGATTACCGGCATAAGCCACTGCACCTGGCCAAAGCACTGAATTTTAAATCTTATCGAATGTTAATTCATTTACAATGAAATAACCTCACTGGCCCCAGTTCTAAAGGATTCTAACATAAGGACAAAAGATGCTGACATCCACACATCTTGAGAGAGCCCAGCATTCCAGGAAGTGTCACAAGTGTGTCCCTCAGGTTGGGTCTCCCAGTAGCAGCCCCTTCCTGGGCCCCATCTCAGGCCGGCAGCTTTGGGGTTAATGAAGAAGCAGCCTGGGCCTCCTGGTATTTTCTTCAAAGATGTTGTTCCTATTGATATATTTTTGGATGATGCTTTAGCATTAAAAAAAGAGAGAGAAAGAAAAAAAAATCAATGCTCGGCTGATTGTACCAGGAAGGGCAGTCGATTGGCGAAAAAGTTGCAGCGCGTATTGGGAAATAGATTTTTCTGCCCTCCAGACATTAGCTTGAAATTCTTTGAAATGAGGGACCACAATCTGTGTCAGAAATGAAAGATTAAGGAGGTTAATATGCTGGGCCTCCCCTCCTCCTTTTTAATTTCCACGTCCTGGGTGCCCTTGGCCTCCCGAGGAGGACGCAATGGGCTGTGCTGCACTCCATCTAATGTCCCCTCCCCCCATTTCTAGGGGGCTTCTGGAGGGTCAGATGCCCCCGTCACCTGCTCCTGGGGCTGGATGCAGACTGGAGGGAGCGGCAGGCTGACCTTCGTTCCTGGGGGTGGACTTGGGGTCTTGTGATCTGGTGGCCTTCTCCCTGGGGAAGATTTTCCAGGGGCTGGTGGCCGGGTCCTGGTCCCACTCATTAACCTGTGGGATCCCCGGGCTCCAGGCAGCTCCAGTGCAAGCCCCAAGGAGGCGCTGTGCCGAGGACACTGCAACTCCTCCGCCTCACCCAGTTTCATGCATTACAGATTTGCATGCATGCTATGAAATTCAAATGTGTGGAAATCGAGCATTGGTCCCCTGTGTTATAAAGAGGTGAGCATTTAATCCCTGGAGGGCTAAACTAGATGATCAAGTCTCCGAGTAAACTGTTTAGGCACGGTCGTTGATGGTCTATTTCCAGAATTTGGCACATGTCCATTTCGTTAGCTCTTTTCCTTCCCAGTTGAACATTTATCGGGGTGACTTTTCATCCAATAAGCAGCTGATTAAGGTGAAAGATTTGCCACTTCTGGCCTGTTCTGGGCAGTTTCCTTCTTGGTCTCCAACATACCAGGTTTATGAGACCAGTCCTTCTTCCTCTGGGGATAAACGCTTCCGGGTGTCGGGTCTTCATTCATTTTGGTAACACTTGTATGAAACCAAGGACAAGATAATATTCAAACAATTGCACAGAACGTTCTGCAGAGCATCAGCAAATGTAGAGAGAGGCTCGAGGGAGCCTGGTTTAGGGATGTGGGCCCCTTGGGAGGAGCTGGGGTCCCCACCAGCTGAGCTAACCCCATGGGATGTGCACAGGACAGCACCAAGGAAAAGACTTAGCTTTCGGTGTGTTCAGGGAGACACAAATCAGAGACCACTGGACACTTCCTCACCAGGGCCCTGGACTGGATATCTTCATCTTGGATCAAGATTCAGGAAGCATGGAGCCCCACCCTCACTTTCTACCCCACAACCTGCAGCCCCTGCATCTCCCAGGGTTGAGTCCTCCCCCATTCCAGCCTAGCTACGGCCACACAGCAGGAAAGGACCAGGCCATGGGTACTGGCGTGGGCTGAGATCCCCAGCTTCAGGCTGGTTCTGGGCACATACCAGGGAGAAATGTTTGTCCAGGAGAACGTATCTGCTGGAGGGGCACCCCAGATTAGATCCAAGGTATGTGTGTGAAGGATCAGGAAGGGCAAGACAAAGAGTGTCTTTCTGACCCTTCCCCTACGCAGGCCAGGTCAAGCCCCCAGGTGCTCTCCCTAGAGCTCCAGCACCTTCTTCTAAAGCAGCACACACCACGTGCAGTTTTTCTCCTGTTAGAGCCATTCCTAGGTAATGTTGGTCTTCCTCCAGAGCAGGAGCTCTGTGAGGGCAAGGTTGATGTCTTTTATCACTCCCCACTCTGTCTTTCTTGTTCATTGCTGCGTTTCCAGGACCTAGTGAAGGGCAGGGATGGGCAAAAATGTTAGGTGGATGAATGAATGCATGGAGTCACTGTGAAGGTGGAAAAGCTCATGTTAGCAAACACTTATTGAGTATTGAGTGCTTACTGTGTGCCAGGCACTGCTCTTAGCACTCCCACGTACTAACCACCACTGGAGAAAGAAGTAGCACAAGGAAGGGACTTAATACATGCTTCCGGATGCCTATGGAGCTAAATTCCACTGGAGGCCCTTCAGGGACCCCAGGGCTGCCCCCAATTTTCCCAAGTCTGCTGTATCCCAGGTAGAACCCAGTATGAAGTCATCCTGAGCAAATGGATTCAATTCCCCCTTGCTCTGCAGGAGTGAGAACTGTTCCACACAGGTGTCTCTCAGGAAAGCCCAGATCTCTCGGGCTGCTTTTATCTGGGGCCAGCAGGCCCTGGCAGCTCTTTCTGTCTGTCCCTGGGGCTGCACATTTCCAGCCCTGAGCCCTTGCCTTCAGTTATTCCGACAGTGGAGATGAAACAGGGCAGGCAGCAATTGGCATCGGATTTCCAGGACCAGCAGGACTTGGAATTTTACGAGATCTTGAGTTGGAAGGTATGTGAGAGATCATTCCATTTGTTCATTCGTCCATTCCCTCTGGGGCAGAGACGGATTCTTCACTACAATCGCTTTCTTCTTGGCACACAAGGAGGCCTCATTTCCCAGTCTCCTTTGCTCTTAGCTGTGGCTGTGTGATTGAGTTCTGGCCCATGGAGGCAGACGTGACATAAGCCACATGTAGGCCTGGCCCATAAACCACCCCCCACTCCCACAATCCTCCACTTTCTCTCTTTGTCCAACTGCAGTTGGAAGGAGGAGACTCTGACATCCTAGAGGATGGAAGAGCCACAAAATGGAAGTAGCCTGGGCCCTGGGATGGATGCCCACTGATGGGAAACACTCCGTGGCCTTCAGAGGCAGAGAACAAAATGATTGTGTTAAGCCACTGAGAACTTAGGGCTTACCTGTTAGAGCATCGAATGTTACCCCAGCGAATACAGCTCATTGAGCAAGTACTTATTGAGCATCTACTATGTGCCAGGCAGTGGGCTAAGCTCTGAGATAGTAGTGAACGGGTGGAAAAAGTTCCTACCCTGTGGGGAGCTTCCATTGTAGTTGGAGAGATGGAATAAACAAATAGGATCATTTCATGTGGTGGTAAGTGCAGCAAAGAAAAAGAAAGCAGGGTCATGACAGAGAGAGGGATGGGGTGGGAAAGGAGTTTTTAAATCAAGTCATCAGGGAAGCTTTCCTTGCAAAGGGAATATAATATCTGCCGTGAGATTTGAAGATTGAAAAGAAGCTGGCTGTACCTAGATCTGCAGGAAGAGGATTCCAGGCATGCGGAACAGCATTAGCAAGGCCCTGAGGAGGGAACAGGGTGGCTGGAGAGAATGGAGGAGTGAGTGGAAATGGGTTTGGAATGGGAGGTGGGAATCACACTTGCAAGACAATGGAGATTATACAAAGGGGTTTGGATGTTAGCCAAGAGTATTTTAAGTGTTTTGAGACCTGTGCATTGTGCTAAGCATTGAAGAAGATCAAATGAGTAGCAAAAAGAGACACTGCCCAATTCTCTTAGAGGTCAGATTCCAGGTGACTGACTACCCATCTGTTACTTGAATCCTCACTCAAGTGTCTCTGCCAAGCTGTCTTTGCTTGTCTGCCTCCAGTGACAGGGGGCTCACCACCTAGTGAAGCAGCCCCTTGCATCTCTGCATGGTTCTGTTGGCTCAAAGTCCTTCCTTAAATTGCCTCCCGGGGCCTCCACTCCGTGGCTCTGGGATTAAATAAGTCACCCCTTTCTGTCTCATGGAATCAGGGCAGCTACTGTTTTGCCCAGTCATCAGGGATAGCAAGGAGGATAAGACAAAGCCCTTGCCAGAGCTCCTAATAGCTCATGTCTTTCAGGAGAGGTCTTTCAGGCAGAGAGATGCTTTGATACATTGACCGATGTCTCCCCGCCCCCATCCTTCCTCCGTTCAGGCAGCCACAGGGTGTTCTGTATTTTCTGCCTCAGGGATAGATGTTACAACAAGAGGAGGATAAGAGAGTCAAGTATGTGGTTTTTGGATTTCAAAAGCTTATTTTAAGTCACTAGAGTCTGGCTTTTGAGCCTTAAAAGTATGAGTTTTGAAGGATCCAGGGTACAACATTTAGAAAATAACAGACAACGTGGAAGACTGTGATGAGTCAAAGATGGGTATTGGCATCTCAGCAGAGAGGGCAGCTCCTGGGTGGGGGACAGAGGGAGGGTCTGGAGATGAGATAGTCCCCACAGAGAGCAGGGGGAACCTCACCTCATATGCTGGAGGGGTAGACTCATAGAGAAGCAAATTTTCTTTTGTGAGGATGCAAAGTTTAGCTAGGGTGAAAGCAATGGCTAATATCTCACAAATATCCTAGTCCATGAAGCTGGGCATTGGTTCTGACCTCCTGGTATCTTGCTGCTAAGTGCTCAGCATTTCTTCATTCAGTCCAGGGCCTACTGGAGAGACCTTCTCTTCTGCTGGGTTTGCTAAACAACAGGGTGTAAGCTTGAGGGGGCATCTTGCCACCCTGACGGGAGAGCCTGCCTGACAACAAAGTAGAATGAGAGAAAAATTAAGTTGAAAGAGACACTCAGCTTCCTGTTGGTATTGTGGAGACTCTGGATGCAGCCACACCTGAAACTGTAGCTTCGAGAGTTTTCAGGTATTCAAGAAAACAGATTTATTATTCTTTTTTGTTTCTTAAGCCACTGTGAGTTGTGTTTCTGTCACCTGCAGCCAGGAATCCTGATAATACCACCTAGCAGAAGGGAGTGAAAGTGGGGAGTCATTGATTGGGTCAGGTGGGATGATTTCTCACTGGAGTCCCCCACAGCAGACGAGGTGGCTGAAACTCAGAGAAGGCATTGAACTAGCCCAGAAATAGCCAAAGTTTGAACATGGCTCTGCTTTATAATTTTGATCCACTGCATGCCTTCAGAGGACGGGGAGCTGATGCCCCTTGGTCCAATGTGCTCCTCTCATGGGCCACCCTGCTGCCCATGCAGCAGAGAAGAGGCGGGAGAAGGCGTGTGTCTGGAGCGTGCGAGGAGTTGTGCAGGCGAGCCTCTGTGCGCATCTGGATTGGGGAGCGAAGCAGATGGCCCATCTGACTTCACCACATCGTGTAAGTTTACGGCGTCGGCAGGTTCTCCTCCCCGCTGCGTTTATAGGGATGTCTTCAGGATTTCCTTTTTGATATACGAGAGAGGCGCGTAGGCTGGGGCCCCCTTCGTCAGAGGGTAATCTGTGAGTAAATCACTGTAAACCAGCAGGCAAGTGTTTGCACGGGCCGGAGCCCCGTACGTGCTTTGGGATAAATCTTCTCAGTAACGTGCTTATGCGTGTGACCCTGGGGACGAAACGGCATGAAAAGGTCAATTACAAGGGGCACAGGGAAACTTGCCCTTTGCTCCTGCTCTGGACCAGAGGATAGAACAACAGGATGGTAGGAGGGTGTATTGGTTTCTTAGGGTTGCTATAATAAAATACCACACATGGAAGGGTGTAAGACAACAGAAATTTATTCGCTCATGGTTCTGGAGGCTCGAAGTCCAAAATCAAGATGTCCACAGGGCTATGCTCTCTCTGAAGTTTCTAGGGGAGAATCCTTGCCTGTCTATTTCAGCTTCTCATGGTTTCTGCGATCCTTGGTGGTCCTTGGCTTCTAGATGCGTCACTCCAGTCTCTGTCTCTGTGGTCATAGGGCCTTCTCCTTGAGAGTCTGTGTCACTGTATCCAAATCTCTCTCCTTTTTCTCCTAGAAAGTCACAAATCACTACATAAGGACCTGCTGTAACCAGTCTGACCTCATCTTGATTACAGCTGCAAAGACCCTATTTCCAAATAGAGCCACATTCTGAGGATCCAGGGTGACAAATTTTGGGAGGATAATATTCCATCTGGCACAGAAGGGAAAAGGGAAGTTTTTGTCTGAAGAAGGGGCTTGTCTGGAGGTGAGAGGGGCTTCAAAATCTGTGCATGCCCCTTTGTGGGTACTTCCTTAAGATAGCAAAGCTCACGGCAGCTTCTGTTCTTTCCAACAAATAGGCCTCTATGGGGCCCATATAAGAATGAAGGCATTTCCTCTAACCCAGCAACTCTACTCCTAGGAATATCCCCATTAGAAATATGTCCTTATGGCCATTGGAAGACATATACTAGAATGTTCTCAGCAGAATTATTTCTCTTGGCTGAAAACTGGAAATGCTTATCTTGGCAGATTGCAAAAATAGTCACAGTTCTGTGCAGCCCATCCCATTAGGAGGCAGAGTCTACTTCTTCTCCCTTGAATCTACGTTGGTCACGTGATTTGCTGTGGCCAATAGAATGTGGTGGAAGCAACATGTGCCAGTACCAAGCCTAGGTTTTAAGAGGCCTTTTGCTCTCTTGGAACTTGCAGTTGCTGTGTGAAAAGTCCAGGCTAGCCTGCTGGAGGATGAGTGATGGGTGAAGCAGAGATGAATTTTCAGAGCTGGCTTCATCTGAGACCAGCCAGCCCTAGCTGTGGAAGGCAGACACTTAGCAAACCCAGCCAAGATCAGCCAAGCCCATCCCAGGGCAGAAGAACCACCAAGCTGATCCCAGTCCACATCTACTTCTGGAAGCACGTGCTAAATAAATGGTTGCTGTTTTAAGCCACTGAGCTATGGGAGGCTTTGTTTCCCAGCAATAACTAATTGATAAATCATCAACAGTAAAATGGATAAATGAATTGTGGTACAGGCACACGTGGAATGAAAAACATTAAGGAGAATAAATAAACTACTGCTACACAAGACAACATGGATGAACCTCACCAATACTAAGCCGGGTGAAGGAAGCTCAGCAGGCAGAGTGCATCCTACAAGATGCCTTTTATAGAAAAAGTACAAGAATAGGTGAGAGTAATCTATGGAGAGATAAGTTAGGGTAGTGGTTACCTTTGAGGGGGGACTAAATAGGAGGGGGTTAGCTACTGGGGTGTGTTCACTTGGTGACCATTTGTTGGGCTGTATACTTAACATATGTGCATTTTTGTGCATGTAGTTTATACTTTGGTAAAAAGATTTAAAAATATCAGGTCTCTTGTTTCTTTTCTAGTTGCTGGAGAGCCAGTGGGATTGCATCTTTTGCAGAGGACAGGTCCTTAAGGGCAAAATCGCTTAAGAGTCAAAATGGCCTTGAAAATTCCTTGGGAAGCCGTCATGTTGGAGCCAACCACTATTTCTCAATAATTTCAGCACAGCCAGTTTTTCCTCCTGCGTTGGGACGGATCGCTGTTTCTCCTGTCAAGCTCCAGATACAGTAAAGTCTTGTGTTTAGGGGCCACACAGTGGAGTGGGACACTCACAGGCAGAGGGAGGAACCAGGTGCTCCTACTCAGAGACACGTGGGACCCAACGGGAGGGTTTGGCTTGGAAGAGACACCTTCAAAGTGAGTGGTGTGGGGATTTCCCCATCATATAATGTCCCCTTTGGGGTGTGAGGGGCAAATGTGTTTAGTTAAGTGGATCTTAACTCAGTTAAATTAAATTCATGTATGATGTGAGACCAGCGTGGAAAGGTCTTACCTCTTGATTAACCAATTGTTCTTCCCCAGTCACTCCATTGCTCCTCTTTGAGCCATCCAAAAAGTCACCTCATCTTTCCAGACCTCAGGGTCCTCATCTGTAAATTGGGGGGCATGTGGACTTGGACAGAATGGGCCCTCTCTGTCACTTGGAGAGTCTGGGATTGTAAGCTGCCCTCCGGGAGATCAAAACACCACACGATGCAGGTGGTAAGGGCTGCCATCAACTCTCGGGGTGACCCAGGTCAATGGTCCCTTCTCTGGCTGCCCTCCCCATCTGTGCAATGGGGGTTTTGTCCCATGGTTCTCTTTTTGCAGGCACTGGACAGACGCGGGACACAGGGGCTCTGCTAAGGTCCCTGGTGCTACAGAAGAGGACGGTGATCACCAGGCCCAGGAAGGAGGGTTGCTGGGAATGAAGATCGCAGCCACGCTGCACGATGCAAGGCTAAGGTGCACGCAGTGCGCTGTGGCTTCAGGTCCCGAAAGCACAGGCCTGGGACAGCTTTTCCAGATGGCAAGTCTGCTTTCTCCCAGCCCCAACATGCCTTTCTGAAATGTAAAGCAGCCCAGTCCTGGCCTCAGAATGCTGGGGTGAACAACTGGAGAACGGGGTTCCAGCCACTGCAGATGAATCCAGAGGCACTAGAAACACAGAGAGAGCAAGAAGGAAAGGGAGGGGACACGAGGGACAGGCAGACACCCAGGGGCAGGAGAGAAAGCAGAGGGCCGTCCACTTGGCAAATATTTATTGAGTGCCTACTAGGTGCCAGATGCTGTGTTTGGGGCAAAGAGAGACAGAGGGAGACAGAATGGGAGAGGAGAAAGGAAGAGAGAGAAAGAAAAGGAGTCAGAGAAAGAGAGAGAGGAAGAGAGAAGGGTGGGGAGAGAAAGAGAAAGAGGGAAGGAGAAAGGGAGACAGAGAAAGAGAGAGGAAGAGAGAAAGGGGGAAGAGAGAGAAAGGGAAAGAGAAAGAGAGAAAGGGAGAAAGGGAAAGGAGAGAGAGAGAAATGGCGGGGGGAGACAGAAAGAAACAGAAGGGGAGAGTGAGGAAGAGGGAAAGGGAGTGAGAGAGAAAGGGGGAGAGATAAAGAGATAGAGGGAAAGGGAGGAAGAGGAAAAGAGAAGGGAAAAGGGAGAGAGAGAGATGGAGAAAGAGAGAAAGCAATAGAGAGAGAAAGAAGGAGTGGGGAGAGGGAGGAAGGGGTGGAGAGAGAATGAGACTAGAACCTGGTGGCTGGAGTTTGCAGCTGGGCGGTACAGAATGTTATGGAAACACAGACAGAGCCAGGTCTGACTGCAAAGCTGCAGCTCCTCCCACGATGGATCCTGACTTGGCCCCCCACTCCCCACTCCTCGAATTATACCCTCAGGACCTTACCTGGGGCTGGGTGGGCTGCACAGGAGTTTCCAAGCCTGGCTGCTCACCAGAAGTGTCTGGGAGACCCTCAAAGAAACTCTAGAGTCCTGGGCCTGACTCTGGCAATTTGGCTTCAGGATGATGGTCTGGGGCCTAGGAATCTGTATTTTAGCAGCCACTGCCTCCCAGAGCTCAGCGGGCACGGGAGCCCAGGTGGTGGACACGTGTCCCCGGGGGGCCTCCCCCGGGGCTCCCGCTGCTGTCACTGCCACACACGTCCTTTTGCAAACACACACGGCCCATGATTGATTCTCTGCCGCTCCCCTCACAGCCCCGTGGGTCTGATTGAATGGCCGGCGTGCTGCCCAAACACCCTGCTGGAACCACTTCCCTGCCCTCTGCCCTAGAAGTCGTTTGTTTTTAGACACAGCGTTTATGTCCAGCTGAAAGGACACCAGCCTCCCTGGAGCCACCCCTCTAAGCTGGAGCCAGGCTGGGGACCGTCCCTGGGTGCTGAAGGGACAGAGGGACCTGGGTGCCTAGGCTGGGTGTGGTGGCCCAGGTGCAGCCTCTCACACTCAAGAATGGACACTGAATCCTAGGAGGACTCTCAGGCTTCCTGCATCTAGGTGACACTAGAATTGTTTGGGTGTTTGAAGATATTTTCACCCACCTTGACATTGAGAACAGCTTCAGGGAAGGAATCTTTCCTTCCTCCCTTCTCTTCCTTTATTTATTTATTTTTTTGGGAGTGGGGGTCTCGCTCTCTCACCTAGCTGGAGTGACAGAGCGAGACTGGAGTGTGCAGTGGTGCGATCCTAGCTCATGAGCCTCCAGCTGCTGGGCTCAAGCGATCCTCCTGCCTCAGCCTCCCGAATAGCTGAGACTATAGGCGTGTGCCACCATGCCTGTCTAATTAAAAAAAATTTTTTTGTAGAGATGAGGTTTCGCCATGTGGCCCAGACTGGTCTCAAACTCCTGGGCTCAAGCGATTCTCCCACCTTGGCCTCTGAAAGCACGGAGATTATAGGCGCAAGCCACTGTGTCCGGCCAGAAACTGTTTCCTTTGACATTAATTTTGCACCTCCCATGAACTAGAGCCTAGCAGTCTTGGGTCTGGGCCTATATGAACAAATCCATAGGACAACCTCTGCTTGTCAGAAGACCCGGCTCTGGAATTTAACGGACCTAGGCTTGAGTCTCAGGCGCATGCCTCAGCGTCCTTATGTTTTAAATGGAATGATAAAGCTGGCTTTGGAGGGTGGTTGAGAGGGTTCCCAACACCCTGGATGAGAGAGAAATGCTTAGCACAGGTCTGGCACACAGTAGGTGCTCAGCCCCACTTCCTTTCTTTCTCCTTCTCCTCATCTCTCCTGGTCACTGTCACCTGGCCTTCTACTACCCCCTGGACATGTTCTATAGAGAGGGGAGCACTGGGCCAGGAGCACTAGAACCCTGGGTCCCAATTCTCACTTTTCTGGACCTTGCTGTGCAATGTTGGGCAAATATCTGGCCTTCTCTGGTCTGGCCAGATCATCTCAAGAACACTTTCTCGTGCTGTGGATCCAGGTTGTGACCTCTTGGGAGAACTGGACTCAGTTTCCCCTTTCTGTGTGCTTTCTATCCTGCCTGGTTCACAGTAGGTGCTCCAGGGACAAACATGGAAATGAGATGAGTGGGTCATTAGCGATATCTGGACACCAAACTGTGCAGATCTGGTTTGGAGGCCCTGGCTGTCAGAATGGTGCTCATTCTTCTGGGAGAGCTGGGCCAGGGTGGGGTGGGGGAGGGGAGAGGCTACTGCATTTCTTATTTTTTTGAACCTCTAAGGCCTTATCCTGTTCTTGCAGCCCCAGCCTCCACTCCTAGATGACGTGGGATTAGGGGGCCAGCTCTGGCTTCAGAGACCCCTATTTCTTTTTTTTTTTGAGTCGGAGTCTCGCTCTGTTGCCCAGGCTGGGGTGCAGTGGTGCGATCTCGGCTCACTGCAAGCTCTGCCTCCCGAGTTCACGCCATCCTCCTGCCTCAGCCTCCCGAGTAGCTGGGACTACAGGTGCCCGCCACCACGCCCAGCTAATTTTTTGTATTTTTAGTAGAGACTGTTAGCCAGGATGGTCTGGATCTCCTGACCTCGTGATCCGCCCACCTCGGCCTCCCAAAGTGCTGGGATTACAGGCATGAGCCACCATGCCCGGCCCCTTCTTCTCTCGCCTAACCCACCCCCACTCCCCTCCCCCTCCCCTCCCCCCTCCCCTCCCCTTCCTTCCCTCCCTCCCTTCCTTCCCTCTTTCTCTCCCTCCCTCCCTTCCTCTCTCCCTTCCTCCTGTCTTTCTTCCTTCCTCCCTTCCTTCCCTCCCTCCTTCCTTCCTTCCTCCCTCCCTGCTCCCTCCCTTTCTTTCTTCTTCCCTCCCTTCCTTCCTCCCTCCCTTCCTTCCTCCCTTCCTTCCTCCTTCCCTCCCTGGTCTAGCAAGAGAAAAAAAAAAGGGCCCTGTACACCCACTTGCTACTTCACCCACCAACCCATCCCATCAGCAATGGGTGAGCGAGGCCAGGCCCAGTGCCAGGCAATGAGTATACAGCAGAGAACAAAACCACCCTGGTTTTGCCCTTAAGGGGCTTTGAGCCTGGTGGGGTGACCGCTATCAGCAGGCAGTGTTCAGTCCAGGCTCTGAAATTTAACAGACCTAGGCTTGAGTCTCAGGCGTATGCCTCAGCTTCCTTATGTTTTAAATGGAATGATAAAGCTGGCTTTGGAGGGTTGTTGGGAGGGTTCCCAACACCCTGGATGAGAGAGAAATGCTTAGCACAGGTCTGGCACACAGTAGGTGCCCAGCCCCACTTCCTTTGTTTCTCCTCCCCATCTCTCCTGGTCACTGTCTGTGATCCCCAGGCAGTGTTCACTCAAGATATTGTGTGATGGAGATGCACAGGCCATGGAGGAGCCCATAGAAGGTCCTAAATCAGCTCGAGGCAGCAGCTATCTGGGCAGGCTGCCTGGAGGAGGGGATGTTTAGGAAGACACCTGCAGGAGTTAGCCAGGGGAGGAAGCAAGGGATGGTAAGTGTTCCCGGCAGAGGGAACAGCATGTGCAATCCTCTGGGGTGACAGCAGCACTCTCAGGAACTGAAAGGGGCTCAAAAATGGCTGGAAATGGAAAACCAATAAGACTACCACCATCAACAATCATGGTGGCCTTCTCGATGTGCCCAGCTGCCTCCTGCATGATCTCACTAAGCCCCTCCGGAAATCCACTCCTGTTTTACAGACCAGGAAGCAGAGGCCTGGAGATTCAGAGACTCACCTAGGCCCCGCAGTGTGTATGGGGCCCAGGGCGGAGCTGGGGTTGGATCCAGGCTGCAGAAGCTCAGCCTCCTCCCCAGGACAAACAGCCAGGCTCCGGTGGGGCAAGAGAGGCAGGGTCCTGGGGAAAACTTCCTCCCAGAGCTCCCCCGGGCCAGGCCTGGAGGCCCCGGGGAGGCCCTGCGGGTGGGGGCGGGGCGTGGGAAGGCTGTAAACTGGCTTGGGGCGGTAGGGCTTTCCTGTCGCTGCCGGTGGCCCCCGCCTTTGTCCTCATGTGTCACTGAGGAATGCAGCTACAGTCCAGATAAAGGCAGCTTTGTTTGGAGACCTCAGGAGGGGGAAGGGGGAAGGGGGAAGGTGGGGAAGGGGCAGAAAGAAGCAGGCTGGGGAAGGGGAGGGGTTACCATCACCTCCTGGCTGATCCCAACCCCCTGGCTCTGGGCAGGAAGCACCTATGCCCCCGTGGACACCCACATCCTCTGCCATCCCCTTAAGGCACTTCCTGACTTTGGGCAAGCAGCTCCCTCCTCTCTGAGCCTCAGTTTCCTCATTTGGATGATGGGGATCATCTGTCAACCTCTATGGATAGTTTGGAGGTTCCAGCCAAGTAAGTCATATGGTTGATTTGACTTGCAAGGCATATTGATGACTAAGAAAAAGACAGCCCAGAGAGGTCAAGTGACTTGCCCAAGGTCCACACAGCTTGACCTTGGAAGGAGTGATGCAGTCGGGTGTTTGCCAAGCATTGAGGGGGTGGGGCAGAACGAGGCTGGGATCCCAGGCTGCGCCCTTTGATGTGGCAAGCAAGAATGACAGGTGGTCCCTTGAATGTATGCACTTGCTCATGGAAGCCTCACCAGGGTGGGCGTTGAGTTTGCCCTTGGTCACTACTGTCCCCATGCCCCTCGGTGCCTGGCACAGGTAGGCAGGAATGCTCAATGATTTAAACCCACAGCCTCTGGGGCCAGGCGGCTACCACCTGGGGCTGTGTGATCTTGGGCTAGTCCTGATCCTCTCCATGTCTCAGTTTGCCCCTCTGTAAAACGGATCTAATATGAGGACTCCCCTCACGTGCACAGGCCGTGGAGGAGCCCATAGAAGGTCCCTAAATCAGCCTGAGGCAGCAGCTATCTGGGCAGACTGCCTGGAGGAGGGGATGGGCAAGTTCAAGGAGATGATCTGCACAGAGCCTGGCATCGGTTATTCGGATTAGTGGGACAATGGCTATCTGCTTGCTGGCTGCACAGAGGATTTTCCCAAGGTCATGGCCGAGGGTGCGCTGGGATCAGCCCAGGCTCCTCTGGGCTGTTTCTGCCCAGGAAGGAAGGGTGTGAGTCCTGCAGTGCAGGGGTGAGGCGGTTGAGTGCAGGAGGAGTAGGCATCATGTGCCACCCAGCTCCAGGCCGGGCTCTGCCCTTTTGAGAGGAGGTGTCATGTGGGTCTGGAGCTAAGGGACGTGGCCCCCTGGCCCCTCCTCACAGTGACGGATGTGGACAGACAGATGGTCTAGGGCTGGGCACGCTTAGTCATGGCCCAGATATAACCTGGGCCCCATGGGGCGGCTCCCTCTGTCTCACTGTCTCACAGCAGCTGCAGCCAATCCCAGTGGGTCTGAGGCCTCACTTTGCCTACTGAGTGGGTCTCAGCTCACTCTCTTTGGATGCAAGAGGAAATGGAAGCCCAGAGAGGGGAAGTGACCCACTCAAAGCTGCACAGCAAGCGAGGGACAAAATCATCTGGTCACTCACTGACTTGGCAAATATTTCTGGACTCTGAAGAGTGGACTAAGTCCATCAGGGAAGAACATACCTAGAGAAAGCACTGACTTGGACAAAGGTACAGAGGAGAAGTTCTGTGATGGTTAAGGGTGTGGGTACCAGTCTGCTGGGATCCAAGCCCTCTCTGGCACTTGCTGTGTGACTTAGAGCAAGTGAATCAACTACTCTGTGCCTCTGTTTCCTCACCTGTAAGTTGAAGATATTCACAGTGTTTATGTCATAGGGGTCTTATGAGGATGAAATGAGTTCATTCATGCAAGATGCTTAGCATGGGTCCTGGCACACAGTAGGTGCTCAATAAACAGGAGCTGTTAGGAAGGCATGGGGAATGAAGGACATGTGGAACATGGGAACCACCAGCCAGTGGTTGGTAGGGAATGTCTAGAGCCCAGAGTGGGGTGTTGTGGCCCCATGTGGAAGCTTGGGGAACCAGGGCTTAGCCTTGTAAAGAGAGTGGGTGGGGGCAGGGCAGGGTAAAGGCTGGGAGGTTCTGGCAGGAGGCAGGAATTCTAGGTGAGCAATACTGGGGCGATGAAACTAGAGCAGAAATGGAGGCAGGGACGAGAAGGAGGTGGAAAGGAGGGGCTTGGAACCTGTCTAAATGTGGCAGGAAGAGGAGGGGTGTCATCCAGGAGAACCGTCCCGGGTTCCAGTGGAGGAGAGGAACCTACAAAGGGAGAGATGGAGCCCCTGACTGGTGGGGCCAGCCACTCTCTGAGAGTCTCTGAGGTGCCCAGCCTGGCCCAGGAGGTATCATCATGCTTAGGGTGGCAACAAAATTTGCAGGCTGCCGTGTGAAACAAAACTGCAGTCCTCCTTGTTTAAAAGGCAGGAAAAATGTACAGTAAAGGTACTAAAATAGGAAATGTTTGCCCTTCTTCCGTGAGTCTCTTCTGCTCACCTGCATGCTTCACTGCCCCACTGGGCTTCACTTACAAAACATAGATAGGTGCAGAAATTAAGAATTTCAAGATGGTGGCCGGGCATGATGGCTCACATCTGTAAACCCAGCACTTTGGGAGGCTGAGGTGGGCAGATCACATGAGGTCAGGAGTTCAAGACCAGCCTGGCCAACATGGCGAAACCTTGTCTCTACTAAAAATACAAAAATTAGCTGGGTGTGGTGGCGCATGCCTGTAATCCCAGCTACTTGGGAGGCTGAGGCAGGAGAATCACTTGAACCTGCGAGGCAGAAGTTGCAGTGAGCCGAGATCACGCCACTGTACTCTAGCTTGGGCAACAGAGGAAGACTCTGCCACACACACACACACACACACACACACACACACACACACACACACAAAGAATTTCAAGACGGTAACAGCAAAACATAAACCCAGCTTGGAGCCTTTCTGAGCGCCGGGCTCTGTGCAACTGCAGAGATCTCATGGCCGTAAAGTTGGCCCTGATTCATGCCCATTCTGCAGAGGAGAAAGCTGAAGCTCAGAGAAGTGAAATATCCTGGTATTCTCACTCCAATTCCAGAACCCCCTATATTCTGCACCCCCTTCCAATGCTTGCTCATGTCTAATTGTTATTCACCAATCTCCAGAGAAGGGTTCGAAGCAATTGATGGTAAAATGCAGGAGCTGTTAACACAGGTGCAGTGGAAGGCACACCATGACCCTGAGGGAGGACGCCGGCCTGGGAGCTGTGTGACCTTGGATGGGCCGTGCAAACTCTCTGTGCCCACAGTCCCTCTGCAGAGACTGGTTCAGAACTCCTGTTTCCCCAGCCCCCAAGCCTTGCCTCCCTTCCTGACCCATATTCCCCTTGGTGTCTGAGGCTTGAAGCGGTTATAAAAAATAAAACCACAGTCCCCTGATGTGCTTTCTGGCTTCTCAGGCCTTATTTTTTTTGGCCGCTAAGGAGACTAATAAATGGCTTGCCACTTGACGTAATCATTAAGGGCTCCACTGAGCTGTGGGCAGTGTTTTCTCTCCTCCTTGGCCGGGCCTGGGGCGCACAGCCACCGAGGGTGGCAGTGATGGATGGTGTCATCATGGGGCTTGCCCGGGGGAAGTGCTGGTGGTGGTCGGCCATGGCTCTCTCTCCTGCAGGCTCCTGGGCTATTCATTATGCGAAGGAGGAGCTGAAGCGTGGGGGTGACGGCTGGCTTCCAGAAGGAGCATGGACTGGAATTCCAGGCGGAGTGTGGGCCAGGGTGTATATAAAGATTAGTGTTCGGGTGCAAAGAGTCAATTGATGAGTGGCCAATAAACAGAGGGAAGGAAAGCAGGGTATAATCCAATAATATACATTAAAACATTTTCTGAAGTTAGAAAATTGGTAAAAACTTTAAAAATAGAATTAAAAAATTAAAAATTAAAAAATTACGTGATTGTTTGCAAAAATGTTCTTAATTTGCCTCCCTTCTCTGTATCTGTATCCTTTGCAATGTGGCTTTGCAGTTCCTCCCATCAAGAGATAGAGTCTGTTTCCCACTCCTTGAATCAAGCCTCAGTCATGTGACATGTTTTGGCCAATAGAATGTGGTGGATGTGATGATGTGATTCTGTACCTGTTCTGAACCTCGGCCATAAGGGACTTGCAGCTTCGATTTGCTAACCTGAAATTCTGCTGCTGCCATGGAACAAGCCTGGGCTAGCTTGGGGGAGGAGGAGAGACCATGTGGAGTAGAGCCAAGCTCTGGACATTTGAGAGAGCCCGGTAATAATCAGCAAAATCAGCCAGTGATGCACAAGTAGGCTGATTGAGATCAGAAGAACCAGCTGACTGACCTGTGGATGCATGAGCAATAATAAATGCTTACTATTTTAAGCCATTGAGTTTGGTAATGGTTTGTTACACAGCAATAGCTGACTGATACAAATCATAATGCCCAGTATTGGTGATGGTGTGGGGAAATAGGCTTTCTCACACATAAGTAGCAGAACAGTTTGCTAAAATTTTGCATATCCATTGAAGCAACAACAACAACAACAAAAAATGAAAGGGTTATTATGGAGATTCTTTTTTTTTTTTTTTTTAAGAGACAGGATTTCATTTTGTCACTCAGGCTGGAGCTCAGTGGTGCAATCATAGCTCACTGCAGCCCCAAACTCTCGGGCTCAAGTGATCCTCCCACCTCAGCTTCCTGAGTAGCTGGTATTACAGATGTGTGCCACCAAGCCTGGCTACTTTTTCTTTAATTTTTTGTAGAGATGGGGTCTACCTATGTGGTCCAGGCTAATCTCGAACTCCTGGCCTCAAGCAATCCTCCCGCCTTGGCCTCCCAAAGTGCTGAGATTCCAGGTGTGAGCCACTGCTTGGAGATTCAATGCCTGGGCCAAATGCCTAGCATAACACTTAACACTTAAAAAATGCCCAACATGTCTTGGTCCCTTCTCTGTGGGCATATCACAAAGGGCAACAACATTTGGAAAGCTTATTCATAGTCTCTGTTTTGGGGATGGATTCCTTTAGAAATCCTAAAGAATTTGTTTCTTATGGACAAAGATTTTATCAACGAGGATGTCATGACAGCATTGATTATAGCAGATCAGTAGAAACAAACAACCTGACCAATGCTGTTACAACACTAGTAATAACCATTGTTACTTATTTTGCTGTTTTGTTTTTGCTTATTACCACTTATTTTTACTTACATTGCTTGAATCAATTAAGGTCTAGCTACAGGCTGAAATTCAGTTCAGCCATAAAATTAGGTCTTAGAAGAGGACTTATAGACATAGGGAAATACACTTTCTTACATATAACCAGCAGAGGGGCAGTTTGCTAAAACTTTGCATTTCCATTGAAGTAACAAAAAGATGGAAAGGTCTTTATAGGTTCAAGGTAATATTATCATTTTGTGGGTCAAATGTTCAGGCTGTTAAATGAGAATAAAACCAGATTACAAAATAGAATTACATTGTGATCTCCATATACCTGAAAAATTGTTGTTTTACATCTGTCTCTTTCTTTCTTTAAATCTGTGCAGAAAAAAAATATCTGGAAGAGAGTAATCTATTATAAGATGTTGTCTGGGTTTGTCCCTGATGTTGGGCTACAAGTCTCTTTTTGGTCTTCATCTTAGTGCATTTATTTTAAGCTTCTTCTGTGCCAGATGCATACATTTGGAGTCTCTTTTACTCCTTACAATGAATCTGTGATGTGAGTACTAGGACTGTCCCCATTTCACAGATGACGACATTAAGGGTTTGAGAAGCACCTTGCCTGATGTTCCACAGCTAGTAATATAGGCAAATACCTACATTGCCAGATTGTCTACAATATGCATTTACTGTCTTGATAAAATTAGAAAAAAAACCCTGAAGTTAATTTTTAACAAAAGAAAGACGGAAGATCAGTAACCACCCTCAAGATGTAATGGTGTCATCCAAGATGGGGCCCTGGGCAGACAGGAGCTCCTGGATAGATTTGAGGATTCTAATGGGCCTGATTTTATGGGACGATGACCATCATAGGAGGCTGCGTGAATAGTGGTGCAGAGTGGGAACCGAGGAGAGTGACTGTCACGGTCCATGTGGGGCCAGTAGTACATCACACTCAGAGAGACCTTGACCCCTGGGGGCACTGACTACAGACCCTCAGCTCCACAAGGGACAGGACGTGTCTGCTGTGTGCTTGGCTGGATCCCCAGAACCCTGCAAAGCTCCAAAAGTAGGAGCTCAAGGAACATGAGTTAAGTGAGTGAATGAATGAATGAAATCAGAAGCCAGTGGCCAAGATGAGGAGGGATCTGGAGAAATGAGAAATAGTGCCTGCTGGGCGTGGTGGCTCACGCCTGTAATCCCAGCACTTTGGGAGGCCGAGGCAGGTGGATCACTTGAGGTCAGGAGCTCGAGACCACCCTGGCCAACATGGTGAAACCCCGTCTCTACTAAAAATACAAAAATTAGCTGAGCATGGTGGCACGTGCCTGTAATCCCAGCTACTCGGGAGGCTGAGGCAGAATAATTGCTTGAACCCAGGAGCCGAAGGTTGCAGTGAGCCAAGATGGTGTCACTGCCCTCCAGCCTGGGCGACAGAATGAGACTCCATCTCAAAAAAAAAAAAAATTAAATTAAAAATAAATAAATAAATGAGCAACGGTATGGGAACAACTGCTGGTGTCTCCCCACCAGCCCACTGCACTCTCTCAAATTCCCCCACTCGTGTTTCCTTCTTGGTTTGCAAAAAAACAAGAGCCCCTCCTGCCCTCTTCTGCTGAAGTTCCCCTTTGCATTTTCCAGACCTGGAGGAACCCTGAGAAACGATCTCACCTTACATTCTCAGTTGAGATTTAGCATTTTTTTTTTCAAACAATCTTTTCACTCTGATGAACAAAGAATTAGTCACTGGGGAAAACGGGAAGAGTGATAAAAATATGATGGAGCAGAACGCTGCCCCTGCCCCACCTTTCACCTTTCCACCAGCAGAACAATCAGGGTTGACATTTGGCAGCTCTAGCTGCTTTAGGTGTTGGGGGCCACCTACAATTTGAGTCAAACAGGAGATTCCTCCGCTTCTTCACACTTCACAAAGGTCTGGTCTGTCATGTGGAGAGGAGGTGCGATCTGTTCAGGGTCTCTCAGTGAACCAGGGGCAGGCCTGGGGCCGGGACCTGTGCTGCCTGCCTTGTGCACTTATTGGACAATCGTGGTTGGGTGCTATCTGTACATGAAGACAGAATTGAGGCAGAGAAGAGTGTAGTGGTAATCCCAGCACTTTGGAAGGCTGAGGTGGGAGGATCGATTTGAGGCTAGGAGTTTGAGACCAGCCTGGGCAACATGGTGAGACCTTACCTCTACAAACAAAATAAATAAATAAAAAATAGCCAGGAGTGGTGGCACAAGCCTGTAGTCTCAGCCACTCAGGAGGTTGAGGAGAGAGGATTGCTTGAGCCCAGGAGGTCAAGGCTGCAGTGAGCTATCACCTCGCCACTGCACTCCAGCTTGTGCAGCAGAGCAAGATCCCATCTCTAAAAAGAAAAAGAAAAAAGAGCAAAGCAGGCTCCAAAGCAGGTGGGAGATGTTTCTCTGAGAGGTGACCTCTGAGCTGGGGCCTGAGGAATGAGGAGCGGCAGGAAGGCTGGAGGAAATGCCCAGGGTGAAGGCCTGGAGGCTGGCTTGGTGTGAGCAAGGCAAAGAGTGAGAGGAGACGGGGTCAGATTGCTGGGCAGGGCCAGGACACACAGGGTCCTGAAGGCCATGGTAAAAGGTGAGCAGAGGGTTTTAAGCAAGGGGGAGACGTGACTGGATTCATGTCCTAAAAGGCCACTGGCTGCCGTGGGGCTGAGGCTGGAGTTCTGCCGAGGCTCTGCAAGTCCAGCCCCTGGCACATGGTTCTGATGGGACCCTGCCCTCCCTCCAGCCCTCTGGCATCTCTCCCAGGGAGAGCGCAGTGGGTGGGTCCATTGGCTGGGCCACAGGCCAAGGCCTCCTTGCATCAGGGAGATAGTGGATGGGGGTCAGGGAGCGCCTGCCCTCACTGCAGGGAGATGGGAACAGCAAATCCCTTCCCCGGCCTGGCTGGGGCCTGCCTGCCCTGCACGCTCCCAGTGACATCCCACTCCCGTTCCAGGCATCTGCCAAAGCAAGGCTGGCTGTGTTCTGCTTTGCTCAGCTTCCCTGTGACTTCAGTGTCATGCCATGTGAGGGGCCCAATGACCACAACTCACTGGGCATCCAGGTCAGGCCAGAGCCTGAACTAAGCACCTCTTATCAGCTCTGGCATATCACACCGGCCCCCCCAGGCTCAGACTCAACCAACGCTCAGGGACACGAAGTCACCTGCTGAGGGTCACACAGCCCATCATGGGTGCAGTGTAGGACACATCTCTGCAGGTCCCTCCTGCTCCACCCTAGGCTGTACCTCTCAGCCCTTGGGGATGCCCAACACTAGGTGAGAGGAAGAAAGGTGGGGGAAGGGTGTTCCAGCCAGTGGGAACAGCATATACCAAGTCCTGGGTGGACAGTGTATATATTTTTTTGTAATTGCGTTATTGAGATACAATTTACATACCATACAATTCACCCATTTGAAGTACAATTCAATGGTTTTTTTTTTTTTTTTTTTGAGACGGAGTCTCACTCTGTCACCCATGCTGGAGTGCAGTGGTGTGATCTCGGTTCACTGCAGCCTCTGCCCCCAAGGTTCAAGTGATTCTCCTGCCTCAGTCTCCCGAGTAGCTGGGATTACAGGTTCGTGCCACCACGCCCGGCTAATTTTTTGTATTTTTAGTAGAGATGGGGTTTCACCATGTTGGTCAGGCTGGTCTCGAACTCCTGACCTCAGGTGATCTACCGGCCTTGGCCTCCCAAAGTCTTGGGATTACAGGCGTGAGCCACCATGCCCGGCCTTAATGGTTTTTAGTATAGTCAAGAGTTGTGTAACCATCACTACTGTCAAATACCAAAACATTGTCATCACCCCCAAAAGAAATCCTATAATGTTAGCTATCACCCCCTACCCCCTGACAATCATTAATCCATTAATACTTTCTGTCTCTACAGATTTTCCTATTCTGGATATTTCAGATAAATGGAATCATACAATATGAGACCATTTGTGTCCGGCTTCTTTTTTTTGAGACAGGGTATTACTCTGTCACTCAGACTGGAGTGCAGTGGGACGATCATAGCTCACTGCAGCCTCGACTTCCCTGGCTCAGATCATTCTCCCACCTCAGCCTCCTGGGTTGCTGGGACTACAGGTGTGTGCCACCACACCCAGATCATTTTTTTGGTATGATTTGTAGAGATGAGGTTTTGCCATGTTGTCCAGGCTGGTCTTGAACTCTTGGGCTCAAGTGATCCCGCCTTGGCCTCCCAAAGTGCTGGGATTATAGGTGGGAACCTCCATGCCTGGCGGCATCTGGCTTCTTAGCACAATGTCTTCCAGGTTCATCCAATTTGTGGCATGTGTCAATGCCTCATTTCTTTTTATGGCTGAATAATATTCAATTATGATAGATATACCACATCTCGCTTATCCATTCACTTTCTGAATAATGCTGCTATGAACATTCATGTGCAAGCATTTGTGTGTTCACGTTTTCATTTTCTCGGGCATGACCCTAGGAGGGGCATGTCTGGGCCAAATAGGAATTCTATGTTTAACTCTTTGAGGAATTGACAGGCTTTTCTAATACAGGTTTTTTAAAAATAGTGAATATATAATATGTGTGCATCTGCATGTGCACTTGTATTTATATGTATGCGTTAAGTATGTGAACACAATTGTATATGTGTCTGTGTTAACTTGTCTTTCATGGCTGGGTGCAGTGGCTCACGCCTGTAATCCCAGCACTTTGGGAGGCTGAGGCAGGTGGATCATTTGAGCTCAGGAGTTCGAGACCAGCCTGGGCAACATGGTGAAACTCTATCTCTACAAAAAATTCAAAAATTAGCTGGCGTGTTGGCATATGCTTATAGTTCCAGCTACTGGTGAGGCTGAGGTGGGAGGATCGCTGGAGCCCAGGAGGGAGAGGTTGCAGTGAGCCGAGATTGTACCAGTGTACCCCAGCCTGGGCAACAGAGCCAGGCCCTGTCTCAAAAAAAAAAATATATATATATATATATATCTCCTTTGTAAGTAGTAGTTGTCATGATCTTGCTTCTCCCACACACAGGAAGCCGGGAAGGGCATTCCTGGCAGAAGGATCAGTGTGGACAAATGCTGGGAGCTAGGAGTGAGAAGTGGAAGGGAATTCTCGCTTTGGAAAGTGCTGGAAAGTGGCTGGGTCCACAGTAAGCCCCCACATTTGAGCTCATACATCTTCTTTCTGCCCGCAGCTTCTCATGCAAATCATATGCAAATCTCTCCCCTCCCATCAGCCCCGCGGCACTCAGAGGAGTGGGAAATATTCTCGATTGGGCCCTTCCCTTCATTAATTTCCAGGTCGTAGTACATTACTCACAGATAATTAAGAGTGAGCTATTAATACAACATTTAATATTCAAGTGCAGCGAAGAGGAGAGAATTGTAAGTCACAGAATCCAATACGACAAGAGATTGCGGTTTAGCGATGATATATATATATATATATATATATATATATATATATATATATATATATATTTTTTTTTTTTTTTTGCCTTCCAGATGCTCAGGACTATTTTTCGCTGAAATGTGGACCTGAGAACTTCATGTATTGATAGAACACGAATACACCTTAAATCACCAGCAAACCCATTTGAAGGGCCCAGGAGATATGGCTGGACAGTGACTACACCCGGAAGTGTAACCGTCTCCATGGGGCATGTCCGGATCGAGGAGGTGGCCTGCCTGTCCCTTGGCTGGCTGGGTACTGATGTGGGGGAGGTTGGGCAGAGGTAGAGACAAAGAAGGAAATGTGGAAATGTGATGGTTCCTGTCCACACCTGGGGTGGGAGGTGGGGTGGGGGATGGAGCAGCTGGATTCTGTTCATCCCCAAACTCCCCTTTATCCTGGCTGGAGGCTAAGGCAGCCTGGACTATCCTGATGCCCTTCCCTGTACGACCTTGAAAATAAGGACTCGGCCGGCCGCGATGGCTCATGCCCGTAATTCCAGCACTTTGGGAGGACCAGGGGGGCAGATCACCTGAGATCGAGAGTTGGAGACCAGCCTGGCCAACGTGGTGAAACCCCATCTGTACTAAAAATACAAAACTTAGCTGGGCGTGGTGGCGGACGCTTGTAATCCCAGCTACTTGGGAGGCTGAGGCAGGAGAATTGCTTGAACCCAGGAGCTGGAGGTTGCAATGAGCAGAGATCGAGCCATTGCACTCCAGCTTGGGCGACAAGAGCGAAACTCCATCTCAAAAAAAAAGAAAGAAAGAAAGAAAGAAAATAAACACTCTGTTGTGTCTCAACCTCACTGATCTCCAGAAAAAGAGCTCAGTAAATATGGAGTGATGGAGTCGAACATCTCTGAGCATCTTGGGGGCCTCAGTTTCCAAAGCCATAAAATGGACTCTCCGTGGAATAATCGTGAAGGGCCAGTGCCCAACTTCCTCTGCTTAGAGGGAGCAAGTACATGTGACATGGGAGTGTCACCTCAATGCCAGAAGCCATTTGTCACCGAGGCTGCTTGGTGTATGTGGCTGGCAGACCTGGGTCACATCTTCGGACTGCAGCTCGCTGGCTATGTGTCCAGTCCTTTCGACCACACTGGGGATCCACCTCCTGATCTGCAAAGTGGGGATAGGGTTGTCTCTAGGCCATTCACACTTAATGCACAGAAAGGGCTTCACACATCCTGAGTGCTCGGTAGGTAAGTGGTACCTGCGGCTGGCATATGTGGTTCTGTTGTTTTGACAGTGGCTTTGGCTGTGAGCTGATTGAGTGGCCCATGGGGTGGTCGGTGGATGGAGGTGGGCCTGCAGGCAGAGGTGTGGAGCGGGAAGGAAAGCCTACTCTTCACCAGGCATGAGCTGGGCATGCCCATGCTTAGCGTGTTAACTGGATGGTCTAACACTCACAACCAACCTGCAAGGCATCATCATGTTGCTTCGTTTTACAGGTGAGCCTGGGGAGGCCCAGAGACATCAAGGCACTTGCCCAAAGGCACCCAGCAGAGCCTGGGTCTCCTGGAATCTCTGTCTCCAACGCCTGTGCTGTGATCTCTTGTTTGGGACTCATGGGAATGCTGGGTGGAGAGGCGGGAATACGGTGGCAGCCAGCTAAGGCTCAGAGTTAGATTGGCCCGAGTTTGAGTTCCACCTTGGCCCTGTGTAATCCTGGGAATGTCATACCTTGCCCCATCACCTGGGCCTCTCATCTTGAACTGGGAATAATGGAATCAGAACCAACCTGCTGGGGTCATTCTGCAAGGCAAACAGGTCAGTGTCCTCCAGGCTGTTTCTGGGCCCATAGGAATTGGCCAAAATACATCTTACCATTGGGGATTAGCCTGTGTGGCTGACAGACCTGGGTCACAGTGAATCAATCTCCAGTGAATTAGCATCCATCTGTGTCCATGTCACAGATGAGAAAACGGGTTCGTAGAAGAAAAGCAACCTCCAAGGTCACAAATAAATGAACTGTTTGAATCCAAAGTGAGCCTTACTACATCCCAGCCATAATTGTATTAGTTGGTAATATAATAATAACAAAACTGATATTCTTATTAATTTCTTCTTATACTGATCCCTCCCTAGCACCCCCAGAATTTGTGGATGATGAGCCTCCAGGGTCTCTCCAGAGGAGGAATCCCAGAAAGAGACTGTGTCCAAGGTCACATAAGAGCCAGACGTAGTGAGAAAGAGGTGATAGCTCAGGGACCATATTTATGATTTCCTCTGAATTCTGGGTCTGGCAAGGTAATCACTTCCCTTAATTCATTAATTCAACAGAAACTCACAGATCACCTACTCATCTCCTGCATGTTGGATACTGAGGCAGCTGAGATAAGTTTGCCAGAGACCCTGCACTTTGGGAGTACACAATCTATTAAGGAACCCAGATTCATATACTAGTGTGGCTGTGGGCTTGAGACCCACAATGCCCAGACTCTCATGCATGGCAAGCGTGTTACAGCTTACACAGCCTGTGTGTTTCGTTTGTCTCATTTGAACATCCAACAAGCAGTGCCTTGGAGCTGGCCTTATGATGTCCATTTTGCAGATGAGGAGATTGGGTTCAACTCAGAGAGGACACAGCCTTGCCTAAGACCATGCAGTGAACCAGTGGCAAAGGCAGCATGCATTACAATAGCAGCTACTTACTCTTAACAGGGAGTTTTATGTCCTAATTCATCGAATGCTCACAGTGACTGTAGGAGGCAGGGGCTGTCATGATCCTTATTTTACAGATGAGGAGATGACAGATTAAAAGAAGGTGTCATTGCTTGAGGTCACATCGTCATCCACACAGCCTGGATCTCCAGGCGGGACTGTTTGACCCTGAAGCCAGACTCTTCTCTGCTAGACCCTCTCTTGGGGGAAAGTCAAGGTATTCTGTGAGCTTTGTGAACACCGGGAACATGCCTGTCTCCTTCCTTGTTATAGCCTGGCTTAAGAAAGTCTTATTGAATGAATGAAAGAACAAAGGAAGGATGTTAGGTTTCCCCATTCACCCATCAACCTATGGACTGAAGGTGTGTGTCCCCCTAAATTAATATGTTGAAGCCCTAACCCTCTGTGTAGCTACATTTGAAGATGGGATCTCTAAGGAAGTGATTAAAGTTAAATTAGGTCATAAGGGTGGGGCCCTGAACTGATAGGATTAGTGTCCTTATAGGAAGAGACACCAGAGCTCTCCCTCTCTCTGTGTCTCTGGGCACACAAAGAGGAAAGGCCATGTGAGCACACCATGAGAAGGCAGTTGTCTTCAAGCCAGGAAGAGAGCCCTCACCAGAAACAGATCAGTTGGAATCTTGATCTTGGACTTCTACCCTCAAGAACTGTGAGAAAATAACTTTCTGTTGTTTAAACCACTCAGTCTTAGGTATTTTGTTATGTCAGCTTGTCTTAGTCAGTTGGGGTGCTATAAAAATGATCTTACACTGGGTGGCTTAAACAATACAAATGTATTTCTTATAGTCTGAAATCAAGGTAGCAGCATGGTTGGGTTCTGGTGGGGCCCCTCTTTCTGGTTTGCAGATGGCTGTTTTCTTGCCAAGTTCTTGCGTGGCAGAGAGCAGAAAGAGAGAAAACAAGTACTCCCCTGTCTCCTCTTATAAGGGCACTAATCCCATCATGAGGGCTCCATCCTCATGACTTACTTACTTCCCCAACTCCCCACCTTCTAAAGCCTTCCCACTGGGGAGTGGGGTTTCAACATATGAATTTTGTGGGGCACATAAACTTGTAGTGCATAATACAGCCTGAGTAAGTTAACACATTCTATTTCCCTTCTCCTTTCCTTCCTTCCATCCACCCATCCATCCATTCATCCATCCATCCCCCCATCCATTCACATCCATCCATCATTCAACTCTTCCTCCCTCCCTTCTTTCCTTCCTTTTTGCCTTCCTTCCTTCCTTTCTTCCTCCTACCCATCCATCCACATCCACCCATCATCATTCAGCCCTTCTTCCCTCTCTCTCTCCCTTCCTCCATTCCTTCCTTCCATCCTTCAACCCTTTCATCCATCTATCCATCCATTAATTAATTTTCCCTCCCTCCCCTCATCTACCTGTCTCTTTAGTATACCCTTCCTCCTACCCATCCTTACTTCCTCCCATCCATCCATCCATTATTCAACTCTTCCTCCCTTTCTCCCTCCCTCTCTTCCCCCTTCCCTTCCCCTTCCGTCCTTCCTTCCTCCTACCCATCCTTTCATCCTTTCATCTATCCATCCACCCGTCCATATCCACCCATCATCATTTAATCCCTTCTTTCCTCCCTCCCTCTCTCCCTCCCTTCCTCCATTCCATCCTTTCATCCTTCAATCATTTCATCCATCTATCCATTCATTTTTTAATCCTCCCTCCCCTCATCCATCTGTCCCTCTAGTATACCATTCCTCCTACCCATCCTTCCTTCCTCCCATCCATCCATCCATCCATCCATCCATCCATCCATCACTCCTTCAACTCTTTCTCCCTCTCTCCCTCCCTCTTTTCCCCACTTCCTTCCCCTTCCTTCCTCTCTTCCTTTCTTCCTCCTATCCATCCTTTCATCCTTTCATCTATCCATCCACCCATCCATATCCATCCATCATCATTCAGCCCTTCTTCCCTCCCTCCCTCTCTCCCTCCCTTCTTCCCTTCCATCCTTCTATGCTTCAATTCTTTCATCCATCTATCCATCCATTGGCTAATCCTCCCTGCCTCCCTTCATCTACCCGTTCTTCTACTACACCCTTCCTCCTATCCACCATCCTCCATCCCACCCATGCACTCTAGGGAGAATCAGTGCCACCCTCACCGTCGCACTGCACTCTGTGCCAAAGCGTTACCCAAAGCACACCAAAGTCTGCTCTTGGGACTCAGCCCAGGGATCAGTAGGATTCCTCTGTGTATTTTCCATTCACGGCACCTTATGGAAGTGGTCTCTCTTAGTCAAGTTACACTATCCCAAACTTGTTAAGTCACACTATCCCAAACTAACCCCTCAAATTTGGTTTAAAAGAATTCCAATCAGCCATTTGTTTGCACAATGAGATAACAAACAGAAAATTAATTTTATGTACACAGATAGAAATGACGAAATCCCAACAGCTGCCCAGATATTTCATGCTGCAGAGGCCAGAGCTTTTAGGGAGGCCTTCTCAAGGGAAGGCTGGCCTGGAGAAGCCAGGTACCTGGGGGAAGGTTGGGAAAACTCCCGACAGCCTTCCCTACTTGCTCCACCTTGGCCCCGCCCAGGCCGGCTCTGTGCAAATCACCCAGAAGCCTCATTTGCATCCACAACAGCTCATTTCCATACCTTCCAGCTCTGGGTGGCGAGGCTGCCACTGGGCTGTGGGACAGCAGTCCCTTTTGTTTTCCCATGCCATCCAGGGAGTTGCTCCTTCATCCTTCAAAGATGGAAAAAAAAAAAAAAAAAAAAGAAAAGGAAAAGAAAGAATGCAAGTGAGAAAAAAGAAAAAGGAAAGGGGAAGAAACCCTCAAGACAAAGAGACCGGCACCATCTGGGCAACAGGAAGGGAAGAAAATACCACTGTCTGGAGTTTGGACCCTGGGGAAGCAGGCGACAGAGGGACGGGGCCTCAGGGCTGGCTGGAGTAGAGGATCTTGGAATTGTCAGAACTGGCTCAAATCCCAGCCTCGTCATTTACTTGGCTTTGGGATCTTGGGCAGGTGACTGGGAGGCTCATGCCTCTGTTTCCCCATCTGGGACATGGTACTCTCACACCATTGACCTATGGCTGCTTGGAGAACTCCCAGGGGGCTGTGTGGACATTGCCTGGCATGCAGTGGCCCCTCAGTGCTTGCTCCCCTGATCATTCCTGCTGCAGACCTCGGATGGCAAAGGGACTGTCACGTCTGAGCTGGTGGCACTGCCTGGCACACCCTCTTCTGCACGACCAGTTGTGTCCACCCTGGCTCTGCCCTGCCCCTTTCCCTCTCTGGGCCTCAGTTTCCCCAAGGTGGTGGAACTCCAGCTCCAAAGGCTGGTGCCCTTTAGTCCTCCCCTCTTACTCCTGTGTTTAGCAAATTGCAACAAAAGCCAAGGTATAGTGATGATAATGCTAATGAGGATGATGATAATAATATGAATATATTTTTTAATTTTTACTTTTCGTGGGTATGGTATATATACCTATGGAGTACATGAGCTATTTTGACACAGGCATGCAATACCTTTTTTTTTTTTTTTTTTTGAGATGGAGTCTTGCTCTGTCGCCCAGGCTGGAGAGCAGTGGCGCGATCTCGGCTCACTGCAAGCTCTGCCTCCCGGGGTTCACGCCATTCTCCTGCCTCAGCCTCCCAAGTAGCTGGGACTACAGGCGCCCACCACCATGCCTGGCTAATTTCTTTTTGTATTCATGGTAGAGACGGGGTTTCACCTTGGTAGCTAGGATGATCTCGATCTCCTGACCTTGTGATCCGCCCGCCTCGGCCTCCCAAAGTGCTGGGATTACAGGCATGAGCCACGGTGCCCAGCCTCAGGCATGCAATACCTAATAATCACATCAGGGTAAATGGAGTATCCATCCCCTCAAGCATCTATCGTTTATGTTACAAACAATCCAATTATACTCTTTTAGTTATTTTAAAATGTAAAATTAAATTATTACTGACTATAGTCGCCCAGTTGTGCTAGCAAATACTAGGTCTTATTTATTCTTTCTAGCTACTTTTCTGTACCCATTAAGAATTCCCACTTCCCCACATCCCTCAACTACACTTCCCAGCCTCTGGTAACCATCCTTCTACTCTCTGTCTCCATGGGTTCAATCGTTTTAATTTTTGGCTCTCTCAAATAAGTGAGACATGTGAAGTTTATCTTTCTGGGCCTTGCTTATTTCACTTAACATAATGACCCTCAGTTCCATCCATGTTTTTGCAAATGCCTGGGTCTCATTCTTTTTCATGGCTGAATAGTACTTCATCATGCATAGGTACCATATTTCTTTATCCATTCACCTGTTGATGGACACTTAGGCTGCTGCCAGATCTTGGCTATTGAGAACAGAGCTGCAATAAGCATGAGAGTGCAGATATCTCTTCGATAGACTGATTTCCATTCTTTTGAATAATAATATGAATATTCATAGAGTATGCAACGGAGAACCTTGCACTGGGCTAAGCCCTGAATCCCTCGTTTGTCATTTTGTTCTTACGACCACCCTGCGGCTCATGTTTTAGTGTGATCTCCACTTTACAATCAGGGACAGAGAGGCTCAAACCCAGGCCTTCACCTCTGCTTTCTGCAGGCTTTGGAGAGGCAAAACTCTCATGTCCTAGAGAACTTTGCCCGTGGCCTCTGCCTATTTGCCTCCCCACCAGGGAGGACTCAAGTCTCACCCATGCCTATAGAGCAGCCCCCAGATCCCTAAAGCCGTGCATTAGTGGGAGGGGGCAGCTCTGTGGCAGGGCCAAGGGCCAGGGCGCTAGGCCCTGCCGTATCTCAACAGGGATGTGTGGGTTTGGTGGGTAAGAAGTCGAGGTGCTTTAGAGGTGGGGCAAGGACATAAATGTTTGATCCTGCACCTTGTTCCTGACCCTGCGACCGTTCAATACCTGGTCCTGACCTCACCCCTGGGTCCCTGGGTCTGTATACTCCCCTTTCTCACTATGCTCCTAAATTTCTCACATCCACCAGGTTCCTGGATGAGTGAATGTGGTGCAAAGGCCCTGTGGTCCACACAGTCTGGGGTCCTTTTCCCTTCTATTCTCACATGTTGGTTGCTGTGTGTGTGTTTCTGTCCCGCAAGCAGGAAAACATGCTTCAGTGCCTGTTTGTTTTTGTTCATGTACGTGCAAGGGCCCTTGTGTCTTCATGGTGGTGAAGAACATGAATGCTGCTGCCAGCCTGCCGTGGGTTCAAATCCCAGCTCTGCTAGTTACCAGATGTGTGACTTCAGGCAAACCATGTAACCTCTCTGAGTGTCATCTGTAAAATGGGGATGAAAACAGCACTTAGCCTTGTTGTAAGAATTGAATGAATAACACAGACAAACTGTTGAGAAGAGCATTTGGCCCATGGTAAACTCTTGTAAGAGATAGCCCTGGTGAGAATGGTTTGTGGGTGTGGGTGTGTGTACATGTAAGTATGTGTATCTATGAGTGGATGTGGCAAATTGGGCCCAGAATCTTATGCAAGCAGGTTCATATATTACGCTTGTGTTTTTATACCTGTGTGAACCGCATGTGAGCTGTACATGTGTGATGAGTAGGTCAGACCTGGTAGACAAGAGACTCTTGCAAGGAGTGGATTTGTGCTTGCTTAAATATTTCATATCAGTGTTCATTCAATTGATTAACAATTCTACTCTTCGTGTAGAAGAGTTTGTAGGAAAATATAACTTGCTCTTTTTGCAGGAAGTAGTATTATCTGCCTGAAGACCCACTAGAAAGAGGGACTTCTCTTGCCCCTTCCAGCTTGGAATCAGGGACGTTGCCCCCTAGGCAGGAACTAGGGAATGCTCACGTGCCCAGGGTGGGCTGGTAAGGCCCTTTGCTCAGCCTGTAACTATGTATCTGCAAGGCTGGCTTCAGGAGCCTCTCCCTGGGTCCACTGGGGAACCACCTCCCTCTGGTGTACTATGAAGGCCAAGGGAGGTGTTGGCCCCAGTCCTTCCCCCTGAGTGTTTTTATTCTGTCCTGAGGTTCACATTTCAGTTTTAAATTTAGCCACTCGCGAAGCCTTATGTAACCCTGGCAGATTTGTCTTTCCAACTCTGGCTCCTGTGTGGCAATTGGGGCCCGCTCCAGCCTTTTTGGAAAGGAAGAGAATCTAAATGATCAGGAGAGGAAACAGAGGGGCCAAGAGACCCTAAAAGTTCCCCTCAGTCTCTCCCTGAGACACATCCCATTTCTTAATCATTTCTCTCTTTTCGAGAGCCTCTATGCCACCTGGCCACTTCCCTCCTTTTTTTGATCACATGAAGCTGGTGCCAGGATACTTAACTGGAAGTCATAAGATGCAGGTTTGAGACCTGACTCACCTCGGGGTCTCTACATGACCTGGGGCAAGACCCTTCAGCTCCGTGGACCTCAATTTCCCCACTTATCCATGGAGGCTTCAGTTCCTCCCCCCTGGTTGTCTCTGAGGGCACCATGTGGATTCAATAGATGGGAGTGTGTTTATGAACTGTGATTCACTTACGTCTTCTCTTGAGTTTCCCAGAAGCCCTGGCTCTAGAAATCTTTATTGATTAATTTGTGGCTGGGAAGGGGAGTATGAGGTATGGTCAGGGGGCTCAGAAGGGGGCTTAACTTTTGTTTCCTCAGAGCCTGGCAGGCACATAGAAGGTGCCAAGCAGTTGGTGGTTGAATGGATGACACCTTCCTGGGGTGATCATTTTTGGAATGTGGCCCACCCAAGGTCACACAGCCGGTGAGGACCAGCTGGTAGCTATTCTCTCTGCTGTGAGGGCATGGACCCTGGTGGGTGACACCAGCCGCCATTGTGCATGTCCTATGTGTGCGTGTCCAGGAGGCGGGGGGTGGGGGATTAGCATTCATAGGGCACATGGCCGCTAGAGGAGGCTGCCTGGTCCCCCGTGGGAGGCCGGATGTTCCAGCCATTGGGCCAGCTTGTCTCGGGAGGGGCGAGAACCTGACACCCCCAAACACTTGGTCCTGTCACTCCTGGAGGATTTGGTGAGCTGGTGGGTGACTTGGTCGGGTACATGCTGAGCTGGGTGGCTGGGAGGTAGGGAAGTTGGTACATTCCTTGTGAGCCCAGCACTGCAGGACAGTAGGACATGGCACATAGTAGGTGTTTCATAAATATTTTTATATGAATAAACAACCAAAAAATTATTGATCTCATTGCCTAAAACCTCAACCAGTCTTCCATAACTCAATATATATGTTCCTCCCATGATCTCAAAACCTAAATTCAGAAACCTGGGAGTCATGCTTGCTTTCCCACAATGGTTCATCTCCACAACCCACCTATTTCCAAGACCTGCAAATTCTCCCTTCAAAATGTACCCCAAATCCACCCTTCCCAGCATCTCTCACTTGGATGCCTGTGGCCACCTCTGCATGAACCTCATTTCTTCTTCTCTCACTCCCACCACCTCCTTCTCCACCAGGTGATCTTGGCAAAGTGTGAGTGGCTCTGTCAGTCCTCTGTTTAAAACCTGTGGCTTTTGGCTGGGCGCGGTGGCTCACGCCTGTAATCCCAGCACTTTGGGAAGCCGAGGTGGGCAGGTCATCTGAGGTCAGGAGTTTGAGACCAGCCTGGCCAACATGGTGAAACCCCGTCTCTACTAAAAATACCAAAAGATTAGCTGGGCATGGTGGCACATGCCTGTAATTCCAGCTACTCAGGAGGCTGAGGCAGGAGAATTGCTTGAACCCGGGAAGCGGAGGTTGCGTTGAGCCGATATCACACCACTGCACTCCAGCCTGGGCAACAGAGTGAGACTCCCTCTCAAAAAACAAAACAAAACAAAAACCTGTGGCTTTTGAGTTAAAATTCACACTCTGTCTGGGTGCCTCCATCTTCTCCTTACTCATGAAGCCTCAGCCACTGCTCTCAGTTGCTCTCCTTAACCGTGCCAAGCATGGCTAGGTTCCCACTTCCGACCCATCTTCATGATTTTAGGGCTGGTTTTTTCTTGTCTGGTAGGCTCCTTATATTTGAAGCTTTGTTCTTATCTTCCTATTATTTTTTTTCTCGCAGTCATTTCTTGATATTAAGTTATAGGGACATGTCTGGGACAGGATTGCGATGAAGAAGGTAGAGGGTGGTTGGAATGATTTGGGAGGAGTGGAGAGGGATACTTCACCAGGATGGGCTGTTTGCCACGTAGTCACCCACTGAACTATACTCCCTCTTTCCTTCCACCATCCATCCATCCACCCATCCATCATCCATCCATCCATCCATCCATCCATCCATCCATCCATCCATCCATCCATCCATCCATGCATCCTACCCTCTCACTCATCCATCTATTCAACTACTAATCTCTATATCCGTTCATCCATTCATCCACCCACCCACCCATTCATATACCCATTTTTCCATCCACCCGCCCACTCACCCGTCTATCCATCCATCCATTCATCCATTCGTCTATCCATCCATCAATCTATCCACTTATCTATCATCCATCCATCCATTCATCCATTCTACCCTCCTACTTATCCATCTATTCAGCTACTAATCTCTACATCCATTCATCCATCCATCCACCCACCCACCCTTCTATCCATCAATCTATCCACTTATCTATCATCCCTCCATCCATTCATTCACCTATGCATCCATCCTTTCACCTACGCACCCACCCATCCATCCTTTCATTCATTTGTCCATCCATCTACCCATCCACCTACTTATTCACCCATCCATCCACCCACCTATCCACACACTCACCCATACACCTATCCATCCATCCATCCATCCATCCATCCATCCATCCATCCATCCCCCCATCCCTTCATCCCATCTTGATCTGGCCAAAGTATGTAATTTGCTGTACTTCAGTTATCTTTTCTTTAGAATGAGGCAACCCTACTTACCTTATGGGACTGCTGTGAGGATCACAGGAGATGATGTGTGCACAGTTGCTAAGAGTGTGCCTGGCACAGAGGAAAGGCTCAGCCAACATTTCTCTCAGAAGCACCTGGATTTTGGTACACAGCCTGCTCCTCTAGCCTTTGTACTCTTTAAGCTTCTACCTTCTCTTCCCCCAGCAAGTTGCTTCCTAGAGGGCTCAGTCACATCACACCACTCTGTGGAAGGAGGAGAGGAGCTGCTGCCCAGGTGACCCACAACCCAAGGGAGGAGGTGGGCATTGGACAGCCTGTCCCATTGCCCTGTGAAGGACAGGGGAGATACTCATGAGGGACCAGCGTGCGCATGTAAATGTAGGCACGTCTCTCTTTTTCTCTGGAGATCTCCCTGCCTCTCTTTCTTTACTTCTTTCCCCCTTGTTCCCATCTCTCTCCCCTTCCCTTTCATTCCCTTCTCTTCAATTCACTTCTATTTCTCTCCCCAACTCTCACTCTTTGTCTTTTTTTCCTCTCTCTTTTCTCTTATCTCACTGCTTCCTCCTCCTTCTCTTCCTTTTCTCCTCCTTCTCCTCTGTCTTTCCTTCCTTTTGCTCTTCCCCCTCCTCCTTCTTCTCCTTCTTGTTTGCTCAGCACTAGATGGAGGATCTGATTCTGCAGTCTTGGTTGGTCCTGGCTTCCCAGAAAATAACATCATTACACCACATTCTTAGAATCTTAGAGTGCCCCTATATGGCATCTGAGCTGCAGAGGGCCTCTGAAACAGAGAAGAATGGAATCAGAGGACCACAGTGTCAGGAATTATGAGAGCTAAGCTCTCTAGAACTTTAAAATTAAGGCTTATTGAATCTTGGAAAACAATAGAATGTCTGGAGAATAGGAGTTCAGAATCACTGACTTCCTTGGAGCTGGCTCTGCAAGTTTTCAATATGCCGTTCCTAGATTGCCACCACCTTCATTTAACAACTCTTTACTGTTGTAAAGCACCTGCTATGTGCTAGGCACTGTTTTGGGCTACTTGGGATAAACCCATGAACTAAGCAGGCAAAAATTCCCGCTTTCTGGACTTTGCCCCAGGGACGAGGCAGGGCCTGGGACTAACACATAGTGAACTGATAAGACAGGTGGGAGGTGAGTGCTATGGATTTTTTGGCATAACCATGTACTGCCTGTGTTCTTTACTTCATATTTTTCTTTAAGTAGACTCACTTTAAAACACACAAATATATTTTTAAAAGGAAGCTATATATTGCTGAAAATAATGAGAAACCAATATCGGTGTCCGCCAGCAGAAAGTGTCTTCAAAAATGAGTACAATGGGCCAGACACGGTGGCTCATGCCTATAATCCCAGCACTTTGGGAGGCCGAAGCAGGTGGATCACTTGAGGTCAGGAGTTCAAGACCAGCCTGGTGACACGGTGAAACCTCATCTCTACTAAAAATACAAAAATTAGTTGGGCGTGGTGACGGGCATCTGTAATACCAGCTATTTGGGAGGCTGAGGCAGGGGAATCGTTTGAACCTGGGAGGCAGAGGTTTCATTGAGTCAAGATCATGCCACTGCACACCAGCCTGGGTGACAGAGACTCCATCCCAAAAGAAAAAAAAAAAAAGAGGACAGTGGGTGCAAGCCTGTAGTCCCAGCTACCCTGGGAGGATTGCTTGGGCCCAGGAGTTCGAGGCCAGCCCAGGTAACATAGCAAGACCCCATCTCTAACTAAAAAACCAACCAAAAAAGGGCTGCAGTCAGTGGCTCATGCCTGTAATCCCAGCACCTTGGGAGGCTGAGGCTGGTGGATCACTGGAGGCCAGAAGTTCGAGACCAGCCTGGCCAACATGGCAAAACCCCATCTCTACTAAAAATACAAAAATCAGCTGGGCGTGGTGGCGCATGCCTGTAATCCCAGCTTCTTGGGAGGCTGAGGCAGGATAATTACTTGAACCCGGGAGGTGGAGGTTGCAATGAGCTGAGATCACGCCATTGTGCTCCAGCCTGGGCGACAGAGTGAGACTCCATCTCAAACAAAAACAAAAACAAAAACAAACTAACTAAAATAAATAAATAAATACAAATAATCGAACAAAAAACCCCAAAAAAAGAAGCACAGTGGAAATAAAATCCTGTAATGAGAAACCTGGCTTGATGCTGTTCCTTGTCTCTTTGGGAGCATGAGGACTGCATGCCCCCACTCTTTGTTGTGAAGGAGAATTGGCAAGTGTCGGAGCCACCACAAGCAGACAGGCTATAAAGAAGGTGAAAAAGAAAAAGAAATGATTTAAATATCCTCCCTGTACCACTGAAATCCTCGGGCCTGGCCTCAGCCTGCCGCTCCAGGGCCCCAGCAGGGAGGACCTGGGTGATGTTAGGGCAAATCACCTTACCTCTTTGAGCATCAGTTTCCCCATCTGGAAATAAGGGGATGATGAAGGCACCTTTCTCCTGGCACTCTTGTAGGGATTGATTAAAGTAAGTGCTTCAGGTGAACTGAAAGATTTGCAATTCCTTCTAGGCCTATAGGGACGGTCATTCCAGGCTGCTAGGGGGAGGGTCCCTAGGCCCAGCGTAGCACCTCCCTGGCCATCTACACCCTCACACCTTCTTCTCCACCTCCTTCTCCACCTACTTCACCTGGCCCTGGTGGGAGCTGGAAGGGTTGCCTCATCTAGGCTGAGCCCTCTGGAGTAATTTACGGGCCTGCAGTCCCATCCTCCCTAGTTTCTCCCAGCTGGGAGGCTCTCATCTGCCTGCCAACCCCCAACACCTCTGTGTTTCATGCCCATTGAGATTTAGGGTTCCACCATTTTCCTGAAGGCAAATCGGGCCGAGGGGAATTTTAATGCAGCTTTATCAGCTACATCATGCTCACTTTACTTGGCAGGGAAATTGCCGGTGGGGGGTTGGACAAATGCTTGGAACAGGCGATAAACTCCCAACATCTGTATTCCCTGCAAGAAGGGGCTGTGGGCCCTGAAGACCCTAGGGAGGCCTTGAGTTCAGATGGCTTGAAACTCCCTATCATCCACATCTAAACCTTCCAAAGGATCCAGAACTTCTCCAGGTAGGAAACTCATTCATTCATTCAGTCATTCATATGTGTAACTCATTCATTCATTCATTCGTGTGTTCCTTCAACGAGTATTTAACCAGTGCCTGCCCTAGGCCAAGCCCTGGGGGTCTAGTTATGAAAAGAACGTGAATCCTGCCCTCTTGGACCTCACATTCCTATGGGCAACAGGATTCCCTTGTCTCAGGAAGCCCAGGAGGCTGTGAGAGCCCGAAGAAGCAGCTGGCCCCACCCGGGAAGTCCCAGAAGGCTTCCTGGTGTTGGTGGTGATGATGGTGGTTGTGGGGCATATAAGTGAGCAACTGAAGGACAAAAAGGAGCATCTAAGTCCAGGAAGGCTTCCTGGTGGTGGTGGTGATGGTGGTGGTAGAGAATATAAGCTGAGTGACTGAAGGACAAGAAAGAACACCCAAGGCTTTGGACGATGGTAAGAACTGTGTTCTAAGGTGGTGGGGAGTCATTAAGGAAGTGGAATGGAAGTCAGCTGTGAGGAGGGAGGGGTCAGAGTGGACACAGGGAGGTAAGCGAGGAGGCCGCTGCCCTGTCCAGGAGACAAGAGAGGACTGGGGATGGAGCGAAGTGGACACACCTGGAAAATTTATGGGGTGGTATCCGTGGGACCTGGACCAGGGCAGAGGGTTTGTGGCTTGGTGGGTGTCAGTAGGGTGGGGGTCCTGGACCTCAGACCATCAGGGGACGGTAAAGAACATTTGTGCTGGGCGCGCTCTCGCTGCATTTGTTTTTCTTTGGCTACCCTGACTCAGAGTTGAAAAATCTCTTGTATATCAGCTAGGCGGCCTTGGCGTGCCCTGGGGTGGACCCCAGCTCCTGTCTTCTTTCCCAGTGAGATGGGAATGAGGGTTACCCTTGCAGCAAAAGCCCCACCCTCCCACTCCAGGCAGGGGGCTGGGGGCATGGGAGTCCACGACCTGGGGTGGGGCAGCGGAGCCCTTGGGGGCAGAGGTGAGGGAGGGGTGACCTTTCTACTATCTCTCAGTCCAGCCCTCTGGTTTGATCTGGGGCCCTCTGTGTGTTCTTTTGTATAAGGAAGACCTTGAGTTTCTCTCTGCAATGCTCACTCCCTCCTTCCCGCCCTACTTCCGTCCATCCACTCAGTCCTTATTTACGGAGGGCTCACTATGTTACAGGCACAGTTTTAGGCACTGGGGATACAGCACAGGATGAATCAGGCAAAAATCCCAGCCCTGACCTCATGGAGCTTACACCAGAGCAGAAGGATGACGAAGGATAAACAGAGTAGGCTAAAATATATAATATGCCAGAATAACAATAAAAATAAGGCAGAGGCAGCAAAAGAGAGCAGTGGGGTAGTCAGTGCCCTACTGAACTGAGATCCTGAATTACTTCATACCATTTCCACGCCTGGCCTGTACTTTACGGATACACTACCTACGCGTGTATCCATAAAAGGTATACTGTGCGGCTTGGCAGGTTTTAAAACTTTCTATAAATGCAAGCATCCCATATGCATATTCTGTGATTGCTTTTTTGGCTCGACATCCTATTTTGAGACTGATCCTTGTTGATACGTGACGCTCCAGTTGACACACTGTCACTGCGATAGACTATTCCGCAGTATGAATATGTCACTACTCATTGAGTCATCTTTCCGGTGATGGACACTTAGGTTGTTTCCAATTTTTTTTTCTCTTACCACCCAAGCTGTAGGAACTTTCTTATACCAGTCGACACCCCTGGACTCCAGTGTTTTCTAAAAGAAAAGCACCTGGCGACAGAAAGCCAATACTATCTGTCAAATTGCCCAACATGGTCTACAATGACGACGATGATGATGTTGAAAAAAAAATAGCTCCGGGGACTGAGGGCTTCTTTCATGTAGGATCATTCCAGTCACATTAGCCCACCACCTCCTTTCCATCCTCATATGATAAAAGGTAGACTCCAGGATTGTTCTCACGTAGCAGACACAGGCCCGGAGAACAGGGAGGTTAAGCAGGTTCCCTAAGGCCACTCGACTAGGAAGGGACAGCTGGAATGCCAACCTGGACACTCTGAGCGTCGCCACTGCACTGCCTGGTCCCTCTCTCTCCATAGCTCTGCTCCATCAGAGTGTTCTCATTATATCCCTTAAACACCCTCAGCATGGTCCTGCCTCTAAGCATTCACACCAGCTGTTCCCTCTGTCCAGAATGCTTTTCCAGTCTCATCTCCAAGGCTGCCTCTCAGACCCTTCCTGGATCCTTTCCTCCTTTCTTTTCTCTCTTGTTTTTTTTTTTTGAGTTAGGGTCTTGCTCTGTCTCTCAGTGTAGTGGTATGATCATAGCTCAATACAGCTTCAACCTTCCTGGGCTCAAGCGATCCTTCCATTTCAGCATCCTGAATAGCTGGGACTGCAGGCATGCACCACCATGCTCAGCTAATTTTTTGATTTTTTTGTAGAGACCAGGTTTCACCATGTTGCCCAGGCTGGTCTTCAACTCCTAGGCTCAAGTGATCCACCAGCCTCAGCCCCACAAAGTGCTGGGATTACAGGCGTCAGCCACTGTGTCCCACCTCTGGGCAGTTTCTTGATCTCATTTATGGCTATAACCTAGCCTAGCATGGCACAGACTATTGTAGATGCTCAGTAAGTGATACTTTGACAGAGTGCTTGCACCATGCCAGGCTCTGGGCTGAGTGCTTTGCAGATATAAGCTCATTTCACCTTCACAATTATCCCTTGAAGTGGGAAGATGGTTTTCATTATACACCAAGGAGGAAGAGGAGGAAGAGGATCAGGGGCTCTCAGAGGCATTAAGTAACTTGCCCAGTGCACGCAACAAGGGAAAGCAGAGGCCAGATTTGGAACCAGGTCTGCCCTGCTCCATCTCGCCACTGCCTCTCCATGTCTTCCTGGGGACTTGAGCATCACAGAACTCACATATCAGAGTTTGGTGATGACGCCTTCACTTCACAAGAGGGGAAAGTGAGGCCCAGAGAAGGACCAGGACTTGCCCAGGATCACCCAGCGAGTTGGTAGCAGATAAGGTCAAGCTCTTGTAAACTCCTGGACTTCCCAGGCCACTGTGACCCTGGCCACGCTGGCTTGGTATCCATGGCCCATCAGAATGAGGGTGACATGTGCTGCATCTCTCTCTCCACATTGGGGGCCGCTGGCCAGGGATGTGGCTGAGAAGGTAAAGCGAGAAGCCTGGATCAGAGATGTGTCTGTCACTGTGACGGGACGCTCAAGGCAGATCCATTATTCAGGTCATCAGGCTGGAGCCACCAGGCAGGCGAGGGAGGCCTGCTGCAGCCGGACGGTCAGCTGGCAGGGCCGAGGGGGGGCTGCAGGTCCCCGGGAGCTGTCACTGCTGACTGATGGATGGGGACAGCTTCCAGTCGCCGGCCATCCCCGCCACGAGCCCCGTGGCCATCTCTGCGGCCGCCCACGCTGGCCTCCCGCCCGGCGCCTTGCTTTGAACGTCCACAAGGCCTTTTGTTCTCGCAGCAGGAGCTGGGCAGGCAGCGTTGAGGGGCCCCTTTCAGAGGAAGGAGCCGCCTGCTGGGGCCTCCCCCTGCCCTCGACCCCTGCTGTGTTCCTCTAATTACCTGTGGGCAGGAGGGGCTGGCTGAGGGGTCCAGCTGAGCCCTGAGGAATCTGCTGGGGGAGGGGGTGGTGACGGTGGTGTGGCCATAGAGGCCTCAAATTCCAACCCAAAGAGATCGTCCCGATCACAAATTGGAAACTGAGTCCCGGAGAGGGCAACTGCCTTGCTTGAGGTCACACAGCGAGTTAGAAGTAGGGCTTGGTCTGGACCCAGGGGTGTTTTGACTCCCCAAGGTAAGAGGTGGGAAGAGAACTGGTGCTTAATAATTTTGAACACCTACTTGACACCTGCCATCTTATTGAATCAGGTCCTTCACTTCCCAGCTCCGGGTCCTCAGGCAGGTCAATTTCCTCTCTCAGCCCCGGTTTCTTCATCTATGCAACACACTTATTTACCAAGGACCTTTTCTATTCAAGACCATGACGAGACATAAATTAGACATGGTCTCTAGCCTCAAGGAGCCCACCAATAGAGGGAGTCTGTAGATGACTTGGCACCCGTGGTAAGTGCTGGGGTGCATGGGTGGAGATGGCTGTGGGGCCTCACAGGGGACAGGAGGGGCCCACGGAGGGCACAGTGTCTGCTGATTTTATCCAGGGAGGTGGCTTTGAAGAGCTGCAGATGATCTCCTGGCTGTGAGGAGCCACTGGAGGAGCTGAGGCAGAGGCAGGGGGTAGCCAGGAGTCTACTGGAAAGGTCCAGGCAAGAGGTGATGAGGGCTAGGTCAAGCGGCAGTCCCTGAACCTTCACACAGTCTGGACTTTGAACCAGTGGGCCTCAGACTCTTGGTGTAGCTGCTTTTTGGTGGTTCCTTAAAAAGCTAAACATAGATTTGCCGTATGACCCAGCAATACCACTCCTGGGAATATGCCCAAAGGAATTGTAAACAGATACTTGAACAGATACTTGTACACCCGTGCTTGTAGCAGCATTATTCATAGTAGGCAAGCTGTGGAAACAGCCTAGGTGTCTATCTACGGATAAATGGATAAACAAAATGTGGCATATCCATACAATGGAATCTTGTTCAGCCATATAAAGGAATGAAGTTCTGATACATGCTACAACATGAATGTACCTTGAAAACATTATGCTAAGTGAAAGAAGCCAGACACAGAAGGACAAATATTGCGTGATTCCACTCATGTGAAATATCTACAATAGGCAAATTCACAGAGACAGAAAGTGGTTAATAGGGGGCAGGGGGAGGGGGAAATAGGAGAGTTACTGCTTAATAGGTACAGAGTTTCTTTTTGGGGTGATCAAAAAGTTTTAGAAATAGACAGTTGTGGCTGGGCATGGTGGCTCATGCCTGTAATCCCAGTACTTTGGGAGGCAGAGGTGGGTGGATCACATGAGCCCAGGAGTTCGAGACCAGCCTGGGCAACATGGCAAAACCCTGTCTCTAAAAAAAATACAAAAATTATCTGGGCATGGTGGTGTGTGCCTGTAATCCCAGCTGCTTGGGAAGCTGAGGTGGGAATATCCCTGAGAGTGGGAGGCAGAGGTTGCAGTGAGCTGAGATCACGCCACTGCACTCCAGCCTGGGTGAGAGAGCGAGACCCTGTGTCAAAAAAAAAAAAAAAAAAAAAAGAGAGAGAGATGGGGTGATGGTTGTGTGACATTATGAATGTACTTAATGCCACTGAATTGTTCATTGTATAACTCATTGACATTGATTTAATACATTGCATTGAAATGGGTGAGTTGTATGCTATGAGTTTAGCTATCTCAATGAAGCTAAATTCAAAAACCAGGGCCGGGCGTTGTGACTCAAGCCTGTAGTCCCAGCACTTTGGGAGGCCAAAGCAGGAGAATCGCTTGAGCTCATGAGTTCGAGACCAGCCTGGGCAACATGGCGAAACCCCATCTCTACAAAAAATACAAAAATTAGCCAGGTGTGATGGCACACACCTGTAGTCCCAGCTACTTGGGAGGCTGAGGCAGGAGGGTTGCTTGAACCTGGGAGGTGGAGGTTGCAGTGAGCCCAGTGAGCCTGGGCGATAGAGCCCGACCTTGTCTCAAAAGAAAACAAAAACAAAAACAAAACAAAACAAAAAACCAAATGAGTGGAGTTCGTGGGTTGGAGTCCTGAGGCCCTCAGTAAAATGGGAAGAAGGGAAAGTCATCTTAGGGGAGATGAAGGCCACGGTGTGTCTGATTTTGCAAATCATGACTGGCTGCCCATGTCCCTTTGCTGTGGACATTTTCCGTTTTGGGAGATTCGAGCCCCACTCCTAGGCTGACTTGCTGTGTGCCCTTTGCTGAGTTGCACAACCTCTCTGAGTCTCAGTTGTCTCATCTATGTATCAATCTATTTGCTTCAGGCTAACCATTTGCTGGGCACAGGGTCAGACATTTGCTCTGAATCTTTCTTTCAGTCCTCACCCTATTTGAAAGGAGAACACAAGGGCCCAGGGAGGGTGGGAGCCTTGCCAGGAGCTCCTAGAGAGTGTGGCTGAGACAACCTGAGAGCTTGGCCTGGGGCTGGCCCAGGGTTTGCCTCAGTCCTCATCTCCCACTGGCCCTGAGAACTCCTTACCCAGCCCCGCTCCCCTCCCCTTTGCATCCGTTTGGAGTTGGTCACGGATTTTGTTCCTTCTGCAAATGATCTCCATGTGTCACGGATTGGGTTTCCCCTCGTCTGGCCCTGTCCCTCTTGGGACCCCAGGCCCCCCACGGGCTGATGCAGCTGGACGGGGCCTCCCCAGCAGCTCCGTGGCTCATTCTGACCCTGAGATGGGGCCCAGGCAGGATGGGGCCTGGGCATCTGGTTTAACCATCAGAGCAGGGGCTTGTTTCGGTTTTAATGACGCATGGAGACCTCGGGAGAGGGAGAGGGAGCCGACTGGCAAACGGGGTGCAGAGAGGCAGCAGGGCCGATGGGACAGCGGAACTGAACAAACAAATACCGGAGCGTTAATGGGGGACTCTGCGGCCGAGAAGTCGCACTCACACTCATGCACGTGTGTAAGCACACACACGCACACATGCTGATGGAAAAGCCACCTTGCACACACCTACTTGCAGACGTTCCCGCCTCCTTCGCTCTAGCCGTCTAAATGTCATGCTGGTCTCCGCACATTCTCAGTGCCGTCCAGCCCCTCGGCCTTTGCCTAGGCCGGCTCCCCCACCTGGAATGCCATCCCTGCAAATGCCAGTCCTGCGGTTTGCGATGCCCGTGCTTCAGGGAACCCTTCCCTCATCCCACCTCCCCACCACCAGAGGCGGGGCCCCTCCTCCTCAGGCCTGTGGGTGGGGGAGAAGCCGCAGACAAGCTTCTGCTCAGCTGCATGGGTGCCCTGTGATCTTGGGCAAGTCCCTTCCCCACCCCAGAGCCTGAGTTCCCAGTGCTCCATCTGGAAAAGGCAACTCCACACCTCCTGCCTTCCTGGGTTCTCGCAACCGCCTTACTGTGATTGTCCCCATTTTGAGGCTGAGAAAAGAGAGGTTCAGAGAGGTTTAGTAAGTAGTCCAAGGTCACCCAGCTGGTTAGTAGGAGACTGGCTGAAACCCCAGTACCTATGCCTTCCCCTACTTCTGTTGCTGAGAACGGTCAGATCAGCCCAGGAGTCAGACAGACCTGTGCCGACTGCCCCTTGGGCAGAGTCAACTGGGCCCTCATTGTTTCTCGGCTCCCCCTTCATTGTTATTCTGACAGGGGCATGTGATTCACAAGAGCTCATTTGCTCCCAGCCCAGCCAGGGGTCCCTGAGCATCTGCCAACCCCTCTCTGGGCCTCAGCCTCCTCATCTGCAGGTGGAGAAGCGTATTCCTGCTCTCTTGACCCTACCTGCCATGCTAGGTGGTACTTGGGGTGGGAATAGATGCTTCCAGTTCTCAGCAGAGGAAACTGAGGCTCAGGAAGGCCAGGGCGGGGCTGGGATTCAAACCCATGCTTTGGACTTCGTGCCTGGCTTTGTCCATTGACCCCAGACTGCCTTCTGCCTCTAACTGGCAGGTGCAAACCAAGCCTGGGGGGTGCCATCCACCTTGTTAACCCCTTTACTAATCCGGGCTTTGGAGGGTTTATCAGAATAAGCATGAGGGCTGGGAGGGTTTGGGAAGGTGGTCTGGGGAGGGAAAGACTCACTGGGGACTTGGGGCTCCGTGGATCTTTCTGCCCAACTCCCAAGTTCATTTCATCTGTCAAATGGGCATACTATTACTGCCTGCTTTGTAGGTGTTGGTGAGGATGAAGAGGAGTTAGTGGTAAAATATGCCCAGTGCTGAGAATGGTGCCTGGCCTATCCACGCTTCATGTAAGCATTGGCTGGTTACCAGCATCGAGTGTTAGCATTATTTATTAATCATTGGCTTGGAATGACATCTGTTAGGCACCGGGGCTGTCTTTTTAGCAAAGACCTAGTTCACTGTTACAAGGACTTGGGGTTGACTCAGGGTATGGCAATGGCCTTGGCCTCTCCAAGCCTCAGTTTCTGCATCTGTGAAATGGAGATGATACCCCCAGCCTCCCTCACCCATCTTTTGCAAACATAGTCTCTAGCTGTTCCAAGCTGCCAGATGCCAGATCTGCTCAGAGGCCCACACAGGTCTCTCAGCTCATCTCTGACAGCGAGTCTCCACCCCAGGGCTCAGGGAGGCCCAGGAGGCCAGCTTCTCCAGGGTGGGTGGTGGGTACTATTAGACTTCAGTGCCTGGTTTCTCTAACTGCGGGGCTGGCTATGGCCAGGCTGATCCTCCATCTAGACTGAAAATACCCGTGCAAATCCCTCCTGTAAAATCCTCGGCCCCCTCCTGTGGGGCCTCCTGGGGACATGCCAGAGGCTAAAATAAGACCTGAAGTCAGCAGAGGCCTGTCCCCGGCTGCCACCTGATTCTACCAGTCCCTCAGGGACTTGGTGCTCCTGGCACAGACGGATTCTGAAATGACCGTCAGCAGGCAAGTGCCAGGCTGAGCCATCTCCAGTCCCTGAGGAGTTTTAGGATGCAGATTCCCTGGACTGACTCCATGAGGTAGAGTCAGTGGCTCGCAGTCGGGCCCAGGGAAACTGTGTTTTATAAAACTCTCAGGAGGTTGTGCTGACAGCTAGTGTTGGATGTCCATGTTCCACCGCCATTGATACTGACTTCTGTTTGCTTATTCATGCCTTTGTCTCCTTTTCAGTGGTGCTGGGAGCCTCTAAGGGCAGGGCTGGGTTTTCTGTCTGTCTGAGCAAATGCTGGGTGAAATGATGAATGAATGAATGAATGAATGAATGAATGAATGGACAAATGAATGAGTGGATAAGCAGCTCCCTGGAGAATTTTGGACCTTCCCTGCCACTGATGGGGGTGAGAGCTTTGGGGCTGATATTCCCCTGGATACCTGAGCTCAGTTTAGAGGTAGGAGGAGGCATTTTTTTCAGATTGCTTGGAGCCCTCTCCTCCAGGGAGCCGTCCCTGATGCCTTCCCCATCTGCTGTGCCCCACATCCCCTACTTTCCCACCCATCTCATGCCCTTCCCTTGTTTGTTTCCCTCTGCCCAGGACCCACCTTATGCCTGACTCAGGATGCTGTCAGTAACTGTTGAATGACCATGCAGATGAATGAATGAAGTATCTGTAAGACCAAATCTCTCCTTGGCTTTGCCTTCCAATAAAGGGAAGTCTTGGAAGAAGATGCCCCTCTCTTGCCACACTCTGCCTCCCCAACCGTTGTCTTTACTCCAGTCCTGCCACATTTTTCAAGTTCTCTCCATTTTCTCCAGCCACCAAGCCTTTGCACCTGCTGTTCCTTGTGCCTGAAACTCCCTCTGCCTTTGCTAATTCCTTCTTCTCCACATCTTTGCTTCAATGTTTTGGCTGTGAGTTGCCCTGATTGCTCCCCCAAAGCCCCATGTTCTCGCCAAAGCTGCCACCTTCCTTCCTACTTAAAGTGTGAGCTCTTTGATGCAGAGGCTGTATCGACTTCATTTCTGCTTCTCCAGCACCCAAGCCGGGAATGTTTGTTGAATTAATGCATAACCTTGTTAAAAAGCCTCAGCTGTGCTTTCTAAAAATATTGGTTCTAAATCCCAGCATGGCTGGGGGACCCAGGCTGAGGATCCCAGAGACGGGTGAGGCGTGGAGGGTACAGATGTGTCTCTAGGACAGGGCCTTTGACAGGTCCTGCCAGGCCTGGAAATGCTGTTCCATCGCCCAGGACCAGAGACCACTTTTCCACTGAGCAGTGGCTCTCTGGCCTGAGGCTGCACTGACATTCCCATCGCCAAGCTGTCCATCTCTCCCAGAGTTCACAGTGGAACTGAACTGGCTGGAAGTCAGGTAGTGAGGGGTGGAGAAGCAGAGGATGAGCCTGCTGTATGAAGCTCCAAAGGGAGGCTGAAGAGAGAGAGTTCTGGGCTGGGCCCCCACCTGCCCTTGAAACCTGGAGGAGCAGCACCCAGGAAAAGCTCTTGGTAACTTCTCAGGCCCATGTGAATGTCAGGGTTTATGATTATCATCAGGTGACAAGTTCTCATGGTCTGATCCATCTTTCTGAGTGATGGTGATGATGGTAGTATCTCCATTGATTGACAGCTCATGATTGCCTGGTCTAGGGCTGAATGCCGGGGAGGTGGAGAAAAATAATAACACACCGACCACACAGATTGAGTATCTTGAATGTGCTGGGCACTCTTTTGATTGCACTTTCTATATGACCTCATTTAAACCTCTTGAGAACCCAGTTTACCAATGAGGCAACTGAGACCAAGAGAGGCTAAGAGAGTCTCTTAAGGTCACAGAGCTGGGAACAGACAGAGGCAGGATTTGTCTCAGGGCCTCTGTGCCTCTGACCACGATAATATGTGGTGTCTGGGTTGGTCATAGCCCCTGCATTGAGGGGGCCAGGCACTCCCACACTAAACTCTCAAGCTCCTGCAGCTCTTTCGTTCCAACAGGTGCACGCATGCCTTCGTGTCTTCTCTCACACTTATTCAATCAACAAACATTTGTTGAGTACCTACTATGAGCCAGGACTGTTCTCGGCATTGGGCTATGGAAAAAAGTACCCCATGCAGAGGAGATGACTTTTGAGCTTAAGTTATACTCTGGTACGTGCCCGAAGGCAAAGACCAGGTAAATGCACTCACCGTATGTGTGTGTGTGTGTGTGTGTGTGTGTACTCGTGCAAAATCAGGGAAGCCTTCCTGGAGGAAGAGAAGTTGAAATCGGGACCTGAAGGAGGAATGGGAGAGAGAGGGAGCTGGTGAGGGTGCAGCGGCAGGGGGACAGGAGAAGCTCGCATGGGCCGGATGATTGGGTTCGTCCCACCCCCAGGCCTTTGCTTGGTGTGTTCCTCTGCCTGTGACACTTTTCCCTCTTCTTGATATCACTCCTGCTTCCTTTCCAAGTCTCAGGTGAGACATTGCCTCCTCCAGGAAGCCTTCCTGATGGTCCCTCGGCTGGGTCAGTGGCCTCCTCTAGGTCCCTACAACTCCCTGTGCCACCTGAATTGCTTACTAGGCTGTGAGTTCCCACAGGGCATGGCCGGGTCTGGCTCCCGTCAGTGCAAAGGGGGTGCCCAGTGAGTAACTGAATAAATGAGGGAGTGAGTGAAACTGCTCCCCACTCTGCTGTGCTGAGGGTGAAGCCTGCAGAGCCTGGTGCCTGCCCAAGGGATCCACAGACACAGCTCCCTTCTGCCCCCAAATGGCCCCACCCAGGGAATTCCCTCAGACCCAGCTGATGATCCCATGTGGACCCACATAGGACCGGGCAGGGGAATTGATCCCATCTTTCAGGGCCAGGCTTCATCCAGTGTGCCAACTGCTTTTGATCTGATCTTCTCTTTGGCTGTTTAAAACTTCTGCCAGGATACACACATATGTTCCCACAAAGACACACCCAGACACGGACACACGCACAGGTACACGCACCCGCAGACGTGGACGCACGCACGGGCACACGCACCCGCAGACGTGGACGCACGCACAGGCACATACACAGGTACACACACCCCCACACAGACATGGACACACACGAACACATATTCAGACAAATACACATGACACACACCCAGAGACACATATGTGGACATGCACACAGACATACATGGATGCATATACATGGAAACACACAGACATGCACAGACACACATGAGCACACATAGAATACATACACACACACACAAATACACACATTTATGAGCTCTCGAGCAGGAGGGCCACCATTACGTCTTCCCCAAGGTTGTTGTGAGGATTAAATGAGCCAAAGCGGTGAAAGTCCAGCTTCATGCAGGCTCCGAGTAGGTGTTCAAGGCCATCATGAGTGTGGGACCCCTGCAGTCATGCAGGACCTTGAGCACAGAAGGGTCCACGCTTGGTTTAATGCCCTCCTGTCACCATGTTGAAATCCTTAATATTTGAACAAGAGGCCCTGCATTTTTATTGTGTGAGTCCTGTGAGTTCGGAGTTGGCGTTGTGTGTGTTCCTAGTTTAACTGGCAGCCTGGAAACACCGACAGAGAGTCTACATGAACCCTGACTTCTGTAGGGTTGTTTGAAAGGCAATGAGGCCAGCCAGGAAGGGTGCAGAATGTTGGGCTTGGAGGCTGGGGCTGGGAAACCCTGGCAGCCCAGACATTGCAGATCGGTTTGTAGCAAGCACCGTGTATATTCAGAGCAACAAAAAGTTGAGTTCATGAGCAAAGAAGGTGGGGATGTGGGACCTCTGGGATCCAGTCCTGGCTTTGCCAGCACCCTCGATGAGTGGCTGCATCTTGCTGTGCCTCAGTTGTCCCCATCTCTGCAGCAGGCACTACCAGCAGATGGACCAGTCTGGATATTGGGGTCCCATCCCTGCTCCCGCTGTCCACCTCCTCAACCCAGAGACTGAGACCTGATGACATCTACTTCATTAATCCACTCTCAGCGTCTTCTCCCCAGTTCAGCCGAGCAGAGATCAGCTGGCTGGCTGGAAGGCTGGTTATCTGGTGCGGAGCAGGTGGAGGGGCCACACTCGGGGCCGACTGGCCGCCTGGTTTGTATTTTTAACACCCGGCTCTCGGGCGGTGACAAGGTGTCTGCTAAGTGAGGTAATAGGCAATTGAGTGGGTTCCGCTTTGCCGAGGGCCCTCATAAATCATGTCTGTCAGGGGCCTGTGTCATAGTCCAGGGCAGCGCTGCGCGTCGGCAATTAGCCAGCCTGTGCCCGGTGGCCGGACTGCAGCCCTCTAGTCCAGGAGCACAGCCCTGGCAGGGCCTGAGGGGGGCTTTGGCCTCTGCCCCTTCTCTCTGTCCTCCCAGCCTTCTCCAGCTCAGCCTCAGACAGATGAGGAGGGACTGACAAGGAGCAGGAGTAGTCCTGGGGCTGCTCAGGAGGCTTTGGGTGGCCTTGGCAAGTGGCTTTCCGTCTCTGGGCCTCAGTTTCCTCATCTGCAAGGTGGGTGCAATAATGACTGCTTGAGGACTAACGAGTGAAACTGACAAGAAGAGCACACATCTTAAGGTAAGGAAACCTCAGTGAGTGATAGTGATGATTGATGATGTTAGTAAACACTCTGACGGTGCTTGCGTGCTGCCAGCACTGTTTATTCTAAGCGCTTTGCATGTATTCACTCGCAGAGTCTCCATGCCTATTCCTCTTCAAGCCATGCTTCCCTACTTCCAATGCTTCCTTTACGGAGGGGACCCATGGTAAAGGCTCAGGTTCAAGCATATTTCTAGGTGGTGTCACCACAGGTGATTTTTATCTTATTATTTTTACATCATTTCGTTCTTCTAAATGTGTCTTTCACCAAGTGTGACACCAGGGCTGGAGCAGAGAAGCTCCCTAAGCATGGAGGCTGAGGCTTGAGGTCTACACGGAGTGGCACTCCTGGGCCTGGGGACTCCAAGGTGGGAGGCAAAGCCCCCAAGTCCTTTGTTAAATACACACGCTGGCCCAGAGGGAGAAAAATGCCACGTGGAGTCACACACACACACACATACACACACACACACACACACACACTCACACACTCACATATACAAACACTCACATACACACATTAAAATACACACAAATATACACACTAACATATACACACATATACACACATTCATATACACACACATACATATGCATACTCACATATACACACACAATCACATACACACACTCACATATACACACATACACACTGAAATATATAGAAACATGCACACATATACACACATGCATATATACACATATTTACATATACACACTCACATACCCACATGCATACTCACATATACACACACAATCACATCTACACACATACACACTAAAATACACACTGAAATATACACAAACTTACACACATGTACACGCATGCATATATACACATATTTACATATACACACATGCAGTTACATATACACACACTCACACACACATGCATACTCACATATACATATACACACACAATCACATCTACACACACATCTACACACATACACACTAAAATACACACTGAAATATACACAGACTTACACACATATACACACATTCATAGATACACATATTTACATATACACCCATGCAGTCACATATACACACACTCACATGTATACACACTCACATACACACACTAAAATACACATCCAAATATACACACACTAACATCTACACACATTCATATATGCACACTAACATATACACACATGCGCACTCATACATACATACACACACTCACATGTACACATATATTCACATATACACACACCCCACATGCATACTCCCTTCCAGGCCAACTTATAAGAGCTTAGAAACAGAGACCCCCACGCCTCCCATTTTGCAAATGATTCTTAACACCTACTGTGTGTCTGGCATGGGAATACAGAGTCATCCAGATACAGAGAAATCCCTGCCTCAGGCACATGGACCCCCTGAAACTGCATCATTGCAAACAGAGTCTTACCCCCACAGCCCTCCGAAAACACACATGTAGGAGGTCCCTTTCCCCTCCATACCACCCTCTCTGGTTCCAAAGCTTTCATGCCTGCTGCCTGGGGTGGTGGGAGGTGGGTGGGGCTTCAGATAGCATTGATGGCGGCAGTGTCCTCCAGGGTCCCCAGGCCTCCTCATGATCCCCAGATGGGAATCCTTTCGTTGCCAGCAGCCCTGTCCCCTGTCTTCCCTCCATCCACCCCCCGCCCTGCTCGCCTGACCAACCTTTGTGATGGGGGATGGGAGCAGGGGGGAGGCCCCAGGAGAAGATTCTTCAAAGAAAGTCCCTGCCCCCACCTCTGCCCTGCTGCGTACAGAGCCTCTGGAGTGGCTCCCCCTGGGGGGCCTGGCCTGGTTAGAATAGGGGCCTGAGCAGGCCTCCAGGTGGCTTAGAGGGATGAAGGATGCTCCAGTTGGGGGGGACACATGGATCCCAGCAGGACAGCATTTCCTAAATATTTTCTGCCCCTTTTGGGGACCAAGCAACAAAGTCCAGCCTCCAGGCTCATGCGGAGCCCACCAGGTGCACCGTTCTCTGTCCGGGCTGAGTACACCCACAGGCAGCTCTGGGGTGGGGGGTGGGGGCAGAGGGCCGTGGAGACCGCCATCTGCACGGCTCTCTTGGCTGCCTCCCCTCCCTGGGGGTCGAGAGGGGCCGGGATCGATGCTGGGCCCAGCTGCCCAGCGGCGCCCCCATCCCGAGCCGGCCTGGCCTGGGTCTAATTGATTACACTGGGGCGTCTGCGAGGGCCCAGGTGGCAAGGCCCAGGCAGCCTCTGGCTCCCCTAAGGCACGGCCTGGCTGGGGACAGGGGTGTGGGAAAGAAAGAAGGCACGGGGCGGGGTGTCTGTGAGTCCCAATTAAGCCACGAGTGGCACAGCCTGGGCTGCCCCTAATTTGGTTTGGGATAATGAGCCAGGGAAATTGGCTCCTGTCTGACTGGAGTTTAAGCCCCATCTGGGCTGGGCCCTGGGAATAGCCTCTTCAGTCCCTGCCCTGTGGATTAGGAGAGGGGGTGGAGCTGGCTCCTCTGGTGGGCACAGCTCTCTACAGTGTGCAGACACTTTCTCCTGTGTGTTATCGATGGCATATATTTTTGGGGGATGGGGGCAGTTACTATTACTGCTCCATTTTACAGATGGGCAAACTGAGGCCCAGAGAGGGGAAATGAAGCCTCCCAGTTCATTCCTGGCTGGATCCAAGACTTGAACCCAGATTTTCTCCTTTTTCTTTCTGATTGATACATATATATATATTCTTTTTTTCTGGATTGCCCAATTTAGCAAATAAAGACAAAGGAGGCCAGGCGCAGTGGCTCACGCCTGTAACCCTAGCACTTTGGGAGGCCAAGGCGGGTGGATCACGAGGTCAGGAGATGGAGAGCATCCTGGCTAACATGGTGAAACCCCATCTCTACTAAAAAAATACAAAAAATTAGCCGGGCATGGTGGTGGACACCTGTAGTCCCAGCTACTCAGGAGGCTGAGGCAGGAGAATTGCTTGAACCCGGGAGGCGGAGGTTGCAGTGAGCCGAGATCATGCCACTGCACTCCAGCCTGGGTGACAGAGCAAGACTCTATCTCAAAAAAAAAAAAAAAAGAAAAAAAGACACAGGACTTCCAGTTAAATTTGAATTTCAGATAAATAATATATAAAATTAGTATGTCTGTCTCATGAAATATTTGGGATATCCTCATACTAAGAAAATCTGATTTGTTCTGTATGTTACCTGGCAACACTAGCCATTATTCTTTAGGACCTTGGTGGAATCTGGGGGTGGAGGAAACAAACTTTGGAGCCAGTCAGACTGGTTCAAACTGGTTTTGCCACTTTCCTCCCATGTGGTTGTAGTAGACAGAATAATGCCCCATCTCCCACCTGCAAGATGTCCACTTCCTAATCCTTGGAACCTGTAATATGTTACCTTATGTGGCCAAAGAGACTTTGAAGTTAAGGATCTCGAAATAGAGAAATTATCCTGGATTATCTGGGTGGGTCAATGTCATCACAAGGGTCCTTATAAGAGGAAGGCAGGAGGGTCAGAGTCAGAAAAGGAGATGTGACGATGGAAGGAGGAGGGAGTGACGTGCTTTGAAGATGGAAGAGGGAGCCGTGAGCCAAGGAATGCTGGTGGAAGCTGCTTTTTTAGAAGTTGGAAAAGGCAGGGAAATGGATCCTGTCCTAGAGCCTCCAGAAGGAATGCCGTCCTGCCAGCATCTTGATTTTAGTCCCTGTGTTAGTCTGTTCTTGCACTGCTATAAAGAAATGCCTGAAGGCCAGGTGCGGTAGCTCACGCCTGTAATCCCAGCACTTTGCGAGGCTGAGGCAGGCAGATCACCTGAGGTCAGGAGTTCGAGACCAGCCTGGCCAACATGGTGGAACCCCATCTCTACTAAAAATACAAAAATTAGCTGGGTGTGGTGATGCATACCTGTACTCCCAGTTACTCAGGAGGCCGAGGCAGGAGAATCGCTTGAACCCGGGAGGCGCAGGTTGCAGTGAGCCAAGATCGCACCACTGTACTCCAGCCTAGGTGACGGAGTGAGACTCCATCCCAAAAAACAAATAAACCAAAACAAACAAACAAAAAACCCGAAATGCCTGAGACTGGGTAATTTGTAAAGAAAAGAGGTTTAAGTGGCTCGCGGTTCCACAGGCTGTACAGGAAGCATGGCGGCTTCTGCTTCTTGGGAGGTCTCAGGAAACTTACAATCATGGCAGAAGGCGAAGGGGAAGCAGGCATGTCTTGCAAGGCTGGAGCAGGAGGACGAGAGAGATTGGGGAGGTGCCATACACTTTTAAACAACCAGATCTCGTGAGAACTCACTACCACCAGAAAAGCACCAGGGGATGTAAACCATTAGAAACTGCCTGCATGAGCCAACCACCCTCCACCAGGGCCCACCTTCAGCACTGGGGATTACAATTCACTGTGAGATTTGGTGGGGATGCAAAACCAAACCATAGCAGCCCTGCAGGACTCATTTTGGAAATCTGATCTCCTGAACTATAAGGTACTTTGTGGTGTCTGACGCCGCTACATTTGTGATTTGTTACAGCAGCAATAAGAAACTAATACAGTGGACTTGGGTGAGTTACTTAAGCTCCGGGCCTCAGTTTTTCATCTGTAAAATGGGGATGGTCCTTTCTTCTGCACGGGGTGGATGTGAGGTTTCTCCTCGGCAAAGCAGTCAGTTGTTCCCCTTGCCTGTGGCTGGTGTAAAACCTCACCGGTATCCTGAAGGCCCAGCTGCAGCCTCCTTCCTTGCTTAGCTTCAGATCTCTGGAGGGAGCCAAGGAGCAGACCTCCCTTTCCAGGGGATGAGCTGAACCCTGATTCCACAAACCAGGGCACAGAGCATCTCCAAAAGCTGCTCTTCAGAGACAAAAGATCATGGGACCAGGGTCTTGATGGACCTCCTAACTCTGCCATTTCTCAGCTGTGAGGTCGTGGATAAAGGAGTCACATTTCTGCCTCAGTTTCCTCAGTGGGGCTCAGGGCGCCTCCACCTCTCAGGGCCCTTTTGAGGAAGAAATCAAATGCAATCCCAAGCCCATACATGGGAGGCGCCAACAAGCAATCATGAGCACTCCAATGCGCTCCCATTTAACGATGACGAAACCAGTGTTGGACGGGACTGACTGAACAACACACAGTGTGCGGTTGTGGATGGCAGGCCCTGGATTGGACCCTGAACTTCCTGTTGCAGCCCTGTCTGTTCTTGTAGGACCTGCCTCTCCCCTTTGTTGTTGGTTAGGGGGGCTCTAAGGGGGTCTTTTAAACCTCAGGGAACGAGTTTGTTAAAAGCAGAAAGAAAGAGTACCTCCTAAATTAGACTGAAGGGCACAGCTCTGAGATGTGCCTCTGATTCAGGGTGTACCAGGTGGTGAGTCTGTGGGCACCCAAGTGGCTGTGGACCCTGTCATGAGGCTCAGGAGGTGGGCTCTCGTTCTCACGAGGAGCAGCTGTGCTCCTAACACGCCATGTGTCCTCTTGGGGAGTGAATTTAGAACCAGAAAACCACACAGCCTGCTACAATCCTGCCTGGACTAGACTCTCCTCTGGGGCTCAGCCTCTCCCTCCCTACCCTGCTGGATTCCAGAGCCCTCCCCCCTCTCTGGGATACAGATCTCAGAGGCCTTCCCCTCACCCCCATATCCTGGTTCACAGATGAGCAAACAAGCTAGGAGTGGTGAAGAGACTTTCCCAGGGCCACTCAGCTAAAAGGTGTTGGGAAAAAAATGATACCCAGGACTTCTGGGCAGGCCCCACGTTGATTCACCCCTACCAGGAAGAAGGTAGAGTCAGGTGATAGCAAACAAGGCCTCTGATGCCACGCTGTCCGGTTCAAACCTCGTCCCTGTTTTGCACTAGCTGTGTGACCTCAGGCAAGTCACCTAACCTCTCTGAGTCTCTGTTACCTCATCTGCAAAATGGAGTTGGTGATTGGACCTACTTTGAGGACTGTCAAAGGAATTAAATGAACTAATAGATGTGAAGTGCTTGGAATGGGGCCTGATAGGTAGGAAACTCCCCTTTGAGCACTGATATCCTTACATTGATTTCAGGGCAAGAGACATATACTATTGGTGAGACCAGGGTGACTGTTCATTGGCACATTGGACATGGCAGTAAATAACATCAAACCCCAGTGAGAAATATATTCCTGTGTTACATTCACATTCAGTCCTTTGAGTCATTGTCTAGGTGAAGGCGAAATTCTCAGTTGGGTGCTATCTCGGCTCTCACACTTGCTCATTTTCCTTTTTAACCAAGAGGGGCCGAGCTGCAGGCTGGAGATGCGGCAGGCAAAGATGGCTGGCTAGAAACTCCTAACACATCTTCAGTGAGCTCGTTTCTTTCAGGGTTACTTATGTTTTGTCACAATCGACACTGATTTCCCACATCATATGCTGCTGATACTAAATGTTCTTTCAAAACAAACTGACTTGAGGACCAAGGCCATGTCGTGGAGGAAGGACACGTGCCCACAGCCTGAATGTCCCTGTGCAGCCAAGGGTGGGCTTCTCAGTCTTGTATCACTGTGTGATATGAGTCAGAAGACTGGAGAGGGACTCTGGGCACAGTGACTCACGCCTGTAATCCAAGCCCTTTGGGAGGCTGAGGCAGGAGGTTCACTTGAGGACAGGAGTTCAGGACCAGCCTGGGCAATATAGCAAGACTCCATCCCTACAAAAGTAACAATAAAAAAATTAGTTGGGTGAGTTGGTGCACACCTGTAGTCCTAGCTACTGGGAGGCTGAGGCTGAAGGATCACTCGAGCTTAGGAGTTGGAGGCTAAAGTGAGCTATGATCGTGATGCTGTTGTACTCCAGCCTGGGCAACAAAGCAAGACCCTGTATCAAAAAAAAAAAAAAAAAAAAAAAAGAACATTGGAAAGGGAATTGCCAAAGATACTTACAAAATTGGAATAAAAAATCTTTTTTGGGCTGGGAGCAGTGGCTCACGCCTGTAATCCCAGCACTTTGGGAGGCAGAGGCGGGTGGATCACGAGGTCAGGAGATCGAGACCATCCTGGCTAATGTGGTGAAACCCCCATCTCTACTAAAAACACAAAAAAATAACCAGGTGTGGTGGCATGCGCCTGTAGTCCCAGCTACTCAGGAGGCTGAGGCAGGAGAATCACTTGAACCTGGGAGGCAGAGGTTGCAGTGAGCAGAGATCTCACCACTGCACTCCAGCCTGGGCGCTAAAGCAAGACTCTGTCTCAAAAAAAAAAAAAGTCTTTTTTGTATAATTTCTTTCTGGGATTTTGTGTGCCTATACATGTGACATGGGTGATTGTTTTATGAGCCGATCCATTTTCAAGAGCTCATTGTTGGGTTTTGGAAACACCAGAGGAGTGACTTTGTTTCTCCAAAGGAGGCTCCAAAAAGGAAGATGATTCCTGATTTTGCAGCAGTGAGGCCTCCTGGTCCCTCGTCTCCTGCTCCATGCAAAATGGCCTTTAACCACGCCTCCAATGTCTTGGGAACTGTATCATACTTTCATTTCTTAAGACTCAGAAACTTCTTAACTTTCTCCTCTCTAGTCTAAATAAACCCAGTCCCACTGCATACCCACCTTCCCTGCTAGTGAAAGTCCATTTTGGCCCAATTATTTCTGGAGGGCAATTTATAAGTAGACATCCAAAGCATCCTTTATAAGCCTCTATTTCTCTCTCTGCACAGCCATTCAGCTTCTAGGGTTCCATCTTTAAGGAATAAACGATCACACATCACATAACAATTCAGTGGTAAAAGTATATTTATCACAGCAAACATCTAGAAGTAACCCAGCTGCCCAACCATAGGAGGTTGGTTAAATGAGGAATGCTACATCCCCACAGTGGAATATGATATGCTCAGCCCATTAGCAGAATGTAGTGAAAGAATGTCAGTGGCAGCTCATCAGGAGCAAGGGTTTTGTTCATCCACTTGCTTTTTTACTGCTATATCCTCAGAATCTAGAACAGTGCCTGGCATAGAGTAGGTGCTCAATAAAAAATTGTTGGTGGATGAGTGAATAAATGAATGCTTAACAGCAGGGAAAGATCATTTTGCTATAGTCAAATTATCCGTGTTATCCTATTTTGTGTAAATATGCATAATGTAGGTATAGAGAAAAAGTTTAAAGGTAATAAAATGATAAGCTCGGTGATTTCCAGGCTTGCTGATTTTACGCAATTTTCCTTCATGATGTTTCAGTTATTGGTCTTTCCCACAATTTATTCAGTAAATGAATTCAATAAGCTGAAATCAGAAAACAATGCAAGTGATTTCTTTTCGAAATTGTGAAATTGCCTGTGAGATTGTGACGATGCAGCCCTCAGAGCCCTTTTGATGAAAACATCTCTAGTGCATAGATTCAAAATTCTCAAAACTCTCAGATCACAGTTCCTGAGAACATGTGGTTCAAAGTTCCAGGGGCCACACCAGGTCTGTGCTGTCTGGCTCTGGTCAGGGCTGAACTGGCCCTGACAGCCAGTTCAAAGCTCCATGACCAAGATGTCAAATCTGGAATTTTAATCCATGACAAAGCAGGAAATTTTCTCATGTTTCACTGTGGAAATCCTGGACTCTGCGCACCAAGGGGCCTGCCCTCCCCTAGTCATCCATTCTGGATGGGACTTTGAGGATCCAGGTGGATCGGCTTGGCCTGGTCTGCTACCCACCTCTGATCCTCCAAAAACTGGGGTTGAGGCTACGACCCCTGATGTCCTGGAGGGTCTGGAGATCCACAGAAGAGGATGCCCAGGGGCTGGGCTGGGGGTGGGGTTAAGCCTGACAATGGCTGAAAACGACTTGTAAACAAACAAACAAACAAACCAACAAACAAACAGAAACGTTATCCAGTGTTGGTTAAAGGAATTCCAGACATCAGGGCATAAAGGGGAAGGGAGGTAGGAGGTTTGGGCTTGGAGGGCTGAGGGAGAGAGATATGTACCCCCTGATCTGACCTCATGTGAAGAAGGCTTTCTTCATTTGTGGGTAAAGTCAGCCACGCCAGACACTCTAGAAATTGCAAAGAAATGGAAAAAATGCTTGTCGTTGTCTTTTAATTATATTCTTTTTCTGTCATTTGTCTCCCGTCTTGGGATTTGAATACACGAAGGTAGAAAACAGTGATGGCTCATTGCACCCATGTTTGACTCGACTGCATGCGGGTCTCATCGCGGGGCCTTCCTAGGAAATTTGCAAGCCCCACTTCGGTGACACACACTGACTTTAGAAACCAGCCTCCCCCCTAAAGGACAGGGGCCCCAGAAAACTTCCCTGGCCTCTCCACGCCCACATGATGGCCTTGTGACAAGTCTCCGGGCCGACCCTCAATTAACTTGTGGGTCCTTGACCATAGAGGGCCACCTAATTTATGATAGCGCATTGGGTTGAATTTAGGCCCAAGTGCCGTGTTAGAATGTTAACAGTGTAACTCAGGGTTCGAGTGATAGATTTGAGGGAGTCGGATGGCCATCTCTGTGCATGTGGCTGGGCCTAAGAATGCCCAGCTACACTCAGTAAGAACCACGGACCTACCTGGTTAGCTCTGGAGACGTGGGGCTGCTGGCTACCCAGGGGGTTGGGAGCCCATGGTGGGACAGCAGGTTACTAGCCCCTGAAATCCTGGAACTGCTCCCTCGCTCAACAGATGTGCTTGGGATGACGCCCACCCTTCCCCACCAGAGTTCGAGTGGGAGCCTTTGAACCTCCATCCCAGTGGCCTGGGCACGCTTCCTCCCCACTGGGGTTGGGGGCAGGAGGCAACACTGAAACTTGCTTGTTATACAGAGCTGGTGAGCCTGTGTCATCGCTTTGGTGACACCCACCGTATGATGGAGAAGAATGGCTCCTGATTTCTCTTTAGGAACCAGGAAATCCACCCTTAACGCATTAAAAATCTCACCCTCGGCCGGGCGCGGTGGCTCACGCCTGTAATCCCAGCACTTTGGGAGGCCGAGGCGGGCGGATCACGAGGTCAGGAGATCGAGACCATCCTGTCTAACATGGTGAAACCCTGTCTCTACTAAAAATACAAAAAATTAGCCGGGCGTAGTGGCGGGCGCCTGTAGTCCCAGCTACTCGGGAGGCTGAGGCAGGAGAATGGCGTGAACCCGGGAGGCGGAGCTTGCAGTGAGCCGAGATTGCGCCCCTGCACTCCAGCCTGGGCAACAGAGCCAGACTCCGTCTCAAAAAAAAAAAAAAAAAAAAAAAATCTCACCCTCAGGGAAGATGCAACCCCACTCTGTTTCCTAGAAGTACCATTCATTTCCTATCCTGTTATTCTCTCTCCTTCCATCCTGCTGGTTCAGTCATGGGGATTCTATTGGTATTCTTATTTTATCTTGTTATCTGTGGCAATGTTGGTCAAGAAAAATCTTGGAGAATTCCGGTGATAAGACAGATGAGAAAGGTTGACCTGGCTGGGGTGGGATGTGGGGTGGGAACCCTCCTGCTCGGCTTCCTCCCAGTCATACTCCACGGAGATGCTTGAGGAGGCTTCATGGAACTCCCAGTGTTCCACGGCAGACAGTTTGAAAACTACTGGTGGGAACTCTGACTCCCCTTCTGGGATTCAGCCTGGTCCGAGGGCTCGCTCTGCCCCGGGCTTGCCATGTGGACCCGTTTCTTTCCTCTCTGGGCCTCAGTTTCTTCACTTACTACAGACTTGCAGAGTTCAGAGGGGCCAAGATGAAAAAACCCAAATTTCTCATCCAACAGCAAGGAAAACAGGAGGCCCAGAAAGGAGTCTCCGCTTAGCCCAGGGCACACAGCCTCATCCCTGGGCAGCAAACGTCCCCGCTGGGGAGGTCAGGGCTGCTCCCCACATCAAGGGGAGATCCCTGTCTGTCCCAGGTGGGTGCCTTCCACACTGTCCTCACCTGGCAGGACCGGAGCAGGCCAGACGTCGGCATGCACACCAGTTCTGCTCCCCCGAAGCCACAGGGTGCTTTTCTTTCCTAGCTGGAAGGAGCAGCCCTCTTGGGGTATTTATTTTATTTCTATAAAAGTGGGAAGCAGCTCTCCAGGGCTCTGCTGATGACTTGTCTGGCCAGAATGCCTTCCCTGCTATTTCAGGATTAAGACAGTAAATTCCTTCTCCAGGGTGTAACGGTGTAAACACCGGGCTCTCAGGGGAAGGTGGAATGGCCACTGGGCCCTACCCTGTGTCTGTGGCTCAGGCAGGGCCTGGGGAAGGGGCTGGGGGCCTTGAGATGACCCCTACTCACTCCCTGCCAGGGTCCGAGTGACCTGGGTGCCTTCCTGCCCACCGGGGCTGGAACCAGGAGCAGCTTTGTTCTACTGGTGCCAATGAAGGATTGGGAGCCCCCTTCGGGGAGTGGTAAGTGATTTCCCTCTCTGAACCTGGGTATCCCCCCTTCTCTAAAACACGAGTAATCACCTGTGCTCGGCACTGTGCCAGGCCCATGGTAGGTGCTCCGTCCATCACAGCTCCAGTGATTTCACGTATTATTATTATCGTAAAGTGTGGTTGAACAGGACACACTCCCTGCCTCCCAAGAAGTTGACAAGAAATAGGGGAGAGAGAGGAGGGCAGGATCAGCAGTTAGAGACATGAGTGCTAAACCCACTGGTGGTAACAGGGAGGGTGAGGGAGGGTAGGGTGGGCCAGGTGGAAAAGCAGGAGGGAAAGAATGGTGCTCCAGGCAGAGGGAATGGCACAGGCAAAGGAAGGGAAGGGAAGCAGATCACCACTTGATCCAGTGTAGAAGGAAGTTCAGCAAGGCTGGGTGGCCGTGCCTGAGGGCAGTGGCGAGAGGAAAGCCCAGGGCATCCTTGGGCACCCAGTGAAACACACCCCTGTGAGTCATGGCAAGGAGTGTGCAGTTTCCCCAGAGACTTAGATTGGGAGCACTGGATGATACCTTAAACCCAGACGACAATTGCCAATGTATGGCAAACTTGCTGGTATTGACGAGTGACAGAGGGCTGTTGTTTGGGAACATCGAGCCTGGAGCAAGGGCCTGTGACACCAGGTGTGATTGAGTGGGGCATTCCAGCAGCCCGCATGGCTGGAGGTAGAGGAGGCCAAGGGGAGGCTGAAGAAACAGCAGGTCAAGTGATGCGGTGATGTTAAGCGGAGAGCTGAGAGCAGCTCCTAATTTCTGACTCTGTGGTTAATGTGCCAGTTAAGTAGCTGTAATCAGTAGCAGCTGTGAAGGGGACCTGCAGGCTCCACGGAATGTCGCCAGGAACCAGGGATCCGGCTCAGGGAGTTGACCGGCAATTGGATTTCCCATCGTTGGGGTGGGTGAGTCGGCAGGAACAAGGTGCAGCCCCGGGCATGGCCTGTGGAGATCTAGGATTGGAAGCAGAAACCTGGCCCAGGGAAGCTGCTCAGGAGGCTTAGTGGTGAGGGTCCCCTTGTGTGCACAGGCATTTTCACTTTACACAGTGCCCATGGATCCTCTAGCGTAATGTGGTGGTGGGTGGTGGTGGTGGTTCTGGGTTCTGAAGCCCTGCTGGATCCAAATCTTCCCGCTTCTTGAAAACTAGTTGATCTTGGAAAAGTTCTCATTTTATCTGAGGGTATTCTGTGGAATAGGTTTGTCACGTTCCTCCCACTGACTATTATATTGGGAAAGGCACATGATAGGATTGCAGGCAAAGTGCCCTCATGGTCGTGTACATAGTAGGTGCCCAAGAAGTGTCAGCTGCACAGTAACAAGAGGACGATGGTCCTAAGGCACTGGCACTGTCTGCTCACTGCTTTGTCTGGGCAGGTGGTGGCTCTGAGGTTAAGACACAGAGGCTGGGGTGTGGGACCCACTGATGGATGCATCCCATCAACATTCATGGGGACCGATGAAGATCAGATCCTGCATCTGGTGGGGACACAGGCAAGATGAGGCTCTGGCCCCACTCCTAACCTGGGTCCCTTCTTCTCTGCTGTCTCTGAGGCTCCCCACTGCATTCCTCCATCCCCTATCAGGGACCTCCTCTTTGTCCCATTTCCCTGTTACTCTTTTTCAGGTAACGCTGTGAGCTCCTCTTCTTTTTGTCTTGTAGGCTGGAGGTCCCATGGCTCAGTTCAGGCTGTTTATTGTTTCCCTCTCCTGGGACATTTCACCCACTCCCAGGGTTTGGTATCTGGCATCTACTAACACTTCTCCAATCTCCATTTCCAGCCCAGACTCATTCATTCATTCATTCATTTGCTCACTCTTCCACCCACAGATATTTGTGGCTGAAATGTTGTCACTGTAATGTAAGCTGCATTAAGCAGGAACGTTTTCTGTCTGCTCACCACCCTCTGCCCTGTCCCTGAAACCGGGCTGGCAGATGCAGACCCTCAACCACCCTTGCTCAATAAATGGATGAATTGGAGGACTCACAGGGGAGGACTCACGCTCTTAAACTTGACAGAGGCAACCCTCATGCCCTGGAGAGAGGAGGTCTAGGAGGAGCCTAATCTGACCCCAGAACCATCTACAGGAGGGTTGGGTCATTCAGCTCATGCCTCTCACCCCCACTTAGCAGATGATGAAACTGAAGCCCTGGGCAACAAGGTAACTTGCCCAAAGTCACAAGGTGATACAGTGGCCGCGCTGGCACCTAGCTTACGGAACAAGGCTCTTGCCTTGTGTCCTGCAGACCAGCAGGTTCTGGGAGGCCCCAAAGGTGTCCGACAGCAGCCAGCTGTGGCGTATTTCTGTCACGTTACATAATGGCAGGCAGGTAATAACCACTCAGCCTCTCCTGTCTCTGTGCATAATAGGTAGAAAAATGAATTCACATGTCATTTGCTGCAATAAAGGAAAGTATTCTTAGTGCTCGCAGCCTTCGGTGGGGCTGAGGAAAGGGTGCAGTACATTCTCAATGAATCACCGGTAAAGGCTGAGTGAGGGAATCTCAATTCTTCCCTGACAATGTCAGCCACAATTAAGCACAATCACCGAGGTTTTATTATTATTATTATTATTATTATTTTTGAGACAGGGTCTTGCCGTGTCGCCCTGGCTAGAGTGCAGTGGTGCAATCGCAGCTCTCTGTAGCCTCGACCTGGTGGGCTCAAGTTATCCTCCCACCTCAGGCCCTCAAGTAGCTGGGACTACAGGTATGCACCACCACACCTGGCAAATTTTTGTAGAGACAGAGTCTTGCTATGTTGCCCAGGCTGGTCTCAAACTCCTGGGCACAAGAGATCTGCCTGCCTTGGCCTCCCAAAGCATTGGGATTACAGGTGTGAGTCACGGTGCCCGGCCACTGAGGTTATATTTATAAGCGAAGCTGGTGAGTGTGTATGTGTGCAAGGGTGAGTAGGGCTGGGTATGTGCACATGGCTGCCTGGGGCACTTACACGTGTACGTGTGTGTGTGCGTGTGGCCCTGGGAGGGGTGAGAGTGGGCTTGTGCAAGCGTGCATGTTTGTGTGCGTGTGCACGCATGTGCCACTCATTCATTGGGACCTAATGGTATAATGTGTGCACCCCCTGGGCAGTCAGCCCCATGAGGACAGGGCTCCTTCTCTGTGGCATTTGCCCCTGTTTCTCTGGTGCCCAGTCTGGGGTGTGGCATACAGTAGGTGCTTCAAAATTATCTGTTAAGTGCATCGACAAGTCCCCCAGCCCTTCCTCCAATATAACCTCAGATCCTCCTCAGATCTGACCACTTCTCTGCACCCAGCTTTCACTACTCCAGATAAAGTCACTGTCCTCCCTATTTCCCCTTTTTCCTTCCCTTTCTCCACTATGATCCCTTTAGTCCTGGGTTCAAGCAATGGCTAGAGGGTTCTTCTTAAAACTAAAAAAAAAAAAAAAAAAAAAAAAAAAAAAAGCAACTCGCTCTCCTGATTAAAAAACAAAGCAAAATTAAAACAACCCAATGACTCCCTATAGCTCTCAGAACAAAACCCAAACTCTTCTCCAGTATATTCAAGGTCCTGCTTCATCTCCCACAGCCGCACTCCCATTTCCCCCTTCAGTTCTTCCAAGGGGTGGCCCTTTCCTGCCTCAGGGCCTGCCTTTGCATTTGCTGTCCCATCTACCCTCAACACAGCTGGCACTTCCTCTACCCTTGGGTTCAGTTTACATATGACACCTCCTCCAGGAAGCCTTCCCTGTCTACACTGTCTAATCTCCCCAGCCCTCATCTTACCCCTCTCCTTCAATCTTCTCTAACACAACTTTGGGACCTCAGGACTTGTATCATAACCTGTGAAGATCTCATATGTCCATTTCTCTGCTAGTCCTTAAGTTCCAGAGGACAGGGCTACTTCTGTTTGATTGCACAGAGTATTATAAGCGGCCAGCCCAGCACTGGGCACAAGGCAGGCACCTACTAAATGTTAGCAGATGGCTGGTGAATGGGTGTGTATGGGGCACCCTCCAGGGGGCAGGTAAGACCTGCAAACCACCAATCTATTGAGATGAAAACACATTTCTCAAACTGCTTTCCTTCCTTCCCAATGCTTTCCTTATGCATGCACCTCCTCTGATACTGTTTTTCACTTAATGTGCATTTAGAGGGACTTGCTTTTTCTTTCAACAGGCAACTTTCTATCACTATTTTGAATTGGAAACTGCCCATAAATGAAGTGTTAACTATTGAATTAAAAATGCAAGTGTCAGCCAGGCACCTTGGCTCATGCCTGTAGCACTTTGGGAGGCCAAGGTGGGAAGAGAGCTTAAGGCCAGGAGTTAGAGACCAGGCTGGGCAACATAATGAGACCCCGTCTCTACAAAAAATAAAGTTAGCCGGGTGTGATGGCATGCACCTGTATTCCCAGCTACTCAGGAGGTCAGGGCGGGAGGATTGCTTGAGCTCAGGAGTTGGAGGCTGCAGTGAGCTACGATCATGCCACTGTACTCTAGCCTGGGAGACAGAGTAAGACCCTGTTTCTAAAAAAAAAAAAAAAAAACAGGAAAAGAGATGCAAGTGTAGTGTGCTAGAGTGGCCCGCTCTGAGCCTCCTGGGCTGGGCTTGGTGGCCTCGCTGTTAGATGTCTAAGACCCAGCAGCACCCAGCTGAGGCTTTCTCCTTGCTGTAATCACGAGAGCTGAAAGAATGACCAGGCTGTCTTACTCTGATGTTCAATGTATTTGTCTCCCTGTCTGTGATCAGCCCCCAGCCCACTCTGTAGCATCTGTTTTCCTGCCCAGGACTTTCCAGTCCCAGGGAATGAGCTAAGCACCTTTCCAGTCTCTCCTGGTTGCCCTTTGACATCCCCTGGCATTCTTGCCCCACATTCCAGGAGGCAACTCTGGGTCCTGGGGGTCCAGTGAGGGGGCACTGGCTTCTATTTTGGGGACCTCAGTTTTCTCATCTGGCAAATGGGAATGCCAATCTGGGCACGAGTGCCTCTCTCTCAGGCAGCTGTGAGGATGAACTGGGAGCCCAGAGGGTGAATCCCTCATGCCTTGGGAAGGCATCTTGGCTGCAGTCATTCCTGAGCTTCCAGACACCTCCTGGGACAGTTTGGAATTTTTATTTTTTGGTTTTTGTCTGTGAGGGGGAAGCGTGGGCCTCTGCATTATTTTCATTCCATGAGGCCGGAAAGGGGGGGTCTGCACAGGTGTTTTCTGGAAGGAGGAGGGGGAGGTGGGAGCCCTGGGGCAGCTGTTATTGGCAGGAGGCCAGATGTGCCTGCTTTTCAGAAGGACGGAGTGAAAGGAAAATGCTGTATGATGGAGCACCTACTGTCTACCTGTTTGTGTACCAGCTGCCATGCATACCCTAACTTCTGAACTCCTTCCAGCAACCCTTGAATCAAGTATTGCTGCCACCCATTTTAAAGATGGGAGAACTGAGACTCAGGAAGAAGACATTTGCTCAAGGTCACTCAGCCGGGAGGTGGCAAAGCCAGGTTTATGTGGCTCCAGAGTTATGATCTTAACCTCCAGTGACTGGCGCATCCATGGAGCTGGGTTCCAGTTCCGGCTGTGCAGGAATTTGACTTCTGGGAGCCTCAATTTCCTCATCTAGAAAACTGAAGTAACAAAATCTGGTGTGGAGACTTGAGGTGAGTCTTTTAAGCCTTCTTTCGAACAACGGTACTGACAGGAATAATAATACTCTTTCCATATGGAGAATTCTCCCTGGCTCACAGAGGGCTTCGGGGACACAGGGGAAGCCCAGAGAGACAAAGTGACTTGTCCAGGGTCACACAGCATTTCTAGACCCCGCGATGCCGCAGAAGCTGTTTTTGTCGTTGTCCCCTTGCTCCTTAGACCTGTCCCGGATAATCTCACCCTGACCCACACAGGCCTGCACCCCTGACCTCAGCAGGACCGGCTGAGCGGGGAGGGTAATTAATTCCTCAGCACCCAGGAACTCAGGGAACACATGTTTCTGGGCCACCTGCCCACCGCACGCTAAGGAGACCCCAGATGGTTGTGAGAGGCTGAAGATGTTATGTCCCACTGAAGGGGAAGAAAGGTCTCCTTTTCTTGCACATTTGCAAGCACCGTCTGGAGCATCTGCCCACCTCCTTGCTACTTCTAGCTGCTCCCTCTGCCTGGAACACTTGCCCACCACTCCTTGCCTGGTGCTTCAGCTGCCTCCAGAAAGCCTTCCTGGACCACAACCTAAATCGAGGTCTGACCCCCACCCTGGCCTCCCTGACTCTCTCATGCTTGCTTTTCTTCTGGAGCCTCTATCTGGGTTTTGAGGCACTCAGTAAATAGCTTGATAGACTAGATGCGTCCTCCAGTGCCTGTGAGGCTAGGGTTCAACCCAGAAGGAGGACAGAGGTAGTGAGCTCCCCACACATCTCTGGATGATACCAGGCAGGGGGCCCAGAAGGTTACCGTTCAGGGGGTCCCTCATCCCTGTGGTGTCCCAACCAGGGAGCAGACTGAATTCTCACCTCGAGTCTCCACGCCAGATTTCGTTATTCCAGTTTTCTAGATGAGGAAACTGGAGCTCCTAGAGGTCAAATTCCTACACAGCCAGGAAGTGGCAGAATCGAGACTGGAATCCAGCTCCGTGGATGGGCCAGACACTGGAGGTTTCTGCCACCCGCTGCCTGCCAAGGTTTGCAGGGAGTGCGCAGGGCTTTGCAGGGAGCAGGGACGATCTGTGCCTGAGGCCCAGAGAGATTAAGCCACTTGCTCAAGGCCACGCATGGGGTGGCTAGGGGGCCCTCCTAGAGCCCGCTGGGCTCCCACCCCGGGGTCGGGTGGTGGGGGAGGCGGTGCTGGGACTGAGCCGGCGGCTGAGATCCCGTCCCTCTTCTCGGGACCATCCCGCGGGCGCGGCGCCCGTGACATTGGGACATGCAGGCCGTATTTCAGCCGCCACCGCCACGGCGCCCGCCGTGGGTGCGCGCAGTTAATTAGCGGGCCTCGGAAAGTTCATCAATAATAGATCTGGCGGCGGCGGCTGATTGCCGCCGCGCGGCGGGCGGCGAGCGCCAGTAAATCAGCCTGACGGGTGCTGACCACGCCGCCGGCCGCCGTGCGATGAGAGCGCAGCCCCCGGAAGTCAGGGGGTCTCCAGGACCGTGGAGCAGGCCTGGGGCAGGGGGGCGGGGACGGGCTCCCCCCGCCCCCCCCCGGTCTCCAAGGGTCTCTCTCAGCCCCTCCGGCTTTCTCCAGCTTCCTTATCTCCATCTCCGGGTTCTCCGTCTCTTCTCTCTTTTTTCCTCTCTCCTGGTCTCAGCAGTGAGAACTCCACCCCCACCCCAGCCCACGTGTGGCCACACACAGCCCTCAACACATGCACACCGCCTTCCCCCCACCCCTCCATGACAGTCCTCTGGTTTTCTTGTAGGTGAGATCGTGCCAGGCCTCTTCCCATGCCCATGTGTGTGCCAGGTACATGTGCCATGAACACACACATTTATTTATGCAACATGTGCCCACGTGTCTACAAGTGTGAGATCTCCACGTGCCTCCCGGTTAGCTATGCGAATCAACTGGGGGAGAAGGTGCATCTGACAGAGGAAACAGGATGTGCAAAGGCCCTGTGGTGGGAGGGGACGAGTGTGCTCAGGGACTGAAAGAGACAATGTGGCTGCTTTGGCCACATTCCCTGGCTTTCCCCAAGAAGACCCCAGGTAATGGGCACTTCTGAAACCTAATGCAGGGTGTGATTCGGTCTCTGTCACAGCCTCGCCAAGCAAATGCTCCTCAGGTCCAAGTCTTTCAGCCAGCCTCCACTCTGACTTTAACCACGAAGTCGGCATCTATCCCTCCTGATTCGACTCTTTTCCCCCTGCCCCCGAGAGGGGCTCAGGTCTCTCTGGCCAAGCCCAGTGACCTCACTCAGCTTTGGCGTGAGTTGGGCAGAGAAGCCCGGACCAGGGTGGGGAGGCCGGCCATAAATCTTCAGCAAGTTGTGGCTGGCAGTTCTCTGCCTGTTCTCAGAGACTGTAAAATTTTACTAGAGCAAGAGCTGCTGCCCACTGGGGAGGCCATACAAGATTAGAACCCGCTAGGGTGGCAGCCGTCAGCGCCTCCGTCACCTGCCAGGCTGCACCCCCTCTGCCCCAGGGCTCATCTGCCCTGCTTGCCTCCCCAAGAGACTTGGGACTGGCTACCACCTGCCCAGGGCAGAGCTTTACAGCCTAGGAAGTAATTCCCACCAGGCTGGGAGGAATCTTCCAGATCTCCCAGGGAGCTGGCAGAGCTGTTACCATGCTCACTTGACAAATGAGGAAACGGTTAGAGAGGGTGAACCTCTCTGGTGCACAGCGGATTAAGTTGAGGTGGTAAACTTGAATCTAGGACCCCCAAGTCTTATGGCAACAGAGTACTTTTTCACTCTTGGTTTCTCTCCTTTCAAATTCTGTCTACTCATCAACCCATTGTTCTTTCCAGCTATCCATCCATCCACTCCCCTGTCCCTCCATCCGTTTATCCATCCACCCACTCACCTATGCCTTCAATAACCATTTTGAAGCATAGACTACATACAAGGCACAGAGGTAGAGAATGCACAGCCCTGTCCTCAAGGAAAGAAAAAGATCCCCAGGGACAAGGTCGCAAACACCCCCAAAGCACCCACTGGGTGTCTCAACGTGCTGGGTGCTGATAATGAGAGCCTAAACATGACAATGGCAGCAGCCATCATCTTTCATGGCTACGAATCTCCCCTCCGTGTGGCAGAAACGGTGAGAAGTATCCTCCGCTCCTCCCACAAAAGTCTATCGAGAGCCTACCATGTGGCAGGCCTTACACAGTTGATCTAATTTACTGATCAACTCAGTCTTTCGAGGTCAGAGTATTTTGACTCTGGCTGTGAAATAGGGAACTGAGGCTGGGGGATGGGGTGGTTGTGGGGTGCAGTGGGAGCCAGGTGGGGTGTGCTGAGCTTTGTCCCAAGGCGGCTGAGGAGTGGGGGCTTCTGGGGAGGGCTTGCGGTGGGCACTGGGCAGGTTCAGCCTGGCTGCAGCCTGCACAGGAAACATCTTTGCCTGGCAAACAGGATGGTCGTTTGCTGCTTAGGCCTTGGGGTGCACGGGTGCCGGGGGGTTGGGGGAGGGAGAGGGACCTAGAATAGCTACTGTCCTCCCCATGACCCCTGCTCCTAGCCTGGCCCCTGCCAGCCTTTCTGCAGTCCCCAACTCCCTCCAGTGCCCACAGCAGGGAACCTTCACCAATGAGGCCACTTCCTTAGAGCCTCCCACAGTCGTGAGCCCACAGAAAGGAAATGGAGGCTCAGAGGGGAATGGCAGCTGACCCTGCCTGTTTCAGCTGGTGCATGGTGACCCCTGACTTAAACCCACTTCCAGCTCCGCACTCAGGGTTCTCTCAGGATCTGGGGTGGGGAGAAAGAGAAGCTGCCTTTGGGGGTCTACCCTCTGGCGAAGCTAGCATCTGAGGAGGCAGATCCAAGTCCCCTTTTCTTGGGGCTCCCAGCCCTTGTCACTGCACCCCATTTCTCCAGGGCTCTCAGAGAACTCTTGCCACTGGGGAGCAGCAGGTGACAGACTCTTCCCAGGTCACTGCAAAGGCTCTTTCTGAAGGCAGGCAGCTCTGATGTGGGATTTCTGGCATGGTGACACAACAAGGTGTGCATTCATGATCCTCCTTGCACCCCAAAGGTCAGCTGAGCCCTCTCGGCCTCTGACAAACTTGGAGTCTAACCCATCCCAATGGTTTCCCCCTCTTGCACCATGCAAACTGCCAGTTCGAAGAAGAGCGGGACACCAGCAGCTCTGCCAGGGCCTGGGATTGGGGGACACACTGGACTCCAACCCAGCCTGCCCCTGGGAAACCCAGCCCTGCCTGCTGGGTGATCTCAGGGTCACACACACCCTCTCTGGGCCTCACCACTCACTTAATGGAGAAGACACCATGGGGATTCTTGCTCTTGAATTTTCTGATTTGATGATTTTTAAGATCCCATTACCTTCAGGTTCTGCAAGTTTATTTCACAAATATTTTGATTTTAAGATGCTGTGAATCTCCAACTCCAGAATTCAAAAGTCTTTTTGGAATTTTCTTAACCATGTGCACACCTGAGTGTTCTCAGGTGAGACACAGTGCGGGACGGGTTAATCTCGCGTGAGACGCAGTGCGGGACGGGTTAATCTCGCGTGAGACGCAGTGCGGGACGGGTTAATCTCGCGCGAGACGCAGTGCGGGACGGGTTAATCTCGGGTGAGACGCAGTGCAGGATGGGTTAAGGCTCTGAGAAGTCCAGTGATTCCCTCCAAGGTCATGCTTCAGAGGTGTCACCCCTGCTTAGGACTTGCCCCTGTACCCCCAAAGTTGTTTACACTGTGGCTTGCCAGGCAGCAGAGCTCCCATGAGAAAAGTATGCCTCTGCTGACATGCTTGAGGCAGAACCAAATTCTTTCCTTCCTTCCTTCCTTCCTTCCTTCCTTCCTTCCTTCCTTCCTTCCTTCCTCCCTCCCTCCCTTCCTCCCTCCCTCCCTCCCTTCCTCCCTCCCTCCCTTCTTTCCTCCCCTCCCTTTCTGCTTCACATTTATTTTCTCAGTCCTTCACTCTTTTATCCAATCATTTATTCATTCAACAAACAACGCAGAAATAATCTCTCTTATGTGATTTGTGGGCTTCCCTTTAAACGACATAAAAATGTCCCAGAACCTTTTTATTATTATTATTATTATTATTATTATTATTATTATTATTATACTTTAAGTTTTAGGGTACATGTGCACAATGTGCAGGTTAGTTACATATGTATACACGTGCCATGCTGGTGCGCTGCACCCACTAACTCGTCATCTAGCATTAGGTATATCTCCCAGTGTTATCCCTCCCCCCTCCCCCCACCCCACAACAGTCCCCAGAGTGTGATGTTCCCCTTCCTGTGTCCATTTGTTCTCATTGTTCAATTCCCACCTATGAGTGAGAATATGCGGTGTTTGGTTTTTTGTTCTTGCGATAGTTTACTGAGAATGATGATTTCCAATTTCATCCATGTCCCTACAAAGGACATGAACTCATCATTTTTTATGGCTGCATAGTATTCCAAATGTCCAACAATGATAGACTGGATTAAGAAAATGTGGCACATATACACCAGAACCTTTTTTGAACAAGGAAGGGAGGGCTCCTCGATGGCTTTCAGGCTGTATGAGCTTGGGCAAGTCACTGCATCACTCCAGGCCTTAGTTTCCCCATATAACAAATGCGACAATGGTGCCCACCATCCTTCCTTTTCTGCCTGCTGGAGAAAGGTTCCCTTCAGGAGAAGACATGGGCTGGAATGAGACTCCAGGACTACTGTTTTGGTGGGGAGACAAGGCATCAAGTGGGGACGGGGAGTGTCCTGGAAGACCCAGGAGGGGTCTGAGGGCCCAGGAGGCACCCTGGGCCCTGGGTCCCAGCCTCAAAGGCCCCTGTGGGAGTGAATTCAGGAGCCGCTGGGCAGCAGACACGGAGAAGCCGGGCATGAAATCTAGGCGCATGTAGAACTGCAAAGCATGGGCTGGGTGGACGCGGACCATCCTTTGATGTGCTTTTGGGGTGTGTAATTAACTGTAACTGAAATATTATTTGATCTTTTATGTGGAAAATCAAATTGTGTTGTGTCAGACGTGAATAAATACACACCAGCCGGTTTCTGGTTTCTGCAGCCGCAGTAGCCCCGCCCCCGCCCCCACCCCCACTCCCTGCCCCTCCCCCTTCGCCGGTGGAAATATAATTCTCGCCTTTTAAACTTTTCCCTTTGTCTGGTTGTGAAAGGCCCCATTGTCCTGGGGGAAGGGACGGGAGCGGGCTGGGGGCCGGGTTGAGGGGCCGAGGAGGGGGTGTCGCGCCCACAGACAGGGCTGGGGCTTAGGAACTTAGCCTTTGGGAACTCCACGCCCCTTTCCCTGGCCACTGGCCTGGGGCAAAGCGCTTCAGCTATCTGAGCCTCAGTTTCCACACCTGGGTTCCATGTGACAGGCGCACTGCCCACCCCAGGCACCCAGGCCTCTATTCCCGCTGGGGGAGGCGCATGTGCAGGTGACGGGCCATCATAGCTCAGATGGTGGAATTTGAGGTACTGGCAGTTACTTTTCCATGGAGGTGACAGCCTCTATGGAGACCCTAAAACCACTCCCAGAGCTCCCTGCTGGATTCTGAGATCTTCCTGCAGGGAAGCCAGGAAGGATGGGGAATGCAGGGTGCAGGAGCTGGGGGCTAGGGAGGAATAGTATCGCCTAATAATTACGAACACACTTTGGAACCAGGCAGGCTTGGGTGTAAGTTACACCGCCGCTGCTCACCAGCTCTGAGACCTCCCTGAGCCTCAGTTTCCTCACCTGTAAAATGGGGATGACCTCCTTCATTGGGTTGAAAGTCACCTCAATCTTTGCATACTCTATCCCCTCTACCTAATAGGCCCTTCCCTCCTCTCTCCTCCTAGCCATCTCTCATCTGTGTGGGCTCAGCTTAGACATCACTTTATTTTTAGGAGAAACTTTTGCTGACCCATCTGAACTTGCCTCCTTGGGGCGTTTTCTTGCTCCCCTCCCACTCCCCTCCCTACAACCCCATGCACTCACTCTATATCTGCCTTACCTGCCACACGGTGAGCTGAAGAAGGTCCCAGACCTACCTCTCAAGTGTTCCAGATGGAACAGCATCTGGCACAGAGTAGGCGCTCGGGAAGTGTTAGTTGTAATTACACCCTGCAAACTCTGGCTCCATTAGGTGCCTCCCCTACCCCAGGCTGTGTCCAGGAACCCCCTCGAAGATGCTTTACCAGTTCCTATAGGGAAACCTGGTGCTGGGAGCAGGGGGATCAGAGACAGTCCAGGGAAAACATTATGAGTGGGCCTCGGCCTAATCAAACATCCGGGAATTATAAAAATAAACAAAACAACAACAAAAAAGCACTAGAGAAGCCACAGTTATTGTCTGAACCTGTAATACTTAGATGAGATGATTTTTCAGAGTGGGCCAGCGCATTGCCAGCTCACTTGCCCCGGGGTGGGGTGCAAGGTTTCATTGCTTCCCCAGGTGGAAAGGCAGAGATCCGAGCCAGAAGGAGACCCCCAACTCCAAGGCTGTCACTGTACCACTGGTGAAACTGAGGGCGGCAAGGAGACAGCTTCCAGAAGTTACACAGAACGGGACAGAGCCCAGAACACTATCTTTCCTGACTCCTAAACTAGTGCTCCTTCCTCTGAGGTCAACACCAACAAAATGCTAAGAGCATTTGTTGAACTCATGCTGGGTGCAGGCCGAGCTTTCCATGTGCGTGCACACACACCCCTGATGCTGGGTGCAGGCTGAGCTTTCCACACACACACATACACACACACACACACACACACACACACAGACACACACACCTCATGCTGGGTGCAGGCTGAGCTTTCCCTGCGTGCGTGCACACACACATACATACACCCCGATGCTGGGTGCAGGGTGAGCTTTCCACGCACACACACACACACCTGATGCTGGGTGCAGGCTGAGCTTTCCACACACACACACACACACACACACACACACAGACACACACACACACACACACACACATATTTTGAAATGGAGTCTTGATCTGTTGCTCTGTTGCCCAGGCTGGAGTGCAGTGGCATGATTTCGGCTCACTGCAACCTCTGCCTCCTGGATTGAAGTGATTCTCCAGCCTCACCCTCCCGAGTAGGTGGGACCATAGGCACCCGCCACCATGCCCAGCTAATTTTTGTATTTTTAGTAGAGACGGGGTTTCACCATGTTGGCCAGGCTGGTCTCAAACTCCTGACCTCAAGCGATCTGCTCACCTCGGCCTCCCAAAGTGCTGGGATTATAGCTGTGAGCCATTGTTCCCAGCCTCCATGCAAATATTTTTTATCTTCACCACTTTATAGAGGCCACATGATGGCTTTCCTGGGCCCCTTTCTACATTAAAAATATTAAAAATTATATTTCATGACTGTGGGTATAAAAATGAAAACATTAATTTTGTATATGAAAACATTTTCATCAAAAAGTCTTTTTTCTTCTGATTCTTAAATAAATTAAAACATTTTTAAAGCTCCTAAAAGTATCGTTGGGCCCTAGGGACGGTGCTTACCATGCATGATGGAGAAATAGGCTCTCTATAGAGGGGAAACTGAGGCACAGTGAGGAACCTGAGATTCAGTGTGGTAAGGCCACTCACTCAGGGACACACAACCTGTTAGCAAAGAAGCTGAAAAGAGTCCAGGCCCGTAGTGTGTGCATATTGCTTCCAAGTTCCCCCCAGGAAAATGGGGGTACCCCTGCTGTGCCCCAGGGTTTGCACCTGTCCCCAAGCCCCCTCTCCCTCAATGTTCTTCTGGGGCCTAGCTGCTGCCATGCTGGTTGACGTCTCCTGTCTGTGAGGCCACGGTGGCCCACAAGGCGAGACATTCCCAACCTGTCCTCCCAGAAGCCAGCTCAAGGGCCTCTCATTCTTGGTATCTGTGTTTTTGTGGCCTCTTGCTGACTATCCAGTGGGGGGTTTGGGTCAAAAGCCATTGTTGGGTGTGTGAGCACAGGGACCCCTTAGATCACCCCCTCCCTGCCTCGGCCACTTGTAGGTCAGGACCTCAGGTCTTTCCAAGGGCTGGATCACCTGCTGTTGACACAGAGGACATTAAACAGCCCAAATCAGGCAGCGAGAAAGTGGTTCTCCATCAACCTTCTTTTTTGTTTCTTTTTTTTTGAGACGGAGTCTTGCTCTGTCACCTAGGCTGGAGTGCAGTGGTGTGATCTCAGCTCACTGCAAGCTCTGCCTCCTGGGTTCACACCATTCTCCTGCCTCAGCCTCCCCAGCAGCTGGGACTACAGGTGAACACTGCCACGCCTGGCTAATTTTTTTGTATTTTTAGTAGAGACGGGATTTCACCGTGTTAGCCAGGATGGTCTCCATCTCCCGACCTTGTGATCCGCCCCGCCTTGGCCTCCATCAACCTTCTTATAACATGGGAGAAAGTCTCCGTTGGGTGCTAATGTATCTTAACACTTCTCTCCAAAGCTTGCTAATCTGCCTTTGTAAAACCTGGTGGTGGAGTGGGGAGGGCAGCAGAGGATATCTCTAAGCTGGCGATGTTGTTTTGTCTTCATTTTAATGGTTCTTTTATATCTATGACATGCAGAGCTAGTTTCCCATTGAAGGTAATGATAAAAAGTTTTTAAAATAAATGTCCTTATTTATTTACTCAATAGATAAGTTTTTTTTAAGTACAAGAAGGAGGTCAATTTAGGGAAAAATACTAAGTAGATGATCACAGAGAGGAAGTGTGACTAGGACAGAAATCATGTTGAGGGCATCTGAACCAGGGAAGTTTGGACAAGCAGTTAGAGGCGACCAACACTTCTGTGTTGCTTTGACTTTGGGGCTCAGACAGGGGCAGCGACTTGCCTAGGATCACACAGCAAGACTGAAACTCAGGTCTTTGTGACTTCAAAACCTATGCTTTATTCCAGGGGTCGTTAACATTTTGGAGTGGGTTGGGGTGAAGGTCAGGGCCTTCTTGGTGGACTATTTCCTCAGCAAAGCTTATGGGAATACAATTTCAGAGGTTTGGTGGTTTAGGCTCACCAATTCTAAGTGTCCTATTCTGCAGACACTCTGCCACCGTGTCCTCATGAATCCCCATCCTTAGATGATGACAGATGTTTTCCCTGGCTGTGACTCCATCCTTCTCCTGAATATGTTCATAGTGTCCCAGCAGTCCAACTGGCCCCTTCTGTAAGGACCACCATGGATGCAGGAGAGGCTAGAGGTGGTTAGGAGACACGTGTTCCGGTCATGTGTCCACATGGCCCCAGAGGGCGTGCAGGGAGCCTGTTCTCATAGCCAGAGCTGTTCAGTAGGGCTGCCTGGGCAGGGAATGATCTCTCCATCACTGGAAGTGTGCAAACAGCAGCTGGGGGGCCTTGTGGTTGGAATTCCCACCCTGGGAGAGGGACTGTCTCTAAGACCTCTTCTTCCCAGCATGTCCAGGGGGTTGGTGATTAATCCAATAATCTCAAGCCTAAGGCAGGAGTAGGTGGCTACCTCCCTGCTTTACTGCCCTTACCTCCTCACCTGGCTTGATTTTTCTTTTTTTTCTTTTTTCTTTTTCTTTCTTTCTTTTTTTTTTTTTTTTTGTGATGGAGTCTCACACTGTTGCCCAGGCTGGAATGTAATAGTGCTATCTTGGCTCACTGCAACCTCCACTTCCCAGGTTCAAGCAATTCTCCTGCCTCAGCCTCCTGAGTAGCTGGGATTACAGGCACCCACCACCATGCCCGGCTAATTTTTTGTGTTTTTAGTAGAGACAGGGTTTCACCGTGTTAGCCAGGATGGTCTCGAACCCCTGACCTCGTGATCCGGCTGCCTCAGCCTCCCAAAGTGCTGGGATTACAGGCATGAGCCACCGCGCCTGGCCTTGATTTTTCTAGCACTCTAGCACTTTTTAGCACTCATTACTATGCCTATTTCATATGCTGTTCCAGTTATCCGTTGCTGTGTAGCAAACTACCCCATAACTTAGTGGCTTAAAACAGCAACAATCATTTATTTGGCTCATTAATCTATAATTTGAATAGGGCTCAGCATGGACGGCTTCTCTGTTCCAAGCAGTGTGGGCTGGGGGCTTGATTGGAGACTGGAAGATCCCCTTTCAAGATGGTTCACTTCCGTTACTGACAAGTTGAATGCTGGCTGGGAGCTCCTCTTCCCCTCCATGTGGGCCTCTCCATGAGCTGCTTGGGGTTCCTCAGAGCATGGAGGCTGAAAGCATAAGGTGGAAGTAAATGACATTGTTATGATCCAGCCTTGGAAGTAAAATACTCAGTTTGTCAGGCAGTCATAAAGGCTTGCCCAGTTTCAAAAGAATGGGGATAAGGGGTCCACCTCTTGAACGTAAGAGGCAGAAGATATTGTTGTGGCCAGCTTTATAAAATACAATCTGCATGCGTCTATTTGCTTCTTTATTTACTGTCTGCCTCATTAGTTCTGGGACCTTGTCTTACTCACTGCTATATCCCTGGATTCTGGAACACAGCCTGTCAAATAGGTGCTCAATAAATGTTTGCTGATAACCTAAATGGAGAGATGAATGAAAAAACAGACAGAGATATAAAAAAGACAGAAAAGTGCAGAAAGAAGGGGAAAGAGACAGAGACATAAAAGGGGGAAACAGAGAGAGACAGACTTGGTGAGATACGGTCAGGGCCTGGCTGAGGGTACCTGGTCCAATGGCAAGGAGGCCTTGGGGGAGGGGAGGCAAGTGGGGGGGACACCTGCCGGGCCTGCTATGGGGAGGCAGGAGTTGGGCAGCTTCTGGGGACTGCAGCCTGTGAGCTGAGGCAGTGCCAGCCCAGGGAGGGGGGTCACAGGCAAGGCAAGCGAAGGCCACGTCCAGCAGGAGCCTGGGACCACAGCCAGCTGGGGCCTGGTCTGGCGGTGGTGGCTGGTATAGGCAGCTTCCCCTCTGAGCAATTTCCCTACGGCCAGAGCAGCCGCAACCAAGAGTAACGAAACAGAGGAATGTCGGTGACATTTTTCTAAAGAGGAAAAATGTGAAGTTTCCAGTCAAGCTGAAAGACTTACTGGGTTCGCAGTGAGGCTAGAGCTCACTTTTGAGAACAAACTGCTAGACAAGGGGCACAATCGAGTCCCCGGCAATGTTCACTCCTGGCCCAGCGCGACGCCTGCCGACACTGTTTTGACTACATTGTTCACGTTGATTTTCCTCCAATTCCTCAGCAAATGCAGACTCAAGACATCTTCAGGGATCGAATCAGGGAGGCCAAGAAGGCTCTTCAAAGAGAAGTGCCAAGCAAGTTGGGTGCCTGGGGGCTGTTGGTCTAGGGCACTGGCTGGGCAGGGGCACTGTCTGGGCACTGTGGGATAAGCTATAAAATTGATACCCATAGCTGGCACAATTTGCCCAGCATTTTTCATTTTTTCCACTGAGAAAGTTTGTCTGTCTGTCTGTCTTGCTCTCTCTCACCTACACAGTCTTATTTCTGACCCTTCTAGCAACCCCACCCGGCTCAGAGGGCTAAGGGACTTGCCCGAGCTGACACAATCAGCCAGTGGCTGGCCCAACGCTGCCCAGGTCTTCTGGTTCTTGGGCCACTGTGTCTTCTGAATGGCAGCAGTCTCTGGGTAAATGAGGGCATCCTGGCTAGTTTTCTGGGCTTCAACAGCTGCTTTGGGGACCTGCATTTCACACCTCCTGACCTATTTTCTGCTGCAAATGTCAATTCTCTAGTCCTTCATTTACTGGGTCATCTGACCAATGTGATTTTCAATTTTTCTGTTTTTCTATTGGAACATTGGTTATGTGTTTAGCTGTGGGCACTTGATATCTAGAACTCACCACGTCCCAAACCGAGCTCACCATCACCCACCTGGCTCTCCTCTGGGGTTGTCTCACACATAGCAGGGCCACCTCAGTCTTTCCTGGAGTCCCCCTCGACTCTTCTCCCCCTTACCCACAGTCACGACCACCTCAAAGCCTTAAGATTCTTCCAACTAAATCTCTTTTGAATCTGTCCTGCCCCTCCCCACCCTACTGCCGCCACTCCCTTAGGATCACCATCTTCTCTCTCCTCAATGACTACTATGGCCTCCCTAAGGTCATTCTTGCTCCTGTAACTTATCTTCCACCCAGCAGCCAGAGGTACCTCTTCAAAATGCAGATTACACCCTGCTTAAAGTCCTTCTTCTTGGAAGGACTTGGTTCTTGGGCCCCAGCTTCTCACTAAAGCCCGTGAGGATCTACAGGACCAGATCCCGTCCACTGCCAGCCCTACCTCCCAGGCCCCGCCCACAAATGCCCCTCCCTACCCTCCAGGCCCCGCCCACCCCAGCCCCGCCCACCTCTGGATATCTCACTTCTCTCAAGACCAAACCACCTTCCGTCTCCTTGAATGTTCCCTTCTCTCTCATACCTCAAACCTGCAACCCCTTGCCCTTTCTGCCTGGAAAGCCACAATACATTGAAATGATCTGCTTTCCTGTTGCTGTCCTGCCCCAGGCTGTGATTCCTTGGAGACAGAGTCTGGGCTTCACTCGCCTTTGCATTTCTAGCATCCATCAGAGACCTTAACACATCCTGGAGGCTGGGTGCATGCTCATTGAGTGAGTGAATGACTCCATCTTCTTGGTCAATCAAGTCCTAAGAAGAGGTGGTCTCAAGCACTGGGGCTTGACAAGGCACTTGGTGGGTTCCAGGGGCCTGGACATTCAGCACAGGAGTATCATGGGGTCCAGCTGTGGGGAGGTGGTCTTCAGGGCTGGGGGTAAAATGGGCTTGCCATCTGGGAGCTGTGAGCACATGGTTGTTCAGGGAAGACTGTCAGGCTAAGGTGGTTTGAGTCTTGTTTAGGGGACAGGGAAGGGAGCCCTACCTGCGAAAGGCATACTTTGAAAGGTGCAGTGGTTTGTGCAAAGGCACTGAGGCTTGAAAAGGAAACGGCTCCAGGATGCAGGGAGGGAGACATCAAACACCAAGGCTTGTCTGAAGTCACAACTGGTGCAATGTCAGTAAGACTGTCAAAGCTGAAAGAACCTGTAGAAACATCCTATCTAGCAGGCCGAGCGCAGTGGCTCATGCCTGTAATCCCAACACTTTGGGATGCTGAGGCAGGTGGATCACTTGAGGTCAGGAGTTCGAGACCAGCCTGGCCAACATGGTGAGACCTCGTTTCTACTCAAAATACAAAAATTAGCTGGGCGTGGTGGTGCGCACCTGTAATTCCAGCTACTCAGGAGGCTGAGGCACCAGAACGGCTTGAACTTGGGAGGCGGAGGTTACAGTGAGCCGAGATTGTGAGATTGCGCCACTGCACCCAAGCCTCGGTGATGGAGTGAGACTCTGTTCCAAAAAAATAAAAAGAGACTTTTTATCTAATCCTCCATGTACAGGTGGAAAACTGAGACCCACGATGGGGGAACTTGCTTAGTCACATAGCAGAGCTGGGCTTGAAAGCCAGGACTTCCAACTCTGAGTCCAGCTCTGTTTATTCAGGAATAGGCTTGTGATTCATTCTCAGGGGGAAACTGGGAGATTCTTGGCCTAGAAGAAAGCGTGTGGAGGCCAAGGAAGAGAGTCGCCAATTCTCAGACCCGTTCAGATCACCTCCATTTTACTTAAAGGGCGGTGGGTGTTTTAGATACACTGATTGCAGTTTCCCCAGAGGAAACGAGCTGTCGTCTACAGAGAAAAAGACCTGGGGCTGAATGCTTGGGGACCTGAAGCAGAGAGGGGGGAACAAAGAGAAGTGAACCTGACAAAGCTGTATGTCACTTTTCTTGCCAGCAGCTGCGCCCGTCCTCTGGGCCAGCCCTGCTGTCCATGGCCAGGGCAACTGGAGATCTCCAGCTTGGAAAATTGCTTTCTTTCTGATCCTGTTCCAGCCCTGTCCTGAAGGGCTGGATGGGGCTTCTGTCTAGACCCTTCATCAGCTGAGGCTCAGATATGATCATCATAACAATACATAATAATCTCTACCATCAACTGAACATTGCCTCTAAGCCAGGCATTGTGCATTGTGAGTCTTACTTCTTTTAAACTTCAGGAGTTAAGGATCTGTGATTCTCTCCATTTCACAGATGAGGAAGTGGAGGTTCGGTTGTCTGGTTTCAAATCCAGGTGCTCTGGCTTCAAAGATCTCAGGGATTAAATTCTGAGTGTCATGGATCTTCTGGAGACTGAGGCTCAATGTTCTCACTGCCGCTGCATGCTAGAAACTAGCTGGCCCCAGCTTCCATTGCAGTGTGTGTGGGCATCTCAGTTCTGTGATCTAAGGATACTGACAAGGCACAGTATCTTCCCCCAGATGCTTGATCTATTGGGAAGGCCAGGCTTCCCATAATATACCTTACAGAACATCCCAAAGGATGCCTTCCTGGGGTCTCATTAGATTTGAAACTCATGAAGCCTGGGACTGCATCCCTAGCACAGTGCCTGGCACTCATAAGTCCTCCATCAACTCTTGGTTAATATCATAACACACACACAGACAGACACACACACACACACACACACCCCAAAGTAAGCCAGGATATGTAATTGAGTAAGCCAGGACATGTAATAAGTAGATTATAATCAGGAAAGTGCTTTGAAAGGGCTACTACTTTATGTTTACCCAAGTGAGCCATGTTCATTATAGAAATACTAGAAAATTAGGGCAATAATTACACACTCACCCTCCATACTCCCCCATAGCCACTATTACTATTTTGGCAAATAACCTTTCAATTCTTCTAAGCTAAATGCAGGGTTGTTGCATTCCCTGACTCTGGAAGCCACCATACATGTCAAATTCTGAGTGGCCATAGTAATCCATTTCACAGCCTGGGCAACTGTGTATGGCAACCCTGGATATGTATATGTCTGTCAATATTTATTCTTTACAAAAATGACACCAAACTACACATACTGTTTGAAAAATTGTATTTCTTTTCTTTCTTTTTTTTTTGAGATGGAGTCTTGCTCTGTCGCCCAGGCTGGAGTGCAGTGGCACGATCTCAGCTCACTGCAAGCTCCGCCTCCCAGGTTCACACCATTCTCCTGCCTCAGCCTCCCGAGTAGCTGGGACTGCAGGTGCCCGCCACCACGCCTGGCTAATTTTTTATATTTTTAGTAGAGATGGGGTTTCACCATGTTAGCCAGGATGGTCTCGATCTCCTGACCTCGTGATCCGTCCGCCTTGGCCTCCCAAAGTGCTGGAATTATAGGCATGAGCCACCGCGCCCGGCCGAAAAATTGTATTTCTTACTAAAAAATACTGTCATCATCTTTTGTGTTAATACAAATCTCATTTTATAATGTTTAAAATAAATTACTGGCTGTTTTTTATTTTATTCTTTCCAATACCATGATGTACATTCTTTTTGGGCATTTGTCCCTTATGTTTTTGAGATAAATTATATATATATTTCAAGCAAGAGAATTGATGTTTAAGGCATTTGATACAAGCTGCCAAATTCTTCTCTAGGAAAGTTCCAGCAGTGTGTTGTTCCACCATTAATGCAGGAAAGAAAAGACCTAGGTAAATTTGATAAAAAAAATGCTGGGAAGAGGAAAAGGAGAGGGTATCATGAGGGTATTTGACCTCCTAGGGATCTGTGGAGTGGGCTTCCTCTTTAAGAGGTTGAGAGAAATACAGTCTGTTGGTGACTGTGCGGCCTCCTGGTCTGTTGTAATAAAGCCACAGCATCCCAACTTCTACCTTCGACTCTGCCCTGAATCTCTATTTGACTTTGAGCAAGTCATTTCCCTCTCTGCAGCCAAGTTTCTCTTCCTGCAAACTTGCAAGATTGGGCTAAATCTGGAATGGCAAATAAGATCACCTCATGATTGATTGGTAGTGCCTATCTTGGAGGTCTGTGTTGAGATTGTCAAGCTGTCTGAACTCAGCAGGAAAGAGTGCTGTGATAAATTAATAATGTCTGCCACAGCTGTGGGAAGTGGGATGGTGGTACTTTTGCCATGTATTTGTTATTCCAGGACTAGACACTCTTAGAGGCTCCTCAAGCTCTGAAAAGGCAGAGAGTTTTTCCTGATGCTTTGTTCCTCACAGATGTCTAGATTTGGGGGAAAGCTTCACTGAGTTAGTCAAGTGCCCCCATCTTGGTCTATCTCATTCTGGGTGTATTACAATGGAGCTAAGAGGAAAATGACATCCAATTTCTGTTTCTCAACCTTAATCTGCATCTCATGATATCGTCTTCAGCCTGCAGCAAGAGGATTGGGGATTTCCTGCAATTTCAGTATTCCATTCAGTTTTTATCATTTTAAGGTTCATGCGTTTCTAATTGTTATGAATACCATGGCAAAATTAATAGTTCTATGGTTGGTTTATTACATTTAGTAAAATTACGTGCATGCAGTGTTTGCCAAGAGATGATGCGGCAGGCTCCTTAATCATGTAAAGATGATAATTTAGTTGTTACACTTGTTGAAATGATGGGATTAATTTTTAAAAAGTTTGCAAACTGGAAGAGAAATGTAAAACATTAATTTAGTTAGACAAGCAAGCTGACAACTGACAAATCCTTTCAGCCAAACCTGGTAATGGAGATGCTACAGACCCAGTGGGAAGGAGGCTCATCAAGGAGGCATAGGCACTTTTAAGGAATTGGGAGCTTGAGGATAGAGTGTGCTGTGTGACTTTTGGGGAGACACTTTCCCTCTCTGGGCCTTCACTTTTCTTCTATAAAACAGGACCAGATGAGTAGTTTTCAAGCCATGTTCTGCAGAGCCCTAGGGCTTCAGAAAATGTCATGAGGGCTAAAAGAGAGGCAGGTGGGGTGAAGTTTCAGTGGAGGGGGCATCAGTTTTGGGGACCCACCAAGATTCCCTTTTTGGGTGCTTTCACCCTGATTTTACCTTAGGGAATCACTCTTTCCTTGTTATTAGTCCATGTGGTTCTGGAGGGATTATTTCACCTCTGACTCCAGAGGGTGCCATAGGACTCAGCAGGAGTGGCCCATGAGATCAGTGCATTGCCCTGGTAACCGTGATTGGCTGGGAACAATCACATGACTCAAGCCTGGGCAATCAGAGCTGATTAACCTTTTCCCTAGCACCATTGCTGGAACTGTCTAGAATGAGACTCTTTCCTTTGGGGGTGGCTGAGCAAGGAGGATGGGAGGCTACAGCTTTGGAGGCCATCTGGGTCATGATTTGGGAAGAGAATGTCTGAGAATGAAGCCAATGCAAAGGTGAGGAGAGCCAAGATACAAGGCAGATTCCCAATGTCATTGTTTCAACTCCTGAATCCAGGTCTACCTGATGTCTTGAGCTTTCCTGTTACATGGGCCCATAAATTCCTTTTTTTTTTTTGGGCTTCAGCAACTTCCAGTTGAATTTCTGTAACTTTTGACGCAAAGAATATCATCTCTTGCATTTCTTTCATCGCACTTCAAATGGATCCAATCTACATTTATCCATTTTATACTTTGGAATTCCATTTCAAAATTTTGCTTGAACACAGGATTCTGTCACTAAAAAGTAGGACTAGGACTAGATGATTCCCAAGGGGCTTGCTTTGCCGTGATATTTAGGTAATGACATAGGTGCGTGTGTGTGTGTGTGTGTGTGTGTGTGTGCATGTGTCCACAGTTGTATGAATTAGGTGCTGACACACACAGAGCAGGGAGGACTGACTCCAGGTCAGTTTTACTAAGAAGGACCATTTGAAGTGCATCCTGAAGGATTAATAGGAGTTTTCCAGAGAGAAAGAGAAAGTGAATGGGATTCCAGGCAGAGGGAACAGCATGTGCAGATGGCCTCAACGTGGAAAGACTGGAAGGCATTTGGGGAAGACTGGATTGTCTGGTGTGGCTAAAGTAGGCAGCCTGTGGGTTGTGAGAAGGTGGAGGCTTGAGGAAAGGACATGGAAAAGCAGAAGAGGCCCACTGTGAAGAGCCTTGAATGTCAGAGCGAGGAGTTGGATTATAGCTGGCAGCCACTGGGCAGCCATGATAAATTCTTGAGCAAGAGAGGAGCAGGGCCCATGGAGGGCTGTTTGCTGGGAATAGGAGAGACTGTGGGAGGGAAATTAGTCTTTCTGGGTGGCTGTGCTTGAGACTTCTGGTTCTTCTGTATGAGGCAGGAGGTGAGGGGGATCAGACATTCGGCTCTGGAAGGATCCCAGCTCTCCACAGTCTGCATTCCAGAGCTGGCTAGGCCTCACCATTCTCAGCACTGGAATCTGAGCACTACATTGAGGAGGGGGCCTGGGAGGCCGCTTCGTGGAAATTAGGAGGATGGGGAAGGAATTCCTGACTCTGCTGGCTCCATTTAACTGGCTGTGATTTATGGGGATGTTGCAGTAGTTCCCAGGGGGAACCAATCCTTTCCCACCACAGTGGAGGCTTTGAGTCTAAAGATATTATGAAAATTCCTACGAGTTCTGAGGGCCCTGTTTTCCTCTCCCTTGATGGCCCGTTTCCCCAAATCCACCATATGGGCTATGTTACATTATACTTCAGTGGCTTTTACTCATGCCATTCCATCTTCCGGATCACCCTTCTCAGATTTTTCATGCCCCAGGGTAATAGTAACAGTAATAGCCAGAGAACCAGCAGCAACAACTATGGCTGTGAACGTGTATTGCATGCCCACTCTGCGTAGGTACAGTGCTAAATGTTTATTTACATGCATTTTCTCATTAAATTCTCTCAGCAATCCTACAAGGTAGAGACTTTTATTATCTTCAGTTTACAGGGGAGGAGGTACAGAGAAATGAGGTCATCTGCCTAAGGAGTATAGCTGTGAAGAAGAGGAGGGGGGATTTGAACCTAGGGCTATCTGGGAAGGAACAGGCCTTGGATTTGGGAAGGCCTGGCTGGAATCCATGGCCAGAAATGTGGTAAAGGAGAAGAGTAAGAAGGGAGAGATGAGACAGAGAGGTGAGAGGAGAGGATTTGGAGGAGGAAGAGAGAGAAATAGAGTTATGTCTTGGCATCCTTGATTGAAAGAGTCTTAGAGGAAGAAACAGAACTTTTGTAAAATATCCACGAGGCTCTAGGTAAGAAGTAAAAGAAAAAGGTGCAGGCAGAAGAGGAAAGACAGGGAGTCTGTGTTAGGAGGAAGATGAGTGGGAAAGAGATGGGGGTGCAGCAAGCCGGAGCTCCTGGGCCCACAGTCTGAGGGGAGGTGGTGGCGGGGGAAAAGGTGCCTGATACTCAGGGCTTTCCAGGGAGAAGGGAAGCGGCCAGCCCTGGCTCTTTGGCTTTCTGTGCCTTCTGATCTATATTCTCAACCAAGGAGAGGGGTCCCAGGGTGACAAGTACACAGGGGTCTTTTCCATGCTCGCTTTGACCAAAGTGCAGCTTTTAAGGCAGTAAGGGTGTAAGGCAGGGAAATTGGGTTGTGAGGGGAAAATGACTATATTTTAAAAAATATTAATTTGCAGGGTGCCATGAGGGGTGTGATCTGGATACCAGGCAGAGCCAATCATGGCCTCCTTTCAGCTCTGTTCACGAGTCACTTGTTCCTTTTTAAAATTTATTTATTATTTATTTTTTGAGACAGAGTCTCGCTCTGTTTCCCAGGCTGGAGTGCAGTGGCACCATCTCAGCTCACTGAAACCTCAGCTTCCAGGTTCAAATGATTCTCCTGCCTCAGCCTCCTGAGTAGCTTAGACTACAGGTGAACACCACCATGGCTGGCTAATTTTTGTATTTTTTATAGAGATGGAATTTTGCCATGCTGGCGGGGCTGGCTTCAAAATCCTGACCTCAAGTGATCCACCCGCCTCAGCCTCCCAAAGTGCTGGGATTACAGGGATGAGCCACTGTGCCCAGCACGGAGCCCTCCCTGCTGCCCCTGACCTTTGTGGGTCCCTGTCTCTGGGTGCAGCTTGGGATCTGAGAGTTTGACTATCACTGATGCCTCCAGGTAACCTCTGCAGCATTTGGCTCTAGACCCAGCTTGACCAGTGGGGCCGTGGAAGCTGCAAGCTACAGATAAGATGGGAGAGGAGGATAAGGAAGAATGGCGTGCAAGTCAAAGGAACAGCAAATGGAATTACATTCATGAAGGACACAGGCAAAAATAATAATGATAACGAGCAGGCATTCTCTGAACGCTGTGCCTGTGGCAGGCCTTATGTTGAGTGTGTTTCGTGGATTATCTTACTGAATCCAGACAGCAGTCCTAGGAAGCAGGTACATTTATAATCCCCATTTTACAGATGGGGAAACTGAGGTTTAGGGAGATGAAGAGAAGGGCCTGGGATTCTGGCGTCACTTACACATCACCCTATGCTGTGCAAGATCCACCTCTGTGATGGGTTCAGGAGCACACAGAGGCAGGGGCATGGCCAATGTGACTCCTTGGGCCATCTGTCCTGTCCACAGACTCTAGGCAGCATAGAACCAGAGCTGACTGGGCCATCCAGTAACATGTCCCCCTTCCCTTGCCTGAGAGATACATAGGTTCTAGGGAATCGGGACTGGTTAAGCCAGCCAGGCGGTTCCTCTCCCCAAGGTGGGGCTTTCCTTCCAGATCTTGGCTAGTTTCCTTGGCAGCAACAACAGCAGAGGGCAGGGGCTGTGCTCCTACTCTGGGCCTTTGCAGAGCCAGGCCCTTGCCTCATTATCTAATTGAATACTGCAACATCCCAAGGAGGTATGATCAATATGCCCATTTTGCAGAACAAAGAGACTAAGGCACAGAGAGGTTGAGTGAACTGCCCAAAGACACTCAGCAGCAGGCAACAGGGCTGAAAGATAAACACAGGGCCCTTCCTCCCTCCAGTCCCTCCCTTCATCTGTTCTGAGGCCAGCATGGCAGGAGAACTGGAAGTGGTTGACCCACCTTCGTTCAGCCTCTTAGGGACATGCTGAGCAGGGCTGTTGTTTCAGGCCTGACATGGACCACGACAGGAGCCACCACTTGAGGCTGCACTTACGTAACATGGTTTCACCCAGCCTGGCCCAAGTGAAAGGTTGCGATTTATGCTGAAACAAGCCACCATATATGTTTAATCCTGAGGCTGTGGTGACCACAGCATTGGCCTGATTTATGTAGCTGTTTTTTTTTTAATAGGAAAATCACTACCTGATGATATTCTGGTCCTCCTAGTATTGACAAGTGTTGGGCCATAAGCTTGAGAAGCTTTGAGAGAAAAGGAGAATTTTGTTTTGTGGCTTCTGTCTGTGGGTTGTGGCTGAAGCTGCCTGGGGATGGCAGGAGATGCACACGCAGGGAGTCCCACACCCTTCTGGAAATGCATGCACCTGTATATGGTGCACGTATATGAACATGTACTTGGTAGTACATGTTCATGCCTACACATGCATGTGCACATGCTTTTGGCATGCCCACATGTATTCACACATGCACATATGTGGAAGAGGGAATGTACACAGTTACACATATGTTCATGCTTATACCCAGCCACAGGCCATGTGCATACTTGTACATGTATGTGTACATGCTGCAGTCATGCCCACATGTATCCACATGTGCACATACAAAGCCATACATATGTGCTCAGGGATGCACCCAGTCACACCCATGAGTGACTAGGCGTATACCTAGCCTTAGTGCATGGGCACATTTGCACCAATACATGCAAGCACACCCAGTAGACATGCATGCCTATGCATACACATGAATGCCAAACTGCCAAACACACTGTACCCTCCTACATCCACACTGTAGGCATGCCCACACACTTGTGGATGCTCATGCATGCACATACACATATGCCTCTCTGATGTGTGTGCACACTCATGCACACCCCACACACACTAGCCCTTTTGCTTCTCCACAACTGGCCTGCAGATGTGAGGGGGGCCTGAGTGAGGAGATACATGGACCTGGGTTCAAATCCCAGCTCTGCCGCTCCCTAGCTGTTTGGCTTTTGGTAGATATTTTAATTCTCTGGGCCTTGGTTTTCCCACCTGTCCAAAGGGTGTCATGAGAACCATCATCTCTCAGAGTGGCCGTGTGTTTAGGGAAGGCAATGTTGATAAATAACTTGGCACAAAGTGAGACTTAGGAAATGGTGGCTCTTAGAACCAATGACCAGATCACCAGGAGCCATGATGCTGAAAGGTGTCACTACTTCTAAGCTTTGCTGTTCCTGCCTTTTCTGATCAGGCGCCTGCTGTTTCCTCTATGTCCCGGGAACAGCCCACGCTCCAGTTATCTGGAACTATTTATGATCCCAAGTCCAGTATGCCTTTCAGGCCTCCAAGATTTTAACCATGCTGTTCTCACTGCCTGGAATGAGCTTCCCCACCATTTCTCAAGAAAACTCCTACTGTTTCTACAAAATCCAGTCTAGGAGTCACCTTCTCAAGGAGGTTCTTCATGATCATCCTTCAACCCCAAGGCCCACCTACAGGCCCTGCCACATCTATTTGTTTGCCAGTCTCTCTCCATTAATCTTCAGTGGCTTGTGTGTAGTAATTACTCACTCCATCATACCCTTTAATAAGAGGTTAGCCAACGAACCGGCCGGCAGAACCCAGCAAGTTGAAATCTCAAGCCTTCTATTCTTAGGATTGTGCTCTTTTCCTGTCACCAAATTATAGGATGAGTGATAACTGTAAAGGCTGACACCAGCTGCTTCCTGCTGAACCCTGTGCTAAACAGTGCCGTCACCATCTCATTAAATGCCCCCACTGATACCGTGAGGTAGGAACTCTTATTATCCTGTTTTGCAGATAAGCAAGGCAAGGCATGGAGAGATGGAGAGGTGAAGTGGAGGGCCCGGGGTCTCCCAAAGGTGAGGAGCTGTGCCTGATACCTGCTTGACTCCAATGTTTGAGTCTCAGTTGTATCCCGTGGCCAATGAATAGACTGACTTGATGATGAATGGCTGGTGGAATGGCTGGTAGAATGACCACCTGTCAAGTGACAGGTGGAATGAATGAATGAATTAAGCAAAGAACAGAAGATGCAGAAACCCACATCTGGGTTGCTCCACAACAAGTCCCCTCAATGCCACCAACCCCAAGACAGATGCTGTAGTCCCCTCTCCAGCCATGTGGCTCTAGGGGCCCCGGGCAGCCTTGGTTTCCTGGCGAGCCCCATTCATCCCCTGACTCACAGCTCCTTTTGGTTATCTAGATGCTGCTGAATTCTGGGTCAGAGCTACCTGTTGGATGTGGATGCTGGGTCCCTCAGCCCTGGCAGGCACTCTTGCCTGGAGTTGCCAGGACTCCAGCAAGCAGGGAATGACCAGGTATCACTCCAGGGCCCAGTCCTCCTGCAGCTGATGGGCAGAAATTTGTCCACAGTGAGTTAAGACCCTCTTGGCCACTGCTTGTGTGTTCCTCCCACTCTGAGGCTCAGGACAGCTGGGGCAATGAGACAAAAGTAGGGCAATGGCAGCTCCTGCCTGTGGACGGACGCCGGGCATAATTCACACGGGAAAGGTGTCAGGAGCGTATTTTGACTACAGCGTCATGAGCTCCGGGATTCGGGTCTGCAAGTGCCATCCTGACAGATAAATTGGTCAGAATTCAACTGTCTGTGACAAAAGGGCTGATCTCCCCAACTGCTTTCCTCCTGGGACCCTGTGGCCCACAGGAGGGGGAGCTGGAAGTCCTTTGGCTTGCAATCGCCCAGCTTCTGAGAGGTCCAGCCCCTGGGCAGAGCCGGCAAGGGGGCTGGCTGCCTGCCCTGGTGCCTCCCCCAGCTCTGGACGCCCTTGCCAGCACATAGCTCAAGGCCGGTGCAGGCCTTCCTGGTGTGTGCACAAAAGACGGGAGAGCAGGTGGACAAATGGGGTTGTACCGAAAGGCTGTGACACTTGGGGACCTGGATGCTGTCTTGTTGTGTGTCCTTGGAACCTCTTTTTCCTCTCTGGGCCTCAGTCTTTCTTGTTTTAAAATGTGGAAGTTCATTACTTCTCTTTTTCCTTCCCTTCTTCCTTTTCTCTCTCCCATCCTTCCCTCACTCTTCCTTTCCTTTTTCTGCCTCTCTTCCTCCCTCCCTCCTCTTCCCTCTACCTATAGACTTTCATGAAAGCTCCTAAGTGTTATACACTATGCTGGGTGCTAAGAGTTAGGTAAGTCTTAACCCAGGAGGTGGAGCTTGTAGTGAGCCGAGATCGTGCCACTGCACTCCAGCCTGGGTACAGAGCGAGACTCTGTCTCAAAAAAAAAAAAAAAAAAAAAGGGGTAAGTCTTACAAGGGTCCTAGCCCTCAAGGCAGATTTTCCTTCATTCACACATTTATTCATTCAACAAATATTTACTCACCCCTGACCTTGTGCCTGGCTCTGGTAAACAGCAGGGCACTGGGAAGACAGGGCCCTTACCCCCCTGGAGCTCACAGTTCAGTGGGAGACATTAATCAAATCAATCTACCAATGAAGTCATGATTATTAATTGTGTTGAAGAGCTATAAAGTGAAAAAATAAAAAGTCTGGGATACAGAAAAGCAGGGAGTCCTATCTGGAGAGGGAGGTCTTGCAGAGGAGGGTATATACATATTTTTTGAGACGGAGTTTCACTCTTGTTGCCCAGGCTGGAGTGCAATGGCACGATCTCGGCTCACCACAACCTCCGCCTCCTGGGTTCAAGCGATTCTCCTGCCTCAGCCTCCCGAGTAGCTGGGATTACAGGCGTGTGCCACCATGTCCAGCTAATTTTGTATTTTTAGTAGAGACGGGTTTTCTCCATTTTGGTCAGGCTGGTCTCGAACTCCCGACCTCAGGTGATCCGCCCACCTCGGCCTCCCAAAGTGCTGGGATTACAGGCATGAGCCACTGCGCCTGGCTGAGGGTACATTTAAGTTGAATGGAGGTGGGCAAATTGGGGTGAGGAGCATCCCAGTAGAAGATGGGTCATGCCAAGGTCCGTGGTGGGATGGTCAAGACTCCAAAGGGGAGTCATGGTGATTCCAGAATTTCCGGGGGTGAGAGAGGCTCATTGTTTACCTCCTGGGCCACCTCAGTCTGGTCTGGATCTTGGCCCGTCTGAGATTTTACACTTTAGCCATCAGGGCTTCAGTTTTTGCATCTGTACAATGGGTGCACTTCTATTTGGGCGGTCCCTTTCACCTCTATTATTCTTTAGTTGCTGAGTAGAGCTAAAAGTTTCCTGGCACGTTTGACTTAAAGAGTCAGCAGAAGGAGGAGTTTTGACCTAGGTCTCGGCATCACACACGCCCTAGTCTGAATTCTGGCTCTGCTGCTCTAGGGCTGGTTGACCAAGCTACTTTACCCCTCCAAGTCTCAGTTCGTCTGGTCCATGAAAGGGTAGTTTACTAAATGTGAAAGGTCATCCTGAAGATTGAACCAAAGGACACAGCATTTGCCAAGGGGTGGTCTGAATTTCATCAGCAGAAGGAGCAAGACATGAGCAAACTTTCCACTTTCATGTATTTATTCCAGTGTATATTGGACACAAATAGAATGAGCACATTCTACCAGTACTTTCGTGGATGTTCTTGCCTCAGATGACACCGAGATTAAAAAAGTGTCCCCGAAAGTTAAAAAAATGATGGACAAATAGTGGGGGAAGGATTTATTTGAAGGGGCAGAAATGGTGAGAGTGGATGAATGGCCAAAGTGTGTCAGGTTCCAAGGGAGATCATGTGAAGTACTTAGCATCACGCTAAGGGCTCACCATGGCCTCCAGGATGGGTGGCTACAAAACAATGATGATGATGATGATGGTGATGGTGATGATGATGATGGTGATGATGATAGTGATGATGATGATGGTGATGATGATAGTGATGATGATGCTGATAATGATGGTGATGGTGATGGCGATGATGGTGATGGTGATGATGATGTAACGATGATGGTGATGATAATGATGGCAATGGTGATGGTGATGATGGTGATGGTGATGATAATAGTGATGGTGATGATGATGGTGATGGTGCTGGTGAGGAGGAGAGGAGAATGAGGGTGATGATGATGGTAATGAGGAGGATGATGATAATGGTGAGGATGATGGTGATGGTGATGATAATGATGATGGTGCTGGTGACTTTTTGTTGTTGAGGGGACACCTCCTGTGTTATTGAGAAATGTGAATTCTTTTTGATTAAATTACTATGCAGCCTCAGGCAAAGTCCTCCCCCTTTCTGGGCTTGGACCACTCACCCACTCGAGATGTTAGTGGACTACAACGTCCTTTTATCTCCTATGGCTGCTAGGCCTGCCTGTTTTGCTGAGGTTCTGAATGGTAAGGCTGTGTTGAGGCAACCTCTGTCCTCAAACCCTGGGGGAAACTTCTGGTGTAAATACCCAGGCAGAGCCCCAAAATGCGAACATCTGGTTAAAACCTGGCAGGGCCCAGCCACTGCCTCCCAGAGGTGGGATGGACATAATAGTTCTTTTGCTAGACCCGGTGATTTATGTACCTGCCCTGGAGGCTGTGATGTTTGCACTTGTTTGACGTAGGAAGCAGGGGGGCCAGGAAGGTATCAGGAAGAAGGTGTTTAATGATATTGGGTAAATATTAGGTGAGCAGTGGCGATGACCATAGGCTGGGAGCTGGGCCGAGGGTGTGTCTCCAGCTGGGAAGCCTGAGAGGTCTTGACTGTATCAGGGCCCTGTGACAGCTGCTGCAATCCATATTCCTCACTCCAGAGTGTGCGTCTGAGCAACAAACTCACCTGAAAGGGAGATACTAATCCTTAAACTGCAGTACCTGAATCCAATTCACATCTTGTTTTTCCTCTCCAAGAGCAGCCTGGAATAGGGAGGAGAAGGCCAGGCCTCAGATCAGTCTTGGATTCAAATCCTGGCTCATTAACTATGTGATTTTGGGTGTTATATTTTGCCACTCAACCTCAGTAACTTCCTCTGTAAACTGGAATGAATCAATGCAGCTAAGATTCCTGAAGAAGAGCCAAAATTGCATGGAGGTGATTGTGCTTGGCACAAATATTGGGTAGCAGAGCAGAGCAGAGAAACCCAAGGGCACTGTGAGGATGAAGCCCACCTCATGCCTGGCATGCAGTAGGCACCCATCAGTGTCAGCTCATGCTTAGCCTTCAGGCTTGAGAAACATCTCTCAGGGAACCTGAAAAAGAGGCCATGATGTATATAGCAGCAAGAAGGGGCATCCCTGGCAGAGGGAACAGCACATGTGAAGGCCTGGAAGTGGGATGGAATCTGGGTTTGGTTAGGGAACAATGACACATTCTAGGTGACAAGAAGCAGGGTCAGTATTGCAGGTAGTGAGGCCAGGGAGAACGAAGAAAGGGTTTGGGGGTAGCACATGGGGAGGTACAATCAGATTAGGGTTTTCTTTTTCTTAAATATTTATTTTGTTTAATTCCTTTATACACTAGTCATGTGCTATGGGGTTGAATGTGTCCCCCAAAGTTCGTGTGTTAAAAACTTACTCCTCAGTGTGATGGTGTTGAGAGGTGGGACCTTTAAGAGGTGATTAGGTCATGAGGGCTCTCTTCTCATGAGTAGATTAATATTGCTGTCATGGGGAATGGCTTCATTATGGCGAGAGTGGATTTGTTATAAAAGTAAGTCTGGCTCTTGCTGTCTCTCTCTTGCACATACTTTTTTGCTCTTCTGCCTTTCGCCAGGGGGTGATGCAACAAGAAGGCCCTCCAGATGTAGCTCCTTGATCTTGGACTTTCCAGCCCCCAGAACCATGAGCCAAATGCATTTCTTTTCTTTATAAATTACCTAGTCTCTGGTATTCTGTTATAGCAATACAAACGAACTAAGACACCAAATACGTAATTTTATATACCTGCCTAAGTGTCATGTCACTTATGTGTTTCTTTAGTGCTGACAGTTTTGCTTCCTTTTTTCTTTCTCCTTGGCTTCCTCCACTGCTTCCTCCCATTGCAGACCACCCCCCAAGCCAGGTCACCCAAGTTAACTACCTAGTCTGAATTCTCCTATAATTTTCATAATTCTCTTCATACTCATGTCATCACATATGTGAAGCATTGCGATTGATGTTCTTTTCACAACGGGATCACATTGCACACACTTTCTCCATAGTGCTTTTTCCATGCCAGACATCTCCTGGTAATATCTTGAGCTGATTGGTACAACTCTATTCCCTCCTGTCCTTGGCTGCATAATACTCCATGGCTTGGCTGTACCCTGATGCTTTCACCATTCCCTGACTGAGGCTTTGCCTTTCCTTTCTTTTTGCTGCTATGAATGATACTGCAGGAAACATTCTTGAGCACATGGCTTTAAGTGCTGTGTGTTTGTTTCTGTGGGAGAGATCCCCAGGAGGGGGATTGCTAGGGCATAAGGTAGATTTTACATTTTCAGAGATGTAGCAAGATTGCTTTTCTAAAAGGCTGTAACACTTTACATCTCCAGCAGCGATGATTGAGAGGGTATTTTCTTCCCAGTCTAGTGGGGGTCATTGTTTCCAGGCTAATGGGAACCAGAGATTTGGGTTTTCAAAGGCTCTCTCTGCCTCCAGAGTGGGGAATGAGTTAGAAGGTGAGATGCATTTATTCAGCTGATTATTCAATTGATATCTGCGTTGTGAATTCTTCAAGATCAGAGTCTGGTCTATCTAGTCCACTCCTGTATCCTCCAGTACCTGACACATGGTCTGGCCCAGAGAAGGTGCTCAATGAATATTGGTGGAATGGAAGAAGAAATGGATAGATGGGTGTGTGGGTGGGTGAATGGGTGAGGGATAGGTTGGTGGGAGGAAGGGTGGGTTGATGGGAGAATGGGTGGCTGGATGGGTGGAAGAACGGAGGGATGGATAAATTCTGAGAGTGAGCCATGATTTCTGAGGACTTCCATCTTTCTCCGGTCCTGGGTGTGAACAAATCCAAAATTAGTAAACTATCTGCTCCTCCTTTCACACTAAGGAAATATAGCAGGACAGGTAGTTGGCAGAACGCCGGGAAAAATGTGTCCCTGAAAGGAGAATTAATGAGCAGTTGTGAAGATTACAGAGTAAGTTGGTTTACCTTGCCCTGCTGGAGCTGGCTTAAGACTCTTGGGGTGCAGCAACAGGCAGCCACATCCACGACACCCCCCTGCCCAAATGCGTCCCGTGGTAGAGAGAGAGCTCTCGAAGGTTGAAGACAAGGCTCCCCTTGGAGGGCCCAATTTGTGATGAGAGGCTGGAGTGATGCCACTTCTCAAGATCTGATAAGAGTAACCAACACTGGCGGGGCACGGTGGCTCACGCCTGTAATCCCAGCACTTTGGGAGGCTGAGGCGGGCAGATCACCTGAGGTCAGGAGTTCGAGACCAGCCTGGCCAACATGGTGAAACCCTGTCTCTACTAAAAATACAAAAATTAGCCGGGTGTGGTGGTGCATGCCTGTAATCCCAGCTACTTGGGAAGCTGAGGCAGGAGAATCGCTTGAACTCGAGAGGCAGAGGTTGCCGTGAGCAAAATTGCGCCATTGCACTCCAGCCTGGCGACAGAGTGAGACTCTGTCTGAAAAAAAGAAAAAAGTAACCAACATTTATTGGGCACTTACTGTGTGAAAGGGGCTGTGACTTACATGCATCTCATTGTGTCCATATCAACTGCTTGGGCAGCTACTCCTATTATCGGCATTTTGTAGATGAGTAAAAGGGGGCTCAGACAGGCTTGTTTACTCATCAGATTACACAGCAAGGAAGTGAGCAGTTGACTAAGCTTCAGCCACAACTTTAATCCACTGCTCCTCTAATGCTGCCCAGTGGCATCCTACCTATGCAGGAGGGAGCTCAAACTTTCCCCTTCACATTCTGGCCTTAGCCTACCTACTTGGCAGCCCCAAGTGATCTTCGCCAAAGGGCCAGGGTGCTTTCAGCTCTTCCTGCCTCCTCTGCCCTCTGGAGGTCTATGGTGGGGAGGAGGGGAGGGAAGTGTGTCATGAAGAGAGGAGACCCATCTTCTAGTTCTGCCTCTGCTACTTCCTGGGCCTCAGCATCCTCATCTGCAAACTGGGTTTATATCTGCCCTTGAAGGATGCTGTGATGAATCACAAGGTTGCTGTATTCTTGGGAGAGAGATTATTATCCCTGACCCTGCAGGATCTTTCTTGCTGTCCTTGCAGGGTCATGCATCTGGCTTCATGAAGCTTTTGCGATCACCTCTAGGATGGCCCCCACACGGCATAACAAGAGACCCTGATTTCCCACTTTATTCCCAGCCTTGGTCCTGGACCACACACTCAGCCCTCCTCGCCTCCGCCTGCTTCCATTGTTCTTTCCTTTCACCTGGTCCTTGTCTTACCTTGGAATTGACACCTAGGCATCCCTTCTTCTAAGTGCCTTTGTCTGCCCTGGATAAATTACTCTTTCCTGAACCAGTCCAGCCTAGACACTTTAGCTCAAACACATAAGGAGGAATGCTCTCTGTATGTTCACCCCAATCTCATTCATTCATTTAATCACTCAATAAATATGCATTGAGAATCTATTATACCATGAGCCAGGCGCTGTTCTAGGAAGTAGGAAACTAACAGTAAAAATACTCATCCAATTCTCATGGTATTTGTATTTTTCAATGAAGGCATAGGCAAATAGAAAAAAATTATAAATGGGACTTGGGAATTTTTCAGGCTTTGTTCAGTGTGGTCCAAGGGGTGGAGGAATGAATGGAAAGATGATTAAGCTCAATGGAAAGACAGCACATTACTCTGTACCTAAAATGGGGAATGAGCTCCCTGTCTTTGGAAGTGTGCAAGCAGATCCTAGACAACTCCTTGACAGGGCTCCTGGCATCAGTGATGGGGTTGGCCTGGGAGACTTTTAAAGCCCCTCCCAGCTCCAGGTGTCCGTGACTATGGGCTGGACGCTCTCCAGGCTCCCCTGCTATGGAATTGCCGGAAGCCTGATGGCTGTGAGCCCGTTTGCACTCAGCCTTCCTCGCTCCCAGCTCACCTCACACTGACTTCTGGCTCCTCAAACCTGTCTGGTTCTGCAGGGCACCCCTGGATCCTGGGGCTGGCTGGGAGGGGCCCTTCCCCCACTGCCTCCTCCTGGGCCCCTCCTGTTTATGAGGCTGTTGTCCAGGGTTGCTGGAGCGACGCTGGATCCACGCCCCACTCGGAGCCCACTGACTTTTGGGCTTTTTCATGGCTTTTGAACATAGCAGCTACTCCTGTCTCCTGTCTGAGTGGGTCTCTTGGATGAAAACCCATCGATGAGGGTGTTTCCAAGCACCCTGGGCTCACAAGAGCTCCTGGTTTTTCCTTCTGGCTCCAGCCGTGAGACCTTCTTCCCAGCCAGGTAGGGTGAAGTTCAAACCCAGGCTCTGTGGCTGGGCTGTATGAATTCAAATCCTGCGGGATCCTTAATCCTCCCTATGGACGTGCTTAGCTAGAGTGTCTAAACCCTCCCTGTGTCTATCTCAATGATGACAAGGCTTAGTCTCTCCTGGGGAACCTGGACAGGCTTGGGTGGTGAGGAAACCCTCTTGGGATGAGGGAACAGAGCCTAGAGCGCCCACCCCGACATTCCCACCGTAGTGGATTTCTGTTTGACTCCAGGCTGAAGGCTGGGTGTCCATGATGACCGATGGGCCTGCTTGTTTCCCGAAAATCCCTTGACATTCCCGTCATTTCTCTCCCATCTCTCACCTGACCTTAGGCCCGGAGTGGGGCTTGTGTCCAGGATGCTCTGTCCCTCCTGGACCTTGTGGAACCCAGAGTCCCTTCCACCCCCCATTGGAGGGCCAGACACCACTGGCTCAGCAGATGGGGAACCTGAATGCTACGCTACTTTATTAAACTCCACTGTTTAGCTTTCGGCAGGTCATAGCTCCTTTCTGGGCCTTGGTTTCCGGTCCAATGTTTGGGTCAGGTCAGGTCAGTGATTTTAGACTTTATCCTCCCTCTCCCGCACACCCTACTTTTTAAATTTGCAGCAACATCTTTCCTTTGAATAAAATCTTAGGTGAAACAGCGCGAACAAGAGGGGGGCAGACCAAGACACAGGTGGGGATCTAGAAAATTCTCCCTTGGAGACAAAGGCAGCATTAGGGACTGGCAAGGAAAGAGGCTGAACAGTTAAAATTTAGGATCACCTGCTGGGCCCCTTGCCCTGTCAAAACATGTCTGTCCTACGTCCCATTCTCTCGTGTTCCTGTCCTCTGTTTAGAACCAATTGTGTATAGACAGTCCCTAGGTGAACCTATACATTTTTGGCTTTAAGATGGCTCAAGGCTGGGTGTGATTGCTCATGCCTGTAATCCCAGAACTTATGGGAGGGGGAGGTGGGAGGACTGCTTGAGCCCAGGAATTTACAATCAGCCTGGGCAACATAGTGAGACCCTGTCTTTTCCAAAAAATTAAAACAAAAATTAGCCAGTCATGCTGGTCCGCACCTGTAGTCCCAGCTACTCAGGAGGTGGAGGTGGGAGGATCGCGTGAGTCCAGTAGTTTGAGGGTTCAGTGAGTTGTGACTGCACCACTGCACTCCGGCCTAGGCAATAGAGCGAGAGCCTGTCTCAATAAATAAATACATAAATAGAATAAAGATGGTTTGAAAGTGATACATATTCAGTAGAAACTGTACCTTGGATACCCATACGATCATTCTGGTTTTCACTTTCAGTACAGTGTTCAAGAAGTTACATGAGACATTCAACACTTTATTATGTAGTAGACTTTGTGTTAGATGATTTGGCCTAACTGCAGTCTAATGTAAGTGTTCTGAGCACGCTGGAGGTATCCTAGGCCAAGCTGTACTGTTTGGTAGGTTAGGTGTATTAAATGCATTTTCAACTTACAATATTTTCAATTTACCATGGGTTTATTCGGACACAGCCCCAGTGTAAGTCAAGGAGCATTTGTAATTGGTTCTACCAGGATGAATGGGTTTGTATTTTAACAGGGGTTTCCCAGAGACTTTTAGCTGGAGACGACCCTAAGAGGGAATGACAGGAGGGCTGAGGGCCTGGATGAGCTCTCGGGAGCAGGTGGACCGTTGGCGGAGACGTGAGCAGTTCCTTCCCAGCACTGAGCAGCACATTTTGTTTATACTGGGAGGCTTTCTGACTTCACAGCGAGAGTATTTTGGGAGAAACTGTCTCTCCCACATCTGGATTGGGGCAGAGACCAGCTGTTACTCCCATCTCTGTGTTCACACTGTTGTCATGTGTGGGGAAGTGCTGCCAAGTGCTGGGCGGGGACTGGAGCCTTCTGAATTCTCTCCCTCCCGCGCTCCCTCTGCCTCTTCTGGTCTTGTTGGAAGACTCTGGCTGAGGCAGTGGGACCCAGAGGGCTCAGGCCCAAGGGTCTGGGTTTGGATTCTGACTCCCACTTGCTCACTGTGGGGCCTGTGTGCATGACTTCCCCGTCCCCAAGTTCTTGTCTGTAAGATGGGAGTGACTAGTAAGACCCACCTCTTCTAGAGTAGGGAAGATGAAATGAGACCATGCACCCAGACATTCAGGGCACAGCAGTCGTGGCCACCTTTTCTTCTCCACACTGGAGGCTGTGCAGAGATGGAACCGTGAAACCTACCCAAGGGGCAGGGCCCTTCCTGGACTCTAGCCAGTGCCTTTAGTTCTGGGGCATCTTCCCCGAATACACACGCCCACTGTCTCCATGGACACACATCTATTCAGAGATGGACACAGACAGATGCATGCAGACACACTAGCACACGGGTGCACATGCCAGCCCTATACACATGGGCACATGCACACACACACCTTTGCACACATACACACACGTGAACACTCAATATGATTTAGCCGATGAGTGTATTTCAAGCAGGTCACGTTAGACAGCTCTTGCCGACTTTGAGAAAGGCAGGTGAAGTCCACATCCTCATGGAACATCTTGTCTAATGGGGGAGGCAAGCTCTCAGAGAGCCCAAAACAAACCACATAGAACAAAATCATTTAGACTGGGGAGGAGCTGTGCTGGAAATAACCTGGGGTAGGATGGTGAGGGTCATGGGGGGCACAATGGGGGCATCAAAGAGACATCTTCCCACCTCCCCCACCCCATATTGAAGCCCATATTGAAATAGTGGAGGATGAGAAGGAATCGGTTTTGGGAAGATCTGGGGGCAGAATGTTCCAGAAGAGGGACAAGGCCTTGAGGAGTGGCAGGAAGGCCGGACGGAGCAGGTGGAAATGAGGCCAGTGACAGTGGTAGTGGTAAGGCAGCACATTCAGGTTCCTGCGGTCCTGGTGCGGAGTTCAGATTCTTCCAAGTGCGACTGTGAGCTTAGAGATTGTTCTAAGACCTCCATATCCGCTATATGATGCCTACACACATGTATGCGGGACACCCTCAGGCACACACGTGTGATCTGGTCTCATTTGTGCACAACCATGTGTGGTTCCTGTTGTAACATGCATGTGGGTGAACTCTTAGGCACACACGCACTGCACACAGAGGGACACCCATGTGTGGTGCCCGCTTGGCACACACATGGCCTCACCCCTTTCCTGCTGGTGTTTCCACTTAGCAGAAGTGGCCAGGAGGTGGCAAACTGCCGACCCGCCTTGGTGCCCCCATCTGGAGCCGCCAGGGCTGAGGCCAGGGCATGACTCAGGGTTCCTGGTTGCAGAAGTCAAGGGGCAGCCTTGGCTCAGGTTTAAGGCTGATTTCAGTGAGCGGCTGCTTGCTTTATGTTGTTCTTTTGAGTGGTGGGGAGGCAAAGCCCAGAGAAGCAGGGAGGTGGAGAGAGCCACACTGGCTCCGTTTTCCATTGTTGGGCCTCAATTTCCTCATCTGCAAGCTGAGCAGGGCAATCGTGTGCCACTAAATTCTACCACGACCTGAGGATGAGGCAGTGGAATGACCTGTGATTTTGAGGTAAGCCCTGCAGTAGATTCAAGGCAGGAGAAATCAGCCTGACAAGAGGCAGTCAAGGAAGGCTTCTTGGAGGAGGAGCACTTGTGCCAGACTGCATAGCCCATTCCTGCTGAAACAGAACCCAGAACTGAGCTGCCCTTCATGGCATGTGCTTGGGAAAGCTGTGGCAGGACCTTGGGCCACTTTTGTGCTGCTGCCTGTGATGTGCACCCTGTGTGCAGTTCCACACACGGGACCCTGCAAGGTTGATAGGATTATCCCCATTTTACAGATGGCAAAGCTGAGGCTTAGGTTTTATGGCCCATGTCAAAGAGCTGGGAAGTTAAAGCCTAGGTAGGAATGCCAGATCTGCTGCCCGATTTGCAGGAGCCCGCACGGTGTCCACATCTCCTGCAGTTGCCTTCTCCTCCTTCCTCACACCCAGCCCCATCTCATTCAATCCTTAGTGCTCTGTAAGTGACAAACTGACTCCTTTCGAATGACAGTACCTGGAGCCCATTATGGGCAAAAATTAGGGTACAGGTCCCTTAGGAACGAGTTGGAGCCTCCAGTGTGTGTCAAGTTCAGCATGCATGGTTCATTAACATGCCCTTGGCGTCTCTCTGTCCCATGGTGATCCCCCTTGCATGGGCAAGGGGTGACAGTAACCCCATCTCTCTGTTTGCAGATGATGGCAGTTGGGGCTGTCTCAGCCTCTTGGACACTTATGTCCTCCAGTGGGGTCAAGGGAGGGAGCATCGAAGATGAGGGTAACTGTCGGCTCCTGCTCTTGTGTTTTACATGGATGGGTCTCCAATCTCCTTCACAGCTGCCTGGGTGTGAAGATGCTCTGACTGTTCCCGGGGATGGGGAGTCCCTGTGGGGACAGCCTGAATACTCGAATCAGACAGACTCAGGCTCACATTTGCCCTTTGCCTTGTCCTAGAGCTTCATCTCATCTCCAAGACCTCTCAGCTATAAAACAGCCCTTGTATCACTGAAGCCTCACCAGGCAGGGATTCTCCTGGCTTGTTTACTCTGGAATCTTCTGTGTCTTGAATCAAGTAAATGCTCAATAGCCATCTGTTGGAATTGTGAACTACAGAGCCGTTTGTGTGAACTACAGAGCTATTAAATGAGATAAAATGTGGTTAGGGCCTGTTACACAATCAGTGCTTCATAAATGATCCCTGCTGTATTCATATAAAGTGCTTGGAACAGTGGCTGGAAAATAATAATAATACAATTAATAGTAATTCAGGATATGATGATTAATTTTTTAGGCTTCTGATACAAGTTCCGCAATAACAGTCACTCCTCTGGGCATCTGTTATTTGCCAGGCATCTTGTCAGGTGCTTTTCAAGACATCTTCTCATTAGACCTTCGTCGTGGCCTTGGGGGGCACCTTTTATTATCCCTATTTCACTGACTAGGAAACTAAGGCTCATAGATGCCATGACTTACCCATAATTTTATTTTTTAGTTTTTCTAGAGACAGAATCTAGCTCTGTAGTCCAGGCTGGAGTGCTGGGGTGCAATCCTAGCTCACTGCAATCTCCAACTTCTGGGCTCTAGTGATCCTCCTGCCTCAGCCTCCTGAGTAGCCGGGACTGCAGGCACACATCATCACACCTGGCTATTTTTAAAATTTTTTGTAGAGATGCAGTCTCACTATGTTGCCCAGGCTGGTCTCAAATTCCTGGCCTCAAGTTATCCTCCTGCCTTGGTCTCCCAAAGTGCTGGGATTCCAGGCATGAGCCACTGTGCCAGGTCCTTACTTATAATATCAAAACCAAGAAGGAGAGAAGCCAGGGGTTGAGATTACCTTCTCTGTGGAATATCCCCCAGTCTCGGTCTTTCATGGCCACCTAGGTAGTTTTTGCCCCATTATTAACCCAACGTCATTCTTTAAATCCACTTTACACTAACTCACTTAAAAAAGATTTTAGCCTCAGCCTTAGCAACAATATCCATGACATCCCAAATTGGAAGTGATGATATTTTTAATACACATAAAAATAAATATTTGAGAATTAAAAACAAAAAGTTTTATGCCTGTGTACCACCATCTCCCAGCCACTGGGGTGTTTAAACCTCTTTTTGGGATTTACTGATCCAGTTCAACCATCTTATTTCATGGGTGGGGAAATGGGAGTGTCACACAGAAAAGTTCAGTGATTTGCCTAAAGCCACACAGCAAACACAGCTGAGACCTCCTGACTCCCGAGCCTGGGGCATTCCCTGCCCCTCAAACAAGTGTGTATGTCAGGAGAGGCGGAGCTCACCCAGGGGTAGGCCCTGCCTGAGTTTGGAAGGAGACCAGGCTCCGCTTCACAGACACCATCTCTGTTAACCCTCAGCGCACCTCTTAAGGAATGCCTTCTTGTTCCTATTTTAAAGTTGAAAGGACTGAGGCTCAGAGAGGTAGAGCAAGTCTCCAGAGGACACACAGTAAGGGGTGGAGCTGGGATTTGAACCCCAGATCTGGGTGCTGTGCATTGGAGAATGTCGCTAAGGACGCGCGGACTTGGTGGAAGGAACACCGCTGTCAGGGGTGACGGTGCGGAGGACACAGGTTGGCTGGGAGCCTTCAGTGTTGGGACCGAACGGCCTTCTTTTCCTCTTAGCCTGAAACATCTATGCTGCTGTACCTTTCCGCTTTCTGGAATAGATTTAGGTTGCAGAGGCCTTTGCTGCAGCTGACGTGCTGCGTATTTTTAACTTGGAGAAGAATGTCCTGGGCTTTCTGAGCCTCCCGCCAGCCGTACCTCCTTGGGACCAGGAATGCAGCCTGCTTCCTGCCTTCAGTAGCCTCTCATTTTCTCCCCAGCCCAGCAGCCCTGTCTTCTCAAGTCGAGACGGCTAAAGGTCTTGGGAATTTTCGTAAAACTCTTAAACCTGGCTGTGAGCCAAAGGGAAACAGCTCAGAGAAGGCTGACGCTGTCTGGGAGATGATAGAAATATGGCATTCCTGCGGCAGGCGATTCCTGAATTTACGGGGGGCGGCATGCAGGCCCATCAACAAGCAGCCGGCCCTGATGGCTGGATCTTTGCGGCACCCAGAGACGCAGCCGGCAGGAAAAGAAGCGGAATAATCGCAGCCAGTTATGCAGCTTTTGCTGTGGGCCAGTGTTCATTGGTCTTCATGGGTTAGCTCCCCAAAGCCTCATGAGCTGAATGGGGTGGGTGCTATTGTTAGTGACCCAGAGAGGTACACTAACTGGTTCAGGGTCACACAGCCAGGAAGTGGTGGGCCTGGAATTCAAGCTCAGTCTTTGCTGCTATACATCCCTGTTACATACACCTAGACACATCCACCTATCCATGTATGTACACACAAGCAAGCACGGACACAATACATGTGTGCATGCAAACACACAGACAACATACACACAAAGACATGGATGCAGCACAAGAACACATATGCATATGCAACATGCATGCACATACAACACACGATGGACACAGTGCTTACACGAACACACGTACACACACGTATACCATGTGTGTGCATGCACTGACTCATAGACACATTCCAAAACCTGAAGCCAAAGTGCTTACCTGGCTATCTGGAGCAGGGCCAGGACTCTGTCCCTCAGACCCTGGGAGCACCAGCTTCCTTCCTCCCTTCCCTCCCTTCCCACAGATGTTTGCTGTGGTTCCGGCCAACTAGCCAGATGTGCGCCACGGCCCAGGATGTCTCAGAGACCCAGAGGCTGAGGGGGTTGCCAGACTGCCCCCAGATGTCTCCGTGACACCATCCGGCCCCAGGCTAAGAGGAGCCAGACCCTTGAAAGGGACCCATTGCTCTGCAAGGTTGCTGGGCTCTCATGGTGCGGGGGGCAGTTTGCCACGAGAGCTGAATTTTGTGGTCCAAGCAGGAATTCTAAGGCTGAGTCCAGTTTGAAGCTACCACGAGACTGGGGGCTAGCCCTCTGCCCTTCCTGAGCCTTAGTTTCCACTGCGTGCAATGGGGACAGCCAGGCCAGGTTGGCCTCTCGAGGGTGTCTTGGGGACTGAACACATTTAAAATGGAAAGGAATCTTAAAGATATCTTTAGTTCTCAATTTGCTGATGGGGAAACTAAGGTTCGTATCACACTGAGAGTCAGTGGCAAAATTGAGCTTGGAAACCGGCTCCTACAAATCTTGGCTGGAAATGTCTCATATTTAACTTAACCAGCTTCTTCATCGGCAGCATGTAGCGGAACACAGGAATGAAAAGATTGTTCTGTCTTCTTGCTAGCAGGCCTGTTCTGACATTTCCTTTTTGCCCTAAGACATTTTTCTCTGGGGTTACTGATGAACAAAATGGAATTTTTTCTGAGACGCATCCAGTTGGTCCAAATACCAGTGCCCCCAAATATAACATTTACTTCTCCCAAACCCCGGGCTTTGGTCTGTTTCACCCCAGACTCCCCAGTCCAGATTTCAGAGGCTTGGGGTCAACGGCAAGGACATTGCATTATAGTGCCCCGTACTGATGCGACTATAGGCTGGGTTTGGGCTGTCTCTCTCTTCTCAGGGAGGTGGCAAGGAGGGAGAATGTCAGTGTCAGGAGTATGGGCTTCCGAGTGAGGCAGATGTGAGCTCAAATCCCCGCCAGGTCTCTCACCAGCTGAGTGACCTTGGGCATGTTTCTTAACCTCTCTGAGCCTCAGTTTTCTCATCTGTAAAATGGGGATGAACGTATGTCTTGAGGCTTAAATAAGATAACAGATGTGCAGTGCTCAGCAGGGCTGGCACGGGAAGTGCTTGGCAGTTAAGCTCATTTTCCAGACAGACAAAGGGACGAGTCCTAGGTAGGCCACCTTCAGAAGGTGAGCACTGGGCAGAACCCGGGGCCAGATGAGCCCACAGCTTGGCTCTGGCTGTAGGCCAGCCTCCTGGGTGACGTGTGACTTCATTTTTCCATGCTTTCCCTCTGGAAAAGACCTCAGCTTCTCTGCAGCCACCATGCTCGCCTATCCTAATTTCTCTTTGCAGACAAAGATCCCTGTAACTAGTTCCTGCACTACCTACTCAGTCTCAGCCCTATAAAAAGCTGACCGGAGCTGTTATTTTAAGGGCTGTCACTGCATTTCCCTTCGAGGGTCCCTGCTGGAACTGGCCTGCCGTTCCCATGGCTGGTGGCAGATCTCTGAGCTGGCTTTCAAGGACAAGGAATGGACAGAGAGTGGCGGCCACTGCCTGGGGATGGGGGCTAAATTCATGCTCTGAGGAAGAGCAGCCCCACCACCCTCAGCCCTTCCTCTACTTTCTCTCTTATTTTTCGGCAGCCGGAGTACCTACTCTATGCTCCGAGGACCTCCCGGGTAATCTTTTTACAGATGAGGAAGCCATGACTCAGAGAGGGACAGCGCTTTCTCCAAGGACACACAGCAGAAAAGTGCATGGTTCTCCTGGACTCCCGGCTCCAAACGCTTTTCCCGGCTGCCTCTTTTCTTCATCTGCTGCCTCTTCTCCCCTCCCTGAACTCTTCCTCCTCTTCCCCTTCCTGTATTCCTTTCCTTCCTTCTCTTCCCTGTCTCCTTCCTCTTCCCCTTCTTCCTCTCTCAGCTCCAGTTTCCCTTCCCTCCTCTCTTCCAGGTCTTTCTCTAGACGTCTTCTTACCCCACCGGCTTTTCCTGTCGCCATCATCATTATAACATTGGAAACACATCAGGAGAGAGAGAGATGACATTCAGCAGCATGTCTGGGTTCCCCCCGGCCCAAGTCCTGCACCCAGTCCATCCCATGCATGATGTCCTTCAACAACCCCAGGAGATGGGTACCATATCTCACCATTTTACAGGCAAGGACAGGACAGGGGGACCCGGAGGAGGAAGCCACCTGCCAAGGTCACACATGAAGCTGGGGCTTGGGCTGGGGTCTCAGTGTAGATCTGGCTGACATCAGAGACTTCATGTTGTAGTAAACACACACACACTCACGCTTTAAAAAGGAGAGTTAACTTACAAACTCTCAAGCATACAGAGTATAAGAGAGCAGCGCAATGCATTTTTACATGTATACACCACCCATTACGAAATAGCACATTTTCAGCACCCGGAAAGTTTCCCTTGTGCTAGCCTCCCAGCTGACACCCAGAGTCCCTGGTCTTAACTCAAAACTTCAGCTCTAGCCGTATCTGGGCTGAAATCCCTGTTGTGTGACATCGATCAAGTTGATTTGCCTCTCCGTGCCTCAGTTTCCTGATCTGTAAAACAGAGCTACAATCCTCTCCCTCATAGGACAGCTGCAGAAAAACCCTGACTTAGGTCACGCAGCAGGCACAGCCGAGAAAGGTGGGCCTTGTGGTTAATGTTATGAATGTGCCGGAGCCTGGGCCCCCCCTGCTCCCAGCAGTCATGGAGGCTGCTGTCACCCATCAGGCCCCCAGCCCCTCTCTGAGTCCCAAGGCCCCAGCCTGAGAAGGCCCCAGGAGCCAGGCCTGCTTCTCTGGGGAAGTGAGGCACAGTGGCCCCTGACCCCAGCCATTTTCCCGACCCCCAGACCACAGCCTGCAAGAGGCTAACCTGCCCCCCGAATACTGCCGGTGACCCCCCCCTGGGCTGGCGAGGCTGCGCCCGCCCGCACCCATTCATGTATTTTGTATTATAAAATGACTGCTGTCTCCATGGCAACATAAAAGGAGCCGATCTCATTACTGGGGCCCGGACACATTATTTTCTCCAAGGAATTTCTTCTTTTCATTATTTCCCTCCAAAGGTCAGTTATCCTCTCAGGCGGGGCGGGGGGCGGCAGCGGGGGGGTCTTCGAAAGGTGAGCCGGATTCATGGCAGAATTCCCCTGGCGGAATTTACAATCATTTTGCCTTTTTCCCCTGCTCTAACACCGTTGGAGAGATTTTCTTGCGGCCAGGCAGTTCTCTTTAACCCCTGCAGCCCCGGCAGGCAGCAGACAGGCTGTTCCTGTTGCACTGTCCTGGGAATTCCCGCCCATCTCTGTGCCTCCTTCCTCCTCCTCACAGTCACCTGCAGCTGCCCGACTTCAGGTTCTGAGAGCAGGAGAGGTCTGCAGTTTGTCTGATTAACCATGGAGTAATTGAAGGGCTCAAAGGCAATTTGCTTTTATTCTAAGCCCTCCCACTGAGAAAAGCACTCCTTTAAAAGTTAATACTAGTGATAATAATAATTTATATGGATATCTGGAATGCTGTGTAGTGTAGTAATTCAGAATTTTGGTTCTAGGGTCAGAGGGACCGGGGTTCAAATCCTGCTTCTGCCAATTTCAGGCTGTGTGACCTTGGGCATGTTGCCGCATCTCTCTGAGCCTCGGTTTCCTTATCTGTAAAACAGGCCTCATACTGGCATCTGCCTTGCAGTGTGGGGTAAGGATGGAATGAGATATGTATGTAAATTACTGAGCACAGTACCTGGCACACAGGAAACAATATTGGTGATGATTTATCTTTGGGTATATAGCTGTCAGTTACTGTGTATGTCAGTTATCTGTTGATGTGAAACCAATCACTCCTAAGACTTAGTAGCTTAAAACAACAATAAGCATTTATTATCATTCATAGTTTCTGTGTTTTGGGCATCTGGTAGCAGCTTCATTGGATGGATTTGGCTCTGAATTTCTCTTGCTGTTGCAGTTGTGTGTCTGGGGCTACAGTTATCTGAAGTCCTGACCAGGGCTGAAAGCTCTAATTCCAGGGTGGCTCACTCATGGCTGGCTTTTGATCAGGGGCCTCAGTTCTTCTGGATCTTCACATGGTCTGTCCTCAGGGCTGCTTGAGCATCCTCACAAAATGGCAGCTGGCTTTCCCCAGAATGCGTGATCCAAGAGAGCAAGATGGAAACTGTGATGACTTTTATGATCTTCTTTAATCTTCTCAAGGGAGATTCAAGGCTGATTTCCATTTTACAGAGGCGGTTGGGGCCCAGAGAAGGAAAGCAATTTGCCCAAGCATTGAATTCCAGATCTGAGTTCTTTCTCCTGCCCCTGCTTCTCATGGACCCAGTAACTATGGTGGTTGGATTCTGCTGCTCCAAAGGGAGGGAGACTTGCTGGGAAGAGAAACTCTGGGCAGCCCGAGTCTGTATTGCAGCTGGTTGGGGCAGAGCAGTGCACAGACACTCAACAAGTGAAGCCAGTCAAAACACTCCCCCCAACGAAGCCAGTAGAAGAAGCGTGTTTGTAAAACTGACGGCGTTTTTGTTGACAGGCAAATGTCTATATTACATGGCAACAAATGGCTGGAAGATGCAAAAATGCAGTCAATCATCAGGGATTGTTTTTTCTCTTTAGAAAAGAAAAGCTCTCCCACCACCAAACAGGATGAGTGATGTTTGCTTTGTGTTTGCAGATCATTCTCTGATTTAGCAGGTTCCTGGGGTGCGGCTATGGAGACCCAGGGGCAGCCCAAGTCCTTTTGAACCAAGCAGGGAGGGGTTTTCAGGGTCTTTCCAGTGACCCAAGGGAGGAAGGGCTGCGCTGAGATGTGCCACTTTCAGGCAGAGAGAGAGAGAAAGATCTGGGGGTGAGGGGTACTAGACCTCTGGATCGGGTGTCATCGGCTCGCTCCTTGGCATAGTTTCAGACCCGATTTTCTGGCTGACTTTCAGAACTACAGTATTGCTCAAACTCTGCTGTGCTCAGAGCCTCGTAGGAGAACTGGTGAGAATGCAGATGCCCAGGCCCTAACCCTGGAGATTCTAATTCACAAGGCTAGGGAGGTGGCCTAGGTACCTGCATTTTAAAAATACCCACCTTCCCCTTCCTAGAGATACTAATGCAGGTGGTCCTGGGAAAACACTCTTGGAAAAACACGTGATGTGGAAGATAGACCCTGTGGCCTCTGTTCCCTTGATCTAGCACATTCCTGGTCATGTCAGGGCCCAGCTGGGCTGTGTCTCCAGGAAGTCATCCCTGATCCCCTCTTTCACAGAATAGGTCGCACTCGTAATGACACTGCTGCGCCTATCCCTCTCATTTCTTCTGGCTCAGTTTCTCAGAACTACACAAGGGGAGCCTGAGGTCTGAGTCCTCTGCCTGATGTCAGTTCTTCAAATGTGGAAGCCATTAGTTCATTCATTCATTCATTCATTCATTTGCCAGGTCTGTATTGAGCACCTGCTGCATGCCAGGCACTGAGGACAGAGCAATGACTGAGACAGATTTGGTAACTGTAACTGTTGCCCTCCCAGAGTCCAAGGTCTAATGGGGGAGACAGCTCAAACAAGCCAAGACACAACTCTATAAAACATCTGTAAGTTGTATGTTTCCCAAGGGGATAAACATAGATGGGGACCTGGGGGGCAGCTACTTTCACTACAGGGCTGGACAGAGAAGGGCTCTTCGAGGAGAGGACTTCTGGGTTGAGATCCAAAGATAAGAGGAGGCTGATTACTTGAGAACTGGAGAAATGCCGTTCCAGGCAGGAGGAACAGCATGTGTAGCGGTCCAGGGGCAGACAAGACCCAGAAGTGTTCAAGGCAGAGGAAGAAGGCCAGCGTGGCTGGAGTGGAGTGGGTAAAGGGGAGAGCACCATGAGATGGGCATGGAGCACACCACATACAGACTGCAGCAGAGTCTGGGTTTTATTCTGAATCAGACAAGAAGCTGTCAGAGAGTGTTGCATGGTTAGAAGTGAAAAGGCTGGCCGGGTGCAGTGGCTCAAGCCTGTAATCCCAGCACTTTGGGAGGCCGAGATGGGCAGATCATGAGGTCATGAGATTGAGACCATTCTGGCTAACACGGTGAAACCCCATCTCTACTAAAAATACAAAAAAATTAGCCGGGTGTGGTGGTGGGTACCTCTAGTCCCAGCTACTCGGGAGGCTGAGGCAGGAGGATGGCGTGAACCTGGGAGGCGGAGCTTGCAGTGAGCTGAGATCGTGCCACTGCACTCCAGCCTGGGCGACAGAGCAAGAAACCATCTCAAAAAAAAAAAAAAAAAAAAAAAAAAAAAAAAGAAGTGAAAAGGCTAACAGCACACCATTTTTTGGACCAGATCCCTATCCTTTGGCAAGTGAAGCGTTAGCATTTTACCCATTTCCTGGGAAGCTTGCAGTAAATGTGGCAATTACTACTATTATGACTTAGACCTTAGATGCCACCTCCTCCAGGAAGCCGTCTGTGCTTCTGCTCCAACAGCTTCGTATTCACCTCCACCAAAGCATTCGTGATGGATACATGAATATGCCATGACATGCCAATATATCTGCAGAACTGTAGCCAGTGCCCGTTTTGCTGAATGGGAGAATCCAAGAGGGCTCAGCCTCATCTTTCATCTGTGTCTTCCAAACACTGAGTGAGGCCTGGCACAGAGGAGTGTGTGCGTAGCATGGTGGGCAATGGTGAAATCAGACTGAGTTCAAATCCTTGTCTACCGTTGGCTAGCTGTGCAACCTTGGAGGGCTCCATGAGGAGTGAAGAAATAGTAGTCTTTGTCAAGGTGTGTGCTGTGATGAGTAGGAGAGCAAGTGCCTACAAACTACACACCACGGTGTTTGGTGCACAGAGAGTGCTGATGGCTGTTGGCTGTGCTTGTTATCCTGTACCCAGATATTTATTGAATAAAGGTTTTGGGGGCAGCCCCGCTACCCTTTCATTGCTCCCACCACCCTGCCACTGCCTGCTCCCACCCTCCTGTGGACAGGAGTTTGGCTCATCAAATCCTTGAGTGCTGGATAAGGATGTGTCAGGTTTGATATCTGGCTGCTACTTCCAGTTTCTCGGATTTCCGGTCCTCATACACTTTGGAGATCTGTGTGGGGATTTGTGGTGACCTGGGCACTTTATAGTGAAACAGCCAGAAGAGCCTGGAGAGGGCCTGGGGCTGGGGATCACAGGACCCCCACCCCCAAAGCTGATTCCCTGGTTAAAAGTACAGGAGGACACTTTCCCTGGGAGGGGACGGGGACGGTAGGACATTGTCCCTCAGATGGGATGTTTGGAGCTTGGGTCACTCCATATCCATCTGTCCGTCCATCTGTCCATCTGTTAGTTGATTATTCACTGAGCACTGCCTGTGTCTGGCACTGGGGACCCAGCAGAGAACAAGGCAGATGCCATCTCTGGCCTCATGGAGCTGATGTTCCCTGCAGAATAAGAAAGGAGCCGGTGTTTGGTGAGCGCCTGATAAGCGCTGGGCATTTCTCCCACGTGATTTTTTTGGGCTCACCATCACTCAAGGTTGGTTTTGTTGCCCTGCTTTCCAGATACCAACCTGTGAGGTTCAGGGAGGTGATGTCAGTTGCCCAGGGTCACAGGCTTGAGGGTGGTCATGCTGGAATTTGGACCCAGCCTGTCTGGTTCCCCTATATCTCCCATCTTTCTGTAAAAGGGAGCTTACCTTCAACTTGGAGGTTGCCGTTCTGTCCCACCTCTGTGGTGCTCCGATTCTTAACCTGGATCTGCCTGAGGACAATATCCACGTCTTCTATATCCTGGTTCCCCGCAGATTCCAGCATGTTGCCAAACTGGCAGCAAGGGTGAGACATCAGGGCACCAAACAGAACCCTTCCAGCATCCGTCCCCTTTTGGGCCCTGGTTAACCCACCTTTTACATGAAGCCTGCCCTGATTGCCCCAACAATGGGGACCTTACTTTCCTGTCTCTGACCCTGAGAAGCCCAGACTCTCTGAGGCATCATTAGTGCCACCATTCTCCTCCCCCTTGCATTCGCTCCCGCTCCTCTAAGTGGCAAATATTAATTAAGCACCTCCTGCGGTGAACTGTGCAGTGGTTATGGGCATGATCTCTGGGTTCAGAGGGCCTGGGCTTGAACTCAAGCTCTGCCATTAGGGATGTGGCCCTATGAAAGTCCCATTACTGCCCCGACCTTCCATTTCTTTATTTCTAATGTCAGAAGGTTCTTCTGAAAATTAAATAAGATACAATGTAGCCCTTCCTTCTTCCTTCCTTCCTTCCTTCCTTCCTTCCTTCCTTCCTTCCTTCTCTCTTTCTGTCTTTCTCTTTCTCTCTTTCTTTGACAAAGTCTTGCTCTGTCACCCAGGCTGGAGTGCAGTGGCAAGATCTCAGCTCACTGCAACCTCTGCCTCCCGGTTCAAGGTTTCAAGTGATTCTCCTGCCTCAGCCTCCTGAGTAACTGGGACTAGAGATGCATGGCACCATGCCTAACTAATTTTTGTATTTTTAGTAGAGACGGGGTTTCACCATGTTGGCCAGGCTGGTCTTGAACTCCTGACCTCAAGTAATCCACCTGCCTCTGCCTCCCAAAGAGCTGGGATTACAGGCGTGAGTTTCTTTCAATTAAGAGAGTGAATCTGGGAGACTTCAGAGCACACCAGCTATATAGCCAGGAAGAAAATCGCTCTGCCCAGTAGAATTCCTGATGACTTGCTAAGAGCGGATGAAGAGCTGTGAACTAACCCCTCTTAGTTTAACCGCTCACATCAAGCCATCAAATAAGCTTTGGAAGAATACCTATTACGTATTTACTACTGAGAAGGGATCAAGACACACGAACAGACAATTCTGTGAAGTGCACATCTGTGCCTTCTCTCCTGATGTTTCCCTCCCCAAGGGCTCCACAACATTCTTCAGCTTGGAGCACAAACCTGGAGTTCCTATGAACTTTCACTGGAAGGATATTGTTAACACCCCCTGCTCATTAGTATTTCTGCCAGGTGTGACCCTTGAAGAAGCTTCATTCATTAGGCAGATGTATCAATAATCCAGATATATCTTTCAGGCAATTTTTTTTTGTTTTTTGTTTTTTAATGAATAAGCATTTATTCTCTTTAAGGCCCTGGAAAACATGGGCTTTGGTGCTAGAGCATTCAGCTTACGCAAAACACCGTGAATGCTAAAATTTGCTTCTTTTTGATTTAGTCTCTTGCTAGCTTGAAGGACTGGATTTTATAACAGGTCAATTTCAGACCATTTGATATTGATATATGAAGATCCTTAGGGATTATTGAATGCATTTTTCATCCAGCTGCGATAGTATCATATAAGGAAAATGGGATTGACTGTTAAGTACAAATTGAAAAAGACATGGTCATTTAAGATAACTCCTTATCTGTATACAAGGAAATGGTATCAGGGAAATAGACCACCAGTTGACAGAAATAAATTTCACCTTGGGTTCCTCCTCCACACACCTCCTCGACTGCTGTTCACACTCGTCTGGGATTATTCAATTATTCTGGGAGCTCTTTCCTGGGGCCCCTGTTAGAGGATGCGTCTGGAGGGAGAAGAAAGTCCTCTGCTGTTTTATTCTAGAAGGAAGGATTGGATAGGAAGAGCTGGGGCCATTCGTGGGCTAACCCTTCAGGACTTTGCAATGGGGCAGCTTTATCCCAGAATATGGCAGGTCTTCCCAGCAGAACCTCTGATGCTTGCTATAATAGAGCAGGCGGAGAGGTGAGAACAATGATTTCACACCTTTTTTCATCCACCAGGCTCACTCACATGACCTCTGTTGCTCACACTGGGGACACTCAGCCTGTGTCCTGGGTGATGGGTTGAGAATTTCTATTCTTACGTGGTAGAACGCTTTTCATAATTCACATCTCTTCGGCCCATGACAGCTCACACAATCTTTTGGAGTGGCGTATACACCCTGTGAGCCAACGTGAGTTCTGCCTGACTCCTAAATCTGTACGTTTTCCTGCATCGTGCACAAGAATTGTGGATTTGAAGCCCAGTTGGAAAATTCCCCAAGCCCCCAGATATTCCCTTTGCTGATGGTTGGGATGGCAGGAAACTTTTCTGGTCCTCTAGAGTGGTAGAGTGCACTGGCCTGTTTCTGTTCTTCCTGTGCCCTCTTCTCTACCACTCTGGGGGTGGTAGAGGAAAAGGGCTGCTACTTTTACAGGTCCTACTTGTGGAGAGGTCAGCTGGGAAGTGCATGCTCTGGGTCCCCTAGAGAACAAGGCTTGGGGTGGTGTTGGACATGACCTTGAGGGAAGCAGGGTACATGCTCCAACTTGGCTCCTCTCACACTACAGGGGAAGTCAACATCAGAAATCCTCTCCAACTTCATAGAGGAAAGGGCTTTCAGAGACCTTAGAGACCTCAGGGGAACCAGGTGATTTGAGGCCTAAAAGTCATCCCCCTTAAGCTGACTTAAGGCTAACTCATTATTCCTGAGGACTTACTGTGTGCCAGATTTGCCACTTCCAGGAGACTCTGAGAAGGGCGTGATGAAAATTGGACCAGTCTCTTTATATGCATAATGTTGTTAGAACTCACAGCACCATCACTCTCATTTTATGGATGAGCATCATCAGCTGGGCAACGTGACCCCCATTTTACAACTGAGGAAACTGAGGCTCGAGGTGAGAAGTAACTTGAACAAGTCACACAGATGTTAGTGGGAAAGTAATTTGAAACTGGGGTTGTTTAACTTTGAAATAATTCACTCATTCACTCATCCACTCATTTTTTCATTCATGCATTTCCTTACCCACCTACCCATTCATCTTTCCATCCATCCTTCCTTTCTCCCTTCCTTCCTTCTGTTCATCCATACACCCACCCACCCACTCACCCTTCCTTCCATCCATCCACCCATCCATGCATCCATGCACCCATCCATCCATCCATCCATTTATTTTTCCTTCCACCCATCCCTTCATCCATCCTTCCACCCCTCCATCTATCCATCCATTTATTTTTCCTTGCTTCCATCCATCCATCCATCCATCCATCCACCCATCCATTCATTCATCCACCCCCATCTATCCATCCATTTATTTTTTCTTCCTTTCATCCATCCATCATCCATCCATCTATCCATCCATCCATCCATCCATTCATCCATGCAATCACCCACCCACCCACCCATCCATCCGTCCACCCATCCACCCACTCACCCATCTATCCATTCATCCATCCAATGTCAATCAAGCACGTGCTTGGCAATAACCTCCCTTAATCGCTATGAATGATTTCTTGGGGCATCAAAGGGGACCCCAAGGCTTTCCCCAGGGCTACCACATCCTGGGGCTGACCAGAAGCCATCATGACAAGACACTGGAACCATGTTGAAGGCCTTAGTCTAAGCTTTGCCAGGAAGAGGCAGGAGGCAACAAACTGCAGGACATCTCCCACCTGGCATAGGGATTGGAATGTGGCATCAGAAGATGCGCTTGGAAGATGGTGTGTTTGGGGGGTGGAGAGAGTGGCTGGCATAAGTAGTTCACTTCCCTCCCAGAAACCCACAGGCAAACTCTCTCCACCAGCCTATAATTCCAGCTCACCTGTCAATGGGCACAGGGCATGGAGCCAATTCTTTCTGAGTCTCATGAATCACAGCACTCAATTCTTTGGTACTAATAAAATGCACTCTCTCTCAAAGACTTGACTGAATGAACCACAAGTCCATCGAGATCCTCAAGTCTCCTCTCTCCTTCTCTCCCTCTCTCTGAGTCTGCACTCAGGCAGGGCCTTAAATTGCTGGCTGAAAAGGTGATGTGCCCTTGGGGGCTGCAGGTCTGCTTGGCAGGAGCTGTGGGTGGGGTCCAGGGCCCTGGGTTCAAGACCTGCCACCCTCTGGTCCTGACCTAAGGAGATTGTTCCTACGGCTTCTGAAGTCTCTTCCAGCCTGGCCCAGCAGGGGCTGACTTTCTCTAGTGCAGAGTGGTTAGGCAACCCCACTTATCTGTAGATCTCCAAACGTAGTCCTTGTATTCTAGACATTCACAGTCTAGAGGAAAGACAGATGTGCCAGCAGCTGTAATTCACAATCATAGTGATGCAGGAATATTAGGTGAACCAAAACTGTTACTAGTTTCCTGTTGCTGCTATAAAAAATGACCATAAAATTAGTGGCTTAAAAATAACAAAAATTAATTTTCTTACAGTTCTAGAGGCCAGAACCAAAATCAAGATGCTGGAAGAGCTGTGCTTTGTCCAAAGGGCCCAGGGAGGACGCTTTCTGGCCTCTGCCAGCTTACGATGACTCCAGGCATTCCTTGGCTTGTGGCCACATCACTCTAGTTCCACCTCCATCTTTGTGTAGCTTTCTCATGGGGAGCTTCACTGATCCTGAGCCCAGGATGAGGCACTTTGTGTTCATCATCCCTAGGAATCACTGAAGACAGCTATGAGCCAGGTGGTGCGGTGCCCGTTGCACAGAGGAGGAGAGCGAGGCCCATGTCCTGTCCTCGTGGGGTGCTCAGCTGCAGCAGCCCGGAGCCCTGAGGTGGCCACGAACTCTGGCCAGGGGGTGGCAGGGGCACTGTATGCGTTGTAGGGCCTGTTTGGGAAGACATTGAAGAGTAGGCGCCGGTGAGTCAGGTTATCTCCAAAGAGAAGTCAAAGATGAGCTCTGGGTGGAGAGTGTGACCCTGAGTGGCCCTCTTCATTTTACAGATGGGGACACTGAGCCTCAGAGAGAAGAACGATGTGGCCAGGGTCCCGCAGCGAGGATGCGGCAGAATCAGGATTGGAACCCAGACCTGTCTGACTCCAGAGCTTTCGGGGACTAGGATTCTTTCTGCACGCCTTTCTCTCTCGCCAAGGTATGGACCTTCCATAATGATGAACGAGCGCCGACATTTGCCAAGTGGCTGCTCTGTGCCTGACCTGGAGCTCAAAGGTCTGGAAGAGACTCCAGCTGTGGCCTTGATGACCAGTGCCTTGGGGAGGGCAGAGAGGGGGGAAGCCCCGGGAGACGGTGCAGCAGTGGGAGTGAGTGTCAGCGGAGACCCCTTTAAAACCACTCCCAGGGCAGAGGGATGGAGGCAGGAGAGGCCCCTGATGACCCTGGCTGGAGCCACCATTGTCACTCCTCTGGATTATTGTGGCAGCCTCCTTGAAGGCGTTCCTACCTCCATCCTTGTCTCCCAGTAGCCTATCTTCAGCTCCAGCAGCCAGAGGGACCCTAAGGCATGAGTCTGCACAAGACATCATCTGCTGCACACCTTCCCAGAACCCCCTCTCACCGACAGCGCCAATGTGCTCCGGACACCCACACTTCCCTGCCTTCACCCATCTCTCAGGTCCCGCCCCAACACCTCAGCCTCCTCCTGGCTCCCTGACACCTTCTGCCTCAGGCCTTGCATTTGCTATTCCCCCTGCCATGACTGTTCCAGGTCCAGACATCTGCAGGGCCATCTTCCTCATCTCCTTCCCAATGTGACTTCTGCCACCTTCTCCACACGGTCTCCCTGGCCACCCTCTTAAGTTATTATCCTGGCCCCAGGACTTCCCATCGCCCTTCCCTGCTTTATTCCCTGCTTGACGGCACTTTTCACCTTCTGCCATATCACCTACTTATTTATTATCTTCCTCCCCTCAACTAGAATATAAATTTCGTGGAGGCAGCAAGTTCTCTCTGCTGCGTTCACTGTTCAACATCCAGGAGGCTTGGCACCTACAAGGCATGTAGTGGACCTCAATCCATCTTCTATGAATGAACAAATGGGTGTCAATCACAATTTTGGGGGTTTTGGTTAATGATCGAGGAGCCACATAGGAGAGTGGTTAAGGGGACAGACTCGGGGTCAGCTAGACATTAGATCAAATTCCAGTGGTGCCACGTATCAGCTGTGTGACCTGAAGCAAGTGACTCAGGTTCTCCGTGCCTTGATGTTCTCACCTGTTCAGTGTGGATGCTAGCCTCACCTGCCTTGGGAGGAGCTTGTGAAGACTGAGTGAGCCATTGCATGCAGGGCAGGTAGCATGAGGGGAATACAGTAGGTGCTCACTCAGTGACAGACCTTATTACTACAGATGCATGGGAGATTCTTGGAATTTCAGCAAAGGGGCTTGGAAGATCATCTGACCTTTCTTCCCCTTGCAAGTGGGGAAGCCAAGGCATATTCCAGAGCCTGGGGAGGGTCAGAGCTTTTCTTTCTTTTTTTTTTTTGAGATGGAGTCTCGCACTGTCACCCAGGCTGGAGTGCAGTGGCGCGATCTCGGCTCATGGCAACCTCCGCCTCCCGGGTTCAAGTGATTCTCCTGCCTCAGCCTCCCAAGTAGCTGGGACTACAGGTGCCTGCCACCACGCCCAGCTAATTTAGTAGAGACGGGGTTTCACTGTGTTGGCCAGGCTGGTCTCGAACTACTGAACTTGTGATTTGCCCGCCTTGGTCTCCCAAAGTGCTGAGATTACAAGCATGAGCCACCGCACCCAGCCAACTTTTCTTTCTACGTTAAAAGCCTGAACCCCCAGGATTCTCCAGGGTGAAGTCGAAGCTTGCAGCCAAGCCCTACTTCAGGGGCAGAATTCTCTGCTCTGGGCTGTGTGGAGCAAACACAACTGGGCCAGAAAGGCAGCTATATTCATCGGCGTTCTCTAGAAAGCCAAAACCAATAGAAGAGAAAAGCATAAACACATATATGAATATATATAGAGATTTTTATATAAAATATATACTTAAAAGATTTATATATAGAAAGAGGTTTATATATAAACATATATGAGGAGATTTATTATAAGGTTTTGGCTCATGCAATTGTGGAGGCTGAGGAGTCCCGGGGGGAATCTGCCATCTGCAAGCTGGAGATGGAGGAGGGCCAGTGGCGTAGGCTGAAGGCCTGAGAGCCGATGGTATAGATTCTTGTTGGTGTCCAAAGACCTGAGAACTTGGAGCAAGAGGGCAGGAAAAAGACCAGTGTCCCAGCTCAAGCAGTCAGGCCAAAGGAATTCAGCTCTCCTCCACCCTTTTGTTCTATCCAGGCCCTCCCCATCCTCATGGGGCAGGGCCATCTTTACTCAGCCCGCCAATTTCAATGGCAGTCTCTTGCAGAAACGCCTCGCGGACACACTCAGAAATATGTTTAGTCCTGAAAGATGAGCCCTAATTCCACCCAGCAGCTGGCACATCTGGACCGTGACCACTGGGGCTGACCCTTGGGGCTGCTGTCACGATTATGTCCTTGGGACACCTGGGAGGTTCAAGCCACTGGCAGCAGCTGGGTTGGACCAACAGCTGGTGAGTTGGGCTGGTTAAAGGCTGGCTGGGGTCATGTGCATTAACAATACTTTGCAGCTTGTGGGATCCATAAAACCTCACCTGCAAGGTCCCAGGTAACCAGGTAAGGTTTCCCTGCTCTGTTCATGTCCTCCTGCTTACCACTGCAGACAGTGAGTGATCTTGTTAAAGCACACATGAGATCAGCCCCTGCAGTGCCTTCTCCCTCTCCAGAGAAGGAAAACTAGACTCTTCCCCACGCTTGGCCCCCCAGGCCCCTCAGGATCAGACCCCTTCTTCCTGTGGGACCCGAGGTCTTGCAACTCTGTCCTCTCCCACTCCCTTGCAGTGACACCAGCCTTGTCTCTGTGCCACAAGCATGCTGAGCTTGCCTGGACCCCAGGGCCTTTGCACATACTCTCCTTTTCTGTGGAACCTCCTCCCCCCAGACCTTGACGTTGCCCACTTGCCTCCTGCTGCTACCACCTCCTTAACTCCTGGCAACCACTAATCCGTTCTCCATTTCTATAGCGTTGTCATTTTCACAGTGGAATGTAAATGGAATCATGCAATGTGTAACTTCTATGGGTTTTACTTTTTGGATTGGACATAATTTTCTATTGATCCATCCAGGTTGTCGTGTCCTCTTCAAACCTCCCCTCTCCAGATAGGCCCCTGACACCACTCCTGCTAAGTCACCTTGTTTTGTTGTGAAATTTTCTTGTTTATGTGATAACTGGTTTAACATCCAACTCCCCTAGTGGAGAGTGAACTGAGCCTGTTGTATCCATGCAGCCCCTCCCGCCTTGGTAAAAATGCCCCACACAGAAGCAGTGCTTAATAAATATTAATTTCTTTGCTGAGTGCGTGCTCAGTTGCAGATGTGGACACAGAAGCTCAAAGAGGAGAAGGGATGTGTCTTGTACTCCACTGGGCAGTGAGTGAGTGGGCGGTAGAGTCTGGAGCAGGAGGCAGGTGCCCGATTCCCCACATGCTGGGCGCTTCTCCTGTACCCTATTTTGGGCTTTCCCATAACTCTCTGCCAGTCTCATCGCAGCCCGCCGGGAGGTGGGGCAGCTGGGTTGGAGAGGTGAGGATGTGGCTCTGTGGCTGAAGGTTTGGGAGGAGGGCGGTGCTGGAGAGATAGCCACCGAGGGGTACGGTGTGGGTATGGGCATGGTGTGGCCCACCCACATGGAAAGGCTAGACAGACCTCAGCACTCCAGGGAAGATGCTGTCCCTTCTCTCTTGGCCTGGCGTGCCTTGTTCACTCACTTGCAGCCTGCAACCCCCACAGGGCCCAGGTGGTGAGTGGCCACACCAGCTGAAAGTACCAAAAGTTTCTGGCCGTCTGGAGCCCAAACATGTAAGCTATGGGAACCCATAGCTGGCATGCCCGCCAGTGACACTAACAGGGCTGGCATGCCTGCCAGTGACACTTCCCAGAGCCTGCACATTCTGGAGCTGGGGAATACCCTGGGGACCCTAGATCCGGTGGGTCTCCAAACTGCTGGTAACCCTGAAAGACGGAGTGGGGGCTGTGGGCCAGGCATTCAGTTCAACAAGAGTGTCTTCGTGTGCACCCGGCACACATATGGGCCTCATAACATTCTACTTGTAGAATGGGCTCTGTGGTTTTTATTTTTATTTTTAAATAAATCTTTTTATTTTGAGATAATCGTAGAGTTGCATTCTGTTGTAAGAAATGATACAGAGATACCGTGTATCCTTTACCTAGTTTTCCCTAGTGATGACATCTTGCAAAAAGTCTAATGTCCCAACCTTGATATTGACGTTGATACAGATACAAAACATTTCAAGATACAAAACATTTCCATCCCTCAGGTGGCCCTTTTCTAGCAGCCACGCCCACTTATCTCCTGCCTCCACCACCTCCTTAACTCCTGGCAACCACTAATCCGTTCTCCGTGTCCATAATTTTGTCATTTTCACAATGGAATGTAAATGTACATACAGCATGTAACTTCTCTGGGTTTTGCTTTTTGGATTGGACATAATTTCCCATCGATCCATCCAGGTTGTCGTGTGTATCGATAATCGTTCCTTGTTACCGCTAAGTCATATTCCATGATGTAGCTGTGTCACAGTGTGTTAACCCAGTCACCTGTTGAAGGGCACCTGGGTGGTTTCCAGTTTTGGGCTATTACGAATAAAACTGCTATAAACATTCATGTACAGGTTTTTATGTGAACATAAGTCTTCATTTCTCTGGGATCAGTGCCCAGGAGTGCAATTGCTGGGTTGCGTGGTAGAATATTTACTTTTTAAAGAAACTGCCAACCTATCTTCCCCACTGTACAGCGTGAGAGGGAGCCCGTTTTCCCTCATCCTCACTGTCATTTGGTGTTGCCACTTTTTTTTTTTTTTTTTTTATTTTAGCCATTCTGACAGGGGAGTGGTGATAGCTCATTGTGGTTTAAATTTGCATTTCTCTAATGGGTCTGCTGGTTTTTTTTAATGTTTTGAACCATGATTGGGTCCCACTGGCCCATTTCACAGATGAGAGAAACTGAGTCCTGGAGACTGCAATAAACATGGATCTCCTAGTTTTCACCCTGATCATAGGCCATTCAGAGAGGAGGGAGATTTTTGAATAGCTCTTTAAAAGCATGCGTACTTTTACTTGGAGGTGTGGAAAGCATCATTCTGGTATTTTAACTGAGGCGGGTGTGCTTTCTCTGATGTCCTGCCCCTCAGGATTCTTGTCCACTTGGAGTGCTGGCTTCAAGCTGTCTCCGAGGGATGTGTTGTCCCCCCACAACGTTGCTGGATGCAGGGACACCTCTTCTTTATAGATCGAGAGCTCTCTTGAGCTGCTCTGAGGGCAATGGTGGAGTCTGGCCAGGGAGTGGGGGCTGCCTGACACTGACCCCCACCCAGTCCACAGAGGCGTTGCATCTTGATGCTAAGGGGGTGTCACTAATCTCTGCCCTGAGAGAGACATGGCCACCAGCGAGGCTCGAGGCTATAGCTGGCCTGGGAGCCACAGGTCAGGGTTGAAGCCCCCCCCAGCCGTGCCCTTCTCCCTCTCCGGGCCCCCTTGCCCTCTGTCCCCCACACTGCCACTATCCATTCCTCACAAAACATCTTCTCCCCTCCTTGGCCTCCCAGAGCTGTTGTGTGTCTTATTTTATCTCATTTTATTTTTGGAGAAAGACGCATTTGTGAGACCCAGGAGGAGGGGAACACGGCATCTGTGAAGGAAGGGCGTCTGGAAAAAGACAACACAGGCGCACACACACACACACACACACACACACACACAATTTTTAAAAGCATGGTAATAAATGCTATTCAAAAAAAAAAAAAGAAAAAAAGTAGAGAAAAACCCACCCCACAATCTCTGAAAAACACAGCCCATTGAAATGACAAGCCGAAAATCATTTGCTAAGCGCCGAAACCATTCCCTTTGTCACCCAAATCCTTCTGTTGACAGTTACCTTTCAATCCCACAATTGTGTGGCAAGGGCTGATTTTTATTCAATGTTCTATTCACCCTCCGTATTAATGAAAAGGGAGGAGGGAAAAAAACTTGTAAGAATGGTGTTTAATAGGCTGATAGACAAGCCGTCTGGATTCCCCAGCCAACCCCCTCTTATCGGTGGCTCACAGTGGGGCTGACGCTGTCTCTCTGTCCTGGCTCAACTTGGCGTACTTGCTCAGTCTTGGCCCCTGCAATAGAAACTCTGGGATGGATGGATTGATTTTCTTTATATATATATATATATGGTTTGATCTTTTCTTCTTTAGGGAGGAAGGAACACACACAGGTCATGACTTCATCCTATGATTCAGATACGTACCCAACAATGTTTATTGAGTGTCTACTGTGTGCCAAGGGTCTCTGCTGGGTGCTGGGGTTGGGCATTGGACTTTGAACCGGCAGACAGATCAGCAAGCCAGGTTGGTCCAGGTGTCAGGAGAGATCATCGTAGGCCCCACTGATGTAGGAGACTGTGGGCCTCAAATCATTTCTCTAAGTTCCCCCAAGGCAGAGGGGCCTGGAAACTGTCTGGCCCCATCTTTGCACAGATGGGTTGTATTTCAGCATCGAAGGAGGAGGCTGCCCTGGGTTTCGTACTCACCTCTCTTCGTGCCTGGTGCGAGGCAGGGGGCTGGACAACACGAACACCCCAGTCAGTTCTGTTCAGAGACTGTATGGGATCTTGAGGCTGGAATCTCACCTCTGCCATTTACTTCCTGAGGCGCCTTGGGTGAGTCGGTTCACCTCTCTGAACCACAGCCCCCTGTCTGTTCTGTGAGGGTAGTGACATCATTGTAGTGGAGTAGCATGGAGGAAAAAGGGAGATTCTGTGAGCTGAAGTCCCTGGCCCATTCTCTTTCTCTCCCTCTTTTACCTCCTCTCTTTGTTTTCTCTCATGGATTCTAGAACTCCATGATGAGTGCTGTGCTGGGGCCAGGTGGAGGGAGAGCTCAGGAAAGCAGAGAGGAGTGCAGCTTAAAGGATGTGTTTCTGACAGTGAAACTGGCTCCCTGGGTGGGTGATGAGCTCCCCACCATCCGAGCGGTGTAAGTGGAAGCCAAAGCCAATGCCAACCTGGTGAGGATGTTCCAACAGTTGCCACGTGGATTGAGGAACCGGTACCAACCTTGCAACCAGCCCACTTCCAGTCCTGCTTTGTTCCCTACACAACCCACTCCATCCCCAGACCCTATAGCAGTTGGCCTCATTTTGCTTCCATCACACAGGCCCCATACTGGGAGGCATCCTTGAATCTTCTCCTACCCACCACCCCGTGCTCGACCTCGGCAACTTCATCTTTAAAACATCTCGAGTGGTGCAGTGACTCACGCCTATAATCCCCGCACTTTGGGAGGCCGGGGTGGGCAAATCGCTTGAAGTCAAGAGTTTGAGATCAGGCTGGCCAACATGGTGAAATCCCATCTCTACTAAAAATCAAAATTAGCCAGGCGTGGTGGTGGGTGCCTGCAATCCCAGGTACTCGGGAGGCTGAGGCAGGAGAATTGCTTGAACCTGGGAGGCGGATGTTGCAGTGAGCCGAGATCGCACCATTGCATTCCAGCCTGGGTGACAAGAGTGAGACTCCGGCTCAAAACAAACAAACAAACAAACAAAACAAAAACACATCTCAAGGCCACCAGCTCTCACCCCCTCCCTACACCTTTTACCTGGCACCTGCAGTGGCCTGTCTCTGCTCCCTGCTTCTCCCCGGGCCCTTCAGTCCTTCCTCTTCACAAAGCAGAGGGAAGCCTTGAATCCATGTGTCGGATCTCCCCCATCTGCTCAGAACTTTCCGATGACCCCCATCTCAAGGCCCTCATAACCCAGCCCCTGTTACCCACAACTACTGCCTGTCTCCCTCCTATTTGCTCCATTCACACCTCCCCGGAACTTTTGCTGTCCCTCGAATATGCCAACTGTGTTCCCTGTGCGCTGGCTGTTCCCTTTGCCTGGAATGTCCTTCCCCCAGGTCCTCACAGGGCTGCCCCCTTCTCCGTTCAAGTTTCTGCTTTAAACACCACCTCTGAGAAGTCTTCCCTGATTCCCCATCTGTCACTACCTAACCCCCTTTTCAGCTTTATCTTCCTTCTCTGCACAAATCACTGCTTTATACCACATCATGTATGTGTTCAATGGATCATTGTCTGCCTCCCATGCTGGCCCATGAGCTCCTGAGATCAGGCATTGTGTCCCCAGGTTCATAAATGGGTTCACGCATAACCTCCAGGCCTGTGGTGGGGCCATCCCTGGATCTCATCCTGGGGCTTGTGTCCACCGACCTCCTGAATCAGAGCCGAGGGGTGATCCCATTATTGCCCCCTCTTTTGAAAAACAACATGAGCTGGGCAGCATTGATGAGTAACAGCCACCCCTTATCCTGACCGCTCATTCAGTCACTCAGCAAACATTTATTGTCCTATGCCAGGCAAGGTGCAAGTGTTTGGGACCCAGCTTTCGGATAAGATGGGCACAAAGCTGACATTTTAAATGGGGAGATTGAGGTTAAAAGTAAAAAATATACATGATGGTGTCAGTGTTTATGAAGAAATATAGAACAGGGTAAGGGATTGGGAATGATGCTATTGTCAAGGGGGCAGTCAGGGAGGACTTCCTGAAGGAGGCAACCATAGCAGAGTTTTGAATGCAGTGCTGCTGACGGGCGCAGGTTGGTGGGGGGACTGGTGAGGCAAGGCAAGCAGATGTCAGTTAGAAAAGGGCCTCACAGGCCCAGGGAGGATTGTAGGCTTGGTCTTTGGTGCCGCAGGGAGATGTGTTAAGGAAAGGATTCAGCACAGTGAGAAGTTTGAGTGGGTGCCCAGGAAATGCTGAGTGAATGAAAGAATGAATGAGTGAGTGAGTTGGTGAGTCAGCACCCTACACATACTGTGCCCTCCTGAAGTTCGATGTCCCACCCTCTTTTATCCCTTTCCCCCAACATCGGCCCCACCTGGCAGGTGTCCCCTTTTGAAAGCACCACCTGCACCATCTTGGCCCCTCTTCCTTCTCTTGGTGCCTCAGCTCCACAGCCAGGATTAGTTCAGCTTTAAACGTGAGCATTTTTAGTGAGCAAAGCAAGAACCCCCCCCCAGGCACACAATGAGCTTCCCGTCCCCTGGCCTCCTTGGATGGAGCGATCATCCAGACAGTCATTTGTGTTCTGGGTTCTGCATGGCCCCTCCCCTCCCCGCCCTCCGCTGTGATTGCTGACGACGCAGATTTTAATATATTCACACTGGCAGAGCTATTTGCATTCAGATACAATTATGAGGCAAGATACGGCTTCCTCAGAGCGGGCCCCAGAAAGGGGAGGAGGATTTGTGGCTCTTAGGCTGGGCTGTGTAGTCCTGGCTGAGCTGAGCCCTGTACCCCTGCTTTCCAGAGGAAATATCCCAACAGGTCTGGCACCCTCCACACCCTCAACCCTGAGCTTGCTAAGATCTGGCTTATTCTGGCTTATTCTCGGGGTAGGAAGAAGTGTTTGTGCTGGTGGAGATGGGGGCAGGGCAGCGTTTTCTAAACTCCTATGTGCCAGACAGTGTGCTTGTCTCTCTGTCTAGGCCCTCAGGAGCCACACACAAGAAGGGGTTAACTACTAAATAAACAAGCTTATGACACATTGGGGCTGCGTGTGATGGCTCTCGCCTGTAATCCCAGAACTTTGGGAGGCTGAGGCTGGTGGATCACTTGAGGTCAGAAGTTCGAGACCAGCCTAGCCAACATGGTGAAGCCTCGTTTCTACTAAAAAATACAAAAATTAGCCAGGTGTGGTGGCCTGCGCCTGTACACTCAGCTAGTTGGGAGGCTGAGGCAGGAGAACCGCTTGAACTGGGGAGGCAGATGTTGCAGTGCGCTGAGATCACACCACTGCACCCCAGCCTGGGCGACAGAGTGAGACTCTGTCTCAATAATAATAATAATGACACATTGGAACACGGGCAAGGAGGGAAATCAAATAGGCAAAGTGACACTCTCTGAGGGTATTTCTTAGATAAAGTGGTCAGGGAAAGTTGACGGCAAAAATGCCCTGAACCTTTCACTCCTCCTGGTAGCCACTGCCCTTTACCGCATGACTCTGCCACCTAGAAGGGGAATCTACTTCCCATCCCTTGAACCTGTGCTTGGCCATGTCCCCTGCTTTGGCTGATAGGATGTGGTATAAGTGATACATGTCCAGCTCTGACCTGAGGCCACAGAGGCCTTGCACATTTCTTTCTTTCATTTTTTTTTTTTTTTTTTAGAGACAGAGTCTTGCTGTTACCCAGGCTGGAGGGCAGTGGCGTGATCATAGCTCACTGCAGCCCCAAACTCCTGGGCTCAAGCCATCCTACCACCTCAGCCTCTCAGGTAACTGGAACTACAGGCACATGCCACCATGCCTGGGTAACTTTTTAATTTATATTTTTTGTAGAGATGGGACTCTCACTACTTTGCCCAGACTGATCTTGAATTCCTGGCCTCAAGCGGTCCTCCTGCCTCAGCCTCCTAAAGTGCTAAGATTACAGATGTGAGCCACTGCACTGGCCTGGCCTTGCACATTTCTGCTTACTCACTTGGAACCCTGTGACCACCTTGAGTATAAGTCTGGGCTCTTCTGCTGGAGGATGAGAAGCACATATAGCAGAGATGAGCTGTCCCAGTTGAAGCCAACCTAGATCAACCAGAACTGGGCTGATCTGCTAGCTAACCTCAAAGGCAGAGCAATCATTTGATGAGCCCAGATCAGTAGAACTGCCCATCCAACCTTCAGCCACAGAAGCTCTGCAGCCATACAAATGCCTGCTCTTTGTAAGCCACAGAGTTTTGAGATGTTTTGTTATGCAGCAGTAGCTAACTGATACAAAAAGTCAGTCTGAGCGGGTGACATTTTGTCTGAGGCCCAAAGGATCAGAAAGTAGTAGTGGTGAGAAAAGCTGCAGGAGGAGAATTCTAGGGATAGGGGACAGCAAGCACAGAGGCTCTGAGGTGGAAAATGCAAAGGCTTGTTTTGGGGACAGAAAGGAGGCTGATGTGGCTTGGGTGTGGTGAATAAGGAGAGTGGCATGGGATGTGGGTGAAAGATGGATGGGGGCTAAATCATGCAACCCTGTAGATGATCCTGGTGTTTGAGGAATAGCTGTCGTGGGTCTGGGTTCTCATCCTACCATGTAGCAGTAGGAGTGTGAATGAAGGCGGCTGCTGCTGTTGCTTATTTTAACAGTGTACATGGCAGGATGCAGAAGAGGCGACATTTACTAAAAATATGATCTTGGCCTAAATGTGCTTAGGGAACCAGTGACTGGTGTGTGTGTGTGTGTGTGTGTGTTTGTGTGTGTGTGTGTGTGTGTGTGCGTGCGCAGAAGGGGATTGTATTAGTCTGTTCTCCCACTGCTATAAAGAAATACCCAAGACAGGGTAATTTATAAAGAAAAGAGGTTTAATTGGCTCATGGTTCTGCAGTCTGTACAGGAAGCATGGTAGCATCTGCTTCTGGGGAGGCCACAGGGAGCTTTTCCTCATGACGGAAGGCAGAGCAGGAGCAGGTGTCTTCCATGGCAGGAGAGGGACTGAGGGAGATGCCACACGCATTTTTTTTTTCTTTTGAGATGGAGCCTCGCTCTGTCGCCAAGCTGGAGTGCAATAGTGATATCTCAGCTCACTGCAACCTCTGACTCCCAGGTTTAAGCAATTCTCCTGCCTCAGTCTCCCGAGTAGCTGGGATTACAGGCACACACCACCACACCCAGCTAATTTTTGTGTTTTTAGTAGAGATGGGGTTTCACCATGTTGGCCAGGATGGTCTTGATCTCCTGACCTCGTGATCCGCCCGCCTTGGCCTCCCAAAGTGCTGGGATTACAGGCGTGAGCCACTGTACCCGGCCACCACACATTTTTAAAACAACCAGATCTTGCAAGAGAACTCACTATTGTGAGAACAGCACCACAGGGATGGTGCTGAACCATTCATGAAGGATCTACCCCATAATCCAATCACCTCCTCTGGCCCCACACTCCAACGCTGAGGATGGCATTTCAACATGAAATTTGGGCAGGCACACAGATCCAAAGCACATCAGGGGTGCATGAGAAGGTACGTGGAGAACCCACACCCTCATTTACTTGCCCCACCCATTCCGGTAGGAGAGTGTGTCAGTGTCACAGGGCTGCCATGACAAAACACCCCAGTCTGGGTGCTTAAACAACAGAAATGTGTTCTTTGGCAGACCCGGAGGCTGGAAGTCCAAGATGAAGGTGTTGGCAGGTTTGGAGATGATCACGTTCTCACTGCGCCCCCAGGAGGTCTTTGCTCTGTGTGAACACAGAGCAAAGGTCTGGCGTCTCTGTCTGTGGCCTAGTCTTCTCTTATAAGGACTGTTATATTGGATTAAGGCCCACCCTGTTGACCCCATTTCCCCTGAATTATCTCCAAATACAGTCCCGTTCTGAGGTCCTGGAGGTTAGGACCTCATCATGTGAATTTGAGGGGGACACAGGTTAGCCCGTCATGGAGGGGTTTTAGCTCATTGCCCCTCCACTCTGGCCACACACCTTTCTGGCATCTGGTTTTGAAGTTTTCCTTCATTGGTGTGACTTCTCCCCCAATGGGTGTTCCCCGCCCTCCACCTGAGATGGGGGAACTTGGGGAACAGAGGTTGGAGGTGGCGTGGGGCATGAAAGGAAGGCTGGAAGGGGAGGTGTGCCCGCCCAGTGAAGTAGGAGCTTCCTGTGTCCCGTGTCACAGACCCTTGGCCTCCACTCTGATTTCAGGGCAGCTGTGTGCACAGACTGGGACATGGTGCTAGCACCCCACCTGAGCCCTGGCATAGCCTTGTTGTCTGTCTCCGGTCTTGAAGGAGCCCCTCAGCCTGCACAGGTGCAGCCTGGCTCTGCAGGATGCCAACTATGGATGGGGAACTGGGATCCTGGATAAATGGCCCAGCCTCCTGTCTTTTGGAGGGGGCAATCCTGAGGCATATTGTATTTGGTTTCTGGGAAGGTCTCCAGAGGAACAGAGCCCTGGGTGCCCACAGAGTCATCCCCCAAATCACCCCTTTCCTGGCTCTCCCTCCTTCCCTGTCTCACTCTCTCTGTTCCCTTGTTGCTTTTTTCTGGAATCTCCTCCCCAAGTCCTCAAGTCCTTGTCTCAGTGACTGCTTTCTTGTGCAAAGATAGGGGCTTCACCCTCTGCTGGGTCAGGTGGAGGCTTGGCTGGGACACCCAGAGGGGAGTCATCCTGAAGCTGCAGGGGTGTACCGTTGGGGGATGCGGAGAAGCCACTGATCAGGCAAATGCGACACTCCCCAACATGGCTCCTGCTGGAAAAAGAGTAAACACAAAAGGAGCACAGCACTCTACGGTTTATAAAACCCTTTCCCTACCGTTGGTCCTGGGCTGTCACAACAACCAAGTGACCTCAGCCAAGAGGCACAGTGCACCTCATCCTCAGATGAGTCCAGTGAGGCTCAGACAGAGGCAGCAGCCTGCTCAGAGACACACGAATTGCCTGGGACCAAGGCCGCCACCTCCCAGCAAAGTGTTTTTTCTTGGGAGATCCTGGGTGCATGCAAAGCCAAGTATCAGACAGATCAGTTTCTAATCCCAGCTCTGTAACCTTGAGCAAGTTACTTCCCCTCTCTGTACCTCAATGTCCTCCTCTCTAAAATGAAAGTTATCGTGAGGGATTAAATGCAATGAGTGTGTCCCTGGAGCGGCCTCCCACTGGCCTCCCTGCCTCCCGCTGTCCTCCCCAAATGCCTTCCCCAGAGTAATTTTTCCAAACAGCAAGTCTGGCTGCCTCTCCTGTGTGTAAAACCCTCCAGTGGCCCCTGGGGTCTTCAGGACAAGAGCAGACTTGAGCACAGCTAGCCAGCACTGAGCCCAGTGAGCCAGGCCACACTCTCCCGCCTCACCTCTACCCTTCCAGTCATTCTCTTTGCAGATTCTCTCTCACCCCAGAAAGTGAGCCCAACCTTTGCACATGCTGTTCCTTCTGCCTGAGACTCCAGCTGTCTTCCCGATAGCCTGGTCAGCCCTTTGGATTTTTTGTTTTTTTTTTTTTTGAGATGAAGTCTTGCTCTCTCACCAGGCTGGAGTGCAGTGGTGCGATCTCAGCTCACTGCAAGCTCCACCACCTGGGTTCAAGCAATCCTCCTGCCTCAGCCTCCCAAGTAGCTGGGACTACAGGCGTGCACCCTCACGCCCAGCTAATTTTTTGTATTTTTAGTAGAGACGGGGATTCACGATGTTGGCCAGGATGGTCTTGATCTCTTGACCTCGTGATCCACCCGCCTCGGCCTTCCAAAGTGCTGGGATTACAGGCATGAGCTACTGTGTCCCGCCTGTTTTTTTTTTTTTTAACTCAGTTTTTGAATCAGCATCACATTCAGATGCATCGAAATTCACAAGGTACAGAAATGTATACACCGAAAACTGAAACTGCAAAGCTCTCTCCCATTTTTATTCTTCAGTCCGCCCAGGCCCCTCCTCACAGGCAAACCATGTGTTCAATTTATATGAATCCTTTCAGAGACATTTTATGCAAATATAAGGACATCTTAAAAAGATTATCCACCTGCTGCCTTTTACACAAAAATGTACAATACTCCCTGCATCTTTTCCCACTCACTGTAATTTGGAGCTCTTCCAGATCAGTAAATAAAGTGCTTCCTCATTCATTTTACAGAGCTGCATGGTATTCTGCTGCATGGACACAGCCTCATTTATTGATCTAGTCTCCTGTTGATGGGTATCTAGATTGTTTCTGGTGTTTCGCCATGACTTAAAATGCTTCATTGAATAATATTGTACATCTACCTGCATCTAGGGGAGAAACTATAGCATTCCTTCCTAGGCCTGAAATTACCAATTTATTATATTGCTAGATTGTATCTAATTATCCCCCATAGAGGATACCAATGGACACTTTCCCCAGCCGTGGACTGACTGATGGGTCAGTGTTTTTGAGGACTGTGAACAGTGGTCACCTCCCTCAGGAAGCCTTCCTAGACCTTCAAGCTAGCGCAGGAGCCTTGCCTGGGACCCCATCCCAGCGCCATGCATGTGGCACCCTGTATTGTAATGGACTATTTCTTTTTCTGTTCTTGTCATCGGACTGGCAGCTCCCCAAGACTTGAGACCTGAGACTTTGATTATTGGAGAGTCTTCTCAGTGCAGAGCTGAGGGCTGAGTAAATATCAGCTCCCTTTCAGCAAGCTCCCAGGGCTGGGGGCCCCAGGATGGGCAGCTTCTACTTACACCTCGTTCCCTCTGCCCCAGAGAGAGGGTCTTGGCCTCCGCCTTGACACCTGCAGGCCAGTCCATGTGTGTGGTGTTCCAGCACCGAGCCCCCTCTCCCAGCCTCTGGGGCCTCCACCTTCTCCCTTGAACAAATAATAATTGTTAGAAAAAGGCCTGTGGATAAATTATTATCGTGACCCTCATTCCAGTGCAACAAACTTTTCCTAGCTGCCAAGTGAAAAGTCAAAATTTGCATTTAAATAGAAAACGTTAGGCGGGCTGAACAGGGAGGCCAAGGCCCCCAGAGGCCTCTCTTGGGTGGGGAGCAGCAGCCCCCGAACCTCCTCAGGATCCTAGCAGCGGGGGAAACCTTCAGAGCCTGAGTTGAACCTGGTCCTTTCTGGGGTTCATGGTCTCCTTGGGGCCTATAAGTTCCGGTTTCTGCCACGGTTCCCCAAAGATCCTGCAGTCAGGCCAGATAGACCTCTTAGGTGCTCTCCCTCCATCACCCCTTGAACTTGTTTTCCTTTCTCGACCCACAGTGAGAAGGTAATCACAAACATTAAGAGCAGATAGAAACTTCACAGATCATGTTCAGAGCATAGTTTTAGAGTTAGATTGATGGGTCAGGGCTGGCTCTCTGCTATGTCGCTTAGCCTCTTCAAGCCTCAATTTCCCGATTCGTAAATGACAAATAACACCTTTTTTTTTTTTTTTTTTTTTTTTTTGAGACAGGGTTTCACTCTTGTTGCTCAGGCCGGAGTGTAGTGGCGCGATCTCGGCTCACTGCATGCTCCATCTCCTAGGTTCAAACGATTCTCCTGCCTCAGCCTCCTGAGTAGCTGGGATTACAGGCATGTGCCACTACACCTGGCTAATTTTTTGTATTTTTGGTAGAGACAGGGGTTTCACCATGTTGGCCAGGCTGGTCTCGAACTACTGACCTCAGGTGATCCACCTGCCTCAGCCTCCCAAAGTGCTGTGATTACAGGCGTGAGCCACCATGCCTGGCCAACACCTTTTTTTTTTTTTTTGAGACGGAGTCTCCCTCTGTTGCCTAGGCTGGAGTGCAGTGGCATGATCTCGGCTCACTGCAAGCTCTACCTTCCGGGTTCACGCCATTCTCCTGCCTCAGCCTCCTGAGTTGCTGGGACTACAGGTGCCCATCACCACACCCGGCTAATTTTTTGTATTTTTAGTAGAGACGGGGTTTCACCGTGTTAGTCAGGATGGTCTCGATTCCCTGACCTTGTGATCCACCTGCCTCGGCCTCCCAAAGTGCTGGGATTACAGGCGTGAGCCACTGCGCCCAGCAGGCCAACACCGTTTTATAATTTATGTGTGTGTGTATATATATATATATATATGATGTATAATCATATCATAAGTTACTACATTAACTTATTAACATTAACATGACATGACATGACATTAACATTACAATACATATTTATTATATAATAATACTCATTATTAATTATAATTTACTATAGTTAATAAATGCAGTTATTTCAGTTTGTTAGTCCAGTTCTTTTTTTTTTTGAGATGGAGTCTTGTCTGTTGCCAGGCTAGAGTGCAGTGGCGTATCTCTGCTCACTGCAACCTGCGCCTCCTGGGTTCAAGCGATTCTTGTGCCTCAGCCTCCTGAGTAGCTGGGACTACAGGCGCGTGCCACCACATCCAGCTAATTTTTGTATTTTCAGTAGAGACAGGGTTTCACCATGTTGGCCAGGATGGTCTCAATTTCCTGACCTCGTGATCTCCCCACCTCGGCCACCCAAAGTGCTGGTATTACAGGCGTGAGCCACTGTGCCCGGCCCGTGTTTCATTTCTACCTGGGTCACCGTGGACGCACCAGCTTCTCTGAGCGTCAGCTTCCTCCCTGCAAAGTGGGAAGGCTGGTGATGATCTCAGCATGTCCAGAGTCCAGCTCGGTGGTGTGCATCAGTGCTCAGTGAAAGCTCATGACCAGCTTACAGCCATTTGGTTCTCATATGCATAAGAAGATAAAGACTTCTTATTCAATTCAGCAGTTGTATCTTGAGCTCTAACTCTGTGCCCATTGCTGGTATACAGCCTTCTTTCTTAGATGTGATCAAAAGCATCCCTAGGAGGGCAGGGACACTGTCTGCATCGCAACTGTTGCATCCTGATATGGTTTTGCTGTGTCCCCATCTAAATCTCATCGTGAATTGTAGTTCCCATAATCCCCACATGTCGTGGGAGAGACCAGGTGGAGATAATTGAATCATGGGGCGGTTTCCCCCATCCTGTTCTCGTGATAGTGAGTGAGTTCTCACGAGATCTGATGGTTTTATAAGGGGCATTTCCCCTTTTGCTCGGCACTTCTCCTTGCTGCCACCACGTGAAGAGGGATGTGTCTGCTTTCCCTTCCCCCAGGATTGTAAGTTACCTGAGGCCTCCCCAGCCGGGCAGAACTGTGAGTCAGTTAAACCTCTTTCCTTTATAAATTAGCCACTCTCTAATATGTCTTTATTAGCAGTGTGAGAATGGACTAATGTACACCCACACTGCCCAGCACATAGTAGGTGCTTAATAAATATTTGTGTCTAAAAGTTGTGAATAAAAGTTGCTTTTTCTTCAGCCTCCAGGACAATGCATGGCAAATAGTAGGTGCTCAATAAAACTTGGCTGGAGGAGGGAGTGTAGGTACAGAGGAAATATATGGCTAGAGTTCTGAGTGGCTTGATCAGAATAGGCATTTGGAGCCACATGGATCTCACATGGGACCCTTCTCCTCTGTTGACACATGTTGGCCATTGCCCTACTATGTGGTCACTCTGTTGGTCTCCCAACAAAAAGCTGGGCTGAAATTCTCTAGGTGAGAGGGAACAGCAGAGGCCTCTGTACTTAGGGCTTGTGGTGCTGGGGAAAAACAGGATCTGAGTGGGAGAACTTGCACCTGACAAGGGTGGCCAGTGCCCTTGCTGGACATGTAGGTACTGCAGAAGGGGAAGAGGGGCTGAGTGCTGGAAAGATCACCAGCATCTTCCCAGAGGAGGGGACCTCTGAGATGTGCTGGCTCAGGCTCAGGACAAGGTCAAAGGCAACCATTTGTCCAGTGAATTGGGGGTCTGGGGAGGATGCCAAAACTAGGTTGCAATATGAACACGGGAGACAGGAGGTTGGAGGGTGGGGCTGCCAGGGGCTGGGGCTCCTGAACGCTGCACACACCATCAGTCTGTTATGAAGGAGCTGATGTGGGCTACACAGAAATCTAACTCATAGCAGAATGTTCATCAGACTGCTCCTCCTGCTCTGCTCCTATCTGCCAGCCTTTCCACTACTCTCTCTCCTCTCTCAGATTTCACAGCACTGGGGAGATGGATCTGTCATTATCATGCCTTCTAAGTGCTGTGTACTGAGCTACTCATTTTCCACAAGCGGAGACTCTAGCAAGCACGTCCCCAAACTACAGCAGTGGTTTATTGCACGTCCCTTGAGCCCCCCAGGTTTATACAATCATCCCATTTTAAATCCCAGCGATTGAACCAAACAGGTGTTCTTATTCCCACGTTACAGCCGAGGAAATGGATTCTCAGAGGGGTCAAGAAATCAGCTCAGGACCACGCAGCCAGGAAGCAGTGGAGTGGGATCTCAAGCACTGTGTCTGTCAGATTTTTAAACATGTATTTTTAGGGAAAACATGTCTATGTAATTTTTTTTAACATAATTAAAATGGAAGGAATCAAATATACAGTGATACATATTATTGAGAAACGTGGAGTTAAGAAATGGGTGAAAGTGTGGAAAATAGCTGCCTCTGGGAAGCAACATGGGGAGGGAGGGAGTGGGGGGTGGGGTGGGGACCCCTCATTTAGTTTACAAGCCTTACAGTGCTACTGGATTTTGTTTTTAACTATGAGCCTGCATTCCTTTTTTTTTTTTCTTTTCTTTTCTTTTTTTTTTTTTTTTTTTTTGAGATGAAGTTTCACTCTTGTCACCCAGGCTGGAGTGCAGTGGTGTGATCTCAGCTCACTGCAAACTCCACCTCCCAGGTTCAAGCAATTCTCCCGCCTCAGCCTCCCAAATAGCTGGGACTACAGGCATGCACCACCATGCCCGGCTAATTTTTGTATTTTTAGTAGAGACGGGGTTTCACCATGTTGGCCAGGCTGGTCTTGATCTCCTGACCTCGCAATCCATCCACCTCGGCCTCCCAAAGTGCTGGGATAACAGGCGTGAGCCACCGAGCCTGGCCGCCTGCATTCCTTTTACAGAAAATAAAAGATTAATTATAAAAAGTGACAATTTCCCATAAAAGACTACCTAAACCGTCTTCAAGGTCCTCAGGGGGAAAGGAAGCTCTCAGCAGCTCAGGTCCCACCCCAGCCCATGGAGGTCAGATTTCTAATTTTTAAGGTTGCACGGCATCCCTCCAGCCTGGCCACATCTTGTCCCCAATAATAGACATGGTGGTTGTTTCCACATTTGCAAGAAGCAGCCAGGCTGAGAGCTAGCACGGATTCTCAGCCTCCCTGGTACCGACTCTGGGCTCATCTGACCTTATACTTGGTGGGACCCCCTAAGGGCAGAGGCTGGGCCCCACCCGCTTTCTACTCCTGGTACCCAGCTCCTGCCCTACCACAGTGACCTTCCTCCACAGCAGGACTGACCAGGCAGACCAGAGCCTGTCCTTGGTCTCTCTGGTTGAATTAGAGGAGACAGAGAATTGCCCAGATAAACTTCCCTAATTACAGTCAGTAATCGGTCCTCTGAAGGAGATCGCCTGTGCTGAGAGTTGGCAACAGGGAGGGCTTCCTGGAGGAAGTGACATTTGTGTTGACCTCTGAGGGCATGGAGAGGCATGAAGCCAGCCAAGGTGCTGGGAACAGATGTCTAAGTCAAGGGAACAGCATGGATGAGGGCCATAAGAAGGGAAGAGGTTGGTTGTCCAAGGAACCACCTGGACACCAGTGTGGCTGGACACATGGGAGGAGGGGAGCAGGGAGAAGGGAAGATGAAGGAGGAGGGAAGGGAGGAGGGAAGAAGAGGCAGGGAGGGGAGGAGGCAGGGAAGAAAGAGGAAGGGAGGAAGGAGGAGAGGTGGGGAGCGGGAAAGAGAGATATAGGGAAGAGGGAGACAGGGAGGAGGGAGCAGAGAAACAGGGAGGAGGGAGGAAGAAGGAAGGGAGGGCCGGGCCAGGATTCCCCAGGGGACCTTGTCTCAGCAGGATGAGATCAGTGCTCAGGGCTGCCAGGAGGCCTTGGTCCTGGGACACCTTACCTGGGAGAAGAGCTGGAAGCTCTGAGGGCTGGAGTCCCCTCAGTGGGCAAGAGGAGGTGCTCCCTAGGCTGGACAGGCCTAAGAGAGACACCCCAATGAGCTAAGCCCCACGGAAAGGTTAACCAGGTTCCCGCTTCCCTCACTAGAGTCCCTTTACACATTTACAATGTACCAGTCAAACCAATTAGCCATAAAATGTTGTAGGGACTGCATTTTATTGGATTCTGTTCAACTCAGAATTGGTTAAATAATGTCTGCTAAGAAAAATAAAAGCACCACACAAGACCCTCCAGGTGGGGGTCCCTGGAGGCCTGTGGTGCAGCTGGGGAAATGGGTTGGACCTGGGCTGGGAAAGGTTGTGCTGAACTTCTGTAAGGACATCTCTGCCCACAAAAAGTGGGGGTGGTGGTCCTCACAGATCTTTGAGCCCCCCGTGGGTCTCAACCTTATCAGGTCATTCGAATCCCTGGGGAACTTTTGAAACCGACAGCATGAATGCCTGGGCTGCCACCCAGAGCGGTTGCATCTGAACTATGGAGCAGAGCACCATTCACCTCTCCAAGTCCTCCCAAGGGGATCTGCTGTGCAGCTGGGGCTGGCTCTACTCCAGTGTCTCTACTGGGGGTGATGTTGTCTCTGCACCCAGAGGAGGTTTGGCAATGTCTAGAGATGTTGTTGGTTGTTACAACTGGAGGGGGCGGCTGCTGGGATGCAGTGGGTAGAGGCCAGGGATGCTGCTTGACATCCTGCAATGGACAGGACGGCTCCCCAACAGGAACCCTCCAAGCTCAAGCATTAGTAGTGCTGAGGCTGAGAGACCTTGAACTGGTCTAATCTACCTGTTTGACAGATGAGGAAACTGAGGTTCAGACCGGTCAGTGGGGTGTATCTGGGGTCACACAGAGCCTGGCAAGCAGGGCTCATGAATGTCCATCCCTGGGTGGTGTACCTGACACTGCTAAATGCTCAGGGTTAGAGATTGTTCTGTTAGATTCTGCAGGCCAAGGTGATCAAGTGACTTTGACGGACATAGCCTGACCCAGGCTGGGGTGAGTCTGAGGGTCTGAGGACTGTACCACTTCTATACGTTGTTCATCTTCCCCTGAGGAAACTCCAGACAGAGCCCATTCCTCTAGCAGGCTTGACCCCAAAAAATGGTTCCACAGAGGGCAAGAGAGGCCTGTTTTGATGTTGCAGAGGGCACAGGCCTGAAGAGGTTTCAACCCCATGCCTTTGGTCATGGACTGCCGAGGGACCATCCATTTGGCCATTTGTGCATCCTGTGGGGGTAATCTGAGCCGTGTGCAGGGCTGGGGGACCAGGCTAATTGCAGGCTTGGAGAAAGCCACATTGAGCAGTGACGGCGGGCAGTCGGGCAGGCGTCTGGGGCCGGGATGGTACCTGATTAGCTAAATTGCCAGCACCTGCTTGCTTTTATTGCAAACATAAACACGGCCGTGCAGACAATCGCCAGCGAGCCTAATGTTTTCCGCGTTTGCCACATCTGCAAGGTCCAGGGTCGGGCAGGGGGAGGCTCAGGCCTCAGCAGAATGGGAAGACAGAGAGAACTGGGTGAAAAGGCGCTGGATTAGGCACTGGAGGAGGGAATTCACACTTGGTGAGAGGACACTTCTGTGGCAGGCACGGCGCGAGGCCTTTCTATCCCCGTGCAAAGACATCTGACCCTCAAAGCCTTCCTGCGAAAATAGTATCACTTTTCTTTTTGGGACTCAGAAAAGTTAAGCGATGTCCTCTGAGTGATGTAGCCAGGAAGCAGCTGATACAGAATTTGTATTCGGGTCTTTCCGTTTCCAAAGCCCCTATTCTTTTTACTAACTGGAGATAGGGAGTCCTGGGGGTTCCTATTGTGATTTATTTAACTTTGCATCTGCAGCACCAAGCAATTAGCCAGTGATTGCGTGTGTGTTCAGGAAAAGAAACACTATTTCTAGTCTTCCCAGTAATTTGCTAGGCGACCGCAAATTTGCCATTTCTTCTTTCTGTGCCTCAGTTTCTATATCTGTAAAGTGGTCATCTAGTTGCCTATCTTCTGCTTTCTGAACTGCGGGACAAGGAGCATGGTGTGTGGGAGCTTAGCCTGCAAAGTTGTCTGAGATCAAGTCCAGCACTGGCTGCCATCACCCACTGAGGCTCCTCCGTGCTTCATGGAACAGTGTCGGCTGTCACGTCGGTCGCGTGATCCCAGGATGAGTCCGAGGCCTGCAGGACCCCACCACGGCTAAGGCAATATTGACTTCAGCCCTCTCTCAGCAATTGGCTGACAAGACAAACGGCCAAGGAAACCATTTCAAATTAACTCCGTCTCCATTACAGGCGCTTTTATTAAGATAAACTATTTGGAGGATGTTTACAGGAGAGAGCCCTTTGGAGCTGGCCAGAAGGTCAGAGGGAAAGTCGGACCGGACTGCACAATTGTCATTTGCAGGCGAGCGGCACTTCTCTCAGATTCAAATGTGCGTCTCTCCCAGTCAGTGACAGATGCTTCAAGCCTGTGACATGCTTTGTCAGAATTTCATTTGTCCGAGCAAGCTTCAGCCTCGTTCTTGGCAGATGCCAACGATAGGGGAGCGTGTGCGTTTAAATTCCCTTCTGCAGTCCTTGGAAATGAAGTGCGGGTATTTCTCCATCAGTGCAGAGGAAATTGCCAAATGTGTCCTAGAGCCCAGGAGAAGGGCAAATTTTCATTCATTCATTCATTCATTCACTCACTCATTCATCGCTCCCCTTGCTGATTATAGTAACTGGTTTATTAAATAGTTCTTGTTGTCATTTAGTCATTCCTCTAATCGCTTTGAATCTTGACTTCTTGTGTGTCCTTATGTATGTCAGAGCCTCAGTTTCTGCTCCTGGGAATGGGAATGATGATAGTTTAGGATGACACGAGGGCTAAACACTTTGTTTACTCCCTGGCGCTCTGTTTACTCCCTGGCACTCGGCAAACACCCGCAGGAAGGAGCTGGTACTGTGGCTGGGGAGGGAGTCGTGGAAACTAACTCCATCCTGCAGAGGTTAGGTCGCTGCTCACAGCGTGGTGTGTGGATGAAGTGGATTGAGCCCACCAGGGGTCTGGTTCCGGAACCTTTATTCCTTCCTTTGGATCTGCTCTTCTGCACGTGTTGCCTGGGTGTGGTGACAGCCCTGCACTATCAGCTCCACAGTTAAGTGGTATTTGCAGAGCGCAGATCCAAACTCAGATTCTTAGGTCGCCTCTTGGATGTCTCTAGGGTGGGGTCATCTTCTGTAGGATTCCCCAGCAGCCAGTGCAGGCTATAAGTGGTATTCATTGCCATCTTTTCCAGAAAGCAACATTAGGCAAAGGCCCCCCTGGGGCCAAAGAATTGACTTTCTCTTGAACCTTGGGCTGGCCATTCTCTTCTCTCCAGGCCTCAGCTTTCTCCTGTAGGCAGTGGGCCCTTGAGTCATATCAGCCTCTTTTGGACTCTGAAATGATATGACTTTTTAAGTGGAGAGGATGGGTGTCACCACAACCCGAGGAATTGCTGTTTGGGGTGCTTGGACCACACAGTAAACATTCACCAGTGCTTGAAAACTCCTTCTCCTAGAATTCCTGTCCCCAGAGACCTTCCTTCTCTGGAGCCCCAAGTCCCTGCCAACACCCATTCCACCCCCAAGGGACTCTCAGCACCCAGAGATTCCCTGTAGCAAACAGGCTCCCAGGAAACACCAAAGATTCTCTTTTTGGAGTTCTCTGAGGATGACAAACACTCCCGTTTCTCCTGTACCAAATTCCTTTTCTCAGCTCAGGGAGCCTTATCAAGCTGGACCATGTCCCATGTACTGTGAGTGACATGTCACAACCTGGTCTGGGCACAAGAGGCAGGTGAGTATATGATATAGCCTGATGGGCTGCCGCACATGTGAAATGGGTATGTGTTGGGAGAGCGGGATGTGGCTGGCAGGCTGAGTGGAGGGAAGGTTTCCCCTGGCTTTGCCAGAGCTATTTTATTTTATTTTGCCTTGTGTTTTGAGATGGGGTCTCACTATGCTGCCCAGCCTAGTCTCTAACTCCTGGGCTCAAAAAATCCTCCCACCTCAGCCTCCCAAGCAGCTGGGACCATAGGTGTATGGCACCATGCCCAGCTAATCTTCGTATTTTTTTGTAGAGACACAGTTCCACTTTGTTACCCAGGCTGGTCTCGAACTCCTGGGCTTAAGTAATCTTCCTGTTTTGGCCTCCCAAAGTGCTGGGATTACAGGTATGAGCCACGGCACCCAGCCAACTTTGCCCAGAGCTTTGCTCTCCACTTGGAGAGAGCCCAGAAAGGTGGAGAATTCCTACGGTCATCTGGGCAATGGCTACAGCAAAGTCAATGGCAAAGGAAAGTAAAGAACATTCCACGATATATATTTAGGAGGCTGGGAGACGGGAAAAGGAAATCAGGTTAGATTCTCAGAGTTCGCAGCCTAAGCAGGTCTCCAAGGTCCCCGAGAGAGGTTGTGGGATCCAGATGTGGACAGGGAAGGAGGAAGGGGGAGGGGAGGCAGCCCGGGGAGAGGGGGAGGTCTGTTCACAATTAGCCTTGATTTTGTGTGATGACATTCAAATTGTGGGCAAACATGAAAGCAGAGTGGTGAGGACACGTCTGTCCGAGAAGCTGGAGGATTAATCCGACGTGAAGGACGTGGGCCGAGGGCTGGTACCACATGGAAGCGTTTTGTGTGGGTTTTGATGTCCCGCCAGCTGAGGGGCCCTCCACCCCCACCCCTGCTCCCTCACAACTAGCTGACTCTGGGCGAGAGAGGTTAAGTCCCGAACACCAGGAGGTTCTACCTCCTGCGGAACTGCCCTCTGGCCTGCCCAGAACTGAAACCAGCATGGTGGCCCTGGATGTCCCCAGAAAGTCAGGCACTGGGGGGTACCCTGCTGGCTCCAAAGGTGACAGTGGCGGGCGAGTGTCTGTAAGCTATTTTCAATATTTCTGATATTACAAAGGCTGGGATAGCCCACATGCTGGGGGGTTGGCAGGCAACTGCCTTCTCATAAGGCTGTGTCGGGATAGGCCTTGGTTGGGAATCTTGGAATTTTATAGTTGAGGCCATTTGGGAGCCCCAGGGTCACCTAGCAAGGGTTCTGGCTCAGGATGAGCCTTCTCATTGAACTAAATCCAGGAAGAAGCATCATTCTGATGTCTCCTTACAGAGCTGAATGTTGGGACTGGAGAGAAAGATGTGGCCTAAGTTACAACTCCAGGCTCTACCCCTTACCATGTAAGTGCCCCTGACAGGAGCCAACCCTCCCTTAAGCCTCAGTTTCCTTGTCTGTAAAATGGGGAGAATCATCAGTCCTCCCTTGGAGGATAGATGTGAGAACTGGATGCTCTAGTGTTGATAAAACGGTAGCATCTAAGAAGCAAGCCAGTCAGTGGCTGTCACCATTTCCAGCCCTCTTGGAGATGGTGAGCTCTCAAATAGGGCAATTATCATTATCAGTGTTATTATTGACATTGCTGTTTATTGTTATTATGAAAGGGTTTTGTTAAAGACACAGAGTGTTACAACATGTGTCTGTTGCGAAAATTAGGGCAAGGATTCCTTTCCATCAATTCAGGCGGCAGGCTGCGGCTGTCCCCTCCAGACGCTCAGCTGTAGCCCTCCAGCCCCGTTGTTCGTGACCTGGGGCCCCATCACGTGCCGGTGGGCCGACTGCCAGGCATCTAAAGCCGTCTGGAAGCCCAGAGCCCCTTGGATCGGAGTGGAGGAGCGCATTTCACGCAGTCCCTGTGACCCCTGGAGGTCCCTGGGGAGACAGGAAGGAAGGGGCTCTGTTACGGTGGAGGAGGGGTTGGGAGAGGCTCTTTGGAGGAGAGAAGGAGTTGATGAAATTTCAGGATGTACAGAGGTCAGCTTCCAGCCGGCTTGTCTAGCTTAGAGAAAAGTGATCGCCACCCCAAACACGCTTCTTAATGAAGCACAGCCTGTGCTTACAAGCCATTCCCTTCCTGCCTTTTCCCTCTAGGAGGAAATTCTAAATCTTGAACACAAACGGCCAAAGAATTATATTTACATATATTTATATTTTATATTCACACATATCTAGGGAGCTGGGAGCAAGGGAAAAAAAAGACTAAGGTTTATTCTGGACAGCAGTGATGTTTCATAAGAGCAAATGAAGAGAGGTGAATAGTGGTCGAGCTTGCCTTGGTGTTTGAGCTTTAAACACAGAACCAGGTCTGTCCCTCTGAGGAGTAGAATTAAATTGTTCAAAGCAATAAATGGGAAAAGGTCTGCAAGTGTAATATGGATGGGAAGAGTGGGATAGGAAGGTGAACTTTGCATGGTTGTTCATGAGGGTTGGCCCAGCTGGGTCTAGGCATGAGGTCTAAGGGGCTGACTATCCATCTAAGTCAAATGAGGAAGCTTGCCTTGCTCTAGCGTGTTGCAGAAGAGAAAAGCAACAAGATCTGTACCCATGTGGGTAAATCAGAGAAAGATAGGAAGCAGGGAAGCTTGGCCATTCCATGCAGGAGAAGGCCCTGCCACTGGCAAACCTGGCCCAGTCACTGCCCCAAATCTAAGCAACTTGGGGTGACTCCTTCTCAGTGGGAGAGATAAGCTGGGGAAGGGGTTGTTGAGACAGGGCAAGCACACACCTGGAGCAATGTTAAACATGCACCTGTAATCCCAGCACTTTGGGAGGCTGAGGTGGGAGGATCACTTGAGCTCAGGACTTCGAGACCAGCTTGGGCCACATGGCAAAACCCTGTCTCTACAAAAAAAACCCAAAACAAAACAAAAAAATTAGCTGGGCATGGTGATGTGTGCCTGTAGTCCCAGCTACTCGGGAGGCTGAGGGAGGACGACGGCTGGGAATTTAAGGTTGCAGTGAGCCATGATTGTGCCACTGCACTGCAGCCTGGGCAACAGAGTAAGACCCTGTCAAAAAATAATAATAATAGAGTTCACATTCCCTTTCCCAGCAGAAAACATCAGGGACATGGGTGGGTAGTGCCCCTACAGGGCCGCACAGTTGGGCAAAGCTGTCCATTCAGGCCTTACCCCAAGTCCCTGTAGAAAAAGGGAGGCCCAGATACCTGAAGGTGCTGGGAGGTCATTTTTCTAGGAAGGCCCTATAATAAGACAGCCGTCTTCCTTCCCAGTAGGCTCCACACAGAGGACCCTGAGGCCTAGAAGTGACTTGGCCAAGGTCACTTGGCTGCTAGGCAGCAAAGCCAGCACTTGACCCAGGACTTTCTGACTCCAAAGACCAAACCCTTTTTAAAACTTATTTTTATGGAGATATTTTATACAAATAAAATGAAATACATAAGGTAGGCATAAGGGACAAAGCAAAACCAAACAAACAATAGCCTCTCCACCACCGAGCTTGAGAAATGCAATGCTACCCATGCGGCTAAGCCCTGTGGACTCCACCACACTTGCTACCTACCTGTCTCTATTGCCAAGGCTAACCCCTCTTCCGGGTTCAGGGTTGGCTCTTTGTTAGTGACTTATTACGTGTATAAGATTCCTAGATACTATAGTGTAGGGTTTGCCTGTTTTTGAACTCAGTATAAATGGAATCCCACTGTGTATTTTCTTCTTTATCTTTCCTCATTCTGTTTTGAGATTCCTTTATGTTGTCGCATGCACCGTAATTAATTAATTAATTAATCAGTTTTAATTCTTTTTTTTGAAATCATTAAAGACTCACACAAAGTTGAAAAAATAATACAGAGAGAACCTGTGAACCCTTCACCCAGCTTCCCCCAATGATAATACCTTTCAAGGCCATAGTAAAAATGATCAAAACAGGAAATTGACACAATAGTACAATCTCATTGAGGTTACTACTGTGGAGACTCAGCTTGGGATGATTTAGCTTGGATGAGACAAAACACACCCCTGGATCTGTGGGACCCAGAGCCCATGCACCTAACCACTGGACAATACTATTAACTCAGGGGTGGACCATATTCAGATGTCATCAGTTTTTTGTTTTTTTTTTTTTTTTTTTTTTTTTACATGCATCTTTTATTTCTTCCCCCGACCCCAGGTGTACAGTTCTTGAAAATGTGTGTAGGTTTGAATAACCATCCCAACAGTCAAGATACAGAGCTATTCCACCAGGAAAAGATTCCCTGGTATCGTTCCATAGTGATGTGGTTAATTCATTTTTAGGGCTGTGTGGGAGTCCTTCGCTTAGCTGTGCCACAGTTGATTCATGCGATCTCCTGGCCATGGCACTAAGGTGTTTTCTCGCCCAAAACTCCCTTGAACACACTGCTATGAGCATCCATGTGTATATCTTGAGCACATCAGCCAGAATTCTTTTTGGGCGTCTTCTTAGGGGTGAAATTGCTGAGTCAGAGGGTATGTGCATCTTCCACATGAGGCTACATTGCCAAATTCTTTTCCAAGTGGTTGTCATAATTCACACTCTCACCAGCAGCATACTACACTGTTTCCCAAGAGGCCCCGACCGGGCCACAAAACCAGTATCCGTACAGCACTGTTTACAAAACCCATCAACACTCCTTACGCTGGTTAACCCTCACAGGCCCTGGTGACATAGGCATGAGTTATCACCTCGTGTCTGTTCAGAAAAAGAAGCCAGAGCTGAAGTGACCCACTCAGGTTCACACAGTGTGCAAAGTCCAGGTTGCAGACTCCAGACCTTGTTATCTTTCCCGTAAAAACCCAAGGCTAGGCATGGTGGCTCATACCTGTAATCCCAGAGCTTTTGGGGACAGAGGTGGGGCTATCCCTTGAGCCCAAGAGTTCTGTAATTCTGGGATCATCAAGATTTTTGAGCCACCAGGATTCTGCCTTGAGACCAGCCTGGACAACATGGTGAGATGCCCCTCTACACAAAATTAAAATTTTATCTCTACACAAAGTTTAAAAAAATTAGCTGGGTATGGTGGTGCATGCCTATAGTCCCAGCTACTATGGAAGCTGGGGAGGGAGGATCACTTGAGCGCAGGAGTTTGAGGCTGCAGTGAACTATGTTTGAGCTGCTCTGCTCCAGCCTAGGCGACAGATTTTAAATAAATAAAACCCAGTGCTTGTGTAATTTTTACCAAGGGCCAGGCACTGTTCTAAAGGATTCCCTTCTCATGTATTAACTCAGTTTAATCCTCATAGTGACTCTACGATGTAGGTATTTATTATTATACCCATTTTACTTACAGAGAAGTAGAGGTACGGATGGAGAGGTTAAGTAACTTGCTCAAGGTCATTCAACCAGGAACTGCCAGTGCTGGACTTTAAGACAACCCTCTTGGTATCTTCTCTGTGAAACCCTCTACTTGAGGGGACACCCCCAACCTCCTGGGTGCATGACTTAGGTCTCACACTGCCATCCCTCTCAGGCACCCAGGGGCAAGTTACAATGCTAAGAGCATGGCTTGGCTGGGTAGGGAGAGGCACCAGTCTTCTCTAGGTCTGGGCTGGGCACCGGGTGGGCACCTGGAGCTCGGAGCCCAGCCTGCTGCCCCAGGGAACCCGCAGGGATGTGGGGAGCATGCGGAAGTCTCAATCCGATTATGCTATTAGTTTGGGCATTCTGGGGTTGTGCTCTGTGTCTACTTGACAAAACACAGCCCCGGAGCGGAGCCCTGATCGCTTTAACCAGGTGGAATTGAGCTCACACTTCAAGCAGCTTCTCCGTTATTACTGGCTTAGTGCTGCTGAAGAACCAACAGCAATAAATACGCCACCAATTTGCTCTCTGAATGTTCTTATTTGCAGCACGCCATGCAGAAAAAATATTAACAAAAAACAAACTCCTCACTCATAACAGGCTGAGGAGAGCCTCTTTAGAGTGGCGATGTTTGCCTGGATCTCTTATCCCATGTTTTCTTTCTGTCTAAAGAAGCTATAATTTGAGCTAAGCAGCTGCTGGTAATACTCTTCTGGGACATTGAGCTAAGAGAGGCGATGGTGTGGGAGAAGGTTGGCCCAAAAGGAGGACAATGGAGGGAGAATCCCACTCCAGGGACTGGAAACTGAAGGAATGGGGGAGGCCCGTCAGCTGAATGGGAAGATCCAGAGAGTTGCTCTCAGGGGTGATGAGGAACCCTGGGGTCTTGGGGTCCTGAATACTAGGAAAGCCGCTACTGCTTTCTGGGACTTGATTTCCACATCTGTGAAATGGGCTGATTTGATGACCTCTTCCGGTTCCAGCACTCTGTATTTGCCAAAGTATTTTTTATTCTTTCTCATGTTCTGGGTTCTGACTTAGCAAGAATTTGTGGGAGTGGACACTGTTCTGTAATTCTGGGATCGTCAAGATCCTTGAGACACCAGAATTCTGTTCTATTGTTCTTTGATTTGAAGACTCCAGGGGACTATGAATATGCAATTGTAATAAGAATAATGGCAGCTAACATCACTACAATGTAGCCAGGGCCAGCTTCACGGGGGGCCCTGTGCTTGGTTTAATGCTCTGCTGCCATCAACTTGAAATTCATCATTATTATTATTTTTTCAAATCCCCTATTCCGAGAAGCAATCATCATTGTTTTTTAACAAGGGGCCCCGCATTTCATTTTTTTTTGTGGGTCCCACAAATTATACAGCCAGTCCTGAGTGTACCAGTTAGAAGATTTTGGAGGCAAAAGGACTTGGTTCAAATCCTGGCTCGAGCCTTTCCAGCTGTGAGACTCCGGGCAAGTCACAGCCACTCCCTGAGCCTCAGTGGCCTCATCTGTAAAATGGAGCTAAGATCTTGGCTGGGCGCAGTGGCTCACACCTGTAATCCCAGCATTTTGGGAGGCTGAGGTGGGCGGATCACGAGGTCAGGAGATCGAGACCATCCTGGCTAGGCTAACACAGTGAAACCCCATCTCTACTAAAAATACAAAAAAATTAGCTGGGCATGGTGGCGGGTGCCTGTAGTCCCAGCTACTCGAGAGGCTGGGGCAGGAGAATGGTGTGAACCTGGGAGGCGGAGCTTTCAGTGAGCTGAGATCGCGCCAGTGCACTCCAGCCTGGGTGACAAAGCGAGACTCCATCTCAAAACCAAAACAAAACAAAACAAAAAATCTCACTGAGGTTACTACTGTGGAGACTCAGCCTGGGATGATGTAGTTTGGATGAGCCAGGACACACCCCCAGATCTGCGGGACCCAGAGTCCATGCACATAACCACTGGACTGCACTGCCTTTCCACTGATTTAATTTTTCACTATGGAAAACCTCAAACGTGTGAAAGCAAAAAGAACAGTAGTATAAAGAACCCCCAGGTACCTATCAACTGCCTCAACATTCATCAACACACTCCCAGCTGTGTTCATCCATGTCTCTACCACCCAAACTAGATTATCTAGAAACAAATTGGTGATTAGGACAAATGTGGTGGTTATCACAGTCTACGTTCCAGTGCCTGCAGAGGTCTGGAATTTCATGACTCATAGACTTAAGGAGTTGATGCCTGGAACATTCTGACATTCAGAGAATCCACATGGAACAGTGACAGCCAGAGAGGTCTTTTTCTCAGTCCAAATCAGGTTCCCAGGCTAAGCACTGTGTCAGGCTGAGCAGAGCAAGGCTGCCTTGGTTAGTTGAGATGACCTCAAGCAGGAATGTTCTCCTCTTGTGAATTTGTTTAAGATAATTACATTAGGTCCCATTTCCAAGCCACTTGTAAGAAGAGTGTATTTTCATGTTCAACCACGTCTGAGCTCCCAGGGACGGTTTTAAGAATTCCCCTTTTCCCTCCACTCCCAGCTCCAAATGGCTCCAAATGGTTTTCTTTCTTCTCTCTCTCTCTCTCTTTTTTTTTTTTTTTTTTTTTTTTTTTTTTTTTGAGACAGGGTCTTGTTCTGTCACCTAGGCTGGAGTGTAGTGGTGCCATCGTAACTCACTGCAATCTTGAACTCCTGAGCTCAAGTGATCTTCCTGCCCCAGCCTCCTAAGTAGCTGGGACTACAGGTGCCGCCACCATGCCTGGCTAATTTTTAATTTTTTTTTTTAAATAGAAATGGGGTCCTGCTATGTTGCTCAGGCTGGTCTTGAACTCCTGGCCTCAAATGATCCTTCTTGTCTGGCCTCCCAAAGTGTTGGGATTATAGGTGTAAGCCACCATGCTCGGCCATTTTGTCTTGGTAAAATCTCCCTTGACTGAAACTATGGAAGAGGAACTGGTTTGTGAATGAGTCAAATTGGGAACTATGGCTATGGCTGTCTCTGGCTGTGTTAGTTATCTACTGCTGTGTAACATCTACTAATTTTGTGGCTTAAAACAATTTACATTTATGATCTCGTAGTTTCTGTGGATCAGGAGTCTGAGCATGGTGTGGGTGGGTCTTCTGCTTAGGGTCTCACAAGACTGCAGCCAAGGTGTCAGCTGTGGCTGTGTTCTCATCTGAGGCTCAACTGGAGAGAGATCTGCTTCCATGATCATGCAGATGATTGACAGGAGTTAGGTCCTTGTGGGTGTAGGACTGAAGACTTCAGCTTTTTCCTGCCTGTTGGTCAGAGGCCACCTTCAGCTCCTAGAAACCCCCACATTTCCTTGCCACATGGGCCTCCCAACATAGGCAGCCTACACCTTGGCAGCTTGCTGCTTTCAAAGCTGTCAGGAAGCAAGAGATTCCAGGAAGATGGGTGCTATAATCTTAAGTATGTAATCACACACATCTTGTCAATTTGCTCTATTTTGTGGATTAGAAGCAGGTCACAGGCTCTTCCCACATGCCAGGAAAAGGGACTGGCTACATAAGGGCATAAACATTAGGAGAAGAGTCTGTCTGCTGCAATGGCTCACTTATTCATTCAGCTAGTATTATTTTTTATTTTTCTTTCATTTTTTGTAGAGATAGGGTCTTGCTCTGTGGCCCAGGCTGGAGTCCAGTGGTGCAATCACAGCTTGCTAGAGCCTTGACCTCCTGGGCTCAAGTGATCCTCCTGCTTCAGCCTCTGGAGTAGCTGAGATTACAGGTATGAACCACTGCCCCCATCTCAACTAGTACTATTGATAGTAAGCAAGATAGATGTGGTCCTGCCCTCAGGAAACTTCTATGGAGCAATGCGTGGATCCTGTGTGTGGGGTTGGGACAGTCCCAACTCTGATCTTGCTGTGAGACTTTTGGCTTGACATTAGCTCTCTGGGCCTCCCTTGACCTATTTGACCAGTGGAATGAATACCACAGAGCTATCCCTGGCTCAATGGTGATGTGAGGGTCCAGTCATCATGGACCCTCCATCATTTATCAAGTGGGTATGGAATACCAACTACTAAGCCAGTGCTTTACCAGTGCTGTCTCAACCCTTACCACAGCCCATGTGCAGGGACTTTAACCCTGCTGTTGGCTGTGACCCTCATTCTGCTACCCACAAGAAAATACGTGCAAATGGCCTCTGGAAGGAGTCGGAGGATGCCCTACTATGTGTAAAGAGGAAGTGGGGCAGAGAAGGAGTTAAGAAGACAGGTGGTTGTGATGGAGACCTGCTGTGAGACCTCTTTGAGGCCTTGGCCCTGAAAAGAAACGTCTCCAAGCATCAGTCTGACAGACATCTCCAGAACAAAGAGGATACTGGTTCCTACCTCATGGAGTAATATGATGGTTAACTATGTTTATGAATAGAAATTCTCAGAACCATGAGAACATGGTAACTACTCAAAGAATGGTGGCTTTTGTCATGAAACACCTACTGTGCACTGGCTCCGTGCTGGGATGTTTTATACTGAGCCTGCCGGCCTTCAAGGTGTGAGGCTCTGAGATGAAAAAATGTGGCCTTGGGGTTGAGAGCAGTGATAAAACCTGGCTGTGAGCTCTCCTGGGATGACTTTTTGGTAAAGACAGAGCCTTCTGGTGGCAGCCAGGGAATGTTCTAGGTACCTGACCCTGAACAAACGTCTTGCCTGTGAGGCCCCTCCTCCTGGCACTCAGGCTAAACCTAATTTATGAATGAACCCATCCCCAGTACCTAGTCAAGTGTGGCCACAAAAGGCCCCACAGGAATTGCTGCTCGGGGCAGAGGACTCTGGTCTTCTATGAGCTTATCAGGCTCCTTCTAGGTTGAGCCATCCATGGCTTCCCAGTGCCCTTGAGAAAAGTGCAGAATCCTGCCAGTGACTTGCAAGGGCCCATGTGAACCGGCCCCTCTGGTCTCTGAGGCCTCATCCTCTAGCTTGGTCTCTCTGGTTTTCTCTGCTTCAGCTGTTCTAGACATCCTTCCCAGAGCTGCAATCGCCTGACTCAGGGTCCTTGTGTGCGTTTCTCTCCTTCCTTCCCCTGGCTGGCTCTCGTTTACCCGAAGTGCCTCTTCCATGTGGAAGCCTCCCCTGACCTCTGTATTAAGTCTCACGCTTTTGATCCCAGAACGCTCTGCCTTCTCCTCTGCAGCAGGTTGCACACTTGGACTCATATAAGTGATCATTTGGGATCATTTGTTTGCTGTTTCCCTCCGAAGCTGTGAGTGGCATGTGGGCTTGTTATTCATGGTGTCCCCAGGTTTGGTACATCATAGGTGTACAGTTAGCATATGTGATGGAGTTGATTGGGTTCCTCTGATGGCCAGAAACCACCCCAGTTTTCCCTGCTTGGCAGCTTATGGTGTCAAATACACTCTGAATGTCAGGGTAGCAGGACCTCAAAGGGTGGCAGATCCCACTGCCTTATCAACAGATGGGGAAACTGAGGCATGGAGCAACGAGGTGATACACAAGTTTGGGAGTCAGGCACACATAGGCTCCTATCCCTGCCCCATCATTTAGTCACAGTTCATGCCTTAAAATACGTTCATTTCGTAGTCCTTAAATATGCAACTGTGATAGGATCCTTATAGGAAATTGGAAAAAAATACAAAAGCTATATCTAAAAAAAATCTAAATCTGAACATTATTGCCTCCTAAAACTTAAACCCCCCAGTTCAGAAGTCCCCGTGCCAGATATAGCAGCCCTAGGGCAAGCTACTCCTTTTTATCCGCAAAGAAAGCCCTCTTCAGTTCCACCATCCGGGGCTGAGTACCCCTCATGTGGAAGTACTTCCTTCCAGTCTTTTGTTCTAGGTCTAATTTTTTGCATAGATGAGACCTGCTGTTGATGTGTAATGTTTTTATTTCCTTCTAATGACAAGTCTCCCTTGAAGATGGGGCCCACCTTCTGTATGTGCCCAACTCTCAGGGCCTAGGACAGAGACCCACACGTATAGGTATCAGCAAGCATCGTCTGATAATTGAAGGAATGCCAGAGAAAAAGGGATCCAATCACAGATGACTTTTGGAAAGAGGCAGCCTTCCATCTGAGCCTTGGGGAAGCTTCCCTGGATGCAGGAGAGGTGGAGGCACTTCCTGGCAACTTCTGGGCAGGGCTTGGTCTGAACTTTACCAGTCACTGGGTATCCCCCTAAACATGTACATATCTGTTTTCTCTTTAAGGTAACAGAGGATGCTTTTTGGAAAATGCTATTTTCCAGCACAATCACTGCTGGATTGGCAGGGTGAAGTTCGAGGCCACGGTGGAGTTTAGAAGTAGAACAAGCACTGGCTTTTGAGTTGGGGGGACCTGGATATGCATTCTGGCTTGGCTCAGTCTGGCCATGCAGAGCTGTCCTCATGGACACCACATCGGGCCCCACGCTTGACCTAATGCTCGGCTGTTGTCACCTTGCAATTCTTGATAATTTTTGAACAAAAGTCTCCATGTTTTTATTCTGCGCTGGGCCCCACAAATCACGTAGCTGCTCCTGTGGCCGTGGGAACGTGGAAAAGTCATTTAACCTCCCTGGGACCTTAACTGTTGATTTGAAAAGGAAGATAGTCCTCTCAATCTCACAGTGCTGCTGTAACAATTACAATTACAATCTCATATACAGAAGTAATTACTATAAATTGCATTGACTGCACACGTGCTAAGTGCTTGACACTGATGACTCTCTCCCAGTCGCCCTGTGAAGAAGGGGGTGATTACCATGCCTGTTTTATAGATGAGGAAGCTGAGGCTAGGAGTGGCAAAGTTGCTTGCAGGATTTCAGTGGTGGAGTCGTGAATTCAACACTATTGAGAACCCATTGGATGCCCAGCTAGAGCCTGCTGCTTGCCCACAGGGCTGGTGAAGCGGGTGCATGGCCAACGGTGGTTGCACAAAGTAGGTGATTGGTAGGTGCACATCCTCCTTCCCAGGACACAGGCATTGGCAAGCATGTGTCCCTAGAGCTGTCTCCCCCCTTTCCTTTCTGAGCCTGGAGCATGGAAAAACCTCAAATTTCTAACAGCTGTTGAGAGAACAAACTGTCTCTAAGGAGGAAGGCTTTGTTGCTCCCCATCCCCTTCCCCAGTATCCACCCCCCGGCCCCCACCAGGTCCTCCCACCCGCAGCCTCGCCAGCAGGCGCTCGCCAAGCCCTGAACAATTTCAATTGCTTTGGCAAGAGCCTCCGTGAGATCATGGGCTGGTCCTGTGCATGCCTGTGGGGCGGGGTGGGGGCTGGTGGTCTGCAGAGCTGCCCCGGGGGTGTTTTCCGTGGACACTCCTGAAGGCACACCTGAGGCAGGCGGCTGTGGCAGTGGCAGTGGGTGGGGAGGGGGGGCATTTTCCCTTTGCTGTGTCCTGAGATTTGGGGGGTGTTGCAGGTTGCCCCTGCCTGCCTCACCAGCTGGAATGGAGCGGGAAGACCCCTATGCCCGAGCCCCACATGGACTAGTAAGTTGCTGTGTGATAGTAGACAAGCAACCCTCGTTGGACCTCAGTTTCCTCTTTATAAGAGGTGAGCATTTCTGTCTGACTTCTCCTGCTGTTGGTGGGAAGAGTATGGAGGAAAACCTAGACACGACAGGATCAATAAATCAGTAGCTTCCACTCATTGCCTTCTGCCCGCTGGCCATGAGTCTGAGTTGTTTCTCTGGAAAGCAAAAGGCCAGAGCCCCACCTGCTGCATGTCTTGGCTTCAATATTACCTTCCCCTGGAGACCTCCCTGAACCACCCTATTTAAACCCTTAGCCATTGCTACCAACCCCCACCCCAGTCCTTCCCTAGCTACTGCTAATTTAGTCTCTGTCTCTATAGATTTACCTGTTTTAGACACTCCCTATAAATGCATCATACAATATGTGGCCTTCTGTGATGGGCTTCTTTCTCTTAGCACCATGTTTTCAAGGTTCATCCTTGAAACATCCATGTTGTAGCACGGATCAGAACTTCATTCCTTTACATGGCTGAATAATATTCCATTGCACACATAGACCACATTTTGTTTATCCACTCCTCTGTTGATGGACATTTGGGGTGTTTTCACTTTTTGGCTAGAATGAAGACTGCCGCTGTGAGCTCTCGTGGGCAAGTTTTTGTGTGGAAAAGTGTTTTCACTTCTCTTGGATAAATACCTGAAGTGAAATTGCTGGGTCATGTGGTAACTCTATATTGCACTTTTTGAGGAATGGCCAGACTGGTCCTAGGCATACTGGGTTAATAGGTCTCGGGTAGAGAGGAGGAACCTAAATTTCCAACCATTCTCCCCTTACATTACAGATTAAAGAATAACCTCCTTGTTTGACTTTGACCTCCTTCTATGATATAACCCTAAGCTACTATTCTGGCTTCTATCCATTGTGCCAACTAGTGAGGCTATTTGCTATTTCCTGAACAGAATGTTCATGGTCTCACCTCTGCACCTTCCTTCGCTCATAACCATTTCTCCCACTTGGAATGCCCTATCCCTCTATCACCTCCCTTCCAAAATCTTTATTTATTTATTTATTTTTGAGACAGAGTCTCACTCCGTGTAGCCCAGGCTGGAGTGCAGTGGTGCAATCTTGGCTCACTGCAACCTCTGCCTCCTGGGTTCAAGCGATTCTCCTGCCTTAGCCTCCCAAGTAGCTGGGATTACAGGCATGCGCTACAACACCCGGCTGAATTTTTGTACTTTTAGTAGAGAGGGGGTTTTGCCATGTTGGCCAGGCGGGTCTTGAACAACTGACCTCAAGTGATCCGCCCACCTCGGCCTCCCAAAGTGCTGGGATTACAGGCATGAGCCACAGTGCCCAGCCCTAAAATCTTCATAGTCTCAACATCCACACCAAAGGCCACATTTTCCGAGAAGCCCTTGTTAACCTTCCTGGGTTCTGTGACACCCTCTCTGTCTATTTTACCTTCCATCATGAATTTCCTTCAGTTTGTGATTGTGTAGGTGCGCTATCCAAGCTACTGGATTTTCTGGGACCTTAAACTATGCCTGCTTCCTCTTTGCATTCCCCAGTCTTGACACCGTGCCTGGCATCAGTAAGAGCCCCTGAAATTCTATTAAATGCCAAGGTGACTGGGAATGAGTTTACAAGAGTGGCCAGCAGGTCTGGGAACTCCACCACCTTAGACTGTAACCTCTCCAAGGGTAGAGACATGCCTGGAATTGCTTTCTGTGGTTTCCCTAATTTCTAACATAAAGCCTGGTCTATAGTAGGTACTTGATAAATATTTGTGAAATGAACGAGTGGTTCAAAGACCTCCTTTAGAGAATGAGTACTTTAGTCAAGAGATGGGGTGTTGAGCGAGAATCTTGCCTGGGAGTCCAGAAACCTGGGTTTGAATTCTTGTTCTGCATCCACCTCTCACTCTTTGACCTTGGGTAAGCCCGTTTCCCCTTCTGGGCCTCAGTGTCCCCATCTGTAGGATGGAGGTATTGGAGTAGATGAAATTGAGGCAATTTCTAGCTCTGCCAGCCTGGGATGGCCTCAGCCAGTGTGAGAAGCCAGCCTTGGAAGGGGACACGGGGCAGCTCGCTCCTGTCTGCCCCAAGAGAGGTAATTAAGGCATTCTCAATTTTCATTTCTGAAATTGCAAGGGACATCCTATCATGCAGGGAATACACATTGTCCTTGGAGCCTGACCTCAGGCCTCTGATAGATACAGACGTATTTTTAACGCACATTTCACAGAGGAATAGCTCAGAACCTACCTCCCTGGTTCCCCAGCTGCTCCATCCAGGGTTGTCTAAGCACATGCTCCGGCTCCTTCCATGCAGGCCAGCCCTGGCGTGGACCATGCAGTTTGCTCCAGTTGATCAATAAAATCTGCCAAGGACCAGGGCCTGGGGGCTGTAGGACAGCATGCCCTAGGAGTCAGGACTCGGGTGTAGGAAATTCCTCCTTGGCTTGCAGCCTCCTGAGCAACGGGCCTCTGACCTGTCCCCCTGCACTGCTGGGTTTACCGTGGGGGTCACAAGTCTGCTCCCCTAGGGAAGCTGTGCTCTCCCTCTTCCTATACTTTTTGCTAGACAAGGCCCCCTAGTATTATTATTGATTATCATAACCAACATAGGTGAACTCTTGCTGTGTGCTAAGCATTTTCCACACCTTAACTTAGAGGGGTAGGCATTAAGACTGTGGGGGACTTTGGTTTCAGAAGGGTCCGGGGTCCAAGTCCCATTTTGAGGCTGTCATAAGTCTTAGATGAAGTCCCTACATACTTTGGAAGTCCCCACATACTTTGGAACACAGACCCTGGAACCAAGCAGAACTGCATCCAGACCACAACCTCTGTCGCTTAGCTCTTTGTTGGATCTCTAGAAAAGAACTTCACCTTTCCGAGCCTCTGTTTCTTCATCTGTGAAATGGGTATGTAAATGGATGAGGATGCATTGCACATTGAGTGCTTAAGATGCTGCCTGGCTCACAGGGGACACTCAAAAATACGCCATCTATGACAACTGTTCTCCTTGTTTTGTTTTTGGCACCCCCACCCCCTGCCCACCAGATGGAATCTCTAGCCGGACTTCTAACAGTGCCAGTTTTTGAATTTCCCCTGAAGGACTCAAGGAGTGCGAGTTCTTTCACGTCCAGCTTCTTTTGCTCACACTGTATCCACAAGATTCATCCACATAGCTGTGAGTATCAACAGTTCGTTCTTTTTCCTTGCCAAGGAGTTTTGCCTTCTGTGAATCTTCCATAGTCCGTATATTCATTTGCCTATTGATAGGCACCTGGGTAGTGTCTGATTTAGGGCTAGTAGGAAGAGTGGTCCTGCTAACATCCTCCCGTGGGTCTCTGGTGCCCACACACACTTTATGTTGGGTGTTTGCCTAGGAGCAGGGTTGCTGGCTCCCATGGCAGGGGCATGTCTGGCTTCAGCAGGCACCGCTAAGCAGACTTCCTGAGTGGTGCACCAAGCATTGCTTTCATGTTTAAAAAAGTTTTTTGTCTGGACATGGTGGCTCATGCCTATAATCCCAGTGCTTTGAGAGGCTAAGGCAGGAGGATCACTTGAGGCCAGGAGTTTGAGACCAGCCTGGGCAACAAAGTGAGACCCCGTCTCTACAAAAAATAAAAAATTTAGCCAGGCATGGTAGCGTGTGCCTGTAGTCCCAGCTACTCAGGAGGCTAAGGTGGGAGGATCACCTGGAGCTGGAGAGGTTGACGCTGCAGTGAGCTATGGTTATGCCACCGCACTCCAGCCTGGGCAACACAGTGAGACTCTGTCTCTAACAAAACAAAAATCAAAGGTCAGCCTCTCTCCCACCTCCTTCTCCAGATAACCATTGTCAACAGACTGTTGTCTCTCTCTCTCCCTCTCTCTCTCTCTCTCTCTCACACACACACACACACACACACACACATCAGACACACCAGGCACACGCACACATTGTACAGTGACCTAAATGGAGTTCTCCAAGGCATCTTGTTGGCAGTTGGTTTTCTTCCTCTCCCTTTGAAGTCACTGGAGACAAGGCGGGAACTCCACTCACCTTCCCCTAGAAATCTTTCTCACTGGTCTCACTCAGGGGTTCCAGCCCCATGACCTGGCATGTTGTTCTCTCTGTTGCCGGAGTCTGGCCACCAAGGTGTCTCCTTGTGGAAGGAAGAATCTGGTGGCACCTGGGGATCAGGTGGGGTCCCAGGGAGGCAATAGGGAGGGTCTCCACTCCTGGGAGGCCCTTCCTCCCTTCCCGAGTCCCCACGGGACTTGCTTTGTGTAGGGCGAGGAGGTTTTGCTGTAAGCATCACTCCATCCTCAACTTATTCCCTAAAGCTTGCCCCATTTTCAGTGGCTCCTCAGTGGTATACCTCCCTGGTCTGCAGCTTAAAAAATCATGTTCTCCTTCCTCTTCTTGCCCAGCTGGTTCCTGCTTCATCTTTACAAACCTTCCTAAAACGCTTAAGAATAGGATGCAGGTTCGGGCACTGTGACTCATGCCTGTAATCCCAGCACTTTGGGAGGCCGAGGTGGGCAGATCACCTGAGGTCAGGAATTCGAGACCAGCTTGGCCAACATGGTGAAACCCGTCTCTACTTAAAATACACAAAGTAGCCAGGTGTGGTGTCGTGCGCCTGTAGTCCCAGCTACTCGGGAGGCTGAGGTGGGAGAATTGCTTGAGCCTGGGAGGCAGAGGTTGCAGTGAGCCAAGATCACGGCACTGCACACTCCAGCCTGGGTGACAGAGTGAGACTCTGTCTCCAAAAAAAAAGAATAGGACGCAGGCTGGGGTGACAGGGGGAGGATGAAGGGGCTTGGTGGGGGCCCATGAGAGCCGGGCTAAGGCAGGTCGAATTCTTCAGGGGTTGTATTTCTGCCGACACCAGCTTCCCAAGGTGCCATTCTACTTAAAGAAAACAAATTGAAATTCAGTGCAGGTGGCCTCGTTGGTCTTGTCACCTGGAGGATAAATGGCTTAGGCTGCTCCCCAGGAAGCCAGCTTCGTCTGGGGAGCTGGGGTTCACCCATGTGACCCCCACTGTGGCTCCAGACTATCAACTGTGGCCTCAGTATAGGATGCAGCCAGGAGACCTGGGGGCAGGGCTGGCTTCATGGCCTTGGGACCTCTGCAATTGAACAAGGCCTTGAGCTGAGAAGGGCGCCATGTTTGTTGAATGCTCTATTGTTACCATCTTAAAATTTTTTTTTTTTTTTTGAGACAGAGTCTCGCTCTGTTGCCCAGGCTGGAGTGCAGTGGAATGATCTCAGCTCACTGCAACCTCTGCTTCCCGGGTTCAAGCAGTTCTCCTGCCTCAGCCTCCCGAGTAGCTGGGACTTACAGGCACCTGCCACCATGCCCAGCTAATGTTTGTATTTTCAGTAGAGACGAGATTCACCATGTTGGCCACACTGGTCTCAATTTACTGACCTCGTGACCCACCTGCCTCGGCCTCCCAAAGTGCTGGGATTACAGGCGTGAGCCACCGCGCTCGGCCAAAATTCTTAACACATTTAAAAATGAGGAGCCCTGCATTTTGGTTTTGCATGTGGCCTGGCAGATTATGCAGCCTGTTCTGCCCCGGGGTCCAGGCATAGCCTTCGCAATGTCTGGTTCTTGCACATTCTATCTTGGGACCTCAGTTTTCCCAGCTGCAGAATGGGAGGACTCAGGTGATTGCATGGAATGACACTTGAGGTGCTGCCAGCCCTACCTGAAATATCTTAAAAAAAAATTTTTTTAATAGCTTGAAAATGCCTGACAGGTCCCTCATGATAATCACTGATTCTCACAGTGGAGGCTGTGGATCAGCAGCATCAACATCACCTGAGAATTTGTTAGAAATACAGATTATTGGGTCCACCTACACCTTCTGAATCAGAAACTCTGAGCCTGGGGTCCAGCAGTCATCTGTGTCATAAGAAATCCTCCCAGGGATGGCTGGGCATGGTGGCTCATGCCTGTAATCCCAGCATTTTTGGAGGCTGCGGTGGGCAGATGCTTGAGCCTAGGAATTCGAGACCAGCCTGGGCAACATGGTAAAACCCTGACTCTCCAAAAATTCAAAAAATTAGCCCAGCATGGTGGGACGAGACTGTAGTCTCAGCTACTTGAGAGGCTGAGGCAGGAGGATCACTTGAGCCCAGGAGGCAGAGGTTGCAGTGAGCTGATATCATGCCACTGCACTCCAGCCTGGGTGACAGCAAGACCCTGTCTCAAAAAAACAAAAACAAAAAAAACCAGAAATAACCCTTCCAGGGGGTGCTGAGGTTGTGATCCATTGTTGCAGACCTAGACAGACTATGCTGAACCCTAGAATCCCAGCCTGGGAGTCAGGAAACTGAGGGCCCTGCCTGGATCTGATTAACTGGCTGTGACCCCAAGCAGGTCTTTTCCCTGCTCTGGGTCTCAGCTCCCTCATCTGTAAAATGGGCAGGTCGGATCTTTCTTGCAGGTGGCTTTGAGGGTGACAAACTGCCTTGCGCATGATGTATATAAAGCATTGCAAACACATATCATTTTTTCCACTTTTTATAGAGACAGGGTCTTGTTATGTTGCCCAGGCTGGTCTTGAACTCCTGGCCTCAGACAGTCCTCCTGCCTTGGCCTCCCAAAGTGCTCAGATTACGGGTGTGAGCCACCATGCCCAGCTGCACAAATCATTTTAAAAACACTTTTATGAATAAGGAAATAAATGACTTTGGCTTCTGGGTTACCTGGGTGGGTGGGCTGTTCTGGGCACCCCCAGGTCACCCCTTCCCTGGTCCCAGTGTAGACTAGAAGATTCTCTGACTCTTAAAAGTGATTTTTTTTTCCTTTTTGGGCAACTGTTAAATGATGAGTTTGGTAGAGAGAATGTAAACCTTTCTCTTCTTGGAAGATAAATACCACCAGACACCTCAGTTTCCTCATCTATAAAATGGAGACAGTACTACCCACCTTTCAGGACTGGCATGTAGATTAAATGAAATAATTTATAGAATGGGCATAGCACAAGGTGCAAGTGCAGGGATCAATAAAATATTCATAATCTTATTTTTAGTAAAAACGTAGGCCGGGCTTGGTGGCTCACCCCTCTAATCCCAGCACTTTGGGAGGCTGAGGCGGGTGGATCACCTGAGGTCAGGAGTTCGAGACCAGCCTGGCGAACACTGCGAAACCCTGTCTCTACTAAAAATATAAAAATTAGCTGGGCGTGGTGCTGCATGCCTGTGGTCCCAGCTACTCGGGAGGCTGAGGCACAAGAATCACTTGAACCCGGGAGGCGGAGGTTGCAGTGAGCTGAGATTACACCACTGGACTCCAGCCTGGGTGACAGAGCAAGATTTGTCTCAAAAAACAAACAAACAAAAAACACCAAAAACGCTCAACCATCAGTGCCAGTCTGCCCTTGTTTCACAGGGGCAGGAATTCTAAGAGCCATATGCCCCTCTACTTCTTAGCACATCTCACTGGAGTGAGAAAGCTGGTTGGTAGAGGCACGGTGATGCTGAGAATCAACACCGCGATGTGGGCTGCCCATGCAGTGTGTGAAGCGTTCACACCCTTGGTCTCCTTCCAGCCTTACGGTTGCCCTGAGAAGGCCTGGCAGCTGCAACTTCATTTTCCAGGAGGACTGCAGCCCCAGATAGGGGCTATGTGTCACCCATACAGAGGACGCAGGCCTAGATATTGCTGCTGTCAGCCTTGTCTCTGCCACAGATCTCCCCAGGGAAGGGTCCTTCTCCGCCTAAGAGTAAGTGGGTGGTTCATCGTGTGCATTTCACGCGCGTCTTCACCTTCAGAGGCAATGGAGGCAGCAGAGGTGTTGACAGGGCTCCGGGCTCCCACAACAGTGTGTGACAGAGGAGGCTCTCTAGGCAGGGCTCCCCTGCACAGCCTGGGGGTCTAGGACTGGGGAAGGCCAGGGAGCAACAGAGTACAGGTCAGCTGGTAGCCCGATTGCTTGTATCCTAGGCAGGAGCAGACTGGGGACACAAGAGATGGAGATAAGGAGGGAGGGAGTAGGAAAAATCCGTGGGACTTGCTAGTGGTAGCCAGAGGCAGGAGGGAAAAAGGGCAGGGTGTGTGGGAGGAACCGCACAAAAGCAGCCCTGGAGTAGGGGAGGGGATGGGGGAGAAAATGGGGGAAGGGGTTTCCCTCTTCTCATGTGTTTTGAGTTCTGGGCTGGCTGTGCTCCGGGCCCTATTTGCTTTGGAAGGGCATCCAGTTAACTCCTTCTTGCCTGGAAGGCTGCTGGAGGCTGGCTAGGGAGGGAGGGGGCTTGGGAGGTGGTAGCCAGACTGGGGAGCTTACGGCTTATTTTTCCTACCTGGTTCATCCAGGGGATGTTGGAGTGATGGAAACAAGAACCCCCACCAGGACTGGGACTGGATGCCTCCATAAAGCATGCATCCCGGGCACCTTGCAGGCCTCCCCTTGGTTCCAGCCCTGGCTCTTACACTTGCTCAGATAGTCACACCTACTGGACACTCTGCAAGGGGTGTGCATGCTCACACACACATCCACACACGTGCGTGTGCACACACACGTGCACCTCAATAGACTCCTATGCTCAAACTCAGGTCATTTTCTCTCTTATCCTCCACCAGGACCCAGCCAGCTGCCATACCCCCAACAGGACAGAGAAACTGAGGCTCAGACAGGAACAGGGACTTGCTTGTAGTCAGACAGTAGGTGGCTGAACTGGAATTCAAACCTCAGCACCTTTGGCTCCTGGGATCCCTGCTGTGGGCTGGGCATGGGGGCTGGTTTCGAACCCACCTTCTTCTCCACTCTGCTGTGTGGCCTGGATACCATGTGGCCACCAGCTGAAAACCCAGAGGCATCAGGCCTTGGCTCCATTTTCCTTCTGTTGGGGCTGAGCCACCACCCCCGAGTTACTTTTTTCCACATCTGGCCAGAGTTCATCCTGCACAGTGAATATTTGAGCGGAAAAAATGTATTTCACAGTGGCTGTTAAGGTTAGGCAGCAGGAAGGGGTCCCCCAACCTGTAAACACCCATGGGGAAAGGTGGTTCTTAGGTTCTCCTTTTAGATACCTTCCTTGAGGGGATCCCTCAAAGGCCATTTTTTTGGTTTATATCCACATTTAAAAAAATTAGCAAAATGAAAACAAAATTAACAAAATGAAAGAAGGTGACCAAGGCCCTGGTGCTGCAACGAGAAGGGCTAATATTTATCATTTGCCTCTTGTGTGATAGGGCCTGTTATACCCATTTCACAGACGGGCAAAGAGAGGCACAGTAAGACGCAGCCATTTGAGCCAAGGCACAAGCCTGGGGTGGTCTGAATGGCTTGTAGCTCCTACAGCAACCCCCACCCCCCATTGTGGATTCTTCCTGGTGTTGCTGGGGCTTCTTAGCAGCTCTGCCCGAGGTACATGTGGAGCCCAGATTTACTGATCAAGTGAATACACAGAAGGGTGACTCCAGACCTCTTTTCTGCTGGCTGTGGGAGAACCATCCCCCTTGTTCAGGTTGGAGGCAAGTGTGTGTGGGAAGGGGTTTGGAGAGGGATGCGGCAAGAGTTAGGAAGTGTCTAGATCCTTGGTTCATTTATCAACAAATGTGAGCCAAACCATGTGGTGGGTGCTAGAATACACCAGCGATAAGAACTGGGAGAACACTGCCTCATGACACTGGCCTCCTTCCTTCCCCTACAGGTTCCTGGTCACTGTGTGACTCTGGACAGGTTGCTTTTTCTCTCTGTGCCTCAGTTTCCTTGTATCTAAAATGAGGACACTGGACTCTAATTTCAAAGTTCCTTCCAGCTGTTTATTTAGTTGCCACTTCCTCCTAGTGGGTAGAACTTGTGTTTATTTAATCCTCATGACAGCTATGTTGGGCTGACATTGGAATTCTTGGACTACCATACTTGGCTGTCTGTTGTCTTCTTGGTGTCCACTTATACTGATGGTAGAGCATTTTGAATTTTACCTTTGAGTATTTCCACTTCACACACTTAGAAACACAAAAGGTCATATGCCCCAAATGTTTCTGTAAGGTTGATGACTGGAGCAACCTTGGATTTATTGGAGGGGCCAATAATCTGTAGGGGAATGACCTGTCAGGAGGCTCTTGCAGAAATCCAGGAGAGAGAAATTGGTGGCTTAGAATACAGTGGTGGTGGGAAACGAGAGGAGAGCGGAGAAGGAGAGGAGGTAAACAAAAAGGTTCAGACATACTTGGAAGGTGGAATTAACAGGATGAGGTGAGGGGTGTGTCAGTCACCTGTTGACACAATGATGCCATGTTAACAAACCACCCCAAAATGTCATGGTGTCAATTCACGGCATTTATTTCACTTATGAGTCTGCAGGTTGATGATTTAGACTGGGTTTGCTTAGATGGTTCTTCTGCTCTTGGCTGGGCTGGCTTACATTTCCAGGGGTTGGCCTGGCTGTTGGTTGATCTAGGATGGCCTCAGCTGGGGACAACTCATCTGAACCCCCTTGTCAATCATCTTCCAAAAGGCTGCCCAGGTCACGTTCTCATGGCAATCATGGAAGAGCAGAAAGTGTAAGTGAAATACACAAGCATCATGTTTGTTAACATCTCATTCGCCAAAGCAAGTCATATGGTTGAACCTTGTGAGAGGACACTCTAAGGTCAGAGTGGAAGGGCACTGTAGGTCCCATGGCCAAGGGCATGGATGCTGGGGTGAATGCTGGAGAATTGGGGCCATTCCTGCTGTCTGCCACAAGAGTGGAGGATGAGGGAGAGGAAGGCACATCCACAAACACGATCACACCACAGTGTCCTGCAATATTACTTTTCTACTTAATAACACATCAGAGATTTAATAATCCTTATCAGTTCGTGCAGATCAATTTTACTTTTTTCTAGCCATGTAGTAATGTCACAGCCAACTGTTATTATCTCCATAGTACACATGAAAAGACCGAGGTTCAGAGAGGTAAGGTATCTTGCCCAAGGCCACACAATTATAATTGAGAGGCAGACACTAGATCTATTCTTTTCCAAACCTTGGCCTCTTTGGGTCTATCACACCGACATTTCTTCCCCAGGAATCATCCTGGGGCCAGTTTGAGCGATTCCAAAAGTCAGTCACCAGTAGTAGTTACCTAAGTTTAAGAAACTATAAGAAGAGAGTTCAGACTCAAGTTCTTCTCACCTCCTGATCTCAAAATATGGAGCAAAGTTTTCCTTGCCTCTGAAAACAACTTGATGTCTTCTGTTTGGAAAGAGCAGAAAAGGCCTCAATCCAAAAGAATCATGTGGTCTGGTGGAAAGAATAATTTGTTGGGAATCACATGCCCTGGGCTCCAACTCTGCACCTCTTGCCTATGGCTGGGTGGCTTTGGTCAAATCCATCAAACACTCTGGACTTGGGTTTCCCCATCCGTCAGCTGTGGCCTCTCCTTCAAAGGAAACATAAAAAACATGCCGTAGAGCTTGTTGAAACTAGGAATAAAGTCTAACTTGCTTGCTTAGGAAAGTGTCCAGGAATGTTGGATCTGGACAGCCAGTGCAAGTCTCCCTGGGTCTCTTTGGCCTCAATTTCCTCCTCAGCAAATTGGGGGAAAAGTATCTACCCCCACAAGGGCTGGTGAGCTCATAGAGGGAGGGGCCCTGACACAGACCTGGCACCCTGCAGGTATCCAGGGAATTGTAGCAATCAGCTCAATGCTATTCTCCAGCTGGCTGTCCAGCTGTTAGGGCTGGAAGGTCCTTAGAGTGTCTCGGTCTCACTTTGCCCTTGGGGAAACTGAGGCTCAGAGTGGAGAGAACTTTGTTAGGGCCCAGAGAATTCATGACATTGCTGGGCCCCATCGGGGGATGTTGAAGAAGATGCTAACTGGAGTTTACACAATACTGTTTGCACTGCATTCTGTGCTTGGCTCTGCCATGTGAGATTTCATTTAATTCTGACAACATCCTGCGAGGTGTTTGCTATCATTTTCGCCATTTTATAGGGAAGGAAAATGAGACTTGGAGACCTCAAGTGGTTGGACATGCAATTCCTGCAGAAGGCCACCCGCAAATCTCTGGCTTTCTCTTCACTGGACAAAACCCATCAGAAGGTGACTGAGTGAGGATGATGTCATTAGAATCCACACTAAATGAAATGAAAAAGAAACTAAGTCATTCTAAAATGTCAGCACTTGAACTGTTATTGGCAACCGATAGCTTGGAACAGAGTTCACAGCCAGACGTATCAGGGTGGGCCTTGGTCATCATCTGTTTACATCAGAAATGATGCTGACATCCCCAGGGCCTCAGAGACACAAGGGGCTTAGGTCAGGTAAATTTGAGTGGAAGTTTTGTGGCAAGAGCAGGGGTCTGTGGATGGCAATGCAGGCTCTGAGATGGGCTTGCTGTGTGGCCTCAGGGGAGTCACTTGACTTCCCTGGGTCTCAATCTCATTTGTAAAATAAAAGGGTTTGGACCAGAAAATATGTAAGGTCCCTTCTGCTGCCTCATCTAAGACAGGGTATCGTATATGCTGGTTAAGAGTGGGCATTGGAATCTGGAAGACCTGGGATTAAGTCCTGATAAAAACTCTAGGCCCTAAGAGGCTTAGGAACAAACAAAGCAAACAAAAATCAACACAAAAAAAAATGGGGATGGGTGAGTAAGGGAGTAATAATATATTGGCCGAAGTGGTTGGTATTAGCTTCAGGAATGGATTGATCCAGATGCTTACACAGAACTCCCATGAGAGTATCCATTGGTTTCATTGGCTCTGACTGAACTATAGTACCTCCCAGAACCAGTCACTATGACTGAGAGAATTGTGGAAGCAACTAACCTAAGGCAATTATGACCCACATATTCTGTGTGGGTGAGATTAGAACAGGTCTTTCTGAAGGGATATAATGATACCCTCGGCTGAAGAAGAGGTGGATGGATGCTAGGGAGGTAAAAACATTCACTGCAGTGAGTGGTGGTCTGTCTGAGACTTCATTTTTCCATATGTAAAGTGGGGATAATTCTTACATTTGCCTTTTTATGGCTCACTTAAAATCAACTTACTCCTCCCAATTTTCCTGTCTCCTTGTAATTAGGCAGAGGGCATGTGACTTCCCAGCAAAGGGTGGTGCATGCATGATCAGGTGTGAGTTCTTTCTGCATTCTCTTCCCTCTATAGTGAACAGGATGCCGAGATAGTATTGAGATAGTAGAGCCATGAGATGGACTCAGATTGGATCACTGAGTCACAGCATGGAGCACAGCTACCCTGGAGAGTGACCAGGCTTCCATTAGACTTTGTTTGAGCAAGAAATGAACCTTTTTGTAGTAAGCCACTGAGGTGTTCAGACATACTTGTTATTAAGCATAGCCTAAGCTACCCCAGCTAAACCTTTATGTGACTTTCTTTGTTCATGGATGTCTTTCCATGCCTGACATGTAGACCTAGCTCATTCTTTTACATATCTGCATAATATTCCATAGTATGGTGACACCTTGACTTATTTAACCAGTCCCCTTTACATCATTCTTGCATTATTGGCAGATTTCATTATGACAAACAATGGTGTATAAACAATACCATTGTATTCTTATACTTCCTCATACATCTTTGTGCACGTTGAGTTTGTGCCAGTAGTATTGCTTGGTCAGGAGCGTGCACATTTAATACTGGTTTTTACTCCCACTAATAATTTTTGAGACAGCCTGTTTGCTCTACCTTTGTTAATGAAGAATATTATTGATGTTTCCATTTTTATCAGTGTGATAGACAGAACAGGGTGTCTTATGTTAATTTGGGTTTCATAGCAAGTTTTTGGTCAGGTTGGATTTTTCAGACATCCTGCCAGCTTCACCCTACTTGTTCCAGAGAAAAAGACTGGGCTGACACTGCAAAGAGAAAGAGAGAGATACATACAGGTGACAAGATGATGAGGCAGAGACTGGGAAGAGAGAGAGAGAGAGAGAGAGAGAGAGAGAGAGAGAGAGAGAGAGAGAAAGAAAGGAAGGCACCCAGTCCCCTGTTTCTCTCCAGATTCACACACCAGCCCCCTGTCAGTCTTACTCAAGCAGGGCTCAGATCCTGAAGTGGGACCCCCATCACCTCTGTGGCCAATAGCGGGGGGGCCAGCCAACATCTGGGTTTGCACTGGGACAGGGGAGGGTTGTTGGCTCAGTTCCTCTTGGCCTGAAGCCACGAGCCTAGCTTGTTTGTATAGTCCTTCAGGCTTCTTCTCCATATCTTGGTGTTTTTGGCTCTAAGCTAGCTCCCTCCCAGCCAGGGGAGGAGATAATTCCACTCGATCTGGGCCTCTGAGGCACTGGGAAGGACGTCAGGAAATAGCAGGAGCATTACGCACCTCTCTACCCTCCACCGTCCAATCTCATTTTCATAATGTGTGGAAAAGGAACGGGGTTGCAGAGGGAGGCTTGAACACTTGGAGTTGCTTCCTGTTTTCTCTCGAATCAGTCCTTTTCCCCAAGACGCCGCTGCTGGGCCTGTTGAACCCTGCCTTCTGGTAGGTGTGTGCGTCGCATGTCTATGCATGCCCATGCAGATGTGTGTGTGTACATGTGGGTTACGTACTCAACGAGCCAATCAACAAACAGACCTAGGAGAACCCTGGAGAGGGACTCCTTCTTTCCTTGAACATGCTCTTTACTCTTGCAACCTCCCAAGAAAGAAAAAAAGGAGTTAGCTTACGTGCCTCTTCTTCCAAAGGTCAGTCACCAATAGTAGTTTCCTAAGGTGTCTGGGTAAAGCCTTCCCAGATGCCACAGGGACCTTCTTTGTCATATTCACATCTACACCTACCATGTTGAGTCCAAGACTCAGTACATAGTAAGAATGAATCCATTAATCAGGGCTAACACTTTAATTATAGAACAGAGAACAATATGGTCCAGAGAGGACAAGGACTTGCCCCAAATCATGGAGTATGTCAACGGCAAGGCAAAAAAGTGGAACCCAATGTTCCTGACACTTAGTACAGTTTTATTTTATGTCATTATGCAAGATGCTCAAAGAAACTGACTATTACTGATCTCTGACTTTATAGTTTTAACTTCTTTGGAACAACCTATGAAGGAGGAATATTCGCCATGTTACTGATGGAGAAACAGGTTCAGGGAGGTTTGAGCTGGCTCCAGGTGGAGGACCCAGAATTTGTCTTGAAGTGGCTTCTTCCAAAGCTTGATGCCTGTGTTCGGTAGCACACAGAGGGCTGGTGGGGGCAGAGCCTTACCCAGCCTTGATCAGAACCTCTGAATAGGACTCTCTCACTGTTTAGGGTCTTTTAGAGAAAGAGATCAATGGCGTTCAACTGAAGCAGACTTAAAATCTACTCCTTTGGGAAGTTTTCTCTTAAGTGCAGTCTACTTTTTTCCAGAGCTCACAGAAAGTCCTCGTGCTGATCCTGGGAGAGCAACCAGCCCATGGGGGTCTGGACAGTGAAAAGCCCTTTCTGTCTAGGTATCAACAACAATTTCCAGTAGAGCCCTGGTGGGGCTGATGTGGCCCCATTGTTGGAAAACAGGGGAAATGTGAAGAGGATCACAGAGTTACTGGTGGCTTGAAGTGTGGGGCACCCATTGCAGCCACCTTGAGGACCAAACCTGCTCTGAATCTCCCATTCTCGCATCCTTCCTGTGTGACACCCACATCCATGCACACATACACAATGGGCACACACACAGCCACTCACACGCGCATGCCCTCTCCCATATCTGTGCACACACGTGAATATACACACACCCCTAAGTTCCTACAGTAGACTGGAAGACTTTGGAATCTGAAACCTTGTCTTCACCTCTCTGTGGGGTTGCTTGGTGACCTCACCAATACCCAGCTGCTTTCATCTATAAAAGGGGGTAAAATTCCCAGGGATGAGTTGAGGATACAGTGTAATATGCCCGTCTGCTCCTTAGTATTTGCTGAAGTCATTATGTGACCGTGTTGCTCTGGGCTGCTGCCCCACCTCTCGCTTTCCTCAGTAGAGCCTACTGCATCCCTTTCTCTTAGGACAGTTGCCTAGTGCACATTCCTCCAGGTGACATCTGATTGGTTCAGTTACTTCTTTCCACCTGTAAGTCCCTGGCTAATGAGTGGTTTGCACTAGGGCACACAACCATTGCTTTGTCCAATCAGTGTGTTCAGGGCCAGGACACATGATCCACCCAGACAAAGGCTACTTAGGGAAGTAGGGGTGGTGGGTAGTCTGGCACCCTGAAACAAGCCTGGGGCAGCCAGTGAGAGGTGGGATTTCAAACCCTGCTCTGTCTCCTGCTAGCTGGGTGCCTTTGGACAAGTCCCTGGCATGAAGCTGTTTTGTCATTGGCAACGTATGATGATAATAAGGACAGCACTGTTTTCCAGCACCACTGTGCACATCCAGCTGCATAATTTAATCCAGACTGCCGGCACAGGGCCTGGCACCAGATACATTTTCAGTCCATGTGGATTCCTTTCATCTCCTGAGTTCAGGCTTTGAGTAGTTTGAGCATCCTCCTCTCTATCCTTTACCCAAGACAACCACCCGCCATGGACAACAGTTTGAACCAAGAGGGTTCATCTAATTTTAAGCCCTAGTGTGTCACCAATTTATTTTGGTCCATGAACTATTGCTCGCACCTGTTGGCATCTTGGAATGCAAACTCCTTCTAATTTTAAGCACCAGCAGGGGCAGGTCTAATTTTGGGTGGCCCTTGTGCCGGGGGCTCCCAAGGGAATTCAAGCTCTGTTGTTTGGAGCACCTGGGGTGAAGTGGGTGCCTTCCAGAATAGATTAGGGTTGTGATATGTTCAAGAGGGACCCACACAGTTTGTATCCACACAACATTAACTACAATTTTCTTCAGGACTTTTATTGTGGCAGGTCTTGTTCCAAGTCAAGTGCTTTTCATGTATTATTGGATTACTTTTACTTTGAAGTGTAAATCAGCCAACACGGAGTGCTTACTATGTGCTAGGAGCTGGAGATGCAAAAATGAATCTGACATAGTCCCACCTGCAGAGAACTCATGATCTAGTGCTCACAGGCACGTAAAAAAAAAAAAAAACAGTTATAGTGCAGTGAGATCAGAGAGCCGTACAGTGCCTGGCACCCAGCTGCCTTTGAGGGAATGTCCAGCAAATGAATGGAAGCAATGTTTGTGATAGAGACAAGATAAAGTTGCTGCAAGAAAGCAAATTCCCATTCTCCTTGGGAGATTAGCAGAAGGTTTCACAGAGGAAATTATACTCTGAGCTAAGTCTTGAAGAAGATAAAGTGTTTCTCCAGGTGGAGAAGGGAGGAGGATGTGGCATGTATTTTAGTGCTTCACCCACATTGCTCTCAGCACAAAATGTTTCTATGTGCACCTGGCCCATTCCAATGGCCAACACCAAATGCTCTTTGTCTGAGGGTTTTTCTGGTCACCAGAGTTTGTTTGGTCCTTGTGAGTGGTAGGCAGAGAGAGGCTGGGAATTAACACTCCCAGGAAGCCCTCAACTGCTAACAGATGGAGTTGTTGTATCAATACCCCAGCTCCCTCCCCACTCAGGTGGAATAACATTGAGATGTATATTCTGCAGAATCTCCCAATGTTCCCCAGTGGAATTGAGCCCTAGTTGCCCATGGTGGTAATTGCCATAGATAATGCATCCTGTATGGCTGGCTTCTTCCTTATCTCCTTTTCCCACTCTTCAGCAAGGGCTTTCTGCACATTCCGAGTAAACTGCTGTTCATCTGGGGGCCAGCTTTTGGGAAAATCCAAATCAAGACAGTGAAAGAAGCATGGATCACCAACGTGACACATTCCTGAAATGTGATGAGTGATATATTGTCAATGATTAGGCTAGGTATCCATCATCACTGGCCATTCCCATTCTGATCTGGTTTGCAACCAGCCCACTGGGGAACATCATCAAATCTTATTTTGCAGGTAAAGACTCCAAAGCTCAGAAGAGTAAGTTGACTTGCTCAGAAACACAGAGCCAGTGGTTGTGTGGTGCAGACAAGAAGCCAGGAGTCTGTGATTCAAGGCCAGGAATACCACCATGTCTTGCTGTATATCTTTCAGGACTCTGTGACTCAGTTTTTCTGCAGGTTACTGTATGATTCTCTGGAGCAGGGTACAAGGTATGTTTCCACTGTGTGCCTCCCCTGTCCCTCACCCACAAGCCATCTTCTTCCCTTGGGGCAGCTGACACATCTCACAGGCCCTTGGAACAAGGTCGGGGACAGCCAGGAGGGTGTGTGTGTGTGTGTGCGTGTGTGTGTGTGTGTGTAGGGGGGTGGCTAGTTTTGTGCCAGCAGCAGGTGCTGCTGTGCAAAGAGCTCCAGCCCTGCTGGATGGGGCCTGGATGCTGGCTTCTCTGAGTAGTAAGCAATCAATTGATGAAGTGTGGTTGAGTGCATTCAAAACGCTTGGGGACAGTGGGGCTGGGAAGATTCTCTATAGCATGATAGTATTTGAAGAAGCCAAAAAGAAGAGTAGGAACTTCCATGAGTAACAGGTTGGGAAATTTCCAAGGGAAGCTGTAATGGGCATTTGTCTTTTCCCCCCTCCTCTCTGACTAATTTGTTGCTTTGGGATGCATCACCCCTCTCTTATTCTTAGCCCTGGGGTTGGGGTTAGAGTGAGAGTGGAACTCACTCTCCACTGCAGGGAGTGCCCTGATTGGCTTATACCAGTCATCATTTTCCACTGTCAAGTCGTAGTGATTGGTTCAAGGCTAGACCATGAGAGCCCATCACAAGCCAAGGAGATGCAAGAAGGCATCTGCTGGGATTTCTAGAAAAGAGACGCTTCCTCTTTCTTCTACTTAAGAGTGAGAAGTAAAGATATAATCTCTGTGATAGATACGGTCAAATTGTTACCAGGTCAAGAGACTCTGGAGCTTCTGTGTTCCTTATAGGAGACACCTTGAAGCTTGCTGGATGCCTCAGAGGGAAGTGAGAGAGAAACAAGCACCAGAGAAGGCAGAGTGAGGAAACAGAGAAATTGGGACTTTGGAGACATTGTTTGAGCTGCTGGACCAAGCCTTGCCTGAAAGCAGCATATCTAGACTTCAACATGTAAGTTAATATATTTTTCTTTTTTATTGGATGAGGGTTAGGTTTATTGAGGTATAATCTACTCATGGTAAAATCCACATTCTTCAGTGTATAGTTTCATGTATTTTGACAAACACATATAGTCATATAACCACTACCACAAATTGGAATATCAGACAGTTCCATCAACCACTCCCACCCCATCAAATGTTCTTATAGCCCCTCCCTGTCCTATGTTTTTAAAAAAGATTTTGGCTTAGGCCAGTTCAAATTGGGTTTTCTGTAATGTGCATACCAAGTGTCTGACTAATAAAAGTCCCCAAGATCACCCCCTCCCTCCTTTCCTTCCTAGCCCCTTTTGGAAAAGATTAGTTAAATGTTTACCATGCCCCAGACACTGTGCTAGCCCCAGCCCTCAGTCCCACTCCTCTCTCCAGCAATCAGATTGGGTATCCCCATTTAGGTTTGGAGGAGATGACTGCCAAGAGAATAACCTGGTTTGCTGGAGTGGGGCTGCTGGCCAAAATGCTGTTTGTTCCTTTCAGCCCCACTCTGAGGAGCTTCTGGGAGAGTTGGCTAGGTCTTTCCCAAGCCTGGGAAGCAGAAGCCGGGGCAGATTAACAATGCCAATTACTAAGATCCTGCAGTCGATGAAAGGTTGGTGTTTTGCAGCCACTTCCTTAGCTGGACAATGAGGGAGCTGACCTTTCTGTGCTCAATAAACCAATTGCCACTAGAGAGTAGGTTCCCTGGTGACCAGGAACCAAAAGCCAAGTTGCAGATATCATTTCTGGGGGGTGGTGGCAGGGGGAAGGAGAAAGGAGATAGGTGCTGGGGGTTGGGAAGCCTGGGTTTCGATCCTGCGCCACTATGTGGCTTGGGGCAGTCACTCCCTGAGCACTTCTGCACTTAGTAGGCACCTGCTGTGTGCCTGGACCCTGTAGACCAATGTCATTTGTGGTCATCTTACAAAAGGACTCAGGGATGCAGAGGAGGAGACTGCAGGATCACTTTGTCCAATCCTCTGGTTGTACAAGTTGGGAAACCAAATCCCAGAGAAAGACTTAGCCCCTGAAGGCTGCCCATGGGACGGTCCTTCCACAGTAACCTGTGCATCACACTTGGTGGTTTACAGAGCCCTCTCTGACCCACTCTGACCACAGTCTCCCCACCGTCCCCGAGGAGACTAGATCTGGAAGAGGATATTTCTTGGATCTGGTCACCTGGCAGAGATGAAACTCTGATGAGAGGCTGCCCATGCTTCACCTGCCTCCCTCCCCCTGAAGCACCTGATCCAGGGTTGGCCTGCACCAGGAGCACTTTCCTTCTCCCAGGAGGAGATCTGCCCTTCTCTAACTCCAACACTTTGTTAGAACCCTGAAGGTAGAGGAGCCAGACAGACCTGGGTTTGAGTCCTGACTTTGGCACTGATGGACTGCGGGACTCTGCCCTTTACCTTAAGATCTCAGGCCGGGTGCGGTGGCTCATGCCTGTAATCCCAGCACTTTGGGAGGCCGAGGTGGGTGGATCACGAGGTCAGGAGATGGAGACCAGCCTGGCCAACATGGTGAAACCCTGTCTCTACTAAAAATACAATAATTAGCCGGGCCTGGTGGCGGGCGCCTGTAATCCCAGCTACTCAGGAGGCTGAGGCAGGAGAATTGCTTGAACCCAGGAGGCAGAGGTTGCAGTGAGCCGAGATTGTGTCACTGCACTCCAGCCTGGGTGATAGAACAAGATTCTGTCTCAAAAAAAAAAAAAAAAATCTCAGGATTCAAAGAGATGGTGCATGTGAGGATAAACCTGCCCAGCCCTGCCTTGCCTTAAGCCACGAATGTGAGGGCTCCAGATACATCTGTGGACGTCACTGAGATGCGCCTGGGCTGCCTTCTCATTTCTGGCCTCTGTGCTTCTGAGAGCCCTCTTCTCTCAATTGAAGCCCCCTTTCTACCCCTGCCATTCTTTTGCCCTTCCAATTCCTGTATCCTAGGAGTAAGGCTGGAGAATGAGTGGAAAGAAGACACCTTTGCTTGGGAATCTTTCAGATGCCAGCTGGCATGGGTTTTTGCCCTGGCTTTGAGCTGAGCCTCAGCCAAGGACTGATCCCCTGCCTGCAGCAGGTAGGTCCTGGTCATGCCAGGGAGGCCCCTCTGTCTAGATGGGAGGGAATGTCCACATCCCACTGCAGGAAGACCCAGTAAAGGCCCATCTGTGTCCAGCATCTTCTGTGCGCCAGGCTTTTCCTCACTCAACCCTGATCCCAAGTTACATGGTTAGCACTCTTAACCCCATTTTACAGAAGAGAAAACAGAGGCTTGGAGAGACTTAACCACCATCCCAGGATTGCACACAGAAACCTAGAGAGTGTTGGTACCTGGGTCCAATGTCGCAGCTGTTTCTGCTTTCTGGGTCACCTGGGCAAGCCATGCCCCCTTCTCTGGAGCTTTGGTAACCCAGAAGCACAAAAGGAGGCTGTGAGTGAACTAGTCAGTGGTTCTCAAGCTTGGGTGCACATCAGAAAGTTCTGGAGGGCTCGTTACAACACAGATCACCGGGCTCACCCCCAGCAATGAATTGCTGATTCATTAGGTCAGGGATGGGGCCCAAGAGTGTGCATTTCTGACAAGTTCCAGGGAGATGCTGTTGCTGATGGTCCAGGGACCACACTTTTGAGAACCACGTGGCTGGATGAACTCAGATTCTTTTGAGTAGTGACATTGAATGGCTTCTTCCAAGTACTGCTGAGTCCGCTGGTTTCCCTTGTGATCCATGACCCACTTCCCCAGTGACTCTGCTCACATGGGTCCTGACAGAGATGATGTCCTGCGAGTTTTCTGGCAAACCCAGAGGAGAGGTCCAGAGAGTGGATCCGGGGGCTTTGCAGCAATGGAGTGGGCTTTCAGCAAACTCAAACATGGCACAGGTGAGACGATGGCATAGAGCTTCGGGAATCAATATTCTCGTGCAGCGTTGGAGAGCAGGGCTGGGGAGCGGCCAGGGGGGTCGAGGTGACAGCTCCTCGGAAGCCCCCACCCCTCCACCACCCCATCAGGATTTGCGCTGTGTCTGCCAGGCTGCTCTGATATATTGGCCCTCTCCTGGGAGCCTCCCAACTTGCCATTGGTAAACAAAGCCTTTATTTCCCAGGCCAGTGGGGAAAAATTTCAGACCTTTATAATTAAGTGTCCCGGTGAAGGGCAGCTGCCGAATTCTGGCACTGGGTGCCTGTCAGGCTGGTGATGGATGGCAACAACACATCATCCCAGCGGCAGCCCGGCTGTGAGCTATGGGGGTCATATATCACAGCAGGCCTGGCTGGTCTTCCCTGTACACCGTGGAGGCCACAGTTGGCAGGCAGCTTGGGCTCTGTCTGGGGTTGGGGGTGAAGAGGGGCATAGGCTAGCCCGGGAGGCCCTTCCCTATCTTCTTATGGTTCAGATGAGGAAGCTGGGGGCCAGAGTGGGCTGTGGTCAGCCCCACACCTATTTTCTCCTGCCTCCAATACCCTCACCATCCAACCCCTCACTCTGGAAGACATTGAGAAGCCTAACTTGAGTCTACCCTTTTCCCCACTTCTTTGGTCCAACCCATCATCAACATTCCTGTTGTTTCTGCCCCCTAAATGTCTCCAGAATTAATCTACTTTTCTACTCATCATGATCGCCATCCTTGTCTAAGCCACCACCTCTCCCTCTCTCTTGCTGTGCTCTCCTACTGTGGTTGGGATGGAATTGCCTGCTCCTGAAGGTGGCCATGTGACTTTGTCACTAGAATGAAGCAGAAGTATCAATGTGTCAGTTCCAGTCAAGACCTCCAGTGGCCTTGTGGCTTCCACTCTCTTGAGATTCTGCCATGGCTATAAGAAGGACATGCCCAGGCTAGCTTTCAATCCCAGGAGAGGATGAGAAAGCTAGGGGCAAATTTGCTCCAGCTAAAATGCTCCAGCCAAGCCAAACATAGAGAAGAATACTCCCCAAGCCAACTACTGACCCCTAGAAGTGTGAGCTATAATAATAGATGATAGCTGTTACACACCATCAAGTTTTGGGATTGTTTCTTATGCAGCAAAGCTAACTGATACATGTTGTCTATAAGCCCTTGCATGATTCGGGCCCTTCTGACCTCTCCAATCTCATCTCCTGTCCTTCTCCTCTATAATTATTGCTCTTCCCTCTCTCAGGGCCTTTGCCCATATAGTGCTTTCCATCTGGACAGCTTTTGTCATGTTTTTCTTCCTGCCTTTTAGGTCTCAGTATAAATGCCACCTCCTTAGACCTTCTTTGACCATCCCTTCAAAAGTTAAGTTTCTCAGTCTATTACATTCTGTATTTCAATCTCTTGTTTATGTGCTTCATAAAAGTTAAAATAAAAACAAGAACAGGCCGGGTTCAGTGGCTGATGCCTATAATCCCAGCACTTTGGGAGGCTGAGGCGGGCAGATCACCTGAGGTTAGGAGTTTGAGACCAGCCTGGCCAACATGGGGAAACCCTGTCTCTACTAAAAATACAAAAAAATTAGGTGGGCATGGTGTAATCTCAGCTACTCTGGCAGATAAGGCAGGAAAATCACTTGAACCTGGGAGGTGGAGGTTGCAGTGAGCCGAGATTGCACCATTGCACTCCAACCTGGGTAACAAGAGTGAGACTCCGTCTCAAAAAACAAAACAAAACAAAAACCCAAGAACAACTTAATTATTTTGTGTTTTGGTCCTTGCTGTTCCTTACTATTATTATTATTTTCTGTCTCTCTTTTCTGCTGCAGGTTCCATGATGGCCAGAGCCAGCTCTTGGAGTCTCTCCTCTTCTTGCCTTTGTCCCTAGCACTGAGCTCAGTGCCTGGACATAGTAGCTGCCCAGCAGATATATGATGGCTAAATGTAAACTGGATGTCTCACAGTGTGTTCAGGATAGAGCCAGGATAGAACCTGGCTCTTCTGGGAGAGAACACCAGTGCCTGCTTTGGGCTGACAAGTCCTTTATGTGTGCATTAATGCTGTGCGATTGGAAGGGCTGGAGTTGGAGGTGAGAGCAAACCTACAGAAAGGGGCCATTAGGTGTGGTCTCTACAAAGCAGGGCAGGGGACATACACCTGTCAGGTCATCACTGTGTCCCTGGTGCTCACACCATGCCTGTCCCAGAAACAGGCTTCATAACTATTGTCAGATTAGCAGATGAAAGAGGTAGGTTCCTAACTCAGGGCTGAGATGGGCCTCCGGGGGCCTGTGACCCTTTGAAATGGTGAGCACGCTGAAGAGATCACAGCTCTATGAGGGGCTATGTCACACGACAGGTCCTATGGAGCACTAATGCCCTTCTGGTCTTCACAAAGTTAATCAGATCTCTTTCTTACAGACCTTTTCAGAGCCTTTAATATGCTAATAAACTCTGGGATTCCCAGAGGGGATTAAGAGTGCTGAGTTGCCCAGTGGTATTGACCAGGGGATGCTTTTATCAGTGACTATTTTGTGGCATTCTTGGTCTGCAGGACACACTGACGTGGAATCAGGTCACAAACTGCTGTCTCACAGGTCAAATCCAGCTTCAGATATTTTTCACTAGGCCATTGTAGGGTTTTAAAAGGCAATAACTCTTACTTAAACATTTTTATTTTTATTTTTTAATTTTTATTTATTTATTTATTTTTTTGAGACAGAGTCTCGCTCTATCGCCCAGGCTGGAGTGTAGTGGGGCGATCTTGGCTCGCTGCAACCTCCACCTCCTGGGTTCAAGCGATTCTCCTGCCTCAGCCTCCCAAGTAGCTGGGACTACAGGGCCCACGTCACCAGACCCGGCTGATTTTTTTTTATTTTTAGTAGAGACGGATTTCATGTTAGCCAAGATGGTCTCCATATCCTGACCTCATGATCCGCCCACTTCGGCCTCCCAAAGTGCTGGGATTACAGGCGTGAGCCACCGTGCCCGGCCAAACATTTTTAAAAACTAAACTTGCAGTTTTGCTCTAAGAAATAAGAAGTGTGCATTCTGGGCCCACATTCCTGCCTGGCGATAACTGTAGAGCAGGAAGGGCCTTTGCTCTGCTGTTTGCCACAGTTCCCACCATGCCCTACTGCCTTGCACTCTGTTCAGTTATATATTTACCTTCCTTGTCTGGCCCTAAGCCTTCTCAGTTTGCTAGCAGCGACCCAGAATGTCACCTGCCATCCCAGCAAGCTGAGCTTTGCCCTGGAGGGGCATATGAATGTCTGAATCTCCTTACTGGCTCGGACATTTTCTAGGGAAGGAAGGGACCCCGAGGGATGGCTCCAGGGAAGGGTGTCTGGGCTTGCCTGGGGAGAGCAAACAGCTCCAGTGACAGCCCCCAGCCTGGGCAGGATAAAGGGGAAGGGAGAGAAAGGGGCAGCTCAAATTTCCTTTTAGAGGTCTTTTTGCTGTGGGGGAGCAGGGGAGTGAAGGGGAAGGTTGGGGGTAGGGAGGTGGGTGGGGGTAGGGAGGAGGAACAGGGCCTGAGACTGGCTCATACCTCCCCAGAAGCTAATTGTTTTGCCTCCTTCTGTGTGAGAGGTCACAGCTGGGCACACTACTAGGGGGAATCTTGAGGAGCTCACGGGCTGCAGCTGCTGACGCAGGGCTGTGACCACCTGGCTGGGGGCCTAGGGCTGGCATAAAACTGGGCACAGGGTCTGGGTCAAATTTCAGGATCTACATGGCCAGAAGTTCAAACTGAAACAGGAATATGATTGTCCTGAGCTATAATTTGAATGCTTCCTATATTAGTATAGGTGTGTTAAGCCTTTAATAAAATTTCTTATTTAATTTATTTTATTTTATTTTATTTGAGACAGGGCCTTTTTCTGTAGCCTGGGCTGGAGGGCAGTGGTGTGATCATAGCCTACTGCAGCCTTGAACTCCTGGGCTCAAGTGCTCAGATGATCCTCCTGCCTTAGCCTTCCAAGTAGCTGGGGCTACAAGCACACACCACCACACCTGGCTCGTTTGTTTATTTTTATTTTTTTGTAGATACAGAATCTCACTATGTTGCCCAGGCTGGTCTCAAACTCTTGGGCTCAAATGATTCTTCCTGCTTGGCCTTCCAAAGTGCTGGGATTACAGACATGAGCCACCGTGCCTGGCCACGTCAAGCCTTTTGCGTGCAGTAGATGAGCGGTTCTCAAAGTGTGGCCCCTGGACCTGCAGCATTAGTATTACCTCGGAGCTCGTCAGTAACGCAAACTCTGAATGATAATTGTGAAGGTGGGGTCCAGCAGTCTGTGTTTGGAGGAGCCCCAGAGATGGTTCCTGTCTAGTTCATTTCATTCTCACCACTGTGAGGCAGGCAGTGCAGTGGCCTTGATTTTGTAGATGCAGAAACTGAGGCAGAAGGAGGCAAAGTGACTTGCTGTGAGGACTGGAGCCCAGGCTGGTGTCAACCCAGAGCCCCAGTCTGGGACCCGGTAAGAAAACAAATTCCATTATTGGCAAAGCGCCTTTTGATTTCCCATCCTAGGGACCGTCATGAGTACAATCGTGGTGATCAGGGGTAGAGGATAGCCCATTTCAGAGATGAGCAAACCAAGGGCCAGAGAGGCACGAGGAGCTGCTCAGTGGGGCAGGCCTAGAACCAGGCCTCCCAGCCTCCGCTCAGTGCCTCTGGGAGGGAGACCCAGGGCTAAAGGAGGGCAGGCCACCCACTTAGGGAGTCTACCTAAGTCAGGCACACTCTACCTCATCTGTAACCCACTGACTGTGCCCATTTTACAGATGAGGACACTGAGGCAAGACAAATTGCCATGCTCAGAGCTCACCCAAGGTCTCACAGAGGGCAAGGGGTGGAGCAGGGGTTTACCCCCAGGAGATCTGGGCCTGAGTCTGCCACTCAGACCACAGTACCCCACAGCTTTGCTTGAGGAGGGGGCTGTGGCTGTCACTGCAGGGAATACTCCTCCCCTCCCAGTCAGAGATGCCCATGTGATGCTTCAGGTGTGCTCCACCCTCCTAGGGCCTCACACCGCCAAGGCTTTGCGCATGCAGCTCTCTCCACCTGGAGTCCTCCCTTATTTGTGTAATGAGTCAAACGTCCCCTTATCCTTCGAGGGTCAGTTCAAGTGTTGTGTTTGTTCTGCAGCCTTCCGTGGTCCTCCCTGAAGCCATCACCTTTCCTGGACAAGCTCCTAAATGGGCTCAGGGCTTGTACTCTCCAAGAAGCCTTCATGGAGGCCCCCGTTCCTCAGTCTCTGGAACGTTCCTCTTGCTCCTTAATCACTGGTGCCTCACACCCCTGTTAAAGCACGTTTCCTCCTGGCCCACAAGCTCTCGGGGGTCGGGGGCACACGTTTGGTTTGTCTTGTCCCCTTCTCCCCTGCCAGGTGTGCTCCTTCCATGCCTGGCACCCACAGGCCTCATGGTGAATGGCAGAGCAAGAGGAGGCCGGCTGCAGACCCCACTTGGGGCTGTGTCTGGGCCGGGCTGGGGGCGGCTGTGTGAAAGGCCGTCCTGTTTGAGCTGCTGCTGCTGTTCACGCCCGGCCCATGTGCTCATGTCCTGTGTGGGGCTTAGGTAATGGGGCAGCAGGTGGCGGAACAGGGACCCGGGTGAGGCTGGCCCAGCCCTGCTGCAGGATGAGCCGACTTTTCCAGGCCCCACTGAGTGCCGGTTCCTCCCACCGTCTGGCCCAGGTGCCAACACAAACATGGGGCTCTTCCCTCCGGGGCTCTGGCTGTGGAGACCAGGGTCAGAAAACGGCACACAGGGCTCCCTTCACCTTGCCCATGGGGATTAACCCTTTGTACCCTGCTCTGACCTTAGGCCTGGGACACTGCAGAAGGGCAGTTGAAGCCAGGTGACTCGGTTTCCCCCAGGGCTCCACAGGCTTCTGGGGATCTGGGGAGGTCACAGTGCTCTGTGTTTCTCAGGGCATTGCTTGTTCACCTCCTCACCTGGCAGATGGGGAAACTGAGACCTAGAAAAGAGAAGGTGGTCTCTTGCGGGGACTCTGTGAGCCCCCAGTTTCTACCCCGCTTCTCGTCTGTACGTTGGGCATGGAAGCAGGAATTCTGGACACACTAAACTGTTAGTTAGAGACCATCAAACCACGATCATTCTGCCTGTGGGGAAGCTGAGGCGCAGAGAGGAAAAGGAACGTACCCAAGTTCCCATCGCTGGTTGGCTGTGGGGCAAGGATGATGACGATGATGATGATGACGACGACAACCATAAGAATAAAAACCAACAGTTCTCGTGCTTATTGTGCACTGGGGCCTGTTCTAAGTACTTTATGATCACCGACTCATTTAGTCTTTACAATAGCCCCAGGAGGTAGGAATTTATTAGTATCCGCATTTGACAGATGAAGGGACTGAGGCACAGACAGGTTAAGTCACTTACTGAGGGTCACACAGCTAATCTGTAGTGGATCCATGATTTGTTCCCCCACAGCCTGGCCCTTGAGTCAGGGCTTCCATCAGTCACTCCTGTCTCCTGTCCAGTGTTACTTCCAGCTTAGTCCTCCTGGTCCTCTCTGACCTCAGGATTCTCATCTGTCCAGTGGGGATAAGAATCCCTCTCCTCCCTCCCTTTTGAGGCCACTCAGAGAAGCCAGGGAGCTCTTGGGAAGGAAAAGCATATTGCAAACTCTGAAGGGCTGTGCACCAGCCTAGGGTGGGCTTTGCCTCTCATTTGCATGTGGAACAGGATGATTTTCAGGGAATTACCCTTTACACTTCCCCCTGGTGCCCTGTCACCACTAGCATCTTCTAGGGGGCTGATTCTCAGAGACATCCCAGTAGAGGGGCCACTGCGCAGCTTCAGGATCCTTCCGCCAACCCTATGTGGTGGGAACGATAATTGTCCTCTCTTCATCCAAGTCCCTACAAAGGACATGAACTCATAAACCATCATTCTGAGCAAACTGTTGCAAGGACAGAAAACCAAACACCACGTGTTCTCACTCATAGGTGGGAACTGAACAATGAGAACACTTGGACACAGGGTGGGGAGCATCACGCACTGGGGCCTGTCGGGGGGTGGGGGGAGTGGGGAGGGATAGCATTAGGAGAAATACCTAATGTAAATGACAAGTTAATGGGTGCAGCACACCAACATGGCACATGTATACATATGTAACCAACATGCACATTGTGCACATGTACCCTAGAACTTAAAGTATAATAAAAAAGTGTCCTCTCTTAAGAGAGGCCCAGAAAGAGCTGATGGGCTGGGCATGGTGGCTCATGCCTGTGCTTTGGAAAGCTGAGGCAGGAGAAGCCCTTGAGGCCAGGAGTTTGAGACAAGCCTGGACAACATAGCAAGACCCTGTCTCCACAAAAAAATAAAAACGTTGCCAGTTGTGGTGGTGTGCACCTATAGTCTCAGCTACTCGAGGGGCTGAGGAAGGAGGATCACTTGAGCCCAGGAGGTCAAGGTTGCAGTGAGACATGATCGTGCCACTGCACTCCAGCCTGGGCGACAGAGTGAGACCCTGTCTCTAAAAATTAAACATAAAAAGGCCGAGCACAATGGCTCATGCTTATAATCCCAGCACTTTGGGAGGCCCAGGTGGGTGGATCACTTGAGGTCAGTTGTTCAAGACCAGCCTGGCCAACATGGCGAAACCCCATCTCTACTAAAAGTACAAAAATTAGCTGGGCATGGTGGCGCATGCCTGTAGTCCCAGCTACTTGGGTGGCTGAGGCAGGAGAATCGCTTGACCCCGGAAGGTGGAGGTTGCAGTGAGCCGAGATGGCGCCACTGCACTCCAGTCTGAGTGACACAGTCAAAAAAAAAAAAAAAATTAAACATATAAAAAAGAGCTGATGGAAGAACTGCAGAGACAGGAAAGGCCCAAGGCATTCCAGAATAACAAATTCCTCCTTGTGGGAAGAGCTTTTGAGATGGGATGGGGGAGACATGGGTAGGAACTGAGGGGGTTGAGTTGTCACATGTTTGTTAGGGATTTGTTGGGGCCAGTGAGTTTAAGGACCCAGAGGGAGCAGTTGGAGATGTGGCCTTCCTTTTTCAGTGCCTGGAGCCACCTATTAGTGAGCAGTTTGTATGAGAGCAGTGTAGGCCAGGTCCCAGGCACTGTGCAAGAAACAGGGATGACACACATGCTGGGAAACACCCAGGAAGGACCCATGAGCTGGGGTTACCTACCCCAGGGCCTTTTCATCACCTCCAATCTTGACAATTTCATTGGAGAAAATGAGATCACTCATTCATCCTGTGGAGGTTCAGTCCCCATGAGGAGCCACTGTGCTATACTATTTCCCCCTAAGTACATGGAACTCAGTTCCCAGTTATTTGTCAACAGAGGTGAGTTCAAAGCGTCTTTTTAAAATTTTATTTTGAGACAGGTTCTTGCTCTGTCACCCAGCCTGGAGTGCAGTGGTGCAATCATAGCTCACTGCAGCCTCAAACTCCTGGGTTCAAACAATCCTCCTGCCTCAGCCTCCCAAGTGGGTGGGACTACAGGCCTGCACCACCGTGCCCGGCTAACTTTTAAAAGTTTTTGTAGAGATGGGGGTCTCACTATGTTGCCCAGGCGGGTCTCAAACTCCTGGCCTCAAACCGTCCTCCCACCTTGGTCTCCCAAAGCACTGGGATTACAAGAAGTTGTCTTATAAATTCACTCCCCATTGCCTATTGTTATTTTTTCCCTCTGCACCTACAGGAGTTGCAGGGCCCAAGGCTTCCTGGGCTGCCCCAGCCCAGAGTGACTCCACCATCAAGCTCCTTGAATTTATTTTGAATAATGGGCTATTATTTTCTGTGCTATTTTCCAGCGGAGGCCAAAATACATAGGCTGTGAGTTCTTCTCCTTAGTAGGGAGTAAGGCAAGTTTTCTTTCCTCATTTCTTAATATTTTAGGTAACCTCCCCCCAGCCCCACTTTTCTGAAGGGAAAAGAGGTACCCCTGACCCACCTTTAAAGGGATGGACCGAAGCGTTTGGCCAAAGTGCTTCCAAGAGAAGGTGAGCTAAGAAAACTATGGACTGGGGCATTAGATGACACCAAGAGTTCACTCACTAACTTGCCCATGTGTTTCTCAGCCTCAGTTTACCTCTGGAAAGATTTTCAGAAGATGCTCTCAGAGCTTCTTTCTGTTTGAGCCACTTCATAGTTCAAGATCACTTCACCAGCTGCTCCTTCTTTCCGAGCAGAATTCCTCCCTGCCCAGCACTGGGGCCTCAACTCACAGACTCCCGTGCCATCCTGCCTCCCAGTTGACCCTCTAGCTACTGTCACCTTCAGCATTTCAGAGCAGCTCCTCTGTGCTAGCCACACACAGGCGCTTGTACCCTTCTGTCATCTTAGTGGACAGTCTCAACCTCGGGAGGCAGGAACTAGGGGCCCAGTCAAGGTGCAGGAAGCCAAGGCTCAGAGGGGTGAGGACGTCTGTCCAAGATCACCCAGCCCTGGACGGCCGAACCAGGACTCATTCCAGAACATCCTGTCCATCCTGCCTGCTCCCCTCTTGCAAATGGTAAAGAAACAAAACATTGCCCAGGTTTTGCTCATCACTCATCACTCCCCCTTGCAGCTTCCGATTTTGGGGCAAAATGCAACCAACCAAACCAATCAAAAATAAATAAATAATAAATAACCCTCTTAGCAAAACCTCGCTGCTTTCTGTTCCTTCCAGAAGACCTGAGGATTCTTTTTCGGTATATCTGCAGGAGGTAGGGGCCCAGCTAGGGAGGATGGTTTGCTCTCCGACTCTTTGTGGCCAGCTCCCGGGGGAGTGTTTCTGAGGCCGGCTGCCTTGTAGGCCCCGGTGCCCCCTGCTGTAGCCCCCTCCTTTTCTCCAGGTCTCCTGGCAGGGCCCAGGGGGACCTGGGCTCTCGTCAATGCATCTTAGCAATCGGAATGTGCCCTCTGACCCCGCCTTCACCTCCCCGTGAGTTTCAGAGAAGGTTCTTTTTTCGAAGCCCCTGCCCCTCGGCCTTCTGGAAACAAATGGAGCTTGATTCTGTCTGTGGGTGGCTTGCAAAGCCGCTGTTTGGGGGGTTACTTTTAAAAGAAGTCTTCTGAACCTCTGCAATGTTCGAAGGACTTTTATTTTCGACTGGGAGTATCCAACTGGTGCTTGGAATGCATGGTCGTCGGCTGTGAGAGGAAAAGCGATCTTGCCCATCTCGGGGAGAAAGAGGCGCTGGCTAAGCCCCCACCTGATAGCCCAGATTGGGTTTCTCGCTGACCTTTCATTCGATTCCAAGAGTCCTTGCAAGATGGGCTCCCTTGGGGGCGGAGGTCCCTGATGACTTAGAAAGTCAGGGGCTACATTCTCTAGAACATGCCAGAGCCCTGGAAGGAGCCCTTGAGCTGAAGAGAAAGGGGCAGGGTGGGTGAGCTGCCTGAAAACCAGTCCAGCAAAAAACTTCAGAGCAGCCCAAATCTCTGGCTTTTCATCTCTACTGGATGAGAACTTCCTCTGAGTTGGGCAAAGAGCCTTTCTCAGTTTCCCTTGCCTTCCCATGAAAGCATATCTCTCCTGAGTCCCAGCCTGGCAGTATATTTCTTCTTGAGAGCTCCATCAGCTACATGAGTGAGGGACAGAGTCCCGAGGCCTCTGCTCTTGTCCCTGCCCTGCCACTCTGTGGCCTCAGCTGAGGGATGCCCCCTCAGGCATCACTCTCCTCATTTCCATAATGAAGAGCCAGGATCCTACTGTCTTTGTTCTAGATCAGGGCTTGGTACACCTTTTCTCTAAAACTGTTCTCTAAGGGCCTTTACACAGTACATGTTTTTGGATATGCAGTAGTAGCAGTTGGAACTACTCAACTCTGCCACCATTCCACGAAAGGTATCACAGACAATATGGAACCAAATGAGTGTGGCTGAGTTCCAATAAAACTTTATTTTCAAAAACAGGAAGTGGGCTGGATTTGGCCCACGGTGGGCTGTGGTTTGCCAACCGTTGATGTAGATTTTTGGGCAAAGTTTCACAGGGTTGCCATGCCATGAGTCCCAAATGATAGACAGATGGGTGAGGTGAATGGTTGCAAGCTCTGAGGTCTTATAGGCCTGAGTTGGATTCCTATCTCTGAAGAGCGACAGCTGTGTGACCTTGGGCCAACCACTTCCCCTCTCTGAGCCTCAGTTCCCTCCTCTGTAAAATGCGGACAGTAACAGTGCCTATTCTACTTCGTTGTTGGGATGACAAGTTAGCAATGCCTGGTGCATGGTGAGCCCTGAAGGAACACCACACCGGTGATCGCTTTCGTTTGTAATAGAAACACACTATGTCCCAACCAGCCTCCCTTAGGTCCATGATGAGCAAGAGGGGGAAGATCAAATGCTTTTTGCTTCTCACCCAAGGTTCAAATCACTGTTCTGAGACTAAATTGTCAGGTGACTGTGGGTAAAATGCTGTGAGCCTCAGGCTCTTTCATGTCTAGAATGGGGCAAATTAGCCTTAACTCTTAGGGTCATTGCACATACAAGGAGCTCCCTCCTCTTCCACATGCAGTCCTGTTTGTTACGGGGGATGCTCCATCAACCACCCGGCAGCTTGGCATCCACACAGCCCAAGCAGAACTCCTGATTCCCTTCCCTTCCGTCAAGCTGGTCCTCCCTGGGTCTTCCCCATCTCAGTGGCACCACTGTGCACCCAGGGCTCAGCCAAAGCCCTGGGCATTGTCTTGAGTTCCACCCCCCACCCCCACCCACATCCCATCTGTGCTAGTCATTGGCAAATATGGTGGCCATCAATTCCTCCCACCAGTACGTGCATGCTGCTTCTCCCACCAGTAGGCAGAGTCTATTTTCCTTGCTCTTGAGCCTGGACTCAACCGTGTGAATTACTGTAGTCAACAGAATGTGGTGGAAGTGACTCCAGTGCTTCTGGGCCTAGACCTCAAGAGGCCTAGCGACTTTCACTTTCACTCTTCTGCTCCCCTAAGCTGCCAGGGAAGGAAGCCAAGGCTATCCTGTTAGACAAAGAGGCCACCTAGAAGGGACTGAGGTGCCCCACTTGACAGCCAGCCCCAAGGCTTCAGGCATGGGTAGATGCAGCTGGAATTTTCCAGGCCAGTTCAGCCCCCAGCTGAGTGTATGTAGCCTTATGAATTACCCCTGCAACACCCTGTAGAGCTGAGATGAACCGTCCCTGCTGAGCCCACCTAACCCACAGAACCATTAGCAATCAAATGATTGTTGTTCTCAGCCACTAAGTTTGGGTGATTTGTTACACACAATAAGCAATGGAGACACCACCTGCCAGCACATTCTGTCACAAGTCCCTCCATTATTTCTCTAGAATCTGCCCTTCATCCCACGACCCAGAGACCTTGTTATCACAATAGCCTTCTCCCTGGTCTCCCAGCTTCCACTCTGGGGCCTTCCAAACTGTTCCCCTTAGGATCAAAGAACTTTTAAAATGGATCTTATATCTTCTTAAACTTGCCAATGGCTTCTTCTTTGCACTGGGAACAGACTCCATCCTATTCCAGCCCACTCCATGCTACCCCAGCCTACAAGTGTCTCCCGACCCAGTCTCCGGCCAGCTCTCTGACTTCAGGCCTCGCCAGTCCTGCTCATATCTATTCTGCTCCAGCCACACTGACCTTACTTCTCTTCCTTGGAAGCACTCAGCTCCTTCCCATCTCGGGGCCTTTGCCCCACCTATTGCCTCTGCAGGATCATGCTGCACTCGGCTGGCTCCTTCTTGTCACTCAGATTTCATTTTGAGACCTTCCGTGGCCACCACAACTAAGGTGCCTCTTGCCTCTACTGTCCCAGTCACTCCCACATCCTGCTTTTATTCTTTTCATTGCACTTGAGTTCCTTTCAATAAACTCCTATGTTACCCTCCTGAGCCCCTTCTGAGGTGTCCATCTCTGTCATAGGCCAGAATGCCTAACGAGTGCTCAGATCTGGGCGACAAGTGGTAAAGAGCTTTGACTTTTCATTAAAACAGATACACAGCCTTCCTCTTACTGAGCCTTTGGTACATGTTGGGCCACTAGCTGAACACATGGCCAGCCAGGGCCTTACTGAATCTTCACAGTGACCTGGCAAGGGAGGTATCATATTGGCTCCATTTCACAGATAAAGAAACTGAGAGTTATTTCACTTAAGATAACATGTTTTTCGAGGGAGAAGTTCTGGGAGTGCTAAGGATTTGTAGCTGGAGTTAGGCCCACCTTGGGAGCTCAGACAGGGTCAGGAAGAAACTGCTGACGCATGCGGGAAGGAGTGTCCCGGGCTGAGAAAACAAGCATGTGCTAAGGCACTGTGCTGAAGCAGAGGGCATGAGGGGTGGAGAAAGATGTGTATCCTATGGATATAGGTGTATATGATACATGTATATGATACATCTATATCCTAATCTCGGGAACCTGCGAATTGAACTTATTTGCCGATGTAATGAAGTTAACGATCTCGAGGTGAGATCATTGAGATTATCCAGGGGTGCCTTAAATCCAGTGACAAGTGTCCTTATAAGGGACACATAGAGAAGAAACAGGGAGAAAAGAGAAGTCCAGGTGACAACAGAGATAGAGACTGGAGGGATGCGGCTATAAGCCAAGGAATGCCTGGAGCCACCAGAAGTTGGAAGCGACAAGGAAGGATACTCTCCTAGAGCCTTCAGACGTAGCACGGCCTGCTGGCACCTCAATTTCAGACTTCTGGCCTCCAGAAATGTAAGACACTAAATCCTGTTGTTCAAAGCCACACAGGTTTGTGATCATTTGTTATGGCTGCCCAGCCCCATCTAGCAGGAGAGGGACGTCCGGGCCACACCAGCATGGGCCAGGCTGTCCAGGAGCCAGAAACAGCCCCACACAGAGCAGCTGTGCAACTCAAATGGGAGGGCTCCCAGAGCTTTCTGAGACCAAAACTGAGGCGCAGAGGGGGCGTGTCAACCCAGGCGCCCAGCCCATGGGGGTGGATCAGTGAATAAATAGCACCTGGGCAGGCTAGGCACGGTGGCTCATGCCTGTAATCCCAGCACTTTGGGAGGCTGAAGTGGGAGGATCGCTTGAGGCCAGGAGTTTGAGGTTGCAGTGAGCCGGGATTGTGCCACTGCACTTCAGCGTGGGAGACAGAGGGAGACCCTATCTCCACCCCCGACCAAAAAAGAAAATAAAAAGGACCGGGGGCTCTGGGCTGTCTATCCAGTGCTGTATGCTCCCTGTTGTTTTTTTTGTTTGTTTGTTTTGTTTTTTTTGTTTTTGTTTTTTTTTTTTGAGACGGAGTGTTGCTCTGTCGCCCAATCTGGAGTGCAGTGGCAGGATCTTGGCTCACTGCAAGCTCCACCTCCCAGGTTCACGCCATTCTCCTGCCTCAGCCTCCTAAGTTTCTGGGACTACAGGCGCCCACCACCATGCCCGGCTAATTTTTTTGTATTTTTAGTAGAGACGGGGTTTCACTGTGTTAGCCAGGATGGTCTCAATCTCCTGACCTTGTGATCTGCCTGCCTCAGCCTCCCAATATGCTCCCTGTTTATAGCCACCTAGCAGCTGCACCTCCTGGCTACGGGCTTGTTTATTTATTTGGACACCTCCTTGTCCTGGCCCATGACCTCTGTCAGGATGGCTTCAGGGTAGATGTAAAGTGGGAGGGGCCGCTCAGTGCCAAAACCATCTCTGGCCACTTGCCTAGATTCCCAAGCAAGGTAATTGATCCTCCCACTGACCCATTTGTGGGTGGCCCCTTTGTGCCAGCCAGGACCTCTCTCAGACAGTAGACATGACCAAGGGGTGGATCCTGGACACCAGGCTGGAATTTCAGCCTAGCTGGCATAATTTCGTTGGGGGGTTTCAGATGGGGACACGGGCTAAGGACAAAGGCTTATGGTGGACACCTGAATCGAAAGATGGAGTGAAAGGCTTAGATTCAACCTTTACTATCTTCTGTGTGATCTGGGAACTGTGCCTCAGTTTCCCATCTATACAACCTTGGGGGCTGTGGGGAAGAGCAGGAGTAATATATATAAAGCAGACACAAGGTGCCTGGCTTGAGGCCAGTCCTCAATAAACAAAAGCTGTCATGATTATTGCTAATGTCACTGCTACAATTACTACAATGATTATTACTAGCAGCCAAGCACAGTGATTCACGGCTGTAGTCCCAGCACTTTGGGAGGCCAAGGCTGGAGGATTGCTTTAGCTAGGGAGGTCGAGGCTGCAGGGAGCCATGATTGTGCCACTGCACTCCAGCCTGGGTGACAGAGTGAGACCTCATCTCAAAAAAAAAAAAAAGAAAAAGAAAAAAAGAATTACTATTACTTCCACTATTACTACTCTCATGCCTTCACTATTACTCATCTAGGATTATTTTATAGAATGCCTCTCTTGCTCTGTCTTTCTACGGTAGAGTGGAAAAAACATGGCTATCAATATCCCTGGGGATTAAGCCTAGCTTAGTTCTCAATTTGCTGTGTGACCTTGGGCACATGAATAACCTTCCCGAGCTCTTAAAAAAAACAACTTTTAATTTTGCAATTATATTACAGACTCACAGGGCCCTGGAAAAAAAGTACAAAGTCCTGTGTACTCTCTCCCCCGCCCCCCCGCTTCCTCCAATGGCAACAGCTTATATGACTGTAGTATGACCTCAGAATCAGGAAATTGACACTGGTTTTCTACTGTTAACTAGATCATGGACTATATTATATTTTCATCAGTTTTTACATGAATTCAGTGTGTGTGTGTGTAGTTCTGTGCAACTTGGTGCCATGTATGGATTCCTGTGACCACCACCACAGTCAAGATACAGAATGACTTCATCACCCTAGAAGAGCTTCCTTGTGCTGCCCCTTTAGAATTGCGTCCCTCTCCCATCCTGCTCCTATCCCCAGGCGACCGCTAATCTGTTCTCCATCTCTGCCGTCTTGTCATTTTGAGACTGGTGCACTGGCAGCCTCACAGCAGCGTCACCGTGTGGCTCTTGGCACGTATATTTATCTGGACCTTCTTGTCCTGGCTCCTGGCTTCCATCAGGGCGGCTCCTGGGCAGATGTATATAAATGGACCTTTCTGAACTTGTGATTTCCATTTGAGAACGTGTTCTCAAATATCCTTCTTCCAAAAACCATGATCCTGTATGAGGACACAGTCTGCTGTGCTTTCATCTCTGCCTGTAGAACAGAATGGCTGTAATGCAGATGGGGAAACTGAGGCCCACCCAGCAGGGGAACCCAACTGGTCTCAAGCCACATAGCAAGTGAGCTCATGAGCTTGCTCCCAACTCAGGCCCCAAGGATGCCATCAGCCCAGGAAAAACACAAACAAACAGCCTAACCAGGTGACAGAACTCCAAACAGCCCCACGGACCTCCCACCCACCTCGTTTCTTGGGTGGCATCTGGCTTCTGGGCACCCCCCCCGCCAGGGGTGGGGTCTGGGTCCCTCCCTGCTCATGACAGTTTTCCCAGATGCACCCCCTCCCACCCTCCCTGGCCCCCACCAGCACCAATGGAAAAACTGATGCTGTGGTGCATTTGGAGAGAGGCTGCAGGTAGGCCCGGCCCCCACCCAGGTGAGCCGGGGCCACCAGCCCCTGCACATAGACGGGCCCCTCAGACTCGGGGCGCTGGGCAAGGGAGCAGACGCGTGTGTCAATAAACACTGCGGTCGGAGAGCTGACCCACGCCCTTGCTGGAATTAAGAGCTTATTCATAACTCTCTCTCACCACCAAAACACACTTTGGAGAGGGCTAAAGTAAACAGTGCCGTTTAACCTGACCTCCTCGGGGCTCGTGGCTCTGCCCAGGCCCTGCCACTCAGAGGGGAAATTTGGTACCTTTCCCCTCCAGACCACTTGGACCACCCCAAAGTCTCCCACTTAGAGAAATAATCAGATAATCTCCGGGGTCCAGTGAGGGGGGGAGGCGCATGTTGGGGGAGGGTGGTGATGGATGGAGTTGCAGAGGAGGTGGCCCCCTGTGACCGAGAGCACGCTGAGGAATCTGGATCCTATTCCAAAAGCAGTGGGAAGCCACAGAAAGGATTTTAAGTAGGGGGATGATGTGAAATGATTTATGTTTTTACAACTATTACCCTGACCACCATGTGGAGAATTGACTGCAGGGGGCAGGAGTGGAAGTTGGAAAGCTACTGGAGACACCCAGGTGAGAGGTGACGGTGGCTCGGGCAGGGTGGCAGCGAAGACAGAAGGAGGCAGTCCAGCCCACCATGGATTTCAACATCCATTCCATCCATCCATGGAGGCAGCAATGATGACGGGGAAGGGAGTCCTCTAGAGGGGAGAGTGGAATTGGGAAATCAGTGTGGGCACATTGAGTCAGAGGTGAGCAGAGGTCTTCCAGGTGGAGTCTGAAGGGCCATCGGCTGCACATTCTTGGAGCTCCAGGAGGCTCCAGCCTGGGGTGGTCATTGAGCATCCTTAACCCGAAGGTGGGATTTGGTCCCAGGAGCAGATGAGATCACCCAGGCAGTGAACCTGGGGGATGCCCACATCAGGCAGGAGGGGCACCTGGCATAGGAGACCCTGGATGAGGAGCCTCAAGTCTGGGGAGAATGATTGAAGAGGGAAGGAGATGTCCATGGTGCCGGATACCCCTGAGGGTCTAGTAGGGTGAGACTGAAAAGACTTAATGGAATTTAGCAATATGGTGGGCATTGGTGACCCCAAACTGGAGCATATTTAGAGGGCGGTAGGGGCAGGAAGACCACTGGAACAACAGCAATAACAAAGGAGGCCAGAACAGACCTCTGTGCCTATGGAAACTTCGTACGTGGTGGAGGATGCATTGCCATTTGGTGAGGAAGGGGTGGACCATCTAAAAAGAATGCTGGAAGATGATGATCAGTACGCGCACTGTGGCAGGCAGTCTTCGAGGTGGCCACCATGATTCCTGTCTCCCGGTATTCACGCCCTTGTATGATCCCCTTCCCTTGAGTGTAGGCGGGACCTGTGACCTGCTTCTATCCAATAAAACATGGCAAAGGGAATGGCTGTCACTGCATTTATTATGTTACATTATTATAGTCTGTTTTTTTTCTGTTGATCTTTATTTTCTCATTACTAGTTTTAAAGAAATAAACTTTCATGGATCATACAGCTGCAAGGGAATGAACTCTGTGAACAAGCTGAGGAGCTTGAAAGAGGATCCTTCCCTAGTCAAGCCTCTGATGAGAACCCAGCTCCAGCCAACACCTTGATTGTTGCATTGTGACACCATAAGCGAGGCTCCAGCTAAGCTGTGCCAGGCTCCTGACCCACAGAAACTGGGATAATAAACGTGTGTGTGTTGTTTTAATCCACCAATTATGGTAATTTGCCATCAGCATAGACAACTAATGATTACTGGCCATTTGGATGTTCTCTTTCAGGAACTGTCTGTCTGGTTATGCTCATTGCTTATTTGCCTACTGGGAAGTTAGTGTCTTACCGATTTGCCAGAGCTCTTTACATATTATGGATTCAATCCTGTCTCAGTTTTATGTGTTCAGATATCTTTTTCTAGTCTTGCCTTACATTACATAAACAATACCTTTTTCTAGTCTTGCCTTATATTATATAAACAATATTATGTTAGATTCCAAATTCATACAGCACACATACACACAAACAAATAGTCTCAAGATTCATTAAAGATCTAAATACAAAAAGGAAAACTTGGAAAGTTCTATATGGAAATATAGGATGTCTTTATAACCCTGGGGTAAGAGAAGTTTCCTTATTCATAGTACAAAAAAAAATTAAAGAAAAATATTGACACATTGACTACCTTAAAATTAAAACCTTATTTTCAAAGTAACTCATCCTGAATAAGTTAAAAGAGAAGGCAAGACTCAGAAAAGATACCTGAACACATATAACTGAAAAAGGATTGAATCCATAATATGTAAAGAGCTCTGACAAATCAATGACACTAACTTCCGAATAGGCAAATAGGAAATGAGCATGACCAGACAGTTCTCAAAAGAGAAAATTCACATGGCCAATAATTATGAAAGATGTTTAAATTCACTGATAAACGGGGAACGCAAATGAAAACAACCACACCATCCTACCCATCTGTTTGACAGAAATTTAAAACTTGAGAATACCAAGCATCAATGAGCCTGTGGGGAAGCAGGGCCTCTTCTCTGGCATTGGTTGGAGGGTATATTGGCACAGCCATGTTGTAGAGCCATCTTGGGGCAGCTAGTAAAGTTAAAGCTGTGCAACCTGACACAGCAATTCTATTTCTTGGTGAATAGGTTTCAGAAATGTTAACCCATTGCTCTAAGTGACATGTTCAAAGATGTTCACTGCAGCATTAAGTAACACAAGTTCCCCAATAGAAGGAGGAGAGATACACTGAAACATGCTCTTATAGTAGAATATTACACGATGGTGAAAATGAGCTAGTTCTGTGTTAATTGGGAAAACAAAGCTTAGCCAAAAAGAAAAAAATTGCAAAATGATGCATAAAATAGGTTACTATGCATGTAAGTTACTAAAATGTGAAAAATAATACTATATATTGCTTGTGGACACATTCTTACCTAGTAACAGTATACAAACATGAGTGGAAAAGATAAAGACCAACTTTAAGATAGTAATTACATCAGTAGAGAAAAAAAAAGGAAACAGGTCTGTAAGGTTTTGTTACTTTAAAAATCCTGAAACCTATATGACAAAGTGTAGATATTTGATAATGCTAGTGGGTGTTGGGGATCCACAGACCCACTGTATAATCCTTTAGAGCCATACATGGCTACTTAAATCTAGATATAAATTCATTAAAATTAAATAACATTACAAATCTGGTTCCTCCAGCCTGGACAACATGGTGAAACCCCATCTCTACAAAAAAAATACAAAAATTACCCAGGTGTGGTGCGTATGCGTGTGGTTCCACCTACCTGGGAGGGTGAGGTAGGAGGATCACCTGAGCCCAGGAGGTCCGGGCTGCAGTGAGTCCTGATTGTATCACTGCACTCCAACCTGGATGGCAGAGCAAGGCTGGGTCTCAAAAAAAAAAAAAAAAAAAAAAAAAAAGGGAGGCTGAGCCTGATGTATCACGAGGTCAGGAGATCGAGAGCATCCTGGCTAACATGGTGAAACCCCGTCTCTACTAAAAATACAAAAAAAATTAGCCGGGCATGGTGGCAGGCTCCTGTAGTCCCAGCTACTCGGGAAGCTGAGGCAGGAGAATTGCTTGAACCCGGGAGGTGGAGCTTGCAGTGAGCCGAGATCGCGCCACTGTACTCCAGCCTGGGCAACAGAGTGAGACTCCGTCTCAAAAAAAAAAAAAAAAAAAAATTCTGATTCCTCAGTTGTACTAGCCACATTTCAAGAGCTCAAAAGCCACATGCAGTTGGCAGTTTCTGTATTGGACAATGCAGACATAGAATGTTTCCATGACTGCAGAAAGTTTTTTTGGGTGTTGCTGTTCTAGAGCATCCTGGATGCTGCTTTTAAATTTTTTTTTTTTTTTGAGATGGAGTTTCACCCTTGTCACCCAGGCTGGAGTGCAATGGTGTGATCTTGGCTCACTGCAACCTCTGCCTCCCAGGTTCAAGCAATTCTCCTGCCTCAGCCTCCTGAGTAGCTGGGATTACAGGCACCAGCTACCACACCCTGCTAATTTTTGTATTTTTAATAGAGACAGGGTTTCACCATGTTGGCCAGGCTGGTCTCGAACTCCTGACCTCAGGTTATTCCCTCCCGCCTTGGCCTCCAAAAGTACTGGGATTACAGGTGTGAGCCACCGCGCCCAGCCACTTTTAATTTTTTGTAATGATTTTTAAAAAGCAGAGACTGGAAGATGAGCAAAGGAGGTAGGGAGGGAAAAGAGTTCTTTTGAAGAGTTTGGCTATGGAGGGAAGGAGGAAGATGGCAGAATGGCTGGGGATGAGGGGGTCCAGGAAGGAGCAGGGGGACAGGGCATCCTGGGAGGTCTCTATTTGTCATGGTGGGAGATGTCTCAGAATGCCGATGGGAACGGTCAGTAGAGGGGGAAGTTGAAGGTGGAGGAGAGGAGACAGGGGAAGTTGAAGGTGGAGGAGACAGGGGAAGATGGAAGGCAGGAGGCCCGAGCAGGAAAGGGGCCCCAGAGGAGGACACGGTCCCCTGAGGCCCCAAGGCCCCTACCTGCCGCCCCTCTCTAAGTGACTCCCACCCCTCACCCTTTCAGGCTCTCGAGGGAGGAGATCAGTAATTCCTGCCACGCCTGTCACAGATATTTGAAAAACATATTAATCACTTTAATAAATATTAGCTCAGAACAGCAATAAACAGTCTCCAGCATCTCCTCTCTGCGGCTGTATTACAATGACAAATATGCTAATATGGGTGTCTAATTGATTGTGTTTGAGTAACTTCCTGTATGACAGTAAGTGTTTGAGGCGGCATCACTCAGAGTCAAAGCCGACATCTCCCAAACTCTGGAACGACTCCCTCCTCCTTTCCTGCAGGATTACCCTTTCCAGGGAGTGGAATCTCTCCAAACAAAGAAATGGTAGCTCTCTTGGCTGCCAACCTGCGGAGACTTTTTGGGGACCCAATGCGGAGCTGCCTTTCGTGCCCTGGCTCCTATGGGCCGGCATCTCACATGCGATGTCTCCTTTCATCTTTGAAGCAGTTCTACAAGGTTTGGATTGTGGTCCCATTTCCAGGAAGGGAAAACTGAGGCTGTGAGGGGTAAAGAGACTCACCCAGGGTTCCTGAGTGGTGCAGCCAGGACTGTCCTGCAGGCTTGAATCCGAAACCTGTGTGTGCCCTCTCCATCTCCAAGCCAGGAGACCTCATGACAGAAACTCTGGAAACATTGGCATTGCCATTCATCCCTCATGGACAACTCACAGTTCAGTTCCACAGACAACTGGACGAGGCGATCCTCAAATTTCCTGGGTACTTCCCTTCCGATGCCAAACAGATTCTGACCATGCAGATTCTTCTCTCATCTCATCCATCACCTCCTGCAATCCACAATATTGCTTCCTCTCACTTCGCTCCTTGCCTTGGTTAAATGTATGTTCCAGACCCTCGCACCATGCACAGGCAAGATAATTTCTGCGGTGATGGAGGCTAATCAGTGTATAATCCCTGGCTCTTGCACCCTCCTCTCCTTGCACTGGAACACTCGTCAGCTGCTCACAGCTGCTGGTGTGACCCTAAGTCTAGTTCAAGTCTGTTCTCTCTTCTCCATCCTCCTGCCTTACCTGTAGCATCTCCCTCCTGGACTCCTCTGCAGCCTGTGACAGCCCCTACCACAGGCCTTGGAGGCAGAAGACGCAGGGTCCCGTTGAAGCTCCCGCCTCTGAATGGGACAGCTTCCAGGTTCCTTCCCAACCCTCTGAGAGATGATGCTTTAGGTCATGGGTTGGCAAACATTTTCTGTGAATGGCCAGGAAGTAAATATTTTCAGCTTTGCAGGCTGCGGGGTCTCTCCCGCAGCTTCTCGATTCCGCTGCTGCAGCAAGAACTGGGCCGTAGATAATACACAAATGAAGAACGTGCCTGCGTGCCAAGAAAACGTTATTTATGGACACTGAGATTTGAATTTGATAAAATGTTTATGTGTCCTGATCTATTCTTCTTTTGATTTTTTTTCCCAATCATTTAAAAAATGACTATAATTTTTAGCATGTGGGCCACACGTAAAAGGACTGCAAAATGGATTTGGCCCGTGGGGAATAGTTTGGGGACCCTTGTCCTTACTGATTTATTTTTCCTTTAAAAAAATCAAAACATTTTAGTTTTTCAGTTTCCTGGCATATGGTTTGGGCGGCACTGACATGGTCTATGCAGACAGGGGAATTTGGAAAGGGAAGGGGGATTTTAGTGAACAAAAAAGACTGACAATAGATCAAGTTTATGTTGGGAGGGGAGTGACAAGCAGGCTTCAGGGACTGGGGACCTTCCCGTCTTGATCCAAGTGCTGGTTTCATGGAGGCGTGGATGCTGTGAAAATCCAGCGAGCTGGGCTCTGATGACAGGCGCACTTTTTTGTATGTATATTTCCCTTCAGTGAAAAGTAAAAGGCCAGGTGTGATGGCTCATGCCTGTAATCCCAGTACTTTGGGAGGCTGAGGCAGACAGAACACCTGAGGTCAGGAGCTCCAGACAAGGCTGGCCAACATTGCAAAAGCCCATCTCTACTGAAAATACAAAAATTAGCCCGGCGTGGTGGTGCTTGCCTCTAGTCCCAGCTACTTGGAAGGGTAAGGCTGAAGAATCGCTGGAACCCAGGAGGCGGAGGCTGCAGGTGAGCTGAGATCATGCCACTGCATCCAGTCTGGGTGACAGAGCAAGACTCTGTCTCAAAAAGAAAGTAAAGAAAAATGAAAGAGCTGATGCTATCCTATTAGTGAGATCATGGGCATACAGGCACTCCCGGGCCATGCTGGGGACGGATAATCGAGGCCACCCCCATGGAAGACAATTTGCTTGTGTTTGTCACATGCAAAAACAAAAACACACCTCCCAAGACCCAGTGATACCACTGGTAAGAATGTGCTCGCAGCACACACTCACACGCATGTGCAAATACTTGTGTGCAGAAGATGGGGAACACCTGAGATGTAGACTAGCTGAGTAAAAGATGGCACATCCAGAGACGGAAGACGATGTAGTTCCTAGAAGGAGGATGCTGTCATCGTACTGCTATAGAATAATCTTCCGAGGGCTTCGTGCAGTGAAAGACGGGAGTGGATACGGAAAGTCACCATTTCTTGACCTCCTGGGACCACATATATTGGCCCTGCTTGGTGGGGTCTCCCCTGTCGCAGTAAAATCTATTTAAATCTTAAGGAAAAAAGAAAGTCGCCATTTATATGTAAAAAAGAAGCACACTCACACACGTGTTCATTTTCATATATAAGCATAAAAACTTTCTGGAAAGACACACAAGAGGCATGGACATGGCTGCTGGGCTCAGGGTGGGCAGAGGAGTACAACCATACCCTTGGGGCTGTTTCATCCTTTTTATGCATATGCCTGGTGACTTTACAACCAAGGACAAAAGACTCCTTTAAAAAGTCTAGGGGATGATTTCCCATACGCTGAGTGCCTACTAAGCTCCCAATATTTTCCATATCCCCTCTGCCTCCGCCCCAATGAATCCTCTGGTTTATCCCAGGGGGCCCCCCGGAGAACCTGAGACAGCCCAGCTGCTCTGCAGACCCAGCGTGCCCCGTGCTGGTCTGAGGGGCACAGCAAGGCTGGCTGCAAGTGCAAACAATGGGCAGGACAAAGAACCCTTTGTGCTTTTCCTCCAGCCTCAGCAGAGCCTCAGGACTGGGCCTCTCCAGTTACAGCACCCGAGGGCTTTCCCACTCGGCAGACGGAGCCCTAGGGTAAATATTCCTCCCAGGATCACCTGTCAGGCATGGGGGAGGGTCTCCTTGGAGCAGGAGTCGCCACAGGCCCAGTGGTTCATCCCAGCCTCCCAAACAGCGGCCCCACTGGGGATGGAGGGATGGCCCCAGTGGCGTGGTTGGAAGCAGGGCAGCTGATCGGGATCCTGGAACACCAACCGGCCAAGTGACCCAGGCAAGCAGCCTTGTGTCTCTCAGCCTCAGTTTATCTGGAAGATGAGGTGATGGTCATGCCTAGATATCCCGTGGGTAGACTGTGGTGAGGATTCAAAGAGATGATGCCCATGAGTGCCTGGCTCAATATACGGTACTTTTGAAAAGTAGGGGAGAGTGGGAATAAAAAAGGTCCAGCCACTTTGGAAAACAGTGGGGCAGATCCTCAAAGGAATAAACATGCGGTTACCCTGTGACCAGGCAATTCCACTCCTAGGTATCTACTCAAGAGAAGTGAGAACACATGGCCACACAGAGACTTGTACAGGAATGTTCACAGCAGCGTTATTCATAAGAGCCAAAGTGTGGACGTAACCCAAATGTTCATCAATAGTCAAAGTATGGTCCACCCATACAATGGGGTATTATTCAGCCTCAAGAAGGAATGTCACATTGACACATGCCACAACATGGATGAACCTTGAAGACATTATTCTAAGTGAAGGAAGCCAGACACAAAACATCATGTACTATATGATTCCATTTCTATGAAACATTCAGATCAGTGCAATCCATAGAGACAGAAGGTAGATTTGTGGTTTTCAGGGGCTGGGGGTGTGGTGGGAGGATGGGGTGATAGCTGAGAGGAACTGAGTTTCTTTGTGGGGTGGTGGAAGTGTTCTAAGCCTGACTGTGGTGACGGTTTCGCTCATATTGTGAATAGACTAAAAATGATTGAATTGTGTGCTGTAAACGGGCAAATTAAATAGTAAGTGAATTATATCTCAGTAAAGCTGTTTTTCTTTTTCTTTTCTTTTTTTTTAAAAAAGCTTTTAAAAAGCTGTTATTTAAAAATAAAAACTTAAGAAGAGGCTCCTGGCAGAGCCAAGACCAGAAGAGTATAAGCGGAACGAGAAAGGAAAAAGGAGGTTAGGAAGAGAGGGAGGAGATAGAGAAACGTCAGGATGGTGACAGGGGGCTGGGGAGTCAGGCCCCATTTCTCTGTGGGCCCAGCCCCTGTGCCTGTCTCCTGGGGGGCAGACAGACTCCCAGTACCGCTGCTGCCAGGGGAGTTCAGTAGTTCCTGCAAGGAGGGAGTCGGGGGGACTCCGCAAGGATGGCTCGGCCACCTGCTTGGTGTGGGCCTCTGGTTAAGCGCCTGAAACACACTCAGCCTCAGCTCCTCACCTGGAAACGGGGGCTTGTGACCACTGCTTCACACAATAATGGTGAGGCTTGAAAGAGGTGGAGGGGGTCAGTGTGCCTGACATGTAGTAAGTGCTCATTAAATGATGGGGGGAGGGAGAGGGAGAGAGAGAGAATTTTATTGACTTTATTTCAGCAGCATCAATTATCTTTTCCCGTACGTTCCACCCAAAGTCTAAAGAAGCAATGAGGATAAAAGGCTGAGAATTAGGGAACCTAAATTCCTGGCTGTCACCTTACGGCCTTGGGCCTCAGTTTGCCTCCCTGCTGTTTTCTTCTTCCTTCTTCCTCCCTCTCCTCCTCCCCACCGTCCTCCTCCTGGTCCATTGTGCCATGCACTTGGCAGTCAATACCAGGTTCTCGCCCTCCCCTCTGCCTTCCTGGGTGTTGCTCCAGGTGTGTCACAGGTGCTTAGACATAGTCATATGAGGCCCTGGACTCAAGTCAGGAGGACCTCCCCAGTCAGGGAGACACCTGGCCTCCGAGCAGTGCCCTTGTCTTCAACTTGGCATCTGTCAGGGGCTGGGACCATCCTATCCCTGGAAAATCTACCCACCCTCTAGGCAGAGTTCCCCAAGTAGAGGAATCCCCATTGCCTTCCTTTCTGGACCCCCTGATACAGCTGCAAAAAAAAAAAAAAAAAAAAATTTCCCATCCAAACCAATCCAAACCAAACCAATCCAAACCAAACCAAACCAAACCAAACCAATCCAAACCAAACCAAACCAAACCAAACCAAACCAAACCAAACCAAACCAAACCAATCCAAACCAAACCAAACCAATGCAAACCAAACCAAACCAAACCAAACCAACCCAAACCAAACCAAACCAATCCAAACCAAACCAAACCAAACCAATCCAAACCAAACCAATCCAAACCAAACCAAACCAAACCAAACCCATCCAAACCAAACCAATCCAAACCAAACCAAACCACACCAAACCAAACCAATCCAAACCAAACCAAACCAAACCAAACCAAACCAAACCAAACCAAACCAATCCAAACCAAACCAAACCAAACCAATCTGAACCAAACCGAACCGAACTGAACCAAACCAAACCAAAATGGCCCAACACCAAAAAAACAGTGACTGTTGCTTTGAATGCTGCCATTGTGTTGTGTATTTTGAAGCCACCTCTCAAGTGTTGTCTTCTTCTTTGCTGGAGCCACATTCCGACTTGGGACACTCCAACCATCCCCTGTTGATCTGAATGAGATGGAGTCTCACTCTGTTGCCCAGGCTGGACTGCAGTGGTGCGATCTCGGCTCACTGCAACCTCCACCTCCTGGGTTCAAGTGATTCTCCTGCCTCAGCCTTTCGAGTAGCTGGGATTACAGGCATGTGCCACCACGCCCGGCTGATTTTTTTTTTTTTTTGTATTTTTAGTAGAGATGGGGTTTCACTGTGTTAGCGAGGATGGTCTTGATCTCCTGACCTCGTGATCCACCCGCCTCGGCCTCCCAAAGTGCTGGGATTACAGGCATGAGAGACCGTGCCCGGCTGCTTGTGAGTTTAAAACTCATCCCTGCCCACAGGCAAGAGAGGGCACAGAGAGGCAGATGAAGCCCTTTGAGGATCAGGTCAAGGAGAAAGTGGCTCCTGGCATTGAATTCAACCCCAGGGGCTGGGTGGGTGTGTTTTCAAAAAAGCTCCTTCCCAGCACTCTTTATCTATATTTTTACCTGGCTTAGATTCAGCGCCTGGACCTTTGAGTTTTTCCCGATAGGTGCTGGGTCTCAGAGCTTCCCCCGGAGGGGCACTGTCTGCTGATGGAAGAAATGTGTGGAGCCCAGGTTAGCCATGATGTTGCCGAGGGCGGTGGACAGGCCTGAGGGCCATGGTCGCAGCTCTGAAGGGCAGCAGGGGTGGGACCACAGGGGGAGCTTTGGATGTGGGGACAGCCTGGGCTAGGATGGCAAAGACTGGTATGTCCAGGAGTCACACACCGGAGGTCCTGGGATGGCTGGACTCAGCCCCAGCCTCCCATTCAGAGGCCATCCTTGGCTCCTCTGGCTGCCTCATGAAAGACAGCCCCCAGCCCAGGCAGCATCTCCTCTCCCCTTCCCCCACCCCTAATTCCCCTGCCCCAGGTCAGCCGTTGTCTTTGCTCATCTCTGTTTTAAGAGGTGGCCTTCTAAGTGACCCTCCTGGGCCAGCTTCTGCCTTGCATCCACACGGCAGTGGAGGAAGTTTCAGAAACCTGATCCCACCACCCCTAGCTTACAGCCCTCCGGACTGTGTCTGTCGTCCCTGCTTCTGTCTGCTGTCTCTGACCTTCCCACGGGACAACGCCATGGGGCCTCGCCCCACCTCCCGTCTCAGGTGATTCACTGCTGACTTGGATGTGGCCAGCCTGACTCACATGCAGCCACAACCATGGAACATTCAGAGGCTCTGAAAATGTTCACTGAATTGAACAGAGGACTGGCCCAAAGTCCCAGAGGGACTTGGTGGCAGAATGAGGCCGAGAAGAGGGTGGGAGGGGAATGATTATGGAGCACATAAAGTGTGCTAGGCCCGGTCCACAACACGTGTGCACGCATTATCTTGTATCTTCGCATCAGCCTTGCGAGGGGGGACGATCCTGTCCCCACTTTGCGGAGGAAAACAATGAGGCTAAAAGGAAGTGAAATCTACAGCCCAGAAAAATAAAGCCGAGAGGAGGCAGGCGAGGGTTTGGACTCTGGGCCTGAGATCACACAGAGCAGGTTCTCTTAGATATAGATGCCAAAGACCTGGATCTCTGACCCTCTCTGCCTTTATCAGTGAGGCACTTACGTAAGCGAGGCCTCAACTGCCTCATTTGTAAGATGGGGGTAGCACTGGTGTGTGCAGGTCATGCTGCTAGCATACATGAGCATATGAACTACCCCCATATGCAAATGAGAATATTTGTACCCCCATATTACACATGTGAATGTAGCAGAGGCTGTTGGTGCCCACCCATTCCTCCTGGGCTCTCACCATCCCCATGTGGGCCCACTCCATGGCTTCCAACACAATGAAGTGCCAGGGAGTTAATGCCCCGGGCAGTACCCCTCAGCCCATGGCAGAGCCTACGGGGGCTGCAGGATAAACACCCCAGCTCCTTTGATCCTTGGGTGAGACAACTCCCAGCCATGTCCCATGTTGGCTCCCAGAGGAGAGACAGGGTTTCACTGTGTTAGCCAGGATGGTTTTGATCTCCTGACCTCGTGATTGGCCCACCTCCACCTCCTAAAGTGCCAGGATTACAGGTGTGAGCTGCTGTGCCGGGCCGCTTGTGAGTTTAAAACTCATTCCTGCTCGCAGGCGAGAGAGGGCACAGAGAGGCAGATGAAGCCCTTTGAGGAACAGGTCAAGGAGAAAGGGGTTCCTGGCATTCAATTCAACCCCAGGAACTGGGACATAGTCATATGAGGCCCTGGACTCAGGTGCCCCAGCTGCCCACATTGGAACCTTGCTTGCTAATGAAGCTTCCCTTCCGGGCTTCACTCCCTCACCCTCTCACCTCCCCACACACTGCAGTTCTTTTTGCAGGATGTGCTTTGGGGCAACCCACACCCCAATCAGGAAGGGAATTCTCCTTGAAGAATCCTTGAAACATGAAGCAAAGTTGTTCCTTCCTATATAACCCCTGTCCTTCCCCCCATCAGGGCGGGAAGTAGTTTGCATTTATCACCTCGAGGAGGGAATAATCAACTTCAAAAAGCAGAAGCTTGGATATAAACAACAGGCGGGGAAGAACCGGGGATGAGAGACCCCTCTCCCACCTCTGAACCAGAGACAGACTTCCCAGGAGGGGCAGGCAGAGGAAGGCACAGAAGGAGGCTGCGTGTCACAGTCGCTCTAAGAGGCCAGGTGAACGGCAGGTGGGATCAGAACTTAGCTAGTGAGGCTACGGTGCTGCAAGTTCAGTTACAGGAAACTAACATTCATGTCCTGCATACTTGAGTTCGGGCCAATAGATTCTTGGTATTATCCGGAGAGAGGCTTCTTTTTCTGACTCATTTACAAAGAACTCCCTCCATCTGCGCCCCCAGCCTCCTTCTCCCTGAGCTTCTCCCACCTGGCCCTGAGTCATCTCACTCCTTCCAGCCTGAAGCCCTGAGGATATTTTCCATCGGAGGAGCCCAGCCCACTTAGGGAAGAGATACCTGAGGGAGCACCTGGCTTGGGGGTTGGTGTTGTCTGCAGACAGGAAGAGGCACCCCGTGTTGGGACTGGCCCCAGGTGAAGAGGAGGGGGGAGAGGGCTGGGCAGGTAAAGCAGGCCCCAATGCCTGGGAGTTAGAGACAGGCTGCAAGGGAGCTGAAGGAAGCACTCTTTTCTGGAGCCTGTCCCATCACACCCTGCTGTGTGTCCCTGGGGAAGTCACGTGGCCTCTCTGGGCTCCATCTCTGCAGAGTGAAGGGCTTCAAGCTGGTCTTGAGTCTCCCATTTTGAACACTCTTTGATGCTGGAGTAGCTGGGCTTTCCAGCATCATCAGGAGACTTGTGGTTTTTCAGCTGGGCACAGTGGCTCATGCTTGTAATCCCAGCACTTTGGGAGGCCAAGGTGGGTGGATCACCTGAGGTCACGAGTTTCAGACCAGCCTGGCCAACATGGTGAAACCCTGTCTCTACTAAAAATAAAAAATTAGCCGGGTGTGGTGGCACACGTCTGTAGTCCCAGCTACTCAGGAGGGTGAGACAGGAGAATCACTTGAACCTGGGAGACAGAGGATGCAGAGCGCCAAGATCCGCACCATTGCACTCCAGCCTGGGCGAGACAGAGTGAGACTCCGTCTCAAGAAAAAAAAAAAAAAGAGAGAGACTTGTGGTTTTTCTCTTTGTCTCTCCCTTCCTCTGCCCTCCCTCCTGCTGTTCGTTCATTCATTCCTTCCCACTCCATGTCTAGCCTTGCACAGTATGCTACGGACACAATGATGAGCAAACCCATCCCTACCTTAGAAGCCTAGTCTGGCAGAAGACAGACGTTTCACAGCCAGTTACAACAGAAGGCAGTGACGGGCATGTTATTCACAGCTAGCATCTCTTCTGGAGCCCCACCTTTGTGCCAGCCCCGGGCATACCTGACTCCACTGAATTCCCAGAACCTTCCAAGGCCCAGGTTCCTTAGTCATCTTCATTTTCCAGGTGAAGAAACTGAGAAGCGGGAGGTGAGGGCCAGGGGCCCATAGCTAGGAAGAAACAGATGGGTTTGCCAGACTCAAGGCCCATTCTTAGAATCACCCAGTTTACTTCATCTCAGAACAGTAGCAAGCCAAGGGGGAATTCCAGGAGCTGAGAGAGAGAGGGCATGTAACCCAACCTTGCTGGAAAAGGCAAGATCTGTCCAAGGAACCCAAATCTCTCCTAGTCCATCATTTCACCCTCTCCCTACCAAGACCCGGCTGTGGGTGGGGGATGGAGTTAACATTTGCCACAATAATGGAGCAGTAACACTAGCTAATATTCATTGATGATTAATCTCATTAGCTGTGACTGGTTGGTTTCAGTCAAGGGCTTGATTCTGACCAATCATTGTAGCCGGAGGAATGGACTCAGCTGATTGGCCAGTTGTAGGGGCTGTGCCTAACTAAGTCCCTGAGCTGGTGGGTGGGTCCCGTGCCACCCAATCCACATTAAGAGCCAGGGAGGGCAGTGCAAGTCAAGGTGCTCTTAGCAGAGGAGGTAAGAATAGCAGATATCCCTTAATCCAGCATTTAGGCAAATCAACCCATTAATCCCCCCAGCAACCCTGAGGCACAGAGAAGCTAAGAGACTCACCCAAGGGTCACACAGCTTGTGAACCACAGTGCTGAACCCTGAAAGTCTGGCTTCTAAGTCCATACTTTTTATCTGCAGTACTACACTGCCTCTTAGAATAATGCCTGAAGATGAAATCAATAGATCCTGTTTGGAGTTGAAATGAGGGAGGAAGGGGAGAGGAAGAGGAAGTGATGATGTTTTACATTCACCAACCTCCTCCTATGATTTAGACAGCTCCCCCTAACCTGACTGTTGACATTAGACAGCAAAGATGGCTAAGCCAGGCTGACACCTGAAGTTCGACGTTGTTTCTGTAGTTACCAGTGGTGACGTCACCATGGAGGCTGCAGAAACCTCATCATCACACCAACTGCAGCCCCAGCTGCCTCTTGTCACTTCCACACGGGGGACCCATTTTGGGCAATGTCTGTGGCAAGTTTAAGTGCCTTCTTTTTTAAATTAATTATTTTTATTTATAATTGACACTTTCAAGTGTCTTCCTGAGGACACTTCTTAGGGAAGGACCTTGGGGTCAACAGCCCAGGCTTCTTGACGAGGCCTGTGTGTGGGTGCGGTGGGGGTGGTGGTTTAGAATCTACCAATCTGCCATCATTATCACTCTTTATCCTCCTGAGAAGGTTTCTCTCTCTTTAATGTTTCTAATTTCATTGTTGCTCAAATATCCAGTAAGATGTCCCCAAGCTAGCACTTCTACATCAAAATATTATTTCGGTGGCCTTGGTTAAGCACATTCTGGAAATAAATCCCGAGCCAAACTTTCTTGTTCCTTTCCCTTCCTGCATTTCTTCTCTCCCTCTCCTTCCAACCATCTGGCCTTAAACAAGTCTGTATTATACATTTAACTGTTTGTCAGGCCCCATGTTAACATCCCAGGGAAACTGAATGAATAGGACTTATCTCTGCCTTCAAGAAGCTGCCCGTCTTTTTTTTGTTTGTTTGTTTTTTAAAAAAGACATGGTCTCACTCTGTCGCCTCTATCACCCAGACTAGAGTGAGGTGGCACGATCATAGCTCACTTCAGCTTCAAACTCCCAGGTTCAAATGATCCTCCTGCCTCACCCTCCCAAGTAGCTGGTATTACAGGCATGCACCACCATGGCCAGCTAATTTCTTCATTTTTTGTAGAGATGGGGTCTCACTGTGTTGCCCAGCTGGTCTTGAACTCCTGGGCTCAAGCGATCCTCCCACCTGAGCCTCCCAAAGTGGCTCATTACATGTGTGAGCCACTGCATCTGGCTGAAGCTTTCCATCTTTTAGGGGATATAGATGAACACTTATTATGTAGTGGGGGCCCTGGAGGGCCGGAGGAGGAGGATGTCATCCCTGCTTGGGGGAGTTTTCCAGGCAGATGTCCAGAGGTGGAGGGAGGGAGGAGAAGGCATCCTAGGCAGAGGGCACAATATAGGCAAAGGCAGAGAGGCATGGAGTAGTCTAAGTTCATGAACGATTGTGGTTTGGTTGTGCATATGGGGAGCTGTAGAGGATGAGACAGGAGGCATAGCCAGGGCTCAGGCAGACCACTGAGAGCTTTGTCATGGTAGAGGAAGGGCACATGAATGGTCCAGGGCCAAGAGAGCACTGGACTAGGAGTCCGGAGACAAGGTCTAGGCTCTGCCATTGTTTTGAAGTTGACTTGGTGAGTCATGGCTCCTCTCTCAGTCTTGGTCTTTTCATCTGTAAAAGCAGAGGCTTCTTCTCTTGGTCTTTGAGGTGCTTTTTGATTCACACATCTGATGCATTTCTGGGATGTTATTTTTCTTGTCCTTCCCAGAATCTCTCCCCAAATCCACAATCCTGCAAAGATCTTGACCACCCAACCCCCCAGACGTCACCCGATTCAGAGCTAAAAGGATCTTTCTGTTCCTGGTCGGTCTGTTTGTCATAGCTTTGAGGGGGCGCTCCTGGGGTGTCACTGCACACTACCTCATTGATTTCGATTTTATTTTAACAGCCTTGGTGTAATTATGAAAGCCTGCTGTAATTATCAAAACACAACTCCAAGTATTTCATTGTTAAAATACCCCTATGGTCTATTATTAATTCATTAGATAAATTTGGATTATATCACTCAATAATTAATGTGCAGACCTGAATCCGGGGAATTTGGCCACTGTGAGTCACATGGTAACTGTGGGAAGCAATGGGAGCCTGAGAGATTAGGAGGCAGAGGTGGAGAGAATGGAAACAGGGAAGAAAACAGGTGGTCATGAAAGGTTGATGACCAGCTGCTCTGTGACATTCATTTAACCATTAATTCAATAAACACTTATTGCTGGCCTACTACATGCTAGGAATTTTGAGCACCTTAACATCCAAATATTAACTACTCAAGGTGGTTCCTGGGGTTCTCTCTTATCTATCTATATGTTCATCATTCATCACCCATCTGTCTACCCATCCATATAGCCATACAGCCACCTACACACCCATCGATCCGCCATCTCATCCGTCCATTCATCCATCCATCTACCCGCCCATTCATTCATCCATTATCCACTCAGTTTATCCATTCATCCACCCACCCATTTACCTGCTTACCTACCCACCCATCTACCCTTCCACCCATCAATCTCTCCCTCCATCCACCCAACCACCCATCCATCAACTCATCCATCCATTCATTCATTCACCCATTCATCCATCATATCTTCGTCCACCCATCTACACAGCCATCCTTCTATCTATTCATTCATCCACCCATCCATCCATTTATCTATCCATCCATCTATTTATTCATCTAACGATCTACCCATCCATCCACACATCTATACATTTATCCACCTATCTATCTACCCACCCATCCATCAACCCATCCACCATCCCATGCATCCATTCATCTACTCATCCACCTATCCGTCATTCATCCATCTTCTCCTCAATTTATCCATCCATCCATCCATCCATCCATCCACCATCTCATCCACCCATCCATCCACCCATCCACAATCCCATGCATCCATTCATCTACTCATTCACCTATCCTTCATTCATCCATCTTCTCCTCAGTTTATCTATCCATCCACCCATTCATTCATCCACCTACCCATCTACCTGTCTACCTACCCATCAATCTATCCATCTATCCATCCATCCATCATCCATCCATCCATCCACCCATCCATCCATCTATCCATCCACCCATCCACCCACCATCTCATCCATCCATTAATCCACCCATCCACCTATCCATCATTCATCCATCATCCCCTTTATTCATCTATCCACCCACCCACCCATGCATTCATCCACTCATCCATCTACTCATTCATCCATTATTTATCCTTCCACCCATCCATCTACCCATTCATTCATTTATTCATCCACTCATTCATCTATCCACCCACTCATCCATCCACTCACCCATTCACCTGTTATCTATCCATCCACTATCCAGCATGCATCCATCTGTCTATTTATTGAGCACTCCCTATGTTCCAAGCATGGAAAGTAACTTGAGGAACAGACTATGGCCTCTGCTCTCAGGAAGTCACCCTCCGTGTGGAGGACAGGTTGCAGCCATGCAGACCAGTGCTTGCAATAGTGTGATATGTGTTTTTACGGGGAAGGACAGGGGACTATGGGAGCCCAGGAGAAGCCTGACTTTGCTGAGGGAAGGAACTGTGCTCAGGGAAAGCTTCCTGGAAGAAGAGCTATTTAGCTGAGGCAGAAGGGGGAGAGCAGCAAGCCAGGAAGAAGGGTTCATGGGGAGCCAGAGTTCTGAGGTGGTCCAGCCTCATGTGGGGTGTCTGGGGGTATGGGGACATGGCCAACAAGGTCAGCAGGGCTTGGATGTGGTGGCCTTGTTGGCTTTTGAGATTCATTTTGAGAATGATGGGCATTCAGCAGATACTGAAATGGTTAGAAATGATTTGTGTTTTAAAAATATTTCTCCAGCTGCAGTTTGGAGAGTTGAACTGCAGGGGCATGAGTGGAGGTGGAGAAGCTGGGGAGAAGGTAGTACAGGAATCTGTGTGAACAATCGTGGTGGTTCTTGATAGAGGGCTGGCAAGGGATAGAGAAGGAGGCATCTTGGAGGGAAGTGGAAGGATTAGCATCCTGGCTATGGGGGTGAAGGGGCTCCAAAAGAACAGTTTACCTAAGTCCAGCAACCTATCCAATTCTTTCCTATAATACCCATGAGCCAAACACTGTTTAGGGAACCAGTGGTTCCTAACCTGGCAATTCAAGAAGCAGCCTTTTTGTGCAGAGATCTAACTGCAGGTAGTCTGGAGAGCAAGAGCACCAAGTGCCAGGAGTTCAGGCAGGCACCGAGGCTGCAGAGGCGTGCCGAGGTGATGTCACTGAGGGTCTCAATGGTCAGGCTAAGAAGGTTAGATACTTCTGTAGAGCACTGGGAGCCATAGGAGGATTTGCGGCCAGAAAATGGCATGACAGGAGGTCAGGTAAAGGGAGATGGATGGTTCTGGTCACCATGTCATGAATGGGCTGGAAGGAGTTAGCCTGGAGGCCAAGACCTGTTGAGAAAGTTACTGCTGGCCCCTGGGGTGAGATCCAATGGGCCTCTCTGGAAAGCATGGCTCCTTCGTTTGCTTGCTGTGTGACCTTAAGCAAACTACCCAACCTCTCTGTGCCTTTGGAAAACAAGGATCACAATATTTCCCATCTCATGAGGCTTAGATGAAGTAACACAGAAGTGCCTGGAGCAGAGTGAAGTGCACAACAGCTTGTATTGCCACCATGGGCACAGTGAGGGTCTTTCACCTCTTCGGACTTAGTTTCCTCATCTGTAAAATGAAGGTCACAACAATGCCTACCTCAAAGGGTTGTCTTGGATTAAATGACTTGAAGCACACAGCACACTAGAGACTGGCCAGTATCACTGCAGAATCTGTGGGGCCAGTTGCAAAACGAACGCTCGGGGCGTCTTGTTCACAAATAATTAAGAATTTCAAGACAGCAACGGCCGAGCATGAAACCAAGTACGGGTCCCTTCATGTCAGCTCGACAGGCTGACAAAGGGGAAATTCCAGGCAAGGGGAACAGCTTGTACAAAGGCTTACAAGGAGCCTGGAACAGAAAATTTGAAACAGGAATTGTCTCTGAAAATCCAAACACGTGACTGCTGTGGCCCCAGAGCATCTGCAGGATGCCTCAGGCACAGGGCCTCTGCACCCCTTCTCCATTCTCAATTTTGGGTAGGGGCTTATTTGGCTCAAAATATGTCCTTCTCTGGGCCAGAGACCTCTGCTGACTTTTCTAGGGACACATAGTCTTTTAGAGACAGGGACAGATCCCAAGCTGGTGTTCAAGTCTCTCCACCAAGGATTCTATCAACTCCCCAGATGACGAGAACAGAAATAATTTTAAAAGATTTTTTTTTTTAAATACCAAGCTGACCAGTCGTTTTTGTCACTGTCATGCTTCACGAAGTAACTACCGGGGGTGATTAGAGGAGAGTGAGTCTATAAAATGTGGCGTTTCCCCGTTAGCTTTAAAAACTTTTGCAAACATATTTGATGTGTGTTTATAGAAAAAAAATCCCCAACCCAAATTGATTGAAAAAATGTGTTGTTATTGAAAGGGCCGAGTTGAACTCTTTACAGAGCACGGCGCTCAGCAAGACTTGGAAGGCGAAGATTTCATATAAATAGTTGTGCCGAGTTGTTATGGCAACTGAAATTTGAAAAGTAAATAGGTTTTGGGGAAATATTTTTCCTTGTCTTTGGAAGGATTTTCTGTCGGGGATCATTTGCAAAAAGGAAGAGTTAATCCAATGCCCAGTGGGCTTGGTGTATGTTCTGGAGGGTCCGAAATGGGGTCCCAGTGCTGAAGATCTTGACGTCAATGGAACAAGTTCTTTGCTTTCTCTGAATAGGGATGAAGAACGGGATGGCGTGGGCTGGGTCCTGCATGCTGTGTGGCCATAGACCAATGACCTGCCCTCTCTGGGCCTCAGCTATTCTGTCTATAAAATGGTTCGATTGAAATTAATCATCATGACGTATTGTCTTGAGCACAGGCACACAGGCATCTGCTTGTGGATTTGATTCTCACAACAGCCCACTGAGGTTGGCCTGCTTGTCTCCATTGGAGAGATGAGGAAACTGAGGCCCAGGGTAGAATGGAGGCTTGCTGGAGATAACACAGGAGTGGATGATAACATCAGGGATCCACCTGAGTTTCTGGTTCAGAGGGTAGTCCCCTACTGCATTCTTGCACACTCTTGCTCATGTGTGCTGGCAGCCATCCTATGCAGTGAAATCCCGCTGGCCACCACCCCAACCCTCCATGAGAAATTAAGGCCCCAGGGGCCAGAGGCCAGAGCTAGTCACCTGCAGGAGGGCAGCCGGGCCTTGTGAGGGCTGGAGACCCTCATGGGTTGGGACAGGGCAGCTGTCACCAGGCCTCATTCTAGCATGCCAGGTTATGGAGCTCTCTATCAAAAGAGAGGCCTCTGTAGCTGCATCTGTCCCCTGCTTCTCCCCTCCCCAAGGCAGGAACACCCTGCACTAGACAGGGAGGGGCCCACGGCTTTGGAGGAGGCCATAATGAAGAATAATTACTCTCACGTGTTCTGCCTCTTCGGGGAAGAGCTGTACATGCCCAGTGGCATTTAAGCCTCATAGTGTCAGACACCAGCATATGATGTCCCTGTTTTCAGATGGGGAGACCAGGACTTGGAGGGGAACAGCCACGTACCTATGCGCTCACATCTAACAAGTGGCAAAGCTTAGACTCGAATCCAGGTCTGACTGATTCTTGAACCTGACCTCTTCCCTACCTGCTCTTTTGAAGCCAGCCAAAGCTTTAACATGGACACACTGGCCACATTCATTGCTCCTCTGGGCCTCAGAGTGGTTGGTGGTGGGTACTATGGCCCTGCTCATGGTTATGTAAACTGAGGCACAGAGAGGTGAAGAGGCTTTCTTTTAAGCCACATGGCTAGCAAGAGAGGATCCATCATCAGTTGGACAACAGTTGGGGGCCACCTGGCACTAGGGTTGGTTTTAGAAATGTAACGAGCTTCCCATCCCTGGGTGCATTCCAGCTCACAGGCTGGACTCAGAAGGAAGTTCTGTAGGGTGGAGGCTGAGCTGGGTGATTGCAAAATACCCCAAAGAGTCCTCCATGGAGGTCTGAAGAGCTGAGGTCAGATCAAAGATTCAGAGCTGGGGGACTGACCCTTGTTCTGGGCTCTTGGCTTTCCTCTACCTTTGATTGAGTCTTCAATGTGGGATCACAGAATGGAATATCTGTGGAAACCGTCCCCCAACCTGGGGCCAAAGCAACTGTATGTCCCTGCCTGAGAGCAGGCACACATGTGTGCGTGTGTGAGCACCCATGTATGCATGTGTGTGCATTCATGCTTGTGTCCATGTGTACACCTGTGTGTGCATGTGCACGCATACGTTTGCCTTCTTGTGACCATGCATGTGTATATGTGTGTCATATGCCCATCCACATGCCTGTGTGTACATGTGTGTATGCATGGCCTTGGTGCCTGGTTGTATTCGTGTGCAAATTACCCCTCTCCTACCACTTTTGTCTGCATCATTTGGACTTTCGCTGGAATCTCAGCTCACTATGGATTTAAGAACCCAGCAGCTCCCTGGGATGGGGCTGGAATGGGACCGTGAGGACACTGACCTCCGGAGTTGCCCTGGTTCAAATCCTGGTTTCACCACTTTCTGCCAGGAAGGCTGAGACTCGATCATGGTGGCCCCTAAGCCTCAGTTTCTCCCTAGTGAAATGGGTCTGTCTCAGCACATGCCTGCCTGGCAATTACAAAGGTGCGGTGATGTCTGTCTACAGGGGCCACTCTCCCCCTCTCCACACTGGGGTCTTAAAGACATTTGCTTTCACAGGCCCTGATAGAGGAAGCTCCTGACTCCCCAGCTGTAGGGAAGGCACCAGGTGCTCAGGGCACTTTCAGACACGCTCCTCAAAGCCCAGAGACATCTGGCTCCCAGGACCTCCTAGCAGAGGCCCCTGTGTGATGCCAAGCTCCCCGGGCCCATCTCCCCATTTACATGAGAGCAGCAGGGATGGGGAGAGACACCATGGATGGGAGCCCTAGCAGGGAAGGAGGAAGCAGAGGTGCCTGCGTTTATCAGGAGCACCCTATTTGAGAAAGGGTAAGCCTTGGCAAATTGAAATTCAAAATTCTTTTTGGTGGGGGAAGGCAGAAAGAAGGGAGAGACAGAGATGAAGATAGAGATACAGATATACACAAGTATATATATACATACACACATATGTCTGGCTGTCTATCTATCCATCCATCTATCTGTCAAGAGAAAGACAGAGACAGGGAAACAGGGAGAAACAGAGACAAGAGAGACAGAGAAACAGAAAGGAAATGAACATATTCTCAACAGCTCAAGGCACATTATGTTGAAAAGTGGCCTGAGCTTGGCCTCCCAGGAGCCAGCCCTGTCCCTGGCCAGAGGGTGATCTTGAAGAGACTCTCTCTTTCTTGGAACCTGGGTCCCCTCATTACCAACTCGTACTTCCCAGCACAGTCTGAAGATAAAGGGATGAGAGTGTGCTTGGCATGCTGTGAAGTGCCACCTGAATGCCTGTGGTGGCTCCTCCTTACTGGTCCTCTCTGGGACCCTTCAAAGAGAATTCTCCAGTAGGTGAGTCCTAGACTGCTTTGGGAGACCACCCTCCAAATGATAAGGGCAGCAGAGACTGAGTTTTCCACCTCAAATCTGTTTTCTTCTTCCCAGTGTTATAGTTCTCAACCTCCCTTGTAGCTCAGTGTGGCCAGGTGACTTACAATTTTGGTCAATGAGGTGCAGGCAGAGTGATATAGAACAGTGTCAAGGAAACCTCTTTGAAGCACAGTTGGTGGACACCCTTTTGCCTCTTCTTCCTTGCCTCCTTCCTCCTGTCTGGGATGTGAATGGAATGGCTGATGCTGAAGCAGCCGTGTTGTACCATGAGGAAAGAAGCTCCATCCAGAGGGTGGACTGCCTGCCTCTGGAATTCTGTGACAGGAGTGAGAAATAACCTTCTATCTTATTGAAGCCACTGATATTTAGCTTTTCTCTAAGTTAATCTGCATCCTAATGGATAAAGCAGGGAGAAGGTATTTATCTGGTTTTCCCTTCTAGAAGAAGGAAATTCAGTTGGCTTAGTGTTGGCAGATACATGGGGGAAGTCTAGATTTTCTGAAGGGGTTAGTCTGGCAGAAAAATACTATCAGTAGCAATAAGAATACTGTCATGATAATAAGGACAATAACAGCAGCCCTGAACTCTGGCAACTTTGGCACCTATCTGCCTCCCCTATTAGACTCTCCACTCATTAGGGGTGACCAGAAGCTCCTGTTTACATCTGTTTCCAGCTCAGCACCTGGCACCCTCCACAGTCCCCCAGGCAGGAGAAGCCACAACCCCGGCAGGAGGTGGGGACACAGGGAAGGCAGGCGTTCCCCCTGCACAGAGACAGAGAGACACCACAGTCTATACGGGACACCACTTGGCCTGTGGGAGAGAGGCTGAGAACAGCCTCAGCCCCTGAAAATCCTGTCTCTTTCAAGGCCTTGCTGTATTCCTTGGGTTATCTGTGGGTTTCAGAAAGAGACTGGTGTCCCTTTCTACAAAGCTCCTTCAATTCCTGTACAACACGGTGGTCAAGAGTGTGGACTCTGACCTTGGGCACAAACCCTGGCTCTGCTGCTCCTGGCCCATGACCTTGGGCAACTGACCTCTCTATGAGCTTGTTTCCTCGTTTGGCAGATGGACATGGTGCCTTATATGCAAAAGACAGCAAGCTTTCCATTTACACAGACCAGGACTTCTCAGACAGGCACACACGCCGATTGCTGGGGAATTTGTTAAATGCTAGCTCTGACACAGTAGGTCTGGGGCAGTGCCTGGGGTTCTGCATTTCAAACAAGTGCCTGGGGACACCGAGGCTCCAAGTTTGGGGACCGCATCTTGAGTAGTTGAGGCTTAGCCTAGATCAGTGGTTGGCAAACTTCAGCCCGTGGGCCTGCCATCTTCTTTTGTACATCAAGTTCTATTGGAACATGGCCACACGCTTATTTACATATTGTCTGCGACGTTTTTCGTGTTACAGTGAGAGAGTTGGGCAGTTGTGACAGAGGCCGTGTGGCATGTAAAGCTGAACATATTTACTATCTGGCCCTTTACAGCATGAGTTTGCCAACCCCTGAAGCGATGTTGAAAGAATGAAACAAGAAGACGGATTTGAGGCCACTTGGCCCAGAAAAAGGGCTGGGTTCACAGCCCTGGTCGCGGAGCTGACTCAGTAGGCATCTATGTCTTCCTCAACCAGGAAGGTCCCTTTTCTAACACTGAGCACGGGAGATGGAGGACAGGCTGGGGAAGAAGTGACAGAAATAAAAAGGTGCAAGAGAAAGTCACTCTGGAAATCCCTCCCCTTCCTGGGTCTTGCTTCACCCTCCCTGCCTCAGCCTCTGCTGGATGTGCCTGGTGAAATTGGGGGCTCTGGGTTCCCCAAGGAGTTGGCACAGCCCCTAAGGCTTCTTGCAGCCTCCCCCAGCCTCCCTGGAAACCCCTCAACCTCTGACGACGAGGCCCAGCAGTCGCCCTTGCCGTCCCTGCACATGGAAGCTCATCAGAGGAGCACCACCGGGGTGCATCCAATTCCGCCGGATCCTCATCAAAATGAGAAATCTGCGGTCTGGGCAGCCATGGAGCGCTGATAACACTCTTGCAGGTGAACCTCCTCACTTATCACTGCCGGAGTCACCTCTGTCTCAAAAGATTTGTTTTCCCTAAAAAAAAAAAATCTCTTGGATGTGTGATGGGCTTGGCTGTGATTAAAAAAAAAAGAAAAGAAAGAAAGAAAAGAAGAAGAGCTAGAGGAACATTTTATTTTTCCAGAAGCAGGAGTTCTGCACCCTTACCTTCCTGCCCCCTCCTGCGCAGGGGCTGCACATCTCACCTCCTCCCCAGCTCCTGCCTGCCAAGACCAGGAACCAGGAGGAACAGGGAAAAACGTGGAATCATTTAGATCTGGTTTTCTTTCCACATGGCAACAGTTGCCACACAAAAGAGATCCCAGCCCAGACTCAGCCTGGTTTTGTTTGGCCAACAAAGCCAGTGTTTGTTCAGGAATCAATAGCGAGGGTGATGAGATGGAACAGTGACGAGGGGTGTCCGCAAGCCCGGTCCCCTGTGCCCTGGCCCTCCTGGCCAGGCTGTCCTCTGGATCCTCTCTGCCTCTGAGCCCAGCTCGTCTCTCTTGCAGTCTTGGCTTCTGGGTCGTCTCTGTCCCCCTGGGTTTCTTTCCCTCTGTCTCCCTGTCTGTCTCTCTCCCTCTTTCTGTTTCTGTCCTTTGTCCCTGTGCATGGCCCTCTCCATCTGTCCCCTCTATACCCTTCCCCTTTCCAACTCATTCTCTCCCTCTTCCACCTGTGGGTTTCTACCTGCATATCTCTCTCTCTCTCCCTCTTTCTCCTTGTCTCTGTCCCTGTCTCTCCTGTGACATTTGTCTCTTCCTTCTGCGTCTCTGTCTTTCTCAACATTTCTGTCTTGTGTTGGTCCCTGTGTGTGTCTCCTTCAATGTGTCTCCTTCTCCCTGCTTTCTGCCCCTGCATCTCTGCCTCAACATCCCCACTCAATTAGAAGAAGCCATCTTGGCCATCAGCTTCTGGGCCCTGTACACACCAGTGTGAACTTTCTCTTCAATGTTCTGGGTCCTGGCTTGTGCACTGATGGGTCAGAGGAATGGCTTAAGGTTTCAGAGCTGCTCACATCACGACACACCTCCCCCAGCTCCTCCAAGGACTCTGCTTGAGGAAGAGGCAAGTGTGACAAATGAGACCAGAAGCCCTGGGAGTCAGCGTGGTTCCCAGGGCTGGGAGGAGAGACTCAGAGTTAAACAATGCCTGCTGCATAGCAGGCATTCCAACCTCATTCTCCAGGAGCTCACAGTCCTACAGAGTACACCCATCCCCAAATATCAACCACCCAGGCAAGGTGGCCAGGACCCTGATTGCTGAGGGCAGACCGGTTTTAAGCCAGACTTGAGCCAGAGCAGGGTTCAAATACTGTTGGTGCCACTTACTAACTGGGTAACCCTGGGCAAGTCACTTAACCTCTGAGTCTCAATGTCCTCATCGGCAAATAGAGGTAATGGCGACACCTGCCTCGTGGGTCAATGTGAGGATCAAATTATTTAAATTATGTAAGGCACTTAGAACAATGACTGGCACATAGTAGGCATTCCAGTAATATTAGCTTTTATTATTACTATGAGAATCATAAGACAAATGAACTACTATTATACTTCCTACCTGGGTTCGGGGGAAAGGATATTTTGGTTGGGGTTTTGAGGAATGAGTAGGAGTTTGTCAAGCTTACAGAGGAACTTCCTTCCAAGGTTGGTGGTACAACATGAGTCAATGTCATTTTATAGATGAGAAAATAGAAGTCCAGAGAGGGGAAGTGGACCTTAGTCATAATTACAAATCCCAAAGAAGAGTGTGGCAAACCTATAGGTTTATGTCAATGGTCACTCTGATCCTGGCCCTGCGACCTCAGGAACAAAAGGGTTAATGGATTGTTTCATTCTTGTGGGAACACAATGGTCTCTGCTTCTCTTGCTTCTATTCAATGTGTCCCTGTTCCCTAAGCTGTGAGCACAGAGTCAGCCATCCCAAAGACTGGGATAAGGATGGACCTGGAGTTGCAGGGACAGCCAGCCACTGGCAAATCTACACAGCCCTTTCTCCAACTGAAGCATTCTTGGCCCGAAAGCAGCTTGCAGATGCTGGAAGAAATGAGGAAAATGTTCCTCGGATCAGCTGATTGGTATTTAGATCTCTCCAGATCCAAAAGTCGCAGCCTCTTGGCAGCCCAAGTGACTCCGAGATGCTGCCAGTTTGCTTGGTCTTTGAGGCTTCTTGGAAGAGTTGGTAGTTTTCTATTTTCTTTCTTTCTTTTTTTGCTTTCTTTTTTCAGTCTTTGAGGCTGCTTGGAGAAAGCTGGTAGCTTCCTATATTCTTTTTACGTTTTTTAAAAAATCTTCTGTTCTTTCCTTTCCATTATTTCCATGCAATGAGGAAAGCTCAGGTAGTAGGAAATGGCTTTTTCGTTCTCTTTCAGCGTAGGGTACCCTCTTCAACCCTTGAGGTCTGTCCACACTCCCTTATGTCAGAGAGACTCTGTGGCGTTGAGAAAGACCACACTGCCTGGGTTCAGATCCTTAGTAATGATTGTGGCAGGCAGGTTCTGATGTGGCTGTCAATGGTCCCACGTGCTGGTATTCACATCATGGTATTCCCTCCCTTTAACTGTGAGCTGGACCTGGTGACTTCCTCCTAAAGAATAGAATACTGCATAAGTGCTGACATGTTAATTCCGAGATTAAGCTAAAAAAGACCATGAATTCCTTCTTGTTCTCTCTGTCTCTGCCTCTGTCTCTCTCTCTCTGTCACCTGCACACTTGGAAGAAGGAAGCTGCTACATTGGAGATGCCTGTGTGACCAGGAACTGTCCCAGTTCCTGCAGGACCCTCAGTCCTACAATCTGCAAGAAATCGAATTCTGCCAGCAAGCAAGTGAGTGAGTTTAAGTCATGTCCTGTTCCAGCCAAGCCTATTAGGATGATACTGCAGCCCCAGACCTTAATGGTAGACTCTGAGAGACCCTAAAACAGAGGAGCCAGGTAAACCTCGATGGCTGACCTACAGAAATCATGAGATACCCGTGCTGTTGTTTCAAGCATCTCTGCTTTGAGGTAATTTGTTACTTGGCATAGATAGTGAATACAGTGACCTTGGGGGAAGTGAGTTCTACCTCCCCATCTGTAAAGTGGGTGCAATGATGTCTGAAAAGTCAGCAGGAAATAGGTGCGGGGTCTGGTGCCCAGGAAGAGTTCAACACAAGAATATTTTATGTCTTAGTTAACAAATATTTCCTAGACCAACCCTGGGTCCTGTGTCAGGTG